>NC_000020.11:35026184-36314371 GCF_000001405.40 Homo sapiens
GTAAGTTTTCAAGTCAGGATGTGAGTTGTCTTAGGTTGTTTTTTTTTTTTGAGACAGAGTCTTGCTGTCACCCAGGCTGGAGTGCAGTGGCACAATCACAGGTTACTGCAGCCTCAAACTCCTGGGCTCAAGCTACCCTCCCACCTCAGCCTCTTGAGTAGCTGGGACTATAGGTGGGTGTCACGAGGCTTGCCTAATTTTTAAATTTTTTATAGAGACAGGGGTCTCACTATGTTACCCAGGCTGGCCTCAAACTCCTGAGGCCAAGTGATCTTCCTGCCTCAGCCTCCCAAAGTGCTGGGATTACAGGCATGAGTCACTGTACCCGGCCTAGTTCAAGACTGTTTTTGTTAATCCAAGTCTCCTGCATTTCCACATGAACTTTAGGATCAGCTACTCCATTTGTGCAAAGTAGTCAGCTGAGAGTTATGACAGAAATTGTGTTGAATCTGTAAGGCTGATCTATAGATCAGAATGGGACTATCATTATCTTAACAATATTAATTTTCTGATTCAAAGACATGGGATGTCTTTACATTTATTTAGGGTTTAATTTCTTTCAATGATGTTTTAGAATTCTCAGAGTATAAGTTTTACACTTAAGTTCCTAAGTATTTTATTTTTTTGATCCTATTATAAATAAAATTGTTTTCTTAATTTTTGGTTTGTTGATTGCTACTCTATAGAAATACTACTCATTTTTTAATATTAGCCTTGTATTCTGAACCTTTGTTGAACCTATTTATTAGTTTACTGGTTTTTATAGTAGATTCCTTAGATTTTTCTACATATAAGATCATCCCATCTGTGAACAGTTTCACTACTTTTCTAATTTGCATGCCTTTAATTTCTTTTTCTTGCCTAACTGCCCTAGCCAGAACCTCCAATACGATGCTGAAGAGAAGTGGCAATGGCACTGCCACTTCCAGAAACGATCAGGAACTCGTCTTGTTCCTGATCTTAGTGGTAGAAGCTTTCAATTTTTTGCCATTAGGTATGTCAGCCATGGGTTTTTGTAGATGCCCTTTAACAGGCTGAGGAAGTTCTCTCCTGAGTTTTTGTTTTTACCATGAAAGGGTGTTGGATTTTGTCAAATGCTTTTTTGCTCCTATGGAAACGATCATGTGGTTTTTGTCCTTTATTCTATTAACACAGTGTATTACATAAACTGATTTTCAAATGTTGAACCAAACTTGCATAAATCCATTTGGTCATGGTATACAATCCTTGTATGTTGCTATACTTGGTGTGCTAGTATTTTGTTGAAGATTTTTGCACCTATAATCATAAGAGATACTGGTCTTGTGATGTCTTTATCTGGTTTTGGTATCATGATAATATGACCTCAAAGAGTAAGTTGGGAACTGTTCCTTCCTCTTTTATTTTCTATTAGAGTCTGGAAAGTATTGGTGTGAATTCTTCTTGAAACATTTGGTAGAATTAACCAGTGAAGCCATGTGGGCCAGGACTTTTCTTTGTGGGCAGTTTTTCATTATTTATTCAATCTCGTTGTTATACTTCAGGTTTTCTATTTCTTCCTGAGTTAGCTGCAATAGTTTGTGTCTTTTAACTTGCTCATTTCATCTAGGTTATTTAGTTTATTGGCTTATATTGTTTATAGTATTCCCTTAGAGTCCTCTTACTTTCTTAAGGTTGGTTGTAACGTACCTTCTTTCATTTCTAATTTAGTAATTTGAGCCTTTCTTTTTTGGTCAGTGTGGCTAAAAGTTTGTCAACTTTGTTGATCTTTTTAAAGATTACCTTTAAAAAAATCACCTTTGGTTTTACAGATTTTCTCTACTGTTTTTCTATTCTCTATCTCACCAGTTTTCACTCTAATCCTATTACTTCCTTTTCCTTTTGAGATGTTTGTTCTTTTTCCAATGACTTAAGGTAGACGTTTAGGCAATTTAGATTTATTTAAAAATGTAGGCATTTATAGCTCTAAAGTTCCCTCTAAGCACGCTTTAGCTGCATCCCATAAGTTTGATATATAGTATCATTTTCATTTGTCTCAAAATATTTCCTTTTTTTTTTTTGATGGAATCTCACTCTGTCACCCAGGCTGTAGTGTGATCTCGGCTCACTGCAACCTCTGCCTCGGGGGTTCAAGCAATTTTCCTGCCTGGACCTCCTGACCTTAAGCGACCCGCCTCCTCGGCCTCCCAAAGGGCTGGGACTACAGGTGTGAGCCACCGCGCCCGGCCTCAAGACACTTCCTAATTTTGTTTGTGATCTCCTGTTTGACCCACTGGTTATTTAGAAGTATACTGCTTAATTTGCATGTATTTATTAATTTCCCAAGTTTGTTATTTATTTCTAACTCACCCCACTGGGATTTGAGGACATACTTTTGTACAGTTTTAATCCTTTTAAATTTGCTGAACTTTTTTTTAACAGCCTAGCATATGGTCTGTCCTGGAGAATGTTCATGTGCACTTGAGAAGAACGTGCATTCTGTAGTAGTTGGGTGGAGGGTTCTACAGTTCTCTGTTAGTCCTTGTTGGTATACAGTGTTATTTAAGTCTTCTGTTTCCCTGTTGATCTTCTGCTTAGTTTTATCCATTATTAAAAGTAGTATGTTAAGGTCTCCAGCTGTTGTTTTTGAACTACTGCTCTCTTCCAATCTGTTAGTTTTTGCTTCATGTATTTTTTGGGGGCTGTTTTTGGATGCATACATGTTTATAACTGTTGTATCTTCTTGATGGTTTCACCCTGTTATTATCAAATATCCCTATTTTGCTCTGATAACAGTTTTTGTTTTAAAGTCTCTCCAGCTTTTTTGGCTGGGTGGTGGTGGCTCATGCCTGTAATCCCAGCACTTTGAGAGGCCAAGGCAGGCAGATCACCTGAGGCCATCTGAGACCAACCTGGCCAACATGCTGAAACCCCATCTCTACTAAAAACACACACAAAAATGAGCTGGGCGTGGGCTCCCCGCCTGTAATCCCAACTACTTGGGAGGCTGAGGCATCAGAATTGCTTGAACCCGGGAGGTGGAGGTTGCAGTGAGCTGATCGTGCCACTGCACTCCAGCCTGGGTGACAGAGTGAGACTCTGTCCCTCCAACTTTTTAAAAGTACAGCCTCTCCAGCTTTCTCGTGGATGCTGCCTGCATGATACATCTTTTTCTGTCCTTTACTTTCAACCTATTTTATCTCTGAATTGAAAGTGTGTTTTCTATAGGCTGCATATAACTGGATCTTGTTTTCTGATCCAATATAACAATCTGTCTTTTGAATGAATTGTTAAATCTATTCACATTTAATGTTACTATTGATAAGGCTGGACTGACTTCTGCCATTTAACTTTTTGTTTTCTGTATGTCTTGTGTGTTTTTTTGTTCCTCTATATCTCCTTTAGTGTTTCTTTTGATTAATATTTTCTAGTATAACATTATATCTCCTTCAATTATTTCTTTACTATATTTCCCAAGTTACTTTCTTTTTTTTTTTTTTTTTTTTTTTTTGAGACAGAGTCTCGCTCTGTCACCCAGGCTGGAGTGCAGTGGCGCGATCTCGGTTCACTGCAAGCTCCGCCTCCTGGGTTCACGCCATTCTCCTGCCTCAGCCTCCCCAGCAGCTGGGACTACAGGCGCCCGCCACCACGCCCAGCTAATTTTTTTGTATTTTTAGTAGAGACGGGGTTTCACCACGTTAGCCAGGGTGGTCTCGATCTCCTGACCTCGTGATCCGCCCACCTCAGACTCCCAAAGTGCTGGGATTACAGGCGTGAGCCACCGCGCCCAGCCCCAAGTTACTTTCTTAGAAGTTGCTGGCTGGCGCGGTGGCTCATACCCGTAATCCCAGCACTTTGGGAGGCCAAGGTGGGTGGACCACCTGAGGTCAGGAGATCGAGACCAGCCTGACTAACATGGAGAAACCCCGTCTCTACTAAAAATACAAAATTAGCTGGGCATGGTGGCACATGCCTGTAATCCCAGCTACTAGAGAGGCTGAGGTAGGGGAATCACTTGAACCCAGGAGGCGGAGGTTGCGGGGAGCCAAGATGGTACCACTGCACTTCAGCCTGAGTAACAAGAGCGAAACTCCATATCAAAAAAAAAAAAAAAAAAAGAAGTTGCTTACCACATACATCTTAATCTTTTCCAGATTTTTTTTAAAAATTAGAAATAAATATGGAATGCATCAGGAATTTGCATGTCATCCTTGCACAGGGGCCATGCTAATCTCTGTACTGTTCCAATTTTGGAATATGTGTTGCTGAAGCAAGCATTTTCGGATTTATTCTAACTTAGAGCTCCATTCCATCTTCATTCTTTTTGTGCTGTAATTGTGCATATTGTATCTATGTATGTTAAAAGCCCAACAATACTTGTTCTAATTGTTACTTTAAATAATTTTATGTTAGAGAAACTGAGAAAAGGAATGAAGAGCAAGTATACATTTATGGAGTTTTTATATTTACCCTCTTATTACCATTTTGGTTCTCCTCACCGATTCCTAGGGATTCAAGTTGCAATTTGGTGTCATGATACTCCATTACAACTTTGGTACCACCCGTTTTCTTTGTACAGTTATTGCAAAATATGTTTCCATATGTTATAGGTTCAACAATATAATTAGATGGTTTGTGTAAGTTTTTTAACTGAAGAAAAGGAGAAGAAATATGCATTTACACAATCTCTTACAATTACAGAATTACCTTTACTTAAGGTGCTCTTTGTTTTTCATGTGGAGTCAAATTACTGTCTGAAGTCACCTGCTTTCAACCTGAAGAACTTCCTTTGGTATTTCTCATAAGTCGGTATGCTGCTTAATTTCCAGATGTTTGTCTGTTACTAATGAGTTCTTTCAGTTTTTCTTTTCTAAGAATGTTTTTATTTCAACTTCATCTTTGAAACATAGTTTTGTAAAATACAAGATTCTTGGTTGACTGTTTTCTTTCAGCATTCTGAATATGTCACCCTACTGCCTTCTGCCTTCCATTATTCCTGATGAGCAGTCAGCCACTAATCTTATTGGAATATCCTTGGGCATGATGAGCCATTTTTCTCTTACTACTTTCAAGATTTTCTTATCTTTCAGGATTTTTTTTTTTTCTTTTTGGAGGCAGGGTCTCGCTCTGTCACCCAGGCTGTGATTGCAGCTCACTACAGCCTCATCCTCCTGGGTTGAGGTGATTGTCCCATCTCAGTCTCCTGAGTAGCTGGGATTACAGGTGTGCACTACTACCCCTGGTTAACTTTTTTTTTTTTTTTTTTTTTTTTTCAAAGAGATGGGGTTTTGCCACATTCCCCAGGCTGGTCTTGAACTCCTGAGCTCAAGCAATCCACCCTTCTTGGCTTCCTAAAGTGCAGGGATTACAGGTGTGCGCCAACATGCCAGGCCTCAGCGTTTTTATTACCATGTGTCTGCATGTGGATCTGAGTATTCCGACTTGGATTCTTTGGGCTTCTTGAATGTGTGCATTAATGATTTACATTACATTTGGGAGATTTTCAGCATTATTTCTTTGATAATTTTTCTGTTACTTTATCTCCTTCTGGTACTCCCATTATGCATATCTTGGTGTGCTTAATAGTGCCCCACATTATTTTAAGGCCCTGTTTTCTTTATTCTTTCTTCCCTCTGTTCTTTAGAATGTTTAATCTCTATCAACCTATTTTGCTGAGTCTTTCTTCTGCCAGTTCATATCTACTGCTGAGTCTTTCTAGTGATTTTTTCATCTTGATTATTATACTACTTAAAAAAAAGTTTTTTTTGAGACAAAGTCTCACTTTGTCACCCAGGCGCAACTGCAGTGGCACCATCTCAGCACACTGCAACCTCTGCCCCGGGTTCAATCGATTCTCATGCCTCAGCAATCCAAGTAGCTGGGATTCCAGGTGTGCACCACCATGGCCATCTAGCTTTTGTATTTTTAATAGAGATGGGGTTTCGCCATGTTGGCCTGGCTGATGTCAAACTCCTGGCCTCAAGTGCTCCGCCCACCTCAGCCTCCCAAAGTGCTGGGATTACAGGTGTGCACCACCATGGCCATCTAACCTTTATATTTTTAATAGAGATGGGGTTTTGCCATGTTGGCCTGGCCAATCTTGAACTCCTGGCCTCAAATGCTCTGCCCGCCTCAGCCTCCCAAAGTGCTGGGATTACAGGTGTGAGCCACCACACCTGGCCTGATTATTATACTACTCTTCAATTCTAGAACTTCCACTGGGCTCTTTTCAAATACTTCCTATCTTTTTATTGTTATTCTCTATTTAACGACACATTATCAAATAGTCCTTTACTTCTTCAAGCATAGTTTTAGTTCTTTGATCTTTTTTTTTTTTTTTTTTTTTTGAGACAGAGTCTCGCACTGTCGCCCAGGCTGAAATGCAGTGGCAGGATCTCGGCTCACTGCAACCTCTGCCTCCCAGGTTCTCGCCATTCTCCTGCCTCAGGCCTCCCCAGTAGCTGGGACTACAGGCGCCTGCCACCACGCCCAGCTAATTTTTTGTATTTTTAGTAGAGACGGGGTTTCACCGTCTTAGCCAGGATAGTCTCGATCTCCTGACCTCGTGATCCGCCCGCCTCAGCCTCCCAAAGTGCTGGGATTACAGGTGTGAGCCAACGCGCCCAGCCCTTTGATCATATTTTTAATGGCTGCTGTTAAATCTGGTATCTGGACCCTTTCACAGGAAATTTCTGTTGCCTGCTTTTTCTTGTGTATAGGTTACACTTCCTGTTTTTTGTGTGTATGTCTCAATTTTTGTTAAAAACTGGACATTTTAGGCTGGGTGTGGTAGCTCACGCCTGTAATCCTAGCACTTTGGGAGGCCAAGGTGGGTGGATTGCCTGAGCTCAGGAGTTCAATACCAGCAACTAGGTAAAATCCTTTCTCTACTAAAATACAAAAAATTAGCCGGGTGTGGTGGCATGCACCTGTAACCCCAGCTACTCGGGAGGCTGAGAGAGAACTGCTTGAACATGGGAGACAGAGGTTGCAGTGAGCCGAGATTGTGCCACTGCCCTCCAACCTGGGCGACAAGAGACTCCATCTCAAAAAAGGACATTTTAAGTAATATACTGTAGCAACTCTGGATACTGATTCCCCCTCCTTCAGGGTTTGTTGTTGTTATTTGCTTATTTATTAGTTTAGTGACTTGGTTAGACTATTTTCGTAAAGTCTCCTTCCCCAAAGACTGGTGAAGATTTTCATGTTGTGCCTCAGAGAGTGCAACCTTGGGCATGTACAGAGTCTCCCTGGGATGACATTGAGCCAGGCTGTCTTTGACTAGCTCTTTCCATGATCTCTCTGTTAAGCTTTCTACCTCTTCTGGTATCACATCCAGCTGTTAGGCTCTACTAACTGCTGACTGAATTCTCGACTGTTTTTGATAATGCCCTGGAGTATACACTGCTCCAAAGTCTAATTCAATTAAATTCAGGAAGGGGTAATTTTTGAAATTGAGCTTTGTTCTGACCTTGGGAGAGTTCTTCTCAGCTGTCTCCTTCCCTGGTTCTCTGGTGAACTAGCTGGCCTGTAGATCACCCTGTTCTTAATTAAGAAGAGGGTACCTGGCCAGGCACAGTGGCTCATGCCTATAAACCTGGCACTCTGGGAGGCCAAGGAGGGTGGATCACTTGAGGCCAGGAGTTTGAGACCAGCCTGACCAACATGGCAAAACCCGTCTCTATTCAAAAAAGAGAAAATATAAAAAATAAAAGAGTAAAGGCCGGGCGCGGTGGCTCACGCCTGTAATCCCAGCACTTTGGGAGGCCGAGGCGGGTGGATCATGAGGTCAGGAGATCGAGACCATCCTGGCTAACAAGGTGAAACCCCGTCTCTACTAAAAATACAAAAAATTAGCCGGGCGCGGTGGCGGGCGCCTGTAGTCCCAGCTACTCGGGAGGCTGAGGCAGGAGAATGGCGTGAACCCGGGAAGCGGAGCTTGCAGTGAGCCGAGATTGCGCCACTGCAGTCCGCAGTCCGACCTGGGCGACAGAGCGAGACTCCGTCTCAAAAAAAAAAAAAAAAAAAAAAAAAAAGAGTAAAAAAAAAGAAGAGGTACCTCTTTTTATTTGCTTACCATCAAAATCTCCTCAGGCATGAACTTCCCTGGACTCTGTTCTTATTAACTGCCTCTCTCTGTGGGCAAATTCTCAGAGCAGGGTCAGTAGCCTCTAGTCTTCCGGGCTTGCCTCTCCCAGTGTAAAACCTCTGTACATGAGCAAGCTAGGGCAAAGGTGATCAGAGCCATAGAATTCTTGGCCTCAAGTATGTGGGATAGAGCTTCCACACCGTGAGTACAGTATGGAGCTGGGTGGAGGAAGGAAGCCTCTGACCTCTTTGCCATACTCACCGAGAACTTAGTCTCTTCAATTTGGAGCTGGAGGGAAGAAGAAAAGCTGATGGCCCCCCACTCCCAATGAGAAACCTATTCCTTGTTTGGGAGCTGAGAATTCCTGGGTTTGTATATTCTGAACCTGCTGGCCAGAGTCAAATGCTTTAAGGCTGGGCACCTAACCAAAGATGGGCCAGAGTTCTTTACCAGGAAGCTGGAGCTGAGACTGGGAGTCTTCTTATTTAATAGGCAGTCTTCTGCCTAGTCCCATCAAGGGGACCAGGAAAAGGTAGGGTACAGTGAGAGAGAAGACTAAGAAACACTGTAGAAAGAAAAAGAGACGAGGAGAGAAGTTTCTAGGTTCCTAAGAATGCTCTGGTTACTGGTTCTTGTTAGTCCCTGAGACACAGCTGTCTCAGGTCTGCAACAAAGCCCTTCTCCCTGAAATCAGGTCCACTTTGGGGAGTTCAATGAAGTTTCTGTAACAAGCTGTCAAAAGAGTCTTAATAGTCATGGTCTAGAATTGCCTTGAGGACAATTCTACTCTGAGCAAATCTCAAATTAATCCTTCTTGGAAAGAAGAGCAAGAATGGTCCCAGGCGCCCAAGGAAAAGCTCCCGATCACTCAGGGGACCCATCCTTCCATACCTTGATTGTGCTCTGACTCCTCATTGGCCACTCGCATCAGGGCATCTAGCACCAAAGCATTGTCTAGCCATGTGTACCACTCTTCCAACTCCTGAAGGAAGCTGGCTGTGCCCGTTGACTCTGACACCTTTCGAGTCGCCAGTTTGCAAAGCCGCTCAACAAAGCCAGGAATGCTGAGAAGGGCCGCTGCCAGGGAAAGAACAAGCGAGGAAATTTTCAAAATAGAGACCAGCAAAACTACCCCTAAAGCCCTAACAAACAATCTGCATGATAGGAATAATTCTTACTCTGATAGTAGCTAAAGCTACTCTTTTAAAATGAATGTCAAACCAAGGTAAATAGTAATTATGTTACAGGCATAAGCTCAGTTTTTAGCAGGTACAGGGAAACAGGCTTTTTATCTACTGGGAATATAAATTAGAATAATCTTTATGCCTTAAATGTGTGTGTCTTTGAGCCAAGAGGTCAATTTCTGGGAATTTACCATAACGAAATAACCAGTCATATTACACGAGAATATCTGTATAAGGAGGTTCACTGATGTGGTTTCTGTAACAGCAAAAAGGTGAAGGTAACTAAATGTTCATCAACAGCTGATTAATTAAATACAATGACACATTTATACAATGGAATACTGCATAGACACTAAGAATGATGACACATACATCTTTATATAGTGACTCAAAACAGCTGTTTACTTGTTAGAGAGTAAATTATTAAACAATATGAATTTAATTTTCTTCAAAAATTTAAATATTTGCTTCTTCAAAATACACAAGGAATGAAAGCATATATACCAAGGAATTTACTGTGGCTGTTCCTAAGCAGGAGAGAATACAAACAATTCTCTTAAAATTACTCATCTATAGTTTCTAATTTTCCTGTAACATTTACTAGCAGGATGAAAGATAAACATTTTTTTAAGGTAAAGAAAAAAACTGAATAATCACCCAATTTTTCTTTCCACCAATCTCATTTTATTCACAATGAGTGAGGTGGAAATTCTGATCGGCATATTAGAACATCATAAACTTTGGAGGCAGGGAGATCCAGATTCAAATCCTGACTCCATCATTTAACCTTCTTTAAAATGAGACTAATGCCTGATCATGTTTGCCTGTATATGCATTAAGTCTCCCTGGAAGGACAGAAAAGAAGCCAAGAGCAGTGGCTGCCACAGTAAACAGCCATAAGATGGAAACAGCCAAAATGTCCGTCAAGTGGAAAAGGGGATTTAGGTCACTGAGAGTAACAGTGGAACTGAAACTTTTCAATAAATACCTTTTTGAATCCGCAGATTTTTTGGAACCATGTGAATGTTACACCTAATTAAAAATTAATAAATAACTAGATATTTCAGGATATCAAGGGATTACTATTAATTTTTGATACAGTGGCAGTTACGTTTCTTAAAAGTCGTTATCATGTAGAAACACTGAAATATATGCAGGTGAAATTATACGATGTCTGGGGTTTACTTCAAAATAACCCAAGGTGAAGTAGGGTATAGTGAATGGGAGTAGAGATAAAGTAAGACAAGCTGGCCAGGCACGGTGGCTCATGCCTGTAATCCTAGCACTTTGGGAGGCCAAGGTGGGTGGATCACTTGAAGCTAGGAGTTTAAGACCAGCCTGGTCAACATGGCGAACTCCATCTCTACCAATAATACAAAAATTAGCCAGGCGTGGTATCGTGCGCCTGTAGTCCCAGCTACTCAGGAGGCTGAGGCATGAGAATTGCTTGAACCTGGGATGCAGAGGTTGCAGTGAGCTGAGACTGCACCACTGTACTCCAGCCTGGGCAAGAGTGATACTCTGTCTCAACGCGTGCGCACACAAACACACACACACACACACACCCCTCCCATAATTAGTGAGTGGCTATAAGATGATGTTTGACCTTAGTTATAAAATAAAACTACATTGAGGTTCCTCAAAAAGTTGGCCAGGCACGGTGGCTCACGCCTGTAATCCCAGCACTTTGGGAGGCCGAGGCGGGTGGATCACAAGGTCAGGAGATCGAGACCATCCTGGCTAACACGGTGAAACCCCATCTCTACTAAGAAGTACAAAAAATTAGCTGGGCGCGGTGGCAGGCGCCTGTAGTCCCAGCTACTTGGGAGGCTAAGGCAGGAGAATGGCGTGAACCCAGGAGGCAGAGCTTGCAGTGAGCGGAGATCGCGCCACTGCACTCCGGCCTGGGCGAAAGAGCGAGACTCTGTCTCAAAAAAAAAAAAAAAAAAAAAAAGTCAAACATAAAATTACCATATGACCCAGCAATTTCACTCCTACATATATACCCAAAAGAATTGAAAACAGGTGCACACACAAATATGTGTACACACATGTTCATAGCAGCACTATTCCCAACAGCCAAAAGATGAAAATATCCCAAATGTCCATTAACTGAAGGGATAAACAAACTGTGGTATCTACATGATGAGTATTATTCAGCCATATAAAGGAATGAAGTACTGACATGCTACAACATTAATGAACCACAAAAACATTATGCCAAGTGAAAGAAACCAGATTCAGAAGGCCACATGCTATATGATTCCATTTACAGTTATGCACTGCATTAACGCTGTTGCGGTCAACAACGACCACACAGAAGACGGTGGTGCCATCAGATTATAATACTGTATTTTTACTATACCTTTTTTCTATGTTTAGATACACAAATACTTACCATTATGGTACAACTGCCTACTGTATTTAGTACAGAAACATGCTGTACAGGTTTGCAGCCTAAGTGTATCATGGGCTATACCAGCTAGGTTTGTGCAAGTACACTCTATGACATTCACACAATGACAAAATCACCTCACTGCATTTCTCAGAAGGATAGAGACTGCTAAGTGACAACATGACTGTATATGAAGTAATCTGAATAGGTAAATCCACAGAGAAAAAAGCAGAATGGTGGTTGCCAGCAGTTGGGGAGAAGGGGTAATGGGAAGAAGCTGCTTAATGTGTACGGC
Organism: Homo sapiens; assembly: GCF_000001405.40. Classification (NCBI taxonomy): domain Eukaryota; kingdom Metazoa; phylum Chordata; class Mammalia; order Primates; family Hominidae; genus Homo; species Homo sapiens. The sequence continues at coordinate 35,038,106 of NC_000020.11, forward strand.
GTTTCCTTTTGGGGTGATGAAAACGTGCAACTAGATAGAGGTGGTAGCTGCACAACACTGTAAATGTACTAAATGCCGCTGAGTTGTTCACTTTAAGACGGCTAATTTTATGTTACGTGACTTCCATCTCCATAAAATAATTACACAGAAATAGATTTTTGTTTGAGACACCATTTTTTTTTTTAACATATCAGCTTGGCAAATATAAAAAAGTTTGATAATGCTCTGTACTGGGAAAGGCTACAGACAACACGGTGGGGAAGATGAACAAGTAATTTCTTTGGAGGGTTAATTTGTCAACACTTACCAATTTCCATTAATGGGGGACTAATTAAATTACAGTATGCCTGTATAATAGAATATTATATAATTACAAAAAGGAATCATATAATTCTATATATACTAGAGTGTAATTTTTGGCAAGATAAGTTTAATAAAAAGAGAGCAGCACTTATTTTATATTACCTATTTACATTACCATCTGTACAAACAGGAGTCAATCTCTCTCTGTCCCTCCCTCCTTCCCCCGTCCCATGATTGGGCATGTATAGAATATTTTTCGAAGGACGTTTAAGAAACTGGTAAAAAGTTACCACAGGGAGGGGAACAAACTCTCTGCTGTACTTTTTGTATCATTTAAAAAAAATTTTAGGTGTGTATTATTTTTTCTAAAAACAAATCAGTAGGCGGGGCATGGTGGCCCATGCCTGTAATCCCAGCACTTTGGGAGGCCGAGGTGGGTGGATCACCTGAGTTTGGGAGTTCAAGACCAGCCTGGCCAATATGGCAAAACCGATGTCTACTAAAAATACAAAAAAATTAGTCGGGCCTGGTGGCGCATGCCTGTAGTCCCAGCTACTTCGCAGACTGAGGCACGAGAATCGCTTGAACCAGAAAGTGGTGGTTGCAGTAAGCCAAGATTGTGCCACTACACTCCAGCCTGGGCAACATAGCCAGACTGTGTCTCAAAATAAAACAAAGCAAAAAAAACAAAAAAGAAATAAAAAGAATTTGTATTCTACATGAAAATCTTCACATAGCTGGATTTTTACTCTTATACTTCTGTTCTCAGCAAAAATAGCTCCTGCTGCTTGACCTGCTCCTCTCAGGACAGCATGTAGGAGCTAGTCTTCCCCATTCCTGCACACTCAACACACTCCTCCAGATGGGAAGTGCCCGGTACTCAGGGTTCTAAGTCTGACTTCCCACCTGAGATTCTTGAGCTGTTGTGAGTCACTCACCTCTTGAAAAGCTAATAAAAGCTAAGACCTTCTCCCCAGAAAAAAATTCACTGGACCAATCATACCTAGCAACTCATACACAATCTCATGGGCTGACATCCCAGCATATCCAGTCCTTGTAATTCTCACAGCTTTATCAGTAGCTACCACACCTGGCTGGTTAATGTTAAACTGACAACTAAATCACTCACAACCCCTGAGAATTTCTGCAGAAGCAGGCCTCTTCTCTCTTCTCACTGTTGAAACATCAGTATTCCCCCCATACTCCTGTAGTTTCCCCTCCTGCTTTCCAGCTTCATGTGCTGCATAATTCAGCCCCTCTCAGCTAAGTGTCACTTATAAATTGACAATTATCTAGCCTATAGCTTCATTTACATCTCTGCTAAGAATCTTGAAAGACGTTACTTTCCCCCAGAAGGAAACCAGCTGTTCTCTTCTAAATCGACAGAAGAACAACTGGTAGTTCTGAGAATCTCAAAAAGGACTCAAAAAATAATTATTTATTTTAAAATGAATCTCAAAAAATAATGACTTACGCTATCTTCCTGGGGCTCAGATAATTTACATTAGATAATTACATGTAAATTATCTGAGCCCCAGGAAGATAGTGTAAATCATTATTTTTGCTAGACAAGAAAATGACCTCACAGCCACAGTTTATTAAAAACGAAACGAAAACTTTTTGGCAACATCCTACATATTTCAGCTTTCCATACAGTTATGGACTGTGTCCCCACCCCCCGCGCCCCCACAAATTCATACGTTGAAGCTCTAGCCCTAAATATGACTGCGTTTTGAAACAGGCCCTTTAGGGAATGCGGTGGTGTGATGGTTAATTTTAGCTGTCAACTTGACTGGACTATGGGATGCCTACATGGCTGGCACAGCACTGTTTCTGGGTGTGTCTGTGAAGGTGATTCCAGAAGAGATTGGTGTATGAGTGTGTGAACTAAGGGAAAATCTGCCCTCAATGTGGGCAGGCACCATCCAATTGGTGGGGGAGCAGTGGGAGGCGATGGAGGAAAACAAAAAGGGATTCTCCCCCTTCTGGAGTGGGAAGTTTTTCTCCTACTGCTCTTGGATATCAGACTCCAGGATCTTTGGCTTTTGGTCTCTGAGACTTGCACCAGCAGTTTCTGGGGTCCTCCAGCCGGGGAGCTACACCATTAGCTTTCCTGGTTCTAAGTTTTCCGGACTTGGACTGAGCCATGCTAATGGCTTCTCAGGTTCTCCAGCTTGCAGACGGCTTATCTTTTATTTTATTTATTTATTTTTGGAGACGGAGTTTCACTCGTTGCCCAGGCTGGAGTGCAATGGCACAATCTCAGCTCACTGCAACCTCTGCCTCCTGGGTTCAAGCAATTCTCCTGCTTCAGCCTCCCAGGTTGTTGGGATTACAGGCGTGTCACCATGCCCAGCTAATTTTTGTCGCAGATGGCTTATCATGGGACTCCTCCGCCTGTGATCGTGTGAGCCAATTCCCCTAACAAATCCCACCTCATAAATCCTACTGCTTCTGTCTCTCTGGAGACTGCTGCCTAATACAGGGAAGTAATTAAGGTTAAATGAGGTTACAAAGTGTGGGGCCCTAAACCGAGAGGACTGGTGTCCTTCTAAGAAGAGGAAGAGACACCAGAGATCTCCGTCTCTCCTCAATGACAGAGAGGAAAATTCATATGTGGATACAATAAAAAGGTGGCCTTCTACAAGCCAGGAAGAAAGGCCTCAACCAGGAACCAATCCTGACAGCACCTTGATCTTGGACTTCTAGCCTCCAGAACTGTGAGAAAAATAAATGTCTGTTAGTTAAGCCACCTAGTCTACGGTACCTTGTTATGGCAGCTCAAGCTGACTGATACACACACCTGAGATAAAGGCATTCACTACTGGAGCGCAATTCAAGAATGATAACATTCAGAGGACTAAGACTTTCCTCATCCACTCGTGATTTAATTATGTCCACCAGCTTGGCCTTCCCAGGGCATTTGAATGGAGAAAATCGTGCGGGTAAGGGAATGGAGTAGGAATTATGGTCAGGGTTGGGAAGGGTCAGATCCTGCACAACCTCATGTGTGGAACTACAACTTTTAGGCTTTATCCCAAAAGCTACAAGCAGAATCACACATAGACTGTCTACTAGGCTAGTCACACAGATATGAAAGTGAATCTAGATTATTTTATAGAGACTTTAAGAAAAAACTCCCAAATAAAAAAACAAAAACAAAAACTGGGCTTTCCGTTCTCAGTTAATCAAAAAAGCCCAGCTGACCAGAACAGTTCATTCCTCAAGAATAATGGGTAATGCTGGTTTTACTTAAGTCAGTTTACAAATAGGCATCTGAAAGCAATCAATACTAACAGGATCAAAATCATCTGCCAGAATAGATTCCTTAAATGGGAAACTAAAAGATGAAAGTTACTTAGTGCCTCGGCATACACAGGCATCCAATACAGAACCTTTCTAGCCCTCAGTTTCCTCACATGTGCAATGGGGATACTAATCTCTATTCCACAGGGCACTTGAAGGATTAAATAAAATCACTTCTAGGTAAAGCAGTTACCCAGCGTTTGCCACATACCAGGAGCTTAGCAAATACTACCTTTTGTCAATGTATATGGAGGTGTGTACACCAGCTCTGAGGTATAATTTAGTTATAATGAAAGTCACTTTTTTTAAAATTATACTTTAAGTTCTAGGGTACATGTGCACAACGTGCAGGTTTGTTACATATGTATATATGTGCCATGTTGGAAAGTCACATATTTTTTAAAAATGTAAATTTCCTAAAATGAGAACTCCCCCAAAATCATAAAGGAGTGGGAAGAAAACCGTACACAGACCAAGGAAGACCTTGTATCTAGTGACACAGGAGGAAAAGCAAATCTAGAGAGAGAATAAACTGGGGTTGGAGTCCACAAACTTCTACCTTTACATATGACTACAACATGTAAAATTATATTCCCTAATAACCTACAAAGTATAGTTATGATCACCTCATGTTCCTAACTAAAACTAGACAATAACAGAGTGAATGGCAGGTTCATATTCAGCCTCAGGAGAGGAGGCTGCTCTGAAGCACTTGATAACTCTGCAGAGCCAGCCTGGGGAATGCACACAACTGGACTTTAGAAACAAAGAACTGTTTTCAGAGCATGATTAGGGCTACCTCTGCATGGTCATGGTTTTCTACTGCTGCTTTTTAATGATACATTTGTATAATTTTACCTTGTTTATTTGGTGTACCATAAGGTACACAGTGATAGGTTTTTGTATTAACAATATTTCCAGCCTGTTAACATTGAAAAACTAGCTTTTAAGACACAAGTTTCAGTTCAAATATGAATTATCTACACTCTTATGACCAAAATACATCTATGCCAGTTTCTCCAAAATCTGTGCAGGCAACAACATTTTAGATAGAACACAGTTCTTTTGCTACTGAACAGAAATAGGTGGGCTAGATTGGTTAGAATAGTGTTTTGTTTTTAAGTAATATATTTACACGGTTCTAAAATCAAACAATATATGAAAGTATACAGTAAGGAGTCCCACTCCCACTGCTACTACCTTCCCTTACCAGCTACTTCCTATTAATAACCACTTTATGTTTCTTGTGTACCCTTTGTTTCTTTAGGCATACCATATATGTGGGCAAACGTATGGTCTTATTCTCCCCCTGACTTAATACAAAAACTATACCATATACACACTGTTCTGTATTTTCCTCTTTATCATTAATATATCTTGGAGATTTTTCTATAGCAGTACATAGAGATCTTCATTTTTTCAAAGCTACACAATTTTCCATTATATAAATATTGAATACACTAAGCAGTCCAGTGTTAATGAACATCTGGGTTTCTAGTCTTTTGTTATTACAAATAATGTTGCAATGAATAATTTTTTTTTTTTTTTTTGAGACGGAGTCTAATTATGTCGCCCAGGCTGAAGTGCAGTGGTGCAATCTGGGCTCACAGCAACCTCTGCCTCCTGGGTTCAAGCAATTATCCTGCCTCAGCCTTCTGAGTAACTGGGACTACAGGCGTGCACCACCACACCCAGCTAATTTTTGTATTTTTAGTAGAGATGGGGTTTCGCCATGTTGGCCAGGCTGGTCTCAAACTCTGAACCTCAAGTGATCCTCCTGCCTCGGCCTCCCAAAGTGCTGGGATTACAGGCGTTAAGCCACCGTGCCTGGCCTCAGTGAATAATCTTGTACAGTAGTCCTCCCTTAGTCAAGACCCTCACAGTGGATACCTGAAATGGCAGATAGCACCAAACCCTATATATACTATGTTTTTTCTTATATACACACATAACTATGATAAAGCTTAATTTATAAATTAGGTACACTAAGAGATTAACAATAACTAATGATAAAATAGAACAATTGTAACAAGATGCTGTAATAAGAGTTATACGAATGTGGTCTCTCTCTGGAATTTTTCAGTTAATATTTTCGGATTGCAGTTGACCACGGATAACTGAAACCACAGAAAGTGAAACTGCAGACAAGAGGAGATTAGTGTCTATACATCATTATCTATAAAATGAAGGCCCAGGAGAGACTTAGTAGATCAAAAAGTATATGCATTTGTAATTCTGATAAAAAGTAGTTCTTAACTTTTTTTGTGGTTCTGAGCCCATTAACAAATCTAATGAAAGGTATGGAACTCAGTTCCCAAAATAATGAACAGATACACAAAATTTACATACTAGGAGCCTTCACATGGATCCATCTCTAGAGATATTTAAAAGGGGTGCTAGGTGTGGTGGCTCACACCTGTAATTCTAGCACTTCGGGAAGATGAGGTGGGTGGATCACTTGAGACCAGGAAGTCAAGACCAGCCTGGGCAACATGGCGAAACCCCATCTCTACAAAAAATACAAAAATTAGCCCGGTGTGGTGGCACCTGCCTATAGTTCCAGCTACTCAGGTGGCTGAGGTGGGAGGATCACCTGAGCCTGGGGAGGTCAAGGCTGCAGTGAGCCACGATTGTGCCACTGCACTCCTGCCTGGGTGACATAGTGACGATCCCATCTCAAAAAAGGAAAAAAAAAAAAAAAGAAAAGAAAAGAAAAAGAAAAAAAACTAGATGATTTAGTAAGGGCCTCAGAGCTATAATCTCAAAATTCTGAGAACTTGGAGACTTTACCTTGATTGATTTCAGCTGCAGAAGGCCCCAAACTCAAGCTCTTCTTCTGTTGAGCATTTTTGGCAAGAAGCGTGTGCTTGTCATCATTCCCTGTATCCATCTCTGAAATGGTGACAGCCAGAATCCGGCAGAAATTAGCGAGCTGCTGCTGATCGAAATTGGATACTAAGGAACTCAGATTGGGGACTTCATCTAGTCGGATCATTTCCTACAGAAGACAAAAATGAAACAATCCCCATGCTCAATTCACTCAAGAGATTGGATGTGCCTCTCTTTCGCATCCCCTTACATACGGGGCTTAGTGGCTAGATCACTTAGGTTCCTATCCCAGCTCTGTAACTTGCAGCTCTGAAACTTTGGTTAAGTTACAAAAACCTTTCGAGTCTTTGCTTGTTTATCTGTAAAACGGAACTAATCTACCTCACAGGATTAGTCTGAGGACTAAATTTACCTTTTGAGCACCACTGTTTTCAATTGTTCTTGTGGTATATTTTGCCTATTTAAAAAAAAAGGAAATGCCTACCACTCAAGTTTTGGAAATCATAAATTACCATTCTTGCTACAGATTTGCTTTTTTAAAAAATAAAATACTTCAAATATAGCTAAAGGCCTCTGTGTATCCCCCATCCAGTCGCATTTTTTTCTCTCCCTGCAGACGTAAACATTATTTTGAACTCTGTGTTTATTATTCCCGTGCATGTTTTTATACTTACAAATATTTCCATTAAAATACATGTTACTGCTCTGCATGCACAGTGTGAATGATACCATACTATACCTTACTTTTCATCCAACATTTTGAAGTTTATCTACACTGATACAAGCAGCTGATTCAATCACTTCCCGCCGTTTTACCCCACAGTTTAATCATCTCTCTCTTTTAAGAGACAGGGTCTCACTCTGTTGCTCAAGCTGCGGAGCAGTAGTGTCATCATAGCTTACTGCAGACTCAAACTCCTAGGCCCAAGCAATCCTCCTACCTCAGCTTCCCAAGTAGCTAGGACTACAGGTGCGTGTCATTACACCTGGCTACTTTTTTAATATTTTTTTTTTTGAGATGGTATCTCATTGTCGCCCAGGCTGGAGTGCAGTGGCGCAATCTTGACTCACTGCAAACTCCACCTCCTGGGTTCAAGTGATTCTCCTGCCTCAGCCTCCCAAGTAGTGGGGATTACAGGCGCCCGCCACCACGCCTGGCTAATTTTTGTATTTTTTAGTAGAGATGGGGTTTCACCATGTTGGCCAGGCTGGTCTTGAACTCCTGACCTCAGATGATCCATCCACCTTGGCCTCCCAAAGTGCTGGGATTACAAGCGTGAGCTACCACGCCTGGCCAATACTTTATTTTTATGGAGACAGGGTCTCACTATTGTTGCCCAGGCTGGAACTCCTGGACTCAAGCAATCCTCCCACCTTGGCCTCCTAAACTGCTGGGATTACATGTATGAGCCACTGTGCCTGACCCTTTCTTCTTTTAATACATATTTAGGTAAACTACAGTTTTTCACTATTAAACAATGTTGCAATGAACATTCTTACAGGTACTCTCTGTGTACACATGTATGTGACCATTTATCCAGAGTGAGAGCAAGAATTCTTGTCTTTTTCTTGACTTTACCAGAAATAATTCCAAAACATTAAAATTAAGTTCAATATTTGCTGTAAATTTTAATATCCTATAAGTTAAATTTTAATAAATACCCTATATATAGTTTATAAGTTTTCCTTCTATTGCTAGCTTTTATTAAGAATGATAATTTTATGGAATGCCTTGTGCTATTTGGTTCTATTCTCACTCATTACTCCTTAAAATCTGTAAATGGCATGTACTACATCAACTTTTCTCATTTTGAACCATCCCCGTGCTACTCAGATAACACCTGCTATCCTTCATCCCACTAATTTACTTCCACTGGATTGGGTGTTTCTCTTTCACTGCACAGATCACATGAACTTTTAATAATCTGTTCCTGCATCTATTTCCCAAATAATCTGACCATACTTTGATGAAGGCATATATCCTACCCTTTCTCCTGAGACTCAATGCACAGGACCTGGTAGCAAGGGTATCAGTGAATGTGCCCAAAACGAGTGCATGATTCCTAGAAGCTCTCATGAATCCCATACTCGCCTCTATTTCTAGTAATGGAGGACAGGAATTTGCTGTGCAGGGGGCATTGGGGAACAACTGCTTCCACTTTTCCTTTTCCCTAGTACAAAACAAATGTAAGCTACTACTATTATTGGCAACTGTAACTTGTAGCTCACCAGTTCCTCTAGCCCTGTCTAACTCAGTATATGGTTCCCAAAACAGGTCCCACCACCCCCAGCCCACTTCTTATGGTTTTTTGTTTTGTCTTAAATTTTAAGATTTTTTTTTTTAAGGCGGAGTCTCACTGTGATGCCCAGGCCAGAGCGCAATGGCACAATCTCTGCTCACTGCAACCTCTGCCTCCTGGGTTCAAGCAATTTTTCTGTCCCAGCCTCCCAAGTAGCTGGGACTACAGGCATGCACCACCATGCTGGGCTAATTTTTATATTTTTAGTAGAGACAGGGTTTCACCCTGTTGGCCAGGCTGGTCTCCTGACCTCAAGTGATCTGCCCACCTCGGCCTCACAAAGTGCTGGGATTACAGGCATGAGAGCCACTGTGGCTGGCCAAGAATTTACTTCTTATGTTTTAATTTTTGATATGTACAATACGTATTATGCAGCACAACAAAATGACTAGCTGTGTGTGCCTTTCCTATTGCATCTCTCTGCCTCTGGGAACCACCATCATTAATTATTATTGCCTTGCCATTTAAAAACTAGTTTTATCAACAAATAATTTGCTTTTTTGAGCTTTATGAAAATGATATACTACCTACAGTGTTCTGCAACTGGCTTCTACCACTCGATTATTTCAATTACTCAGCTATGTTGTTGCCTATGGCAACAGTTCATTCATTTCTACTATATAATATTCCATTGTGTGAAGAAAGTACATTCATCCCTTCTCCTATTCATGGATCAGAGACTTGGTTTCAGTTTTTTGTTCTGAAACAACGAAGCTACAAATGTTCTTATGTGTTTCTTGATGCACAGGTGGAGAAGTTTTTGCTGGGGCAGTGGCTTCTAAACTTTTTAGCTATCACCAAGAACGACCACCAGTAAACATACATATTGGAATGTATATAGAAATGTCAAACAAAAACTTATTCAAAAAATACCCTTACACAATACAGTTTGATCTTTTCTACTTGGCTGGTAGACCCGATGGACTGACTTTACAACCTTCTGGGTTTCAATCCTAAGAATCACTGTTCTAGGACTGAGCTTCCCCACAAGTGTGTCCAGGCACAGGTTATAGGTAACCCATGGCAAAATACTGATGCCTCAGCCCTCAGGGTAAAGCTTCCCTAGGTGCTGGGGCACAAGATATGTGCCTGTTCAACTACAAAACAAAAAAAAAGAGGATATTCTGCTGATAAACATTTATCAGTAGTATACAAGTGTTTCCACTGATACACACACTCACCAACATTTGCCCACTCTCTCCCTCACTATGGTATTGATTTGCATTTCCTTGATTGCCAATCAAGTTAAACATCTTCTCTTTTATGTTTATGGACCATTTCTTTCTTGTCTGTGAAATGCTTGTTCATAACATTGCCCATTTGTCTACTGGGCTATTTCTCTTTTTCATGCTGATTTGTAAGAATTCTGTTTTTTTTTTTTTTTTTGAGAGGGAGTCTTGCTCTGTTGCCCAGGCTGGAGTGCAGTGACATAATCTTGGCTCACTGCAACCTCTGCCTCCCGGGTTCAAGCAATTCTCATGCCTTAGCCTCCCAAGTAGCTGGGACTACAGGTGTGCACCACCATGCCTGGCTAATTTTTGTATTTTTTAGTACAAAATGAGACTGGGTTTTGCCATGATGGCCAGGCTGTTCTCAAACTCCTGACCTCAAGAGATCTGCCTGCCTCAGCCTCCCAAAGTGTTGGAATTACAGGCATGAGCCACCGTGCCTGGCCTGTAAGAATTATTGATAAATTCTGAATACAACAAATCCTTTGTTGGTTACCTGAATTCAAATGTCTTTTCCCAGTTTATGGTGTTTCCACTTTCTTTATGGTATCTATCCCCCTTTCAAACTGCACCAAGATACCCATAATGTTTGGTGGAACACCTCGCCATTTTGGGGTACACAAAAAGGAATGAGAGGGAGTGAGAGGCAAGTGGGAAAAGTTGTGAAGGAGCACTTCTAGACTCCTATGCTGAGACTGCTAAGGAGTCTGGAGTTTCCACTCTGGAGGTCCCCTTTCACACACTGGCTGGAACACACAATTACTGGAATAACAACAAAGCCTTTTTATCAAAGGGCACAAAGGGTCTGTCTGGGGCCTGCACACATCTCCAATGTGTTCCTACAGACAATAGGCCACTTGTGCTGGGCAATGACAAGCAAGGCCTGGGGAAAGCACAGCAAGAAGAAATGAACGCTGGGTTCACCACAGTGCACATGAACATCCACCTCCCTGCAACAGCAACCTCTAGGAGGCTGCTCAACAGGAAGAGAAAGAAATCTGCCAACCAGCAACCAACATGGAGGCTCAGGACAGATTAGGACTGGGGAGGTGAGCTCCAGGTCCTAACAAGCATTACACCAAAAATGTAACACAGTAAGTCTCTAACAGAGATCTATGAATGTATTTTTGGGTATCTGTGAATTCTTGAAATTTTTAATTTAGTTTTCATTTCGATCATAGCTGTTTTTTTTTTTTTTTAAAGTTATGGGTCATCCGAATATTAACCTTATGACCAAGTGGCAGGATTTCAGAGCTCCCATTTGTCTCCTACTGCGCTGGTGCCAATTAACCAACTTTAATTGTTGAAGACTAATGAGAAAAAATAGAGGCGGACTTCATAAGTGAAAGCCAAACATTACTACCAAGGAGAACATATCCTAATGAATGAAGGCTTCACACCAGTTCAGATAGCGGTAAAGTGGTAAGAGAATGGAGTCACTGCATAGCATACAATAGCACATACATGCTACAAAGAACTTGCCCCAACGGTGATGAGTGAGGGGCAATTTGATTTCAGCAAAGTAACATGAGGCATCACCCTACATTCACAGAGTCAATCTGAAGTTCTGAGTTTTAGAATTAGTTTGATTTCAATGTATGTCTGTTTAGGTTTTACAGTCATTTAAGAACCACTAGTATAAGGGGTAATCAAGTTTTATACTTGAATACATCTGAGTAACAAGACATAATTTAACACTTTCTTTTAAAAAAGCTCTGTATATTATTCAGTTTTGAGAATCCAATGGTCTGAGACACCCTTCCCCATCTGGTCAGCTAGAGGACACAGCTCACCTTTTTAACACCCAAAATATCTTCAATGAGGGTTGCTGTTTGTAAGAATGTCTTCTTACTTGTCATCAATGTAAACAGGAAGATCACAAAGTCATTCTTTTCTGCCAAACGCTTTGTAACTCCCTCTGTCTGTCACAAGAAGAAAAGGCAGAATAGGTTGTAAGTACAAAATAAATTATGAAAGTACAAGGCATCCTTTACAGACACTGAAAAGCAGTTTCACCTCTGAAAACTGGCATGAGTCAACAAAACAGGAATGGCATGGCTTAACTGTGGGAAACGCTCGTTAACTCCCCAGCTATGGAAGAAAAAAGTCTCCTGACGTGCAGGCTACACAAGTGGGAACTCACTTGTGAGAACATAACACAATGAGATGGTATTTCCTAAAATAACTTATCTCAGAGTTCTGAAGGCCATTCTTAAATCTGAAATCAAACAGTGCCGAAGCATGGACTTAAGAGTCAGACCTAAGTTCTAATTCCAGCTGTGTGATCCTGAGCAAATCACTTCTCACCTTTGGAACTCCATTTTTTTCATCAGTAAAATGATCATCTTAAAAGTCTTTGAGGCCAGGCGTGGTGGCTCACACCTGTAACCCCAGCACTTTGGGAGGCCAAGGTGGGCAGATCACTTGAGGCCAGGAGTTCGAGACCAGCCTGGCCAACGTGCCAAAACCCTGTCTACTGAAAATATAAATATTAGCTGGGTGTGGTGGTGCATGCCTGTAGTCCTAGCTACTCAGGAGGCTGAGGTAAAAGGATCATTTGAGCCCAGAAGGTGGAGGCTGCAGTGAGCCTAGACTGTGCAAATGCACTCTAGCCTTGGCAACAGAGGGAGACCCTAACTCAAAAAAAAAAACAAAACAAAAAAACCAACAACAACAAAAAAACAAAACCCCCAAGGGGTATGAAGGAAGTTAAGGAAACTAGCTGGTAAAAGACCTTAAAACTTAGGTTCAAGAGTTTGGATTTAAAACTGCAGTATTGTCAAGTGCAGTGGCTCACACCTGTAATCCCAGCTACCCCGGAGGCTGAGGTGAGAGGACCGCTTGAGGCCAGGAGTGTGAGGCCGCAGTGAGCTACAATCTGTCTCACCACTGCATTCCAGCATGGGGACAGAGTGAAACCCTATCTCTAAAAAGAAAGAAACTGCAGTACTGCTATAGCTTACACACACACACACACACACACACACACACACACACATATATATCCCACCCCTACTGCCTTAAGGCAACTAGAGCTTAGTGACTTTAATATTTCTTTTTTTTAGCCTCTAAGCTGAAAAAATTCCAAGGTTTACTGCGATAAACTTGACTTCTCCTTAAAAAGTATAATCAAGAGTGCAGACACACACAGTTTGGTAAATGGGAACCCCAAGCTAGGAGGCATTTCAGAATCAGTGAAATGAGATATGTTGCAACAAATTTAATTTTCTTTCTTTTAATTTTAGAGACAGGGTCTCACTCTGTTGCCCAGGCTGAGGCCATGACTATTCACAAGTACGAATATAGCTCACTACAGCCTCAATCACCTGGGCTCAAGCGATCCCCCCACCTCAGCCTCCTGAATCACTGGGACTACAGGCGTGCACCACCGCACCTGGCAAATTTAATTTTCAAAGTGAAGGCATCAATAAAGATGTGCCACGTATATAAATCTTTGACGATCACATTAAATAGGACACTAAAGAAAGCAATCTCCATCTGTATTAATACATTTCGGTTCTTCAGTCGTAGCACTGACACATTAAAAAAAAAAAAAAAAAAGGTTGTTATTCCCGAACTACATACAGTACCTACACTGGCTATGATATGTGAAACAGGACTGACTCTAGTTTTACTGACAAGCAAAAGTTCTGGAAGATCCAAAGAAACAGAACAAAAAGAGAACTAAATTTACACTTTCTCAAAGCTTAAAAATCTATCTCCAGGCTGTCAAATACACAACCCTGCTGCTCTAACTAGCTACCCTTGACTACCCACCTTTCTCCTCTCTTCAATTTATCAAAGTGCTACTCCTTTTACAGACTGACTAAAATGACTCCTCTTGGAAAACCTTCCCAAGTCAACAGTGGCCACCCAAAAGGCCATCACAATCCTTCCTTTCCTCTATATCACAAGTTCTTAACTGAGGCCAAAAAGCACTAAAACAATATATAAAAGGTTGTATGCAACTACATTTTTCGGGGGAGAGTTTTTTCCATGTAACATTCATCATAGGTTTTTTTTTGGTTTTTTTTTTTTTTTGGAGACAGGGTCTCACTCTATAGCCCAGGCTGAGTGAGTACACTGGCACAATCATGGCTCACCGCAGCCTTAACCTCTCAGGCTCAAGCAATCCTCCCACCTCAGCCTCCTGAGGAGCTGGGACTATGGTATATAACACCACGTCCAGCCAGTTTTTTATTTTTTGTAGAGACAGGTTCTATGTTGCCCAGGCTGGTCTTGAACTCCTGGACACACACAATTCTCCTGCCTCGGCCTATCAAAGTGTTGAGATTATAGGTGTGAGCCACTGCGCCCAGCCTAATCATAAGCTCTTGACCTAGTATCTGTCAAGTATCTAAATGAGGAGCTACAAACTAGCATCCAGTAGGCCAAGCTTTTTCTGGTGAGCAGTACTGTTTATTTTTTTATCTTTTATTTTTTGAGAGACCCTCACTCTGTCACCCACGCTGGAGTGCAGTGGTGCAATCTCAGCTCACTGCAACCTCTGCCTGCTGGGTTCAAGTGATTCTCTTGCCTCTCCTGAGTAGCTGGGACTATAGGCATGTACCACCACACCTGGCTAATTTTTGTGTTTTTAGTACAGACGGGGTTTCACCATGTTGGCCAGGCTGGTCTGGAACTCCTGACCTCAAGTGATCCACCCGCCTCAGCCTCCCAAATTGCTGGGATTACAGGTGATAGCCACCGTGCCCGGCCAACAGTACTTTTTAAACTTTTGAATTCAAACATCTTTAGACAGGACATACTTGCTCCAGTTTAGTCACAGTTTACACAAGTCCCCACTCCAACACCAGCAATTCCAAACATTTCCTGTTTTCTGCCTGATCCCTGGAGGCATTGGTGTTTGCAACCCTGAGAGCCCCAGGTTCTCTACATTAACATGGAATTCAGCCAGATAGCACATAATTGAACCATATCGCCCTATGTTCCTCAAATTTTTTAAAAAATTTTATTTAAAAATACTTTTAGTTGATATATAATAAAGGTACATAATTTCAGGGAGCATATAATTTAATACATTCGTATAATTTATAAAAATCAAATCAATGTACTTGGGATAGCCATCAGCTTAAATACTTGTCTTTTCTTTATGCTAAGAACCATTCAAATTCTCTTCTAGCTATTTTGAAATGTAAAACAGAACAGAATATTATAAACTAAGTCACCCTTACTGATTTATCTAACACTAGGTCTTATTTATCATCCCATATATTTGTACCCATTAATCAACTTCTCTTCATACATTTCATTTTTTTAACTTAACTGTTTTATTGGAATGTCACTGATTAACATTAGGTATCATGATTTTAAAACGGCCTCATAAAACTAGTGACTATATGGAGTTGCCAAAGATGGAGTCATTATATTATACACTGTCTTCTTCTATAAGGACAATTTCTTATTGGCCTTAGTTGCAAGAACTGTGCATTTCCTGAACAATTTGAAATTTTATCTTATAGATCTCCCTGTGCCTATCTCTGTCATTGGCTATACATGGCTACCGAGCACTTAAAAGGTGGCCAGGCCAAACTAAGATGTGCTCTGGGTGTTCAAACAAGAGGAAAGAAAAACAAAACACACACACACATTGGATTTTGAGAGCTCAATACGAAAAACAAGTAAATATCTCATTAATAATTAATTATACTGATTACATGTTAGAATGACAATATTCTTGATACACTGTGTTAAACAGAATTTATCATTAAAATTAACTTCACCACTTCTTCCTACTTTTTTCTTTAAAAAAATGTGGCTACAAGGAAATTTAAAATAACCCAAGTGGCTTGCATTATATTTCAATTGCACAGCACTATTATAGATGCTGAATTACGTAAGTGTTCAAACATATTCCCCTATTTGTGTTGGCTGCTAAGAAGCTTGAAGCCAAATTTGTGCCCATCCGTAATACAGATGATTTTATGGTCTTCATTTTTATATCAGCCCAATTCCTGGCTATACGTTATGTCCCCACCTTTATCTTCTTCTTTCTTACCTGCTTCTAAGTTCGTGATCTTGGTAGATTTTGCATACACCCACAAGATGTCAGAAATCTTATTTTGAATGAGGCAAGAAATGAAATGGAGCTAAATGTTTTTTTTTTTTTATTTCCACAGCATACAGGGTTCACATTTATAATAGCGCTCGTCTCATTCTGCCATGTATTATGATTCACAGTTTACACAGTTTATCATAAGTTTCTAAAAGACAGGTACTGTATCTTTTAAAAACTAACATTTATATATTGTTTTACAAAGTGTTTTCACATCTACTATCTCATTTCTCACAATAAATCTATGATGTTAATACAACTGCTAACTGCATTCTATTGGTAAGAAACTACGGCTTGGGAGGTGTACTAAGCCAAGGGCCAGAACACAAAATCAGGTCCTAACACTAAGTGCCATCCTCTTTTGTTTCTACCAGATTGCTTTCTTTATTCACCATTCTTCCTGGCTCAGTGGTCAACCTAGTAGAGTCCTGCTCAATATATGGGCGGGGCTTCTGGTTCTCATTTTGTTTTCTAACAAGGAAAATGAAGAAATAGGCATAATGGAGTTAAAATGAGTCTTAAAGGTCACAGTCTGCCAACACTTGTCACCTTTTGACAAGTGTCCAGTTTCTACTTGGACAGCTCTAAGGCCAAAGGAGTTTACTACCTGCTGCAGCAGTCCTGGCTCTTAACAACTGCTACAAAATTCTGCCTCCCCGTAATTTCTACCAGTTAGTCCTGATTTTCAGGCACACATAAAATAAGCCCGATTCCCCCACTGTCTGAAAGCAGCTCTTATGTCTGCCATTCTACTCGAATATTCCCATCTTAAACATTGCAGACCTGGTAGGGGAGATAAACAGAGCCCCAGTGGCAGGGGTACTTACACAGACACAGGTATTATACAGGATACTCAAGCAGTCCTTGGACATTTCATCACTTACTGAAAGTGAAAGGGTAATGACTGGTTATTTTTCTCAATGAAAAGATAGTACAACAGTTACCACATTTTTTTCAGCATAAGAACTGTTATAATCCCCTCCAAGATGATTATTTTTCCTTTAATATACTTCTTCCAGCCCCTGTCTACCAAAGGTTTTCATAGTGCCCATCAGAACCTACAAGCCCATTTGCATATTGCTTTTGGTTTGATACAGCAGCTGTTTTCTTATTATGCTCCACAGTCTTCATAATTTCAACCTGTTGTTGTGCCATCATTTAATAAAGCCATTTTCCCTTAATGTCTTGCTTAGGATATATCTAGGATTTGTTTTTTTTGTTTTTTGTGTTTTTTGGCTATTTAAGTAGACCACAAATGAACAACTTAATATATATGTGTATCCTTTTCATGTTTGTATTAAACTAGTTCCTCAAGATACATTTTCAAAAGTAGAACTACTAGAATCTAAAGTATAGGCATCTTTTTTTTGTTCATTTGTTTTGGTTTTTTAAATGAGGTCTTACTCTGTCACTCAGGGGCACAATCACAGCTCACTGTAGTCTCGAACTCCTAGGCTCAAGCAATTTTCCCTCCTCACCCTCCCGAGTGGCTAGGACTGCATGCGCGTGTACCACGCCTGGCTAAAAGTTAAAAGTATAAGCATCTCAATTGCTCTTGTTATAAATTTCCATTGAAAGTTCTACTGCAGCAAACAAAAATACCATTTTTATCAGACTCATTAACTGAGCATTTCTTTTTTTGTTGCTGTTATCTGTGTTGGGCAAATGGCTCTTAATGTCTGATCTATTACTAATTCTTATAAAGAAACTACTACTTCCCTGTGAGCAGGAACAGGAAAGTAGCATAAAAACGAAACTTAATTTTCATGAGCCCAAAACCAAAAGATGATGAAACTGAGTATGAACCATGGACAAAGTGCTTTATTTGGCACTTGCTTCTATTTTTTAAAATTGTTTCCATTCACTCCTAAGCTGCTAGGAATGCTAAAATGCTAGGTCTCCTTCTCAGATCCCAATGGGCAGCCCTGCCAAGCTAGCTTGACTAGATGGGTTGTCTCATAATCCTGAGACAACGCAGACGCTCTGCATCCCTTATCACCACCTTTCAACCTACTGGGGCTCTGTGATTGATTTATTTAACGACTTCAGAGCAGGGTGAAACACTGCTCTGCATGTCTCACTATATATCTCACTATTTCTAGATCCTCCATTTTTAAAAGGAATTGGGATTCACTCATTCATCAAGTATTGTTCAGCATCTACTCTAGAGCAGATACAGTGGTGAGGGAAAAAAAGTCTCAGCCTTCATGGAACCTATAAATCTAGTGGGAAGAAGAGAGACTAAACAAGTGCACCAACAAATAATTACAATATGCTACTTGCTATGAGGGTACATAGAGAACATGAAAGACCAAGTTAGAATACACAGCTGAGACATTAAAAATGAATATAAATCCTCTTAATAACCACTACTGCATGCACAAATGAGGCCTTATACAGTATGTCGTATTGGGGTAAAAAAAAAATCTTTTAAATTAAAAAAACGCAAAGTTGGTAGGAGGGCATTCACCAAACATTAACTGAAGTCATCTCTGGCTTTTAACACCAGAGTAAAGTGCATTCACTTTTTTATTTTAAATTAAATACCGAAGCTGGGTGCGGTGGCTCATGCCTGTAATCCCAGCACTTGGGAGGCTGAGGTGGGCAGATCACTTGAGGTCAGGAGTTCGAGACCAGCCTGGTCAACATGGTGAAACCCCATCTCTACTAAAAAAAAAAATACAAAAATTAGCCGGGTATGGTGGTGGGCGCCTGTAATCCCAGCTACTTGAGAGGGTGAGGCAGGAAAATCACTTGAGCTCAGGAGGCGGAGGTTGCAGTGAGCCAAGATCATGCCACTGCACTCCAGCCTGGGCAACAGAGCGAGAGACTGTCTCAAAAAAAAAAAAATTGAATACCTAAAAAGAATTATTTGTAACGTGTAAGTTATAAAAAATAATAATAGAATATTACCCATATATCTACCACCCAGCTTAAGAAATAGTGCATACCAAAACACTCTGACTTTTTACCATTCACACCCTGGTAATGCCTGAACTTTTTACAAAGAGCATGTATCACCTTTCTAAAAAAAATAGTTTAAAAAAAATAAAACAGAGTGATCTTACTCTCTCAGCTAGTTATATGTGAGAAAGAAGAATTTCCCAAGGAAACATAGAAGCTGGATCACAGGACTATCAAAAGTACAAAGATGCATTCTCTTAACCCAGATCTGAATTTCTACGCAGTACAGAATGAATAAAGACAGCTGCTTAGCTGGGGGAGGAGAGAGCAACCTGTAGCTAAATGTAAGACATGTCCTTACTATTAAGAGTTAGGAAGGGAAGGAAGAAGGCAGCTGCTGGGAACTGCCACCGTATCGGCAGGTTGGAAAACAAGGACCAGTAGCTAATAGGTATACTTACTTTTCAGTTTCTGTCCCCGGATAGAGATCGTAGGCCTCATAAGAATTTCTACAAGAAGCTATAAAAAAAATTAGATAAAATCTTCAAAATTAATTCAAAGTATAACTTATAAAATGATTTTGCCATAACCATTCATGGCCCATGTATCTGTCACAGTATTACAAGACCCTTTTGTTCCAGGAGGCAGTTAAGGTTCAGTAAGGCTCCTGACTGCAGCAAGTCAGGAGACCCAGGTTCTAGTCCCAGCTTGGCCACCTACTTGCCCTTCTCTGGCCTCAGCTTTCTCATTTTTGAAAAGAAGTATTTTAGATTAGGTAATCTCTGGGATCTAATGCGGCTTTAATTTCTGAAAAGCTGCAGAACATTATTACTATGATTCTTCTGTTTAAAGAACATTTGTAAGTTTATTTTAAAAGGACTCAAAAGATACACCATAAATTGTTAACACTGATTTCTACAGGTTTGGGGGTTATATGCATGTGTTTTTTATTTTACATACTTTAATACAATTTTGCACAAACTGTTTAAAATAAGCATGTATTTAAAAATTCATTCTACGGAGAGAAAGGATAGTTGATAAAAGGGTCAATCCATTAGAAAGATATAACAACTACAAATATGTATGTACCTAACAATAGAGCCCAAAAATACATGAAACAAAAGCTGGCAGAAATGAAGGAAACAGATAATTTAAAAATAAAAGTTGGACACGTTAATAACTCTGCTTTCAATAATAGACAACTAGGCAGACGAGCAAAGAAATAGAAGACTTGAACACAACGAACACATATATTCTAACAGACATCTACAGAACACTCCATGCAGCAAGAACAGAGTATACATTCTACTCAAGTGCACATGAAACATTCTCCAGGACAGATCAAATTTCAGGCCACTGAACAAGCCTCAATAAATTTAAAAGCACTTAAATCACATACAGTATGTTGTGTGGCCACAATGGAATGAAATTAAAATCAGAACGAAATTTGGGAAATTCATGAATTATATGGATAATTTTAAAAACCCATCCTAAATAATAATGGGCCAAAGAAGAAACCACAAGGGGAAGTATAAAGTATCCAAGAAGGATGAAAATACCAAAACTTATGATGTAGCTAATGGAGTGCTCAGAGGGAAATTTATAGCTGTAAATGCCTATATTAAAAGAAAATTCTTTTTTTTTTTTTTTTTTTTGAGACAGAGTCTTGCTTTGTCTCCCAGGCTGGAGTGCAATAGCCCTATCTCGGCTCACTGCAACCTCCGCCTCCTGGGTTCAAGCGATTCTCCTGCCTCAGCCTCAGAGTAGCAGGGATTACAGGTGCCTGCCACCACTCCTGGCTACTTTGTGTATTTTTAGTAGAAACGAGGTTTTGCCATGTTGGCCAGGCTGGTCTTGAACTCCTGACCTCAGGTGATCTGCCCACCTTGACCTCCCAAAGTGCTGGGATTACAGGCATGAGCCACCGCACCCGGCCAAAGAAAATTGTTTCTAATCGATAACCTAATCTTCTACCTTAAGACACTGGAAAAAGAGCAGACTAAACCCAAAGCAAGCAAAAGGGAGAATAAGAGTTGAAACAAATGAAACAGAGAATAGAAAATAACAGAAAATGAACAAAACCAAAAGCTGGCTCTTTGAAGACTGGCAAATTCTTAACTAGACTGACCAAGAAAAAAGGAGAGAGGATACAGATTACTATACTCAGAAATAAAGGAGAGGGCATTACCACCAACCTTATGGCAACAAAAGTGATTATAAGGAACTACTATGAACAACTGTATGCCAACAAATTAGATGACCTAGACGAAATGGACACATTCCTAGAAAGACATAAAACTAAAAACTGACTTAAGAAGAAACAGAGGCTGAGCATGGTTGTTCATGCCTGTAATCCCAAGACTCTGGGCGGCTGAGGTGGGAGGACTGATTGAAGCCAGAAGATTGAGACCACCCTGGCCAACACAGCAAGACCCCATGTCTCTACAAATAAAATAAATTAGCTGGGCGTGGTGGTACGCCTATAGTTCCAGCTACTTGGGAGACTGAGGCAGGAGGATTACTTGAGCCCAGAAGGTTGAGGCTGCAGTGAGCTATGATCATGCCAATACACTCCAGCCTGGATGGCAGGGTGAGACTCCATCTCTTTAAAAGAAAAAAAAGAAGAAGAAGAAGGAAGAAGAAGAAAGAAGAAGAAATAAGAAGAAGAAGAAGAGGAAGAAGACTACGACGAAGAAGAAGAAGACGAAGAAGACGACGAAGACAAAGAAGATGAAGAAGAAGGCGAAGACGAAGACAAAGATGAAGACGAAGAAGATGAAGACAAAGAAGACGAAGATGAAGATGAAGAAAAGATGAAGAAAAGACGAAGACAAAGATGAAGATGAAGAAGACGAAGACGAAGAAGACAAAGACGAAGAAGACGAAGAAGAAGAAAAAACAGAACATCTGAACAGCCCTATAACAAGTAGAGACTGACTTAGTGATTTAAAAAAAAACAAACAAAAACAACAATAACAAAAAACTACCCATAAAGAAAAACCTTGGACATGATGGCTCCATTGGTGAACAATACAAGACATTTAAAGAATGATCAATTCTTCACAAACTCTTCCAAAAAACAGAAGAGAAGGAAACATTTCCCAACTCATTCTTTGAGGCGAGTATTACCCTGATACCAAAACCAAACAAAGACATCACAAGAAAACTACAGATGAGTATCTCATGCATATATACACAAAAATCCTGAAAACCCTAGCAAACAAAATCCAGACACATACAAAAAGGATTATACTCCACGCATGATGGCTTATGCCTGTAATCCCAGCACTTTGAGACGTCAAGGCAGGAGGACTACTTAAGCCCAAGAGTATGCAACCAGCCTGGGCAACATAGTGAGACCCTGTCTCTACAAAAATTAAAACCAAAAATTAGCCAAGCATGGTAGCATGCTCCTGTAGTCCCAGCTACTCAGGAGGCCGAGATAGGAGGCTCGCTTGAGCCCAGGAGAGGCTGCAGTGAGCTGTGATCACACCACTGCATTCCAGCCTGGGTGACAGAGAGACCTTGTCTCCAAAAAAAAAAAAAAAAAAAAAAAAACAAGAAAAGGATTATACACCATGACACTATGACAAAGTGGAATTTATCCCAGGAATGTAAGGTTGGTTCAACATATGAAAATCAATATAATACACCATATCAATAGAATAAAGGACAAAAGCCAAAAGCCACACGGTCATCTCAACAGATGCAGAAAAAGCGTTTGGAAAAAAAAACCCAAAACACTTTCATGATAAAACAATCAACAAGGAATAGAAGAGAACTTCTTCAGCCTGATAAAGGGCTTTTATTAAAAAACCCACAGCTAGCATCACGCTTAACAGTGAAGACTAAATGCTTTCCCATTAAGATGAGGAAAAAGACAAAGATGTCCACTCTCGCCACTTCAATTTAACATTGTACTGAGTGTTCTAAGGCAACTAGAGAAAAATAAAAAAAGAAATTAAAGGCACCCAAATTGGAAAGGAATAAGTAAAACTAACTATTTACAGATGTCACAATCTAGAATACAGAAAATTCCTAAAGAATCCACTCAAAAAAACTATTAGAGCCAATAAGCAAGAGTTCAGCAAGATTTCACGATATGTGATCAATATACATAAATCAACTGTATTTCTAAAATTGTAGCAAGAAGCAAAAAAAACTGGAATTATGAAAACAATTCCATTTAAAGGAGCATCAAAAACAGTAAAAACACTTAGAAATAAGTTTAACAAGTGCAAGACTTGTACAACAAAACATTTTTGAAAGAAATTAAAGACAATCTAAAAAAATGGAAAGCTATCTTGTAGTTCATGGATCAGAAGATTTAATATTGTTAAGATGATAATACTCCCTAAATTGACCTACAAATTCAATGCAATCACTATCAAAATCTCAGCTGGCTTCTTTGCAGAAATTGGCAAGCTGATCCTGAAATTCACATGCAAATATAAGGGATGCATAACAGCCAAAACAATCTTGATCTGTAAATACAAAAATAAACCCGTGTCTATGATCAGTTGATTTTTGACAAGGTTGCCAAGACAATTCAATGATGAAAGAGTAGTTTTTTCAATAAGTGGTGCTGTGACAACTGGATAGTCACATGCAAAAGAATGAAACTGGACCCCTGCCTCACATGATAAACAAAGTCAATGCAAATGGATCAAAGATCTAAATGTAAGATACAAAATATAAAATTCTCAGAAGAATACATAGGTAAATCTTTGTGACCTTGGATTAGGAAATGGTTTCTTAGATGCACACCAATACCCAAGTAACAAAAGATAAAATGAACTTCATCAAAATTAAAGACTTTGTGTTTCAAAGGACACCATCAAGAGAGTGAAAAGACAGCTACTTAATGGGGGAAAATATTTGCAAATTACAAGGAATTAGTATCCAGAAACTAATACAACTCAATAATAAAAAGACAACCCAATCAAGAAATGGAGAAAGCAGATGAACAGACATTTCTCCAAAAGTCCAATAATAAACAGATGATCAACATTAGTCATCAGGGAAATGCAAATCAAAACCACAATGAGATACCTCTTCATACCTACTACGATGGTTATAATGAAAAAGACAAATAGTAACTATTGGCAAAGATGTGGAGAAATTAGAACCTTCATACACTGCTGGTAGATATGTAAAATGGTGCAGCTGCTTCAGAAAGCAGTCTGGCAGATCCTTAAAAATTAAACAGAGTTACCAGCAACTCCACTTCTAGGTATATACCAAGGGAAATTTTTTAGTAAGACAATCTAATAGAAAATGAAAACACGTCCACCTAAAAATTTATATGCCAATGTTCATGGCAGCATTATTAATCATAGCAGATTACTAATAATAGCCAAAAGTGGGAACAACCCAAATGTCCATCAACTGATGAATGGATAAATAAGATGTGGTCTATCCATACAGTGGAATATTTCTTGACAATAAAAAGGAATGGAGTATTGATACACGTTATGACACGGATTAACCTTGAGAACATTATGTTAAGCAAAAGAAGCCAGTCACAAAAGACCACGTATTGTTATGACTCCATTTATGTGAAATGTCCAGAATAATTAAATCTATAAAGACAGAAAGTAGATTAGTGGTTGCCTAAGGATGTGGGAGGGAGGCCTTGGGAGGAAATGGGGAGTGGCTACTGAAGAATATGGTGTTTCTTTTTTGGAGTGATGAAAATGTTTTAAAATCAATTGTGGTGACAGTGGTATATAACTCTGACTATACTAAAAAACTGAATTATATCTTTTAATATATCTTTTAAATGGGTGACTTGTATGACATGAATTATATCTCAATAAAGCTATTATTTAAAACAATAAAACACCTCATGCTCAGTTATAGAAGCTAGACATAAAAAGCCACACAGTGGACGATTCTGTTGATATGAAATATCCGTAACAGGTGATATGGTTTGGCTGTGTGCCCTCACCCAAATCTCACCTTCAATTGTAATAATCCTCATGTGTCAAGGGTGGGACCAGGTGGAGGTGACTGGATCATGGAGGCAGGTCCCCCATGCTGTTCTCGTGATAACGAGGGAGTCTCATGAGATCTGATGATTTTATAAGTGTCTGGCATTTCCCCTGCTTGCACTCACTCTGTCCTGCTGCCCTGTGAAGAAGGTGCCTGCTTCTCCTTTGCCTTCTGCCATGATTGTGAGTTTCCTGAGGCCTCCCAGGCCACATGGAACTGTGAGTCAATTAAACCTCCTTCCTTTATAAACTACCCAGTCTCAGGTATTTCTTCATTGCAGCATGAGAACGGACTGACAGAACAGGCATATTATGGACATTATGGATATTTCACAACAGGCATAATACAGACATAAAATAGATTAACGGCTGCCAGAGCTGGGGAGAAGGGGAGATGGGGAGTGACTGCTAATTTGTACAAGATTTCTTTTTGGCGTGATAAAAATGTTCTGGTTATCACTGCACAATACTGATGGGTGGTTACAAGAATTAACTTTATGTAAATTATATTTCAATAAAGCTGTTATTGCTGGGGAGGCAGGGTGGCTCGTGCCTATAATCCCAGCTACTGAAGAAGGTGAGGCAGGAAGATCATTTGAGACCAGGAGTTGGAGACTGCCTAAGGAACAAAGCAAGACCCCCATATCTCTAACAAATATTAAAAAATTAGCCACGTGTGATGGCATGAACCTGTAGTCCCAGCTACTCGGGAGACTGAGGCAGGAGGATCACTAGAGCCCAGGGGTTCAAGGCTGCAGTGAGCTAGGATCGTACCACTGCACTCCAGCCTGTGACACAGTGCAACTCTATCTCTAAAATCATCCCAACAATTTTTAAAAGCTGTAATTAAAAAAAATTCTGTTAAACAAATTCTAGGTTAATATAAACAGAAAAAAATAAATGTTAGAAAGGAATACTCCCGAATCTTAACAGTGGTTGAATTTTGGTGACAAGTCCCAAGACAGTTTTTCACATTTTCCTTGACAAACACCTTTTCCTTTTAAAATGAGAAAAATTAGGACCTTTGTTTTCCAAAAAAGTCCAATTTTCACTTAAAGCATTTAAAAATTATCTATATGCTGAGAATATGACTAAGCCCATATGTTTAAAGACATTCCCTATATACGTATGTATTTTTTATTATTGTTTAAATCAAGCTAGGAGCTACCCCAGAACAAAAAGAAAAATTCTTCCTTAGCCCCTTCTAGCTATAGGCCAATACTTAGGCAGCATGTCCAAGACACCTCAAGCCAAATGAAGAAGGAAGATTCCATAGCATTTTTTAAATTAAAAAGCCAGCAGGCAAATCTTTGAGACTAGACAGTTCAGCTTGAGGGTCTGAGAAAGCCTCTGCTCATCTCAAACCAGCAACAAATCTTTAGAAAGTAATTCACATGCCATGAGATTGCTCGTGGCATGAATGTGACACTATAATTCAACATCCTGAATTAAGAGAGATGTGTTATTTTAGCTTAAAGCAGCAGATTAAAAATAAAAATCCTAAACTACTACACCACAGATTGTCAATTCTAGAGAAGCACTGGGCTCAGCTTTCTGCACATCTGTATTTATTGTTAACTGCACTTGCAGGAGGGAAAAGAAAGAAGTCTCATGACTTGAGGCAACAATGAAAACTGCCCTGAACATATGCCTGCTTTGCTTTGTATAATAGAGACCTAAGGTCATCCTCTAGAAAAGGTGAAGTAATTATTATACAGTATATAACCATTTTATAGCCTGTTTTCATCATGAATTTTCCCATATTACTATAACTTTAACATTATATTAACAACTTCATAAAATTCAACAAAATAGATAGAATAACCATTATCTTCTCCTGGTAGATAGTCATTACAAATAATGTTACACCTAACGGTCTTGGTATACACAAGCTTTATCTCATTTTGACTTACGTCTTCATCAGAGTCACAGAAATGGAAACAACAGGGCAAAATGAGTAGTAATGTTTAAAGCTCTGAAGTATACTACACCAATTCTTCTCAAAAGAGATCACATTCATCCAAGTAAGACGTAAGATGCTCAAGTGCATAGAATGTATTTAAAATAAATTAACTTCAAATGGAAGATAGACTATGTCAGTGAATAAAAGTTCCTGAATGCCAAGCAATGGCTTACACCTGGCCCACAATTACTGAAAAGCTGGAAGATTTTTACCTACAAATCTAGATTTCCCATAACCTCTCAGGGAAACACTCAATGGGAGAGGAAGAGTCATTTCCTCCATAAAAGCAGGCACACACTCTCTAGCCCAAAACATTCCCCATACTCATTTAATTTATGCAGATGAGCTTGCTCTGGGTCTGCTTCACTCCACTTAGTTACATACTTCACATCTGCTTTGTAAACTCTAAGACACACTTTTCACAGTCATGTTATGGATAGGGTCAGGCTGACAAGGAGTGATCCCACTGAGCTTTGGGCAGCATGACCAAGAGAGGCTTACTTTGGGTTCTTGCTAGTTATTAGCAGAGGAAGAAATAACAAGCTGTTTGGAAAATACTACCAGCAGCAGGACAGCAAGAGAGTTCACTAACAAATGCACCCAAACTGAAGGTCAGTGAGGTGCATAATTACTTAAGCAGGAGCCCATGTTTATAAAATGACTGGGATTCCTGGAGAAGCTGCCCTAACTCAAAGCAGGAAAGAAAAACCCCCACAAAATCAAGAACAGTTGATCCAAAGATGTCCGAAGATGGGATAGGCTCCTACTAGAGAGCCACATTTCCACTGCAAATAGACACAGGCTACAGACCTACATTATTATTTTTCCTCCCATAAATACATCAGTTCTTACTAAGTAGATTTCTTGATGAAACAATTCAAAAGTAAAGGGTCTCTTGAGCTAGCCAAGTAAGTAAATGCCCTAGGACCACCGACACTGCTGTGGAGAGGGAATGCGGAGCAGCAGTTAAAGAAGAAAGGCTGTGGCTGATGCCATGCATGCAGATGTCACACTCAATCTTTACTTTACTGGAAAATGGTAGCTTTAAACAAAAGGAAACTTTAATAATTGAAGTATAACGTGATACCGCATAAAGAGTACAATTTTTTTTTTTGAGATGGGGTCTTGCTCTGTCACCCAGGCTGCAGTTCATGGTGCGATCTCGGCTCACTGTAGCCTCAACCTCCCGGACTCAACCAATCCTCCCACCCAGCCCCCATCAAGCAACTGGGACTGCAGGCCATGTGCTACCACAATCGGCTAATTTTTTTAATTTTTAGTAGTGATGGGGTTTTGCCGTGTTGCCCAGGCTGGTCTCTAACTCCTCAACTCATGCAATCCGCCTGCTTCGGCCTCCTAAAGTGCTGGGATTACAGGCATGAGTCACTGTACCTGGCCATGAGTATAAATTGCACATGTAGTTTTACACACTGAACACCATTCCTGTACAATCGCCACATAGATCAAGATAAAGACTAACCATAATACCCAGAAATGCCCTCTCCCTCATGTTCACTTCAGGTAATGGGGTTAAGGGCAGATATCTAGGGGAGCAAAGTCAGATCCTAACCCCTCAGTCATTACACCAAAATAAACTTCAAATGATGCAAAAATTTAAACATACACAATAAAAACTGTAAAATATTAGAAGGAAATAGGCATGGTTTAAATCCAACAGTGGGAAAGGCATGAACCAAAACTCTGAAGCCATTATAGTAAAACACTGATCAATCTGACAATCTAAAAATTAAACATTTCTAATTTTAAAATAACATCAAAATTTAATTCTCAAAATAGTAAAAAAACACAAATGACAAAGGCCTTTAAAAAATCAAAAGCACTTACAGATCAATAAGAAAAAGGACAAATAATCAAATCGAAAAAGGTGCAAAACAGAAAACTGGCAGAAAAGGAACTACTTATAAACACAAGAAAAAATATCCAATCTCAGTCATAGAAGAATGAATTTTAAAAACTATGCAGAGAATTTATAAAGAACTCTTACAACACAATATTCAAAAGAGATATATCTCAACTAAGAAATTGAAAAAGGAGAGACAGACATTTCTCCAAGGAAGATATACAAATGACAAACTCAAGAATAAGATGGTCATCATTGGCAATCAGAGAAATTCAAATCAAGACCACAATGAGATGTCTCTTCACACTCACTAGAATGGCTGTAATCATTACAGGGCTGGAGCGGGGGCTCATGCTTGTAATCCCAGCACTTTGGGAGGCCAAGGCTGGGGGACTGTTTGAGTCCGGGAGTTTGAGACCAGTCTGGGCAACAAAGCAAAACGCCATCTCAGTACTTTTTTTTTAAATTTTAAAACACTTTCAAAATGACAGATAACAAGTGTTGGCAAGGATACAGAAAAACTGAAACCCTTATACACTGCTGGTGGCAATGTAAAATGGCAGGGCCTCTTGGAAAACATTCTGGCAGTTCCTCAAACAATTAAACATAGAGTTACCCCATATGACCCAGCAACTGTATTCCTAGGTATGTATATGCCTGAGAGAAATGAAAACATGTCCACAAAGAACCTGTGCAAGAATGTTTATAGCACTGTTATTCATAATAGCAAAAAGACGGAGGCAATCCAAATGCCTCTCAACAAATAAAAAATGTGGCATATCCACACTGTGAAACATCATTTGACCATAAAAATGAGTGTTGATACATGCTACAACACAGATGAATCTAGAAATCATTACGCTAAGTGAAAAGAAGCCAGTCACAAAAGACCACATATTATATAACTAAATTTATACAAAACGTCCACGACAGAGAAATCTATAGAGACAAAAAGTATACTAGTGTGGGGAGAGGGGGAGGAGGTGGTAGAGGTAGGGGAGTGCTAGATAAAACACATGGAGTTTCTTTTTTGAGGTGATGAAAATGCTCTAAAGTTGACTGTGGTGATGGTTGCACATATCTGCAAATATACTAAGAACCACTGAATTGTGTACTTCAAATGGGTGAAATGTATGGTATATGAACCATATCTTAATAAAGCTGATTAAAAAAAACTATGGAAAAATATCACTTTTCTCATAACTGCTTAGTAAATACTTAAAATACACTGTTTGTGGAAGGGGGCTTCTGGGTACTGGTAATGTTCTATTTCCTAATTTGGGTGGTAGTGCAAAAGTGAATGTATTTTGTGGTAATTATTGGTGTACTTTTCTGTATGAAGGTTATACTTCAGTAACAAAGTCTATAAAAATACACACATAAACACAGTATGTTGGTGATGGTATGGGTAAACAGACGCTCATACTTTGTTCCTGGGGATATAAACTGACAAAACTTCTTAGGTAGGTAAACTTCAGATTTATAAACAATAAAAAACATACGTTCTTGTTCCAAAGGTATATACTCACATGTATACAAAAATATGTAAAAGATCTTTACTGCAACCTTGTCTGTAAGAGAAATGGTGTGGAAAAATTATAAATGCCAGTCAACTGGGGCCTGGGTAAATAAATTATGGCACAATCACACCAGGAAACACTAACCATTTAATTTTTTTTTGAGAGCTCATCACCCAGGCTAGAGTGCAGTGGTATGATCTTGGCTCACGGCAACCTCTGCCTCCCGGCTTCAAGCAATTCTCCTGCCTCAGCCTCCTGAGTAGCTGGGATTACAAGTGCCTGCCACCGTGCCCATCTAATTTTGGTATTTTTAGTAGAGACAGGGTTTCACCATCTTGGACAGGTTGGTCTCGAACTCCTGACCTCACGATCCACCTGCCTTGGCCTCCCAAAGTGCTGGGATTACAGGCGTGAGCCACTGCGCCCGGCCTAAAATTGTTTTAATTAAAAAAAAAAAAAGAAGAAGAAAGAAGGTACAGAATAGTGTAGCCGTGTATATGGTATATCACTCTATGTGCGGAGAAAATAAACTAAGGTGGAGGTGGTGGGGAATATTTACACACACACACACACACACACACACACACACAAAAAAAACAAAACATCTTAAGCAGGACACACAAGAAACTAGTAATCACAACTGGTTCTGAGGAGGGGACACTGGGAAATTTAGAGATGTACTTTTCACTTAGTATTTTTTTAAAAAGGTATACACCAATTTAAATAAATGAATTCTTCTGAAGTAAAAACTATGCTGCTTCAACATGTAAATGCCGCTAAGCTTCTAAAAGTTAAAATCTGAAATGTTATAAATTCTGAAATCTTTCCTATCTCCCATTTCAAAAGTTAAATTCCCAAACCATTAAGCAGTAGTAACAGCAGTAGTAATAATAAATAGCTACTTACATCAACACCTCCAAACAAGTCAAAAATGTAAGTATTTGGATAAGTGGTTTCTTGGGTAAGTTTCCTCTCTTCAGTAACAAATGCCATAGCCTCCATGGAGAGAAGAGGAGAAATTTCCTAGTTTTTTTAAAAAAAAGTACATACATTGTTTTAGTAACCAACACAGACCAGACACTAAAGCATCAGTTTGAGCTTTAGTCCCAACTGGAGTTCCCATGAACACAAAGACAGTCCCCAATGAACCACACTTCCTAGTATTCAGGCCCCTGTAAAGCCCCTTCTCACACTAAATCTGGGCTGGTATGACACACCTCAACTAACAGCATGTGGTAGAAGTGACACTAGGCCACTTCCAGCACAAGCCTTAAGAAAGCCAGGCTCACACCTGTAATCCCAGCACTTTGGGAGGCTAAGGTGGGCGGATTACTTGAGGCCAGGAGTTTGAGACCAGCCTGGCCAACATGGCAAAACCCCATCTCTACTAAAAGTACAAAAATTAGCCGGATGTGGTGCTACACACCTGTAATCCCAGCTACTCAGGAATTTGAAGTACAAGAAGCACTTGAGCCACGGAGGCAGACGTTGCAGTGAGCCAACATAGAGCCACTGCACTCCAGCCTCGGCAACAGAGGGAGACTCTGTCATTAAAAAAAAATAAAAAGCCTGACAGACTTCGCTCTTGCCATCCTGGAACCCAAACATCATGCTGTGAGAACACAGCCAATGGGGAGGCCATAAGGAGAAGAAATGAGGCCAAGAGCAACATCCTTAGTTGATCTCCAGCTGACAGCCAGCACCAACCTGCCAGGGATGTGAGAGAGACCATTTTGGACATTCCAGATATCTCAGTACCACCCTACCCAACAGCACATGAAGCAGAGGAGCCACTCAGTCAACCAAGAATTGTTGACAGATAAATGATTCTTGTTACTTCCGGCTGCTAGGTTTCGGGGTGACTAGTTCTGTAGCAATAACCAAGTCACTGCTCAAATATAATCTCCTGCAGGAAGTCTTCTTGATTTCCCCCAACCAGAAGCATGCTCTTCAGACCCCCAAAACAATCTACAACTCATTTGTAACATTTAGCACTTTTACTTTGCACCTATTTACAAACCATTTCTTTTTTTTTTTTTGAGAGGGAGTCTCGCTCTGCCACCCAGGCTGGAGTGCAGTGGCGCGATCTCGGCTCACTGCAAGCTCTGCCTCCCGGGTTCACGCCATTCTCCTGCCTCAGCCTCCCGAGTAGCTGGGACTACAGGCGCCCGCCACTGCGCCCGGCTAATTTTTTGTATTTTCAGTAGAGACGGGGTTTCACCGTGGTCTCCATCTCCTAACCTTGTGATCCACCCGCCTCGGCCTCCCAGAGTGCTGGGATTACAGGCGTGAGTCACTGCGCCCGGCCAAACCTATGTTATTTCTTCCCTAGACTAAACGTTCCTTGAGGACAACACAAACAGATCCCACTTTGTATTCCCCACAGATTCCAAGACAGAGTATTTGATACAGCACACATAGGGTAGTAGTTCTCAAACTGACGGCCACAGAATCCTTTGTTCATATGGAACAAAGCTAAGAGGAAAAAAAATCTTACAAGAAAACCTAAAACATAGTAAGTTTCAAATAAGTACTTACTTAATGAATAAAGAAATGATGATCACATAGCAAAGATATACAAATATTAATTTCCCTCCCCTTTAACTTCACCTCAATCTCCTGAGATTTTGCAAGAAGCAAATAATGTGCAACTCTTTGAAAAGCATTTTTAAACAAGTTTAAGAAGCTATAATTATTTCTATCAGACTGTGAGATTCAAAATATGAAAATGTCTCTTCTTAAACGTAAAGACTAAGTTTAATTAGTTTCTATTACATTTTAAAATAACTTACTATGTGATATAATAATCAAAACTTCACCTCTGAAGAACACTGTCATTCAGTTTCATTACGTTCAATATAACTTACATGGTTTTTATTTATTTATTTTTGCTGTTTTTTATTTTATTATACTTTAAGTTCTAGGGTACTTGTGCACAACATGCAGGTTTGTTACATATGTATACATGTGCCATGTTGGTGCGCTGTACCCATTAACTCGTCATTTATATTAGGTATATCTCCTAATGCTATCCCTCCCCCCTCCCCCCACCCCATGCCAGGCCCTGGTGTGTGACGTTCCCCACCCTGTGTCCAAGTGTTCTCATTGCTCAATTCCCACCTATGAGTGAGAACACACGGTGTTTGGTTTTCTGTCCTTAACGATAGTTTGCTCAGAATGATGGTTTCCAGATTCATCCATGTCCCTACAAAGGACATGAACTCATCATTTTTTATGGCTGCATAGTACTCCATGGTGTATATGTGCCACATTTTCTTAATCCAGCCTACCATTAAATGGACATTTGGGTTGGTTCCAAGTCTTTTGCTATTGTGAATAGTGCTGCAATAAATATACACGTGCATGTGTCTTTATAGCAGCATGATTTATAATCCTTTGGGTAAATACCCAGTAATGGGATGGCTGGGTCAAATGGTATTTCTAGTTCTAGATCCTTGAGGAATCGCCACACTGTCTTCCACAATGGTTGAACTAGTTTACAGTCCCACCAACAGTTTAAAAGTGTTCCTATTTCTCCACATCCTCTCCAGCACCTGTTGTTTCCTGACTTTTTAATAATCGCCATTCTAACTAGTGTGAGATGGTATCTCATTGTGGTTTTGATTTGCATTTCTCTGATGGCCAGTGATGATGAGCATTTTTTCCTGTGTCTGTTGGCTGCATAAACGTCTTCTTTTGAAAAGTGTCTGTTCATATCCTTCGCCCAGTTTTTGATGGGGCTGTTTGCTTTTTTCTTGTAAATTTAAGTTCTTTGTAGATTCTGGATATTAGCCCTTTGTCAGATGGGTAGATTGCAAAAATTTTCTCCCATTCCGTAGGTTGCCTGTTCACTCTGATGGTAGTTTCTTTTGCTATGCAGAAGCTCTTTAGTTTAATTAGATCCCATTTGCCAATTCTGGCTTTTGTTGCCATTGCTTTTGGTGTTTTAGTCATGAAGTCCTTGCCCGTGCCTATGGCCTGAATAGTATTGCCTAGATTTTCTTCTAGGGTTTTTATGGTTTTAGGTCTAACATTTAAGTCTTTAATCAATCTTGAATTAATTTTTGTATAAAGTGTAAGGAAAGGATCCAGTTTCAGCTTTCTACATGTGGCTAGCCAGTTTTCCCAGCACTATTTATTAAATAGGGAATCCTTTCCCCATTTCTTGCTTTTGTCAGGTTTGTCAAAGATCGGACAGTTGTAGATATGCGGCATTATTTCTGAGGGCTCTGTTCTGTTCCACTGGTCTATATCTCTGTTTTGGTAATAGTACCATGCTGTTTTGGTTACAGTAGCCTTGTAGTATAGTTTGAAGTCAGGTAGCGTGATGCCTCCAGCTTTGGTTCTTTTGGCTTAGGATTGTCTTGGCAATGTGGGCTCTTTTTTGGTTCCATATGAACTTTAAAGTAGTTTTTTCCAATTCTGTGAAGAAAGTAATTGGTAGCTTGATGGGGATGGCATTGAATCTATCAATTACCTCGGGCAATATGGCCATTTTCACAATATTGATTCTTCCTATTCATGAGCATGGGATGTTCTTCCATTTGTTTGTGTCCTCTTTTATTTCATTGAGCAGTGGTTTGTAGTTCTTCTTGAAGAGGTCCTTCACATCCCTTGTGAGTTGGATTCCTAAGTATTTTAGTCTCTTTGTAGCAATTGTGAATGGGAGTTCACTCATGATTTGGCTGTCTGTTATTGGTGTATAGGAATGCTTGCGACTTTTGCACATTGATTTTGTATCCTGAGACTTTGCTGAAGCTGCTCATCAGTTTAAGAGGATTTTGGGCTGAGACAATGGGGTTTTCTAAATATACAATCATGTCATCTGCAAACAGGGACAATTTGACTTCCTCTTTTCCTAATTGAATACCCTTTATTTCTTTCTCCTGCCTGACTTCCCTGGCCAAAACTTCCGACACTATGTTGAATAGGAGTGTGCTGAGAGAGGGCACCCCTGTCTTGTGCCAGTTTTCAAAGGGAATGCTTCCAGTTTTTGCCCATTCAGTATGATATTGGCTGTGGGTCTGTCATAAATAGCTCCTATTATTTTAAGATACGTCCCATCAATACCTAGTTTATTGAGAGTTTTCAGCATGAAGGGCTGTTGAATTTTGTCGAAGGCCTTTTCTGCACCTATTATCATGTGGTTTTTGTCTTTGGTTCTGTTTATATGATGGATTACGTTTATTGATTTGCATATGTTGAACCAGCCTTGTATCCCAGGGATGAAGCCAACTTGATCGTGGTGAATAAGCTTTTTGATGTGCTGCTGGATTTGGTTTGCCAGTATTTTATTGAGGATTTTTGCATTGATGTTCATCAGGGATATTGGTCTAAAATTCTCTTTTGTTATGTCTCTGCCAGGCTTTGGTATCAGGATGATGCTGGCCTCATAAAATGAGTTAGGGAGGATTCCCTCTTTTTCTATTGATTGGAATAGCTTCAGAAGGAATGGTACCAGCTCCTCTTTGTACCTCTGGTAGAATTCGGCTGTGAATCCGTCTGGTCCTGGACTTTTTTTGGTTGGTAGGCTATTAATTATTGCCTCAACTTCAGAGCCTGTTATTGGTCTATTCAGGGATTCATTCAACTTCTTCCCAGTTTAGTCTTGGGAGGGTGTATGTGTCCAGGAATTTATCCATTTCTTCTAGATTTTCTAGTTTATTTCCGTAGAGGTGTTTATAGTATTCTCTGATGGTAGTTTGTATTTCTGTGGGATTGGTGGTAATATCCCCTTTATCATTTTTTATTGCATCTATTTGATTCTTCTCTCTTTTCTTATTAGTCTTGCTAGCGGTCTTTCAATTTTGTTGATCTTTTCGAAAAACGAGCTTCTGGATTCATTGATTTTTTGAAGGGTTTTTTGTGTCTCTATATCCTTCAGTACTGCTCTGATCTTAGTTATTTCTCGCCTTCTGCTAGCTTTTGAATGTGTTTGCTCTTGCTTTTCTAGTTCTTTTAATTGTGATGTTAGGGTGTCAATTTTAGATCTTTCCGGCTTTCTCTTGTGTGCATTTAGTGCTATAAATTTCCCTCTACACACTGCTTTAAATGTGTCCCAGAGATCCTGGTATGTCATGTCTTTGTTCTCAATGGTTTCAAAGAACACCTTTATTTCTGCCTTCATTTCGTTATGTACCCAGCAGTCATTCAGGAGCAGGTTGTTCAGTTTCCACGTAGTTGAGTGGTTTTGAGTGAGTTTCTTAATCCTGAGTTCTAGTTTGATTGCACTGTTGTCTGAGAGACAGTTTGTTATAATTTCTGTTCTTTTACATTTACTAAGGAGTGCTTTACTTCCAACTATGTGGTCAATTTTGGAATAAGTGCGACGTGGCGCTGAGAAGAATGTATATTCTGTTGATTTGGGGTGGAGAGTTCTGTAGATGTCTATTAGGTCCGCTTGGTGCAGAGCTGAGTTCAATTCCTGGATATCCCTGTTAACTTTCTGTCTCGTTGATCTGTCTAATGTTGACAGTGGGGTGTTAAAGTCTCCCATTATTATTGTGTGGGAGTCTAAGTTTCTTTGTAGGACTTGCTTTATGAACCTGGGTGCTCCTGTATTGGGTACATACATATTTAGGATAGTTAACTCTTCTTGTTGAATTGATCCCTTTACCATTATGTAATGGCCTTGTCTCTTTTGATCTTTGTTGGTTTAAAGTCTGTTTTATCAGAGACTAGGATTGCAACCCCTGCTTTTTTTTTTGTTTTCCACTTGCTTGGTAGATCTTCCTCCATCCCTTTATTTTGAGCCTATGTGTGTCTCTGCATGTGAGATGGGTCTCCTGAATACAGCACGCTGATGGGTCTAGACTCTTTATCCAATTTGCCAGTCTGTCTTTTAACTGGAGCATTTAGCCCATTTACATTTAAGGTTAATTTTGTTATGTGTGAATTTGATCCTGTCATTATGATGTTAGCTGGTTATTTTGCTCATTAGTTGATGCAGTTTCTTCCTAGCATCGAAGGTCTTTACAATTTGGCATGTTTTTGCAGTAGTTGGTATCGGTTGTTCCTTTCCATGTTTAGCGCTTCCTTCAGGAGCTCTTGTAAGGCAGGCCTGGTGGTGACAAAATCTCTCAGCATTTGCTTGTCTGTAAAGGATTTTACTTCTCCTTCACTTATGAAGCTTAGTTTGGCTGGATATGAAACTCTGGGTTGAAAATTCTTTTCTTTAAGAATGTTGAATATTGGCCCCCACTCTCTTCTGGCTTGTAGAGTTTCTGCCAAGAGAACCGCTGTTAGTCTGATGGGCTTCCCTTTGTGGGTAACCCGACCTTTCTCTCTGGCTGCCCTTAATATTTTTTCCTTAATTTCAACTTTGGTGAATCTGACAATTATGTGTCTTGGAGTTCCTCTCCTCGAGGAGTATCTTTGTGGCGTTCTCTGTATTTCCTGAATTTGAATGTTGACCTGCCTTGCTAGATTGGGGAAGTTCTCCTGGATAATATCCTGAAGAGTGTTTTCCAACTTGGTTCCATTCTCCCCGTCACTTTCAGGTACACCAATCAGACGTAGATTTGGTCTTTTCACACAGTCCCATATTTCTTGGAGGCTTTGTTTGTTTCTTTTTATTCTTTTTTCTCTAAACTTCTCTTCTCGCTTCATTTCATTCATTTGATCTTCAATCACTGATACCCTTTCTTCCACTTGATCGAATTGGCTACTGAAGCTTGTGCATGCGTCACGTAGTTTTCGAGCCATGGTGTTCAGCTCCATCAGGTCATTTAAGGTCTTTTCTATGCTGTTTATTCTAGTTAGCCATTCGTCTAATCTTTTGTCAAGGTTTTTAGCTTCTTTATGATGGGTTCAAACATCCTCCTTTAGCTCGGAGAAGTTTGTTATTACTGATCATCTGAAGCCTTCTCTCAACTCATCAAAGTCATTCTCCATCCAGCTTTGTTCCGTTGCTGGTGAGGAGCTGTGTTCCTTTGGAGGAGAAGAGGCGCTCTGATTTTTAGAATTTTCAGCTTTTCTGCTCTGGTTTCTCCCTATCTTTGTGGTTTTATCTACCTTTGGTCTTTGATGATGGTGACATACAGATGGGGTTTTGGTGTGGATGTCCTTTCTGTTTGTTAGTTTTCCTTCTAACAGTCAGGACCCTCAGCTGCAGGTCTGTCAGAGTTTGCTGGAGGTCCACTCCAGACCCTGTTTGTCTGGGTATCACCAGCAGAGGCTGCAGAACAGCAAATATTGCAGAACGGCAAATGCTGCTGCCTGATCCTTTCTCTGGAAGCTTCATCTCAGAGGGGCACCCGGCTGTATGAGGTGTCAGTCGGCCCCTACTGGGAGGTGTCTCCCAGTTAGGCTACTCAGGGGTCAGGGACCCACTTGAGGAGGCAGTCTGTCTGTTCTCAGATCTCAAACTCTGTGCTGGGAGAACCACTACTCTCTTCAAAGCTGTCAGACAGGGACATTTAAACCTGCAGAAGTTTCTGCTGCCTTTTGTTCAGCTATGCCCTGCTCCCAGAGGTGGAGTCTACAGAGGCAGGCAGGTCTCCTTGAGCTGCGGTGGGCTCCACTCAGTTCGAGCTTCCCGGCCGCTTTGTTTACCTACGCAAGTCTCAGCAGTTGTGGACACCCCTCCCCCTGCTTTGCTGCCACCTTGCAGTTTGATCTCAGACTGCTGTGCTAGCAGTGAGCAAGGCTCCGTGGGCATGGGACCCTCCAAGCCAGGCGCAGGATATAATCTCCTGCTGTGCCATTTGCTAAGGCCGTTGGAAAAGTGCAGTTATTAGGGTGGGAGTGTCCCGATTTTCTGGGTACCATCTGTCATGGCTTCCCTTGGCTAGGAAAGGGAATTCCCCCACCCCTTGCGACTCCCAGGTGAGGCAATGCCCCGCCCTGCTTCAGCTCACACTCCGTGGACTGCACCCACTGTCTGACAAGCCCCAGTGAGATGAACCCGGTACCTCAGTTGGAAATGCAAAAATCACCTGTCTTAGGCATCGCTCATGCTGGGTACCATAGACTGGAGCTGTTCCTATTTGGCCATCCTGGAACCGGACCCCCACTTACATGGGTTTTAACTGCATTAGAGCTGGTGCTCTAAATTCAAATTTAGATCCAAACTACAGCTAAAGTTTAGATACTCCAGCCCTACTGAATCAGAATTTCAGGGGTGGGGCCCAGAACTCTGTGTTTTAACACGCTCTTCAGGTGATTCATAAACACACTCCAGTTTGAGAACAATTATCCTAGCATAATGTCTCCGTGCTCTTTCCACTCATTTCCCAATCATCAAACCTGGCCCCTTCAATCTTCTTACGTTAGTAATAATATTCAACAACCATAAGGCCTCTTCCACGAGCCTTCAGCAGTATGTAATCTTCTAAACCCTTTTCAAAAAGAATGTCATCCCAATCACAGGATAGTGTTGACCTCCCAAAATTAAGCAAGCACTGCCACAAAATAAACACACATAGAGCCCAAAAGGATAACACAGGGAACCTAATGGTGATTATCTTGGGATGATGGGATTATAGGTGATGTATATTTTCTTCTTTGTACTTTTTCTGAATTTCTCAAATTTTCTATAGCTCACACAGTAAAAACAGGCTATTTTTAAAAGCCAACGGAAGGGAAAAAAAAAACAGCAGACATCTTGTGTCACCTAGAGGCCCTGAATACGCCCCTCCAAGGTCCTTAAGAGTTACCTTGAGGATGTTTTGACACTCAACAAAGTCACTGTGGAGGTGGCTGGTGGTGTGCAGCTTGAGGAGCAGCTGAGGAATTCCACTCCACTTGGATTGTTTGTCCCTCTCCGTCAAAAAAGTCTCAGTGAACTGTGAGTCAAAAAAAGAGAGAACATATTATTGTATTATTGATGATAATAGCTGATACGGCAAAGGAGAGCAGCCGACTTCCAAACCCACCCAGGACAGTTACAAATTTATCTCTAAGCACTACTATAAAAAGCCTCTTTCTATAAATCTTCAAAACCTCCCCAACAGCCTATTACTATGTTATAATAAGAAGGAGGGATTGGAAATACTCTTGTACCACTCACAAACAGCACAATATCATTGAGAGTGGACTTAGACTCGTCGTAAATATATACTGGAAATTCTAGGGCAACTGCTAAAAGTATTTTTACAAGAAGAATAATTGATATGCTAAGAGATGAAAAATAATGGAACCATATAAACTGCTCAGTTAAGCCCATAAAAGGCAGAAAAAGAGGGGAAGACAAAGAACAAGTATAATAAAACAAACATGGTATACATTAATCCAACTATATCAATAATCACTGTAAATATCTATGAATGGTCTAAACTTACCAATCAAAGGAAAGAGACTAAAAGAATGGATTTAAAAAACCAAGATCCAACAATATGCTGTCTACAAGAAACTCATTTAAATATACATATAGATAGGTTAAAAGTAAGGGAAAAGGCCAGGCACGGTGGCTCACACCTGTAATCCCAACACTTTGGGAAGCCGAGGCAGGTGGATCACCTGAAGTCAGGAGTTTGAGACCAGCCTGGCTAACGTGATAAAACCCCATCTCTACTAAAAATACAAAAATTAGCTGAGTGTGGTGGCAAGTGCCTGTAATCCCAGCTACTCGGGAGGCTGAGGCAGGAGAACCGCTTGAACTCGGGAGGCAGAGGTTGCAGTGAGCCAAGATCGCGCCATGGCACCCCAGCCTGGGCGACAGACCAAAACTCTGTCTCAAAAAATAGAAAAGGGGATGGAGAAAGATAAATCACATAAAAAGAAAGATGGAGTAGTTATATTAATTTCAGAGAAAGCAGGCTTCATAAAAAAATTATCAGAAATAAAGTGGGTCATTTCATAATGACAAAGGGGTTAATTCTCCAAGAAGACATAACAATCCTTATCATATATGCACCTAACAACAGCATGTCAAAATATGAGGCAAAAACTGCCTAAAAGAACTGCCAGACAAAAAAATGGCAAATCAACTCTTACAGTTAAAATATTTTAAACTAAATGAAAATATAACTTATCAAAATTTGTGGGATGCAGCGAAAGCAGTAATAAGCCAGAAGTGTATATCACTGAATGCATATAATAGAAAAGAAGAAATATCTATAGTCAATAATCTAAGCTTCTACCTTAGTAAACTACAGAAAGAGCAGTTTAAGCCTACAGCAAACAGAAGAAAAAAATAAAAATGAGAGCAAACATCACTGAAATTGAAAACAAAAAATCAAGAGAGAAAACAAAACCAAAAGTTAGTTCTTTAAAAAGATCAATACGATTGATAAACTCTAACCAGGCTTATCAAGAAAAAAAGACAGAAACACAAATTACTAATATGTGGTACATAAGAGGAGTTATTATTACTGACTCCATGGACTTCGAAGGATGATAAAGGAGTATTATGAACCGTTTGCCCCAATATTTGCCTAGCACTTTGGGAGGCTAAGGCGGGAGGATTGCTTCAGCTCAGGAGTTCAAGACCAGCCTGAGCAACATAGCGAGAGCTCGCCTCTACTAAAAATAAAAAAAAAAAATAAGCCAAGGGTGGTGGTGCACACCTCTGGTCTCAGCTACTCAGAAGGATGAGGTGAGAAGATCACTTGAGCTTGGGAGAATGAGGCGGCAGTGAGCTATGACAGCACCACTGCACTCCAGCCTGGGTGACAGAGCAAGATAAAAAAAAAAAAAAAAAAAGACATCATTATAACCAAAGAGTGAAACAACTCAAATGTCCATCAACTGATGAAT
Organism: Homo sapiens; assembly: GCF_000001405.40. NCBI lineage: Eukaryota > Metazoa > Chordata > Mammalia > Primates > Hominidae > Homo > Homo sapiens. Next base: position 35,080,087 of record NC_000020.11, read on the forward strand.
AAATAAAATATAGTATATCCATCCAATGGAATATTATTCAGCAAAAAAAGTAATGATGTACTGATACTACAACAAGGATAAATCTTGAGACCATTATGCTAAATCAAAGAAGCCAGTGTCTAACTGGGCACAGTGTCTCATGCCTCTGATGCCAAAGTAATCCCAGCACTTTGGGAGGCCAAGGTGGACAGATCACTTGAGCTCACAAGTACAAGACCAGCCTGAGCAACATGGCGAAACCCCACCTCTACAAAAAAAAAAAAAATTAGCCGGATGTAGTGGCACATGCCTGTAGTCCCAGCTACTCGGGAGGCTGAGGTGGGAGAATGGCTTGAGCCCAGGAGGCAGAGGTTGCAGTGAGCCAAGACTGCGCCACTGCACTTCAGCCTGGGCGATAAAGCCAGACCTTGTCTCAAAACAGAAACAAAAACAAAGCGAGACTCCATCTAAAAAAAAAAAAAAAAAAAAAACCTAAAAGAAGCCAGTCTCAAAAGGCCATATATTGTCTGATTCTATTAATTTAAAATGTCCAGAATAAGCATATCCAGAGACAGAAAGATCACTGGTTGGCAAAGGCTGTGGGGATGGGGAAACTGGGGAGTAACTGCTACTGAATACCAGGTTTCTTTTTTGGGTGATAAAATATTCTAAAATTGATCGTGATGATAGATGCATAACTTTGTGCATACAGTAAAAACCACTGACTTGTACACTTCAGTTTTTTTTTTTTTTACCCTTTTATCTCCTTAGTTTACCAACTTGTACACTTTAAAAGGGTGACTTGTGCAATATGTGAATTACATCTCAATAAAGCTGCTATAAAAACTAAATAAATAAATGAACATAAGTGAACTTTTTAGGATGACAATGTTCTAAAACCAGATTGTGGTGATGGTTGCATAACTTCATCAATTTGCTGAAAATCACTGAACTGTACACTTACAATGGGTAAATTTTATTGTATATAAATCATGCCTCAATAAAGTTGTTTAAGAAATATTTAAAAGAAGAAAGAAGAGAAAAGGGAACAAAGGATAGGACATTAAAAAAGCATATATTGTATTAAGCAAGTATAAACACCAAAATGTCAGTTATTACATTAAATCTAAATATGCTAAAATGCTCCAATTAAAAACAAAGTTTGGGCCGGTTACAGGGCCTCATGCATGTTACTGCAGCACTTTGGGAGGCAGAGACAGACAGATCACTTGAGCCCAGGAGTTAAAGACCAGCCTAGGCAACACAGTGAAACCCTGTCTCTACCAAAGGAAAAAAAAAAAAATTAGGCATGGCAGCATGTGCCTGTAATCCCAGTTACTCAGGTAGCTGAGGCAGGAGGATCCCTTGATGCTAGGAGGCCGAGACTGCAGTGACCTGTGATCTGGTACCATACTCCAGCCCGGGCAACAGAATGCAACCCTGTCTCAAAAAATAAATAGAAAATAAAATAAAATAAAAATAAAATAAAATAAAATAAAAACAAAGTTTGTTATGCCACCTACCAGAGAAACAGAAAGGCTAAAAGTAAAAGAATGGGAAATAATACTCAATGTAAACATATACCAAAAGGTAGTATAACTATATTAAAATCAGCAAGAGCAAAGAAAAAGCATTACCAAGCCAGGCATGGTGGCTCACACCTCTAATCCCAGCACTCTGGGAGACCGAGACAGGTAGATCACTTAGGTCAGGAGTTCAAGACCAGACTGGCCAACATGATGAAACCCTGTCTCCACTAAAAATGCAAAATTAGCTGGGCATGGTGGCACAGGCCTGTAATCCCAGTTACTCGAGAGGCTGAGGCAGGAGAATTGCTTGAACCCAGGAGGTGGAGGTTGCAGTGAGCCAAGAATGCACCATTGCACTCCAGCCTGGGTGACAGAGTGAGACTCTGTCTCAAAAACAAAACAAAACAAAAACAACAACAACAACAAAGTACTACCAGAGATAGGCACTTTAATAAGGATAAAAATGGCAAACTGGATAATGTTAATGATCCTAAATTTGAAAATATCTAATAAAAACTTCAACATACATAAAGCAAAAACTGACAAGGCTAAAAGGAGAAATAAGGAAATCCATAATCATAATGGGAGATTTTACACATCTCTTTCAAAAACTGATATATGCAGACAAAAATTAGTGAGAATACAGAATATTTTAACACAATTAAACAAAATGGACACACCTCGAGCAGTATATCTAGTAAATGCACTCTACATGTCCTTTACAAATACAAATAGAACATTTGCAAAATGACCAGCTGCTAGGCCATACTGCAAATGTCAATACATTTAAATGAACTGAAATACAGACTATGTTCCACATCAGAAAGATAGTTATAAAATCCCCATGTTTGGAAAATAATATACTTCTCAAAAATGCATGGGTCAAAGAAGAAATCGAAGTGGATATATGAAAATATCCTGAAAGATAATGAAAATACTACACATCCAAACTGATGAGGTACAACTAAAGCCATGCTTACTGACCATTATAACCCTGATACCAAAACCTGTCAAAAGGAAAACTGCAGGCCAGTTTCACTAACGACGATGTAAGGGAAAAACCACAATTCAAAAATTGAATTAAATTTAAAATTTGTATCAGAAATTAAAAGTTGGTTTAATATTTGAAAATTTTATTCAATGCAATTCACCACATTGATAACATAAAGGAGAATAATTATTTGATAACATAAAGGAGAATAATGATATGAATACCTCAATTGATACAGAAAAAGCATTTGATAAAATTTAACATCCATTCATGATAAACTCAAATAAAAAAATGAATTTCTAGTAACAGGTATCCACAGAAAACCCACTGCAAACATCATACTTAATGGCAAAATGTTTAAGGTTTTTTCCCTCTTAGATCAGGAACATGCTACTTCTATTCATCATACTGGAGGTCTCAGGCAGCAGAGTAAGGCAAGATATATAGAAGACATAAGATTGGTAAGGGTAAGATAAAAGATTCATTTGCAGATGATATAATATTCACAGATGACTGTACAGTATACAATCCAAAAGAACCTAAATGTAAATTATCAACTATTACAGCAATATACATGAATAATATAAAAATCTATCTTATTTTTATATTACAGCTACAATTTTTAAATGCAGTTTTAAAAACACTACTTACAATACCACTTTTAAAAACGCTAAGGAATAAATCTAACAAAGTTATGCAAGACGGCTACATAGAAAACTGTAACACACTCTTGGCTGGGCACAGTGGTTCACACTTGTAATCCCAGCACTTTGGGAGGCTAAGGTGGGCAGATCACCTGAGATCAAGAGTTTGAGTCTAGCCTGACCAACATGGTGAAACCCCATCTCTACTAAAAATACCAAAAAAAAAAAAATTAGCTGGGCGTGATGGTGGGCGCCTGTAATCCCAGCTACTAGGGGAGGCTGAGGCAGGAGAATCGCTTGAACCTGGGAGGCGGAGGTTGCAGAAAGCTGAGATGGTGCCACTGCACTACAATCTGGGAGACAGAGCGAGACTCCATCTCAAAAAAAAAAAAAATTACAGGAAAATAACTTCCAATTTATACTTCTATACCCAGTCAAACTAAATATATGTGTCAGAATAAGACATTTTCTGATCTGCAAGCTTTAAAAAAAAAAAAAAAGTTACCTCCCATGTACTCTTTCTTGGGAGGCTACCAGAGAGTGTGCCCCAGGAAAAAGGAAGACAATTGAGGAAACAAGGTCTAAAACATGAGAAAAGAAAGAAAAATGCTCTGGATTTGGTGAAGAGAAGTCCCAAGAACTCAGCTGTATAGCAGACCTAGTAAGCAGCTAAACTAAACTGCTAAACTGCTAAACTGCAGTAGGGGAATGAAGGGCTTCAAATGATTTCTTTAAAAAAAAAAAAAAGTTTTAGAATTTAGGAACAAATTATAAGTATACAGAAAGCAGGCCGGGCGCGGTGGCTCACACCTGTAATCCCAGCACTTTGGGAGGCCGAGGTGGGTGGATTACCTGAGGTCAGGAGTTCGAGACCAGCCTGGCCAACATAGTGAAACCCCATCTCTACTAAAAATACAAAAAAATTAGCCAGACTTGGTGGCGGGCACCTGTAATCCCAGCTACTCGGGGGGCATAGGTTGCAGGGAGCCGAGATTGCGCCATTCCACTCCAGCCGGGCAACAGTGCGAGACTCCGTCCCAAAAAAAAAAAAGGTATACACAAGGCAAAACAATTTAAAAGGATGCATTATACCTGACTTCACCACCATGCGATACACCAATGTAGCAAAATTTCACTTGTACCCCATTAATACAAATTTAAAAACAGTAAAATAAATTAAAGGATGCACTATTATGCTAATGAAAGTCAAAAGGGTATATGTATATATGTGTGTATATATGTATATATGTGTATATATGTATATATCTATATATGTATATACGTATATATGTGTATATATGTATATATGTATATGTATATATGTTTATATGCATATATGTGTATATGTATATATGTTTATATGCATATATGTGTATATGTATATATGTTTATATGCATATATGTGTATATGTATGTATGTTTATATGCATATATGTGTATATGTATATATGTTTATATGCATATATGTGTATATGTATATATGTTTATATGCATATATGTGTATATGTATATATGTTTATATGCATATATATGTATATGTATATATATACAGGGTATATGTATATTTATCCTTCAATTTAAAAAATGGAAGAGGACTGTTTTTAACACTACAAAAAAATTATATAAAACAAATATAATTGTACAATATATGGCCCTGCTGTAAATAATAATGCTAACATCATAATGTAAATACTTAACAACAGCCAAAGCTGTGATATAACTACATTGGTAGACTAGTGGAGACGAGTAAGAAGGAATCGAATGTGTGAATTAAATCCTAGTCTTTCAAGAGCGAAGAAAATAGATAGTATCTAAAAGTGAAAAGAAACAGCTTTATAACCATGTTATTTAGAAATACTGGCTCTCCTGTTTCCTGGATCCTTCTCTTGCAAAAGAAATAGCTAAGTATGGACACTGAACAGCATTAGGAGTATGGAACTTAGAGGTGCAAAGCAGGCAGGGCACTGCTGTTTTTTTGTTACAAGCTCCATGATACGCAGAGATCTAATCACAGTCCAAATATTTGACTTCACAAGCAATTTCTTTACTATTTATACATTGTCTTACAAGGCATGTACTCTCATTTAAAAATAATAATTTGGGGCTGGGCACAGCGGCTTACACTCATATCCTAGCACTTGGGAGGCCAAGGTAGGCCCATTGCTTGATCCCAGGAGTTTAAGACCAGCCTGGGCAACATGGCAGAACCTTATCTCTACAAAAAAATACAAAAATGAGCTGCGTATGGTGGCATGCGCCTATAGTCCCAGATACTCGGGAGGCTGAGGTGGGAGGATTGCTTGAGCCCAGGAGGCGGAGGTTTCAGTAGTTTTTTTTCACCACTACACTCCAGCCTGGGCAACAGAGCAAGACCCTGTCTAAAAAAAAAAAAAAAAATCATTAGAATTTTGTTTTCCTTGTGAACAGCTCAGCACTGTGACAAAAGTGCCACCATTCAGTCATCTTCCCAGTTGAATTACTGGCAGGTATCACATGGGTTTTCTCTTGAAGTACTTGTGGTTTAACAGTTTACAGCAGTGATAATCTCTTACATCATACCCTCTAAACTGTCAACCTGTTTAGCAAATATGACATTTCTAGACATTTACAGTTTCCACTGATTTTATTGTTTTTAAAAATAACTAAAGGCTAAATTCCATGAAGATAACTGTGCATCTTATTTGTTTCTTTAATCCTAAATGTAAGACATCTAATGCCTCAAAATACCACACTAAATGCAAGGGTCTCGCGCAATCTCACTGCAACCTCCGTCTCCTGGGCTCAAGTGATCCTCCCACCTCAGCCCTGCCCCCTTCCCCCTCCCAGCCCCCCACACCACCACCACTGCCACCAAGTAGCTGGGATTACAGGCACGCACCACCACGCCCGGATAATTTTTTGTATTTTTAGTAAAGATGGAGTTTCACCCATCTTGCCCAGGTTGGTCTTGAACTCCTGAGCTTAAAGAATCCGTCTAGCTCGGCCTCCCAAAGTGCTAGAATTACAGGTGTGAGCCACCGCACCCAGCCTAAATAGATATCTTAAAGGATAATAAAGATAAAATACCTTGTTGGGTTATTCTGACAATACATGTTAACCACTGAATACTTTTGTGTCCTTTAATGGGGTATGATTCAGTAAAATTAGGAGCAAATTTAAGGGCTTGTGAATACGAAAACTTCCCATTGAAATGAATGGCATATGTGTGTGTGTGTGTGTGTGTGTGTGTGTGTGTGTGTGTGTGTGTATGTGTGTGTATATATATATGTGTATATATATGTGTGTGTGTGTATATATGTGTGTGTGTGTGTGTGTGTGTGTGTGTGTGTGTGTGTGTGTGTGTGTGTATATATATATGAATAAGACTTTATCCTAATCAGGAGTTTTTCAGTATCAAATTACCTTTGAAAAGCCAGGTAAGATTTGTTTGACTTAAATGCCTAGGTTTCATAAATACTAATGGTTAGAATGAGGCTAAAACAAGTAGTGCCTAATGAAATTTTTTTTAAAAGTTAGTGAATCTGGCTGGGCACGGCGACTCACATCTGTAATCCCAGCACTTTGGGAGGCTGAGGTGGGTGGATCAAGAGATCAAGAGTTTGAGACCAGCCTAGCCAGCATGGTGAAACCCTGTCTTTACTAAAAATACAAAAAGTAGCCGGGCATGGTGGCACATGCCTATAGTCCCAGCTACTCAGGAGGCTGAGGCAGGGGAATCGCTTGAACCCGGGAAGCGGAGGTTGCAGTGAGCCGAGACTGTGCACTGCACTCCAGCCTGGGCAACAGCACGAGACTCCATCTCACAAAAAAAAGAAGTCAGCCAGGCGCAGTGGCTCACACCTGTAATCCCAGCACCTTGGGAGGCCGAGGTGGGCGGATCATGAGGTCAGGAGATCGAGACCATCCTGGCTAACACGGTGAAACCCCGTCTCTACTAAAAATACAAAAAAAAAAAAAAAATTAGCCAGGCGTGGTGGCGGGCACCTGTAGTCCCAGCTACTCGGGAGGCTGAGGCAGGAGAATGGCATGAACCTGGGAGGCGGAGCTTGCAGTGAGCTGAGATTGCACCATTGCCCTCCAGCCTGGGCAACAGAGCGAGACTCCATCTCAAAAAAAAAAAAAAAGTCAGTGAATCTAAAGAAAAAATATAAAGTAAGGAACACTCAGGGGCATTTAGATATGCCAATAATCATAAAGGAAGCAACGACTGCCATGTGGGAAATATAACAGCATCCCACAACCCAGTCTGTCACCAGATTGCCAAACTGAAGGGCATCCAGGGATGGCGGGTCATGACCTGTAATGTGAGCTGCACTATCCTAGAGCCCAGCGTTTACTCAGTCTATCCTTTCCTTCAACTCGTACTGATCATTTGGGGCCTTGTACGCCCATGGTAAGGAATCCAGAATTGATTCTATCAACTGCAATGAGATGAGGCTGGAGAGTTTTAAGCAAAGGATTTATAAGATCTGATTTGCATTAAGCATCAAATGTGCTGATGAATATGAAAAGGCTCAGTAAACTCCAAAGTATCACCCCAGCATATTTTATTGCCTTGACAGAGGGCAGAACAAAACGAAGGGAAGAAAATAAAGCAAACTAAAATCCAAGTAGAATTGACCCATTACAAATTATGTGGCCAGTAGTCATGACTCAGGCTTCCCTTATGCCCCATTTAGGGAGATGGAGAAGATCAGGTCTGATGGAAAAGGGAGAGGATTTTGGCTTTCGACATACTAAGTTTGAGATGCCCATTAGACATCAAAGTGGAAATGCTAGAAGGCAATTGGATATACCTACCCATCCAGAGCTAAAAGGAGAAACACGAATGGAAACAGAAACTTAGGATCCGTCAGCGTATAGAGCAGTTATTAATAACAATACAAGCTAATCTTTATAGCAGTAAGCTATGTACTTATAGCTGAGAAAGTATGTTTCAGTCACTATTTTAAGTGCTTTATATGTACAACTCACTTGGTCCTCACCACAACCTTGGAAGGTCAGGTCCTATGATACTTACTTTACAAATAAATAAACTGAGGCATAAACAGATTAAATAACTTGCCTAAAGACACATAGTAAGTAAATACCAGAGCTAGGTTTCAAACCTAGGTAATCTGACTCTGGAACTCTTTAAAGCCATGAGATTGCTTGGCAAGTACAGACAGAAATTAGACTGAGGACACAGTATTTCAATTTAAGCAATTTCCTGAATATCAAATGGCTGGCAAGGTTTCAGGCTCTGCAGATACAATGAAAAATAAGACACAGTCTCTTCAGGAAGCCCAGTCTAATTAACTACTAGCTGAGAGCAACTATTTACTAAACAACTATTCCTATATGCCACACTGGCTACGCTTTTAAAACATATTATTTCACTTAATCCTCCTAACAACTTTATGGGATAGATGTTATCATCACCTCTTTAGAAATAAGGAAACTGAAGTTAAGAGAGGTTAAATAACTTAATCTTGGTCACCCTGCTAGGATTCAATTCAGGTCCACCTTACTTTAAAATCTGATTTTTTTTTCCAAGGAAATTCCATCACATGCTATACCACAGATGATCCTTGAGGACATTATGTTAAGTAAAATAAGCCAGTCACAAAAAGACAAATACTGTATTACTATACTGGGGTTATCTAAAGTAGTCAAACTCACAAAAACAGAAAGGAGAAGAATGGTTACCAAGGACTGGGAGGGAGAAATGGGAAGTTGTTCAATGGTAGTTTCAGATTTGCAAGATGAAAAAGTTCTGGAAATCTGTTTCACAACAATGGGAATATACTTCACATTACTTAACTATACACCTTTTTTTTTTAAGATACAGGGTTTCACCATGTTGCCCAGGCTGGTCTCAAACTCCTGGGCTCAAACAATCCGCTCACCTCAGCTTCCCAAAGTGTTGGGATTACAGGTGTAAGCCACCACACTGGGCCTGACCTATACACTTATAAATGGTTAAGATGGTAAATTTTATGTTTACATATATATATTTATATATGTATATAGTTTGAGGCAGGGTCTCATTCTGTTGCCCAGGCTGCAGTGTAATGGTGTGATCATGGCTCACTGCAGCCTTGACTTGCCAGGCTCAAGCGATCTTCCCACCTCGGGTTCCTGAGCAGCTGGGACTACAGGCATGCATTTCCACACCTGGTTAATGTTTTTTTTTTTTTTTTTTGTAGTAGAGCTGGGGCTCCACCACACTGCCCAGGCTTGACTCAAACTGGCTCAGGTGATCATCCCATCTTGGTCTCCCAAAGTGCTGGGATTACACACATGAGCCAATGTACCTGGCCTATATTATATATTTGTTTACTACAATGAAAAAATTTTGGCTAGGCGCAGTGGCTCACACCTGTAATCCCAGCACTTTGGGAGGACAAGGCAGGGGGATCATGACGTCAGGAGTTGGAGACCAGCCTGACCGACATGGTGAAACCCCATCTCTACTAAAAATACAAAAAGTAGCCAGGTGTGGTGGCACACGACTGTAATCCCAGCTACTCAGGAGGCTGAGGCAGAATTGCTTGAATCCGGGAGACGGAGGATGCAGTGAACCGAGATTGCGCCACTGCACTCCAGTCTGGGCAACAGAGCGAGACTCCGTCTAAAAAATAAAAAATAAAAAATGTTTAAATCTGGTCTTTTCCTACTATACCACATGCCATAACAGTATAAAAATATGGGTAATCTGGGCAACAGAGCAAAACCCTGTCTCTACCAAAGATACAAAAATTAATGGGGTGTGGTGGCACACGCCTGTAGTCCCAGCTACTAGGGAGGCTAAGGTGGGAGGATCACTTGAGCCCAGGAAGTTGAGCTTGCCACTGCACTCCAGCCTGGGTGACAGAGCAAGATTCTGTCTCAAAAAAAAAAAAGGGTAAGCAAATAACTTATTCTGCAGGATGGGAGAGAGGAGCGGAAGGGCACAGCATGGAATAAATTAAAAAAAAAAAAAACTAAGAAAAGAAATATTTGAAAGATGAAGGTCCCCATTTTATCCTCACTATAGCTCCAGGCAGGGGGTCTCTACTTCAACTTCTGAAATAGCTCCCACACCTATATACAACCATCAGTTACCACAATAACCTGCCTTGCTTTTGTGGCTCCAGAATATTCCAGCAGCCTTGTATCTGGTGAGCTTTTTTTTTTTTTTTTTGAGATGAAGTCTCACTATGTCACCCAGGCTGGAGTGCAGTGGCGTGATCTCAGCTCACAACCTCCACCTCCCAGGTTCAAGCAATTCTCCTGCCTCAGCCTCCAGAGTAGCTGGGATTACAGGTGCTTACCACCACGCCCGGCTAATTTTTGTATTTTTAGTAGAGACGGGGCTTCGCCATGTTGGCCAGGCTGGTCTCAAACTCCTGACCTCAGATGATCCACCCGCCTCGACCTCCCAAAGCACTGGGATTACAGGAATGAGCCACTGTGCCCAGCCTCTGGTGGGCTTTTCTAGGCTCCTCCCATTCTAAGTCATTCAGCACTGGAAACAAATTAAGTTGCCTAAATTGCCTCATTTATCATGCTAAAGAACTTCTGTGGCTCCCTATTATTCTCAGAACACTGATTATCAGGATGGGTGTTTAGGAACATATCATCTAACCTCTCTGAGCCTCAGTTTCCTCATCCATATTAAGAAATGAGTCTTGAAGCATAACTCAAAAGCTTGAGGATTAAAGATAACATATGCCTTGTACCGTACTTTTTCTAAAGGTTATGTGCTCACTAAAAGTTAGTCCTCTTTCTGCCTGTCTCTACACACCCAGCTCGGTAAGGTATCTTAGCTTAAGAAGGAAAGAGCAAGTATTTCTAGGATTTTTTTTTTTTTTTGAGACAGGGTCTCACTCTGTCAATCTCCGCCTCCCAGGCTCAGGTAATCCTCCCACCTCAGCCTCCCCACAGGCACACACCACCACCATGCCCGGCTAAATTTTTGGAGACACAGGATTTTGCCGTGTTGCCTGGGCTGGTCTCGAATTCCTGGATTCAAGCGATCTGCCTGCCTCGGCCTCCCAAAGTGCTGGGATTACAGGGTCTTAAGTCAGGTCTTAAGAACACAAGGGGGAAAAAGGCTGCTCATCTATGGTTGTGTGATGGCCAGGAAAACATTTCTCACTCACAACTGCTCCTTTCGTCCACAGTCCTCCATACACACAGACCCCCTAGCCTTTATTTTATTCTATCCTTTTCGTCATTTGAGGAAGTGATATTCAAATTAAATTTAAATAAAGTTACACTGTGAAAAGTCTCACTCCCATTTTCTCCCCCTTTAGCCCAATTCCCACCTCACTCCCACCAACCACTTTATCAGTTTCTTGAGTATCCTTCAAACTTTTTATGAAAAAGCTGTCTTTAAATAAAGCTAATGTTTTACAGGTGTTAGCAAGGTTCGGGGTGGGGGAGGGTGGAAGAAGTAGTGGACTAGGTCCTATTCAACCTGGTTTACCCTAAAGCAGTGTCCTTCGCTCACTCAAAAATAACAATAATCATATGTTGGGCACCTGTTATAAGTCAGATGCTTAATATTAACTACCTTCAGCCCTTAGTATGCACCAGAAATGCACTAATGCTTTACACAATTGCCCCCTTTGATCTCCACAACAATCTTAAAAGGTAGGTTACTAATTCTCATCTTCATCTTACAAGTGAGGAAACTGAGGCACAGAAAGGTCACCTGCCCAAGCAAGAGAGAGGAGCAGGGCTTTGAACCCAGGCCTGACTCCAGAGTCCCTCTTAACCGTGACGCTCTACACTAGCAAACCAGATATAGTCTCTGCACCCGCTGGAACTCAGCCTAATGTGGGAGACGGGCGAGAAAAAGGCAGACAACAAAGAAATACGAAATTATAGACTAAGAAAGTAATGTAAACGAAACGAATTCGCGGCTGTGACAGAATAACAATGGGGACCTACTTTAGAAAGGGGAAGGAAAGAGTGTCAAGGAAAGGCCTGAGAAAATGACATTTATGAAATGCTCGGGAACCATTTGGGGGCTGCAATGATGACCCCCTCCCCCACGCCCAATACACGGGATAAACTCGAGGCCCACAGAGGCTAAAACAAACACGACAGGGTCCCCCAGACGTGTAGACGTGGCGCAAAGAAGGGAGGATCCAGAAACTGGGCCCAGGGTTCGTACACGCCATCAGTGTCCACAGCAGCCCAGCCCCGCTCGGCCCCTGACAAGGGACATCAAGCCAGCTGCTTCCCACGGCCCCGCTGCAGCTGAGAGCGTCCGGGCAGCTCACAGGGAGGCCTTCCGGCCAGCCAAAAGGGCTTTGGCCCGTCCAGCGGCGGCCTGGAAAGGCCTCTTCCCCGGCCCCCCGCCAGCTCCCGCCTGGTCCGCCCCGCCCCGCCCCTCCTGGTCCAGCCTCGTACCTGCACCGCCCGGACCAGGCCCCGGCCGGTCAGCTGGCCCTGCCGCAGCTGCAGCAGAATGTTACCAGGCCGCGGCCGGCCGCCCCATCCGCCCCAAGCCGCCACTGTGGCTGCCGACCGTCTCCCTCGGCCGGCTCCAGACCCAGCCGCTACCGGCGCCGCCGCCATGTCTCCTCGTCGGACAAACAGGAAGCAAGCGGCCTCGGGGCCGCGGAGATTTCTACGGGGCGGCGGAGGGGTCGCCGCAGCGCCCCCAGTGGGCCGTCGGCGGAGGCGCAAGCCGCGTGGCAGGGACCGTGTGCGGCGTGGAGGCTACTGGGAATTGTAGTCCTGCGCGGCAGCGGGGTAGGTGGGAAAAGAGATGTGGCCTTTCCTGCACTGCCGGTTTCTCTGGCCCCCGGGCCCAGCATTTCGGCGAAATCTCCCAAGGTCCACATTCTCCCATTTCTCTCGCCGATTTGGGCAGGATGCAGGCAGCTGGCCAAGAAATGATCCTGGGCTTCAGGTCAGGAGTCAGGCCCTCGAGTCCGCTTCCTGCCTGCTTCTCTCTACACGTGACTCACCGCGGACATCGACCAAGTCATCGCGCTCTGCCACTGCGCCTGTGTCCTCGTCAGGTCACTCCATCTATAGATTCTGGGAGCCTGATCAATCGTAGTTCCTGGGGCTTTCTCTGCGCCCGACACCAAACCATGTCTAGGGGAAAGGGAGGGTGTCTGGGATACAGTGGTGAGCAGAACGGCCTGGGATCCTTTATCACGAAATGCAGGTTACAGGGGAAGACAGCAGATCCATACACAAAGAAACGCAGTCTCAAACTGGATAAGTTGTGTAACTGGGTAGGTTGTTGTGAAATTAAATAATGGAAGGGAAAGGGATTAGTAAATTGTGACATCATATTCTCTGTCAGATGAAAACCCTGTCCTAATTTCTATCCACCAGATAGCATGTTGTCTCTAATACTCATTTTTTCAGCTAACTTCTGTGGCAGGATGGCACTGACTCCCCCCACCCAACACACACACACTTTTTCCCTTCCTAGCAGGGGGCCTGTAATAAAAATGAAAGAGGAGAGCTAAGTGTGATGTAACAGGGAATGGTGAAGATTGTGACTCATAACTAAGATGACTGTAACTTACTGCTCAAACCAGAACACTTTAAAGAATGAAAAGACACAATAAATAATTACACCGGGACGGTAGGCATAAAAGTGACTCTCCCAGGTGAACTGGCACTATGGTTACCATCCTCACACCCCATCTAAAAGGAGTAGACTCACCATCCATCTTCATAGAACTAGAAAAAAGAATCCTAAAAATCATATGGAACCAAAAAAGAGCCTGCATGTCCAAAGCAAGACTAAGCAAAAAGAATAAATCTGGAGGCATCACATTACCTGACTTCAATCTATACAATAAGGCCATAGTCACCCAAACAGCATGGTACTGGTATAAAAATAGGCACATAGACCAATGGAACAGAATAGAGAACACAGTATAAAACCAAATACTTATAGCCAACTGATCTTCGATAAAGCAAACAAAAACATAAAGTGGGGAAAGGACACCCTATTCAACAGCTGGTGATAACTGGCAAGCCACATGCAGAAGAATGAAACTGGATCCTCATCTCTCACATTATACAAAAATAAACTCAGCCGGGTGCAGTGGCTCACACCTGTAATCCCAGTGGCTCACACCTGTAATCCCAGCACTTTGGGAGGCCGAGGTAGTCAGATCATGAGGTCAGGAGTTCGAGACCAGCCTGGCCAACATGGTGAAACCCCATCTCTACTAAAAATGCAAAAATTAGCTGGGCGTGGTGGCATGCACCTGTAGTCCCAGCTACTTGGGAGGCTGAGGCAGGAGAATCACTTGAACCCTGGAGACAGAGGTCACAGTGAGCCGAGATCACGCCACTGCACTCCAGTTTGATGACAGGATGAGACTCCATCTCAGAAAAAAAAAAAAAAATAGCCAAAGAAGTTACAGTCAGGAGATATTTTGTTCCCTATAGAAACTGAATATAACATCTTAAAATTTGTCCCTGAGTGTTGTTTCTTAGAAACTCGAACCCCCACCAAATGGATCTGCTGATAGGCAAACTCAGATAAGGGAGAGCTGAGAACTAAACTTTGACTTCTATTTTTTGTTATAAATTTCTTCCTAGGGGGCCTGGAGGAGGACACGACCATAAGTCAGAGCTAACATTCTTTTCTGCAGATCCCAAATTTTTAGACAAAGCTTTACCTCCTTAACCAATTACAAGTCAGAAAATCTTTGAATCCACTTGTGGGCCCCTGGTTGGAGATGTCCTGTCTTTTTAGGTGGAACCAATATACAGCCCCTATGTATTGATTTATGACTTCGCCTGTGGCCTCTGCCCTCCTGCCATTAAAAACCTGTAAGCCGGCTGGGCGCGGTGGCTCACACCTATAATCCCAGCACTTTGGGTGGCCGAGGCAGGTGGATCACCTGAGGTCAGGAGTTCGAGACCAGCCTGACCAAAACGGCAAAACCCCGTCTCTACTAAAGATACAAAAATTAGCCAGGCATGGTGGCACGTGCCTGTAATCCCAGCTACTCGGGAAGCTGAGGCAGGAGAATCGCTTGAACCCAGGAGGCAGAGGTTGCAGTGAGCTGAGATTGCACCACTGCACTCCAGCCTGGGCGACAGAGCAAGACTCTGTCTCAAAAAAATAAAATAAAACCCCTGTAAGCCATAAGGGAGTTCAGGTCTTAAGCATAAGCTGTTTGATTCTCCTCGCTTGGCACCCTGCAGCAAGTGCAATAATAAATGCCTCACTTTCTCTTGCTGTAATCCCAATGTCAGTGGCTTTGCTGCACCAGGTAAGCAGCCCTCACTTTGGTTCAATAACAATACTTTTCATAACTTTTTGCACCAGCTATGTATCATTTCTAGATTCAAGAAAAAAAAGTCTTCTAATATGTGAAATTAACTTTAAAAAGACATAAAAAGAAAAGGCATTTCCAGGGATACAAACAGGGCATTGGTGAGCTGTCCGGGCAGCAGCCAGCCTTACCAGGGAATCCACAGCCCAGGGATTCCACCCAGAGCTCTTCCTGAGGCATATGGTGATGGATATTCTCACCCTTGTCGCGGTGAGGAGACAGGATCCTGACTAATTTCACAGTTCACATGGCCCTCCAGGTTTCCCTTGGCACTCATCATGCTAGGGACAAATCTTCCCACCTCAGCTTTGACCCAACTGCAAATGTCACTTTCCATTCCTCAGTTCCTATCTTTGTCAGTCTAGCCTGGCCCAGGCATTCACCAAAGCTGGGTATTCACTGGGTCAAAAATGACAACCTCAAATTCAGTCCTTACAGATACCATGTGACCATGAAGTAAGGGGACATGTTTCCAGAAACCTCTGTGGAAAGACACTCTTTTCCACTTCACCTCTGCTCTGCCAGCCTTTTCCGTAGAAACTAGCTGAGGCTAGGCGCGGTGGCTCAGGCCTGTAATCCCAGCACTTTTGGAGGCCGAGGCGGGCAGATCACGAGGTCAGGAGTTCGAGACCAGCCTGGTCAATATGGTGAAACCCCGTCTCTACCAAAAACACAAAAATTAGCTGGGCGGGGTGAAGCGCGCCTGTAGTCCCAGCTGCCCTGGAGGCTGAGGCAGGAGAATTGCTTGAACCCGGGAGGCGGAGTTTGCAGTGAGCCGAGATCGCGCCACTGCACTCCAGCCTGGGCCACAGAGCAAGACTCTGTCTCAAAAAAAAAAAAAAAAAGCTGAGTGTCTCTCACCACCAGAGGGCGAAGTACCTCTCCCACCAGAGGTCTGTTGATGTCAATTTTAATCAGCACTAGAAAAAAAATGAAGCTCCCAAACTGGCTAATTTTTTTTCCACCGTAATCCCAAATGGCTTAACCAAACATGATGATGCTATTCAGAGAACATTAACTCTTGTAAATAAATCGCCAAACTCATCTCAATTGGGCAGACAGATTTTCTGGGACTTTTTTTTTTTTTTTTTTTTTTGAAGTCTTGCTCTGTGGCCCAGCCTGGAGTACAGTGGTGTGATTATAGCTCACTGCAGCCGCCAAGCTCCTGGGCTCAAGCAATCCTCCCGCTTCAGCCTCCCAAAGTGCTGGGATTACAGGCATGAGTCATGGCACCCTGCCAAGAAGTCACTTTAATCAAAGCAACTGGCACTGTTATATCAGGCCATGGTAACAGCTGTCCCATGCAACTATGCATTGTCCTGTGGTGTCATTTTTTACAGTGATTTTTTTTTACATTACATTTCTAATGTACAACCTCTCCATGATTTGTCTTTTAAATGTTTGTTAAGTACTATCTTATGTGCCAGGCACTGTTATAGGTGCTGTGGATATTGTGCTAAATAAAATAAACAAAATTTCCTGCCCTCATGGGGCTTATACTTCTGGGTAAGATCTACCCTTTATTGAGCACTTACCATTGGCCAAGCACTTTCTTTGCACTATCTTATTATTCTCGCAGCATTTTTGGGGAAGTTTTTCAAATCTACAGAAAGTTAAAAGATACACCATTAACACTCATATACCCTTTGCTTAGACTTGTCAGCTACTAAAACTATATTTTATCTTTCTCTCTGTGTATATATACACATATATGTACATATATGTGTATATATACATATACATATATACACATATGTACATATATGTGTATATATACATATACATATATACACACGTGTATATATACATATACATATATACACACGTGTGTATATACATATACATATATACACACGTGTGTATATACATATACATATGTACACACGTGTGTATATATACATATGTACACACGTGTGTATATATACATATGTACACACGTGTGTATATATACATATGTACACACGTGTGTATATATACATATGTACACACGTGTGTATATATACATATGTACACACGTGTGTATATATACATATGTACACACGTGTGTATATATACATATACACACGTGTGTATATATACATATACACACGTGTGTATATATACATATACACACGTGTGTATATATACATATACACACGTGTGTATATATACATATATACACGTGTGCCTATATACATATATACATGTGTGCCTATATACATATATACATATATGTGTATATATACATATATACATATGTGTATATATACATACACATATATACATATACGTACATATGTGTATATATACATATACATACATATATATGTGTATATATACATATATACACATACATATATGTATATATACATATATGTATATATACAGCTCTTTCCATATATGTATCTCTCTCTATACTTCATTTATACGTAGAGAGGGTTTGTGTTAGTTTTGCTAAACATTTTTTTTTTTTTAGACAGGGTCTCGCTCTGTTGCCCAGGCTGGAGTGCAGTGGCACGATCATAGCTCACTGTAGCCTTGGGCTCCTGGGCTCAAGGGATCCTCCCATCTCAGCCTCTCAAAGTGTTGGGATTACAGATGTGAGCCACTGCACCCATCCTGCTAAGCCATTTTTTGCTAAACCATTTGAAAGTAAATTGTAGATATTATGACACTTCACCTGCATATTTTAGAATGTATCTCCTAAGATCAAGGACATGCTCCTAAAAACTATGATACCATCACACCCAAGAAATTTAATATTGATACAATTTATCTTTTTTTAAATTTATTTATTTAAGACAGGGTTTCACTCTTTTTGCCCAGGCTGGAGTGCAATGGCACAATCTCAGCTCACCACAACCTCTGCCTCCTGGGTTCAAGCTATTGTTCTACCTCAGCCTCCCAAGTAGCTGGGATTACAGGCATGCGCCACCACACCTGGCTAATTTTGTATTTTCAGTAGAGATGGGGTTTCTCCATGTTGGTCAGGCTGGTCTCAAACTCCTGACCTCAGGTGATCCGCCTGCTTTGGCCTCCCAAAGTGCTGGGATTACAGGCATGAACCACCATGCCCAGGCTTTTTTTCTTTTTTGACATGGAGTCTTGCTTTGTAGCCCAGGCTGGAACACAGTGGTGTGATCTCGGCTTACCACAACCTCTGCCTCCCAGGTTCAAGCGATTCTCTTGCCTCAGCCTCACGAGTAGCTGAGATTACAGGCACCCACCACCACACCCAGCTGACTTTTGTATTTTTAGTAGAGATGGGGTTTCACCATGTTGGCCAGGCTGGTCTCGAACTCCTGACCTCAAGTGATCTGCCCACCTTGGCCTCTCAAACTGCTGGGATTACAGGCATGAGCCACCATGCCTGGCCATTATTTATCTTATAATCCATATTCAAATATCTGCAATTACCCCCCAAATGTCCCTTACAGTCTCTTCCCCCCAGTCCAGAGTTCAGTAAAGGATCATGCATACATTTGAAAGCTATGTCTTGTCACTGTCTTTTAATCTAGAAGAGTCCCTCATCTCTTTTGTCCTTTCGGGATATTGACAGTTTTGGGGTCCGGGCCAGTTGTACTGAATACCCTGACATCTGGATCTGCTTTATTGTTTTCTCATGATTTGGTTAGGATTAAGCTTTTATGGCTAGAATATTAAACAGGTGATGGTGTGTCTTTCCCATTGCTTCATATCAGAAAGAAATAATGTAAATGTGTCCCATTATTGATGATGCTAAGTTTGATCTGTTGGATCAAACTTAATATGTCTTCATTGGAAACATACATTTTGGGGTTAATAAGTAATCTGTGGCCTTCAAGACTACGAGACTGTCTTGTTCTCCACCCACCTTTCACCCAGTAATGTTTGTGTTTGTTTGTTTTGAGATGAAGTCTCGCTCTGTTGCCCAGGCTGGAGTGCAGTGGCGCAATCTCGGCTCACTGCAACCTTCTGTTCTTCTTCTCTTGCCTCAGCCTCCCTCCCGAGTAGCTGGGACTACAGGCACGAGCCACTTCACATTGCAAGTTTTGCTTTTTTTTTTTTTTTTTTTTTTAGTAGAGATGGGGTTTCACCATTTTGGCCAGGCTGGTCTGGAACTCCCAACCTCAGGTGATCCACCCGCCTTGGCTTCCGAAAGTACTGGGATTACAGGCGTGAGCCACCGCGCCCAGCCCCCACCCAGTAGTTTTTTTTGTTTTGTTTTGGGTTTTTTTTGTATTTTTAGTAGAGACGGGGTTTCACCATGTTAGCCAGGATGGTCTCGATCTCCTGACCTCGTGATCCACCCACCTTGGCCTCCCAAAGTGCTAGGATTACAGGTGTGAGCCACCACACCTGGCCAACCCAGTAGTTTTTATCATCCCTTGATGATCCCTCCCTGGATTATCATGCTGGTGGTTGCAAAATTGTAACTTTCTAATTCTACCATTGCTTCCTCTTTTATTAGGTAATATTCCCCCCCAAAAGGAGCTCCCGCCCTTTTTCTGGGGTATCACTATGGACTCATAAACTTTTTTTTATTTTATGTGTTATAATCCATTACTATGGTTATTCTATTTTCCCTTGGTTTTATTAGGGTATCATTTACATAAAATGAAATGCATAGATATTAGGTAATATGTAATCTGATGAATTTTGACATATGTATATACTTGTGTAACCAACACCTGAATTTAACCAATACTCCCAATGGATATAGAAATTTCCATTACTCCAGAAAGTTCTCATGCACTTGTTACTTACTAACTCCAAAGGAGAAAAATGTACCTCTCCACTGTTCTAATTTTATCATCATAGATTAATTTTGACTGTTCCATAACTTCCTATAAATGGAACCATCTAATATATAGTCTTTTGTGTTTAGCTTTTTTCACTAAGGATGATGTTTTCTAGATTCATCCATGTTGATCTGCATGTCAGTGGTTCATTCCTTTTTACTGCTGGGAAGTGTACCGTCTCAGGAAATGATAGTCCAGGGCCGGGTGCAGTGCCTCACACCTAGAATTCCAGCACTTTGGAAAGCTGAGGTACAAGAATCGCTTGAAACCAGGAGTCTCTACAAAAAATTTTAAAATGAGCTGGGCTTGGTGGCACACACTTGTAGTTCTAGCTACTTGGGAGGCTGAGGTGAGAGGACTGCTTGAGCCCAGGAGTTGGGGTCTGTAGTGAGCTATGATCCCACCACTGCACTCCAACCTGGGTGACAGTGTGAGACCCTGTCTCTGAAAAAATAAAAAAGAAGATGATACCCTAAGATAAAGGCTTCAGAAGCAGCTCTCTCTGACCGTCTCCTGCCCTTCTGTCTCTGGCCTCTTATTCTCCCCTGAGGCTAGTCATAGAAACTAGAATCCCTCTTCCCCAAGGCAGGGTTTAGAAACCAGAAACTGGCAGGGCGCAGTGGCTCACTCCTGTAATCCCAGCACTTTGGGAGGTCGATGCAGGCGGATCACCTGAGGTTAGGAGTTCGAGACCAGCCTGGCCAACATGGTGAAACCCCATCTCTACTAAAAATACAAAATTAGCCAGGTGTGGTGGTACATGCCTGTAATCCCAGATACTCTGGAGACTGAGGCAGGAGAATCGCTTGAATGTGGGAGGCGGAGGTTGCAGTGAGCCAAGATTGTGACACTGCACTCCAGCCTGGGCACTAGAGCAAAACTCCATCTCAAAAAAAAAAAAAAAAAAAAAAAGAAACCAGAAACCTTCCTCCTTCCCCTTGCCAGCGGTGAAACCAAACCTAAAAATATTACTCTAACTCCCTCCCCCTAAACCACCACACCTTTCTGTGCATAAACTGGCCATCAAGAAATTATCCAACCTACCTGGTTTGACTGTAGGTCATAAGACCCCCATTCCAGAGAGGGTCCTGCTGCACACCCGGAAGGAAGGACAAGAACAAAACTCTGTCTCAAAAAAAAAGAAAAAAAATTCTGTGTGTGTGTATTTCTCATTCTTTTTGATGCTCAAATTGTCCCAAATTTGACCATTGGTAGTCCTCTCAAATTAATTCCTGTGTCATCTTTGGGACAATCTTAATTTTAAATGGGCCCTGTGGGACTTAAACTTGTCCAACACTATGATCGGTTCTGAGTTCAGAAAATAGTCTCTCTAAATTTTTGTTCCAATCTCCACAGATGTAGATTCTTACCTCATTCCCAAAGCTAGTCACTCCTTAATCTACAACAGCCATTCTTCAGCAACACTGAAGACTCTTATGACATAAAGTTGAAACTTCTTTCCCCAAATGATGCATGCATCCGACACACAGGCAGACACACACGTGCATGCGCAGACACACAGGCAGACACACACGTGTGCGTGCGGACACACAGGCAGACACACGTGCATGCACACACACACACATTTTGCCAGTGGTTCTTGGATTGTTTACAGTGATCTCTAAATCACTGAACGCCTACTATGTATTAGAGATTGTGCTAGATGCAAAGAAATGCAAAGGGAAGAAAATAAGAAAATTAACATTTAAAAAAGACCTAGGCCCCATGTGGTGGCTCACACGTGAAATCCCAGCATTTTGGGAGGCCAAGGCAGGAGGGTCACATGAGCCCAGGAGTTGGACACAAGCCTGGGCAACATAGTGAGACCTCATCTTTACAAATATATATATATTTTTTAATTAGCCTGGCATGGTGGTGCATGCCTGTGGTCCCAGCTAGTTGGGAGGCTGAGGTGGGAGAACTGCTTGAGCCCTGGGGGCCAAGGCTGCAGTGAGCAGAGATTGCACAGTCCAGCCTGGGCAACAGAACGAGACCCCGTCTCAAAAAGAAAAAGAAAATACCTACCATGTATGTTCCGGACATTGTACTAAGTGTTTGATACATGTCATCTTAACAAAGATGCATAAAATAGAGATTTCATAAACTAACAAATTATCACAGCACACTAGAATACATACTATTGTAAATAAAGGCATGTAGTCACTGAATTACATTCATTCACCAGATATTTCTTGAAAACTTCCTATGTACAAGCTCTGCCCCAGGCGTGGGGGATACATCTGTGAATAAGACAAATGCAGCCTGTGCCTTCTAGGGCTCAAGTCTAGTGGAGGAAGGCAGACACATAAGCAATTACCATCAGAGCTCCAACCCACACAAACATTTTTAAAAACATATTATTGTAGAGACAGGTTCTCACTATGTTGCCCAGGCTTGTCTCAAACTCCTGGCCTCCAGCAATCCCCTCACCTCTGCCTTTCAAAACATTGGGATTGCAGGCGTGAGCCACTGCATCTAACCCAAAAATATGTTTCAAAAAGAAAAACAAAATCTAAAACCCACTGCCTCTGAATCTGTACTATATTCTTTGGAAGCTCCTCACAGGTGACAAATTAGCATTGTCTTATATACAACCCAAAGCCCTCTGAGCAGAGCTTGATGAATAAGTGGATAATTAATATCTTTTTTTTTTTTGAGACAGAATCTCACTCTGTCGCCAGGCTGGAGTGCAGTGGCATGATCTCAGCTCGCTGCAACCTCCAACTCCCTGGTTCAAGCGATTCTCCTGCCTCAGCTTCCCGAGTAGCTGGGATTACAGGCGTGTGCCACCATGCCATGCCCAGCTAATTTTTGTATTTTTGGTAGAGACAGGGTTTCACCATGTTGGTCAGGATCACAAGCTCCTGACCTTGTGATCCGCAGGTGCAGATAGAAAAGAAATCCCAGATTGAGTGTTGTGCTGTAATCCTAGAAAACAATCGATCAAATCAGAACAGACTCCATGAATAAAAAGAAGAGATTCCAACCAGAAATTAATGTCAGAAATTTGAAAAGGGAATATCATTTCAGATTCTTCAGCACCAAAAGATCATAAGAAGACATGATGAATAACTTTATGCCTATGTATTTGAAAATTTAAGTGGAACAGAAATATTTCTAGAAAAAAGTCTTACCTAAATGGACACAAAACATAATAGAAAATTGGAATCATCCTATAACTATTAAAGACATTTCATCTCTAATTTAAAAGGTTCCCACAAAGAAAACTCCAATCCCTAATGCCTTTGAAATCTACCACACTTTTAAGGAAGAAATAATGCCAACATCACATAATTTCTTCCAAAGGCCAGGAAAAAAGGTCACCAACCGACATGAAAGCAACATAACATTGACACCAACATAGGAGATAAGGTGCAAAAATATCTCTAATTTCATTTCATTCAGTTCAAACCGTGATACAGTTTGCCTGTGTCCCCACCCGAATCTCATTTTGAATTGTAGTTCCCATAATCCCCACATGTTGTGGGAGGGACCGGGTGGGAGGTAATTGAATCATGCGGGCAGTTACCCCCATGCTATTCTGATCATGAGTTAGTTCTCACAAAATCTGATGATTTTAGAAGGGGCTTTTCCCCCCATTCGCGCTTCACTTCTTGCTGCTGCCAGGTGAAGAAGACCTTGTTTGCTTCCCCTTCCACCATGATCATAAGTTTCCTGAGGCTTCCCCAGCTATGCGGAACTGTGAGTCAATTAAACCTCTTTCCTTTATCAATTACCCAGTTTTGAGTATGTCTTTATTGGCAGCGTGAGATTGGATTAATACAAACTGCTTTCATTAATAAAATTGCATCAATTTGTTGCAGCAATGTTGGGAACATCTAGTACCCTTGTTCTCAGTCTTGAGCTTGCATTAGAATCACCTGGAGGGGTTGGCTTTGTTAAACCAGATTGGGGGCCCATCTGTGGTCAGGGATGGGGCCCAAGAGTTTTAAATACAACAAGATCCTTGGTAATGCTGTTGCCTCTGCACCAGGGACCACTTTTGACAATCACTGACCCAGTGGCACATACTATTTTGAAATCTTGCTTGCCATAGAAGTAATGTTATTTGGAATGCTTGGACAGGCTCAGTATGTTGGAACAACTTCTAATTTAATTCTCTAAGGATGTAAAAAAAAAAATCTTGGTTAGATTGGCCAACATTGATATGATTGGCCAATTTCAATATGCTAAAGTAAATGATGTGGTCAGCTGTAATCCCTGAAAATTTGTTTTCAAGAAGTTGATTATCACTGTTTTTCCCCCAACATATATATGAATTTTAGCAGGATCCCTTTGTTTTCCTAAGATTTACAGCATATAAAAGAGTATTCCAAATAGCATTGCTTTCAGATTCTTCTAACAATTTTATAATAACTGTATTATATTTTCATTCATATTTGCTACTCTCATACAATGTCTTTATATTTGTCTGGACTAATCTGTATTGGCCAAAGTTACAATTGTCAATTCTCTGAATGCTTTTAATCCAGTTTTGTGAGAGAAGATTAACCAAACAAGAAGACCCTCCTTAAAATGTTCTTACCACTCATGTAAGATATAAGCTAAGTGTTGTGCAACTTTCAATTTGACTTTCTCTGGTTGGATTACAAAATCTATACGAGATTGTAACAGCATAATAAGCATTGTTTCCAACATTCCGCAACAGTATAGATTCAAGGAGAAACTCTATTATTGCTAAGGTATGTTTTTATGGCTTGCTACACCATAAAAACTATACACACCAAAATACATGCCAGAGAATAAATGTTTTTTTCAGGAACCATGTGAGCAATTTTTTTCTTTTGGCACATAATATGCAACCCAATACAATGATAATAAGGCTTTCTCACTGACAGTCACAACATGAATCATAAAATTTGCCTATCACATTATATATGTTTTTCTTTCTTTGGAAATATTCGAGAGACTGACTAATTCAACATGTCATGTTTCCAAGCATCTTTTAAGTTTTGATGGTTTTAAGTTCTCATTTGCAAGAACATCATTATAATGCATTGGTGTACATGTCATTTTGTTGGTTTTACACATTTCATAAAATAATACACACATATATGTATATATATATATAGAGAGAGACAGAGTTTCATAATTATCACCCAGACTAGAGACTGTGATCTCAGCTCACTGCAACCTCCGCTTCCCGGGTTCAAGTGATTCTTCTGCCTCAGCCTCCAGAGTAGCTGGGATTACAGGCGCCTGCCACCACACCTGGCTAATTTTTGTATTTTTAGTAGAGATGGGGTTTTGCCATGTTGGGCAGGCTGGTCTCAAACTCCTGATCTCAGGTGATCTGCCTGCCTTGGCCTCCCAAAGTGCTGGGATTACAGGTGTGAGCTGGCTGGGCATGGTGGCTCATGCCTGTAATCCCAGCACTTTGGGAGGCTGAGATGGGAGGATTGCTCAAGGCTAAGGGTTTGAGACCAGCCTAGTCAACATAGTGAGACCCCCATCTCTATTAAAATAAATAAATAAATACATAAATAAAGCAAATCTTGCATTTACCCTTTTTAACAAGATGCAAATGATGTCAGTCTGTTGATTAGAGTTGATATTTTCTCCAATATTTCCATTTACTCTTCCCATGTTTTTCACCTTATTATTCTTGTTCTTTGTAGCATTAAAACAGTCAACTTAAGAGCAATTTGAACTAGTTCAATTAAAATGCTACAATTATTGCACATCCAAAATTTTTTATCTGATTATAAACTTTCTGAAAAACTGCACTGCAAATTCCTAACCAAAACTCAGTTGAAAGTCATGGCAATATTGCAAAAAAAAAAAAAAAAAAAAAAAAATTCCACTCTTCAATTCACAACTAACTACAAACTATTTTGATATAAAATTAAATAATACACAGCTGGGTGTGGTGGCTCACGCCTGTAATCCCAGCACTTTGGGAGGCCAAGGCGGGTGGATCACGAGATCATGAGTTCAAGACCAGCCTGGTCAAGATGGTGAAACCCCATCTCTACTAAAAATACAAAAATTAGCCAGGCGTGGTGGCAGGTGCCTGTAATCCCAACTACTAGGAAGGCTGAGGCAGAGAATTGCTTGAACCCGGGAGGCGGAGGTTGCAGTGAGCCGAGATCGCAACACCACACTCCAGCCTGGGCAACAAGAGCAAAACTCCATCTCAAAAAAAAAAAATAAATAAATAAATAAATACTATACTATTCTGCCATTATAACTTGATGGTCATATTGACACTCATGTACCAGAAAATCAAATGAGATGACAATTCACCAAATAAACTGCTTTTAGCCAACGTGCACATTTTTCACATCCCCTCCTCTGTCTCTCCCACAATGTAATGCAATTAGCCTTGTGCGATTAGTAATGTGCTCCTGTCCTCAGTTCTTGTCAAGAATCCACACAAGGCACTCTAATATTTTCGAATCCATTCTATTTCATTATTTAAAAAGTTAGTGGGACACATTAAATTTATTTCTTGACCCACTAAAGGGTCATGAGCAAAGTCTCAAAAACACTACTGTAAGACACTAAACTATTAACTATTGCAAGGGAGTTTGTAAAAAATACAATAAACAGAATAGCTTACCTCTCTGCATGCAGAATGTTTTCTTTGCTAACTTTATTTTTCAAGGCTGGATTTATACCACACTGGGCTTGCAAACTTGCTGCTTCATGGGTTGGTGGGGAGGGGTAGGAGAGGGGTGTGTGGGGTATATATGTTTTCTTTTTTATTTTATGGTCTTTTTAAAAAATTGAGATATAATTCATACACCATAAAATTCACACTATTAAAGTACAATTCAGTGGTTTTTAGTATATTCCCAATATTGTGTAACTATCATCACTATCTAATTCCAGAACATATTAATCACCCATCAAAAAAATCCATACCCATGAAGAGTAACTCCCCATTTTCCCTGCCCCTGGTCCCTGCCAACCACTAATTTACTTCCTGTCTCCATAGATTAATCTATTCTAGATATTTTATATAAAAGGAATCACACAGTATGTGGCCTTTTATGTCTGGCTTCTTCCACTTAGCATATATTTTTAAAGGTTTATCCACGTTGCAGCATTTATCAGTAGGTCATTCCATTTAGTGGTCAAGTAATATGCCATTGTATGAATATTCCACATTTTAATCATTTGTAAGTTGATGAATGCTAGGATTGTTTCCACTTTTAGCTATTATGAATAATGCTGTTACAAACTGACGTACAAACTTTTGTGTAGACGTAATTCATTTTAGTTTTCTCTTGGGTGAGTGGAATTGCTGGGTCACATGGTAACTTAATCTTTAATTTTAATTAATTTATTTATAGGCTGAAGTGCAGTGGCGTGACCTTGGCTCACTGCAACCTCCACCCCCCAGATTCAAGCAATTCTTCTGCCTCAGCCTCCCGAGTAGCTGCAATTACAGGCGTGCGCCACCATGCCTGGCTAATTTTTTGTATTTTTAGTAGAGACGGGGTTTCGCCATGTTGGCCAGGCTGGGCAATGTTTAATTTTTGATAAGCCAATAAAGTGTTTTCCAAACCAGCTACCCCGTTTTATATCCCCGCTAGCAATGGATGAAAATTCCAGGGCTGGGCGCGGTGGCTCACGCCTGTAATCCAGCACTTTGGGAGGCTGAGGCGGGCAGATCATTTGAGCGCAGTAGTTCGAGACCAGCCTGGGCAACGTGGCAAAACCCTGTCTCTACAAAAAATAAAAAATTAGCCAGGCGTGGTGGCATGCGCCTGTGGTCCCAGCTACTTGGGAGGCTGAGGTAGGAGTATCACTTGAGCCCCAGAAGTCGAGGCTTCAGTGAGCTTTGATTGCGGCACTGCACTCCAGCCCGGGCAACAGAGTGAGAACCTGTCTCAAAAAATAATAAATAAATAAATAAATAAAAATTTTAAAAACAAAATTCCAAATTCTCCACATCCTCACTAACATCTCCCACCTCAGCCTCCCTAAAAGCTGTGACTACAAGTGCGAGCCACCATGCTCAGCTAATTTTTTTATTTTTGGTAGAGACAGGGTTTCGCCATGTTACCCAGGTCTTAAACTCCTGGACTCAAACTATCCACCCACTTTGGCCTCCCAAAGTGCTGGGATTACAGGCTTAAGCCACTGTTCCTGGCCTTTTTTTTTTAAATAAATGATTTTTAAAAATTTTTATATTGACAAGGCTGGGCGTGGTGGCTCACGCCTGTAATCCCAGCACTTTGGGAGGCTGAGGCAGGCAGATCACGAGGTCAAGAGATCGAGACCATCCTGGCCAACATGGTGAAACCCCGGCTCTACTAAAAATACAAAACTTAGCTGGGCGTGGTGGCACATGCTTGCAATCCCAGCTACTCGGGAGGCTGAGGCAGGAGAAGCACTTGAACCAGGGAGTCGGAGGTTGCAATGAGCCGGGATCGCGCCACTGTACTCCAGCCTGGCGACAGAGACTTCGTCTCAAAAAACAAACAAACAAACAAAAAAATTACATTGACAAATAAAATTAGTATATATTTATCAAGTACATGTTGTTTTGAAATATATATACATTGTGGAATGGCTAAATTGAGGTAATTAGCATATGTGATTAACTTTAGACTTTAAGGATATGTACTCGTCATAATGGTCTCTATTAGCCAGGAACCTGACAGGAAACAGATGGCTCATTCAAATTAGAAAAATTAGTGGAAGGTTTAATAAAGAGACTACTTACAAAGGTGTGGACAGAGTGTTAGAGAACCGCAAGGGAAAATACAGTAATCCTATACAGCCAATCCTATCCCTAGCCTGAAGGGAATAAGAGAATGGTTACTGTATTAGTCAGAATTACAAAACAGAACTAATGGAATATGTTTGTGTAAGGAGGGCGAGGTGGCTTACACCTGTAATCCCAGCACTTTGGGAGGCGGAGGTGGGTGGATCACCTGATGTCAGAAGTTGGAGGCCAGCCTGACTAACATGGTGAAACCTCGTCTCTACTAAATACAAAAAATTAGTCAGGCATGGTGGCAGGTGTCTGTTATCCCAGCTACTTGGGAGGCTGAGGCAGGAGAATCACTTGAACCCGGGAGGCAGAGGTTGCAGTGAGCCGAGATGGTGCCACTGCATTCCAGCTTGGGCAACAAGAGTGAAACTCCATCTCAAAAAAAAAAAAAAAAAAAAGAATATGTGTGTGTATAGAAAGAGGTTTATCATAAGGAATTGGCTCACACAGTTGCAGAGATTGGCAAGTCCAAATGTGCAGTGTGGGCTGGCAGGTTTGAAACCCAGGAAAGCCAGTGGTATAGATGAAGTCCCAGAGCGGGCTGCTGGAGAATTCCCTCTCATGTAAGGGAGAGGCCGTCTCTTCATTCTCTTCAGGCTCCAGCTGATTGAATGAGGCCCATCCACATTATGAAGGGTAATCTTCACCAATTAAAATGTTCATCTCATCCAAAAACACCCTTGCAGAAATACTCAGAATAATGTTTGACCAAATATCGGAGTACCCAGTGGTCCAGCCAGGTTGACACATAAAATTAACCACCACCTGAAAATAAAAAGTTGTGTAGAGATGGGCACCTTGGGATAAAATGATACTTTTTTTTTATTATTGTACTTTAAGTTCTAGGGTACACGTGCACAACGGGCAGGTTTGTTACATATGTATACGTGTGCCATGTTGGTTTGCTGCACCCATTAACTCATCATTTACATTAGGTATTTATCTTAATGCTATCCCTCCCCTATCCCCCCACCCCACCACAGGCCCCGGTGTGTGATGTTCCCCGCCCTGTGTCCAAGTGTTCTCATTGTTCAATTCCCACCTATGAGTGAGAACATGCAGTGTTTGGTTTTCTGTCCTTGCGATAATTTGCTCAGAATGATGGTTTCCAGCTTCATCCATGTCCCTACAAAGGACATGAACTCATCAAAAGGATATTCTTTTTATATACATATATATAGAGATAGGATCTCACTATGTTGCCCAGGCTGGTCTTGAACTCCTGGGCTCAAGCAATCCTCCCATCTCTGCCTCCCAGAGTGCTGGGATTACAGGTGTGAGTCACCATGCCCAGTCAGAAATGATACCTTTTGATTGAGAGATGTAGCCAGCCTGAAGCAAATCCTGCAAGAAGGGAGCCAGAGGGATAAACGCCCTTGAACTCACTCCACTCCCTTTCACCAGTCTCCTGTCTGGGCTCCCCACTGGATGAACCCAACTGGAAGCCAGGAAGAATGAGCCCATTAATTGTAGCTCATACCAGACCACGAGAACAGAGGATAATGAATTTCTTGGGGCAAAGAATAGGGTGAAAAAGGGTGAAAAGCACATCCACAGGGGGAAATGGAAGATATCCTACACACAAGATTATGCCACAGTAATAAGCAATTCCAGCGGACTCAAAGAAAGTAGAAGGAAGGAAATAAGATCAAAGCAGAAATTAGCACAACAGACAAACATACACTTGACAGCAACAAGTCAGTCCCAAGTTTGTTCTTCAAAAAAGAGAAATACAATAAGAAATATCTGGCAAGACTAATCAAGAAAAAGAGAAGGCATAGATAATTAATAATAAAAAACAGGCCAGGCATGATGGCTCACACCTGTAATCCCAGCACTTTTGGAGGCTAAGTCAGGAGGATCATTTGGATGCCAGGAGTTTGAGACCACTCTGGGCAACATGGCAAAACCCTGCCTCCACACAAAAAATTTTTTTAATTAGCCAGGTGTGATGGTGCATACCTGGAGTTCCAGCTACTTGGAAGGCTAAGGCAGGAGGATTGCTTGAGTGTGGGAGGTCAAGGCTGCGGTGAGTCGTGATCACACCACTGCACTCCAGCCTGGGCAACAGAGCGAGATCTTTTCTCAAAAAAAAAAGAACAAAACAGATAGGACAACTTCATGCCAATGAATTCATAGAAAAGTACAACTTTCTAAGTTAGGGAAGAGCAGGGTTTAGGAAAGGACTTTCTTTCGTCTCTCTGATCTGGCCTGGAATCCGGGGTGTTGACTAATGATCAAGGGTATCCCTGGGTGTGGGGATGAGCTGGCCTTGGCCACAAAGAAGCCTGAATAATGAAGTGGACTGTGGTTCTAAGAGTAGTCATAGCTAATAGTAGCTGTTAGCTAGTAGATGATGTAATTTCCTTCCATTATGCCTCAGTTTTCAGTCAAGACTTCTTCAAAGTTATAGCAGTTCTCGTCTAGGTTATGGGGAATTATGTGTAGGCCTGAGTCTCTATTTGAGGCAAAGTAATAGAAGAGAGGGCAGGAGGTATATCCCTGCCTATCAAGGTAGCCAGAGGTTTGCCATGGTACTGAAGAAAATGATCAGCAGCTGAATTAGCCAAGGTTCATGGGCAAAGATGAGGCTGGCAGATAAAGCCAGACAAATTCCTGGTTAAAAGTCACCTCCTGAGCTATTTAGAGAAACAGTTGATTCAGGGCTGGGATAGGAACGGGATCAGCTGAGCTTGGAACATCTTGTAATACCAGAAAGCAGGACACTATCAAAGACTATTGGGGTTGTGTTAACAGGACTCAGGGCTAACTTGAAGAGAGGCTTCCACTGGCCAGAAATGGGACAATTTGAGCTTTGATAAGAAAAATAATTTCAATGAACTGAAAACCATCAAATGAGTTTAAATCCAAGAGTTCACAATACTTGAAAAACAAAACTTCATTGTCACAATTGGAAGATGCTAGGAAAATGATGCATTATTCTGGAAAATAAAAAATAAAAGTTAAGAATCAAATATTTATCCTGGCTTTCCTGAATGAACTGTGCCCCAAGGAACCCAAATAGTTGACGAGAGGAAGTCTTTCTTTAGAGAAGTAGTCTAGCCTTGGCTGGGCATGGTGGCTCACACCTGTAATCCCAGCACTTTGGGAGGCCAAGGTAGGTGTATCACCTGAGGTCAGGAGGTCGAGACCAGCCTGACTAACATGGTGAAACCTTGTCTTTACTAAAAATACAAAATTAGCTGGGTGTGGTGGCGCATGCCTGTAATCCCAGCTACTTAGGAGGCTGAGGCAGGAGAATTGCTTGAACCCGGGAGGCAGAGGTTGCGGTGAGCCGAGATCAAGCCATTGCACTCCAGCCTGGGCAACAAGAGCAAAACTTCATCTCAAAAAAAAAAAAAAAAAAAAAAAAAAAGAGAAGTAGTCTAGACTAATTAAAATCTCACTATTTTGAAACCCCTGTTGAAATAATGGATCCAAGCAATGACCAACAAATGGCTGTTAGTAACAGGCAAGGAGACATCATGTGTCTCTTGACCAAAAGAAACAACAGTGCTTATTCTTGAAAAATAAAAACACCAGCCTAGACAACATAGCGAGACCCCATCTAAACAAAAAATTTAAAAATTAGCCAGGTGTGGTGGTGTGGGCCTGTAGTCCCAGCTATTCGGGAGGCTGAGGCGGGAGAATCACTTGTGCCCGTGAGGCTGCAGTGAACTGTGATCACCCCACTGGGTGACAGGGTGAGACGCTGTCTCAAAATACATAAATACACAAATAAAAATAAAAACAAAAGTAAAAATCCAAATCTGATGATGTCTCTAGATCTTAATATCAACTTTAAAAAACAGTTATATAATAAATACCTCAGAGATGCAATTAACAAAATCCATAATATGGAAACCTACAGGACATACAACTGTTGTCTTCAACAAACAAACTGCAATGAAAATAGAGGAGGAGTGGGAAAGGAGGGAGGGAGGGAGAGGGAAAGAATTCCTGTAAATTAAAAGACATTTCAGAGATATATCATCTAATTTCAAATATATAAATCAACCCTATGTGGGTCCTGATGCAAACAAACTATAATACAAAGTTATGAAACAAAACATTTTGAACATTGGAGAGGATATCAAGGAATAATGATTTATTTTTATAGGCATGCTTTGGGGATGCATTCTGAAATACTTTTAGGAATAAAATGTTTGGAATCCTAAATAATCTAGTGTGGATATAAATGAAATAAGGTTGGCCATGAATTCATCATCTTTGAAGCTAGTTTGTTGAAATTGGGTGATGAGCACACAAAGGATGGATGTCCTGTTCGCTCCATTTTTGTTTATTTAAAATTTTACTTAGCCAGGCATGGTGGCATGCACCTGTGGTCCCAGCTTCTTGGGACGCTGGGGTGGGATGACCGCTTGAGCCTGGGAGGTGGAGGCTTCAGTGAGCTCAGATCATGCCACTGCATTCCAGCCAGGGCATGAGTGAGATCCTGTCTCCAAATAAATAAGAAAATAAATAAAAATAAAATAAAATAAAATAAAATAAAAATAAAAAAATAAAAAATAAATAAAATAAAATAAATAAAAAATAAAATAAAAAAATAAATAATAAAAATAAAAAAATAAACAAAATAAAATAAAATAGTACATCCTGGCCAGGCACGGTGGCTCATGCCTCCTAGCACTTTGGGAGGCCAAGGCAGGCAGACTGCTTGAGCTCAGGAGTTTGAGACCACCCTGAGCAACGTGGCAAAATCCCATCTCAACAAAAAATACAAAATTAGGAAAATTAGCCAGGCATGGTGGCATGCTCCAGTTGTCCCAGCTACTCGGGAGGCTAAGGTGGGAAGATTGCTTGAGCCCAGAAGGTCAGGGATTGCAAGGCTTGCAGGGCTTGCAGTGAGCCGTGATTGCGCCACTGCACTCCAGGCTGGGCAACAGGGTGAGACCCTGTCTCAAAAAAAAAAAAAACAACTTTGTGGCCAGGGACAGTGGCTCATGCCTGTAATTCCAGTACTTTGGGAGGCTGAGATGGGAGGATTGCTTGAGCCCAGGAATTCGAGACCACCCTGGGCAACAAAGCAAGATCCCATCTCTAATGTTTATAAAAATGTAAAAAGAAAAAATTAAAGTTACAAGAAAATAAAATTTTAAAAAGCAATAAAATTTTACATAATTAAAAGCTCACGTCCTCAGGGAGGCTTTTTCCACCCACCCTATCTAAAGCAGCTTATCTTTCCCCATTATTTTCTAGCACAGCCCCGTGTTTTCTTCATGGAACTGATCACAATGTTACTTTATCTATTTACTAGGTTATTTCTTTCTGCTAGAAATTTAGTTTCACAAGAATAAAAACTGTTTGCCTTGTTTGCTGCTGAACCTCTGGGGCTGCGGCTGGCACACAAAGGTGCCTGCCCAGCCCCATGGCTCACGCCTGAAATCCCAGTTAATCAGGAGGCTGAGGCAGGGGATTGTTTGAGCCCAGGAGTTTGAGATCAGCCTGGGCAACATAGGGAGACACCGTCTCTGCAAAAAAATTTTTAAAAATCAGGCAAATTATAGTGGTGTGTGCCTGTGGTCCCAGCTACTCCAGAGGCTGAGATGGGAGGATCACTTGAGCCTGGGAGGTCGAGGCTGCAGTGAGTCGTGATCATGCCACTACATTCCAACCTGGGTGACAGAGGGAGACCCTGTCTCAAAAGAAAAAAGGTGCTTAATAAATCTTCGTTGCTTGGAAGGACAGGTGGATAGATAGGTCAACTAAAGAGTAAGAAGCAGCCGGGGCATGGTGGCTCACGCCCATAATCCCAGCACTTTGGGAGGCCGAGGCGGGTGGATCACCTGACGTCAGGAGTTCGAGACCAGCCTAGGCAACATGGTGAAACCTCATCTCTACTAAAAATACAAAAAATAAAAATAAAAATAAAAAAATTAGCCAGATGCGGTGTAGCCAGATGCACGCCTATAGTCCCAGTTACTCAGGAGGCTGAAGCTGGAGAATTGCTTGAACCTGGGAGGCAGAGGTTGTAGTGAGCCGAGATCACACCACTGCACTCCAGCCTGGGTGACTGAGTGAGACTCTGTCTCAAAAAAAAAAAAAAAAAAAAAAAAGTAAGAAGCACATGTTGGAGCAAGAACTAACAAAGAAATACATTTATGACAACACTTTCCACAAAGACACCAGAAAAGGAAGGGAGATTCAACTATCGACCCCTAGGATCTTTGGAGCCAGCTAACCGCATTTAGCCGTCTCTCCAGCTGCATGAGAAAATTAACTAGAGTCACAATTGCCCGTAGCCACCAATCCTTTCTTTGAATGAAATCTCATGAGACAGCCCAATATGTAAAACATGATAACCAAAATATGATAGCCAAAAGCAATTTATTATAGTTTAGCCTCAAAAAAATAAAAATAAAAAAATTATCCAGTGGTTATGAGGAGTCTAGGAAAACCTGTCCCAGTAATGCCAACTTGGAGGTGAAGGGCTGACTGGGGCAGCTGAGAAGTGGGACCTTCTGTTTGGCAGGCTTCCTCTCCCTTGCCTGGTCATGGTTTTCTGGTGAGAAGAGTGTTCCTGGCCTTGCTGGAGGTTCCCATGGCCCCGAACTAACAGTGTTTTTCTGAAATTTCGACCTGCTCCGTTTGAGAGAGTAGAATTCCCTCATCAAGTCCTCCACCTCCCACTGCTCTTCCTTCAGCCTCTGGCAGCAGTGCAGGGCGGCAGGGTCGATGGGGTGAGCTTCTGTGTTGAAGATGTACCCCCCAGCCCCCAGGATGCACTCCCCATAGGGGGTGATCACCGCGTCGAAGGTGGACCCATTGTTGTGGATGAAGTTGGTTGGGTCAAACAGGAGGTAGAGGTATTTCACAGTCTCGGCCAGGAAGAACGACTCCATGCGGTTGTCCAGCTTGTGGTCTCGCAGATCTTTGATCTGACATGTGGGAGAAGGAAGCAAGCTGGAACACCATCACAATTTAGTAGTAAGGGTCAGGCAATCCCTTAAGAAGGCCTGTTCTGCCACAAAGCAGCTGAGGGCCTGTGAGCAAATCACTGAACTTTTCAGAACTTCACTCTTTCCCAAGCCACCATCATCTCTCACCTGGATTATCACATAAGCTTCCAAATGGGCTCCCAGCTTCCAATCTTAGCCCTGCAGTTTATATACACACACTATTTTAAAAAATAGGGACAGGGTCTCACACCATGTTGCCCAGGCTGGTCTCAAATCCCTGGGCTCAAGCAATTCCTCCTACCTTGGCCTCCCAAAGTGCCAGGATAACAGGCGTGAGACACACACCAAGCTCCTACAGTATCTGTATAACATAAGTCTTCCTGTCAATTCTCTACTCACAACTTTCTGTGAGCCCTCCATTTCATGCAGGATAAAAATGCAAGTCATGACCTGGCCCCTGCTCCCTTCCTGCCCTCACCTCTTACCACTCTAAGAGCTCCAGCTGCTGCCTTTCTGTCCTGAGCTAGCACAGCACCCTCCTGCTTCGGGCTCTTTGCATCTGTGGTTCTTTCAGCCTGGAGCACTCCGCCTCCAGTTTTTCTCATAGCTTGTTCCCTCCCTTCCTTCAGGTCTCTGCTCAAATGCTTCCTCACCAGAAAGGTCTCCGCTAACCTTGCTCTATGACATGACAATCTCCTATCCCCTTTATCCCAACTTTTTGTGACTATAAACATAGAGCTAATCGTCCCTTTTAATGATGGCAGAGTATTCCATCGTGAAAATGGATCACCATTTACTTGGCTAATCCTCCTTGGAAGGGCATTCAGATGATTACCAAGTTTTTTTTTTTTTAGAGATGGAGTTTCACTCTGTTGCCCAGGCTGGAGTGCAATGGCATGGTCTCGGCTCACTGCAACCTCTGCCTCCCGGGTTCAAGCAATTCTCCTGCCTCAGCCTCCAGAGTAGCTGGGACTACAGGCACATGCCACCACACCCAGGTAATTTTTTTTGTATTTTTAGTAGAGACAGGGTTTCACCATGTTGGTCAGGCTGGTCTTGAACTCCTGACCTCGTGATCCGCCTGCCTTGGCCTCCCAAAGTGCCGGGATTACAAGCCTGAGCCACTGCGCTTGGCCAATTACCAAGTTTTTGTAAGCAACTAATAAGGGGTCTTTTTTTCTCCACTCAGACCCAAAGTATCGACACTTACTAGGTTCAACTGCTGTTGATGAAAACTATTGACATTGTTTTAGTAAGGAGTCTTATTTAGAGAATTTCAACTGAGTTTTCAGGCATGGATGACTAAGATTACTTGCTACAAACATTTATTTTAGCTTCTCAGAATTAGTAATACTTCTAAACAAAACATTCTCAGTGGACTCTATCTTACATTTAAAAATATGACTCAAATATGGTCTTGATGTATCAAGATGATTATTTCCTTGCCCTGTTTGAGAAAGGTCAGACCCCTGTTCCCATCATTCACCATGGAAGACCTCCAAAGGGCTTCATGTTCATGGAAATGAGCCCAGCATTCCTAGGAAGGCCCCAGTGGGCTTATCATTTTGGTTTTTCACACAATACAGCATATTAGAAACCAAATCATATCAGGGGTTTATTTTTTCCCTTCCACATGTAGGTCTTCTCTCTTCCCCTACACATATCTATATTTTACTTATAGAATATAATCACATTACAAACTTTTGCAAAATAAGTGTTTTGTTGTTGTTTTGAATTCCATACCCCAACACTGTAGGCTTTTCAGGGGATTTTCTTCCAGACTATTTTCTTCTACTTTCATATTTATATCTTGCCTGCTTGGTTCCTGCATGGATGTGAGATGGCTCTCACCTTTGACCCTTTCAATCTATTCTTCACAAAGCAGCCAAAGCGATCTTTCTAAAATACAAATCAGATCATGTCACTGCTCTGCTGTAAATCCTACCAAGGGTTCACATTCCAAGTAGAAAAAAAAACCCAAACTCTTTCCTGTGGCTTACACAAAACCCTACATGATCTAGCCCCTGCCTACCTCTGGGACCTTATCTCTTCCCACTTTTCTCCTTGCTTGCTCCGCTCCAGCCACACTGGCCTTCTGTCTACCAGATACACATTCATGGTTTTTTTCTCATTAAAATGTAAGCTCCATGAGAGCAAGGCCACTGCTGTAACCCTTGGGCCTAGCAGAGTGCCTGGCATGTGAAAGACATTCAAGAAATATCTGTGAGACTAAGCAGGACTGCTTTGTTAAGGAGTCCCAGGTTTGAATATAGGGCTATGGGACTCTGGATTCCCCTTAAAATCTATTTTAGTGTCTCACAAAACTTTTCGCTAAACTCACCTTTTCAAAGTCACCTATTCAAACAGATCAAAGATCTCCACTGTGGGAGGAATGCCAAGGGCCGGGGTCAAGATCCCAAGGAACTAATTCTAGCTCTACCTCTACTAGCTGTGAGATCTTTAGCAAGGCACTTAGCTTCTCTGTTCTTTGGTCTCCCCATCTGTAAAATATGAGCATTATGTATATCTCCAAGGTCCCTTCTAGTGCTGATATGTCAGAACTCCCAAAGCTCTACCCTTAAAGAGGCTTTTTAGCAGCAAGGGGAGACTCTTCCCAGTTCTTGGGGCCATGCAAACACTTACTGTTGCAAATCCGCACTCCACCTTGCTGATTTTTTCAATGGATTCCACAGCATCTCTTCCGAGTTCTAGGAGGGTGGGATCCCCCGTGGCACGGTAGAGGTACATTGCGCTTTCAATAAGTTCTGCAAAGTCCAAAGCAGACCCTCCTCACTCAGTGGCTGCACAGAGATGGCCTGGGGCCTCTTAGGGCCGTGAGGGACTACTCCCCTCCATATCTTGTCCATAAGGCCCCAACTAGCAGGAACACAGGATACCTCACCCAGTGCTGAGTTTCAGAGCCAGTATACCCAAAGCTTGAAGCTCAGTGGAGACCAGCATTAAGGCTGACCAGTGACTTCCACCACAAGGGAGAGAAAGGTGGCCAGGTTCTGGCATAGAGAAGGTGGCGGAGGTTGTTGCCTAATTCCCAATATCTGTTCCCCGCTTCCTCCTTAGTAGCAGGATTCCTAACTTTAGCTAAGCACAGGCTGCCTGGCTGCCAACACTAACTATTCTAACAGCTAGGTGGGATTAAGGACACCATGGCGAGCCATATAAGCCCAGAACATGAGAGAGAAATACATTTCTATCCTAATTAAGCTACTATTTTTTTTCCTGTCACTCAGAGTCTAACCTAATTCTAAAACTCAAAAGAAGAGTAAGAGCTTGGCATCATAAGGCTCGTTCTAAGATAGGATGGACCAAAAGAAAAGGCTGAGATATCCAAGAGCAGGCCAGGCATGGTGGGTGGCTCATGCCTGTAATCCCAGCACTTTGGGAGGCCAAGGTGAGAGGATCGTTTGAACCCAGGAGTTTGAGACCAGCCTGGGCAACATGGCGAGATCTTGTCTCTACAAAAATTAAAAATGATTAGCTGGGTGTGGCATGCACCTGTAGTCCTAGCTACTCAGGAGGCTGAGGTAGGAGGATCACTTGAGCCCAGGAGTTTGAGGCTGCAGTGAGCCATGATTAAGCCACTGCGGCACTCCAGCCTGGATGACAAGAGTGAGACCTTATCTCAAAAAATAAAAATTAAAAAAATAAAATAAAATAAACCACCAAACCGTCAATCTAACAAAGACGTAGTCATCAGTTCACTGTGGCCAGAAAAAGTGATGTTTTGTCTTGCCCAATTCTATGCCACAACTGGAACTTGATGTTAAGACATGAGCTCTACCTTAAGATGAATATTAGCCAACAGGAGTGGGTCCAGATGAGAATATTTATTCTAGAGATAAGGAAATCCAAAAAAAATGTGTTTATTGCTTTCAAATACCTGAAGAACTGTTGTAGAGTTGACTTCAAGGGTGGCCTCAGCTCAGTATGTTTTTCTACTTCATCCATCTTTTCTAAGAGACAGAAGAACCCCTGTCTCCTTTCTATACCATCATCTCCCCCTGACCTTCTCCTGTCCTGTTTCCTCCTGGGCTTGATCAGTGCTTCTGTCCCTTTTGGCTTATTGCTGCAAACTCTGGTTCTTATTTTATTCCGTTAATTACTTTTTTGTGACAGAGTCTCACTCTGTCACCCAGGCTGGAGTGCCATGGTGCGATCTCCGCTCACTGCAACTCTGCCTCCTGGGTTCAAGGGATTCTCATGCCTCAACCTCCCAAGTAGCTGGAATTACAGGCATGCGCCACCAGCCCTGACTAATTTTTGTATTTTTAGTGGAGACAGGGTTTCGCCATGTTGGCCAGGCTGGTCTCAAACTCCTGACCTCAAGTCATCCGCCAGTCTTGGCTTCCTGAAGTGTTGAGATAACAGGCGTGAGTCACTGCACCCAGCCTCTAGTTCTTATTTTAGAGAAAAGGTCTCTGCCTATCTCCCCAGTTCTCTCTTACTTCCTCCTCCCCTCTCCTCACAGGCCTCTAGACAATTGCTAATCTAATTGCTCATATTCTAAGGCACAGACTAGGGTACATTCATTACTAGATGAACACATTCTGTGTGTTCAAAGGCAGAAAAGACAGTGCCCTCATGGGAGGCCTCCTCTTCTGCTTCTTTTTTCGGCTTCTTCTTTTTTTTTTTTTTTTTTTTTTGAGAGGGAGTTTTGCTGTGTTACCCAGGCTAGAGTGCAATGGCATGATCTTGGCTCACTGCAACCTCTGCCTCCCAGGTTCAAGCAATTCTCCTGTCTCAGCCTCCTGAGTAGCTGGGACTACAGGCACATGCCACCGTGCCCGGCTAATTTTTGTATTTTTAGTAGAGACAGGGTTTCGCCATATTGGTCAGGCTGGTCTCGAACTCCTGACCTCAGTTGATCCACCGCCTTGGCCTCCCAAAGTGCTGGGATTACAGGCGTGAGCCACCACACCCAGCCCTCTTCTGCTTCTAGCAGCTGGTGGGCCAGTGCCCTCATGACCAGCCATCACGCTTCTCTCCTCACATGTGGGCCTCCTAAGCATGTTAGTTATTGCTTTACTTTCCTGTGCATCTGACCAACTCTGTCGAGCAGTGGTCCCCAACCGTTTTGGCACCAGGGACCAGTTTCATGGAAGACAATTTTTCCATGAACTGGGCTTGTAGGAGATGGTTTTGGGATAATTCATGTGCATTACATTTATTGTGCACTTTATTTATATTATTATTACATTGTAATATATAA
Source organism: Homo sapiens (assembly GCF_000001405.40). Taxonomy (NCBI): domain Eukaryota; kingdom Metazoa; phylum Chordata; class Mammalia; order Primates; family Hominidae; genus Homo; species Homo sapiens. The sequence goes on from NC_000020.11 coordinate 35,121,182, forward strand.
TGAAATAATTATACAATCCACCATAATGTAGAGTCAGTGGGAGCCCTGAGTTTGTTTTCCTGCAACTAGACAGCCCTATCTGGGGTTGATGGATGACAGTGACAGATCATCAGGCATCAGCTTCTCCTAAGGAGCACACAACCTAGATCCCTCACATATGCAGTTCACAATAGGGTTTGTGCTCCTATGAACGTCTAATGCCACCACGGATAAGACAAGAGGCGGAGCTCAGGCAGCAATGTGAGCGATGAGGAGCAGCTATAAATATAGATGAAGCTTTGCTTGCTCACACGCAGCTCACCTCCTGCTGTGTGGCCTGGTTTCTAACAGGCCATGGACTTGTACCGGTCCACGGCCTGGGGGTTGGGGAATCCCTGCTCTAGAGGAAGGAGACAGCCCAAAGTTCAGATTTGGACTTAGAGGAAGGTAAAAGCCTGCAGAGGCCTTTAGGCTAGGCTCTGTGCTCCAACACTGCTGATCAGAGAGACATATACGAAAGTACAGGGCTCTGGCCAATTTAGTGAAAGAGTAGTCCTTATCTCCTATTTGCCATTGTTTTGGGGTAGGAGGGATGACTGGATTAACGCACTCCTGGATTCCTGACAGCGGTGCCTTATGTTTTTTTTTTTTGGAGACAGGGTCTCACTCCATTGCCCAGGCTGGATTGCAGTGGCGCCATCATGGCTCACTGCAGCTACGACCACCTGGGCTCAAGTGATCCTCCCAGGTAGCTGGGATGGGACTACAGGCATGCAACACCACTCTTGGCTAATTTATTTATATTTCTTATAGAGACAAGGTCTTGCTATGTTGCCCAGGCTGATCTTGAACCCCTGGGCTTAAATGATCCTCCTGCCTCAGGCTTCCAGAGTGCTGGGATTACAGGCATAAGCCACTGCATCTGGCCAGTAGTGTCTTACTTTCCATGAATGCCTTCCTGCCAGCCTGTCCCAAATGGAACAGGTTGCCTCTGTTAAGTAGCAAGCTCCTTGTCACTCGTGGTAACTAAGCAAAAACTAGATAACCACTTGACAGGGCCATATTAGGAAAATTCCAATTAGAACACCTCTCAGGTTCCCTCTAACCCTAAGATTGTGCAAGCCTATGTCTTACATTTAGTTCCAAACCCTAATCTTTACCTGTTGGTAACACCAGATACGATACCTTCTCAGAGCTTCTTATTTTTAAAATTTACTTATTTATTTTTTTGAGATGGAGTTTTGCTCTTTTTTGCCCAGGCTGGAGTGCAATGGCGTGATCTCAGCTCACTGCAACTTCTACCTCCCGGGTTCAAGCGATTCTACTGTCTCAGCCTCCCCAGTAGCTGAGATTACAGGTGCACGCCACCATGCCCAGCTAATTTTGTATTTTTAGTAGAGATGGGGTTTCACCATGTTGGCCAGGCTGGTCTCAAACTCCTGACTTCAGGTGATCCACCTGCCTTGGCCTCCCAAAGTGCTGGGATTACAGGCGTGAGCCACCATGCCCAACCAAGTTTCCTGTTTTAAAAACATGCCATGAGAACAAATGCATGAGAAACATCAATAACAGTGGCCTCTAAGGAGTCAAAAGTTGATGAATTTGCTCTTTATTCCCTCTCCTGGTCCCCTCTACACCTCCTACGATAATCACTTGAGTTAGAAGAGGAAGGAAATGGGGTAGAGGAAGGCAGGATAACCAGAAGGCCTGTCCCATGGCTAAAAGGCAATTCAGGTGGGAAAGTGGGAAGTGTCTAAGACAATGGGCTCATAGCCTGTTTTGGGGTGGGGGATGACTATGTGTGCTGACTAAGCTTCCTTCCTTTGTCCCTCTTTTTCTTTCCCTCCTCACAATTTTCAGCTTCCCTGAAGTGAATCAAATGACATTAGGGCTAGAAAGGAACCTATGAGAGTGTCTCAAATATAGTCCTTTGCTTGATTCTGAGCTGCAAATGGGGAGGTGGAAGAGACTAGGTAATTCCTAAGGTCCGCCCCAAAGTTCTAACATTCCATACACGTAAGCATAATTTATCTGACCCATGGACTTAGGAAGCTTGCCTACACTTCTGAAATCCTGATGGCAGGAGCTCAAAAGGAGTCAACCTTGGCCTTTTCCTTCTCACTCATTTCCTGATTTGAAAGAGCATATGGGGCCAGTCGCAGTGGCTCACATCTGTAATCCCAGCACTTTGGGAGGCCAAGGTGGGCGGATCACCTGAGGCTGGGAGTTCAAGACCAGCCTGACCAACATGGAGAAACTCCATCTCTACTAAAAATACAAAATTAGCTGGGCATGGTGGCTCATGCCTGTAATCCCAGCTACTCGGGAGGCTGAGGCAGGAGAATCGCTTGAACCCAGGAGGCGGAGGTTGCGGTGAGCCGAGATCACACCATTGCACTTCAGTCTGGGCAACAATAGCGAAACTCCATCTCAAAAAAATAAAAATAAAAAAGAGCATGCAATTTAGTTAGGAGCCCTGGGTTCCAGGCCTAGCTCCTGCACTTAAGAGCCAGAGGCGAGCCATTTCATCCCACTAGGCCTCAGTTTCCATATCTGAAAACATGGGGATAATTAACTCCTAGTAAGAAAACCACCCAGAGCCACTGAAAGGAACAGATGGAAAGAAATGAACTTGTGGGCAGTTGTGGAGGATGGAGCCTTGTAGAGGGGATTTGGGGTTTCAGCAACCAGAGCCTGTGGGCAGATGACAAGCCAGAAATGCTGCTCACCTGGCCGAAGTGGGTAGCCCTCTCGCTTCTCCACTGTGTATCCCTGAGGAATGTTGTAGAATTCCGGGAGCCCCCCAAACTGCTTCCATACAGTGTAGTAGTTGAGGAAGGTCCTCATGGCATTGTCAATGTCTCCAATGAGGCTCTGTGGGAGAAAGTGGCTGTCAGGCAGGTAGACACCAGGCATAAAACCCCACAGACAACCTTAAGAAAAGACAAAGTAAAATCTGTGGGGCCAAAAAGGCCTTGAATCAATCCCTGAGTCTGCCAGTTACTCAGTGTGGTGCTGAGCCAGGCACTGGACTTCTCTGAGCCCCATCTATAAAACGTAAAATACACCACCTATCTCATGCATTGTTGGAAGGAACAAAGATTGTATATTAAGTCCCTAAATCTTCAGAGTCAATGTCAGCTAACAGTTTTGGAATTCGGCCAGCCAGTTAAAAATTCTAAGAATAGAGAAAAGTTTGTGCTAAGGCTCACTCCCACACCACACCCCCAAAAGATAACCATTTTTGTTTTTGTTTTTGAGACAGGGTCTCGCTCTGTCACCTAGGCTGGAGTGCAGTGGCACAATCACGGTTCATTACAGCCTTGACCTCCTGGGCTCAAGAGATCCTCTCACCTCAGCCTCCCAGTGCTAATTTTTTTATTTTCTGTAGAGATGGGGGTCTCACTTTGTTGCCCAGGCTGGTCTTAATCTCCTGGGCTCAAGTGATCCTCCTACCTCAGCCTTCCAAAGTGCTGGGATTACAACCATCACCCATCTTGCCTGGCCTCAGATAAACATTACTGGTTTCTTGTATAACCTTTCAGAGTTTCTTTATGCATGAGTATATGTTATTTTCCCCACACTAAAAAATAGCCTTTGGTTCTTTATTAATAGGGATATTAATTATCTCCATATTTTTAGATATGGAAATTTGGCTTTCAGATATTTTTATTTGAATTGGTTCCAACAACTAATGTGGCAATAAATAATTCTGTATATATGTCACATCAAATAGATGTAAAATGTTATGTGTAAGATACATTTTCAGAATTAGGATCACTGGGTCAAAGGATATATGCATTTATAATTTTACCACTATTGCTAAGTAGCCATTACTATTAATGTAATCTCACAGGGAAGCAGCTGACCCTGACATCTTCATTGGATGTCTCATGGACAGAACAAACTTGGCACTTCCTAAACAAAATTCTTGGTTCCCTTACTTTCCCACGAAATTGCCTCCCTACTTTGGCCTTTTTCCCTTCTTGGTAAATGACACAATGTCTACCTGGTTATTCTGGATAGAAACCCGGTGGCCACTTTTTTTTTTTTTTTTTGAGACAGGGTCTCACTCTGTCACCCAGGCTGCAATGGCATGATCATGGCTCACTGCAGCCTTGATCTTCTGGGTTCAAGCAATCCTTCCACTGCAGTCTCCTGAGTAGCTGGGACTACAGGCATGTGCCACCACCCTAGGCTAATTTTTTATTTTTATTTTTATTTATTTATTTTTATTTTTTTGAGACGGAGTCTTGCTCTGTCATCCAGGCTGGAGTGCAGTGGCGCAATCTCAGCTCACTGCAAGCTCCGCCTCCCAGGTTCATGCCATTCTCCTGCCTCAGCCTCCCGAGTAGCTGGGACTACAGGCGCCCACCACCACGCCCAGCTAATTTTTTGTATTTTTAGTAGAGATGGGGTTTCACCGTGTTAGCCAGGATGGTCTCAATCTCCTAACCTTGTGATCCGCCTGCCTCGGCCTGCCAAAGCGCTGGGATTATAGGCCTGAGCCACCGCGCCCGACCTAATTTTTTATTTTTTGTAGAGATGAGGTCTCACTATGTTGCCCAGGTGGGACTACTTTTTCTTAAAACTTTTAAAAACGTAGATTATAAAAACATTTTGGTACATGCACTATTTTGGAACACCAAAGTGGGGTAGATTAGATAAGCTCTAAGATCCTTCCAGCTGCAACTCTACCAGACCATGTAATGGAAAAACAACGAGATGGCACAGCGGCACAAGCTGCTTCCTGCCCTTCCTGAGGCCCACTGTCAAGAATGAGATTGGACAGAAACGCCCAGTGGAGAAACACCTGTTGCCAATGGCCATTCCTGCCCAGACTGGAAATGCACTGTCGACTTTAAGTACTGTAACACTCCATGGCAAACTGGAAGCTCAGTTCCTGACACTCAATTTGGCAGAACTCTAAATCTATCTAATTCACTCTAGGTCTCTCTTCCATCCTCAACCTGTCCCTCCAAAAAAAGTACTCAAGCAATTAACAAAGTACATTATTTGACTTATACATCAGAATGAGCTTGCTTTGCCAGACTCATAGAAAGATGATCACATTCTTTGATCATTCCTACCTGAAGACCAGGCCAGTAGGCCTCCAAGGACTGGAAGACTGGCATGGACACAGTCCCCTTGTACATCTGAACCCACAGGTACCAGTCATCGAAGCGGGTGTAGTTCCGGATGGCTTTGTTATACTCTGCAGTGGGGGAGATGGGATAATGGACATATGAGTGATTAGGGAGAAAAAAGGCAGGCCTGGACAGCGGAAGCGAGAACTTACACTTTGGAAAGAGCACCAGGATGCAATGAGGCAAGGAGGCTAGACAAGAGCATGGATTCTGGAGTCAAACTTCCAGCTCAAATTCCAGCTCCAGCTCTACCACTTGCTAACCGTGACCTGGGGTGGGTTTTTCCCTTTTAAGCCTCAGCCTTATGATCTATAAAATGGGGAGGCCAGGCGTGGTGGCTCACATCTATAATCCCAGCACTTTGGGAGGCCGAGGTGGGCGGATCACCTGAGATTGGGAGTTCGAGACCAGCCTGACCAACACGGAGAAACCCTGTCTCTACTAAAAATACAAAATTAGCCAGGTGTGGTGGTGCATGCCTGTAATCTCAGCTACTTGGGAGGCTGAGGAAGGAGAATTGCTTGAACCCAGGAGGCGGAGGTTGCTGTGAGCTGAGATCGCACCATTGCACTCCAGCCTGGGCAACAAGAGTGAAACTCCATCTCAAAAAGAAAAAAGCAGAAAATAATTGATGTGGTTTGGCTGTGTCCCCACCTAAATCTCACCTTGAATTGTAGCTCCCATATTTCTCACGTGTTGTGGAAGGGACCTGGTGGGAGATAATTGAATCATGGGGGCCGTTTCCCCCATACTGTTCTCATGGTAGTGAATAAGTCTCACAAGATCTGATGGTTTTATAAGAGGTTTCCCCTTTCACTTGGCTCTCATTCTCTCTTGCCTGCACCATGTAAGATGTGCCTTTCGCCTTCCGCCACGATTGTGAGGCCTCCCCAGCCATGTGGAACTGTGAGTCCATTAAACCTCTTTTTCTTTATAAATTACCCAGTCTTGAGTACGTCTTTATCAGCAGTGAAAATGGTCTAATACAGTAATGTTAGGTATCTGTGGAATTTTTCAGTCATTTATTTATACCACAAACATTCGCTAAGCACCTACTAGGTTCCAGGCTCCTATGAGTTTGTAAACAAGACAAAATCCAGCCTTCAGAGAACTTACATTCTAGTAGGAACTTGAATTTATCCCTCATATCTCTCCCCTAGATTGTAAATCCATGAGGCCTGGGACTTTGTTTTGTCTACTGCAGAATCCCCCACACTAGTACAATGAGCAATAAACATTTTCTGAATGAACAAAGTACCAAATATACATGCAAATAAATAAGATAATCTCAAACAGGAGTTGTAAGGATTATATGAAACAGTCCATGTTCAGAGCTTGGCACAATGCTTGGTACATCCGTGGTATTCAATAAATATTTGTTGAATAAATGAGTAAAGTAGTCCCCCCTTATGTGAGGAGAATACGTTCCAAGACCCTCAGTGGATGTCTGAAACCATGGATAGTACTAAATAAACTCTATATACAGTCATGTGCCATATAACAACATGTTGGTCAACACTGAACTGTAGAGATGGTGGTCCTATAAAATTATAATAGAGGTGAAAAATCACCACAGCCTAAAGATATCACAGCTGTTGTAATTTTATAATGCAATGCATTACTTACTTGTTTGTGGTGATACTGGTGTAAACACACCTACTGTGCTGCCAGTCATAAAAGTATAACACATACAATTATGTATAGTACGTGATATTTAATAAACAACCATTTACGCGTTTATGTATTTACTATATTATTATCATTAGATAACTCCTTCCTCTTATATAAAAAAAGTCGGCTGGGCGTGGTGGCTCACACCTGTAATCCCAGCACTTTGGGAGGGCGAGGTGGGCGGATCACGAGGTCAGTGTTAGACCATCCTGCCTAACACGGTGAAACCCCATCTCTACTAAAAATACAAAAAAATTAGCTGGGTGTGGTGGCGGGCGCCTGTAATCCCAGCTACTCGGGAGGCTGAGGCAGGAGAATGGCGTGAATCCGGGAGGTGGAGTTTGTAGTGAGCGGAGATCACACCACTGCACTCCAGCCTGGGCAACAGAGCAAGACTCTGTCTCCAAAAAAAATAAAAACAAAAACAAAAATTAGCTGGGCGTAGTGGTGGGTGCCTATAATCCCAGCTGCTCAGGAGGCTAAGACAGGAAAATCACAGGAGAATTGAACCTGGGAGGCGGAGGTTGCAGTGAGCCGAGATGGTGCCACTGCACTCCAGCCTGGGCAACATAAGCAAAACTCTGTCTAAAAAAAAAAAAAAAATGAAACAGCTTCAGGCAGGTCCTTCAAGGAATTCCAGAAGGCATTGTTATCAATCATCTGAGATAACAACAGTTCTGTGAGTGTTACTGCCCCCAAAGACCTTCTAGCAGGATAACATGGGGAAGTGGAAGACAGTGATATTGATGATACTGACCCTAGGCCTAGGCTAATGTGTGTTTGTAGCTTAGTTTTTAACAAAAAAGTCTAAAAGGTGAAAACAAAATAAAAAACTAAAAACAGAAAAAAACTTAGAGAATAAGGATATAAATAAAATATTTCTGTATAGCTGTACAATGTGTTTTAAGCTAAGCATTATTACAAATGAGTCAAAAAGTTTTTTAAAATTTTAAAGTTCATAAAGTAAAAAAGTTACAGTAAGCTAACGTTAATTTATTATTGGAGGCCAGGCATGGTGGCTCACGCCTCTAATCCCAGCACTTTGGGAGGCCAAGGTGGGTGGAGATCACCTGAGATCAGGAGTTTGAGACCAGCCTGGCCAACATGGTGAAAACCCATCCATCTCTACTAAAAATACAAAAATTAGGCCAGGCACGGTGGCTCACGCCTGTAATCCTAGCACTTTGGGAGGCCGAGGCGGGTGGATTGCCTGAGCTCAGGAGTTCAAGACCAGCCCGGGCAACACAGTGAAACCCCATCTCTACTAAAATACAAAAAATTAGCTGGGCATGGCAGCGTGCACCTGTAATCCCAGCTACTCGGGAGGCTGAGGAAGGAGAATTGCTAGAACCCGGGAGGCAGAGGTTGCAGCGAGCCGATATTGCACCACTGTACTCCAGCCTGGGCAACAGAGTGAGACTCTGTCTTTAAAGAAAAAAAAAATCAGCCAGGCATGGTGGTGGGCGCCTGTAATCCCAGCTACTCAGGAGGCTGAGGCAGGAGAATCACTTGAACTGGGGAAGCAGAGGTTGCAGTAAACCAAGATCATGCCACTGCACTCCAGCCTGGGCAACAGAGCAAGACTCTATCTCAAAAAAAAAAAAAAAATTTATTACTGGAGAAAGAAAAAAAAATTTAAATAAATTTAGTATAGCCTAAGTGTACAGTATTTATAAAGTTTACAATAGTGTAATGTCCTAGACCTTGACATTCACTCACCACTCACTGACTCACCCAGAGCAACTTCCTGTCCTGTGAACTTCATTCATGTGCCCTTTTATACTGTATTTGTACTGTACTTTTTCTATGTTTATATACATACTTACCATTCTATTACAATTGTCTATAGTATTCAGTAGAGTAACATGCTGTACAGGTTTGTAGCCTAGGAGCAATAGGCTACACCATATAGCCTAGGTGTGTAGTTGGCTATACCATCTAGGTTTGCTTAAGTACACCCTATGATGTTTGCACAATGATGAAATCACCTAACGATGCAATTCTCAGACTATATCCCTGTCATTAAGCAATGCGTGACTACTGTTTTCCTATACATACACATCTATGAGAATTCTTAATTCATTAAATTTTTAAAAATTTTTATTTTTGAGACAGGGTCTTACTCTGTCACCCAGGCTGAAATGCAGTGGTATGATCACGGTTCACTGCACCCTTGACCTCCCAGGGTCAAGCAATCCTTCACCTTGGCCTCCCAAGTAGTGGGGACTACAGGCACGCACCATCATGCCCAGCAAATTTTTTTTTATTTTTTGTAGAGACGAGGTCTCACCATGTTGCCCAGGCTGATCTTGAACTTCTGGGGTCAAGCAATTCTCTCGCCTCAGCTTCCCAAAGCACTGGGATTAAAGGCATGAGCCACTGTGCCTAGCCGAAAAAGTTTAATTTATAAATTAGGCATGGGAAGAGATTAACAACAATAACTAATAATAAAGCAGAACAAGTATAACAATATATGTTATAGAAGTTATGTGAATTTGTCTTTTTGGTAAGAGACAGGAAAAAAAGAAATTATGTAAATTTAGTGCCTCAAAATATCTTTGTTTTTTTAGAGAGGGGGTCTTACTATATTGCCCAGGCTGGTCTCAAACTCCTGGCCTCAAACAATCCTCACTTCCAAAAAACTGGGACTACAGGCGTGAGCCACTGCACCCAGCCTCAAAATATCGTATCTGACTGTACTCACCTATTTTCAGACTGCAGTTGACCATGGATAACTGAAACCATGGAAATCAAAACTGTGGATAACGGGGGACTACTGTAGCTATAATAATAATAGTAATTAGGTGCTCAACAATTCCTCAAGATTGCTAGTGTCTAAGGGCCTGGCGGGTAAGATGTATTTATTCAACAGGTATTAATCTATTACCTACCACATGTAAAGCACTGTGGGGAACATAAGATGAGTAAGGCATGGATTCTGCATTCAATTTGTAGAGCTGTAACTGTTGATGAGAGCTAACTGCAAGAAAGATGCTGAAGGTCCCAAATTCTGTAGAAGGATCAAGCTACTTCCTGGGCAAGGCGACATTTAAGTTAGGCTTTGAAGGGTGAAAAGAATTTGGACATAGGAAGACAGGAAAAAAGACATTCTAGGCAAAGAAGATGCCATGTGCAATGGCCAGGAGATAAGAAATCCAGGGCTACATACACAGAATGCAGCACGCTTCAGTTGGCTTTTGCAAGAAGGCATCAAGTGCTGTAGTGGGCATGAAGTGGGCAGTGTAAGTCCATAGTGACTCTGAATTCAGAACTGATTCTGCAGGCACTCAGGCCAGGCGTGGTGGCTCACACCTGTGATCCCAACACTTTGGGAGGCCAAGGCGGGCAGATCACCTGAGGTCCGGAGTTTGAGACCAGCCTGGCCAACATGGTGAAACCCCGTTTCTACTAAAAATACAAAAATTAGCTGGATGTGATGGTGTGCGCCTGTAGTCCACACCATCACATGCCCAGCTACTCAGGAGGCTGAGGCATGAGAATCACTTGAACCTGGGAGGCAGAGGTTGCAGTGAGCCTAGATTGTGCCACTGCACTCCAGCCTGGGAGATGGAGCAAGACTCTGTCTCAAAAAAAAGTTTTTAAACAAATCACACATCAGCAAGAAAAATGAGGGGAAAAGCTCCCTTACTCTGCCATTTTTACCTAGGAACATGGCCATGAGCTTCTTATCCTGAAGCAGGATGGCTCCTTTCACCAAGTACTCAAAGTAGGAGTCCACGCCAGCCCCGATGCCTGCGTCCTGGGCCACCCACTTGCCAGTGAGCACATCAATGTGGTTGCCGACCTGAGAGAGAGAAAGACACACGGTCCCAACGGGAAGGCCGATGGCCAAAGAAGGATCTACTCACCCCCAACCCTGACTGCCCAGGGAGATGCAGGGCAGGTGCCCCAGTGCTTCTTGGGAAACATGCAGACCCTGAGAGGGAAGGGCAATGCTGGATCATGGCCAGCCTTCCTGTACATCTGCATAGTAGAGATGCATCTCATGCACATTTATGAGGACTTAATTATACACATTGAGCAAAAAATGAAAAAGAAAAATGATTTGGAGTGTTTATGTCCTGCCTAGAGTGAGTGTGAGATGGGAGATGAGAATTTGCTGTTGCCGCAATCTGTCTGATTTCTCAGCACCCAGCATGTGATTCCACTATCTGAAGACACAGACGTGCTTTACGTATTTCCATAAATTAACTCAATAAGAACATCCACCAAGAAGCTGACAGAGTGGTTCTAAGGAGAGAAACCGAATAGCTGGAGACAGGGGCAAAAGGGGACTTCACCAATGTCACTGAGTACCCTTTTTTGTATCCTTTGACTTTTTTTTTTTTAATTGTTCAGTCTCTGTAGAGACTGTGAAAAATTGGCAATGCCGGCCAGGCGCGGTGGCTCATGCCTATAATCCCAGCACGTTGGGAGGCTGAGGGGGGCAAAATCACTGGAGGTCAGAAGTCCGAGACCAACTTGGCCAACATGGTAAAACCCTGTCTCTAATAAAAACACAAAAATTAGCCAGGCATGGTGGTGTGTGCCTATAATCCCAGCTACTCAGGAGGCAGAGGCATGAGAATCACTTGAACCCAAGAGGGGGAGGTTGCAGTGAGCCGAGATCGTGCCACTGCACTCCAGCCTGGGCGACAGGGGGAGACTCTGTCTCAAAAAAATAAACAAAGATACGTATTTTTCTATTTTATTGTATTTATTTTATTTTTTGTATTTTTAGTAGAGACATGGTTTCTCCCTGTTGGTCAGGCTGGTCTCGAACTCCCGACCTCAGGTGATACGCCTGCCTTGGCCTCCCAAAGTGCTGGGATTACAGGCGTGAGCCACTGCGCCCAGCCAAATATATGTATTTTTCATATGGCTTAGACCCTCATGGAAGCTGGTAACTTCATCTGGTACTCAAAGAAATAGCTAACTGTTCCGCGTTGGTTTGTGTCCCCCCAGGAGCACAACCTCATTCTGCCTGAAAGTAGTTGATTTGGAAGGTAAGTCCTTGTAAACACCAGTAGAGGAGGGGGAAGTGAGGCAGGGCAAGGGAGGCGGCATTTAAGGGGTATGCCATCAGGCAGGTTTCCACCATGGGAACTGGAGTTCAATCTTGCTGGGGAGCTTAGGAATTCAGTGTAGAGCTCCAGCTTCGGAGTGATCCCACCCAAGGGGCAGGGAACTGGAATGTTTATCCACCAACTCCCATCAGTATCAGTTACCGGCTTGAGAGCTACTCATGGGTAGCATTAAATCCTGGTACCCTCAGCCAAAGGCAAGCAGAGTGGCTCCAGGCACCAGAGGAGACCCACAGGCAAAGAGGCGCAGGTGATGGCAGTTGGAAGACTGGCCAGTGTGCATGGAAATGTTAAGAGTTGAGAGGATATGGGCATGGCACCAACAGAGTCTACTACGGTCCCACTGCTGGAGCAAAACCTGCCTGAGATGGACTAAGGGATTTACTACAGGTCTCCAGCGGGGCACCTTTTTTTTTTTTTTGAGATGGAGTTTCGCTCTTGTTGCCCAGGCTGGAATGCAATGGCGCGATCTCGGCTCATCCCAACCTCCACCTCCCAGGTTCAGGCAATTCTCCTGCCTCAGCCTCCCAAGTAGCTGGGATTACAGGCATGCACCACCACGCCCGGCTAATTTTGTATTTTTTAGTAGAGATGGGGTTTCTCCATGTTGGTCAGGCTGGTCTCGAACTCCCAATCTCAGGTGATCCGCCCGCCTCAGTCTCCCAAAGTGCTGGAATTACAGGCGTGAGCCACCGCACCCAGCCTTAGGGGGGCACCTTCTTAAGGGATTTTCGGGGAGTCCTCACACAAGCTTTACTTTTCAAGCTGGATTAGCACCAGACTGCATAAAATGTGCCTAGACCTAAATGCAGTCTTCCTAAGTCAGAGTGACTCAGCAAAGTTGGTATTAATATATTAACGTTACTGCTGAAGTAACTGAGGACCAGAGAGGTTGAGTGACTTGCTCAGGGTCACACAGTTTCGATGTAGCAAGGCCAGGGCTTGAATCCAGTTCTGACTAAATCCAGTGTTATGTCCTGGATGGCTTTGGCTCAATTACTGTTAATCTTATTGATTATCCCATTTAGAAGCTGAAACTGACCTTAGAGATCATCTGGTCCAAAGTGTGTTCAATTTCCATGGGTTAATAGTACTGGAAGATAAAGGGAAGCTCTGGTGTTAAATAAGTTTGGGAAATGTTAAATTAAACAAAGTTGAATAGATTTCTTTACTAGAGGATTTTTATTCTGCTCATGTGCATTCTGACTCTCCAAAAAAGGGGGGGATATTATATCTAATATTCCCCTAACTTAATTGGCCAAGACTCATTTTTTCATGCAACTGCCACTCAGTATCTCTCAGAACCGGTGTCCTAAGAAACACAGCAAATACAGATAGACGCTAAAAATGAAGGCCGGACGAGCTGATGATCTGAAGCCGTCAAGTGAGTCAGGGGCATGAAACATACGACCCTCTTCCTAGAAATCAGAGAATCTCAACTGGTCAAAGCTGAATGCAGCCCCTGCTGCCTGCCAGAAACGTGCTTTCCCACTCTCCTCCCCACTCCAAGCCAAACTTGAATTGGAGGCTTGGTCTATTTTTGGTGTCCTGAGCCCAAATCCTGGACCACTCCCAAGGTCACCCTAAGTTTTCCTTGGCTTGACTGCAACTTATTGCTCAGAGCCCTGGGCCTCGTAAGCAGGGACTCAAACAGGAAGGGCAGCAGCGAACCTACCAGCCCGATATCTGACCGGCTCTCCCAGAGGCGCATCAAAGCCACTCTGGCCACATCTTCGAACACCGGGTCACCAGTGAGGCTGCTCAGGGTGGCAAATTCAACAATGAAGGTCCCAATCCCTGCCGTACAGGTGACAGGGGTCTCTCCTGGGTTCACGCCATGAAGTAAGTTCACTGTTCCATATGGCATGCCAGTGGGGGTCTGAAAGGCTGAACAATCGACAAATTATGATCCCGGACAGGAGCAGGGGGATAGGGATAGTTCTGATACACGCCCAAAGCCTGGGACCTTAGCCAGCACTTCCCTCTTTCTCCTGGGTATCCTGCTAGAGTCTGAGCCAGAGAAAGATAAATGTCATAACTGGAGGGCCCTGAGCAGCCACCCAGCCCAGATGCTGTCAAACACTGCTCTGCATAACCTTGGGTTCCTGCTCATCATGAGGGGGCAGGGAGCAGGCTGTGCTCCACACACACTCGCTTTAGCTAGAGAGCTTTACCTATTTTTATTTATTTTACACTACGCCTTCAAAGCCCAGGCAGGTAACTTATTGTGATGCAGGCAGGGTTTAAGCCACAGAAAGTGGTGGGGCTTGTGGCACAATGACAAGAGTAAGCCCCGTTCAAAGCCATTCATAGACTTTTGGCTCACGCCTATAATCCCAGCACTCTGGGTGGCCAAGGCAGGCAGATCACTTGAGGCCAGGAGTTCGAGACCAGCCTGGCCAACATGGTGAAACCCTATTTCTACTAAAAATACAAAAATTAGGCAAGCGTGGTGGTGCACGCCTGTAATTCTGGCTATCTGGGAGACTGAGGCACGAGAATCGTTTGAACCCAAGAGGCGTGGGCTGCAGTGAGCTGAGATTGCACCACTGCACTCCAGCCTGGGTGACAGAGCGAGACCCTGTCTCAAAATAATAATAATAATAAACAAAGCCATTCATAGACTTTAAATAAAGATCTCTGCTTTAAATAAAGAGTATAGGGGCTAAATTATTTTTAAAGGGAAGCAAAATAGGATATAAACCACTAAACCACGGATATAGTATGACCCTCGATTTATAGGTAGGGAAAACCATGCCTGTAAAGAAGTAATTCAGCCACAGGTCACACAGAGAGAGTCAAACAGAGCTGGGATGGGAACGCCTCCCCTGTGCCCACCCCAGCCCCAGTCCAGTTCTCTGCCCGCCCCACCCAAGTGGCACCCAAGTGCCTTCTGGTTCAAGACGAGAACTGGACAACCAGCCAGAGGCAGAGATTTCCTCTCTGGGCCTAAAGGTCAAACAACTCCAGAGCAGCCTATGCGTCACCAAACTGTGAACAAAGGTGTCGACACTTCCAAGAACCACAGGGTCTAGCAACTGTGTCTGCCACAGACAAGAAACTTGCAATCTGGCAGGCACCAGCGGGAGAGCAAGTCACAACCAGGAAGGGCTCTAAGCAATATTTCAGAAAAAGTCAGGCTGTAATAAAAAGAAGAGGAGTGACAAAATCCTGTTTCTTGACCTTTTTTTATAAAATGACCAATGACCAAAAATAATTAAATTATAAAGGAGGAGCAGCTAGGCAGAGTTTCCAGAGTTTCCTCCAGGGATGAATCACACAGGACACAATGTCTGCAAGGAGACGCTCAAGCCATGAGCCATGAGCCATGAGTGAGACCTGAACCTAGCTCACCCGCTATCCTCAGCTCTCCCCCAAAGGAGAGGCAAGTGCTATGTGAGAAGGATAAAGAGGCCGGGTGTGGTGGCTCACGCCTGTAATCCCAACACTTTGGGAGTCCAAGGCAGATGGATCACTTGATCCCGGGAGTTCAAGACCAGCCTGGGCAACATGGTGAAACCCCATCTCTACAAAAAAAAATTTAGCCATGCATGGTGGCATCTGCCTGTAATCCCAGCTACTCAGGAGGCTGAGGTGGGAGAATCAACTGAGCCCAGAAGTTCGAGAGGCTGCAGTGAGCCATGATCACGCCACTGCACTCCAGCCTGGGCGACAGAGCAAGACCCTGTCTGAAAAAAAAAAAAAAAAAAAAATTAAGAAAGAAAAGGGATAAATAAGTGAGATGGCCAAGAGGTGATGGAAAGCACAGTGTGACGTGTCTGGGTGTGAACAGTCCTCAGAGCCTCCACCACACCCTGAAGGGAACACAGTGTACAGTTGATGCTACTGAGCCTGGTGTTACTGCCCCACTAGACAAAAACATGGAGGCTTGACCTGCAGCCCTGGACACAGCTTAGCCACAAAACAAATCCCTCTCGTTTTAAAAGTGTTGGACGTTCTCTAAGCAGTTTCTCCTTCCTGACCTCATTTTAGCCTCTCCAAAACCCGATGTGGTAGGGAAGTAGAAATTATGATTCTCATTTGATAGATGGGGAAACCAAACTGTGGAGAGAGGCCAGACACAGTGGCTCATGCCTGTAATCCCAGCACTTTGGGAGGCCGAGGCAGCCAGATCACTTGAGGTCAAGAGTTTGAGACCAGCCTGATCAACGTGGCGAAACTTCATCTCTACTAAAAAATACAAAAATTAGCTGGGCATGGTGGCAGGCGCCTGTAATCCCAGCTACTCAAGAGGCTGAAGCAAAAGAATTGCTTGAACCCAGGAGGCGGTGGTTACAGTGACTTGAGATTGTGCCACTGCACTCCAGCCTGGGCGACAGAACAAGACTCCATCACAAACAAACAAACAACAAACTATGAAGAGAAAGAGTGGCTTGGTCACGATGTTGGCTGGCAGAGCTGAGTCTAGAATCCAGGGCTGCTAATGCTCACACCAACACCCTTCCCTGGGCCCCTGTTACTCCAGCAGTGTGTGGAATAACTGTAGTACCTGGAAGGGGACAAATGGGCTCATTCAAAATAAGGGTAATGGCCTTCCACCCACCAGGCTGGCCACCTTCAACCATCCCCTGCAAACAATAATGAGGTCAACTCATCCATCCGGGTCAGGGCCCCAGCAGGCCCTTAAAATGCCCAGGACACTCCTGATTTCCATGGTGGGTGCCTGGTGGGTAGAAAGACCAAATACACCTGGTGAGAAATACCAGGAATTAATTCAGCACTGCCACTCTCATCTTCAGCAAGGGAAGCAGGACCTACTGGACTTCGTCTCTGCCCCATCTCTGTGTGGGTCTTACCTGGGAGGAGTTTTCGGGCCGCCTCCTCAGCCATTCTCAGGAGAGGCCCGGAACAGGGCCATCCAGCCTCTACTTCCACCCCAGCCTTCTTGGAGAGCAGATGAGCAGACAGGAGTCCTCCTACCACTACAGATGGCACAGAAAGCAAATGGCACAGTCCAAAGGGAAAGACCAAGGGATCAAGGATCTTTCCCCTGTGCGAGTTAAACATAAACACTCTATTGTGGGGCGCATGTTCTCAGGACCTCCTGAAGCTATTTCACGGGTAAAAACAAACAAACAAAAACCTCACTCTGTTGGGGTGGCTCACTGGGAAGGAGCTAGAGCCACCCAGCGAAAAAAGAGTCCCTTAATCCCACATATTTCTATGGTGTTAAGTTTATGGGGTTTTCTTCTCTTGGTTCATCACAGGAACAGTGGCTATTTTTTGTAAGTCCCTATTGTGTACCAAGCACTAAGTACTACTGTCCCCTCTTCGTATGAAGATACTGAGGTTCCATGAGATAAAGTGACTTGCCCCAGGTCACCCATCTAGTAGGTGGTAGGGCTGAGTATCTTTGATTCCAAAGCCCATGCTCATTCCATTTGTCACTCTGTCTGTCTCCCAGTCACCTGTCATACCTGGGGGGAAGGGGTAATGATGGTTATTACCTTTATTTTACTAATTTATCTATTTCAACTTATTATGCAATATGTAGAACTTTTTTTTTTTTTTTTTGAGACGGAGTCTCGCTCTGTCACCTAGGCTGGAGTGCAGTGGCGCGATTTCGGCTCACTGCAAGCTCCGCCTCCCAGGTTCACGCCGTTCTCCTGCCTCAGCCTCCCGAGTAGCTGGGACTACAGGAGCTCACCACCATGCCCGGCTAATTTTTTTGGATTTTTTTTTTGTAGACACGGTGTTTCACTGTGCTAGCCAGGATGGTCTCGATCTCCTGACCTCATGATCCACCTGCCTCAGCCTCCCAAAGTGCTGGATTTACAGGCATGAGCCACCGCACCCGGCCTACTTAGAACTTTTAAAAAGACACAAAGGTTCTTGGAAATACAGCTAAATAGATATCCTGAGTGGCCCTCTCAATGAAAATAACTGGTGACCCTAAGTTTCAAAATTCCCCTCCTCCCTGCAGAGGGGGAATAGGAGACCAAGGTCAGACCTGCCCCAAGTGGAAGTCTGATAAAAGGTCCCTATGCAGGCCAGGCATGGTGGCTCACATCTGTAATCCCAGCACTTTGGGAGCCGAGGTGGAGATCACGAGGTCAGGAGATGGAGACCATCCCGGCTAAAATGGTGAAACCCTGTCTCTACTAAAAATACAAAATATTAGCTGGGCGTGGTGGCAAGCGCCTGCAGTCCCAGCTACTTGGGAAGCTGAGGCAGAAGAATGGCTTAAACCCAGGAGGTGGAGGTTGCAGTGAGCCAAGATTGCACCACTGCACTTCAGCCTGGGTGACAGAGTGAGACTCCGTCTCAAAAAAAAAAAAAAAAAGTCTGGGCACGGTGGCTCATGCCTGTAATCCCAGCACTTTGGGAGGCTGAGGCAGGTGGACTGCCTGAGCTCAGGAGTTCGTGACCAGCCTGGTAAACACGGTGAAACCCTGTCTCTATTAAAAATACAAAAAATTAGCCGGGCATGGCGTTGTGCGCCTGTAGTCCCAGCTACTCGGGAGGCTGAGGCAGGAGAATTGCTTGAACCCAGGAGGCGGAGGTTGCAGTGAGCTGAGATCATGACACTGCACTCCAGCCTGGGCGACAGAGCGAGACTCCATCTCAGAAAAAAAAAAAAAAAGAAAAGAAAGAAAGAAAAGAAATCTACATGTATGTACCTTATGGTAAAACTGCAGAACACCAAAGGGAAAAATGATCTCGAATGCAGCCAGAATCCATGTAATAATAATTATTAATGCTGGGTGATGGGCACGTCTGGTTCATTATGCTATTTTCTCTACTTTTATGTTTGAAGTTTTCCATAACAAAAAGTTTTTAAAAGGAGAAGACAGCCAAAGTGAAAACCAAAACAAGATTCTCTACAAATAAATAATAATTACATTGACAGATTACTTCTTAACAATAATGAAACCAGAAGATAATGGAAAAAGTTTTTAACACAATAAGAGAAAGTAACCATCAACCTAGAACCATACACCCAGCAAAAATATCACTCAAAGGCCAACCAAAGGCAGTTGAATAAAGACATTTTCATATAAACAAAAGCTGGGAATGTTTATGAAGCACACACCTGCATTAAAGGAAATTCTAAAGGAAATACTTTAGAGAAAAGGTCTGAGACACGAAAAGAAAAAATAGTCAAAAAAGTGGTAAATAGGCCAGGCACAGTGGCTAAACCTGTAATTCCAGCACTTTGGGAAGCCAAAGCAGGTGGATCACTCAAGATCATGAGTTTGAGACCAGCCTGGCCAATGTGGTGAAACACCATCTCTACTAAAAATACAAAAATTAGCCTGGTGTGGTGGTGCACAACTGTAATCCCAGCTACTCTGGAGGCTGAGGCAGGAGAATCGTTTAAACCCAGGAGGTGGAGGTGAGCCAAGATCGCGCCACTGCACTCCAGCCTGGGTGGCAGAGTGAGACTCTATTTCAAACCAACAACAACAAAAAAAGTGGTAAATTTATGTGTAAATGCAAAACTTCAACAATATAGAACAAAAATTATAATGTATGGAAGGTTTAAAACAAATAACTAAAATATATAACTGTAGCATATAGGTCAGGATGTTCTCTAAGTCAGGTTTTGCATTATTCAGGAGGAGAACAAAGATTTTCATTAAATTTAGACTTTGATAAGTTATGTTTGTTAAATTTGCTTGGAAAACTATGTAAAAAGCTAGATATTGTGCATAATTTCCATATTAGTAAGAGGAAAATGGAATGGGGGGAAAACAATCTAAAGAAGGCATGAAAAAGGACAGAATAAAGGAACATAAAGAAGATGGCACAGGGCCAGGTGCAGTGGCTCACACCTATAATCCCAGCACTTTGGGAGGCTGATGGGGGGCGGATCACCTGAGGTCAGGAGTTCGAGACTAGCCTGGCCAACATGGTGAAACCCCATCTCTACTAAAAATACAAAAATTAGCAGGGCACGGTGGCAGGCACCTGCAATCCCAGCTACATAGGAGGCTGAGACAGGAGAATCGCCTGAACCCGGGAGGCAGAGGTTGCAGTAAGCCAAGATTGCACCACTACACTCCCGCCTGGGCGACAGAGTGAGACTCCGCCTCAAAAAAAAAAAAAAAAAAAAAAAAAAGAAGACGGCACAGAGAGCACAATACTGTAGAAATGAGTGCAAATATATCAGTAATTACAGTAAATGTAAATGGATTAAATGTGCCAGTTAAAGATTGTCAGAATGGATAAACAAAATATAATACACTATTTGCAAAAGATGTATCTAATCATAAAACTACAGAAAGATGGAAAGGATAGAAAAAGATACATGGGAAAATGTCAACCAAAAGAAAGCTGGTATCACTTATATTCCTATCAGAAATAAAGGTATAAGAATGACCTTCATTTACAGATGACAAACTGGGCTCAGAAGCTGGGAGACATAGCAGCAAGTACAGCCTCAAACTCAGGCCGGATTCCTAAACCAGGATTTTAGACCATGTTGTCCCTCTGCTCTCTTCTCTTTTTTAATCTTTTATGGATCATATGTCTGGAATATAAGTTTCATTGCAGAAAACATACAAAATAATGGGGAAAAATAGAACTCTGCCATCCAGAGGTGACAGCTGTTAAGTGGTCTAGAGGTTCGATGCAAATAAGGGCTGTGCTGGCTTCACAAGAATCACTGGAAGTCTGCTAAAAATACTGATTCTAGGACCCAACACAGAGATTCCAATTCATTAGGTTTAGGGTGGAGTCTCAACATCTGAATTTTTTAACCACTTGGGAGTGGTTCCTATGGGCTGCCAAGTTTGGAAGATTAATGCTGTAGATTTGCACTGTCCAATACAATAATCACTAACTACATGTGACTACTTAAATTTAATATCATTAAAATTAAATGAAATTAAAAATTCAATTCCATAGTTGTAGTAGATACATTTCAAATGCTCAATAGCTCATGTGGTTCGTGGCTACCATACTGGACAAAACACAGCTATAAGACATTTCCATCACTGCAGAAAATTGGATTGGACAGACAATAAGTTCCAAGAAGGCAAGGATCATATCTTTCTTGTTCATAGCTGTATGCCTAGTATCAAATACATATTAAAGAGGTGAGTAATCTGGTGTATTTCTTTCCAGTCTCTTAGTCTCCTGCTCACTTTCATATCTGAAACTGATGGGGAAATCCTGAGACTTCCCCACCTCACCCTCCAGGAGGGAAGAAGAGCTCTGTCGGTCAGAGGTTTTGGCCAAGGGTCCTGGCATGGTCAGTCCTTAAAATCCTATTTACCACTTCTTGGTTTACAGAGGCAACTTCACACTCTTTTTTCTTTTAAAGGTCCTAGAGAGCAGCCCTTACCTCGAATGTTTGTTTCAAACACAGAGGCGTTCACATCAATATCAAAGTCCACGCTGTCCTGGAGCACTTCAACCACTCTTTGGAATTCTGAGACATTCCCCAAAATCTGGAAATAAAAAAGAGACCTGACAATGAGGCTCTTACATGCATGGAGGCAGATTCAGAGTCTGGGATCCTATGTTGATGTGGCCCTCACTAATTCCACTTAAGACCTCCAGTTTCTGTCCTAGGATTGGTGACAGCAGAAGAAAACACTGAGAGCTAGAAATCATCTAGAGACTTCATACCAAGAGACTGGTTAAGTAAATTCCTAGGTCCCAATTAAGAGTCACGATGTTGTCATTTAAATGGACACAATATAAAGAACGCAAACTACGCATAGAAGTCTTAGGTTTTTTGTTTCGTTTTTTTGAGACAGAGTCTCGCTCTGCTGCCCAGGGTAGAGTGCAGTGGCGTGATCTTGGCTCACTTCAAACTCCGCCTCCTGGGTTCAAGCGATTCTCCTGCCTCAGCCCCGAGTAGCTGGGATTATGCACCACCATGCCCGGCTAATTTTTGTATTTTTAGTAGAGACGGGGTTTCACCATGTTGATCAGGCTGGTCTCAAACTCCTGACCTCATGATCCACCCGCCTTGGCCTCCCAAAGTGCTGGGATTACAGGTGTGAGCGACCGCACCTGGCCAAAAGTCTTAGTTTGACATTTGCAGTAGATACCAGTTGTCACCTTCAACCTTGTGGAAAACAGAACAGGTTGGTTGGCCCAAAACAAATTCATTCCTACCCTCTTTACCTCATGGCCTCCCACCAGAGGTTGGAAATCCAGAAGCTTTCTCGGCCTCCTTTGCTGCTGCAGTTGATTGTGTTACCCAGTCAATTCTGACCCTTGAGAGGTCTACTGGGGGCACTTCTGGGAAGGCTTCTGTTTTCTTAATACCAAGGGACAAACACAGCTAACATGGCTTTTAGTCTCTCTCTTTCTGCCTTGAACTCAGACTCGATTTCTGAAGTGATGGCAGCTATGTGAGACCATGACGTACTAAGCATTAGAATAAAAGCCAAAACACTAACGATACTAGAATGCAAAGCTACAAAGAGGCTGGTCTCTAATGACACAGTTGCGTAGCTGACCCAATGCTAGAAATTACCTCTAGACTTTCTTTTACTTGAGAAAATAAACCCTCTTTATTTAAACCGTTAGCCAAATGCAATCTCAATCTCTCTTCTTTTGATAGTAACATCTCAATTTACCCTCGAGGAATCACTCTTCCCCGGCAGTCACTCCTGTGGTTTGGGAGAGGCTGATCCCATCCCTCTAGCTGTGGAGTGGGTACTTGACCTGAACCAGTCCAAGTCTTTTTTTTGAGACAGGGTCTTGCTCTGTTACACAGGTTGGAGTGCAGTGGTGTGATCATAGCTCATCACAGCCTCGAACTCTGGGACTTGAGCAATGTTGGCCTCCCAAAGTGCTGGGATTACAGGCATGAGCCACCACACCTGGCCCTTTTTACCTTTCTAAGCATCAGGTTTCTTTTATATCTTTTTTTTGTTTGTGTGAGACAGGGTTTTACTCTGTTACCCAGACCAGAGTGCAGTGGTGCGATCTCGGCTCACTGCAACCTCTGCCTCCCTGACTCAAACAATCCTCCTACCTCACCCTCCTCCCTAACAAATGGAGCCACAGACATGTGCCATCATGCCTAATTTTTTATATTTTTGGTAGAGACGGGGTTTCACCATATTGCCCAGGCTGGTCTTGAACTCCTGTGCTCAAGCAGTCCTGCCGCCTTGGCCTCCCAAAGTGCTGGGATTACAGGCGTGAGCCACTGTGCCCATCCCTAAGCATCAGGTTTCTTAACGATAAGAAGGAGTAAAGGTACTAACCTCAAGAAGTTGTTAGAAGAATTAATACATGTCTGTACTAAGCCCTACAGAAACATACTAACTAGTCACTGATATTATTTCTTTATAATTTTTTTTGAGATGAAGTTTCACTCTTGTCACCCAGGCTGGAGTGCAATGGTGCAATCTCGGCTCACTGCAACCTCCGCCTCCCGGGTTCAGGCAATTCTCCTGCCTCAGCCTCTCCAGTAGCTGGGATAACAGACATGTGCCACTATGCTGGGCTAATTTTTTGTATTTTAATAGAGATGGAGTTTCACCATATTGGCCAGGCTGGTCTCAAACCCCTGACCTCAGGTGATCTGCCTGCCTCGGCCTTCCAAAGTGCTGGGATTACAGGTGTGAGCCACCATGCTCAGCCTGATACCCTTTTATTATCATTGAACATGGCCACTAGAATGTAAGCCTCTGAAAACAGGAGATGTCAAAGTCTCTGTATCCCCCATAGAGCTATGCAAGCCTATCACAATTCTCCGTACATAACAGGTCCTCTATAAATGTTTGCTAAATAAATGAATCTGCATAAGTTGTAGTTCGTTTTTCCCCTATCTAGCTAGGCAACCACAGCCGGACGCTTCAGAATCATGAGATGCAAATAAAAGGCCTAGGAGAGGAATTCATTTTTCACCCACAGTCACGCTGCCAAAAGAGGAAGGATGTTGGTTATGTAACAGTGGAAAGGAAAAGAAACAGACGAGATACTTACCAGCAAGGTGTCCAGTGCATCAATTAGAGTCAGAGAAAAACTGCAAAAGGACAGAAATCCCAGCCGCTTAGTAAGAAAATCAAATACCAGATATTATGGCTGCCCTAGATCTGATCCCCCTAAAACTAAATGAGGCAAAGTAATGCCTCTGCCTGTCCCACTTACAGTCACAACAGAGAAACCACAGTGAAAATCGCAGGTATTCTCTGACCCACTTAATGCACCTGGGAGGGTTGGCTGATGTAGCTCAATTGTAATTAAATACATCACCTATAGTCTGGCATTCTCCTCTACCATTGGGAGGCAGTATAAGATTGCAGCTTAAAGCACAGGCCTTTCACCAATTTTCACCTCTAGGAATTTAATTCACAGTGAACAGCTGTTTGAGAGTGTTCATGGCAGTATTGCTTAGAACAGCAAGAGGCTGGAAAGAACCCAACTGTCCACCCATTAATGGGTGATTAAACTGTGTTATAAACAGTGCAAAACTATGAGTTATCAAAAAGATTGTTATCAAGACTTCTATGTGCTGATGGAAAGACATTCGAATTGTTTTTAATGAAAAAGTCAGGGTGGTTTAGTATGTTTCCATCTGTTTCAAAAAGACATGCTGACAGAAAGCAGACAGCAATTGTTAGGGTCAGTGGTGGTGCAGGGATGAACTATAAAGGGCCACAAGGGAACTTTTTAAAGTGACAGAAGTGTTTCATATCTTGACTGTGATGGTGGTCACTTCAAACGAGTGTAGGCTGGGCACAGTGGCTCATGCCTGTAATCCGCCAGCACTTTGGGAGGCCTAGGTGGGTGGATCACCTGAGGTCAGGAGTTCAAGACCAGCCTGGCCAAATGACAAAACCCCGTCTCCACAAAAAAATTAGCCGGGTGTGGTGGTGGGCTCCTGTAATCCCAACTACTTGGGAGGCTGAGGCAGGAGAATCGCTTGAAGCCAGGAGGCGGAGTTTGAAGTGAGCCAAGATCACGCCATTGCACTCCAGCCTGGGTAACAAGAGCGAAACTCCATCTCAAAAAAAAAAAAAAAAAAAAAAGAGTGTATTTTATTATATGTAAATTATGCCTTTAAGAAGTTCATTTTAAAAAGATACACATACACACATCTATATATATAATGGTATAAACCAAGAATATTTCTGGACAGATACAAAGGAAAGTTAATAGTTGGAATTCTAGGGTATGGGAGATATTTATTGTATATAATCTTTTACCACTTGAATTTGCCATTTGTATTTACTTTGTTTCAACTTAAAAAAATAAAAACCATCACAAGTTTTGAGTTTAATTTCTCCCGACCTTAGCACATTCGTGTGTAAAACAGGGATAATGGCACCTAACTCGTAGGGGTATTAAGATACTGAGCTGAGATCTGAATGACAAGCAGCAGCCAGTGATGGGAGGAAAATGGGGAGTGTATTTCAGGCACGGGGCACACCAACTACAAAGACTTAAGTTTTAGGAGTGTCACACTCCTTCCTGGATCTGAATGCCCACCTACATAATGAAAGGGGTGGGTTTTCTAATTCTTGGAGCCCTTCCACGGTATCTCGTTACTCCAGAAATTGCCTATGTCCCCACAGCTGATGCCTGTTACTGCTGGGGCTGAGCTCAGCGATCCAGCCCACCCGGCTAATCCAGGACTTTTTTTTTCACTGCGAGAGGCTAAGTGGATCCTGGAGGTGATAGTAAGAATTGCGGGGAGCGCGGCTCTAGCTCAGCTGGGAGCTTTCTGGTGCCGGTGAGGAGACCATGAAGCCACCAGCCCCAGCTGACCCGCCCGCCGAGGCCCAGAGAGTCAGACCCTGGCCGCCCCTTGCCCCTCCGCTCGCACTACCTGCCCCAGGTGTCGTGCCCGTCACAGGTGAGAGGTCGCAGCTCATCGAAGGGAAAGGCATTCTCCAGGTAGCTGTCGTAGGCGTGGTAGAACATGGCCTTGACTCGCTCCCTGGGTGGGGGACGAGAAATCAGGCATGGGGCAAGAACACAAAAACAAGCGGGGGAAGAACAAGATACAGGGCGGAAAGTGGGAATCACTAGCTGATTTCTCCCTGGGACCTAGCGGCTGTGTCGGAGCAAGTCGGGGTCTGGGATGGACGGAAAGGGAAAGGACCGGGTTCACGCTTCCCATTCCCCAACTGCGAAAGGGCGGGTCACAGTTCACCTGTAGTGGGCGGGATCTGGCGCGGAGCCGTCGGGACCTGGCGCACCATGGTGCTGAGGCAGCAGCGCGCACAGGAGGCCGAGCGGGATGAGCAGCCGGAAAGGCATAGAGCTCGTGTCCTCTCAGCGCCCCCGCAGCAGCAGCAGCCACTGCAACCAGTTCATCCTGGGAGCTGCTGCGGGTTCTTCCGGGAATCCGCGCCACTGCGCCTGCGCGCTGAGAAATCAGCCTCTCACTTCCGGACTACAAGCCCCTGAATGCAATGGGCAGCGAAACGCGGCCGAAGAGCAACTTCGGATGTACGGTTTCGGCAACACTGATCAACGTGTCTTAAAGTCAGTGGCTGTTGTTACTACTGTTATTAATTAATGTTTTAATAATAACAGCTAGCATGTATTGAGCACTTATTGTGTACTAGTACTGTACGGAGCATTTAAAATGCATTCTCTCATTCATTTTTTTCAACAACCTTATTAAGTATGAAGGCAGGGTAAGCATGAGAAATGTTCAGCCTTTACCATTATTACCTAGCAGGACAAGCCGCAGACAAAACTCCTCAGACACCGGGTTAAAGAAGGAAGGAGCTTTATTCGGCCGGGAGCGTCAGCTGACTCACTTCTCAAAAACGGAGCTCCCCGAGTGAGCAATTCCTGTCCCTTTTAAGAGCTTACAACTCTAAGGGGGTCCGCGTGAGAGGGTCGTGATTGATTGAGCAAGCAGGGGGTACGTGACTGATTACCGGTGCACCGGTAATCAGAACGGAACAGAACAGGACAGGGATTTTCACAATGCTTTTCCATACAATGTCTGGAATCTATAGATAATATAACCGGTTAGGTCAGGAGGGGTCGATCTTTAATTACCAGGCCTGGAATGCATCGCCGGGCTGTCTGACTACTGATTTCACTTCTGTCTTTCTTTTAACTCCTACATTTTCTTTGAGGCAGAAATTGGGCATAAGACAATATGAGGGGTGGTCTGCTCCCTTATTTAGGGATATTGAGTTTCCCAAACCAGTTACTTGTTGATTGTATAAGACACAACTCACATTTATTTGTCCAAAACTTCCAC
Organism: Homo sapiens; assembly: GCF_000001405.40. Classification (NCBI taxonomy): domain Eukaryota; kingdom Metazoa; phylum Chordata; class Mammalia; order Primates; family Hominidae; genus Homo; species Homo sapiens. The sequence goes on from NC_000020.11 coordinate 35,148,223, forward strand.
TCTTTTTTTTTTAAAACCTCTTGCATTTTCCGATGCTGTCACTCTTGAGGTTTCCTGAAATCCCGTCAGTTCTAGGAATTCATGACACTTCTCTCCTCCCAATTTGGGATGTGGTTACACAATCATGGTCCCTTCAGTCTCCATCTCAAACCGGAAGCTTTACCCCTGTCAGCCCTGTAGAATGTCTTGGGTAAGAATGAATACCCTGGTTGGGCGCGGTGGCTCACGCCTGTAATCCCAACACTTTGGGAGGTTGAGGTGCGTGGATCACCTGAGGTTAAGAGATAGAGACCAACCTGGCCAACATGGTGAAACCCCGTCTTTACTAAAAATACAAAAATTAGCCAGGGGTGGTGGCGGGTGCCTGTAAATCCCGGCTACTCGGAAGGCTGAGGCCGGAGAATCGCTTGAAACCGGAAGGCGGAGGTTGCAGTGAGCGAGGATCGCGCCACTCCACTCCAGCCTGGGCAAAACAGCAAAACTCCATATCAAAAAAAAAAAAAAAAAAAAAAAAAAAAAGACAAATGACTACCCTGGGGCACTATAGCTTTCAGGAGGTTTGTGATCCATTTCTCCATTCCCCTTATTCCCAAGTTTCTAAAATTTGGTCAGCACCTTAGACCACAGCAACACCCATGACTTTGGTCAGTGTGACATGCGGTAGAACCAACACTGGATTTGAAGTCAGATCTAGGATCCAGTTAATTACAACTCTGTCACTCATCTATAACCTGTGTATGTGACCCTCTCCTTCTCTGGGGCTAGCATCCTTGTCTATAAATAATGAGGAGTTTGAACAAATGGATCTTTAAGATCCTTTTCGGTCGAGCTTTCTATGATTCTAGGATTGGCTATCTCTTATTTGCTGAAAAAGTCAGATGGAAGTGATAGCTCAGTTTGTTGAGCCAGAGTGCAGCCAGGCCTCCCAAAGTGCTGGGATTACAGGCATAAGCCACTGTACCCAGCCTGGGATGTTTTTAGAAACTCTTCTTGGCCGGGTGCAGTGGCTCACGCCTGTAATCCCAGCACTTTGGGAGGCCAAGGCGGGCGGATCACGAGGTCAGGAGTTCAAGACCAACCTGGCCAATATGGTGAAACCCTGTCTCTACTAAAAATACAAAAATTGGCCGGGAGTGGTGGCAGACGCCTGTAGTCCCAGCTACTCAGGAGGCTGAGGCAGGAGAATCGCTTGAACCCGGGAGGTGGAGGTTGTAGTGAGCCAAGATCAAGATCAGGCCACTGCACTCCAGCCTGGGAGACAGAGCGATACTCTGTCTCAAAAAAAAAAAAAAAAAAGAAACTCTTCTTGGGGCTTCCAAATGGAAGGGAAAGGAGATGACAGTAAGCTGAGACCTGGATAACAACACAGGAGCACTGTATTCGTTTCCTGTGATTCCTGCAACAAATTACCACAAACCAAGTGGCTTAAAGCAACAGAAATTTATTCTCTCGCAGTTTGGGAGGTCAGGAGCCTGAAATCAATTTCACTGGGCTAAAATTAAGTTATTGACAGGGCCACACCCACTCCAAAGGCTCTAAGGGATAATCCGTTCCTTGCCTCTCTAGATTCTCCTGACTGCTGGCATTCCTTGGCTTATGGTTGTATCACTCCAGTATCTGCCCGTGCCTTCATATCGCCTTCTCTGTGGATGTGTCACATCTCCTTCTGCTTTTCTCTTATAAGGACATTTATAATTGCATTTAGGACCCCCCCCGCGCCCCCCCCAACCCAGATAATACAGGATAAACTCCCATTCCAAGATTTTTAACTTAATCACATCTAGGGGGAAAAAAAAAAAAAAACACCATTTTTCCAAATAGAGAAACATTTACAGTTTCCAGAGATTAGGACCTGGACTTTAGGTGGCTGTTTCCAGCCTAGCGCAGGGACTAAATATTTTTCAGACCTGGGCCTTTCCCTGTGACGAAATTCACCTTCTCCATATTATAAATCCTATAGCTTATCTTTTTGTCTCCCATTCAAAATTCTAGTGTGGATAAAACTTTTGCAGGAAGGGTGGGTTCAGGTTGCCTGGATTTGGTAACGATAGGTCTCTCTTTATGAGCAAGATTGAAACACTCATGATTTTCCTTTATATTCTTTTTCTAGCTTGATGTCATTCTCCACACTGTCACTGAACAAATAAAACCATGACTTACGTTTTCACAATTCATGTGACTATATGTTCTCTAATGAGAATAAAAAAATTGTTTTACCCTCTGGAAAGTATCAGGACTCTTCTTTCTCTCACTCTGTGTTTATGATATTGGATTCTAGAAGGTTATGACCCACCAGTGAAGTGTCACACTTGAGCATTTACTTGTGAAGAGACTCAGGGTAAGTTGCCTACCTCTCTGAGACTCAATTTCCTATTGTAAAATACAGAAATTGATGAGGCCATAAAGGAATTCTGGGAATTAAATGGGATAATGAAAGTGAACATTCTCAGCACAGTGACTGGTATATATTAAATTCTTGATACATATTAATTCTCTTCCCTGCCTCCCCAACTCTTCTTTTTTTTTTAAGGCAGGGCAGTTGTTTCCATTTACTGAGCATCTGCCCCGAGTCATCCAAGGTGTTATAGGCAATAGTTCCTACCCTCAAAAGTTTGAGGCACAGTGCTGAGCATATAACTAAGATTCCAAAATAATCAAGTCATAGTCCTTTCCCTTGAAGTGCTTGCAATTTTGTTAGAAGGGGAAGATGTCAATTGGAGAATACTTGGAATCATAGGGTGTTCAAGTCTTCCCTGTGGGTGAATAGAGTTTGGAGGGAGCTCAGATCACATCAGTATCTGAGGCCAATGTCCTCGGACTCTGTGTTCAGTGGAACAAGACTTGGACTGGTTGTCGGAAACCCTTGGTCTTGTTACTTGTTTATCCACTATCTCTGTGTGATCTCGGGCAAGTCATTTTCCCTTTTGGGGACTCAGTTTCCATATCTGGAAGATGAAAGAGTGAGACTATCTCTCAGCACAAGGAAAATATTAACAGATCCATACAGTTATTGCAAAAAATCAGAAAACAGAATTCAACACACATCGACTGCACAAATTTCCCCCAGAAACATCCATGAAGCAGAATAAAACAGTGGGACAGCATTCCAAATGGAATTTGACTATTTGCCAACTAAACAAGGAAGAGGAGGGGGATGGGGAGGGGGACAAGAAGAAGAAGGAGAAAATAGTCACGTGTATTGATAATAGCGAACATTTACATAGCAAGTAATGTTCTTTGTACTTTACATCCATCAACACCATTAATCCTTACCACAACCCTCTGAGAAAGTGTCATTATCACCATTTTATAAACCAAAAACCTGAAGCACAGATTCTAAGAATTGAAGAAAGATTTAGCAACTTAATCAATGTCTCATACCGAATAAGTAGAAGAGTCAAGATATGGACCCAAACAGCCTATACTCTAACGCATTAATGAAAATAATGACAAATATATAAATAAAAGGCCAACACAGAATTCAACAATGGAGATCTGGCGAACTGCTACAGTGTCCTCTAGCTTTAGCTTCATGTGGTTTTAGGGTCAACATTTCCTTCCCTTTTGCTAGAAAGTTAGAGGGAAAAGCTCAGTTCCCTGAAGTTGGAAGCCAAGGCATTTTAGATCCCCTTTGGCCAAGTACACTCGACCTCTTTTAGCAGGGAAGAATCCTTTTTGTAGCATCTGGAGGTCATTTGGTTCTCCCAACTCCCAAAGCAGGGCTTGCACAATACATACTTTTGACTTGCCAAAAAATAAGTTTATCCCTGGGAAATTTCCCATCCATCTGTTGCTTTGTAGAAATGCTTGAACTTTGCATGCAGTATGTCCAAACATTTCGATCGACTCCCTGGTTAGAGTCTCAGACCTCGTTATTATTATTATTATTATTTGAGATGAGAGTTTTACTCTCGTCACCCAGGCCATAGTGCAGTGGCGCGATCTTGGCTCACCACAACCTCCACTTCCTGGGTTCAAGTGATTCTCCTGCCTCAGCCTCCCGAGTAGCTGGGATTACAGGCATGCGCCACTATGCCCGGCTAATTTTTATATTTGTGGTAGAGACAGGGTTTCGCCATGTTGGCTAGGCTGGTCTCGAACTCCTGACCTCAGGTGATCCGCCCACCTCAGCCTCCCAAGGTGTTGGGATTACAGGCATTAGCCACCGTGCCTGACCTTACACTTTTATTCTTATTTTATTTTTCTTCTTTTTGAGATAGGGTCTCGCTCTGTCACCTAGGCACTATCACCACTCACTTCAGCCTCGACTTCCCAGGCTCAAGTGATCTTTCCACCTCAGCCTCCCAAGCAGCTGGGACCACAGATGCGTGACACTATGCCCAGCTAATTTTTAATTTTTTTGTAGAGACAAAGTCTCGCTGTATTGCCGAGGCCGGTCTTGAACTCCTGGGCTCAAGCAATCCTACCGCCTTGGTCTCCCAAAGTGTAGAGATTACAGAAATGAGCCACCACACCTGGCCTCAGACCACGTTTTTATTATGCTCATATTCCAAGTGAACTCAGACCTGTAGCTAAATCTGCCACAGAATTGTGCACTTTAAAATGGTTCAGATGGTAAGTTGTGTCACAAGTATTTTGTCACAATTTCTTAAAAATTAAAAAGTGAGCCCTCTCCCTCTCCCTCTCCCTCTCCCTCTCCCTCTCCCTCTCCGTCTCCCCACGGTCTCCCTCTCATGCGGAGCCGAAGCTGGACTGTACTGCTGCCATCTCGGCTCACTGCAACCTCCCTGCCTGATTCTCCTGCCTCAGTCTGCCGAATGCCTGCGATTGCAGGCACGTGCCGCCACGCCTGACTGGTTTTGGTGGAGACGGGGTTTCGCTGTGTTGGCCGGGCCGGTCTCCAGCCCCTAACCGCGAGTGATCCGCCAACCTCGGCCTCCCGAGGTGCCGGGATTGCAGACGGAGTCTCGTTCACTCAGTGCTCAATGGTGCCCAGGCTGGAGTGCAGTGGCGTGATCTCGGCTCGCTACAACCTACACCTCCCAGCCGCCTGCCTTGGCCTCCCTAAGTGCCGAGATTGCAGCCTCTGCCCGGCCGCCACCCCATCTGGGAAGTGAGGAGTGTCTCTGCCTGGCCGCCCATCGTCTGGGATGTGAGGAGCCCCTCTGCCTGGCTGCCCAGTCTGGAAAGTGAGGAGCGTCTCCGCCCGGCCGCCATCCCATCTAGGAAGTGAGGAGCGCCTCTTCCCAGCCGCCATCACATCTAGGAAGTGAGGAGAGTCTCTGCCCGGCCGCCCATCGTCTGAGATGTGGGGAGCGCCTCTGCCCCGCCGCCCCATCTGGGATGTGAGAGCGCCTCTGCCCGGCCGAGACCCCGTCTGGGAGGTGAGGAGCGTCTCTGCCCGGCCGCCCCATCTGAGAAGTGAGGAGACCCTCTGCCTGGCAACCGCCCCGTCTGAGAAGTGAGGAGCCCCTCCGCCCGGCAGCTGCCCCTACTGGGAAGTGAGGAGCCCCTCAGCCCGGCCAGCCACCCCGTCCGGGAGGGAGATGGGGGGGTCAGCCCCCCCACCCGGCCAGCCGCCCCGTCCGGGAGGGAGGTGGGGGGGTCAGCCCCCCACATGGCCAGCCGCCCCGTCCGGGAGGGAGGTGGGGGGGTCAGCCCTCCGCCCGGCCAGCCGCCCCGTCTGGGAGGTGAGGGGCGCCTCTGCCCGGCCGCCCCTACTGGGAAGTGAGGAGCCCCTCTGCCCGGCCAGCCGCCCCATCCGGGAGGGAGGTGGGGGGGTCGGCCCCCCGCCCGGCCAGCCGCCCCGTCCGGGAGGGAGGTGGGGGTGTCAGCTCCCCGCCCGGCCAGCCGCCCCGTCCGGGAGGGAGGTGGGGGGGTCAGCCCCCCGCCCGGCCAGCCGCCCCGTCCGGGAGGGAGGTGGGGGGGGTCAGCCCCCCTGCCCAGCCAGCCGCCCCGTCCGGGAGGTGAGGGGCGCCTCTGCCCGGCCGCCCCTACTGGGAAGTGAGGAGCCCCTCTGCCCGGCCAGCCGCCCCGTCCGGGAGGGAGGTGGGGGGGTCGGCCCCCCGCCCGGCCAGCCGCCCCGTCTGGTGGGGGTGTCAGCCCCCCGCCCGGCCAGCCGCCCCGTCCGGGAGGGAGGTGGGGGGGTCAGCCCCCCGCCCGGCCAGCCGCCCCGTCAGGGAGGGAGGTGGGGGGGTCAGCCCCCCGCCCGGCCAGCCGCCCCGTCCGGGAGTGAGGTGGGGGGGGTCAGCCCCCCTGCCCGGCCAGCCGCCCCGTCCGGGAGGTGAGGGGCGCCTCTGCCCGGCCGCCCCTACTGGGAAGTGAGGAGCCCCTCTGCCCGGCCACCACCCCGTCTGGGAGGTGTGCCCAACAGCTCATTGAGAACGGGCCAGGATGACAATGGCAGCTTTGTGGGATAGAAAGGCGGGAAAGGTGGGGAAAAGATTGAGAAATCGGATGGTTGCCGTGTCTGTGTAGAAAGAAGTAGACATGGGAGACTTTTCATTTTGTTCTGCACTAAGAAAAATTCCTCTGCCTTGGGATCCTGTTGATCTGTGACCTTACCCCCAACCCTGTGCTCCCTGAAACATGTGCTGTGTCCACTCAGGGTTAAATGGATTAAGGGCGGTGCAAGATGTGCTTTGTTAAACAGATGCTTGAAGGCAGCATGCTCGTTAAGAGTCATCACCAATCCCTAATCTCAAGTAATCAGGGACACAAACACTGCGGAAGGCCGCAGGGTCCTCTGCCTAGGAAAACCAGAGACCTTTGTTCACTTGTTTATCTGCTGACCTTCCCTCCACTATTGTCCCATGACCCTGCCAAATCCCCCTCTGTGAGAAACACCCAAGAATTATCAATAAAAAAATAAATTTAAAATTAAAAAAAAAAAAAAATTAAAAAGTGAGGCTGGGCACAGTGCCTCAAGCCTGTAATTCCAGCACTTTGGGAGGCTGAGGCGGGTGGATTGCTTGAGCCCAGGAATTTGAGACCAGCTTGGGCAACATGGCAAAACCCTGTCACTACAAAAAAAAAAAAATTAGCAGGGTGTTGTGGCATGTGTCCATAATCCCAGCTACTCAGGAGGCTGAGGTGGGAGGGTGGAATAAATGGAATGTGATCCAACAAAATTATTATTATTATTATTTTGATGATGTCTATTGCCCTTTTGAAATACCCAATTCTGGCAGGGTGCAGTGGTTCACGCCTATAATCCCAGCACTTTGGGAGGCCGAGGTGGGCAGATCACCTGAGGTCAGGAGTTTGAGAGCAGCCTGGCCAACAAACCCCATCTCTACTAAAAATACAAAAATTAGCCAGCTGTGTTGGTGAGCGCCTGTAATCCCAGCTACTTGGGAGGCTGAGGCATGAGAATTGCTTGAACCTGGGAGGTGGAGGTTGCAGTGAGCCGAGATCATGCCACTGCACTCCAGCCAGGGTGACAGAGCGAGACTCTGTCTCAAAAGAAAAAAAAAAAAAAAAAAGAAATACCCAATTCTTTCACAGAAAATATGTTCTTACTGGCTGGCGGGGAGAGGGGTGGTTGGTAAATGGGAAAAGGGTGCTTCCTTTGCTGATATCCAAAGCAGATACTTTCTCTGCCTATTTGATGATACAAAACTAGCCCTACCACACCAGGCTAAGGGAGAGAAGAGGATCCGTGTCCTACAGAATTCCCCCTATTAGCCTACCTGCCCCATAGCCCCCAAACTCTGCTGCTAATCAACTGTGCCAGGTCAGGAAGAAAGAAACTGGAGGGAAAGAAGAAGCCTAATAGATTGAAAATCCCTTCAGCAAACATTTTTTGAGAGCCTTATAACTGTTAGTGTCTACTGAATTAAACTTACTAGTGTTAAGAAAAATTATCTGAAACATGTTACTAAGGTAAAAAGATGATTGTGTGACTTTTTGCTGTCATGATAAAGCATTGACTAGCAAGTCTACTTGTCATCTGTCCCTGAAGAGAAACGTGACACTATTTTCATATTAATTACGGCCCAGACATTGTACAATTCTGTAAAGTAATAAGATGTGACAATTTCCTTTCCTGCCTGGTAGAGAAGATAATCCCAAAGGTTATGATATTATTACTCTGTAGGACATTAACCCATTTAGTATTTAATTTAGCAATCTTACTTCAATATTTTCCTTTTCCATTGACTATAAAAACTCAAGTTCTTTTTTCTTTTTTTTGAGACAGGTCTCACATTGTTGCCCAGGCTGGAGTGCAGTGGTTCGAACACGGCTCACTACAGTCTTGACCTCCCACATCCCAGGCTCAAGTGATCTTGCCTCAGTCCCTCAAGTAGCTGGGACTATAGGCATGTGCCACCATGGCCAGCTAATTTTTGTATCTTTTCGTATAGACGGGGTTTTGCCATGTTGCGCAGGCTGGTCTCAAACTCCTGGCTAAGCGATCCACCCACCTTGGCCTCCCAAAGTGCTGGGATTACAGATGTAATCCCACCATGCCCAGCCAAAACTCTAGTTCTTATATTCTATTTTGAACTGGCTTTGTCGTCCTGCTTGTCCCTTCATTAATGAGTTAAATGAAACTCTGACCCATGCTCACTGTCTATTTCAATGAGAATTATGGTTGGTTTTGTTTGTTTGTTTGTTTGTTTTGAGACAGAGTCTCGCTCCGTTGCCCAGGCTGGAGTGCAGTGGTGTGATCTTGGCTCACTGCAATCCCCGCCTCCCAGATTCAAATGATTCTTTTGCCTCAGCCTCCCAAGTAGCTGGGATTACAGGCACCTGCCACCACTCCCAGCTAATTTTTGTATTTTTAGTAGAGACGGGGTTTCATCACGTTGGCTAGACTGGTCTTGAACTCCTGACTTCAAGTGATCCATCCACTTTGGCCTCCCAAAGTGCCGGGATTTACAGGAGTGAGCCACTGCGCCTGGCCAAGAATTACATTTTTAACATGCTGACAGTTGTCCTTGACACTAAGTGTCAGACCCTGGATTAAGTAATTTATAGACCCATGATACTCCTTTGAGATAGTTTTTGTCCCCATTTTCCAGATGAGAAAGTGAAGGCACAAAAAGATAAAAGAAATTTTCTCAGTGCCAGTTTTGTGCCAGGAGCTTTACTAAGTTACAGTTTTTTTCTCCTTCCCTCGAAGTCCTGTTTATCTATTCATTGATTAAAAAAAAAAAAATCATTGAGTACTTACGATGTGCCAAATACTCTGCTAAGCTGGTAATACAGAACTTTAAAACACATTCTCTGCCCTCTTATGGCTTTTGGTGTGGAAGACAGATGCATAAATAGACAATTATCATTTAAAGAAGTAAGGGAGGAAAACTCTCTGAACTTATTCTGGTTTGGGGGCTGCCTGCAAAAAAATTAATTAATGAATTAATTAATTAAAAATTAAAAAAAATAAAAAGAACTAAGGGAAAGAGAGGGCTCCAGTAGAACAGAGGGAGCATCTAACCCTGGCTTGTGGACATGAAGTCAGGGAAGGCTTCCTGTAGTAGGTGACACCTGAGTATTCTAATAGGAATTAGTAGGGCTGAAGAAGGTGGTGGGAAGCACCTCAATTCAAAATTTTGATTCCTTTGTGTATTATGAAAGGCTCTTCTGACTCCTGCTTACCTCCTCATATCACTTCTTCCTTCCTATCACCTACTCCTATTTGGCCATACTTAAGTATTACTGCTTTCTCAAGTATGTTATATTCTCTCTCCTTTCCTATTATATTCTTTTGTACCTTCTTCACCCTGTACTTGAAACAACTTTTTCCTCACCCCTACTTGCCCCTTAGGCATTATCGGGGTTTTTTGTTTTTGTTTTTTTCTTTGTTTGTTTGTTTTTGAGACAGGGTCTTGCTCTGTCACCCAGGCTGGAGTGCAGTGGTGCGATCTCAGCTCACTGCAGCCTCAGCCTCCTGGGCTCAAGTGATCCTCCCACCTCAGCCTCCCGAGTTGCTAGGACTACAGGCACACGTCACCACGCCTGGCTAATTTTTGTATTTTTTGCAGAGCCCAGATGAACTCCTGGGCTCAAGCAATCCTCCCACCTCAGCCTCCCAAAGTGCTGGGATTACAGGTATGAGCCACCGGACCCGGCCTGGAAAGCATTCCTTTTTAAACCAGGAAAATGGCAAGAATATTCTCTTATATTCTCTATCACTTTTTTTTTTTTTTTTTCCTGGAGACAGAGTCTTGCTCTGTTGCCCAGGCTGGAGTGCAGTGGCACGATCTCGGCTCACTGCAGCCTCCGCCTCCTGGGTTCAAACGATTCTCCTGCCTCAGCCTCCTGAGTAGCTGGGATTACAGGCATGCACCACCACACCCAGCTAATTTTTGTATTTTTAGTAGAGATGGGGTTTCACCATATTGGCCAGGCTGGTTTCAAACTCCTGGCCTCGAGTGATCCACCCACCTCGGCCTCCCAAAATGCTGGGATTACAGGCGTGAGCCACTGTGCCTGGCCTTCTATTACTATCTCTGTTAAACATTGTACTAGAGGTTATAGCCAGAACAATAAGTTGAAACAAACATTATAAAAATTAAAAAAGAAGAAATAATCTGTCATTATCTATTGGTGCTATGAATATGCATGTAGAAAATCCAAAAGAGTCTAAAAATAATTATTATAACAAACAAAAGAATTTATTAAGGTTGCTAGAAACAAAACTAATGCAACAAAATCATCAGTACTTCTATATGCTGAGAATAAGCACACCATGAGATTTAAAAAAAAATTATTTGCAATAATATTTTTAAAATATGGAGAACTTGACTGGGTGCAGTGGCTCATGCCTGTAATCCCAGCACTTTGGGAGGCCAAGGCGGGCAGATCACTTGAGGTCAGAGTTTGAGACCAGCCTGGCCAACATGGTGAAACCCTGTCTCTACTAAAAATACAATTAGACTGGTATGGTGGTGTGTGCCTGTAACCCCAGCTACTCTGGAGGCTGAGGCAGGAAAATTGCTTGAATCTGGGAGGTGGAGGTTGCAGTGAGCCAAGATTGTGCCATTGCACTCCAGCCTGGGCAACAGAGCAAGACTCTGTCTCAAAAAATATATATACGTATGTATATATGAAGAACTTAGAGGGGAAAACTTAACAGAGGATGGGCCATATGTTCAGAGAGAAAATTATGAAACTCTGAGAGATACCAAAAAAGATGTAAACAAATGAAAAAAATACACCCTATCATGCACTGGATGATTCAATATTGTGAAGATGTCAATTCTTCCCAGTCATTTACATGCTAAATGCAATACCAACCAAAACTTCATCAACGTGATAAAAAAGATTCCAAAATTTAGGTGTAGACGTTCAAATATTCAAAAATAGCTAAGACACTCTTGAAGAACAAAGAGGAAAGGCTTGATCTACAAGATATAAATACATTATGAAATAATACTAATCGAGGGCCAGGCACTGTGGCTCACGCCTGTAATCCCAGCACTTTGGAAGGCCAAGGCAGGTGGATCACCTGAGGTCAGGAGTTCGCGAGCAGCCTGACCAATATGGAGAAACCCCGTCTCTACTAAAAACACAAAATTAGCCGGGTGTCATGGCGTGTGCCTGTAATCCCAGCTACTCGGGAGGCTGAGGCAGGAGAATCTCTTGAACCCGGGAGGCAGAGGTTGCGGTGAGCTAAGATCCTGCCATTGCACTCCAGCCTGGGCAACAAGAGTGAAACACCGTCTCAAAAAAAAAAAAAAAAAAAGAGAAAAAAAAATTTAAAAAAAAAAGAAATAATACTAATTGAGATAATGAGCATTGGTACCAGGTGAGACAACTGGACCACTGAAACAGAATAGACATATTTACTGTAAGTCAGAGATGCCACTGCAGATCAGTAAGGAAAGGCCAACTTTTGATAACTGGTTCTGTCTGGGACAGTGGATATCCATTAAAAGAAACTAATCTTGACCTCCACTTCATACCATACCTCAAGGTGAAAGACAAAACTAAAAAGCTTTGAACATAAACAGAATATCTTCATGACCTTGGGGTTTAGGGAAGGGTTGCTTAAATAAGGCACAAAAAGTACAAACTGTAAAGGAATAGGTTGATAAACATAACCACCTTAAAATTAGGAACTTTTGTTTATCTAAAGACATGATAAAGAAAGTGCAAAGCGGCTGGGCGCGGTGGCTCATGCCTGCAATCCCAGCACTTTGGGAGGCTAAGGTGGGAGGATCACTTGAGCCCAGAAGTTTGAGACCAGCCTGGGCAGCATAGCAAGACCTCATCTCTACAAAAATAAGGTTTTTTAAAAAAAAAAAAACTGTGACGGTTAAACCACCTACTCAAGACTCAGCAATGGTGGATGCCCTACGACACCTAGGTGGCGTAGCCTACTATACCCCTAGGCTCCTTGGTATAGCCTATTGCTCCTAGGCTACAAACCTGTAGAACATGTTATGATCCTGAATACTTTAGGCAACTGTAACACAACGGAAATATTTGTGCATCTTAAGAAATCTAGGATTTGCTGGCAAGATGGCCAAATAGGAAGAGCTCTGGTCTGCAGCTCCCAGTGAGATCGATGCAGAAGGTGGGTGATTTCTGCATTTCCAACTGAGGTACCCGGTTTATCTAATTGGGACTGGATGGGCAATGGGTGCAGCCCACGGAGGGCAAGCCGAAGCAGGGTGGGGCGTCGCATCACCCAGGAAGTGCAAGAGGTTAGGGGATATCCCCCCTAGCCAAGGGAAGCGGTGAGGGACTGTGCCCTGGGAAATGGTGCACTACGGCCCAGATACTGCGCTTTTCCCAAGGTCTTCGCCACCTGTAGACCAGGAGATTCCCTCTGGTGCCTACGCCACCAGGGCCCTGGGTTTCAAGCACAAAACTGGGCGGCCATTTGGGCAGACACCGAGCTAGCTGCAGGAGTTTTCTTTTTTTTTTTTCATACCCCAGTGGTGCGTGGAACGCCAGCAAGATAGAATCGTTCACTCTGCAGGCTGGGCGCGGTGGCTCATGCCTGTAATCCCAGCACTTTAGGAGGCCAAGGTGGGCAGATCACGAGGTCAGAAGTTCGAGACCACCCTGGCCAACATGGTGAAACCCCGTCTCTACTCAAAATACAAAAATTAGCTGGGTATAGCAGTGGGGGCCTGTAATCCCAGCTACTCAGGAGGCTGGGGCAGGAGAATCACTTGAACCCAGGAGGTGGAGCTTGCAGTGAGCTGAGATTGCACCACTGCACTCCAGCCTGGACGACAGGGCGAGACTCCGTCTCAAAAAAAAAACAAAAAAAAAAAAACAGGTTTGTTCAATCCGCTGGAAAGGGGGCTGAAGCCAGGGAGCCAAGTGGTCTGGCTCCATGGGTCCCACCCCCACAGAGCTCAGCAAGCTAAGATCCACTGGCTTGAAATTCTCGCTGCCAGCACAGCAGTCTGAGGTCGACCTGGGATGCTTGAGCTTGGTGGTGGGAGGGGTTGTCCGCCATTGCTGAGGCTTGAGTAGGTGGTTTTACCCTCACAGTGTAAACAAAGCTGCAGGGAAGTTCAAACTGGGTGGAGCCCACCACAGCTCAGCAAGGCTGCTGTGGCCAGACTGCCTCTCTAGATTCCTCTTCTCTGGGCAGGGCATCTCTGAAAAAAAGGCAGCAGCCCCAGTCAGGGACTTACAGATAAAACCCCTGGCCAGCACGGTGGCTCACGCCTGTAATCCCAGCACTTTGGGAGGCCGAGACGAGTGGATCATTTGAGGTCAGGAGTTTGAGACTAGCCTGACTAACATGGTGAAACACCATCTCTACTAAAATACAAAAAAAATGAGCCAGGCGTGGTGGCAGGGGCCTGTAATCCCAGCTACTCGGGAGGCTGAGGCAGGAGAATTGCTTGTACCCAGGAGGTGGAGGTTGCAGTGAGCCGAGATTGTGCCACTGCACTCTAGCCTGGGTGATAGAGTGAGACTCTATCTCAAAAAAAAAAAAAAATCTCCCTGGGACAGAGCACCTGGGGGAAGGGGTGGCTTGGAAACAGCTTCAGCAGACTTAAACGTCCCTGCCTGATGGCTCCGAAGAGAACTCCCAGGACAACATTCGAGCTCTGATAAGGGTCAGACTGCCTCCTCAAGTGGGTCCCTGACCCCTATGTATCCTGACTGGGAGACACCTCCCATAGGGGCCAACAGACACCTCATACAGAAGAGCTCTCGCTGGCATCTGGTGGGTGCCTCTCTGGGACAAAGCTTCTAGAGGAAGGAACAGGCAGCAATCTTTGCTGTTCTGCGGCCTCCAGTGGTGATACCCAGGCAAACAGGGTCTGGAGTGGACCTCCAGCAAACTCCAGAAGACCTGCAGCAGAGGGGCCTGACTGTTAGAAGGAAAACTAACAAATACAAAGGAATAGCATCAACATCAACAAAAAGGACGTCCACTCAGAGACCCCATCTGAAGGTCACCAACATCAGAGACCAAAGGTAGATAAATCCATGAAGATGGGGAGAAACCAGCACAAAAAGGCTGAAAATTCCAAAAACCAGAATGCCTCTTCTCCTCCAAAGGATCACAATTCCTTGCCAGCAAGGGAACAAAACTGGAAACAGAGAATGAGTTTGAAGAATTGACAGAAGTAGACTTCAGAAGGTGGGTAATAACAAACTCCTCCGAGCTAAAGGAGCATGTTCTAACCCAATGCAAGGAAGCTAAGAACCTTGAAAAAAGGTTAGATGAATTGCTGACTAGAATAACCGTTTAGAGAAGAACATAAATGACCTGATGGAGCTGAAAAACACAGCACGAGAACTTCGTGAAGCATACACAAGTATCAATAGCCGAATTATCAAGCAGAAGAAAGGATAACAGAGATTGAAGATCAGCTTAATGAAATAAAGCGAGAAGACAAGATTAGAGAAAAAAGAATGAAAAGAAACAAAGCCTCCAAGAAATATGGGACTATGTGAAAAGACCAAATCTACATTTGGTTGGTGTACCTGAAAGTGACAGGGAGAATGGAACCAAGTTGGAAAACACTCTTCAGGATATTATCTAGGAGAACTTCCCCAACCTAGCAAGACAGGCCAACAATCAAATTCAGGAAATACAGAGAACACCACAAAATCAATGTGCAAAAATCACAAGCATTCCTATACACCAATAACAGACAGAGCCAAATCATGAGTGAACTCCCATTCACAATTGCTACAAAGAGAATAAAATACCTAGGAATACAACTTACAATGGATATGAAGACCTCTTCAAGGAGAACTACAAACCACTGCTCAAGGAAATAAGAGGTCACAAATAAATGGAAAAACAATCCATGCTTATGTATAGGAAGAATCAATATCGTGAAAATGGCCATACTGCCCAAAGTAATTTATAGATTCAATGCTATTCCCATCAAGCTACCATTGACTTCCTTCACAGAACTGGAAAAAACTACTTTAAATTTAATATGGAACAAAAAAGAGCCCCCGTATCCAAGACAATCCTAAGCAAAAAGAACAAAGCTGGAGGCATCACGCTACCTGACTTCAAACTATAGTACAAGGCTACAGTATACAAAACAGCATGATATACCAAAACAGATATATAGACCAATGGAACAGAACAAAGCCCTCAGAAGTAACACCACACATCTACAACCATCTGATCTTTGACAAATCTGACAAAAACAAGCAATGGGGAAAGGATTCCCTGTTTAATAAATGGTGTTGGAAAAACTAGCTAGCTATATGCAGAAAACTGAAACTGGACCCCTTCCTTACACCTTATACAAAAATTAACTCCAGATGGATTAAAGACTTAAACATAAGACCTAAAACCATAAAAACCCTAGAAGAAAACCTAGGCAATACCATTCAGGACATAGGCATGGGCAAAGATTTCATGACTAAAACACCAAAAGCAATGGCAACAAAAGCCAAAATTGGCAAATGGGACCTAATTAAACTAAAGAGCTTCTGCACAGCAAAAGAAACTATCATCAGAGTGAACAGGCAACCTACAGAATGGGAGAAAATTTTTGCAATCTATCCACCTGACAAAGGGCTAATATCCAGAATCTACAAAGAACTTAAACAAATTTACAAGAAAAAAAACAACTCCATCAAAAAGTGAGCAAAGGATATGAACAGACACTTCTCAAAAGAAGACATTTATGTGGCCAAAAAACATATGAAAAACAGCTCATCATCACTGGTCATTAGAGAAATGCAAATCGAAACCACAATGAGATACTATCTCATGCCAGTTAGAATGATGATCATTAAAAAGTCAGGAAACAACAGATGCTGGAGAGGATGTGGAGAAATAGGAATGCTTTTACACTGTTGGTGGGAGAGTAAATTAGTTCAAACATTGTGGAAGACAGTGTGGTGATTCCTCAAGGATCTAGAACCAGAAATACCATTTGACCCAGCAATCCCATTACTGGGTATAAGGATTATAAATCATTCTACTATAAAGAATACATGCAGAGGTATGTTTACTGTGGCACTATTCACAACAGCAAAGACTTAGAACCAACCCAAATGCCCATCAGTGATAGACTGGATAAAGAAAATGTGGCACATATATACCATGGAATACTATGCAGCCATAAAAAAGGATGAGTTCATGTCCTTTGCAGGGACATGGATGAGGCTGAAAACCATCATTCTCAGCAAACTAACACAAAAACAGAAAACCAAACACTGCATGTTATCACTCATAAGTGGGAGGTGAACAATGAGAACACATGGACACAGGGAGGGGAATATCACATACCAGGGCCTGTCAGGGGGTAGGGGGCTAGGGGAGGGATAGCATTAGGAGAAATACCTAATGTAGATGACGGGTTGATGGGTACAGCAAACCACCATGACAAGTGTATACCTGCGTAACAAACCTGCACATTCTGCACATGTACCCCAAACTTAAAGTATAATAAAAATTAAAAAAAGAAATCTAAACACAGAAAAGGTACAGTAAAAATATGGTATAGTCGATTTTAAAAGGTACACCTGTAGAGTGTGTACTTCATGCATGGAGCTTGAAGGACTTGGTGTTGCTCTGAGTGGGTCAGTGAGTGAGTGGTGAGCAAATGTGATGGCCTACGACATTACTGTACACTACTGTAGAATTTATCAATACTGTTCACTTAGGCTGCACTAAGTTTATGCAAAAATATTTTTCTTTCTTCAGTAATAAATTAACCTTAGCTTACTGTAAAAAAAAAAAAAGTGAAAAGTTAATATTTATGTGTTCTGTGTTCAGGAAACCAGGAGGAATGGATTTGGCTGAAACTGGAATACATGGATAGATAAGGCTAGAGAGATAGGCAGGAGCCAAGCCAACAATACTAGGCTCCCATCAATTGCTGGGGCAGGCAAGAGCAGGCATCATCCTGAGTGTTTGGAGCTTCTTTTCATGTTCCCTAAGTTGGGGGGTGTTGGGGGGATGATACAGGGGGAAATTCTGATTAAGACTTAACATCTATTCCTTTGCCTTCTCTTCAAGAAGTCATACTTGATGTCCATCCCTCCTGGACAGGGTCCGTTCTGTTTGCTGCTAAGCTCCTTTCTTATCTCTCCCACCTACTGAACACGTACTGTGTTCTGGGAGTTTTGAATGCATCATCTTGTTTATCCTCATGAGATGGTCTAATAATGAAGAAAGCATGTTTTGGCATCCAACTCACCTGGGTATGAGTCCCAGCTCTGCCTTTTACTAGCTGGATGTCTTTGAGCAGCTCAGTTCCCTGTTCTGTGCTTCTGTGTCCTCATCTGTAAAATGGGAACGACGGCTATTTCTTCAGACTGCCCTCCCTCCCTCCTTTTCTGTCTCCCTCCCTCCCTCCCTTCCTCCCTCCCTCTTTCCCCCTTCTTCTTTTCTTTTCTTTCTCTCTTTCTTTCTTTTCTTCTTTCCTTCTTTCTTTTTTCTTTCTCCTTCTTTCCTTCCTTCCCTCCTCTCTCTCTCTCTTTATTTCTGTCTGCCTGTCTTTCAACAGGGTCTTGCTATATTACCCAGGCTGGTCTCAAACTCCTGGACTCAAGCAATCCTCCCAGCTTGGCCCCCCAAAGTGCTAGGATTACAGGCCTGAGCACCTGGCCTGGACTTTCTTCAGACTTTTCACAGGGTACTAGTGAGAAAAAAATACATGGACTCTGCTTACTTAATACTGTGCCTGGCACATTGTAAGCTCTTCGCACATGTTATTGTTATTATTCCTCATCCTAAGGGGGAAGTGCCTTTGAAGGGTCCACACTCCTTTGTTACCCAAATTGGGCCAGGTTGCTTAAACTGCCGTTCTTCAGTAGCTAACAACAGGGGTGGGAGAGCCTGGTCCTCTGAAGTCCAGCTGGGCACACGGCCAGTCCCTGGCCTGTCCCTGCTCCTGCTGCCCTGGCAAGGCCTCCCTCACCCACTGGGGCTGCACCAGCACTGGCCCCAGCTCAGCTTCCTGTCTCCCTTATCTTCCTCCAGCATGTGCTCTCTGGAGTAGGAAACACCACCGCTTGCTTCCTTCATTTCCCTTTGCTCAACGGGACCCTCATTCTTTAGGTCTCAGTCAAATCCCAGCTGCTGGCCTGGTGCCCACTCTGTGATTTTCTACACCTCAGCCACCCAGGCCAGATGCAGTGTAGGCCATGGCTCCAACAGCAGCATTTCTCTTTTCTTCCCCACCCCCATCCCTGGGTTTAGAATGAGAAAAGGCTCAAGTTGCCCCCCTCCCAACTTCCCTACCCGCAACACTCTTTTTATTTTCTCTGTTCCCAGCTCCATACTTCCATGCTTTTTTTTTTTTTTTTTTTTTTTTTTGAGATGGAGTCTTGTTCTGTTGCCCAGGCTGGAGTGCAGTGGCAGGATCTCGGCTTACTGCAACCTCCACCTCCCGGGTTCAAGTAAGTCTCCCACCTCAACCTCCTGAGTAGCTGGGATTACAGGCACGCCACCATGCCCAGCTAATTTTTGTATTTTTAGTAGAGACGGGGTTTTACCATGTTGCCCAGGCTGGTCTCAAACTCCTGACCTCAGGTGATCCATCCACCTTGGCCTCCCAGAGTGCTGGGATTACAGGCATGCCCAGTCCCATACTTTCTGAGTTCAAATCCTCGCTCTGCACTTCCAAGCTGTGTGACCTTGGGCAAGTTACTTAACTATTTTTCTGGGCTTTGATTTTTTTTTTTTTTTTTTGTACAGAGGAGCAGAGGAGGATTCATCAGGTTGCCCAGGTTGGTCCAAACTCCTGGGCTCAAGGGATCCTTCTGCCTGGGCCTCCCAAAATGCTGGGATTACAGGCATGAGCCACCATGCCCAGTTTTTTTGGTTGTTGTTTGTTTTGTTTTGTTTTGTTTGAGACAGGGTCTCTTTCTGTCACCCAGGCTGGGGTGCAGAGGCACAGACATAGCTCACTGCAGCCTTGACCTTTTGACATCCTGGGCTCAAGCCATACTCCTGCCTCAGCCTCCCAAGTAGATGGGACCACAGGTGTGTACTACCATGCCTGGCTAATTTAAAAAAAATTTTTTTGTAGAGATGGAGTCTCATATGTTGCCATGCTGGTCACTAATTTACAGGCATGAGCCACTACACCCAGGCAGCTTTATTTTATTTATTTTTTTGTCTGTAGCATGGAAACAATGAGCATGGTCTGCCCCAGAGAAAGTGATTAAAGGCCTAGCACATAGTATGAATTTAAAGAATGTTTTATAACATATATATTAAACATTCAAGCATGTTGGAGGTATGTGTTAAAAAAATGTATTGATGGAAAGTGATCAAAATAATTTTTGAGTCACTGTGTGGGAGTTAAATTCACAAACTTTGGCACCAGAGAGAGAGAGAAACTTTCAAATTATAGCTTTTGCTGTGTGACCTTAGGTAAGTCACTTAACCTCTCTGAGCCTCAGTTTCTTAGTAAAATGGTGATGCTAGTGAAACCCATTTCACAGGGCTAGCATAAGAATAAAGTAAGATTATTTAAGTAAAGAGCCGAACACTGTTTCTGGCCTACAATAAGTGTTACCTATAATAATGCTATCATTGTCTCACTGTTCAATTTTCAGGGCTCTAGTATATGAGAGGGGTGCTTGGGAAATAGCTGTTGCTGCTGCTATCTGTCCATGATGGATCTTAACCTGATTAGAAAGGCCTCCATGTGGCTGGGCGTGGGGGCTCGTGCCTGTAATCCCAGCACTTTGGGAGGCCAAGGCAGATGGATCACTTGAGGTCAGGAATTCGAGACCAGCCTGGCCAACATGATGAAACCCTATCTCTACTAAAAATGCAAAAATTAGCCAGGCATGGTGGCACCTGCCTGTAATCCCAGCTACTTGGGAGGCTGAGGCAGGAGAATTGCTTGAATCCAGGAGGTGGAGGTTGCAGTGAGCAGAGATCATACCATTGCACTCCAGTCTGGGCAACAGAGCGAGACTCCATCTCAAAAAAAAAAAAAAAAAAAGAAAGAAAGAAAAGGAAAGAAAGCCCTTGATGTAATGAGCTCTGTGTAAGATAATGTGGATGAAAGTGGACCCAGACCCTACCCGCTTAGATGGAAGGCTCACAGCATTCAATTCCAAATTGGTTCAATCGTACACTCTTTTGCCCTCTCTTATCCATCCCAAAGTACCCTTCAAGCCTTCAAGGGAGAAAAAAGGCAAAGCAAAAATATGCACAACCTCACTAAGAACCAGAAAAATGCAAACTAAAACCAAAGAGAAATGCCATTTTACACCCAACCATCTGATAATGCCAAGGGCTGGCAAGGATGTGAAGCGAGGGAATTCTCATACACTGCTGGGAACGTAAATTGGCACAACCTTTCTGTAAAACAGTTTGGCAATATCTAGTAAAACTGAAGATGCATATACTTTATTACTCAGAAATTCCACTGTCAAGTTTGCACCTACAAAAACTCCCACATATGCACAAGGACTCGAGTATGAGAATGTTCATACCAGCACTGTTTGTAATAGCAAAAAACTGGAAAAAACTTAAGTGTTCAGCAACAAGAGAATGGATACATAAATAATGATCTATTCCCAAAATTGATTTTTTTTTTTGAGACAGGGTCTTGCTCTGTTGCCCAGGCTAGAGTGCAGTGGCATGATCATGGCTCACTGCAGTCTCAACCTCCTGGGCTCAAGCAATCCTCCTACCTCAGCCTCCTGAGTAGCTGAGACCACAGGCACAACCCATCACACCCAGCTAATTTTATTTTTTTTGTAGAGATGGGGGTCTCACTATGTTGCCCAGGCTGGTCTTGAACTCCTGGGCTCAAATGATCCACCCACCTCGGCCTCCCAAAGTGCTGGGATAATACCTCCCCAGCCGGAATATTTTAAAGCAGTGAAAATGAATGGTCTACACATAGCCACATGAATGAATCTTATTAATACATTAAGTGAAAAAAGCAAAAGGTACAGAGGAATACATACATTTTAATACCATTTATATAAAGCTCAAAATATGTGAAATACCACTATCTATTGTTTAGGGATATATACATAAGTAGTGTAAGTATACAGAAATATAAGGAAATGAAAAATATCAAATCTTCATTTTCATCTGAAGTGGTTACTTCAGGGGCTGTGGCAGGGAGAGAGAGATGCAGCTGAGGAAGAGTCCATAGGGGGCTTCAACTATATTAGCAATATTGTATTTCTTATGCTTGGTGGTGGGGATAGGTATGTTTGAAATGTAATCCTTTAAGCATGAAATAACTCTTCAAAAATGAAATATTTCAGGCTGTGCACAGTGGCTCAGGCTTGTAATCCCAGCATGTTGGGAGGCTGAAGTGGGCGGATCACCTGAGGTCAGGAGTTTGAGACCAACCTGGCCAACATGGTGAAATCCCATCTCTACTAAAAATACAAAAATTAGCCAGGTGTGGTGGCAGGTGACTGTAATCCCAGCTACTTGGGAGGCTGAGGCAGGAGAATCGCTTGAATCTGGGAGGTGGAGGTTGCAGTGAGCCGAGATCACGCCACTGCATTACAGCAAGACTCCATCTCAAAAAAAAGAAAAAAAAAAAGAAAAAAGAAATGTTTCATAATTTTTAATAAAAGGCAAGACAATATAAATTGGTAGTTATTTAAGTCATTCTACTTTTCCTGAGGCCCAGTGCAGGAAAACAAAGTTCCTATCCTTGTTCCAACTAGACCATTTTGATAAGCTGCAAAAAGAAAAGACTTTGATGCTATTTCTTAGCCAGTTTGCAACAGCTGAGAGGTGAGCATGGAAGCTCTTGCATATATTCAGTTCAGAGAATGGGTGCTTAGTTTATGTCCAGAGTTTGTCCCAGATTTCACTATGACGTCAGCTCTCCGGGGAGAAGTATATAAAATAAAAAGTTAAAATCCCTCTCAGTCCTTTACCCAATCCTATTCCCCAGAGGTAATCTCTATTGACAGTACCCCTCCAGATATTTTCCCTATGTATATACAAATACACAGATACACACTGAAAGTTAATTTTGGCCAGGTGCAGTGGCTCCTGCCTATACCAGAGGATTGCTTGAGTGCAGGAGTTCAAGACCAGCCTGGGCAACATAGCGAGACCACATCTCTAGTAAAAATAAAAAAAAATAGCTAGGCGTGGTGGCACAGTGGCACGTACCTTTAGTCTCAGCTACTCGGGTGGTTGAGGTGGGAGAATCACTTGAGCCCGGGAGGTCAAGCCTACAATTAGCTGTGATTGCTTCACTGCACTATAGCCTGGGCAACAGAGCTAGACCCTGTCTCAAAAAAATAATAATAAATTTTATATATATATATGAGGATGAAATTACATATGTATTATTTGAACAGAAGTGAAATCTTTTCTTTTTTTTTTTCAGACAGAATCTTGCCGCATGACCCAGGCTAGAATGCAGTGGTGTGATCTCGGCCCTCTGCAACCTCCACCTCCCAGGTTCAAGCGATTCTCATGCCTCGGTCTCCCAAGTAGCTGGGATTACAGGCATGCACCACCATGCCCAGCTAATTTTTGTATTTTTCGTAGAGACGTTCGCCATATTGGCCAGGCTGGTCTCAAACTCCTGGCCTCAAGTGATCTGCCCACCTCGGCCTCCCAAAGTGCCAGCAGCATGCTCGGAGGAGTGACTTTAAAGCTTTTCTACTTGCTTCCTAGAGTAAGGGACGCATTTTACACTGCTATCCAAAACTCATCATAGAAACATACACACACAAAACCAAAGCACACATATACAACTGAGCAAATATTTCATGACATAACACTTTCTCTTACTAAGGGTGACGCGCTGAAATTTTGTATTCTGTCCTATTTCATTTTTTAAAAATGGTAACCATGACCTGCTAAATTGATTTCATTGTCCACTAATAAATTATGACCTCAGTTTCAAAAAGATTGCTTTAGGTAACCAATCATCTTCTGAGATTTATACAGATTGCTCATAATTCTCTCCTATTTTTTAAAAACATGCTGCAGTGAACTGCTTTACACTCATTTTATGACTACTTCTGAGACCAAGATCCCGGATTATGTAATTGTTATTTACTTAAAATTCTGGTAAAATGTAGCCATTATACTGGAAAACTAAATTTTAATCTTGGATCTGTCACCACCATGATATATAAACTTTGGGCAAGTCCCTGCACCTCTCTGGACCTCAATCTCCCCATCAGCAACCTGCTGATCCTACTCCCAGGAGTGTGCTCTAAGTTGAAAGTAGATGCCCCACCCCCTGAGTCAGCGCCGGCAGGACTTCTCACCAAGCCCTTCTCCCCCTTTTCCGCTCCCTGTTCCTGGTTCCTAGGAAGCAGCCCAAGGAGAAGGGAAAAGGCAGGTCTGGGCAGGAGGGAGCAATGAAGGGCGGGGCAGAGGGAGGGCAGGAGGGAGGCCGGCCCCCTAGTAGGAAATGAGACACAGTAGAAATAACACTTTATAAGCCTCTTCCTCCTCCCATCTCCTGGCCTCCTTCCATCCTCCTCTGCCCAGACTCCGCCCCTCCCAGACGGTCCTCACTTCTCTTTTCCCTAGACTGCAGCCAGCGGAGCCCGCAGCCGGCCCGAGCCAGGAACCCAGGTCCGGAGCCTCAACTTCAGGATGTTGACAACATTGCTGCCGATACTGCTGCTGTCTGGCTGGGCCTTTTGTAGCCAAGACGCCTCAGATGGTGAGTCGGGGGCACATCTCCTGCCTCAGGATGGTTCTGGAGAATCTCAGTCTATCTGGGCACATGGCAAGACCACAGGAGAGCTTATCTCACAGCATCTGTGTCTGCAGCTGGCTAGATCTCTCTACAGGGCAGGCAGAGTCTTGGGGACTGGTTCGTGTCCCAAAGCCAAGGTGAGTTAGTACATTTAAGCCCCTGAAAAGGGGGAGATGAAAGAGGCTAGGGGAAACAGGATGACTGGAAACATGAGAAAGAAACCAGCAGAGAGGGTAGGAGAATCAGCCCCAGGGAGAGGGGAGAAAGGGGAACTGAGGGTGATGGTAGATAGGGGTACATCTAGGGGAGACGGGAAGAGGCTCAGAAGAGAAGAGAAATGGAGGGAATGGGAAGACCCTGGGAAAACTGATGGAAGAAGTGGGGGAAGAGTGGGGCAGAGAGAGGTTAGGGGAGGCTAGGGAAAATGGAAGGAGACTGGTCGCAGCTGGTGGAACTGGGGAGAAAGAGATGCTGTGCCTAATAGAACTTATGGGCGATCAGGCTACTGAAGTGGCCCTGTTTAAGCAGAAAAGGGAGTTATTACCCTCCATTATAATTGCACAGGGGCCTCCTTTCCCCTCTCTCACAATCCCCGTAACTTCAGTCTCCCCCTCAGAGAGGCAGCAAATAATAACCAGTATTCAATGAGTGCTCACTATGGTTAATACATGTATTGACCCATTTAACTTGCACAAACCCCTAAAGGTGGGTAATATTATTACTATCTCCATTTTATGAGGAGGAAACTGGGTCACAGAGTAGTTAAGGACCATGTCTAGGGTTATCCATAAATATACTTATTCACATCTGCAGATACAAAGCACAACTTCTCAAATGCAAACACAGACAGGACCCACTCACACACACAGATTTACAACCCCGGACTCATCCAAATGTGCTCTGGGCATCAACTCTGTGCCAGCCTCTTTTCTGGGTGTAGGAAGCAGAGATTACCAAGCATGGTTCCATAGCCTAGAGGAGTCCAGTGTGGCCTGTGTGTGTTTGGAGACAGCCAGGTAGTATCCCGTGAGATACACACTAATATATGGTGGTCTGGGATCACTGAAACAGACACACTGTGTCTCGTGGGGCATCAGAAAAAAATTTCCAAGAAGAGGGCAACTGAGCTGGGTCTTTTTTTCTTTGCTTTTCTTTCTTTTTTCTTTTTTTTTTTTTTTTTTTTTTTTGAGATGGAGTCTTGTGCTGTCACCCAGGCTGGAATGCAGTGGCACAATTTCAGCTAACTGTAACCTCCAACTCCCAGGTTCAGGCGATTCTCCTGCCTCAGCCTCCTGAGTAGCTGGGACTACAGGCATGTACCACCACGCCTGGCTAATATTTGTATTTTTAGTACAGATGGGGTTTCGCCATGTTGGCCAGGCTGGTCTTGAATCCCTGACCTCAAGTGATCCGCCCGCCTCGGCCTCCCAAAGTACTGGGATTACAGGCATGAGCCACCGCGCCCAGTCTCTGAGCTGGGTCTTAAATCATGAATAAACTTCGCCAGGCAGAAAAAGGGAGGCAGAGCAATCCTGACATGCTATTCATGTGTCAGCCAAAGGCAGCATGAGGAATCCCAACTAGTTTGATATATAAGCAGCGGGAAGCGGCCAGAAAAGGCAGCAGGGGCCAGGTCTCTAGCAGCCTTGAATGCCAGGCTAAAGACTCTGGACTTGATCCTGTGGGGAGGCAGTGTAGCAGAATGGCTGAGTGCTGGACTTGACTGCCTACGTGCAAACCTTGGCTCTGCTACACTATCTCTGTCTCAGTTTCCCATGTAGACTGGGGTTAATAATAGTAGCTATTGCATTAAGCCACTGGGGAAAGGCACAAAGATAATAATGTATGTAAAGCCCATTGCCCAGGTTATAATAAGCACTGAATCGACATTGGCTATGATTATTTTTGATTAATGAAGGGGAGGGGGTTATGGCACTGGAAGATTTTAAGTAGGAAAAGGACATGATCTCATCCCTGGGTCAGGTGGAGGTCGGAATAGAGAACGGGGAGATGAAGTAGAAAGTTACTACCCCAGTCTAGATGAGACGGATGAATCCTGAATCAGGGCAGTGGAAGAGGAGATGGAGAACAGGCGATGGAATTGGAATTTTATTCAGGTCAGGATTTGTTAACCATTTGTTCCGTTGGTTAACAGGAAACGGGGGGAGGGAGAGCCGAGGGTGAAAAAGGAGGCAGAAAGGAGTGTCTCTTCCACTGCAGGCCTCAGTTTCCTCATCTGTAAAACGGAGATAATAATCCCTGTCCTGTCCTCCTGGCAGAGTTACTGTCAGCGTCAAACGGGAGAAGCGGTGGGAGGGCACATTATAGTTTATGAAGGGTCGAGAAGGCGGGCGGCCAGCCTCGAGGTAGGGGGTTATTATCTTCCGCTGCCCGCCGCCCCCTCCCACGCCGGCCCAGGCTGAAGCTGACTCTGCCCGCAGGCCTCCAAAGACTTCATATGCTCCAGATCTCCTACTTCCGCGACCCCTATCACGTGTGGTACCAGGGCAACGCGTCGCTGGGGGGACACCTAACGCACGTGCTGGAAGGCCCAGACACCAACACCACGATCATTCAGCTGCAGCCCTTGCAGGAGCCCGAGAGCTGGGCGCGCACGCAGAGTGGCCTGCAGTCCTACCTGCTCCAGTTCCACGGCCTCGTGCGCCTGGTGCACCAGGAGCGGACCTTGGCCTGTGAGTAGGCGCGCAGCGGGGGCGGGGTCTGGGCGGGGCTAGTGGGGGCGGGGCCTGGCGGGTGGGGGCGGGGCCTGGCGGATGGAGGCGGGCTGGGACTTGCAGGGACCCGGCAGCCACTGGAGCTCGGTGGCGCCTGGGCCTTTGAAGATTGCTGGGTGGGGGCTGGAGAGAGGCAGTTGTCCCCGCTAAGAAAGCCCCGACTCGGGCGGTCGTCCTGCTGGCATAACCTCTTGGGATAGACCCTGTTGGAAGGCCCTGACACCGTGACGTCGAAGGTCCCCAGAAAACTCCTCACCCCTCGCCTCACAGTCCTCCAACTCCTTTTCTTCATAGATCTCCGTCCTTCCCTTCCCACAGCCCCCAGCACTTCACCCCCCACCCTCCAGCCACTTCTCATACAAGCTGATGACTTCGCTCTTAGCTCCACTCATGACCCGAACTCTTCCCCCAAAGACCCCAAGTTCTTCTCTCAAAGCCCCACTCCTTCCCCGTCACAACCCTAACTCCTTCTTCTCAAAGACCCCAATTTCTTTTCTCAAAGCACCAAGCACCACTCCGTCCCCCTTCCCCCACCATCATGGCCTTTAACTCCTTTCTCTCCTAGTCCCCCACCCCACCCCCCTTTTTTTTTTTTTTTTTTTTTTTTGAGACGGAGTCTTGCTCTGTCGTCCAGGCTGGAGTGCAGTGGCGCGATCTCGGCTCACTGCAACTTCCGCCTCCCGGGTTCAAGCGATTCTCCTGCCTCAGCCTCCCAAGCAGCTGGGACTACAGGCACCCGCCACCACGCCCGGCTAATTTTTTGTATTTTTAGTAGAGACGGGGTTTCGCCATGTTGGCCAGGCTGGTCTCGAACTCCTGACCTCAGGCGATCCACAAGCCTGGCCTCCCAAAGTGCTGGGATTACAGGCGTGAGCTGCCGCCCCTGCCCCAGCCTCACCCCCTGTTTTTTTTTTCTATTACAGTTGAACAAGGCCTGACAATTCCCTTTTTTCATCACAGTCCCTGGCCCCTTCTTTCTTAGCCTCTAACAGGCTAACCCCAAACCCCTCCTCACAGCCCCAGGCCCTTCTCCCCATAGTTCCCTGACCTAGACTCCCCTCTCCTCACAGCACTGACTCTTGCCTTCTCATGTTCTTTTCCCCTTGGTGGGCCTCGCCCCACACCTGGCACCCTCTCTGCACAGTCCCCTGACCCTGACTGTCTATCCACAGTTCCTCTGACCATCCGCTGCTTCCTGGGCTGTGAGCTGCCTCCCGAGGGCTCTAGAGCCCATGTCTTCTTCGAAGTGGCTGTGAATGGGAGCTCCTTTGTGAGTTTCCGGCCGGAGAGAGCCTTGTGGCAGGCAGACACCCAGGTCACCTCCGGAGTGGTCACCTTCACCCTGCAGCAGCTCAATGCCTACAACCGCACTCGGTATGAACTGCGGGAATTCCTGGAGGACACCTGTGTGCAGTATGTGCAGAAACATATTTCCGCGGAAAACACGAAAGGTATGATGGGACGGGGCCCAGGCCTGCAAGCTGGGGAGAGGGCGGGTTCCAGACAAATGGATGGACCTGAAGGATGGATGCCTAGAGCAACAAGAGGCCCACAGCTGGGGGTTTGGGACAGAACACACGCAGCTTCAGTCAGTTGGTAAACGGGTCCCTTTCCTCTGGGGCAGAAACGCTTTGGGGTTTGACTCAAATCATGGACTCCTTGGGGGCCTATTCTTCGGGCTAACTCTTTGCATGTTCTGCAGGGAGCCAAACAAGCCGCTCCTACACTTCGCTGGTCCTGGGCGTCCTGGTGGGCAGTTTCATCATTGCTGGTGTGGCTGTAGGCATCTTCCTGTGCACAGGTGGACGGCGATGTTAATTACTCTCCAGCCCCCTCAGAAGGGGCTGGATTGATGGAGGCTGGCAAGGGAAAGTTTCAGCTCACTGTGAAGCCAGACTCCCCAACTGAAACACCAGAAGGTTTGGAGTGACAGCTCCTTTCTTCTCCCACATCTGCCCACTGAAGATTTGAGGGAGGGGAGATGGAGAGGAGAGGTGGACAAAGTACTTGGTTTGCTAAGAACCTAAGAACGTGTATGCTTTGCTGAATTAGTCTGATAAGTGAATGTTTATCTATCTTTGTGGAAAACAGATAATGGAGTTGGGGCAGGAAGCCTATGGCCCATCCTCCAAAGACAGACAGAATCACCTGAGGCGTTCAAAAGATATAACCAAATAAACAAGTCATCCACAATCAAAATACAACATTCAATACTTCCAGGTGTGTCAGACTTGGGATGGGACGCTGATATAATAGGGTAGAAAGAAGTAACACGAAGAAGTGGTGGAAATGTAAAATCCAAGTCATATGGCAGTGATCAATTATTAATCAATTAATAATATTAATAAATTTCTTATATTTAAGGCATTGTTATCTCCTCCACTTTGCAAAATTTCTGGAAAAGTAACCTATACCCATTTCTTCTGCTTCCTTATTTCTCACTCATTCTTTTTTTTTTTTTTTTTTTTTTTGAGACAGAGTCTTGCTCTGTTGCCTAGGCTGGAGTGCAATGGTGTGATCTCAGCTCACTGCAACCTCTGCCTCCCGGTTCAAGCAATTCTCCTGCCTCAGCCTCCCAAGCAGCTGGGATTACAGATGCATGCCACCACACCCAGCTAATTTTTGTATTTTTAGTAGAGATGGGGTTTCACCACGTTGGCCATCCTGACCTCGTGATCCGCCTACCTCGGCCTCCCCAAGTGCTGGGATTAGACGTGAGCCACTGCGCCTGGTCTTCTCACTCATTCTTAGACCCAGTGCAATCTGACTTCTCTATAAACTACTCTGAGATCACCAGTAACCTCTAATTGTCAAACCATCACCCTACATGGTATCTGCAAATTTGCGGACTAGAACTCTCTTTTTGCCTTAACTTCTGAGATACCATACTTCAATTTTTAAAACTGTTCTGTCTACTTTTTTTCAATCCCTTTGACTATGTCATCTTACACGATTCACCCTGGAAATGCTGGCTTCCTTAGAATTCCATTTTTTGGTTCCTTTTGTTCCTGTTTGAACTATACCCTTTCTAGGTGACCTACTGACCTTCATGGCTGCAAATACTATCTACCTGTGGTTTCCATGGAGAAGCAATATAATTTTATCTTTAAGAGCATGTGTTTTGTCGGCCAGGCGCGGTGGCTCACGCCTGTAATCCCAGCACTTTGGGAGGCCGAGGCGAGAGGATCACTTGAGGTCAGGAGTTCAAGACAAGCCTGGCCAACACAGTGAAACCCTATCTCTACTAAAAATACAAAAATTAGCTAAGTTTGGTGGCACGCGCCTGTAATCCCAGCTACTTGGGAGGCTGAGGCAGGAGAATCACTTGAACCCGGGAGGCAGAGTTTGCAGTGAGCTGAGATCACACCACTGCACTCCAGCCTGGGCAACAGAGTGAGATTCTTTTTTTTTTTAATTCTAAAAAAAAAAAAAAAAAAAAAAGAGTATGTGTTTTGTCATCAGACTTAAGTTTTACTTCTTTGAACTAGAAATTTAACTTCTTCAAGTCTCAGTTTTTTTTTTTTTTTTTTTTTTTTTTGAGACGAAGTCTCGCTCTGTCGCCCAGGCTGGAGTGCAGTGGCGGGATCTCGGCTCACTGCAAGCTCCGCCTCCCGGGTTCACGCCATTCTCCTGCCTCAGCCTCCCAAGTAGCTGGGACTACAGGCGCCCGCCACTACGCCCGGCTAATTTTTTGTATTTTTAGTAGAGACGGGGTTTCACCATTTTAGCCGGGATGGTCTCGATCTCCTGACCTCGTGATCCGCCCACCTCGGCCTCCCAAAGTGCTGGGATTACAGGCGTGAGCCACCGCGCCCGGCCTAAGTCTCAGTTTTTTTTGTTCCCAAATGGTATTAATAAAATATACCAAAGGGTCTAAGAAAAACAATACCCAATTCATAAAGGCATGAAGAGTATTAAATAAAAGTATATATGTAAAATAATATGCCAAGCGCAAGCTGGGCACGGTGGCTCATGCCTGTAATCCCAGCACTTTGGGAGGCCGAGGCGGGCGGATCACAAGGTCAGGAGATCGAGACCATCCTGACTAACACAGTGAAACCCTGTCTCTACTAAACAAAAACAAAAAATTAGCCGGGCATGGTTGCGGGCGCCTGTAGTCCCAGCTCCTCGGGAGGCTGAGGCAGGAGAATGGCATGAATCCGGGAGGCAGAGCTTGCAGTGAGCCGAGATCACGCCACTGCACTCCAGCCTTGGCGACAGAGTGAGACTCCATCTCAAAAAAAAAAAAAAAAAAAAAAATGCCAAACGCAATGACTGGCTCACACCTGTAATCCCAACACTTTGGGAGGCAGAGGCAGGAGGATTGCTTGAGCTCAGGGGTTTGAGACCAGCCTAGACAACATAGTGAGACCCTGTCTCTACAAAAAAAAATAGAAAAAATTAGCTGGGCATGGTGGTGTGGGCCTGTAGTTCCAGTTACTCAAGAGGCTGAGGTAAGAGGATTGCTTGAGCCCAGAAGGTTGAGGCTGCACTGAGCCATGATCGTGCCACCACACTGCAGCCTGGCAACAGACCAAGAAAAAAAAAAAAAGATAGTGTATGTATAGTCAGTAAATACAGCAGTGGCTTCTGATCTCCAGACCTCTCATTTGCATTGATTCTTTAAAATCATCTCTACCTTAATGTTCTGTAGACATTTCAAAATCAACATGTTCAAAATCAAATTTATTATCTATCTCCCCAAATCTGCTCTCTCTACTTCTGATGTTTACTGTTCATTAATGGATAACAGAATAACCATCAAATCATGTAAGTGGAGAGAACTCAGTGTTAACCTTTATTTACTCCCTCTTATTTATCCCCATCTACCAACTACAGTATCTATAAAACACATTCACTCCTTTCTACCCCATTGCTTTTGTTCAAGATATCATAATTCCTCTCTTTCTTTGTGGTAAACATGAAGGTGTACCATCCAGTTCTACCTCCAAAGAAAGACTTCCTGTTGGCCGGGCATGATGGTTCACGCTTGTAATCGCAGCACTTTGGGAGGCCGAGGTGGGGGGATCACCTGAGGTCAGGAGTTGGAGACCAGCCTGGCCAACATGGCGAAACCCTGTCTCTACTAAAAATACAAAAATTAGCCGGGCGCGGTGATGCACGCTTGTAATCCCAGCTACTAGCAGGGGCTGAGGCAGGAGAATCTCTTGAACCCAAGAGGCAGAGGTTGCAATGAGCTGAGATCTCGCCACTGCACTCCAGCCTGGGCAACAAGAGCAAAATTCCATCTCAAATAAATAAATAAATACATAAATAAGAAAAAAAAGACTTGCCGTTCAGCTATAGGGGGAATAGCCAGCAGATAGCTTCCGCTTGCTTCAGTTCTTTCAATGTCTGCCTCAGCTGTAGAGGACAGTCCTGCACAAGATCATGCCCATCCCAGGGCTGCCCTCACTCGGTGCCTAAGCAAGGCAGGGGTATAAAAGTTCGGTCATTTTGGCCAACTGCAGGACAACTCTGAGAATAGGTTGGATTGACAAGGGCTAGCCAGGGCTGGAAATATTCACTCCAGAGCTCCCTGCCAGGGAGGCTGGGTCTTTGTCAGATCTGCATTGCCGTTTGACTTCTCTCTTAGCTCAGCCCTACTTCTTCCCCCTGGTAAGCATCTTGCACCTCAAACTCTGTCTCAGCCTCTGCTTCCAGATAACCCAACTTGTGTGTGTGTGTCTCTCTCTCTTTCAAAATTGAGAAATTTTCTCAATCTTGTCTGGACCATGGCAGCAGCCTCCTCCTAAGAAATTGCCTCTAATTTCTCCATATTTTAATTCATCTTCTACATGGCAGTAAGAAACACAGATCTAATTGTGTCATTATTCCGTTTTTTGTTGTTGTTTGTTTTTTGTTTTTTGTTTTGTTTTGTTTTGTTTTGAGACAGAGTCTCTCTCTGTCACCCAGGCTGGAGTGCAGTAGTGTGAACTTAGCTCACTGCAACCTCTGCCTCACAGGTTCAAGCAATTCTCCTGCCTCAACCTCCCGAGTAGCTGGGATTACAGGCATGTGCCACCACGCCCGGCTAATTTTTTGTATTTTTAGTAGAGTCGGGGTTTCACCATGTTGGTCAGGCTGGTCTTGAGCTCCTGACCTCAAGTGATCTACCCGCCTTGGCCTCACAAAGTGCTGGGATTACAGGCGTGAGCCACCACGCCTGGACTGTTTTTTAAATTTCTCATTGAGTTAAATTCAGAATCCTCAAAATGACATTCAAGGCCTTGCACAATGTGGCCCCAACCTAATTTTCTAATTTAATTTTAATTTAATTTTATTTTATTTTATTTTGAGATGGAGTCTCACTCTGTCACCCAGGCTGGAGTAAAGTGGTGCGATCTCTGCTCACTGCAACCTCCACCTCCTGGGTTCAAGCTATTCTCCTACCTCAGCCTCCCAAGTAGCTGGGATTGCAGGCATGTGCCACCACGCCCGGCTAATTTTTGTATTTTTAGTAGTGACGGGGTTTCACCATGTTGGTCAGGCTGGTCTTGAACTCCTGACCTCATGATCTGCTCTCCTTGGCCTCCCAAAGTGCTGGGATTGCCGGCGTGAGCCACTGTGCCCGGCCCCTCAAATTTTATTTTCTACCATTTCTCTTTAGCCACTGTGCCTTAGATTATTTATTTTAAAAGCATATTTTTAAATGACGGAAGTGGTACAACAACAGCAATAACAGAGAAGTTTACAAAGAAATTTCATAAAGGAAAAACGGAACGCCTCCTGCTTTCTCATTCTCCCCAAATCCTTACTCCAGAGGTATGCTAAGATTATTAGTTGCAAGCAACAGAAACCAATTCTGCCAACTTAAGGGGAAAATAAGTATATTGGAAGGTTATTAAGTAATCCTCAGAGTTGATGGGAAAGCCAGATAATCAAGCTCAGAAAGTAGAACCAGGGACCACAGCCAAAGTCACACCACAGGAATGGTATTAAGGATGCCACAGCTGGAAGCACTACCTCCATCACCAATGCTGCTGCCATATTAAAGGAATTCTCCTCTGACCCTGTGTCTTTACATCATTTGTTCAAGAGTCAATATCCTGAGTGGAAGCAGCCAAATGACCAAGCCTTGATCATGTTGCTTTTGCCTTAGCTGCAAGTGCAGGGGGGAAAAGGAAAACTTTAGATACCTTTGACTTCTCTTGTGGGAGGTGAGAACCTGTCTCCCATTAAGACTCACACAGAGGAAGAGATTTCAGATGCTGGGCAACCAAAACAGGTACAGGTGATTTTAAAGAATTGATGCAAATGAGAAGCCTGGAGATCAGTAGCCACTGCTGTATTTACTAACTCTACATATATTATCTTTTTTTTGAGACAGACTCTTGGTCTGTTGCCCAGGCTGGAATTGGTGGCACGATCATGGCTCACTGCAGCTTCAACCTCCTGGGCTCAAAAAACAGAACAAAAGAAAAATAAAATAGAAAAGCAAAAACAACAAAAACCCATAAATGTTCACTATATCTCACATCATTAATTTATTTACTCGTTTAATAAATGTTTGTCAGAAACTTCCATATAGAAGGCTTTATGTTATGTACTTTGGAAGACACAAAACGATTAGGATATGATCCTTCTCAAGGAGCCCAGTCTTTTCTTGGGAAGATAAAACATACAAAAGAGAACAACACAAGGCAAGATGCATTGTATAACTAGAAGAAACACACAAATAAAAATGTGATGTTATGTGGCCGGGCATGGTGGCTCACGCCTGTAATCCCAGCACTTTGGGAGGCTGAGGTGGGCAGTTCACCTGAGGTCAGGTGTTCGAGACCAGCCTGGCCAACATGGTGAAACCGTCTCTACTAAATATACAAAAATTAGCCAGGCATGGTGGCACGTGCCTGTAGTTCCAGCTACTCAGGAGGCTAAGGAAGGAGAGTAGCTTGCACCCAGGAGGCAGATGTTGCAGTGAGTTGAGATCGTGCCACTGCACTCCAGCCTGGGCGACAGAGCGAGACTCCGTCTCAAAAAAAAAAAAAAAAAAAAAAAAAAGGAAAGAAAGAAAGAAAAATGTTATGCTCTGATTTACTCTTGTAGCTATCATTTACATATTGCTATATAGTTTTTGGAATTCTGTAACTTGCGTTTATCATTTAATACTCTCTTTGGTCTTGTAAGATAGATATAATCATTTTAGATTAGGAGACATGTTTAGGGAGAATAAGAAAGTTAATAACTGATATGGTTTGGATGTTTTGTCCCTCCAAATCTCATGTTGGAACGTGACCTCCATTGTTAGAGATGGGCATAATGGGAGGTGTTTGGGTCATGGGGGCAGATCCCTCATGAATGGCTTAACACCATCCTTTAGTGTTGAGTGAGTTCTTGTTCAGTTAGATTACACATGAGATCTCGTTGTTTAAAAGGATCTGAGACCTCCCCTCCTCTTTCTTGCTTCCTTCTGTCTCATCTTATATGCCTGCTCCCCCTTTGCCTTCCAACATGATTGAAAGCTTCCTGAGGCCTCACCAGAAGAAGATGCTGGTGCCATGCTTCCTGTACATCCTGCAGAAGTGTGAGTCAAAAATAAACCTCTTTTCTTTTATAAATTAGCCACTTGCAGGTATTCCAGTATAGCAGCACAAGAATTGACTAATATAGTATCAGAGCTAGGATTCAAACCCGTGCCTTTGTGTTCTAGGATTTATGCTTTCTCTCCTCTACTAAAACTGCAGGAATCAGAGGAATCTAGGGGAGAAACATGGTATTTGTGAATTGGTGAGATATGACCATGCCCAGATAGGAAAGATAGACAGAACAGATTCAATAATGAAAATAGGAAAAAGCAGAGTAAATTTTAGACATTTCTTAAAGAAGATACACCAGTGGCCAATAAGCACATGAAAAGATGCCCAACATCGTTATAGTCATTATGGAAATGCAAATCAAAACCATGAGATACCACTTCATACCATCAAGAATGGCTATAGGAGGATGGATAGAATCAATATTGTGAAAATGACCATACTGCCAAAAGCAATCTACAAATTCACGCAGTCCCCATCAAAATACCACCATCATTCTTCACAGAGTTAGAAAAAACAATTCTAAAATTCATATGGAATCAAAAAAGAGCCCACATGGCCAAAGCAAGAGTAAGCAAAAAGAACAAATCTGGAGGCATCACACTACCTGATTTCAAATTATACTATAAGGCCATAGTCACCAAAACAGCATGATACTGGTATAAAAATAGGCACATAGACCAATGGAACAGAATAGAGAACCCAGAAATAAACCCAAATACTTATAGCCAACTGATCTTTGACAAAGCAAACAAAAACATAAAAGTGGGGAAAGGACACCCTTTTCAACAAATGGTGCTGGGATAATTGGTTAGCCACAGGTAGAAGAACGAAACTGGATCCTCATCTTTTACCTTATACAAAAATCAACTCAAGATGGATTGAGGAGCTGGGCGTGGTGGCTCACGCCTGTAATCCTAGCACTTTGGGAGGCCGAGGCGGGCAGATCACGAGGTCAGGAGATTGAGACCATCCTGGCTAACACGGTGAAACCCATCTCTACTAAAAATACAAAAAATTAGCTGGGCGTGGTGGCGGGCGCCTGTAGTCCCAGCCACTCAGAAGGCTGAGGCAGGAGAATGGCGTGAACCCAGGAGGTGGAGCTTGCAGTGAGCTGAGATGACGCCACTGCACTCCAGCCTGGGTGACAGAGCGAGACTGTGAGACTCTGTCACAAAAAAGAAAAAAACACAAGATGGATTAAGGACCTAAACCCAAGACCTGAAACTGTAAAATTTCTAGAAGATAACATTGGAAAAACCCTTCTAGACATTGGCTTAGCCAAAGATTTCAAGACAAAAAAACCAAAAGCAGTTGCAATATAAATAAAGGTAAATAGCTGGGACCTAATTAAACCAAAGAGCTTTTGCACGGCAAAAGGAACAGTCAGCAGAGTAAACAGACAACTCACAGAGTGGGAGAAAATCTTCACAATCTATACATCTGACAAAGGACTAATATCCAGAATCTACAATGAACTCAAACGAATCAGTAAGACAAAAAAAAAAAAAAAAAAAATCAATCCCAACAAAAAGTGGGCTAAGGAGATGAATAGACAATTCTCAAAAGAAGATATACAAATAGCCAACAAACATGAAAAAATGCTCAACATTACTAATGATCAGGAAAATGCAAATCAAAACCACAAAGCGATACCACCGTACTCCCATAAGAATGGCCATAATCAAATAATAAAATAATAGTAGACGTTGACGTGGATGCAGCAATCAGGGAACACTTCTACACTGCTGGTGGGAATGTAAACTAGTACAGCTGCTATGGAAAACAGCGTGGAGATTCCTTAAAAAACTAAAAGTAGAGCTACCATTTGATCCAGCAATCCCACTACTGGGTATCTACCCCGAGGAAAAGAAGTCATTATTCAAAAAAGATACTTGCACACGCAAGTTTATAGCAGCACAATTCACCATTGCAAAATCGTGGAACAAACCCAAATGCCCATCAATCAATGAATGGATAAAGAAACTCTGGTATATATATATGATGGAGTACTACTCAGCCATAAAAGGAATGAATTAACAGCATTTGCAATGACCTGGAGGAGATTAGAGACTATTATTCTAAGTGAAGTAACTCAGGAATGGAAAACCAAACATCATATGTTCTCACTGATATGTGGGAGCTAAGCGATGAGGATGCAAAGGTATAAGAATGATACAATGGACTTTGGGGACTTGGGGCAAAGAGTGGGAGGGGGGTGAGGGATAAAAGACTACAAATATGGTGCATTGTGTACTGCTTGGGTGACGGGTGCCACAAATCTCCACCAAACAACTTACTCATGTAACCAAATGCCACCTGTACCTCGATAACTTATGGAAAAATAAAATTTTAAAAAGAATGGCTATAGGAAAAAAGACAGACAATAACAAGTGTTGGCAAGAATGTGAAGAAATTGGAACCCTCATACATTGCTGGTGGCAATGGTATAGCACTTTGGAAAACAATTTGACAGTTCTTCAAAAAGTTAAACATAGAGTTATTGTGTGGCCCAGCAAGTCCGCTCCTAGTATATGCCCAAGAAAATTGAAACATACATCCATGCAAATACTTGTACATGAATGTTCACAGAAGCATTATTCCTAATAGCCAAAAATGGTAATAATCCAAATGTCTGTTAATTGATGGAGAAACAAAATGTAGTATTTTAATACAATGGAATATTATCTAGCCATGAAAATGAGGTACTGACACATGTTACAACACGGATGAGCCTTAAAAACATGATAAGTAGTCCGGGAGCAGTGGCTCTCGCCTGCAGTCACAACACTTTGGGAGGCCAAGGCGGGTGGATCATGAGATCGGGAGTTCAAGACCAGCCTGACCAACATGGAGAAACCCCGCCTCTTCTAAAAATAGAAAATTAGCCGGGCATGGTAGCACATGCCTGTAATCCCAGCTACTCGGGAGGCTGAGGCGGGAGAATCACTTAAGCCCAGGAGGCTGAGGTTGCGGTGAGCCAAGATCGCGCCATTGCACTCCAGCCTGGGCAACAAGAGTGAAACTCCATCTCAAAAAAAAAAAAAAAAAAAATGATAAGTAAAAGAAGCCAGTCACAAAGAACCAGGTATTATATGATTCAACACACGTGAAACATCCAGAATAGGCAATCTGACCAGGCACAGTGGCTCATGCCTGTAATCCCAGCAATTTGGGAGGCCAAGGCAGGTGGATCACAAGGTCAGGAGATCGAGACCATCCTTGCTAACATGGTGAAACCCTGTCTCTACTAAAAAAAAAAGTACAAAAAAGAGCTGGGCATGGTGGCACGTGCCTATAATCCCAGTTACTCGAGAGGCTAAGGCAGGAGAATGGCGTGAACCTGGGAGGCGGAGGTTGCAGTGAGTGGAGATTGCGCCACTGCACTCCAGCCTGGGCAACAAAGCAAGACTCTGTCTCAAAAAAAAAAAAGAAAAAAAAATAGCAATAGCTGTTTAAGTCAGTGGCCTGCAAAACATGTTAACAATTAGGTCAATTCCTTCTTTGCGCTTCCTCAATCCATAGTTTGATCTATCTTCCTCCAAATCTGCTCTGTCACTCAGGCTGGAGTGCAGTGGTGTGATCCCAGTTCACTGCAGTCTCCATCTCGCAGGCTCAAACGATCCTCCCACCTCAGCTTCCTGAGTAGCTGGGACTACAGGCATGCACCTCCAAGCCTGCCTAAATTTGTTTTGTTTGTTTGTTTGTTTGTTTTGTAGAGTCAGGGTTTCACCATGTTGCCCAGGCTCGAATTCCTGAACTGAAGTGATCCACCTACCTGGGCCTGCCAAAGTGCTGGGATTACAGGCATGAGCCACCACACCTGGCCTGAACACGCTTATACTAATGGTGAAATAATGTTGGGTAGCTGTAAGTGGCTTGCCCAAAGTTCCACAGTGATGTGGTACAAGAACTGGCACTAGAGCTTGGGACTTCTGACTTCTGATCCTGAGCTATTGCTGCTACATCATTCCATGAGAGGCATTAGGAATCATAGGTTAAAGAGGTAAGGTACTACTTGGAGGGATTCTCTGAAAATTTTTGCCCATGTCCAAAAGCAGGAGAGGTAAGTAATCAGGGAAACAGTGGGATGAATAACTCTGACCGTTTAGGGAGAAGATATGATCCTCATTTCCAGGAGTTTCTACACAGGGTGAAGAGTGAATGGAAGGTTCATCTGCTTATGCTTACGTATGTGAATACATGTTCATAGCTACATGACCTTAGATAAGTCAGTGCCCCTCTCTGAGAGGGAGTTTGTAATCTCTGAGATATCTAAGGTATCTCCCAGCTCTGATAACTAGGATTCTACATTCCTAAGTCCAGATGGCTGACAGGACAATTGTAAAGGTCCTAGAAGTTCCATTCCTCTTTTTGGGAATGATCTTAGAATGTTTGGCTTGGGTCAGTTACGTGGCAGCCAGACTATTAGAGCTCCAGTTGGAGTTTACAAGAGAAATAAACAAATCTGAAATAAAGGTAAACAAATGACTCCCTGGCATATTCTAAAAGTATCCTTCTGGGTGGCTTGGCTTACTGGATTCCCCATCTTTTAATTCAGTTCAACACGTGTGCCTTGATTTTATATCTCTGCCAGGTGGCCTGAGGTTTAGGTTTTGGACCGCATTCTTTTTCCAACTCAGCCAACTGTTGCTGAGGACTGTTTTATGCAAAGAATTGTGCTAACTGCTAGCAGGGATGCAAAAGTGGGTAAAACATGATCTCTGCCCAGGAACTGATAGTCTAGAAGGAGAAGCATACAAAGCAGTTTATTTTAACACAGAAGGAATGAAAAGATTCAAAGTAATTATAAGCTATGTACTGAAAGAAAGAGATCTGGGAAGGCTACACAGAGGCCATAGATTTCATCTGGGGCTTGAAGAAGAGAATTACAGTAGGTGAAAAGGGGAAAGATGTTTCTCCTTTCCTAGACTAAGATCTTTGAGGGCAGAGATTACATCTTATTTATCTCTGTGTTCCTGATACCCAACATAGTGCCTGGCACAAGGAAAGAGTCCAATACATGTGTTTTGAATCAATGAATAATGAGTGGATTCTAGACTGATATAATAGCACAAAGACAAAGTGGATAAAAGTGCACCTTATGTTTGGGGAATGCTAAATGGTCTGATGTGGTTGCTCCGAATATTGGTTATATAAGGAAATGTTATGGGAAATCAAATTTTAGTACCAGATTAAGAATGCCATGCTAAGAAGTTATACTTAGTCTATAGGCAATAGTTAACTATTTACTCCTCTAGGACAAAATACCCTTGGGTTGTGGGAAGTCAGGGACCCCGAACAGAGGGACCTGCTGAAGCCGTGACAGAAGAACATAAATTGTGAAGATTTCATGGACATTTATCACTTCCCCAATCAATACTCTTATAATTTCCTATGCCTGTCTTTACTTTAATCTCTTAATCCCATCATCTTCATAAGCTGAGGATGTATGTCACCTCAGGACCCTGTGATGATTGCGTTAACTGCACAAGTTGTTCATAAAGCATGTGTGTTTGAACAATTTGAAATCTGGGCACCTTGAAAAAAGAACAGGATAACAGCGACGTTCAGGGAACAAGGGAGATAACCATTAGGTCTGACTGCCTGGGAGCTGGGCAGGACAGAGCCATATTTCTCTTATTACCAAAAATGGGTAAGAGAAATATAGCTGAATTCTTTCCCCAGTAAGGAATATTAATAATTAACAGCCCTGGGAAAAGAACGCATTCCGGGGGGGGGCCTCTAAAATGGCCACTCTGGAGGGGTGTCTGCCTTATGCAGTTACAGATAAGGGATGAAACACACCCTGGTCTCCTGCAGCGTCCCCAGACTTGCTAGGATTAGGAAATTCCAGCCTGGCGAATTCTAGTCAGACCGGTTCTCTGCTCTTGAACCCTGTTGTTTATCAATGACAATGCATGCACAGTGGGACATGGAACTTCATTAATAATTCTAGTTTCGCCCTGACCTTGTGATCTCGCCCTGACCTTCTGCCTTGTGATCTTTTGTTGCCCTTGAAACAAGTGATCTCTGTGACCCACACCCTATTCGTACACTCCCTCCCCTTTGAAAATTGCTAATAAAAACTTGCTGGTTTTACGGCTCAGGGGGCATCACGGAACCTGCCGACATGTGATGTCTCCCCCGGACACCCAGCTTTAAAATTTCTCTCTTTTGTACTCTTTCCCTTTATTTCTCAGACCAGCCAACACTTAGGGAAAATAGAAAAGAACCCACGTTGAAATATCGGGGGCTGGTTCCCCCAATACCCTTGTTCATCTTTGTATCCTTAGTATCTACAACAGTGCCAGGAATTTAGAAGTTAGTCAATAAATGGCTGGATGAATGAATGAATTGAAGAGTTTTGAGGAAGGAAATTATTTCATCCAATCTGCACCTTACTTTACTGATAATAATCCCTCGCCTTTTTGTACAATTTTGTAGTCACAGAAACATTTTATCCTATTATGTCATGAAAAATTTTATTGATATGCTCAAAAAGCTTATTAGGAAAGAAAGGCAGATATTATTATCATTTCCTATAGATGTTATTATTCTCATTTCCTGGCAACGTTATTATTCTCACACCCAGTAAAAAGAAACCAAAACTCTATTTCTTCTAATATCTCTTGGTATATCCGATGATCTGTTGTATGTGTACTGGCATATAACAGGGTTCTCATGGGTAGCCTTAATCTTGCATCACACTCACTATAATCAGGATTTCTACATATCCCAAAAAATAGATCCAACTCGCAATGCAGGGATATTGTACTGATTACTTCATGGGGATCCTGGCTGTACCATACCCCACACAGCAGAAGCTTAATCAATTCTTAGACATTTCTGTTCTTTTTCTTAAGCTTGATCTCTCTCAACATCAACGAACTTATCTCTCTTCCTTCTCTTTCCTCTCACAACCTTGCCCCCTTTTCCCACCCAAACAAAAAACAAAACCCATTATTTTATTAAGCCTTTCATTTTTCAGTATGTTTATTTTTCTCAGCAAAACAAAAGCCCTGTAGTTTTTCTTATTTCCTTAAACATGGTGTTTTATTTCATCCAAATGCAAGTGAAGAGGAGATTAGATTTGGTTTGTGGAATTCCAGGGAACAGATTAATGAATGAGAGGAAGTCAGAGAGAAATAAATGTTAGTTTAATGTAACTTTCTGACCCAGCAATTCAATAATGGAACTGGCTGTTTCACAGAGTAGTGAACTCCCTGTTACTGGAAGTATTTGGCATGTCAAGTCCAACTTCTGACCTCTAAAACCGCATGTGACCGTCCTACATATGTTCAAAGATGATGGTCCTGTTCTCCTAAATCTTTTCTTCTTTTTTTGAGACAGAGTCTCGCTCCGTCGCCAGGCTGGAGTGCAGTGGTGTGATCTCGGCCCACTGCAATGTCTGCCTCCTCAGTTAAAGTGATTCTCCTGCCTCAGCCTCCTGAGTAGTTGGGACTACAGGCACGTACCACCAGGCCCAGCTAATTTTCATATTTTTAGTAGAGACAGGGTTTCACCATGTTGGCCAGGATGGTCTCGATCTCTTGACCTCATGATCCACCTACCTCAGCATCCCAAAGTGCTGGGATTACAGGCTGTGAACCACCGTGCCCAGCAATCTTTTCTTCTCCAGATTAAACATCTTACTTTCTTCAAGGGTTCCTTATTTGATGTGGCAGTTCAGTAACCTGCTATTGTTCTTCTGGACTTGTTACAATTTGTCAATTTCTCATGCATTTATTTAAAAAAATTTATTGAGTCGGGTCACTAGAATTACTAAATAAGAAAAAGAAAATTATTGAGTGACTTCTATGGTTCAGACGCTGTTTTAGGACGTGGGAATAGAGCAATATAGCAGAGAACAAAAACAAAGTCTGTCTTAGAAGCTACAGTTTACTGGGAGGGACAGACCCTAAACAAATAATTTTTTTTTAATGTCAGAGATAATTAGTAGGAAATAGGTAGAAAAATAAGGAAGGTCGAAGGGAGAATAACTGAGTTGCTGTTTTAGACAGCATAATCAGGGCAGGCCTCTGGAATAAGATGACAGTTGAGCAGAGATATGAAGGAAGTGCAAGAGTGGCCAGGGGAAGAACAAGCCAATTTAGATAGACCGAACAAGTGCAAAAGCTCTGAGGAGTAAGCTTGGTTTATTTCATGAACAAGGAGGCCAGTTTATCTGAAGTGGTACAGGCAAAGAGAAGAGAAAGAGCAGGAGGCAAATAACCGAGGGCCTAATAAGCCAATTATCTGTACTTTGCTATTTGTTCTGAGTGAGATGGAAAGGCATTGGAGGCTTTCGAGAAGAGGACTGACGTGATTTGACTTGCATTTGAAAAGCATCACTATGGCTACCATGGGGGGAAACAAAGTTTAAAAGGCAAAGAAATACTCAGGGACCTCCAAGGATACTCATACATTCCTGTTAGGAGGCAATAATATGGGTGAAAAATGATGGTGGCAAGGACAAGGGTGATACCACTACTTACCCATTACCCATCAGAATAGTCAGAAAGAAAAAGACAAACAAGGAAGGAAAGAAAAGACAGTATTGGCAAGGATACAGGCCAATTAGAACTTTCCTACACTGCTGTTGGTAAGGTAAATTGATATGAAACAACCACTGTTTAGAAAACCGCAGTATCTACTAAAGTTGAACATCTGCCTCCTAGGCATATGCCTAACAGAAACGTTTACCTATGTTCACTGAAAGACATATACAAGATTAGTCATAGCTGTAAGAATTAAAGAAAGAAGAGAGAAACACGAAGGGCGGCTCGACAGTCAACAGGGACAGGTTTATTCTGAATAAACTTGAGTGGGGCAGCTGGCCAAGTTAGGTCAGAGCCACACTCTCTTACAGACTAAGTGTTTTTAAGGATTCAGGGTGGGAGAATTTATCAGAGGCTTGGACTGCTTCTGTGTTTCTTTGTTGTGCTTATCTGGGAGGGAAAGTT
Organism: Homo sapiens; assembly: GCF_000001405.40. Taxonomy (NCBI): domain Eukaryota; kingdom Metazoa; phylum Chordata; class Mammalia; order Primates; family Hominidae; genus Homo; species Homo sapiens. The sequence continues at coordinate 35,192,499 of NC_000020.11, forward strand.
GTGTGTCTGTTCCCATACATCTTTCTGCAGCTGCAGGCATATCCCCCGGGTTGCTTTTAGCTTCCCTATCTTAGTGCACCTGAAGGGAAAGGAATGTGCTTATTAGGGCCTACTGTTTTACTGGGAGCCATCGTATGAGGGTGAAGTTTGGCAGTTACCCAGGAGACTTTCCCCCCACCTCCCTCTGTACCCAAGCTGTCTTATCTATGTTTTACTGTCTGCTCTTTCTATTTGTACTTAGAAGAGAGTGATTTCCTTGAAATGCACGAGGCTAGAAAGGGAGCTGGAACTTAAAGTGGCAGTGTTTGTTCGAGATGACAGTGCTCCTGCTCTGTCAATAGCAGTATTCTTTGTAATATCCCCAACTAAAAAGTACCCAAACACCATCAAGAATAGAATAATGAAACAAATTATACTATATTTACATAATGGAATATACAACGAGAGTAGAAAAACTTAAACTACAAGTCTTAATATAAGTGAATGTCACAAATATAATATTGATCAAAAGAAGCCAAACACAAAAAAGTATAAACTATATGATTACATTTATATAAATTTCAAAGACACACAGAACTAACCTGTGGTGTTAGAAGCCAGGATATTGGTTACATTTGGGAAGCTAATGATTAGAAGGGAGACATGAGGGCTTCTGAGGCAATGCCCTGTTTCTTTCTTTCTTTTTTTTTTTTTTTTAAGATGGAGTCTCGCTCTGTCACCAGGCTGGAGTGTAGTGGCGCAATCTCGGCTCACTGCAACCTCCACCTCCCAGGTTCAAGCCATTCTCCTGCCACAGCCCCCCGAGTAGTTGGGCCTACAGGCGCATGCCACCACGCCCAGCTAATTTTTGTACTTTTAGTAGAGACGGGGTTTCACTGTGTTGGCCAGGATGGTCTTGATCTCTTGACCTCGTGATCTGCCTGCCTCAGCCTCCCAGAGTGCTGGGATTACAGGCATGAGCCACCGCACCTGGCCTGCCCTGTTTCTTAATCTGGATGCTGGCTATATCAATAGGCTCACTTTGTGAACATTCACTAAGTTGTACATTTATAATTTGAGCACTTTCCTGTATCAGTGTTATGCCTCAATAAAGTTTACATTACAAAGGAATGACTCAGAGGTTTTGATCTGTGCAACTGGAGGCTATAATTGACATTTATTGAAATGGGGAAGCTATAGAAGAAGCAGGTTTTGGTGGGAAATGCATTCATTATGTACATACTACATTTGATATTTATTAGACATCCAAGTTGAAATGCTGATAGAATGCAGTTGGTATACAAGTCTGCAGTTGAGGGAAATGTCTAGGCTGAAGACCTAAATTTGAGAGCTCACTATATAGATAACATGTAAACTCATAAAGCTGGATGGGATCACCTAAGGAATAGTCTAGACAGAGAAAACATTCAAGTACTAAACCCTGAGGACGCCCCAACATTTAAAGGCTGGAAATTGAGGAGAAACCAGTAAAGAAAACTGAGTAGCCAGTGAGGTGTGATAAGAGCTGAGAGAGTGGAATCTCAGAAGCCAGGTGAAAAAAGTGTTCTAAGGAGGAAGTAACCACTGTAACAGATACAGCAGATAGTGGAATAAGGTAAGGACTGATCATCGGTTATTGATGGAGATCACTGGAGACCTTGATAAACAGCAGTTTTGGTGGTGTGGTAGGGACAAAAGCCTAATTAGAATGAGCTCAAGAAACAAACTAATTTGAGACAGTGACTATAAATAACTCTTTTGAGGAGTTTGGTTTGTTTTACAGAAGAACAGAGAAGTAAGATATTAAAAAGAATATTAATTAAGGATATGAAGCAGTGTTGGGTTAAGTAACTAAGGAGGCTTATGGGATCAAGAAAAGTTTTTTCTCTTAATAAGGTAGATAATAAAGTATGTTTGTACACTTACAGGGATAATCAATAGAGAGGGAAAATTTGATGACACAAGAAAAAGAGAGGGCAGTGGCTGGAGTGATGTCCTGGAGCAGGTTATAAAAGAGGTTAGACTCCAAGGCACAAATGGAGAGACCAACTTAGCTAAGATCATGGACAGTTCCTCTAGGGAGGAAAGAGCTAGAGAAAGGGATCCCTTAAATCTGTACGTGAGCCAAGAGAAATTGCAAGCTCACTACCAAGTTGCACATGTGCTTGGTAAAAAGAAAGCTTGGTAATGGCTTTGATAACTCAACTGTAATATAAATCACCATCTGACTGTCAGACTAACCCCAGAGTGGCATGGGGTAGATTCAAACAGCCTAGCAAAGACTCTGAAAATGAACTGACACTGCAACCACCCACAGCAGGTGAGACAAAGCTTGTAGTCTGAAACTAATTGAGTTATTTGCCTGCTAAAATAAACTAGTCACCATCCAGATAATTTAAACAGGACTCAGAGTCCCACAATCTAACACTCAAGATGGGCAAGATACAATCCAAAATTACTTAATATACAAAGAACCAAGAAACTGATAAATGTTTAAAGGAAAAGAAAACAAATAGATGCTAATCCCCAAATTATTTAGATGTTAGAATTATCTGACAAAAACTTTAAAGTAGCTATTATAACCATCCCCCATGAGGTAAAAGTTAAACATCCTTGAAATAAATAGAAAGGTAGAAGTTCTTAGCAGAGAAATAGAAATTATGAAAAAGAACCAAATAGAAATTATGTGAAGTAAAAATATTTGCTGCAGAGCTCATTAGTAGAATGGAGATAACAGATGGATGAATGAATGAGTGAATTTGAAGATAGATCGATATAAATTATTCAATATAAAGATCATAGAGAAAAAAATATTTTAAAAATGAACAGTCTACAGATATACCATCCTGAATGCACCTAATCTTGTCTAATTTTTGAAGCTAGGCAGGGTCAGGCCTGGTTAGGATTTGGAGGGAGACCACCTGGGAATACTGGGTAATGTAGGCTGTCAATTAAAAAAATGTTTTTAAACAATCAGACACCTACTATGTACCGATAAAATTTTGTAATAAAAAAATTCAAAAAGTAAACGAGAATAAATAAGAATAAAGAATGTGATGTTGGCCAGGAGTGGTGGCTCACACTTGTAATCCTAGCACTTTGGAAGGCCAAGGTGGGTGGATCACCTGAGGTCACGAGTTTGAGACCAGCCTGGTCAACATCATGAAACCCCATCTCTACTAAAAACACAAAAATTAGCCAGGTGTGGTGGTGCTTGCCTATAATCCCAGCTACTCGGGAGGCTGAGGCAGGAGAATCACTTGAACTGGGGAGGCAGAGATTGCAGTGAGCTGAGATTGCACCATTGCACTCTAGCTTGAGTGACAGAGCAAGAGTCTGTCTCAAAAAAAAAAAAAAAAAGAAAAAGAAAAGAAAGAAAGAAAGAAAAAGAACATGATGTTTTAGATATATATTAAAAATAGTCTGGGCACAGTGGCTCATGCCTGTAAGCTCAGCACTTTGGGAGGCAGAGGTGAGCAGACTGCCTGAGCTCAGGAGTTCGAGACCAGCCTGGGCAACATGGTGAGACCCTATCTCTACTAAAAATACAAAAAATTAGCACAGTGTGGTAGCATGCACCTGTAGTCCCAGCTACTCAGGAGGCTGAGGCAGGAGAATCGCTTGAACCCAGGAGGCAGAGGTTGCAGTGAGCCAGGATTGGGCCACTGCACTCCAGCCTGGGCAACAGAGTGAGACTGCCTCCAAAAAAAAAAAAAAAAAAAAAAAAAAATTAACAGAGCCTCAGATACCTGTGGAAAAATATCAAAAGCTCTAATATTGGTGTCATCAATATTTCTGAAATAGAGGAGAAAGAGACTGATGTGGAAAAGTATTTGAAGAAATGATGGCTGAAAACTTCATAAATTTGGTTAAAGATACAAATTTACAGAATTGTAAAGCTCAGTGAACCCCAAAAGGATAAAAGCAATGAAAACCCCACCCACCCTAATCAAACTTCTGAAAACCAAATATTAGGAAAAAAATTTTAAGAGTAGCCACCAAAAAATCACATGTTACATATGGGGGAACAATAATTCTTATGACTGTAGATTTTTCATCAGAGACCATGGAAGCCAGAAGACAATGGAATAACACCTTTAAAGTGCTGAAAGAAAAGAACTGTCAACTTGAAATTTTCTATCTAGTGAATATTCCCTTTGAGAATAAAAGTGAAATAAAAACATTCTCAGATAAAGAAAGCCTAAAAGAATTTGTCTCCAGAACACCTGTTCTGAAAGAAATGCTAATAGAAGCCAAAGTGAAATAATACCAAAAGGAAACTTGGAACTACAGAAATGAAGGAAGAGCAACAGAATTGGTATATATCTGGATAAAGTTAGGTTATTTTTCTCTCCTTACATAAAGTTATTTATGATCATTGAAAGAAAAAATTATAACACAGTCTAGGAGAGTTTCAATGTATGTAGATGTCATGGATAGGACAATTATAAACAACAGGGGGAAGGTAAAGGGACCCATATACAGGCATACCTCATTTTATTCATTTTCCCATCGTGTTTTGTAGATATTGTGATTTTACAGATTGAAGGTTTATGGGGCAAGTCTATCAGTGCCATTTTTCCAACAGTATATGTTCACTTCCTGTCTCTTGTATCACATTCTGGTAATTCTTGCAGTATTTCAAACTTGTTTTTTCTTTTGTAGAGACAAGGTCTCACTATGTTGACCAGGCTGGTCTTGAACTCCTGGCCTCAAGTGATCCTCTGCCCTTGGCCTCCCAAAGTGCTAGGATTACAGATGTGAGCCATCGAACTTAGCCCAAACTTTTTCATTATTATTATATCTGATGTGGTGATCTGTGATCAGTGATCTTGGATGTTACTATTGTAATTGTTTTGGGGTGTCACAAATCACACCTATATAAGATGGCAAACCTATAGTTGATAAATGTAGTATGTGTCTGGCTGCTCCACTGACCACCTGTTCCCTCACCTTTCTCCCTCTTCTTGGCCCTCCCTATTCTGTGAGGCAATATACATTGAAATTAGGCCAATGAATAACCCTACAATGGCCTCTAAATGTTCAAGTGAAAAGAAGAGTCACGTCTGTGTGCGGTGGCTCATGCCTGTAATCCCAGCACTTTGGGAGGCCGAGGTGGGCGGATCACAAGGTCAGGAGTTCGAGACTAGCCTGGCCAACATGGTGAAACCCCATCTCTACTAAAAATACAAAAATTAGCCTGGCATGGTGGCAGATGCCTGTAATCCCAGCTACTCAGGAGGCTGAGGCAGGAGAATTGCTTGAACCCAGGAGGCAGGGGTCACAGTGAGCCGAGATCGCGCCACTGCACTCCAGCCTGGGGGACAGAGCAAGACTCCGTCTCAAAAAAAAAAAAAAAGAAAAGAAGAGTCACATACATCTCTCACTTTAAATCAAAATCATGATATGATTAAGCTTAGTGAGGAATGTACATCAAAAGACTAGATAGGTCAAAAGCTAGGCCTCTTACACCAAATGGTTAGCCGAGTTGTAAATGCAAAGTAAAAGTTCTCAAAGAAAATTAAGGCCAGGCGCGGTGGCTCACACCTGTAATCCCAGCACTTTGGGAGGCCAAGGCAGGTGGATCACGAGGTCAGGAGATTGAGGCCATCCTGGCTAACGTGGTGAAACCCCATCTCTACTAAAAAAAAAAAAATACAAAAAATTAGCTGGGCATAGTAGCGGGTGCCTGTAGTTCCAGCTACTCGGGAGGCTGAGGCAGGAGAATGGCGTGAACCAGGGAGGTGGAGCTTGCAGTGAGCTGAGATTGTGCCACTGCACTCCAGCCTGGGTGACAGAGTGAGACTCTGTCTCAAAAAAAAAAATTAAAAGTGCTACTCCGGTGAACACATGAATGATAAAGTGAAACAGTCTTAATGCTTATACAGAGAAAGTTGTAGAGGTCTGGATAGAAGATTAAACAAGCCACAACATTCCCTTAAGCCAAAACTTAATCTAGATCAAATCCCTAACTCTCTTTAATTTTATGAAGGCTGAGAGAGGTGAGGAAGTTGCAGAAGAAAAGTTTGAAGGTAGCATAAGTTGGCTCCTGAGGTTTAGGGAAAGAAGCCATCTCCAGAACATAAAAGTACAAGGTGAAGCAGCAAGTGCTGATGCGGAAGCTGCATCAAGTTCTACAGAAGATCGAGCTAAGATCACTGATGAAGGTGGCTACACTAAACAACACATTTTCCATGTAGGCAAAACAGTCTTCTATTGGAAGAAGATGCCATCAAGGACTTTTTTTTTTTTTTTGAGATGGAGTCTCACTCTGTCACCCAGGCTGGTGTGCAGTGGTGCAATCTCAGCTCACTGCAACCTCCATATGCTGGGTTCAAACAATTTTCCTGCCTCAGCCTCCCAAGTAGTTGGGACTACAGGTGTACACCACCATGCCTGCCTAATTTTTTGTATTTTTAGTAGAGATGGAGTTTCACCATGCTGACCAGGCTGGTCTCGAACTCCTGACCTCATGATCTGCCCGCCTCATCCTCCCAAAGTGCTGGGATTACAGGCATGAGCCACCATGCCCAGCCAGCCACCTAGGACTTTTATAGCTAAAGATAACTCATTGCCTGGATTCAAAGCTTCAAAGCACAGGCTAACTCTCTTACTAGGGGATAATGCAGCTGGTGATTTTAAGTTGAAGCCAATGTCCATGTACCATTATGAAAATCCTAGGGCCATTAAGAATGATGTGAATTCTCTGCCTATGCTCCATAAATGGAACAACAAAGCCTGGATGACAGCATATCTGTTCATAGCATGGTTTACTGGATATTTTAAGCCTACTGTTGAGACCTACTGCTCAGGAAAAAAGATTCCTCTCAAAATATTACTACTCATTGGCAATGCACGTGGTCACCCAAGAGCCCTGATGGAGATGTACAAGGAGATTCAGGTTGTTTTCATGCTTGCTAACACATCATTCATTCTGCAGTCCATGGATCAAGGAGTAACTTCGATTTTCAAGTCTTATTTAAGAAATACAGGCCAGGTGCAGTGGCTCACGCCTGTAATCCCAGCACTTTGAGAGGCCGAGGTGGGCGGATCACAGGGTCGGGAGTTCAAGAGCAGCCTGGCCAGCATAGTGAAACCCTGTCTCTAATAAAAATGCAGAAATTGGCCGGGCATGGTGGTGGGCGCCTGTAGTCCCAGCTACTTGGGAGGCTGAGCAGGAGAATCGCTTGAACCTGCGAGTCAGAGGTTGCAGTGAGCCAAGATCATGCCACTGCACTCCAGCCTGGGCAACATAGTGAGACTGTGTCTCAAAAAAAAAAAAAAAACATTTCATAGGCTAGAGCTGCCATAGATAGTGATTTCTCTGGATGATCTGGGCAAAGTAAACAAAAAGCCTTCTGGAAATGATTCACCATTCTAAATGTCATTAAGAACAGTTGTGATTCATGGGAGGAGGTTAAAAATATCAACATTAACAGAAATTTGGAAGAAGTTGATTCCAACCCTCATGAATGACTTTGAGAGGTTCAAGTCTTCAGTGGAGGAAGGAACTGCTGATGTAGTGGAAATAGCAAGATAACTAGAATTAAAAGTGAAGCCTGCAAATGTGGCTGAATTCTGTAATCTCATGATAAGACTTTAATTAATGAGGAGTTGCTTCTTCTGGATAAACAAAGAAAGTGGTTTGTCAAGATAGAATCTACTCCTGTTGAAGATACTGTAAACACTGTTGAAATGACAACAAAGGATTTAGAATATTACATAAACTTAGTTGATAAAGAAGCAGCCAGAATTGAGAGGATTGACTCCAATTTTGAAAGAAGTTCTACTGTGGGTAAAATGCTATCAAACACCATCACATGCTACAGAGAAATATTTTGTGGAAGGAAGAGTCAATTGATATGCAAACTTTATTGTTGTCTTATTTTAAGAAATTGCCACAGCCACTCCAATCTTCAGCAACCACCACCCTTATTAGTCAGTAATCATGAACACTGAGGCAAGAACCTCCACCAGAGAAAAGACTATGACTCACCGAAGGCTCTGATGATTGTTCAGATTTTTAAGCAACAAAGTACTTTTTAACTAAGGTATTTACATTTTAGACAAAATGTCATTGCATAACACTGTATGCAATGTCTAATGTAATTAGACATAATGTTATTGCACATTTATTAGACTATAATATAGTATAAACACAACTTTTATTTATTATTGTTTTTCTTTTTAGACGAACTCTTTGCTCTGTCGCCCAAGCTGGAGTGCAGTAGCAATCTTGGCTCACTGCAATATGCACCTCCTGGGTTCCAGCGATTCTCCTGCCTAAGCCACTTTGGTAGCAGGGATTACAGGCATGTTGCCACCATGCCCGGCTAATTTTTGTATTTTTAGTAGAGACGGGGTTTCACCATGTTGGCCAAGTTGGTCTCGAACTCCCAACCTCAGGTGATCCACCTGCCTCGGCCTCACAAATTGCTAAGATTACAGGTGTGAGCCACTGCACCCGGCCTTAAACATAACTTATATATGCACTGGGAAACCAAAAACCTTGTGTGATTCACTTTGTTGCAATATTCACTTTACTGAAGTGGTCTAGAACTGAACCTGCAATATTTCCAAGGTATGCCTGTAGTTGTGAGATGTCAGTGTTTTACTTGAAGTGTTAAAACATTGATTTTAAGTTGACTGTTAAAATTAGGTATGTGTATTATTATCCCTAGATCAACAGCTAAAAAAAAAAAACCACAAAAGATATAGACAACCAATATATTAAATTGGAATATAAAACATATTCAAATAATCCAAAATATAACAGGAAAGGGGACATTGAGAGGCAAAAAAATGGAGGAGACAAGCAGAAAAATAACAAATTGTAGACCAAAATCCACTCTTATCAATAACTACATTAAATGTAAATGGTCTTTAAAAATGTAAATGGTCTAAACACACCAATTAAAAGACAAAGATGGCTGGGTGCGGTGGCTCACGCCTGCAATCCCAGCACTTTGGGAGGCCGAGGTGGGCTGATCACCTGAGGTCAGGAGTTCAAGACCAGCCTGGCCAACATGGTGAAACCCCACCTCTACTAAAAATACAAAAATTAGCCGGGCAAGGTGGTGCATGCCTGTAATCCCAGCTACTCGGGAGGCTGAGGCATGAGAATCGCTTGAACCTGGGAGGCGGAGGTTGCAGTGCACTGAGATCATGCCATTGCATTCCAGCCTGGGCGGCAGAGCAAGATTCCATTTCAAAAAAAAAAGACAAAGATCATCAGATTGGAAAAAGAAAAAAACAAGACCCAACTATATGCTATTACATTTTATTTTATTTTTACTTCTCAAATGTTAAGGAAACCTATTTTAAATATAAAGATATAAATATAGGGAAATTACATAATGATAAAAGGGTCAATTCACCAAGAAGATAAACACTGAAATATAATATGCAACTAACAAAGATCCAAAATAAATGAAGCAAAAATTGATAGAACTAAAAGAGATATGGAAAAATCCACAGTCATAACTGGGAGACTCAATAAGTCCATTCTCAATGACTGATAAACAAATAGATGGAAATCAAAAAGGATATATCAAACCTGGATAACGTTATCAACTGGTTTAATATAATGGACATTTACAAAAAACACTCTACCCAAGAACAACAGAATACATATTCTTTCCAAGTGCCCACAGAACATATACCCAGATAGATCATATTCTGGGTCATAAAATAAACTAACAATTTTTAATAAAACCACATAAAGCATGTTCTCTGGCTATACCAAAATTAAACAAGAAATAAATAATAGAAAACTCCCCCAGCCTAACCAACATGGTGAAACCCCGTCTCTACTAACAATACAAAAATTAGCTGGGCATCGTGGCGGGTGCCTATAATCCCAGCTACTCGGGAGGCTGAGGCAGGAGAATTGCTTGAACCTGGGAGGTGGAGGCTGCAGTGAGCTGAGATCACGTCATTGCATTCCAGTCCAGGTGGTAGAGCAAGATTCCATTTCCAAAAAAAAAAAAAAGACAAAGATTATCGGATTGGAAAAAGAAAAAAACAAGACCCGACTATATGCTATCAGCAAGAAAGCTATTTTATTTTATTTTTACTTCTCAAATGTCTTATGGTTTAAGGAAATCTATTTTAAATATAAAGATATAAATATAGGGAAGTTACATAATGATAAAAGGGTCAATTCACCAAGAAGATAAACACTGAAATATAGTATGCAACTAACAAAGATCCAAAATAAATGAAGCAAAAATTGATAGAACTAAAAGAGACATGGAAAAATCCACAGTCATAACTGGGAGACTTCAATAACTCTGTTCTCAATAACTGATAAACAAATAGATGGAAATCAAAAAGGATATATAAAACCTGGATAACATTATCAACTGGTTTAATATAACGGACATTTATAAAACACTCTACTCAAGAGCAACAGAATACATATTCTTTCCAAGTGCCCACAGAACATATACCCAGATAGATCATATTCTGGGTCATAAAGTAAACTTTAACAATTTTTAATAAATTAAAACCACACAAGGCCGGGCGTGGTGGCTCACACTTGTAATCCCAGCACTTTAGGAGGCTGAGGCAGTGGATCACCTCAGGTCGGGAGTTCAAGACCAGCCTGACCAACATGGTGAAACCCCATCTCCACTAAAAATACAAAACTAGCCGTGCATGGTGGCACATGCCTGTAATCCCAGCTACTCGGGAGGCTGAGGCAGGAGAACCGCTTGAACCCAGGAGGCAGAGGTTGTGGTGAGCCGAGATCATCCACATAAATGGTGTTCTCTGGCTATACCAAAATTAAATAAGAAATCAATAATAGAAAACTCCCCCAGCCTGACCAACATGGCAAAACCCTGTCTCTACTAAAAATACAAAATGTCATTGCATAACATTGTATGCAATGTCTAATGTTATTAGACATAATGTTATTGCACATTTATTAGACTATAATATAGTATAAACATAACTTTTATTTATTATTGTTTTTCTTTTTAGACGAACTCTTGGGCGTGATAGTGCGCGCCTGTAATCTCAGCTATTCAGGAGGCTGAGGCAGGAGAATTGCTTGAATCCAGGAGGTGGAGGTTGCAGTGAGCTGAGATCGCACCACTGCACTCCAGCCTGGGTAACAGAACAAGACTCTGTCTCAAAAAAAAAGAAAAAAAAGAAAAAAAAGAGAACTCTCAAATATTTAGAAATTGTTAATATACTTCTAAATAATCCATGGGTCAGAGAAAAAATCTTAAAGTAAATCAGAAAATATTTGAACTGACTGAACATCAAAACAAAACATATCAAAATTTATGGGTTGCAGCTAATGCAGCGTGTACAGGAACATTTATAGCTTTACATGCCTATGATAGAAAAAAGAAAGGCCTCAAATCATACTCTAAGCTTCTACCTTAAGAAACTAGAGAAAGAACAAATTAAACCTAAATCAAGCAGAAGAAAAAGAAATTAGAAAAGCAGAATTCAATGAAATTGAAAACAGAAAAAAATAGAGAACAATCAATAAAACCAAAAGCTTTGAAAAGGTGTACAGAATTCATAAACTTTTTGACAGATTTACCAAGGAAAAGAAAGAGAGAAGACATAAATTACTAATATCAGGAATGAAAGAGGGGATGTCACTTCAGACCCTCCAGATATTAAAAGGATAATAAGAGAATATTACAAACAACTCTATGCTCATAAGTTTGACAACTTAGAGGAAATGGACCAATTTCTTGAAAGACACAAATTACCTAAACTCAGTCCAGAAGAAACAGATCAGAGAAATAGTCCTAAATGTACTAAAGAAAATTTAATTCATAGTTTAAAACCTTCCAATGTAGAGAAGAAAACTCCAGGCCCAGAAGGTTTCTTTTCTTTTCCTTCCTTCCTCCCTCCCTCCCTCCTTCCCTCCCTCCCTCCCTCCTTCCTTCCTTCCTTCTCTCTTTTCTTTCCTTTTCTCTTTTCTTTTCTTTCCTTTTCTTTCTTTTCTTTGTGGCAGGGACTCACTCCTGTTATTCAGGCTGGAGTACAGTGGTGCAATCACAGCTCACTGCAGCCAAGACTTCCACACCCAGCAAATTTTTTTGTATTTTTAGTAGAGATGGGTTTTCATCATGTTGCCCAGGCTGGTCTCGAACTCCTGGCTCAAGCAATCTGCCTGCCTTAGCTTCCCAAAGTGCTGGGATTACAGGCATGCGCCACCATGCCTGGCCCCCAAATGGTTTCACTGGGAAATTCTACCAAATGTTAAAGAAAGAAATAGTATCAATTCCACACAAACTCTTCCAGAAAATCAAAAAAACTTAGCTCATTTTATGAAGGCAGCATGGTCCTGATGCCAAAATTTGAAAAAGATAACAAGAAAACTATAGAACAATACTTCACATGAACATATACCCCAAAACTTCAACAAACTACAAACTATTAGCAAAGGAATCCAGAAATATATATATATTTTTAAAAAATAATACTTCACTACTATGTGGAGTTTATCCCAGGTAATTTAATGCTGGTGTAACATTCAAAAATAGCCAGGCATGGTGGCTCACGCCTGTAATCCCAGCACTTTGGGAGGGTGAAGCGGGCAGATCACCTGAGGTCAAGAGTTTGAGACCAGCCTGGCCAACGTGGTGAAACCCCGTCTCTACTAAAAATACAAAAATTAGCTGGGTATGGTGGTGTGCACTAGTAGTCCCAGCTACTTGGGAGGCTGAGGCAGGAGAATTGCTTGAACCCGGGAGGTGGAAGTTGCAGTGAGCTGAGATCGCACCACTGTACTCCAGCTTGGGGGACAGAGCAAGACTCCATCTCAATAATAATAATAATAATAAATAAATGAGCATAATTCACCATATTGGCAGACTAAGGAAGAAAAAAACACATGATAATCCTAACTGATGAAGAAAATGCATTAACAAAATTTAAAACCCATTCATGATAAAAAAAAAAAAATCTCTCAGCAAACTAGAGAAGGAAACTTCGTTAATCCAAAAATATATATATATATTGGCCGGGCGCAGTGGCTCACACCTATAATCCCAGCACTTTGGGAGGCCGAGGCAGGCGGATCACCTGAGGTCCAGAGTTCAAGACCAGCCTTACCAACGTGGAGAAACCTCGTCTCCACTAAAAATACAAAATTAGCCGGGTGTGGTGGTGCATGCTTGTAATCCCAGCTACTCGGGAGGCTGAGGCAGGAGAATTGCTTGAACCTGGGAGGTGGAGGTTGCAGTGAGCCAAGATCATGCCATTGCACTCCAGCCTGGGCAACAAGGACAAAACTCTGTCTAAATATATATATATATATATATATATATATATATATATGTATATATACACACATATATATGTACATATATACATATATCTACATATACATATATACATGTATACATATACATATGTATACATGTATATATGTATATATGTGTATGACCTCCGGTGATCCCCCCCCCAACCTCGGCCTCCCAAAGTGCTGGGATTACAGGTGTGAGCCACTGCACTTGACCGCAAATCACATTTCTAACAAAGGACTTGAATCCAGAATTTATTTTTTAACATTTTTAAAAAATTTTATTTTATTTTATTTTTGGTAGAGACAGGATTTTTGTATGTTGCCCAGGCTGGTCTCAAACTTCTGACCTCAAGTGATCCTCCTGCTCAGCCTCCCAAAGCACTAGGACTACAGGCATGAGCCACTGTGCCTGGCCTAGAATTTATAAAGAACCCTCAGTAGGGCGCAGTGCCTCATGCCTGTAATCCCAGCACTTTGGGAGGCTGAGGCAGGCGGATCACGAGGTCAGGAGTTCAAGACCAGCCTGGCCAACATAGTGAAACCTCGTCTCTACTAAAAATACAAAAAAATTAGCCAGGCATGGTGGCAGGCACCTGTAATCCCAGCTACTCAGGAGAATGAGGCAGGACAATCACTTGAACCCGGGAGGCAGAGGTTGCAGTAAGCCAAGATGGCGTCACTGCAGTCCAGCCTGGGCAACAGTGTGAGACTCTATCTCAAAAAAAAAAAAAAAAAAAAAAACTCTCAAAACTCAGAAATAAGAAAACAAACAATTTTTTAAAAAGGCAAAAGTTTTGAACAGGCACCTCACCAGAGAAGATACATGGATGGCAAATAAATATTTGAAAATATGCTCAACATCATTTGTTGGTAGGGAATTGCAAATTAAAACCACAGTAAGGTATGTCTATACACCTATTGAAATTGAAAAAAATCCCTGACAATACCAATTGTTGGTGAGAAGGCGGAACAACTGCCACTCTCATAAATTACTGGTGGGAAAACAAAATGATACAGCCCCTCTAGGTTTCTTATAAAGTTAAACACACACTTACCATAGGCTCCAACAATCCCTCCTAGAAATTAGCCCAAGTAAAATGAAAATTTATGTTCATACCAAAACCTGTACGTGAATGTTTACAGAAGCTTTATTCATAATTGCCAAAACTAGAAACAACCTAAATATTCCTCAACTGGGAAGTGGAGTAACAAACTGTGGTACATCCATACAATACACTACTACTCAGCAATGAAAAGGAATTGACTACTGATACACTCAACAACATGGATGAATCTTAAATCCATTATGCCAAGTGAAAGAAGCCAAATTCAAAATACAACATATTGTATGGTTCCATTTTATATGACAGTCTGGAAAAGAAAAAACTATAGGAATAGAGAACATATCAGTGTTGCCAGGGCTTAAGGGTAGGGAAGGCTTTGACTACAAAGGGGTAACAAAAGGGAATTTGGGAAGGTGATTAACTGTTTTATTTTTTTGTTTGTGTGTGGTGGTGTTTACATAATTCTTTGCATTTGTCAAAACTCACAGAACTCTACACCAAAATGTAAATTTTACTGAATGTAAATTACAATTAAATTATATGTATGCAAATCTATTATGTGTATGTTTGTGTATATATATATATATATATATACACATATGAATATTTTTAAAAGCTTTTTCCCCTCATATTACTATCAAGTCATATCTCACAGATTTTGTATTTGTACAATTATTCTTTCTTGAGCCTGAAATTAGTTAGGACTGTTTTGTTTTGTTTTTTTCTTGAGATGGAGTCTTACTCTGTTGCCCAGGCTGGAGTACAGTGGTATGATCTCGGCTCACTGCAACCTCTGCCTCCCAAGTTCAAGTGATTCTCTGGCCTCAGCCTCCCGAGTAGCTGAGACTACAGGCGCTCACCACCACACCTGGCTAATTTTCATATTTTTAGTAGAGACGGGGTTTCTCCATGTTGGTCAGGCTGGTCTCGAACTCCTGACCTCAGGTGATCTGCCTGCCTTGGCCTCCCAAAGTGCTGGGATTACAGGTGTGAGCCACCACGCCCGGTCAAGTTAGGACTGTCTTCATCTCTGTTAACCTTCCATTTCCTCTCCTTCCACAAAACCTAAACTTTATTATTATTTGAAACATAATTTTTGAGTAAGTTATTCCGTCTCAAGAAGGTCCAATTCGTGTTATTGAGAATGGTAAAATAATACACTACCTGCCCTGGGCACTTTAGTGAGAATCCATTTATTGGGTTAACTAGCAGTGACTGTGGATGGCAGTGAGCAGGCCTGGGAGTGGCCAGGACATAGGACAGATGTGCTTTGATGGGAGAGAAGGGAAGGAAAAGCCGGCAGCACAGCGATGGGAAACTAGAGGCCAGAGGTAGAGGTGGAGGGCAATGATCAGGGAGCAGAGATGACAGCATGCCAAGGACATCCTGTGCTGACTTCACAGGCTGGCTCTGGGCATAGGCCAGTCTCTTCCTGGAGCTTTCATTTTCTCTCTTCGGAATCTGTCAACTCTCTACTGCAATCTGTTCCACAGTCGTATAGCCAAAATCCTCTTGCTCTGTGTCTGTTTATTCAACAAATATTTATCTTAACTGACTCTAATCACATTGTCTCCTGTTTGTCCTGCAGTGAAGCCCTTTTACATCTGCTTATCTCTTTTGATCCAAGGGAAGGAGACTTAACCCTGACTTCCAGAGAAGGAAATAGTCTCAGAAAGGTTAAGTCATTTATCTGAAGTTGCCCTTTTAATACTGAGTACTGGACTCTCTCAGTATCCGCGTACTCTGCTGCCCCCTACCGTGAACATAGCAATAGGTTTTAAATCACAAAAACACACAGCAGAACACTACACAACACTGGAAAGACTACGACACTATAAATAGTGCTTACATTTGTTCATTTAGCAAATATTCAGCTGGACGTGGTGGCTCACGCCTGTAATCCCAGCACTTTGGGAGGCCGAGGCAGGTGGATCACTTGAGGCCAGGAGTTCAAGACCAGCCTGGCCAACATGGTGAAACCCCACCTCTAAAAATACTAAAATTAGCCGGGCATGGTGGCACGCACCTGTAATACCAGCTACTCGGGAGGCTGAGGCAGGAGAATTGCTTGAATCCAGGAGGCGGAGGCTGTAGTGAGCCGAGATCACACCACTGCACTCCAGCCTGGGTGATACAGCAAGACTCCATCCCCAAAAAATAAATAAACAAATATTAATTGAGAGCCTACTATATGCCAGAAATAAGCAGGTATTGTCCTTGTGTTCATGGAGCTTATGGTGTAGAGGGGGAGACAGAATTACACAAAATAATTACTTAATTACAGTTTGAATAAATACTATGAAGTACAAGGTGCTATATGAGGGTATAGAATAAGGGTATGTAGCCTGGTCTGGAGGCTTAGGGAAATCTTACATGAAGTAGAATTCATAGGAATAAATTATTGGTTGGCTATGGGGGAGGTTAAAGAGACATCAAGAATGCCTTCCAGGTCTCTGGCATGAACAACTGGGCAGATAGAGCACTGTTACTAAGCAGGGGAAGCCTAGAGGAGGAAGACATTATGAATGGAAAGAATATGAACTTGGCTTTGGCTTTTTGCAGTTCGGGAATCCCACGAGACATTAAGGTATAGATGTGGAATAAGCAATCAGATTCAGGAGTTTGGGAGCAAGGTCTATGCTAGAAATAGAAAGTTGGGAGTTGTTGGGATACAGATTATATTTGAAACTGTGGTCATGGATGACATTTCTTAGAAAATAATAGAAAGAGTAGAAGGCTTATAACTTCCCTGAGAAACTCCAGAATTTAAAAGGTCAACTGGAAGAGATGGAGCTAGCAAAAACTTAGGACAAGGGGCCAAGGAGGGGAAAATCAGGAATGTGCAATGATGCCAAAGTCAGGGGAAGTGTATTTCAAAAAGAAGACTGGTCAACCATGGTGGTAATTACAAAGAAATCAAGTGCAATGACTTTCTTGGTCTACGATGATTTTTTTGGTCTGCCTAGTGAAACAGATTCAGTTTCAGAGGACTAGAGGTGGAGAAGACTAGGCCACTACCTCTTAGAAAACCTCCTAAAGGCCACCATAGCCTATGGTCTTGAACCAGTGGTCTTCATAGTCTTTTGCTCACATACCACTTAAAATAATTTTGATAAATAATGTGAGCTGGGCACAGCGGCTCAAGCCTGTAATCCAAATGTTTTGGGAGGCTGAGTCTGGAGGATCACTGGACCCCAGGAGTTTGAGACCAACCTGGGCAACATAGAGAAACTCCATCTCTACAAAAATTAAAAAATTAGCCAGGTGTGGTGGTGTGTGTCTGTAGTCCTAGCTATTTGGGAGGCTGAGGTGGGAGAATTGCTTGAGCCCAGGAGTTCAAGGCTGCAGTGAGCTATAATCATGCCACTATACTTCTACCTGGGCAACAGAGCAAGACCCTATCTCTAAGAAAATAAATAAATAAAATTTTTAAAAAACATTAGGCCAAGTGCAGTGACTCATACCTGTAATATCAACACTTTGGGAGGCCAAGATGGGAGAACTGTTTGAGCTTAGGAATTGAGGACCAGCCTGGGCAATATAGTATGACCTCATCTCTATGAAAAATTTTTAAAAATTAGGTGGGTGTGGTGGCACACGCCTGTAGTCTCAGCTACTTGGGAGGCTGAGGCGGGAGGATCACTTGAACTCAGGAGATTGAGGCTGCAGTAAGCTACGGTTGCGCCACTGCACTCCAGCCTGGGCAACAGAGCGAGACCCTGTCTCAAAACAAACAAACAAAAATATAGACATATTTTTAAAAGATAATAGAAGGCTATTTTCTGAATCTTGTATTTTTAACTGTCCCCAGTTCTGAACTTTTTTTTAATTGCCCCGTGCAATGTATCATTCAGGGTGGGTCAGATATATGCCTTTCTTTCTTTTCTTTTTTCCATTTTTTTTTTTTTCTCTGAGATGGAGTCTCACTCTTGCCCAGGCTAGAGAGCAATGGTGTGATCTCGGCTCACTGCAACCTCCACCTCCAGGGTTCAAGCGATTCTCCTGCCTCAGCCTCCCCAGTAGCTGCGATTACTGGCACGTGCCACTGTGCCTGACTAATTTTTGTATTTTTAGTAGAGACAGGGTTTCACCATGTTGGCCAGGCTGGTCTTGAAGTCCTGACCTCAGGTGATCCACTCACCTCTGCCTCCCAAAGTGCTGGGATTACAGGCGTGAGCCACCATGCCTGGCCTTTCTTATGAAGACTAGCAGAACTACAATTATGAAGAAAAAGTCGGCTTGGAGCCTCAACCCCAGGAACTTTCTCAGGTGGAGTACATCTGGAAGTTGAGGATCTGGAAATGAATTTCCTTAAATATATCCATGCATGAGTACCGCTTACCAAGCCTTCATTTACTTTACGGCTATTGCATACCCCATTTGAAAACCAGTGTTGCAAAGGACTGGGGGCAATCTGAAACTACTGGGTTCCTGGAACCTGGCACTGATTGATGGGGCCAGTGGGCCCTAATGAGATTGCACCTCCATTTTAAAAGCGTGAAAGGTATAAGGAGATTCAGAGATAGGTGTAAATGGCTTGCGGGAGCCTCCAAAATTTTCAGGTCCAGGTACCTCCCACCCCTTCAAGGGACTGTCTGATACTATTCTATGGCTCCTGGAATGAAGAACCAGTCATCAGGACCTGCTGGCCTCTATTAAATTAAGAGTCCAGTCAGATTTAACAACCTGAAGATGAGGTGTAACTGTGAAGCAATATATGGCTGATTTTTTAACACACCCATCCAAATACATCCACTCCAGCTGATTCATTCTCTCAACTCCCATGTGCTAGGTAATGTATGAGGTGCCAGAGTTACCCAAAAAACAAACAAAGCACAATCCATAGGCCAAGTCCTGCAGAAACTCTAGGAGAGAAACTTTTAAAGAAATAATTATAAAAACACTGTGATCGGCTGGGCGTGGTGGCTCACGCCTGTAATATCAGCACTTTGGAAGGCTGAGGCAGGAGGATCACCCGAGATCAGGAGTTTGAGACCAGCCTGGCCAACATGGTGAAACACCATCTCTACTAAAAATATAAAAAAATTAGCTGGGTGTGGTGGCTCACAACTGTAATCCCAGCTACTTGGGAGACTGAGAGCAGGAGAATTGCTTGAACCTAGGAGGCAGAGGTTGTAGTGAGCCAAGATCATGCCACTGCACTCCAGCCTGGGTTACAAGAGTGAAACTCTGTCTCAAGAAAAAAAAAAACAAACACTGTGATAAAGAGTTAATAAAACTATGTGCAAGAGCTAGGGGAGTACTGAAGAAAGAGTGATTTGAGTAAGAACTTTGTAAGACTTTGAGTAAGAACTTTTTAAGACTTTGGGAAAACTTCCCAAAGGAGGTCACATTAGAGTTATTTATTGGCAGGCGTGTAGTACATCATAGAGAAAAAGAGATGGCAGTGGAAGGATGTTCCAGGCAGAGGATGCAGCATGTCACATGGGCAGCCAGTGTCCAAGTGACACTCAAGGGGCAAGACCTGCTTCATGGACTTGTGACCTCTGTAGTCACACAGGGCCCCCCTCTTAGAAGGGCCCTCACGCTTGTTTTAATGTTCTGCTGTCATCATTTTGAAATTCTTATTTTTTTTTTAACAAGGAGACTTGCATTTTCATTTTTGCACTGGGCCCTGCAAATTACGTAGCAGGTCCTGCAAGAGGGCAAGATGAAGGCAGGGAGACCTGCTGGGAAGTTATTACTGCGGTCCAAGTAAGAGATAATGAAGGGGCTAAATCAAGGTCTTGTCGTAACAGTAATACACAGCCACACCATTTTCAACTTCTTCCCAGTGTATTCCTCAGTTTAGATGTAGCAATTTCCCCAACTGGAAAGTACTTAGGTTGATTTTGGTGTTTTGTAATTACAAAGAATGAGGCAATTGAATAATTTGCTACAAATAATTTTGTGTTTGCACCTATGCAAGGATATCTATCTAGGATAAATTCTCAGAATTAGAATTGATGGGTCAAAGGTATGCTCATTTTCAAGGTTGATAGGCATTGCCAGTTGGTGACCTGAAGAGAGTAAACCAATTTGTATCTCTTCCAACAGTATGGAGGAGTATCTGTTTTATCATGCCCTCTTTAACACTCTGTAGTATCCAACCTTTTGGTATTTGCAGTCTGATAATGTTAAGAAAGCAGTGGCTGATTGTCTTAATTTGCCTTTCTTTAATTACAAACATGGTTGGTCATTTAAAAAATTATTATAGGAGTCTGTTCAGGCCAGGCACAGTGGCTCACGCCCATAATCCCAGCACTTTGGGAGGCCGAGGCAGATGGATCACTTGAGGCCAAGAGTTCCAGATCAGCCTGGCCAACACGGCAAAACCGCGTCTCTACAAAAAACACAAAAAAATTAGTCAGGTATGGTGGCATGTGCCTGTAGTCCCAGCTACTTGGGAGGCTGAGACATGAGAATCGCTTGAACCAAGGAAGCAGAGGTTGCAGTGAGTTAAGATCGTGCCACTGCACTCCATCCTGGGTAACGGAGCGAGACTGTCTCAAAAAAAAAAAAGAGTCCATTTATATTTCTGTTTGCATGAAGCCCATTTAGTCCTTCGCCATTATTGAATTGGGTCATAGGTCTTTTTCTTATTGGTTTATAACAGCTGTTTTACGTTAAAAAAATAATAATAAATATTTTACCTAGTTTATAGTTTGTTGCTTTATTTCTGCTTTTTTTTTGGCCATGCAGATGAAGGCCTGAATTTTTGAAACCTAAGTGAACTGTTACTGCTTTCACTGTATACCAGTATTTTGCAATATAAGCCCTCTTTTCAGGGAGTGGCCTTTAGAGACTATTACACTTATTTTTTTAGAAGCTCAGCTTGTTCATTTGGAGAACATACAATATTAAAGGGAAAAAATGCTCAGCTTGTACTTATTTTTTGAAGAGATAATATATCCACATGATTAAAAAGTCAAAAGATACAAAAAGGTATACAGTGAGAAAAATCTCCTTCCAGCCAGGCATGGTGGCTCCCACCTGTAATCCCAGCACTTTTGGGAGGCCAAGGCAGGCGGATCACATGAGGCCAGGAGTTCGAGACCAGCCTGCCCAACATGGTGAAACACTGTCTCTACTAAAAATATAAAAAATAGCTGGGCTTTGTGGTGTTTGCCTGTAGTTCTAGCTACTTCGGAGGCTGAGGCAAGAGAATTGCTCCAACCCAGGAGGCAGAGGTTTCGGTGAGCCGAGACTGTGCCACTGCACTCCAGCCTGGGTAACAGAGCGTGACTCCATCTCAAAAAAATAAAATAAAATAATTAAAAAAAATTAAAAAATAAAAATAAAAATTGCCTTCCCACCCTGTCCTCAAACCACTTAAGCTTCCCTCCAGGAAGTAAGCACTATTATCAGTTCCTTGGGTATCTGTCCCTATTTTATGTGTAAATGAGCAAGTGCATGCACACACATGTATTCTTTTTTCCGATTATTACACAAATAGTAGCCTACAATATCCAGGATTCTGCACCTTTGCCTTTTTTTTACCACTTAACATTACATTTTGGAAATAATGTCCTAATTATTCATAAATTCGTAAGTACTTCCTCATTTTAAAAAATGGCTGCATTGGGCCGGGCGCGGTGGCTCACGCCTGTAATCCCAGCACTTTGGGAGTCCAAGGCGGGTGGATCACAAGGTCAGGAGATCGAGACCATCCTGGCTATCACGGTGAAACCCTGCCTCTACTAAAAAAATACAAAAAAATTAGCTAGGCGTGGTGGTGGGCGCCTGTAATCCCAGCTACTCGGGAGGCTGAGGCAGGAGAATTGCTTGAACCCAGGAGGTGGAGGTTGCAGTGAGCCGAGATCGCGCCACTGCACTCCAGCCTGGGCGACAGAGCGAAACTCCATCTCAAAAAAAAAAAAAAAAAATTACAAAAGGCTGCATAGTGTCCCATTGTATGCATTGGTTTGAATATGCTTTTAAGGGAGAAACCTGAGTAAGAAATACTCTCAAGTCATTTGGGGCTGGACATTGAGACTGAGTCGGGGGATTGGACTGGGACCTTCTCTAGATCCTGAACAATCAGACCTTTTCCTTCCTCCAGGCCTTTACCTCCCATTTTCTTTTTCTTTTTTTTTTTTTTTTTGAGATGGAGTCTCACTCTGTAGCCCAGGCTGAAGTGCAGTGGCACCATCTCAGCTCACTGCAACCTCTGTCTCCTGGGTTCAAGAGATTCTCCTGCCTCGGCCTCCTGAGTAGCTGGGATTACAGGCACGCGCCACCAAGCCAGGCTAATTTTTTTGTGTTTTTAGTAGAAACGGGGTTTCACCCATGTTGGTCAGGCTGGTCTCAAACTCCTGACCTCAAGTGATCCACCCGCCTCAGCCTCCCAAAGGTGCTGGGATTACGGGCGTGAGCCACAGCGCCCGGCCTTTTACCCTCCATTTTCTGCCAATTAAAACTTCACACAGTCTTCCATTGCTTGTAACTTTTGAACACGTGTGTGGTAATGTTCTGTGTATATTGCATATAAAACTATTAGCTTTTAAAATATTACCAGTTTATATAGACTCATCTCAAATGCTACTTCCTTTTGGAAACCTTCCTTGATCTCCCTGATATCCCCAGCCAGAGTGACCTCACTCCCCTCTGAAATCCTATAGAATGGTGTAATGTTTTGTGGTTATTTGTCACGCCTTTTATGTGCACAAGTCTTATCTTTTTTTTTTTTTTAACCTGAAGACGGCCTCACTTGCCCCAGTACCTTCCACAGAGTGGCTTCTGAGTAATGTTTACAGAATTTTTGAGGTAATTAATGAATGAACAAAGGCACCAAGGGTTAAGGACATGAATTTAGTGTCAGACACTTGGGTTCTACTCCTGGTTTTGCTGTTTTTTAGGTGTGTCGTGGGGTAGGTCACTTCTCTCACCCTTTCCTTAGAATCCACTTCACAGGACAGTGGTGAGGATTAAGTGATTTGATGTAGGTAAATTGCTTTTCATTGACTGTTAGCTGCTGAAATAGGAATTCAGAGGAAGGAGGAGAGAGGTCAAGGAGACTTCCTAAGCTGGACTGTGCTCTCCAGCCACCCTCTCATTTATATTTCCTTTCAGATCTCTACTAAGAATGTCACTCTGGCCGGGCGCAGTGGCTCACTCCTGTAATCCCAGCACTTTGGGAGGCCGAGGCAGGAGGATCACTTGAGGTTGGGAGTTCGAGACCAGCATGACCAACATGGAAAAACCCCGTCTCTACTAAAAATACAAAATTAGCCAGGCGTGGTGGTGCATGTCTGTAATCCCAGCTACTCGGGAGGCTGAGGCAGGAGAATCACTTGAACCCGGGAGGCAGGGGTTGCGGTGAGCCGAGATCACACCATTGCACTCCAGCCTGGGCTACAAGAGCGAAACTCTGTCTCAAATAAATAAATAAATAAAACAAAATAAAAAATAAAGAATGTCACTCTTCCTTGTTCCTGCATTTTCTTTTTATGTCTTTATCTTTTGGGTAAATTTGCCTGGCTTCAGGGCGAAGGCCCTCCAGCACCAAGAGCTGCCTAGTACTGCAGATTCTTACGACCACTCAAATCTTTCTTTCCTTTATAAGAAACAAGCAACTCTACCCTATGGTTGAGCCAATGTGTCAGTTTCTTCCTATCCAAATGGATGGCATCCTGACATCTGCAGTGAGAGGCCAATGCAATTTGGTGGGGGTAGGGGCAAGGGTGGGGGAGTTTTGCAGAGCATAAAGAGCACAGTATCTTGGATCTTCAGCAGCTTGAGTTCAGTTCTTAACTTTTCTTGCCTCATTACAACAGTGTCACAACCCATTTTCCTCATACATTGAGAACTGCTGCAGTCAGGCACGGTGACTGTTACATGGCTGTTATATTGGCCATGGATGGCCAACATAGTGAGACCTCCATTTTAAAAAAAAAATTAAAATTAGTCAGGCATGATGACACGTACCCGTAGTCATAGCTACTCAGGAGACTGAGGTGGGAGGATCGCTCGAGCCCAGGAGTTTGAGGTTGCAGTGAGCTATGATCATGCCAGTGCACTCCAGCCTGGGTGACAGAGTGAGATCCTGTCTCTAAAAAAATAAAAATAATTAGAAAGAATATGATTGGAAAAAAATAAAAATACAAGTAAAAATAAAAAAGAACTCTTGTGAGGAAAGCATCTAACAATGCTAGACAAAAAGTAAGTAACCAACAAATGCAAGTTCTCCCTTTAAGCTCTTCTCCACACTGGTACCAGATTTGTACTGCTAAAAGTCCTGTTCTTTCCTCTTATTATGGAGGAATTATCCTAGCTCATAGCCAACCTCCTCACTCATATACATGCTTACTCAAGGGCATGGCTTCAGCAGTTCTCCTCTCTCTCCTGCATCATCAATTTTTCCCTCTCTCCTGGATCAGTCTCAATCAACATACAAATGTTATGTTTCCCATCTTAAAAACAAACAAAAAGTCTGTTTTGACTCCACTACCAACTACAGCTGCCACATTTTCTCCTTCTTCTTTGTAGTAAAACTTCTTGAAAAAGCTATAACCTGTATACTCAACATTTTCAATTCCTCTTGAACCTACTCCAATCAGATTTTTGTCCCATACACTCCACCAAAACATCTCAAGATCACCAACAACCTCCACATTGGTAAATCTAATTACCTTCTATTCATCTTCATATTATTTGATCTGTGTGACACAGTTGATTACTCTCTCTTTCTTAAAACATTTTATTCACTTGGCTTCCGGGAGTTCTCACTTTCCTGGTTTTCTTCTTTTTGGCTCTTCCTTCTCAGTGTCTTTGGCTGATTCCTCTTCATTTTCCCAACCTCTAAGTATTAGAGTTGCCCCAGGATCCAGTCATTGGAACTCTTTGCTTTTCTGTCTACACTCATTTCCTAAGTAATTTCTTCAGTCCCTTGGGTTTTACATATTATATTGATTCTGAAAACCTCCAAATTCCCACTTCACTCTCAACCTTCTTCCTGAACTCAGGTCCAAATATCAAAATAGCCTACTTACCACATCCACTTGGGTGAGCTCTTCATATTTCTACTCAAACCTGTCCCTCCTGCAGTCTTCTTTGTGTCAAATAATGGCAACTCCATTCTTCTAGTTGCTCAGGTCAAAAAGTTTGGTAATTGGTGAACACGCCGTCCACGTGCGCCTTGCTGTCTCTCCATTATCGCTTGAGATCTCCAGCCTTACCGCGGCTTGAAATGGACCCCAACTGCTCCTGCACCACTGGTGGCTCCTGCACGTGCGCCGGCTCCTGCAAGTGCAAAGAGTGCAAATGCACCTCCTGCAAGAAGAGCTGCTGCTCCTGCTGCCCCATGGGCTGTGCCAAGTGTGCCCAGGGCTGTGTCTGCAAAGGGGCGTGCAGCTGCTGTGTCTGATGTGGGGACAGCTCTTCTCCCAGATGTTAATAGAACAACCTGCACAACCTGGTTTTTTTTCCTTAATACAACCCTGAGCCATTTGCTGCATTTCTTTTCATATTAAATATGTGAATGACAATAAAACAATTTTGACTTGAAAAAAAAGTTTGGTAATTGGTAATGTGACTCTCCGCTTTGTCTCATACCTCCTATCCAATCCATTAACAAATTCTGCCAACTCTACTTTCAAAATCTATGATTCCAAAAAAATCCAAAAAAAGTGTAAAGGGAAAAAATACAAAATACAAAAAACAAAAAATTAAAAATCAAAGTCTATGAGAATCCAACTACATCTCTGTATCTCTACTTGGACCCAGGTCTGAGCCGCCATCATCTTGTACTTGGATTATTGTAATAGCCTCCTAACTGGCCTTTCTGATATGGTCTTAAAACCTTTTCTCAGCCCAGCAACCAAAGTAATTCTGTTAAAACATAAGCCAGAAGATGTCTCTTCCACTCTCAGAACCTCTCATCAGTTTTTGTTAAGAGACAGGGTCTCACTCTTGCTCAGGCTGGAGTGCAATGCAATGATGATCACATAGTTTACGACATTCTCAAAGTCCCATGCTCAAGCAATCCTCTCACCTCAGCCTCCCAAGTAGCCAGGACTACAGGTGTACCCCACCATTCCTGGGTAATTTTTTTTTGTTTTTGGTAGAGATGGTGTCTTGAACTCCTGGCCTCAAGTGATGAGTGAGAGTATCAGGAGATGACAGATGATGATCAGGTGAGAGGATCAAGAGACTGTCCTACCTCAGTCTCCCAAAGTGCTGGGATTACAGGCATGAGCCACCATGCCCAGCCCCATCAGTTTTTTATCTCATGTAGACCACCCTTCCCTCCATAACCTTCATCTCCTGATACTCTCACTCTCTTCCACTCTAACCACAGTGATTCTTACCCTTTTCCTCAAACCTACCAGGCACGTTCTTGCCTCAAAACTTTTGCATTTGCTGTTCCGTCTGCCTGGATTCATTTCTTTCAGATATCTACATGGTTCACTCCCTTGTTCCTCCAGATCTTTACAAAAAACTCACTTTTTTACTGAGGCCTTCCCTGGCCACTCCATCCAAAAATTTTTTTTTTTTCTCTCTCTCTCTCTCTCTCACACACACACACACACCATTCAGATTTCAAGTCCTAAATCCTGCTTTTCTCAACAGAAAAAAAATGCTATTTAACTACATATATATATTTAAATCATTTTGTTCGTTGTCTATCACCCCAGTTTTTTTGTTTGTTTGTTTTTGTTTTGTTTTGTTTTGTTTTTTCTTTTGAGACAGAGTCTCACTCTGTCACCCAGGCTGGAATGTAGTGGTGCGATCTCAGCTCACTGCAACCTCCACTTCCCGGGTTCAAGTGATTCTCGTGCCTCAGCCTCCTGAGTACCTGGGATGACAGATGTGCACCACCATGCCCAGCTAATTTTTGTGTTTTTTAGTAGAGATGGGGTTTCACCATGTTAGCCAGGCTGGTCTTGAACTCCCAACTTCAGGTGATCTGCCCACCTTGGCCTCCCAAAGTGCTGGGATTACAGGTGTGAGCCACCATGCCCGGCCTGCTCCATTATAATTTAAGTTCCATGAAAGCAGGAAGTGTTATTAGATTTGTTCAAAGCTCTATCATCCCAGTACCGAGAATAATGTTCAACACAAAATAGGTGTTTCACATAAGTATTTGTTGAACTTGTTTCTTGAGTGAAATCAAACGTTATCATTTTGCTCCTCTGTTTTGGGTCATTCTGCCCAGAACAGAGTACTCATGCCTTTTGGTCTCAGGACCCTCTCTACACTCAAAGTATTGAGGGCCAGACACAGTGGTTCATTCCTGTAGTCTCTGGTACTTGAAAGGCTCAGGTGGGAGGATCACCTGAGCTCAGGAGTTTGAGGTTGCAGTGAGCTATGATTGTGCCACTGCACTGTAGCCTGGGCGACAGGGTGAGACCCTGTCTCAAAAAAAAAAAAAACACAAAAACATTCAGGCTGGGCTTGGTAGCTCATGCCTGTAATCTCAGCACTCTGGGAGGCCGAGGCAGGCAGATCATGAGGTCAGGAGTTCAAGACCAGCCTGGCCAACATAGTGAAACCCCATCTCTACTAAAAATACAAAAAATTAGCCAAGTGTGGTGGCTGGCACCTATTACGTAATCCCGGCTACTTGGGAGGCTGAGGCAGGAGAATCGCTTGAACCTGGGAGGCAGAGGTTGCAGTGAGCCAAGATTTCGCCACTGCACTCCAGCACGGGAAATAGTGCGAGACTCTGTCTCAAAAAAAAAAAAAAAAAAATTTCAGGACTCCAAATAACTTTTGAAAATTCAGGACTCCAAATAACTTTTGTTTATGTGGATTCTGTCTATTGATAAGTATCACACTAGGGATCAAAACTGAGAAATTGTTAAATATTTACATACTAATTCATTTAAAATAACAATAATAAACATGTTAACATAACATTTTTATTTTTAAAAAAATAATAAAAATTTAGCTGTTTTGTTCCAAAACGAAACAAAAAAAATAGTGAGAGGAATGCTACTGTTTTGCTTTTTTGAAAATCTGTTTTATGTCTGGTTTAATAGAAGATAATTGTATTATCCTATTTACTTCTCATTCAATCTGTATAATGTGCCATGAAGCCCTGGAAAACTACCCAGTACTCTCATGAGAAAATGAGAGTTTAAAAAGAAAACAATGTCTTCGTATTATTATGTAAATGGTTGTTGTCTCCATATATATCTGTTGTCTTTGTACATAGTTTTCCCTCCCATTCTACATAGCAAACTCCTGCTGGTCACTCAAGGTCTGTCTCACCTGCCATCTCTAGACAGTCAGTTGTTCCCTCCTCCCTACTCCCATTTCTCTATTATAGCACATATTATGTTATCTTGTTATCTGGATAATTGTCTATCTTCCCAACCGACTATCTTCCTAAAGAAGGCAACTATAACTTGATCTTCTTTACATCCCTAGCCCCACTCACAGTATCTAGCACCAAAAAGATATTTAATAAATATTAGTTGAATAAAGAAATATGAGGCCAGGTGCAGTGGCTCATGCCTGTAGTTCTAGCACTTTGGGAGGCCAAGGCAGGTGGATCACCTGACGTCAGGAGTTTGAGACCAGCCTGGCCAACATGGCGAAACCCCATCTCTACTAAAAATACAAAAATTAGCCGGGCATGTTGGTGGGTGCCTATAATTCCAGCTGCTCAGGAGGCTGAGGCAGGAGAACCGCTTGAACCCAGGAGACGGAGGTTGCAGTGAGCCGAGATCATGCCACTTCACTCCAGCCTGGGCAAAAGAGCAAAACTCCATCTCAAAATATATAAATAAATATGAAAGGAGGTGAAGGGAAGAGGGGACCCAGTTTATCTACAGTGAGCTCAGGCACTGATATAACATTTCTTTTTTTTCTTTTCTTGAGACAGGGTCTAGCTCTGTTGCCCGGACTGGAGTGCAGTGGCATAATCACAGCTAACTGTAATCTCTGCCTCCTGGCCTCAAGTGATCCTCTCTCCTCAGCCTCCCAAGTAGCTGGGACTACAGCCATGTGCCACAACTCCCAGCTAAATTTTTTTTTTTTTTTTTTTTTTTGTAAAGACAGAGTTTCACCATGTTGCCCAGGCTGGTCTTGAACTCCCGGGCTCAAGTGATCCATCCTCCTTGGCCTCCCAAAGTGGTAGGATTACAGGTGTGAACAACTGTGCCCAGCCAATATCATAATTCTTTTCTTTTCTTTTTTTTTTTTTCTTTTTTGAAACAGAGTCTCTTGTCGCCCATGCCAGGGTGCAGTGGCACAATCTTGGTTCACTGCAACATCTGCCTCCCAGGTTCAAGCAATTCTCCTGCCTCAGCCCCCAAGTAGCTGGGATTACAGGCGTGCACCACCACGCCCGGCTAAGTTTTGTAGAGATGGGGTTTCACCATGTTGGCCAGGCTGGTCTCGAACTCCAGACCTCAGGTGATCCACCTGCCTCAGCCTCTCAAAGTGCTGGGATTACAGGTTTGAGCCACTGCGCCAGCCCCAATATAATATTTCTTGTTAAGATTATCAGTGTCAAAGGTTTTCCAACATCACACTCTGGGGACTGTTGTGGGGTGGGGGGAGGGGTGAGGGATAGCATTAGGAGATATACCTAATGCTAAATGACGAGTTAATGGGTACAGCACACCAGCATGGCACATGTATACATATGTAACTAACCTGCACATTGTGCACATGTACCCTAAAACTTAAAGTATAATAATAATAATAAAAAAAGAAAGAAAAAAACAAACAACCCCATTAAAAAGTGGGCGAAGGATATGAACAGACACTTCTCAAAAGAAGACATTTATGCAGCCAAAAAACACATGAAAAAATGCTCATCATCATTGGCCATCAGAGAAATGCAAATCAAAACCACAATGAGATACCATCTCACACCAGTTAGAATGGCAATCATTAAAAAGTCAGGAAACAACAGGTGCTGGAGAGGATGTGGAGAAATAGGAACACCTTTACACTGTTGGTGGGACTGTAAACTAGTTCAACCATTGTGGAAGTCAGTGTGGCGATTCCTCAGGGATCTAGAACTAGAAATACCATTTGACCCAGCCATCCCATTACTGGCTATATACCCAAAGGACTATAAATCATGCTGCTATAAAGATACGTGCACATGTATGTTTATTGTGGCACTATTCACAATAGCAAAGACTTGGAACCAACCCAAATGTCCAACAATGATAGACTGGATTAAGAAAATGTGGCACATATACACCATGGAATACTATGCAGCCATAAAAAAATGATGAGTTCATGTCCTTTGTAGGGACATAGATGAAACTGGAAATCATCATTCTCAGCAAACTATCGCAAGGACAAAAAACCGAACACTGCATGTTCTCACTCATAGGTGGGAATTGAACAACAGAACACATGGACACAGGAGTGGGAACGTCACACTCCGGGGACTGTTGTGGGGTGGGGGGAGGGGGGAGAGATAGCATTAGGAGATACACCTAATGCTGAATGACGAGTTAATGGGTGCAGTACACCAACATGGCACATGTATACATATGTAACAAACCTGCACATTGTGCACATGTACCCTAAAACTTAAAGTATAATAATAATAATAATAATAATAATAAAAAGCTTTTCCTAGCAGCTGGTCAGTTTACCATATAGTTCATTAAGTGAATTCCAACCACTCATGTGGTCTTTCAAGTGAAGTGGAGAAGACAGAGGTCATTCATTTCATTTTATGAGGCAACCAAGGCCCAAATAAATGAAGTGACTTGCTGAAAGGCATACCAAAAGTCAGTGACAGAGCCAGTGCTTGAATCAGGTATCTGACGTTAAGTCAAGTGCTGTTTCCATTTTATCCCATGCTCATCATGGTGACTGGAGGCTGCAAAGTCAGAGTTCCCGTGATTCTATCTTGGGGTGTTGCTCTGAAACCTTCTAAACCTCCTCTTGAACTGATTTCACAGCAGTCTCTGGACCGTCCTCTTACTAAGGACTATCTTAGGGATCCATTTTATAAGCAACCATTGACTTCTATCAGCCTCTTCTTTCCTTATCATCAATACCTACTGCCATTCACATCCGCCATCCTTGGGAGCTGGTCAAGGTGGACCACCACAGTGCTATATCATCATCGGCAGTTCCACAAGCATTTGGTATTAGAGGAAAGGAGAAGAATAAGACAGAGCTCAGTCCAGTCTGTTCCCCTTCATTCTTTGAATATACTATTTCTTCTTTCTGGAATATATCCCCTCCCAAACCTTCCAACTTTGGCAGTTCATTGCTCTTTCCTCAGTGTTTCCACAACACTTTGTTCTCATTCGTGTCATAACTCATCATGTAACCACAATGATTTGTCTCTATCATCTCCCTACCGGGACTGTGAGCTGTTCACCTCAATGGTGTTAATACAGTCTTCAGTCTCTTTGATTTCCCTGAGACTGTCAACTCCTTCTCTCTCTCTCTTTTTTTTTAGACAGAGTCTCACTCTGTTACTGGGCTGGAGTGCGGTGGCGCAATCTCAGCTCTCTGCAACCTCTGCCTCCCAGGTTCAAGCGATTCTCAGGCCTCAGCCTCCTCAGTAGCTGGGATTACAGGTGTGCACCACTATGCCTGGCTAATTTTTGTATTTTTTGCAGAGACAGGGTTTCACCATGTTGGCCAGGCTGGTCTCAAACTCCTGGACTCATGTAATCCGCCTGCTTTGGCCTCCCAAAATGCTGGGATTACAGGTGTGAGTCACCACGCCCAGCCAACTCCTTCCTTTTCTTTGAACCTCTCTTCTTCTTTCCGGTGATACTCCACAATCCTGATTCTTCAGTCTTTTTGGACAATCTTTAGATTCACTTTTGGCTTGACTTTTCTCAGGCTCTGAATATGTATGTCTCAGGATGGAACTCTTGGCCTTTTGCTCTCTTCAACTCTTTGCTTTCAGCTTCAACTACCGTATTTACTTGAAGGTGTCCAAAATATCCATTCTCCACCTTCTTCGAGAACTCATTCCCATACCCATCTCACAGATCTTGTGGTCACCCCAGTTTCAGCAAGTCTAAAACCGAGCTCCTTGTCACCTCCTTCAAGCCAGTTCCTCCACATGAGGACTCCGTTTCTGTGAAGATGCTACCATCCATCTTTCTCGATTTGCCATCACTCCAAACTCCTTTCCCTCTTCTTGTATGCCCATTGTCTCTTAAATCTGTCTCTTTTCTCACCCCCATCCTAGAAAAAAATGGGTTCTGAAGTCAAATCGATTCAGCTCTATCACTTATGAATCACGCAAGTTTGGCAAACTTATTCAGAGTCTTCCACTTCTTTATCCTAAATTAGGGGTAATAATAGCATCTATTTCATAGGGTTTATCTATGAAGATTAAATGAGATATCGTGGAGGAAAGTGCTTAGCCCAGTAACTAGTATGTATTAGGCACTCAATAAATGTTAATTATTATTGTTATCCTTATTTCCTTATACTTAGACTATTACACTAGTCTCCTAACCAATCTCTCTGCCTCCTCTGGTCATTATTCTCTCCACTGGGAGGGGAACTAACATGGAATATCTATTAAGTGTCAAGCACCTCATGCTGAAAGCAATCTTATACAGTAATAGTAGCATCATTTTATAAAAATGGAACAGAGCCAAGATATGAACATAGGTCTGACGCTAAAGCCTGTGCCCTTTTTTCATCTCCAAATTACCACGTAATCATAAAATACTATTTTCACACATCATCCTGCTTAAACACACACATACACACACACACACCACACACACACAACCTTTAATGACCACCCTCCCCCATTTTCCTTCAGAACACAACCCAAATTTATTATCCTAGCATTCACTGTCTTGTACAACTTCCCTCACTTCCCAACACTTTCCTATAGGAACCCTGTGCTCCAGAGAAACTTATCTGCCGCCTCAGGCACATCCTGTACACCCTCAACTTCCTCCCTGAAATGCCCTCTCCTCTCCCCTCCCCTGGTTTAAATCCAGCCTTTCCTTCAGGTCCTAGCTAGAGTCCCACCCTCCTCCATTACACTTTTTCCTAACTTCCCCAGCCCCTCATCAGGTCTCCCTCGACCCCTGGAGCAGCCGCCTGTATCCTTGTTGACACGTGGTGTTTGCCATTCTGTTTTTCTTTGCGTTTATGTTTTCTCATCAAGCTGTAAACCTCTGCACTCCAGGAAATCGGCCTTCTCTTTTTTGTTTTTGTTTTTGGGTGTTTTTTTTTTTCCTTTCAGCATCCCAAGTAGCCCAGAGCCCTACAAATAGAAAGCGCTTGATAAATATGGGTTGTTTTGGATGAAAGATGATCTTCCCAGCTGGATGAGCTCTTTCCCTCTAGGGGTGAGGGACTGAGCTTCACCTCAACTTCACCTAATGTCTCACAGGAATGCCCCCTCTTAAACGCTCCTCAGGTCTTCTCTACCCCTTTCCCCCACCACCCCGGCCCAGGAGAGCCACTCAGAGCTCCCTCTCCGGAGTCACCCTCTCAGACCCAGGGCTATTTCTTTAGCTTGCTCTCGAACCCCGCCTTTACCCCAGAGCCGCTCCTCAGTCTCCTCCCCCAGGCTGCCTCTCAGGCCCCCTCTCCTCCAATGCCACTCCCTAGGACCCTCTCCCCAGGGTTCCGGACCCCCAACCCCGGATATGTTCCCCCAGGGCCATCCAGTTGTTCTACCTCCAGGATTACTGATTTAGCCTCTTCCCCCTCCTGCTCAGGGCTACCCCCAGACCCCGACCTCCAGTTCCACCCCTTCGGACCCTGCCTCTAGAACTGTTCTTTTAGCCTCTGCAACCCCCTCCCCAGCGCCGCTCCGCGGCCCCTGCCCCAGGGCTGGTCGGGGAGCCACTGCCCTCGCAGGTCCCGCCCGGGTGCTGCCCCCGCGCCCCCGGCCGCCCCCCACCGGGGCGGGGCGCGCGGAGGCGGGGGCGCGCTGGCGGCCGAGGCGGCGGCGGCGGCGGCGAAGGCAGGCGGGCCGGGCGCGGGCCCCGCCGCCGGGATGCCGAGGAGCCGGGGCGGCCGCGCCGCGCCGGGGCCGCCGCCGCCGCCGCCGCCGCCGGGCCAGGCCCCGCGCTGGAGCCGCTGGCGGGTCCCTGGGCGGCTGCTGCTGCTGCTGCTGCCCGCGCTCTGCTGCCTCCCGGGCGCCGCGCGGGCGGCGGCGGCGGCGGCGGGGGCAGGGAACCGGGCAGCGGTGGCGGTGGCGGTGGCGCGGGCGGACGAGGCGGAGGCGCCCTTCGCCGGGCAGGTGGGGCTGGCGCGCGGGGCCGGGGCGCGGGCTCGGGGCATCCGGGCAGGGCGGGGGGCGGCACCGGGGACGGGCCTGGGCCGGGCCGCACCTACTGCCGAGGTCGCGGAGGCGGCGCGCCGGGGGTCCGCGCCTTGGGTCCGGGCTGGCGCGGCCCAGGGCGGGGGCTGGGGAGGGCCTCGCCGAGGGCCGCCGAGGCCGGGAGCTGCTTCAGCACCGCGGACAGGGGCAGCGGGCGGGGGCCGAGCACGAGGGTCGGGTTTGTTGTGTTGGCAGTGGGGTGTGTGGCCTGCATGACTATGTGCGAGGGAAACCGTACAACGCCTCGGAGTAAATAGTAAGCGCAGCCAGTCTGTTGTGGGTTGGGAGAAGAAACCGAGGATGTTCAAGCTGGAGAAGGGGGAGGGGGAGGGCGGAGGAAGGACTCGATCACTGTCTTCGTAGCTGAAGGGCTGTCAGGTGGAGGTAGGATAGACTTGTTCTAGCTTGGCCCCACAGGGCAGAACTAGGGCCAGCGGGAGTGGGGGTTGCAAGAAGACAAATTTGGGCTCGATATAGGAAGAAGTTTGTAACAATTGGAGCTGCTCAACCAGCTTAGGAGGCGGCGAGCTGCTCATCACTGGCATGTGCAAGTAAAAGCTCTCGGAGGGGATTGGATGGAGGCATGCATAATGCTTGCATGGATGCATACATCATCATCACAATAATGCCAGCTAGCATTTACTGAACACTCACTATGTGCCAGGCCTGGTGCTATGTTTTATACGAATTATCCAATTCAATCCTCATAACTACTCTATGAAATAGCTGCAATTATTATCCCCATTTTACAGATGGGGATACAGACTCAAAGAGCTTAAGTAACTTGCCCAAGGTCACACAGCTAGTGAGTGATGGAATTGGAATTCTAACCTAGGCAGGCTGACTCTAGTCTCCCCTTATTTACCCATGACCTTATCCTATATCTCATGGGGGGTGCAGTTGGACTAATTTCTCTAGTATCTTCCAACCTAGAGGACTGCAATATTCTAATAAATGATGTTGGGACAATGGTGTTTTGCTGAGGAAAATCAGAGTGATAGCCTCGCCACCCTAAGAGATGGAGTATATTTGTTGAAGCAGGCAGTCTGTTTGTTTAGAAGAATCTGCCTCAAGAGATATTCTTAATTGGGCATGGAGCTCAGGGGGTCATACGTGCACTGAAATTGCGTACAAATTTGTAAGTGCAAATGTGTGTATTTCTAGGCGAGGACCCCTAGATTTCTTCAGCCTCTCAAAGGGTTACAGGTTCCACAAAACAACAAAAAAGATATGGTGTGTAAAAGAACCTTTAGTGCCAGTTGGCAGTTGTCCTCCAAAGATTTTATAATTGCTGGTTGACTTGTTGTGGAAACTTTGCTTAGCCTCTTTGTGTTTTCACATGTGTTTTATCACATGTTAAAGTAATGCATTTCCTAAGTTTATACCCTAGAAGAAAGATTGCTTTAGACTGCCTGAGTGCACAGGATGAGGTGGAAAGACCCTGGCCTGGGATTAAGGAGGCCTGGGCTCTGATCTGACCTTGGCCCCCATTGGTTTGTGTGACCTTGAGCCATTTCCTTGCCCTCTCTAGGCTTGAATTTCACCATGTCTAACATAAAGAGATAGAGCTAGACAATCTCAACTCTGAAACTTTTTTATTCCTACAATATTTCAAGCATTAAGAGGAAGCTAGTCCTTACCTGTATCAGTTTTATAGGCTTTGATTATTCCACCTCTTAGCCTTTGTCTTTTTAAACTTAAGTTTCCCCCTATGACACGAGACCCCTAGAATAGCCACACTCATTCTCTGGGTCATTTTAGTTGTCCTTTTCTAGATACCTTTTGGCCCTAATTTTCAATAGATGTCAACTTGACCATTGTCTCCAGATACAGGACCCTACGGTTTTGCATAAAGGAAGGTTGGTTTCTTCTTTGCTCTCCTGGTCCCATCCTGCTTCCCCCTTCCCTCTGTCAGCTTTCCTGATCTCAACACACTAGGCCACTGCCTTTAGGGAACAATCTATAATAGCTCCCGGAGCCTTTTCCTGGGTCAAAACTGATAGCCTGGAACACAACACCCTGTATGTGGATTATTTTTATCGGAGTGCATTACCTTACATTTCTCCACCTTGACGTTTGTCTGCCATCTTGCATTGCACTCAGTAACTTCCTTCAAGCATTCGCTCACTCTCTCTCTCCCTTCCTCCACCTCTTCCTCCTTCCTTCTCTTTTGGCATAGCATTTCCCTGTCTGAAAGGGCTTAATATGATCTGAAGTCTTGAAATTTTCACTTTGCTATATTTCTTCTGGATCACTTATAAAAAATTTAAGTGAGACAGGTCCCAGCATGGTCTCTTGGGGCCCCCTGCACTCTTAATCCCCTTTCATTCACGGAAGTGACCATTTATATCTATCTATTGTTTTCTAAGTGACAAAAACATCATCCTTAATTTGACAATGACTCCATTTTAAATGTCTAATACATTGTCCAAAACTTCCTGAAAGATAGACAAATTATATCCACTGCTTCTCTCAATAATTTGTGCCTAATTATCCTTTCACTGAACACTAGGGGATCACTTGATTGACACCTTATAGAAATATTGTTGCTTTTAAGCCGGCAGATAATATTGCTTACTCCTCTTTCTGTCTTTTAAGCCCTCTGGAGTCTGTCTCCACCCTACCCCTCCATTAGCAGGCCATATTTCCCACTGCTTATTGATAACGCATCCTTACTCGACAAGCTCATCTCTCCTTTACCCTTAGACAGGCTGCCCATATTTCTCTGGACATTGTCACATAGTTACTTCTGCACCCCTACCCGTTCATTTGAAACCTTTCCTTAAAGTTTCAGCTCAAGCCCTGCTTCTCCAATAAACTTTCCCTGATTTCTCTAGTTGTCATTTTCTTCTCTCTTCTCCAGGAAACATTTTTAAGGCAGCCCCAGCCAGTTTGTCATTTATTTATTTACTTATTTTTATTTATTTTATTTATTTATTTTTGAGACAGAGTCTCACTCTGTTGCCCAGGCTGGAGTGCAGTGGGGTGATCTCGGCTCACTGCAACCTCCGCCTCCCAGGTTCAAGCGATTCTCCTGCCTCAGCCTCCTGAGTAACTGGGATTACAGGCATGCACCACCACGCCCGGTTAATTTTTGTATTTTTAGTAGAGAAGGGTTTTCGCCGTATTGGCCAGGCTGGTCTCAAACTCGTGACCTCAAGTGATCCACCTTCCTCAGCCTCCCAAAGTGCTGGGATTATAGGTGTGAGCCACCGTGCCCAGCCCTATTTATTTTTTAATAGTTAAACATTATTTTTGGGGAGAGGAAGGTTGGTTCTTAGGCAAGGCTTTCTTGACCAAAATGTTTTATTTTTTTACATTGAACAAAATCCCTGATTCTCAATGCTCATCATTAAGTATTCAATGAGCAATCAATGATTCTACTCTTTATCCTTTATCTCAAAAAGTTACATGGATCTGAAATAGGCACTCATGGGCATGGGGCTCCAAGCCCCCTTCTAAAACCCTTCTTAGAGATGGGACTCATTGCCAACTTGTACTTTCTTCGGTAGAAATCAAGCCTATTCCTTTTGGCAGTGGTTCCACAAGCTCACCCTTGAGTTCCTTCAGAACTCTTTAGGTAGTCTTCTAATGGTAGTGGCATCAATAGAAAGAAATTGAGAGATAACCGTGACCTTAGAGATCACCCAGTACCTACTACAGCACTTACTAGATACTTCTTTAATTGAGTTGCCCAAGGGCACAGAACGTGATAGTAGATGATTCGGAACTACTGTAGAACTTTTCCTAGTTCTCCTGATTTCTAAATTGAAAGCATTTTTCATCATCATTGATTTTTCATTTCGTATCTATGATCTTTCATTACCAAGCCAAAAAATTTTTTTATTCAGTCTATCTTCTCCTTTGCTTTATTTTTCTCCACACCCCACAACCCCCGACCCCTTGAAGCTCAACAAACAGGATCCTATGCTTTCTTTAGTCTTTCTTTTTTATCTTACACATCAAGAGGTCCCACTGATTCTCTAACTGGCTTCCTTCATTTGATTTATTAAAAGCACCACTTCTCTTATTTGCTGAGTAGAATGCTCCTCAAATACTTTTCTGGCCTTCCTAGTTTCCAACTTGATTCTGAGGAAGATCAGAACAGGATGAAAGAGACAAGTCAATTATCACAGGCCACATGAATAAGTAACAGAGTGTGACTCCTAGACCCAGGACTTATGGATTCCTGCCCTTGAGACTGGTTTTGAGTGGTTTGTGCTGAGGAGATGGAGAACAGTCTTTGGTTTGAAACTGTAGTCAAGGAAGATTGACCCCGAATGATTGGAGGGGTAAGAGAGTGACCTACTAAGAAGCACCAACGTATTCCCAAATCAAAATATTCTTTCACTGTGATCATGGCCTCCAGTATATCTTCATTCTTGTCTGGAAAAAAAAAACTCACTATTAGGAAGTTTTCCCTTTTACATAAGCTGGATCTAGTCTACTGTATTTTTAATTCATTTTCTCTTATTTTTACTGTGGGGTTTCATATTACTTTAATAGCTGTTTATATTTGTAAGGTGCTTTGCACTTCCCATATGCCATGTATGTGGCCCTATTTGGTCCTGGGAACAATACCATGAGGTAGATAAGGAAGACATTGTCCTCATTTTATAGGTGAGTAAAAGGAGACTCAAAGATGATGTGAATTGCCTATCATCTTGTCTAAGGACCCACACATAGCTCATAAACATTAAAGCAGGCCAGGCATGGTGGCTCACACCTGTAATCCCAGCACTTTGGGAGGCCGAGGCAGGTGGATCACCTGAGGTCAGGAGTTTGAGACTAGCCTGGCCAACATGGTGAAACCCCATCTCTACTAAAAATACAAAAATTAGCTGAGCCTGGTGGTGCATGCCTGTAATCCCAGCTGCTGAGGCAGGAGAATTGCTTGAACCCCGGGGGCAGAGGTTGTAGTGAGCCAAGACTGTGCCACTTCACTCCAGCCTGGGCAAAAGAGTGAATCTCCGTCTCAGAAGAAAAAAAGAAATTAAAGCAAATAACAGAAGCTAGGTTTTCTGTTCTTGGGCTCAGCACTCTGCCCACTATACAAGTTTCCTGTTCTGGATTATTATTGTAGCCTTTTAGCCAGTCTTTTCTACTTTCAAGTATGTCCTACTCTGGTCCTTGAAAGAGGTATTTTTAGAACTAATAAAAGTAAATTATAATTGTACCCAAAAGACTAATCTTAGGAAATGCCTAGCCCTATAGTATGGTATTGTTTGAACTCAAAACAGGAAGAACAAACCACAGCCAATATCTCCTCAGTACCTAGCACAGTGCATGATACATTCTGGACATGTGATAAATATTTTAAAATTAATTTTGTTATCTAATCCCCATCAACTTCTTTGAATAGTGCTTGGCACACAAAAGTCGCTACCTTTTGTGAAGAATAAATGAATGCATGCTAGAGGTATAACAAGGTGCCGGGAAGCACCGAAGAGGGAGGAGATGAGGTTCCCCAGTTGAGGTTCGGGAAGCCAGAGAATGCTTCAGGAAGAAGGTGGTATCTGAGATGAACCTTTGAGGGAGGAGAATGATGGAGAAGGGTGAGTGGGGCAGTCCAGGCAGAATAAAAAATATGAACCATGGCTCCACAAAAATGCATGGCATGTTTAGGAAACAGTGGATAATTTGATGTGCCTGAATCATCAAGTTACTTGCTGTTTCCAGTAAGAGTGTATAAGGAGAAGAGGCTGGAGAGGGAGACTGAGAGCAGATTGTGCATTTGGCTTTTGTCCAAAGGCTGAGGGGAGTCATTAAAGGTTTCTGAGCAGAGGAGCGACCTGCTCAGAGCCATGTTGAGGAAGTGGAGGGACTGGAGTTTGTTCCTGAGTTGTTCTGGCTGCTGGCTCCTGCCCTGAATGCTTTTAAGCTTTCTTAGCACAACTTAGGGGCGAGTACTCATTTTAGGGCTCAAGTGACCCGCCCACCTTGGCCTCCCAAAGGGCTTACAGGCATGAGCCCTGGCCTTGCCTGTTAGCAGTAATTTAAAGACTCAATTCTATGCCACAAACACTTACGAGGCATAAAGGGCACCAAAAGTACTTGGCCAGAAAGTCAGGAGTTGTTCTTTACTCCTTTCTCTCTTTATACATATGTATGTATAAAGATCATTTGAGGCCAGGAGTTCGAGACCAGCCTGGCCAACATGGTGAAACCCTATCTCTATTAAAAATACAAAAAAATTAGCTATGCATGGTGGTACATGCCTGTAGTTCCAGCTACTTGGGTGGCTGAGGCACAAGAATCACTTGAACCTGGGAGGCGGAGGTTACAGTGAGCCAGGATTGAACTACTGTACTCCAGCCAAAGCAAGACTCTGTATCAAAAATCAATCAATGAATCAATCAATCAGTCCACTCAGGAGTCAGTTATATC
Source organism: Homo sapiens (assembly GCF_000001405.40). Taxonomy (NCBI): domain Eukaryota; kingdom Metazoa; phylum Chordata; class Mammalia; order Primates; family Hominidae; genus Homo; species Homo sapiens. The sequence goes on from NC_000020.11 coordinate 35,233,453, forward strand.
TGAAGCCTATATGGCAAAAACTAATGTTTGACAAAGCTGGCTGGTGATTTTCCAATATATATTGTTATTTTATGCCTTTCTGAATGACTGAAATATTGAATAATAAAAAAAATTAAAAACAAACCAAAATCTGATCACCTTACTCCCACCCTCACCTGGCTTAAAATGACTCTTAGGACAAAGATTATACTATTATTACTGTACTACTATCACTTCTTCCTTTTAGTTTTATTATGGAAAACTTTCAAATGCATATGAAAATGGAAAGAACAATATTATAAACTCCCTTGGACGCAGCACCCACAAGGATCACTTGAGTCCGGGAGTTTGAGACCAGCCTGTGCAACATGGCAAAACCCCATCTCTACAAAAAAATACAAAGAGTAGCTGGGTGTGGTGGCATGTGCCTGTAGTCACAGCTACTTGGGAGGCTGAGGCAGGAGGATTGCTTGAGCCCAGGAAGCTGAGGCTACAGTGGACAGAGATCACACCACTGCACTCAAGCCTGGGCCACAGCGCAAAACCCTGTCTAAAACAAAAACAAAAACATGCTTAATGAAGCCGATGAGGCCCTGCATGACTGAGTCCTTCCCATCTCTCTGACTTCCTTTTATACCACCCATTCTCCCCATTGGTCACTAGACTCCAGTCACCCTGCCCTTCCCTCTCTTTTTCTAATATACAGGCTCCTTCCCATTCAGGAATTCAGTAAGGTACTCTTTCCTGGAGTCTCATTCTCAGCCTTCACCTAGCCTCTTCTGTTCATTCACAGATGTCAGCTGAGATGTCATGTACTCAGGGAGGCCATCCCTGATATCACAGCCTATATCTCCTGCCACACACTTTTGTAGCTCCTGGTTCTTCTCTTTCATTCCACTTATCACCACTGTAATGAAATGTTTAGTATTTCCATGTCTATCTCTCCCACCGGCTGTAACTTCCATGAGGATGAGTTCAAAGGGGACTACAGGCATGTAAACCATTATTTATAATGTAATACAAAATATGCTATAAATGAGGATACATATAATGCCATTGGGAGCACATAGAAAGTCCATTTAACCCCAGACAGATAGCCCTCCCTGATGAAGTGGCATTCAAGTTGCATTTTGAAGTAGCGCACCATGGGGAGGCCAGAGTACATATGGGAAAGGAGTTCTAGGGAGAGGGAATGAAATAAAGGCACAGAGGCAGGACTCTGCAGGATATGCTCAGGCAACACAATTAGGTCAGTATAGCTAGAGGTTGGGGTACTTGAGGTGAGCAATAAAGGGTAGAAGGTACAGGACAGAACATGAGGCTGGCAGAACCAGGCATGGTGGCTCATGCCTGTAATCCCAGCTTCTCAGGAGGCTGAGGCTGGAGGATTGCTTGAGACCAAGAGTTTGAGGTCATAGTGAGCTATGATTGTGCCACTGCACTCCAGCCTGAGCGACAGAGCAGAACCCCATCTCTACAAAAGAAAACAGGGCTGGAAAGGTGCATTGGCATCACATTGTAAGGGTTGTTGTGTCATGCTAAAGAATCTGGACTTTAAGACTGGCAATGAGGAACCAGAAGATCGGCTTCACAGTCAATCCACTTAGGCTAAAATAATGGAACTTTTTAACATGACTTACAGGTTATTTAGTTCAACCATCTCCCTGTTGCAGTTAAGAAACTGAGACTTGGTCTGGCTGTGGGGCTCACATCTGTAACCCTAGCACTTTGGGAGGCCAAGCTGGGAGGATCACTTGAGCCCAGGAGTTTGAGACCAGCCTGGGCAACATGGCGAAACCCTATCTCTACAAAAAATACAAAGATTAGCTGTGTATGGTGGCATACACCTACAGTCACAGCTACTTGGGAGACTGAGGCAGGAGGATTGCTTGAGCCCAAGAAGTTGAGGCTACAGAGAGCAGAGATTGTACCACTGCACTGCAGCCTGGGCCATAGAGTGAAACCCTGTCTTAAAAAAATTAGGCCAGGTGCAGTGGCTCACACTTGTAATCCCAGCACTTTGGGAGGCTGAGGTGGGTGGATCACCTGAGGTCAGAAGTTCGAGATCAGCCTGGCCAATAGGGTGAAACCCTGTCTTTACTAAAAAATACAAAGAATTAGCTGAGCGTGGTGGTGGGCACCTGTAATCCCAGCTACTTAGGAGGCTGAGGCAGGAGAATCACTTGAACCCGAGAGGCGGAGGTTGCAGTGAGCCAAAATCACGCCATTGCACTCCAGCCTGGGTGACAAGAGCAAGACTATGTCTCAAAAAAAAATTTTTTTTAATTTAAATTTTAAAAACCCTGAGGCCTGGCCACTGGTCTTTGTCTTCACTTTTCCCTTTTCTTAACTCACCAAGAAGTCGAGCCTCAGGGGACAGAAAATTAGCAGATCTGCGGGAGGGCCTTGGACAGGGTGAGGAAGACTAAGGCCTCTCCTTTTCCAGAGAGTGAATGAGACCATGGCCACACTCCTGACTGTGGGCAGAGGCCTCCCCAGAACTGCAAAACTTGGACATCCCAGTGCTGACCCAAAACCCCAAATGTGCCACCTCCCCGGGTATGGTGATCATCTGGCTTGTGGTGGCCTCCTGGGAGTGGGCCAAGGACATTCTGCAGAGCGCCAGGGAATTCCCGCTAGTGCACTTACCACCCACTCAAGAGCCGATGGCAGCCAACAGGCAATGCTGCGCCATTAAGGTGTTTGTCAAGAAGCTAAGCTGGGCATTGTGGGCGATCCTGAGGGCCCTTTTTAGATTGGCTGTAAGTGAAGAAAAAAAACAGCATTTGGAGGCAAACTAGAGCTAGTGCAGAGGGTGTAGCATGACAGAAAACCCTCTGAGAGGCAGAGATGCTTGCCTCCATGTCTGGCTTCCTTACCAACTTGCTCTGTGATTTTGAATAAGTCATTTCCCCTCCCGGAGTTTTCTTTCTCTCTTCTGCAAAACAAGTATGTTAAATTAGATGATCTCTGAGTATTGGTGACCAGTGCATTTTCTAGATACCTGAATGATTATGCCTTCAGTATGAAATTTTACGAATTAGTTATATAACTCAGGTGGGCTCAGCAGCAAGGCTGGGACCTCAGTTATATGGGTAGAGGAGGAAGCAGGGTTTTGGTGGGACAAGAAGTGGAGGGAACTGACACAGTGATAGGACCCATCCCTGAGGAGTCACCAGAAAGACCCAGTGATTTGGTCTGGCAGCAATAACCAAACGTGGTGGTCAAAGAGGAGAAATGACTTATTAAAAATCACCAAGGGCTGGGTGAGGTGGCTCACACCTGTAATCCCAGCACTTTGGGAGGCTGAGGTGAGTGGACCACCTAAGATCAGGAGTTCGAGACCAGCCTGACTAACATGGTGAAACCCTGTCTCTACTAAAAATACAAAAATTAGCCGGGCATGGTGGCGTGCACCTGTAATTCCAACTACTCGGGAGGCTGAGGCAGGAGAATCACTTGAACCCAGGAGGCAGAGGTTGCAGTGAGCCAAGATCGCACCACTGCACTCCAGCCTGTGCGACAGAGCGAGACACCATCTCAAAAAAAAAAAAAAAAAAAAAATCACTAAGAGCAAGTTGGTGGGGGAGCTGGGAATGGAGCCAAGCGTCTCTGCCTTTCAGCGGTTCTTTCCAAGGAGTATGGGAGCAGGAATAGACAATAACATTGTACGAACACTTACTATGTGCCAGAATCTGCTAAATGCTTCTTGCTGCTGTAACAAATTACCACAAACTTATTTCTAAAAGCAACACAGACTTGTTTTCTTACATTTCTGGAGGTCAGAAGTCCAAAATGGGTCTTGCTGGACTGAAATCAAGTTATTGGCAGGGCTGCATTCCTGCTGGAGTTTCTAGGAGAGGATCTCTTCCTTGCCTTTTCCAGTGTCTAGAGAATGCCCGCATCCCTTGGCTTGTGGCCCCTTCTAGCAGCAGCAGCACTGCTATAACCTATGTCTCCCAACACCTTCTCTGACTCAAACCCCCTGCCTTCCTCTTATAAGGATGCTTGTGATTTCATTAGACCCACCTGGATAATCCGGGCTAATCTCCCCCATCTGAAGATCCTTAACTTAATCATTTCTATAAAGTCTCTTTTACCACATAAGGCAACATATTCCCAGGTTTTGGGGATTAGGATGTGGCTGTCTTTGAAGGGTCATTATTTTACCTACCACAGTGCATCATCTCACTGAGTCCTCCTAACAGCCCTTCTTTAAACATCTGTTTAACAGATGAGGAATGTGATGCTTAGAGGAGTTAGGTCATTTGCCCAAGGGCACTCTGCTGGAAAGAGAAAAGTTAGGTAATATTTGGTATGTGGTGGCATCTTGGTCCCAAGTGAGCTGTCTTTTTAGATAGGACCCCATTCAGCTCCCAAGTGTATTGAGAATACAGTCTAACTCTGTGGAGGAGGCTGTCTAAGAACTAGGCAGGGAATCTGAGACCCTGAAAAATAGATTAGGGTCACAGCAGTCTCAGCTTAGAACTTGAATGCTAGAGAGAGAAACTGAGGGAAAAAACCCAGTTGTAAGCATTAAGCCAATATAGCAATGGATGAGGAAGAATGATCTTAGGCCACCATTCATGCCTGCATACAGTGATACAATAATATCTTAGTGTTGGGGGTTGAAGCTGCTGATGGACCATTTGCTCAAGTTAGGATTGACCAAGGAGATGGACAAGGTGAGGGACTCAGAGATAACTGCAGAGCCGAGGCACAGAGAGCAGAGGCTGGCTACTGAGCCAGTGCTAATAGAAGACTTTTCTAAATGGGTAACATAGTCAATTATAAGTGACACTGAACAACATGTCCATTTCGTCATGGTTATGGCAGGCCCTGTGCTAGCTGTTGGGGTGACAATGATGAGGAGGACATATATGCATTTTAGAGTCAGGAGGAAGCGACAGATATTTCAACATGTGGTTACAATACAGTGTGGTAAGAATTGCGATAAGGAAACAGATGGGGGACTGACAGGGATGTACAAGGACCTTCTGAAATAGATGTAAGAGGCCAAGGCTCCCCAAAGAGGGAGGAGGGGAGAGTGAACTGAATAGAAGGAACAATACGTGTAAGGGCCTGGGAGAACTGGAACTCACTGGAACACAGAGCACTAGGTGGGGAAAGATAAAAGGGGTTGCAGAGGGAGTCAGGGACCATATCATAAAGGCTCTTAACTGCAGAGATGGAAAGCTCTTAGAGCCACCTCAGGGCATTCACACTTACTGTTCCCTCATCCTGGAACACGCTTTCCTAGTAGCCACAGGGTCCACTCCCTCACCTCCTTCAGATCTCTTGCTCAAATGTCACCTGCTCAAAGAGATTGTCCCTGATCACCCTCCATAAATAGCTGTCCCACTCTCCATCTCTCCAACCGGCTCTATTCTTCACAGCACTTATTCCCACATGGTTCTTCCACTAGACCATAACTACTAGAAAGTAACTAGAATGCTGTTTTTGGTTTTTGTTTTTGTTTCTGTTTTAGACATGGTCTCATTCTGTCGCCCACAGCCCACTGCAGCCTCCAACTCCTGGGCTCAAGGATCTTCCTGCCACAGTCTCCAGAGCAGCTAGGACTACAGGGGTGTGTCACCACGCCTGGCTACTTTTTTCAATTTTTTTTTTTTTTTTTAGACAGAGTCTTGCTCTGTCGCCAGGCTGGGGTGCAGTGCCGTGATCTTGGCTCACTGCAACCTCCACCTCCTGGGGTCAAGCGATTCTCCTGCCTCAGCCTCCCGAGTAGCTAGGATTACAGGCGCACGCCCGGCTAATTTTTGTATTTTTAGTAGAGATGGGGTTTCACCGTGTTGGCCAGGATGGTCTCGATCTCTTGACCTCATGATCTGTCTGCCTCGGCCTCTCAAAGTGCTGAGATTACAGGCATGAGCCACCACGCCTGGCTGTTTTTCAATTTTTTTCTTTTTTTGTAGAGAGGTGTCTTGCTATGTTGGCCAGGCTGGGACTAGAATGTTTTTGTTTGCTCTTTTAGCCCTAGCACACAGTACTTGGTACATAGTAGGTCCTCAATAAATATTTATTGAATGAAGGGACAGAAATAAACATTTGATGTTTAGGAGGTAGGACCCATAGTTCTTTGGTAAAAGACTAGTGTGCTGTGGCTCACGCCTGTAATCCCAGCACTTTATGAGGCCAAGGCAGATGTATCACTTGAGCCTAGGAGTTCAAGACCAGCCCTAGCAACACAGCGAGACTTCGTCTCCACAAAAGATTAAAAAAGAAAAATTAGCCAGGCGTGGTGGCAAACGCCTGTAGTCCCAGCTACTCAGGAGGCTGAGGTGGGAGGATCACTTGAGCCCAGAAGTTCAAGGCTGCAGTGAGCCATGGCTGAGAGCGAGACCCTGTCTCAAAAAAAAACCAACCAAACAAACAAACAAAAAAGGAAACTGGATGTAGGCAGTGAAGGAGAGGGAAGAGTCACAGGTCATATGAGGCTGCTGGTTTGGACAACTGGGTAGCTGATGGTGCCATACCCTGACATAGCACAGGCATATTGAGCTCACTATTGTCTGAGATAAGGCATTGCACTCCAGGAGTGTGAGGTATAGGAAGTCCTGGGAGGGGGAAGGGCTGCCTGTCCAACACTCTGACCGTACGGAATATGCCTGAATTCTGCCATTTCTTAGCTTTAGGGCTCTGGATACTTGTAGGCACTGCCAGAGCTCTGCCTCTTGCCACCCCCATTGCCACTTCTAACCTCACCACCACCTCTGCTGTCTCCCGCTCTCTTCCCTCTTCTGTGCACATTTTGTTCTCCTTGGTATTCTCTGCTCTCTCCTTTCACTGCCACCACTCCGGGACTTCTCAGCTTTGGCTTCTCAGGAACCCAAATCCTGCCTTCTGGCCGGCAGACCAGTCACACCATATTGTCTATGATCTCTACGTCTTTGGCTCAGCCCAGCTATTTTGGTCTCTGCTTGCACTCTGAGATTTTTCTTACTTTCCTCTGGGTTTACACCTCTTTCTGCACTTAAAGGGTGACAGACATCTTAAGAGTTGGTTAACTGAGCTGTAAAGGTTAGACTTCTGACGTGGCTGATGATTGATTAATGGATCTAGGTGTAAAGAGATGAAAGCAAGGTCATTCTGTCTAAAAGTGAATGGGACTTTTTTCCTTCAGTGGGTTTTATCTTTTTTTTCAAATGGAACAATGGAACCTATTGCCTCATCAAGCAAGGAAGTCAAATCACAATAGATTGAATTTCAGCAAGTGTTTTTTGAAACCTCTAATAGATACCAGGAATTGTGCTTGGTGCTTTCAGTGTATTACTAAATCTTCCCAAGATGAAGTCCCTTCCTTGATATCCAGGCAGTGCCTCCTAGATCAACTGTTCATTCATTAACTCAGTGATTATTTCTTGTGTCAGACACTGTGCTAAATACTATAACAGATACAAAAATAAATATGACACCATCTCTGTTCTCCAGGAACTCAATCTAGTGGGAAAAACAGACATATCCATGACTGGGTATGATACATTGTGGTAGCTGTGTGTACAAAGTACTGCAGGAGTAAAGAGGGCACCCACTAGCTCTGACAGGGAGAGCTAAGGAAGATTTAACAAAGGAGGTGACATTGAGCTAGACCTTGAAGGATGAGTAGGAGTTTGCTAATGTGCATAAAGAGAATGGGTTTTGGAGGCAGCAGAAACAGCCTGGAACTGTGAAGGGCAGAGAGTGCTTTGGACTTGCTATGACTGGAATGTAGAACACTTGCTCTAGCCTCAGGAGTTCTGCCCAGAGAAGGCAGAGGATTGTCTGGGTCACAGAGAAAGTGAGTGGCAGAGACAGGATTAAGCAGCATGAATTAGAATTGTCCGACCCCGATCCATCTTCCTTAGCCTCTAATACACACACACAGACACACAGACACACACACACATAATGCTAGTCCAACTTCTTGTCCTGTCCCCTGGCTTAGATGCTGTCATTCGACTGCCCCCACCCCATTTGCCCTTCTAGGAGTGTGCCCCTAGGCTCTGAGGATTGTCCCCAGAGAACCTGGGAGAGAAACAGAGCCTAGAGAATATTAGAGAATACACTAATACTGGCCCACCCCCACCATGTGTCTGATCCATCCCAGTGTTTAGTTCTGGCCTAGACATTTGCCTATGACCTGAGTCCATAGATCCTAACTCCTGATGTGGCCACGATAGACTCTGTGATGTTCGTAATGGATTTGGATGGGCTGTGAGATGCTCCTTGCTTGAGTATCCCAGAAAACGAGCTGCGTAAACCAGGTTGCCAGCTTTTTACTGAGGAGGAGCTACTTTTAATTCCCAGAGCACTGGAACGCTAGAGTGGGCTTATGTAGAAGACCCCCTGTTCCTCACTTCCTACCATAAGCAGGAATGAAAATTTTTAAATTCCATGCTAGCTTCGAGGTGGATGCTCAAAAAATACTCCATTGGCTGACTGGCTTGTGAGTAGTTATCTGTTCAGAGGTCCCTAGCTATTTCCCAAATGGTGTAATTCATCTTAGTCAAATTTTTAGAGAACCAGTAGAGTCCGTTGGCAGATAGGGAGGCACTGGATATATTTTAGGTTTGTACCACACCTCTTTTGGGGATGTCTTGAGGCAGCTTACATATTAAAACATAATGTCTTGTGGCTCTACGCCTGTAATCCCAGCACTTACGGAGGCCAAGGCGGGTGGATCACCTGAGCCCAGGAGTTCAAGACCAGCCTGGCCAAAATGGTGAAACCCCGTCCCTACTAAAAATACAAAAATTACCTGGGCATGGTGGCACATGCCTGTAATCCCAGCTACTTGGGAGGCTGAGACAGGAGAATTGCTTGAACCTGGGAGGCAGAGATTGCAGTGAGCCGAGATCGTACCACTGCACTCCAGCCTGGGCAACAGAGTGAGACTCCATCTCAAAAAATAAAATAAAATAAAAATTAAATTTAAAAAAAGCCCATAATGTCTTTATGTAAGTCTTTTAAGGATGAAACATAAAACTTGGTGGTCTGAAGGATGAAAAAAGTAATGGTTACTTCCAAACATCCCCATGCTCAACAAATAAGCTATAAATTTGGCTGAAAAATTCCTGGGAGAAAGACAAAAAGGGAAACGCATTGGGTTATCCAGTGTTCCTTTTCTTATACCTTAAAGTATACAGAATATCCTATAGGGAAAACATTTTCCTCAAGCTAAAGCCTAATAGAAAGTAATTGTGTTTGGTCCTAAGAAAGTTGAGTGAGAAGGTGAAGGGTATGTAATTCCATTTAGCCGTCGTTTCTCCGTATCCACTCAGCACCAGGCCCTATGCAGTGTCCCCAGTCTTCTGGGAGATGCTGTCATGTCCATAAGTCACCCAAGAGAAAGAAGACTTGACCGCAAAAGATGAACTGCCCTCCATAGGACCCACAAGAACTGGCTCTTGGTCCAAGGAGCACATGGGAGGGCAGGATGGCTAGATTTCAAAAAGCAAGAGTCAAATGGCCAGGCACGGTGGCTCATGCCTGTAATCCCAGCACTTTGGGAGGCCAAGGCAGGTGTATCACTTGAGGTCAGGAGTTCAAGACCAGCCTGGCCAACATGGTGAAACCCCATCTCTACTAAAAATACAAAAATTAGCCAGGCAGTAGTGGCATGTGCCTGTAATCCCAGCTACTTGGGAGGCTGAGGCAGAAGAATCACTTGAACCTCGGGGGTGAAGGTTGCAGTGAGCCGAGATCACACCACTGCACTCCAGCCTGGGCAAGAGAGCAAGACTTCATCTCAAAAAAAGAAAAAAAAAATCTGCTCAGAATGTGCTATGCTCTCCCACATTTCCAGGCAATTGCACATGCTGTATACTTCAAGGCTTAGCTTAAATCTCATCTCTATCTGGAAGCCGTCCCTGAGTTCCCCTTTCTCTGTGGTGCTCTGCTCCCCACCATGGATAAGACACCCTTCTTTTGTTCTCCCATAGAACTCTATGCACACTTGCTTTTTAGCATTGTATTTTTATTGTGGGTTTACTTGTCAGTCTCTGAGTTCCTTATTCATCTTTATTTTTTCAGAGCCTCGCACAGTGCCTAGCCTGTAGTAGGTGCTCAGTTAATGCTTGTTGAATGCACATAATGAGCAACTACTGTATCCAGCACTGTCCTGGGCACTGGATGATTAAGCTACAGCCCCTTCCCTCGAGGATGTTAAAGTCCCAGCACTTTGGGAGGAGGAGAAGGAGGAGGAGGAGGAGGAGACTCTTACATAATGATTCCAGCCCAATCTTATAATATCTATAATAGGGGATTTGGGGAGCACAGAAGAGGAAGAAAATAACTTAGCCTGACACGTCAGGAAAGTCTTCCAGAGGTAGTAATTTATGGGCTGAACCTTAAAATATAATTTGTTTTTTGCCAAACTGAGAAAAATATTAGGCAGAGGAAAAAACATGTATTAATACAAAGGCAGGAAAGAGAATCAATATTTAGGGAACTGCAAGTATTGATATTCTGTGCCATCATTTGGAATGGAAAGTATGTTTCAGATCCAATTGTGAGAGACAGAAAGTTGTTACTTTATTGTGTATGTTTCAAGGCTTTATTATTCCAACAATTTTTCTTGTATCATCAGATGGATTTTATCACAAGGCAGTAAAGATGTTATAGTCACCTTTGGTGAAGCAAATAATAACTTATTTATAGTTTCTGGCTGGCTGCCTTCTGAAAAACTGTTTCATTTGACTTATAATAAAAGACACATCCATAATTAGCCTGTTCATATAGACACATGAAACAAAAGCTATAGCTAGGAGGGGAATAATGCCATTTCCCCAGGCTCTTTTCCCTTCATTGGCTTACTTGGCATTCAGGATAATCCTCTGAGGATGGGAAACAGGGTTATCTAGATTCGAGCCCAGCATGTAGCTCCTGGAAGTGCTTGTGGGCTCAACAAATACACGGATGTTTTCCTCATTTTCCAGCTGATGCCACACATATTTCCTGGTACTCTTGTGTCCCTGGGTCTCCATCCCCTCATGCTTTTGGGTGGGAATAATTTTTTTGTTTGTTTTTTGAGACAGAGTTTTGCTCTTGTTGCCCCAGCTCGAGTGTAATGGCGTGATCTCAGCTCACTGCAACCTCCGCCTCCTGGGTTCAAGTGATTCTCCTGCCTCAGCCTCCCGAGTAGCTGAGATTACAGGCACCCGTCACCATGCCCGGCTAATTTTTGTATTTTAGTAGAGACGGGGTTTCACCATGTTGGTCAGGCTGGTCTCGAACTCCTGACCTCAGGTGATCCACCCACCTTGGCCTTCCAAAGTGCTGAGATTACAGGCATGAGCCACCGCGCCCAGCCGGGAATAATCTTTACTTGCTATCCTTCAGAGTCATTACTTGTTGGAGCTCCTTCACCCAAGCTTCTTTCAGATTCTCTTGCCTTTTTAATGTTTTTCTCCTCTTTAAAAAAATCACTCCATGCATAAAACTTAGAAAACAGGAAAGCACAGAAAAGAAGTGCCTCGTGATACTATAACCAAAGGATACTCAGTCAATTCTTTTTTATTTAAAAAAAAAAGTTATGACATCATTTCAGACTTTCAGAAACATTTTCGAGAATAGGACAATTTCTTTAAATATTTATTTATTTACTTATTTATTTTAGAGATGAGATCTCACTCTGTGGCCCAGCCTGGAGTACAGTGGCATGATCATGTCTCACTACAGCCTCTTACTCCCGGGCTCAAGCGATCCTCCTGCCTCAGCCTCCCAAGTAGCTAGGACCATGGGTGCACACCAGCATGCACAGCTAATGTTTAACTTTTTTGTAGAGATGGGGTCTTGATATGTGGCCCAGGCTGGTCTCAAACTCTTGGCTTCAAGCCATCCTTTCACCTCAGCCTCTTAAAGCACTGGGATTACAGGCATGAGCCACCACACCCAGCCAATAAAGAATTCTTGAATGCTCCTCACCCAAAACTGTTAACATCTAACTATACTTACTTTATCTCTCTCTCTTCTCTCTGTCTCTGTCTGTCTCTCTCTTTATATATATAGGCATATATGTATATTTCTTTTTTTTTTTTAAGACAGAGTCTTGCTCTGTCACCCAGGCTGGAGGGCAGTTGTGCAATCTTGGCTCAGTGCAGCCTCTGCCTCCCAGGTCCGAGTGATTCTCCTGCCTTAGCCTCCTGAGTAGCTGGGATTACAGGTGTGCACCACCACGACTGGCTAATTTTTGTATTTTTAGTAGAGACGAGGTTTCATCATATTGGCCAAGCTGGTCTCGAACTCCTGACCTCAAGTGATCCTCCCGCCTAGGCCTCCCAAAGTGCTGGGATTTTAGGCGCGAACCACCACGCCTGGCCATATATGTATATTTCTGAACCCATTTAAGAATAATTTGCTAGCCAATTGTCACCTGGGCCAAAAAAAAAAAAAAAAGAATAAGTTGCAGATATTATGCACCCTTATGTCAGCCTCAGTCCTTCAGTGTGTATTTCCTAAAAATCACATATTCTCCTACATATTAATTTTTATATATGCCTTTCTAGATTTTTTCTATGCACACATGATTTATTTATATTTAAATAAGATCATGCATTGTTTTATTTATATTTATTTATAGTGCCTTGCTTTTTTGGGGGGTAGCAATACATATTGTATATAATCTCCTGCCAATAAATATTCTACAACATGATTCTTCATCAGGCTTTGACAGCAGACACGGTGGATTTCTGGGTGGCACAACATTTTCAAAATACCACTCTGCATCACGGAATCAGCCGTGCTGGCCGGGCGCGGTGGCTCACGCCTGTAATCCCACAACTTTGGGAGGCTGAGGCGGGCGGATCATGAGGTCAGGAGATCGAGACCATCCTGGGTAACATAGTGAAACCCTGTCTCTACTAAAAAAAAAAAAAAAAATACAAAAAATTTTACAAAAATTAGCTAGGCATGGTGGCGTGTGCCTGTAATCCCAGCTATTCGGGAGGCTGAGGCAGGAGAATCACTTGAACCCCGGAGGCGGAGGTTGCAGTGAGCTGAGATTGTGTCACTGCACTCCAGCCTGGCGACAAAGCTGGACTCCGTCTCAAAAAATAAAAAAGAATTAACCATGCTGTGCTTTTCCAGGTCTAGTCCAATATCAGTGGAAAGCACTGAATAAATGAGTAAAGAGGCAGGGCAATGGAAAACTCTGAATTCAAATTTAATCTTTATTCTGTGGCCAGTAGAAATCCAATGAAATGTTTCTAGCAGGAGGGGACACCAATAAAAGCTGCTCTCTGGAGATGAATTTGACAGTGTCTGCAGGATGGGGTGAAGGAAAAAGAACTCAGAGCATGAGTCCAGGAGTCACTGGGGTCAAATGATCCCTCGTGTTCAAGGCACATCTCTGCCCAGGTAGAACAGAGCCTTTCCCAGCATAACGCATCTTTTTCTTTCCCGTGTCTTTCAGAACTGGTTAAAGTCCTATGGCTATCTGCTTCCCTATGACTCACGGGCATCTGCGCTGCACTCAGCGAAGGCCTTGCAGTCGGCAGTCTCCACTATGCAGCAGTTTTACGGGATCCCGGTCACCGGTGTGTTGGATCAGACAACGATCGAGTAAGATTTCCATAGGACATTGTGCCTTTGAACTTTCTGGACTTACATTTGGGTTCACATTTGTCATGGCCTGTGTACACCCCATGCCCATCCTCCCTTCCTATCTTTTATTCCTGCAGTGCCATCCTGGGAAAGAATATCTCGATGTGAGTTGGGGGTGTGCTGGGATGGGAGTCCAGCCCTCCCATTAACATTCCATGTGACCTTGGAGACAAGTTGCTTAACCCTTCTGGACCTCAGTTTCCTTATCAGTACAGTGAGGGGTTGGGTTATAGATGGGGTCTTAAATCCCCTCTGGCTCGAATAATTTATCTATGGGTCACCCTCTGGAGTTCCCTGCAACGTGCATGTCTCACAGAATACAGAAAACGCTTGAATGATAATGAGTTGGCTCCACTTTTTCCATTTACCAAACATGTGCTGGGTGCCTGCATGTGCCTGTCATCCGGCCCTCCAGAGGCTCACCATTTAGTGACAAATACAGTCATCTAGCCACACCAGTCTAGAGCTCAGAAGGAAACAATGAGTTTTGGGGAGACACTTAGGAGGTAGTAACACTTAGGAGGTAGAAAAAAGCCATGAGGATGGTCCCAATCACTCAAGGAGAATGTAAAGATTCACGGGCAGGGTGCTGGGGATGGAACCCCACAAAGCCAGCCGAGAAGGGGCAGCCGGAGGGCAAGAAGCCTGACGTGATGATGTGATGCAATGTCATGATGCCACATGGTGTGGGGTGGTCAGTGGGGCCAGCCACTCCAGAGCCCTCCAACAGGAGCATGGCTGAAAGTTGTCTGCTGGGTTTAGTGACAAAGAGCTTGTTGTTAACCTCAGCAGAATGGTGGAGATGAAGTCAGACTGAAGTGGGGAGAAGCGGAGGTGAGGAGAAGAGGTGGCAAGTGGAGGGAAGACATTCAAGAAGCTTGACAGGGAGGTGGGGAGAAATGGGTAGCAGCTAGAGGATGAAGTTTTGTTTGTCTAAGATAGGAGAGAGTTGAACAGCCTTAAACTTGCTTAAGAAAGCTATGAGAGTTGTTTAAGAAAAGCCATTCACATCATTAAAGCATGGAAAAGAACAGGAGTGAGTTTCCTAAGGAGGTGGGAAGGGAGGGGAACCTGAGGCAGGTGGAAGATGCTAGCAGGGCTGGGTGAGGATCCAAGGGAGTTGGTGGGGGGAGGAACAGGAAATGCACCCAGTTGTGGATCAAGGATCAATTTGACGTAAGTCACTCCTGGACAGAATCATCTCTCTGGGTCTCAGTGTGTTCATTTGCAAAGGAGGGTGTTGGATTATGGCTCTAAATTCTAGATTCCCCCCCCCTTTTTTTTTTTTTTGATGAGATGAAGTCTCGATCTGTCACCCAGGCTGGAGGGCAGTGGCGTGATCTCGGTTCACTGCAACCACTGCCTCCAGGGTTCAAGCGATTCTCCTGCCTCAGCCTCCCAAGTAGCTAAGATTACAGGCATGTACCACCATGCTGGCTAATTTTTTTTGTATTTTTAGTAGAGATGGGGTTTCACCATGTTGGCCAGGCTGGTCTCGAACTCCTGACCTCAGGTGATCGGCCCACCTCGGCCTCCCAGAGTGCTAGGATTACAGGCGTGAGCCACCGTGCCCAGCCTAGATTCCATTATTTTAAGCATCTAAGCTTTTAAAACTTGGCAAGTCTGGGGTTTTAGGATCCTAAAATCCTGTGTGAACATTTCCCATTCCTAGGATTCTCTGATTATGAGTGTGAACTTCTTCTCCTGTGCTGTTGTGAATACAGTGGACTCCTTGGCCCCGTGGTCTCCAGAGTGGGCTGGTTAAAGAGAGCCCAGCCGCCTTTCAAAGCGGAGGTTATTTTGAGGGCTTTGCACAGGCCTCATGGCAGTGCATCCTGGGGCAGAAGCACTGGTGTCTCTGCTGCGGCACCACCTGGCCTTGGGTTTTACTCTGTTCCAAAAAGCCCCAGGCCTGTTGGATGGCGCTCAGAGAGTGGCAGGTGGATGGTGAAAGGAGGAGGCAGCGGGAATGATCCGAGGGAAAAGGATGGCATTTCCCACTTGCAGTTCTGCCCACACCTCCTTGTAGAAGGCGGGGGAGTTGTGGTCTGGAAGCAGGGGAAGGAGGAAGCCAGTTGCACTTATTAATCCAAGACCTGAGATGGGGAGTGTTCAGGGTAGAATTTAGAGCCCCAAGATGCAGCTCCAGCTCTGTGACCTTGGGCAATGGCTGCCTTTCTCTGAGCCTGTTTCCTCCCCTAGGTGCCTTTGGGTCTAACTCAGTCAGAGGTGGTTCTTGGTTCCCTTCCCAGGGACTGTTAATTAAAGGAAGCTAGATTAGCCATTTAAAGTCCTATGTTTGAGTGTCGCCTTGGGAAATGTCACACATTTATTCATTCACTCATTCATTTGGTCAACAACATAGTTCCTCTAGCTCAGCTTTGTGCTAAGCACTGACAGGAAAAAATAAAAGCTCCAGGCTTTGTTAAATTGCATTAATGAATAGTTCATTTTTTCATTCAACTAAGTTCCAGTCCTGCCTTGCTGATTTCTGTGTTTTGCAAGGTACTGGATTTATCTGTGGATTGTTTCCCTCATCTGTGAAATGGGAATAATAATTTCTTTTTTTTTTTTTTGAGACGGAGTCTCGCTCTGTCGCCCAGGTTGGAGTGCAGTGGCGGGATCTCGGCTCACTGCAAGCTCCACCTCCTGGGTTCAAGCCATTCTCCTGCCTCAGCCTCCCAAGTAGCTGGGACTACAGGGGCCCGCCACCACGCCCGGCTAATTTTTTTTTTTTATTTTTTAGTACAGACGGGGTTTCACCATGTTAGCCAGGATGGTCTCGATCTCCTGACCTCGTGATCCGCCCGCCTCGGCCTCCCAAAGTGCTGGGATTACAGGTGTGAGCCACCGTGCCTGGCCCGGGAATAATAATTTCTGTTACCTCACAGTGTTGTTTTGAGAATCAAACTTTTTTATTTTATTTATTTATTTATCTATTTATTGAGACAAGGTCTGACTCCCCTCACCCAAGTGTACTGGTGTGATCTTGGCTCACTGTAGCCTCAACTTTCCAAGCTCAGGTGATCCTCCCACCTCAGCCTCCCTAGTAGCTGGGACTACAGGCACATGCCACCATGCCTGGCTAATTTTTTGTATCTTTAGTAGAGATAGGGTTTTGCCATGTTGCCCAGGCTGGTCACAATCTTCTAGGCTCAAGCAATCTCCTGCCTCAGCTTCCCAAAGTGCTAGGATTATAGGTGTTAGCTACTGCACCTGGCCAAGAATTAAACATTTTAAAAGAATGTGCTGGGCGCAGTGGCTCATGTCTGTAGTCCCAGCACTTTGGGAGGCCAAGGTGGGCAGATCACCTGAGGCTAGGAGTTCAAGACCAGCTTGGCCAACATAGTGAAACCCTGTCTGTACTAAAAGTACAAAAATTAGCCAAGCGTGGTGGTGCGCGCCTGTAATCCCAGCTACTACTCAGGAGGTTGAGGCAGGAGAATTGCTTGAACTTGGGAGGCAGAGGTTGCAGTGAGCTGAGATGGCACCACTACACTCCAGCCTGGGCAACAGAGCGAGACTCTGTCTCAAAAAAAAAAAAAGAAAGAAAGAAAGAGAAATACCTGAAACTGGGTAATTTATAAAGAAAAGAGGTTTAGTTGGCTCAGGGTTCCACAGGCTTTACAGGAAGCATGGCTGGGGACGCCTCAGGAAACTTTCAATCGTAGTAGAAGGCAAAGGGGAAACAAGCACATCATCATATGGCAGGAGCAGGGGGAAGAGTGAGAAGGGGGAGGTGCTCCACACCATTAAACAACCAGATCTCATGAGAACTCACTCACTATCAGCAGAACAGCAAGGGGGAAGTCTGCCTGCATGGCCCAATCACCTCCCACCAGGCCCCGCCTCCAACAGAGACACAAATCAAAACATATCACCTGGTAACAAACAGATATCAGGATTTACGTAATTTCAGGCACTGGGCTACCTTCTTTTGAGGATACAATGATGAATAGGACATAGTTCCTGTCCTCAATTTACCATTTATTAGAGGAAATAAACCAATAAATTTTAAATCACAACACAATATAATAAGTGCTGCAGAGAATTATGTTCCACATCCCACAGTTGTTAAGCCACTTCTTTTTTTTTTTTTTTTCCTGAAACGGCATTTCACTCTTCTTGCCCAGGCTGGAGCACAATGGCACAATCTTGGTTCACTGCAACCTCCGCCTCACGGGTTCAAGCAAGTCCCCTGCCTCGGCCTGCTGAGTAGCTGGGATTACAAGTGTGAACCACTGCAGCTGGCTAATTTTTTTTTTTGTATTTTTAGTACAGATGGGGTTTCACCGTGTTGGCCAGGCTGGTCTCGAACTCCTGACCTCAGATAATCCACCCGCCTCAGCCTCCCAAAGTGCTGGGATTACAGGCGTGAGCCACCGTGCCCAGCTGAAGAGTTTGAATTTTATTCTCAGTGTTTGGGGAAGTCGCTGGAGGCTTTTAACCAGGGCATCCTGTAATCTCATTGCATTTACAGAGCATTTTCACATGTACTTCCTCCTTGAAGACGCACCTCCACCTAAGACCAAGAACTAGAGTTCTCATGTTGCAGAGGAGGAAACTGAGGTTCATATTGGTTCAGCCACTTGCCTGGGGGTCCTATGACTAGTGGTGGAGCTGGAGCTTATCAAGCCCATATATTCTGATTCTCAGTCTTTATACAGCTATTTCCTCATCTATGATTGTGAGTGCATGAATTAATGAATCAATCAATCATGTTCTTGTTGGGGTCCATCCAAGCCAGGGTCCCAGAGTGTAGCTTGAGGATGCACATTGCTTTCCAGACTGGAGCTGGGGAATAGGCAGTCCCTTCCTAAAGTGTTCAGTGACCACAGTGCATATGCGTGTGTGTGTGTCCTCTCTCTGCCCAGGTGGATGAAGAAACCCCGATGTGGTGTCCCTGATCACCCCCACTTAAGCCGTAGGCGGAGAAACAAGCGCTATGCCCTGACTGGACAGAAGTGGAGGCAAAAACACATCACCTACAGGTGCTTCGACTCTCCCTCTTCCTCCCTGCCTTTGGCTCCACCCTCACTCTGTTTTTCCTGGCCTGAGTTTCAAAGGCTCACAATGTAGGGGGGCCTGGGGATCAGGCTTACAACATAGGCCAAGAGCCAGGCATGTGGGCATTGGCACTAGGTGCTGAGAGCCCATAACCTTGTCCTCCTTGTGGCTTCCACAGGATGCTGTGACTCCAACCTCAGGTTTATTTGGTCCTCTGGGGGCTCTTAGTTGTCTTCTGTTTAGATGCCTATAGTTTTTAGGTTACAGGAAGTGGGGTATGAATGGTTTGGTAACTTTCAGCTGTGAAAAAGAATCGTGGCTTGCAGTGAGCTATATCATGCCACTGCACTCCAGCCTGCGTGACAGAGTGAGACTCTGTCTCCAAAACAAAACAAATGAAACAAAAACCACAAAACAAAACAAACAAAACCATGGCTTAATTCAGTCTCCTTATCACTGCCTGCCAAACCCCATTCCCTCTGATCTGGATCCTCCCACCCCAAAATCCACCTGATGGACTTCACCTGAGATTCCCAACGCAGAGTTCCAGTTGTTTCTTAAGGAGTATAAAGAACTGGGACCTGAATCATAATAGTGTCATCTTTGACTGTCTGGAGGAACCAAGGGCAGAGCAGGATCCATCTCCAAGTCAGATCAGTGGCCCAAGAACTAGATGATGGAGCCCATCACAGCAGACTGAAGCACCGGAGTGAGGCTGGGGCAAGGGCCAGGCATTGAGCAGGCTCAGGTGGGGGTGGGGCAAGGGGCAGGCACTGGACAGGCTCAGGTGGGGCTGGGGCAAGGGCCAGGCATGGGCAGGCTCAGGTGGGGCTGGGGCAAGGGCCAGGCATGGGCAGGCTCAGGTGGGGCTGGGGCAAGGGCCCGGCATGGGCAGGCTCAGGTGGGGCTGGGGCAAGGGCCAGGCATGGGCAGGCTCAGGTGGGGCTGGGGCAAGGGCCAGGCATGGGCAGGCTCAGGTGGGGCTGGGGCAAGGGCCAGGCATGGGCAGGCTCAGGTGGGGCTGGGGCAAGGGCCAGGCATGGGCAGGCTCAGGTGGGGCTGGGGCAAGGGCCAGGCATGGGCAGGCTCGGGTGGGTGCTGGCTGGCACTTCTCAAGGCTCTGCTGTCATCTCAGGTGGATCCCTTTGGTGCAGAGGCAAGATCTAAGACAGAGATCCTCAAGAGTTGAACTAAGGGCTCCCCTGCTGACAAGCACTCCCTACAGAACGGGACTTTTTTTTTTTTTTTTTTTTTTTCAGAAATCTGACAAGAGAAGGAAAGTTAGGGTTGAACTAAGGGCTCTTCTGCTGATAAGCTGTCCCTTCAGAACGGGATTTTTTTTTTCCAGAAATCTGACAAGAGAAGGAAACTTAAGAATCTAGGTTAGAAACTGAATAGACTCTTGGGTCTCTTGAAGGGGTAGAGTGGATCAAGAGAAAGAAGCACTGGGTTCTAACCCAACTCTGAGTAACTTCTATCACTAGACTTCTCTGGGCTTCAGTTTCCTTACGTGTGGAGTAGGTAGAATAATCCATGCCCCAGAGGGTCACAGGGCAGGGAACCCACAGGTAGTAACGTTGTTTTGTGAAGAACCAATGCAATATGAACACAGCGACGCTAAACAGCTAAACCTATAATGGATTAAATCAGATACCGGCCAGCTTCTAGGCAGACAAGCCAAAGATTGGTACCAAAGATTTTTTAAAGAGACTTTTCACTTAAACTCCTCTCTATTATTTGAATATTTTTATAACTTTTATAAATGAACATATTTCGTATTAGGGAAAAAAACTTAAAATTCAGAAAATGCTATCTACCAATTTCCTTTGGGTTTTTTTTTTTTTTTTTTGAGACAGAGTCTCACTCTTGTTACCCAGGCTGGAGTGCAGTGGTGCAATCTTGGCTCACTGCAACCTCTGCCTCCGGGTTCAAGCAATTATCCTGCTTCAGCCTCCCGAGTAGCTGGGATTACAGACTCACACCACCACGCCTGGCTAATTTTTGTACTTTTAGTAGAGACAGGGTTTCACCATGTTGGTCAGGCTGGTCTCGAACTCCTGACCTCATGTGGTCCGCCAGCCTCGGCCTCCCAAAGTGCTGGGATTACAGGCGTGAACCGCTGCGCCCAGCCCCAATTTACTTTTCTCAACAAACTAGAGTGGAATCCTTTATTCGACACAGCTTTGCTGGAGATCAAATGGAAAACACTGAGTAAAGCAAAGCCATCTGACTGAGGCAGGGTGGGGATCCAGAGCTCTGTTACTCAGCCTCTTCTTCAATCCCTGAGGCAGCTAAGCAGAATTCTAGGGTTCAAAATCAGATCACTGAGCCACATTGTCTCAGGTATCTATTTTAGCTCTGCTAGTCTCTGACTCTCTGATCTTGCCTAATGATCCTCCCCTCTCTCACCAGCATTCACAACTATACCCCAAAAGTGGGTGAGCTAGACACGCGGAAAGCTATTCGCCAGGCTTTCGATGTGTGGCAGAAGGTGACCCCACTGACCTTTGAAGAGGTGCCATACCATGAGATCAAAAGTGACCGGAAGGAGGCAGACATCATGATCTTTTTTGCTTCTGGTTTCCATGGCGACAGCTCCCCATTTGATGGAGAAGGGGGATTCCTGGCCCATGCCTACTTCCCTGGCCCAGGGATTGGAGGAGACACCCACTTTGACTCCGATGAGCCATGGACGCTAGGAAATGCCAACCATGACGGTAAGGCCATGAGGGGACAGGGGTCAGTCTTGGGCTGCTCAGTTGTTGGGAAAGAACTTGGAGGACATCCTAGATGAGTTTCCTGCTTTCTAGAGCCTCTTGTCCAAGAACTAAGACCGTAAGAGGGTGGGAACTGTGATTTCTGATAATATTCAACGTTCAATCCACCAGGGCCAGGGCCATGGAGATGAGTCAGATCACTTAGAAGATAGTCCGGTTGGCAGGAGAAAAGTAAGGTTAGGCCAGTAAGAAGATAAAGTAATGGACCAGAGGCTGAAGAAAAAGTTTAAAAGGGGCCAGGCACAATGGCTCACGCCTGTAATCCCAGTACTTTGGGAGGCCAAGGCAGGTGGATCACCTGAGGTCAGGAGTTCAAGACCAGCCTGGCCAACATGGTGAAACCCTGTCTCCACTAAAAATACAAAAATTATCTGGGCGTGGTGGCGGGTGCCTGTAATCCCAGCTACTCAGGAGGCTGAGGCATGAGAATCGCTTGAACCCAGAAGGCAGAGGTTGCAGTGAGCCGAGATCGCACCATTGTACTCCAGCCCAGGCGACAAGAGTGAAACTCCATCTCAAAAAAAAAAAAAGTTAAAAGGCATTAAAGCTGAAAGAGGGGTCTGAAAGTAGTAGGCTCTGGCCTGAATGATGAGGGCTCCAAAAGCCATCTTATGAATGACACGACTGGCTCTCTCCTTTGTCACCCTCACAGGTGAGTAGCAGGCCCTGAAATTATTCTGGCATCCTTGGATAATTTACCCTGCACCACTATGGTTCAATGAATATTTATGGAGGCAGAGTCAATACCGTGCAGCAATAGTAATGATACCCTGCAGGTTGCCAAAAAATTCATCATCAATATTTACTCACAAGGCACATGCTTAGTATGTAGGCAAGTGTACATTATTACACCCATTTTTAAGATGAAGAGTTGGGGCTCAACTGGCATAGCTGAAAGGTGACAATGCAGGTATCAAGCCCTGGTTCAACTACTGGCTATGTGATACCCTCGGTCTCCTCGTCTGCAAAGTGAGGGGCTGGATTAGGTGATCGCTAAGGGCCCTTCCAACTCTAATGAACATGATACAAAGTCTTGCAAAGACCAGGGGGAGCTGAATGTTTGAAAAAAATGGCATGATCTCTGTCCCCTGGCAGTCCAGAGTCAGTCTAGCAGGGGAGTTAGGTGTGCACGTAAGTAACCCTGTCATAGACAGACTCTACCCAAGGCTGTAGCAGAGGCACAAAGAAATATGTAGGAGTTTGGAGGAAAGAGGGACAGAGGAGTGTGGCTTTTGGATTATAAGAGATGATAATTAGTGGGTATGCTGGTGTTCTGAGGCCCGTGCCAAGTGCTTGCCACCCATTATGTGTGGAAACTATTATATCTATTAATACATTATAATGCATAATTAAATTTATGTATTAAGCAATATATAATGTTAAATTATTATTATAGGTAAATATTGCTATCTTCATTTTACAGATAGGTAAACTGAGATATAGAGAAACATTAAGTCACCTACCTAAGGTCCCACAGTTGGTGAATGGTGAAATAAGGCTTTGAATCTGGGCATTATGGCCCTGGAGCCCATGCTGTCAGCCATCATGCTAAGCTTCCATGGTTCTCAAACTGTAGGGCACAGCAGAATCACCTGGGAACCATTTTTAAGAATTCAGATTCCAGGCCAGGCACGGTGGATCACACCTGTAATCCCAGCACTTTGGGAGGCCGAGGCAGGTGGATCACCTGAGGTCGGGAGTTCAAGACCAGCCTGGCCAACATGGTGAAACCCATCTCTACGAAAAACACAAAAATTAGCCAGGCATGTTGGCAGGTGCCTGTAATCCTAGCTACTCTGGAGGCTGAGGCAGGAGAATCCCTTGAACCCGGGAGGCGGAGGTTACAGTGAGCCGAGATCATGCCACTGCACTCCAGCCTGGGCAACAGAGATTCCGTCTCAAAAAAAAAAAAAAAAAAAAAAAAAAGACTGCAGATTCCAGGACCCTAACCTCTTGTCATTCTGATTCTCTGGGTCCGGGGTAGGGCCTGGGAATCTGCAAGTGGTCTAATACATTCCTGGGGCCTTCTGATGCAGGTGTTCCATCACCATGAGAAACGCTATCTTAATACCTAGAGTTTTCCTACCTGGCCTGATCATAAGAACCAATGGGGGTTCTTGTTATAAACGGGGATTCCCAGGCCCTTCCCACAGAAATCCTGACTCTTGAGCTCAAACAAGCTTGGGAAACACCGAGCATCCTTTTTTCCTGCCCTGCGGCTGCTCCAGGCTGAGAGCAGACTCTCAAAGCTGGTTTGGTGTCTATAGTTGGGGCCATGTTTGGTGTCTATAGTTGGGGATCACCTCCTTGAGAACACTTTATATCATCGCATGGATTAGGGATTGGCAGCTCTGGGGTTATCTGTCAAAGGCTGGACCAGGAGGTGGTTTGGCCAAGGCTCAGCCTAGGCAAAGTCATGAACCTGTTAAATTGTTCTTTGTCCTCTTCTTTCTTCAGATTTTTGTCCTCTTTCCTATTGAACTCCGTTTCCTTTGCCCTGGTATCTCTCCCGTATGTCCTGCATGTATTCCTGGCTGAGTACCTGTTCTTTATCTCATTCTTATTTTTGGATCGGTGTCAACGAATGGCTGTCTGTGCTAACAGATAAGATGTGAGGAGAAGAGAACTAATATTTTTGAGGCCCTGTTATGTGCCAGGCACTGTTAGCTGATAGGGTTTTAGTTATATTCCTGATAGAGGCAAATGAATGTCCAAAGAGTTGTCCAGAGGCAACGGGAAGACACTCCCACTCCTCTGCCCTCCCCTTCTGCCCAGCACTGGGGGTGTGCACTTCCCACACCTGCTCCTTGCTTTTGCAGAACTTGTTGGACCCAGCCCCCAAATCCCAAGAGCCGGTGGTATGTGTGGGAAGGACCGGGGACCTGTGGATGGGCACCATCCCAGCACCTCTCCCATCTGTCCAACCCTAACCTTCATGAAAGACTGCCAATTCTGATAGAAATTCCAAGATTGCTAATGTTTTCTTTGGATAAGAATCAGGACTTTGCTCTGCTCTGGAAAACCAAGCAGGAACTGTCCAGATGCAGCTCAGGACCACAGCAATCGACTCCTGAACTGGAATGCAGTGAAGGCAGGTTTTGGGTGAGAGGCAAGGAACCAAAATTTATTGAGCATCCATATATTATCTCGTTTAATTTCCACATAGACTCAGCAAAGGGGTGGAGTTTCCTGGGAACTTTTTGAACTTATTAGCTTACTTCTTTTTTCTAAACTCTCATTATGGAAAATTTCAAACTCACAAAAGTAGGAAGAATGCTTCTATGATCTCCCAGATACCCACCACCTGCCTCAGCAATTATCAACGTTGTGGCATTCCTATTTATCTACCTTTTTTTGGCTGATGTATTTTAAAGAAAATCTCAGGCATTCTAACATTTCACCTTTAAATACTTTAGTATATACCTCTAACAGATAAAGGCTAATTTTTAACATAAGCACACAATCATTATCAAGCCCAACAAAATTAACAATAATTTTTTAAAATCTAATACCCAGTTCGAGTTCACTTTCCCAAAGTACCTTGGAAATGTCTTTTACAGTTGTTTGCTTGAATCAGGATCCAAACAAGATCCACACACACATGGCTGACATGTCTCTTAAAGCCCTTTTTATTTAAAACACCCCCGTCCTACACACACGTTTCCCTCCATATATTTGTTGAAGAAACTGGGTCAGGTGTCCCGAGTATAATCATTTGGCGTGACTAGAATCAAGTTTACTTTTAATACGTCTCTCTTGCCCATAATTCCTGAATGTTGTTCATTAGATTTACAGGCTGACTAGATTCAAGTTCAATTTTTTTGGCAAGAATACTTCCTAGGTGGTGCTGGTACTTCCTATTCACCATATTAGCAAATACATATGATGCAGACTGTCCCACTTTTAGTGATGTTGAGGTCGAGCATTTGCTTCAGGTTGTGTCAGCCTGACCCAACCATTATACAATTCACCTGGAGAACTTAAAAAAAAAAAACAACAAAAAAGATTGCCTACGTCCCAAACCAAACCTCCTGAATCAGAATATCTTCCCCACCTCCTCCATGTGTTTAAAAGGCTCCCCGGGCCAGGTGCGATGGGAGCACTGGAGTAATCCCAGCACTTTGGGAGGCCGAGGGGGGGCAGATCACCTGAGGTCAGGAGTTCGAGACCAGCCTGGCCAACATGGCAAAACCCCGTCTCTACTAAAAATACAAAAATTAGCCGGGTGTGGTGGCACATGCCTGTAATCCCAGCTACTCGGGAGGCTGAGGCAGGAGAATGGCTTGAACCCGGGAGGCGGAGGTTCAAGTGAGCCGAGATTGCACCACTACACTCCAACCTGGGTGACAGAGTGAGATCCTGTCTCAAAAATAAAAAAGAAAGAAAATACTTTTTAAAAAAATAGGAAATTCACCCCTTTGGAAAGTGGCAGAGCCAGGTGTGACCCCAGGACTCCGCATTTTTAAGTCACCACAGGTGGTTCTGCTGCAGGTGGTCCGAGTATTTCCCTTGGTAAAATACGGTGCTTTTGGCGCTGTTCCATTCCGGGGGCTGTCACCTGGTTCTTCAACACAAAGCTTGTCCTCAAGGAACCCACAGTCCTGGGGCAGCGAGCATGTGCACTAGTGGCAATCACGTGGGGAGGAAGCGGTCAGTGCCATAAAGGCAGTTCAGGGAAACTGCTGGGAGGGCACAGCAGAAGGAGCACTCACTGCCAGCTGGGAAGTCATGGAAGGCTTCCTGGAAGACAGGCATGGAGCTGAACTTTGAAGGAATCAGGTTATTCCAGGGGAAGGGGCAGCACTGGCAGAAGAACAGAGGCAAAGGGAAATGCTATCACCTTTCGTGGGGCTGGGGGAGTTAATGAGATGGGAACGACCAAATATGGAGATCCTAAAAGAAAGAAATGAGGCAGAGACAAGGTCCACTTGAGTAGCCGAGTAGACTGCTGGGGACTTGCTCGGAGGCCCAGGGACTTACAGGAACACACCCTATCAGGGGTGCTGGTGCTCACACACAGCTCAACAGGACCCTGCTAATGAAGGGTAATACTTCTGTACCAGGAGCTGGTATCAGCGCATTACACACCCTGCCCCATGAATCTTCACCCACATCCCTATGACGAAGGTGCCATTGTTCCTTCTATCTTCCAGAGGAAGAATTTAAAATGTCACACTGCTAGGACATGGCAGAGCTGGGATTCAAAACCAGGCAGTCTGGCTCCCAGAGACTGCATTCCTGACCACTCTGCTTCCCTGCCGCTCACCCTCTTGAAGAGTGAAGACCCTAGCAGCCTCCTGCCCATGGAGCATGGGGTCCTCATAGCAGGCCTCTCCTCCTCATACCTCTGCCTTCACCTCACAAGCTCAGGGAGTCCTCCTGCCCCTGCCCTGCTCCCTCTGTCTCCCCCTCAGGGCTCTCTTGGGTTTCTGTGCAGCAGGATACTGGCTCCCTCGCTCTTCCCTTCCTTTTGGTTCCTGGACCCAAACCACAGGCCTCTTTCCTTTAAGGGGTCACTCCTGTTCTCTGCAGACCCAGAACAGGGGTTAAAAGAGCAAGAGACAAGGCTGCGGACAAAGGTTTTGAGTCTCCCACAGTGCTCAGAGCCGTGTTCCCTGGTTCCCAGCTGAGCTCCCTGTGGACAGCCCCTGGGGAAGAGCCTGCTCAGGAGACAGAGGCCCTGAACAGCTTGTCCCAGGTCATAGAATAGCCCAGGAGCACAGCCAGGACTGGACCCCAGGAAGCAGAGCTGCCTTCCGCTGGCTCTACCAGTTTGTTTGGGATGGAGCTCAGCGATGAGCTCACCCTTCCCTGCTGCCAGAGGGGCCAGGACCTGAGTAAGGAGCTGGGGGCGGCCTGGCCCTCTCATGCCAGCAGAAGGCCAGCCCCAGGCTTTTGGCCAACCTTGCACTGATCTTGCCCATCCCCCTTCCTTTCCGTTGCTCAAAGGTGGCTTCACAGAAGACACTGGCGGTGTCAGTAGTGTGGGAGGCATGTACTGCCCGTGGCCTGGGTCTGCCCCATGGGGTTCTTCTCTCTTCCAGAGACCTAAGCCAGGAAGGCCAAACAATCCCCACCCCCATGTGTCCCTAGGCCAGTGACGCTGGGGCCAGAGTGGGCAGTAGGACTCTAGACCACCTCCTAGGTTCCTGGCAGCCTCCCTGGACTTACAGGTGGCAGGAATGGGCCGAGCCATGCCTTAGGGCCAGAAGATAAGAGGCAGGGCTCAAGGGGCTACAAATGCCAGAGGTCAAGGCAAGCAAGGGTCTGACACTGGGCAGACAGGAGTCAGGACTGGTGATCCACAGCCTACCTGACTCCCTACCCCCTGCATTTTCTCCCCAAAGCTGCGGTTACTTCATCCCCCTAAGTTCAGGCCTCCTTGTCCTGTCCTAGGCACAATACAGAAGCCCAGGGGAGTTGGCTTTCAGAGGATCTGGTTGCTGGCGCTCCACTGGCCTCGTGCTTCCTTTCTGGTCAATGGGCTTCCTCCAGTAACCAAGCTTCTATCTTACATAGGATTACAACAGCTGCCATTCTGTGTCATACCACGCACTTCACGTGTATCTTATTCAACCTCACACAACCCGGTGAGGTAGGTCTGATGCCCCCAGTTTACAAGTGAGGACATTGAGGCTTAGGGGTAGCCCTGCTGGCCATATTCACAAACTGGCAGGGGGAATGAAGGTAATCTGTCCTACTCAGGAGCCCAAGCTCGTAACCACCGTGCCATGGAGCTGCCTCAGTTCCACCCTCAGGATCCTGTGTCCCACTTCCAGGACCTGGAGTGTGTTTTCACCTACACTTGAATCCCTGCCTCAATCTTAGCCAACAGTTCCCTGCTTCCACAACCAAGGTCCTGCAGAGAGCTGCCCACGCCCGGGCCCCACCTGCCCTGCCCGGGGTCTCCTGAAGCTGACTGCCAGTTTGCCAGGACTTGCTCTCTTTGTCCCCACTCCCTCCCTCCACCTCAGGGCATCCTTTTTTTTTTTTTTTTTTTTTTTGAGATGGAGTCTCACTCTGTTGCCCAAGCTGGAGTGCAGTGGCGCGATCTTGGCTCACTGCAACCTCCACCTCCCAGGATCAAGCGATTCTCCTGCCTCTACCTCCGGAGTAGCTGGTACTATAGGCGCAGGCCACCATATCTGGCTAATTTTTGGTATTTTTAGTAGAGATGGGGTTTCACCATGTTGGCCAAGCTGGTCTCGAACTCCTGACCTCAAGTGATCCACCCCGATCAGCCTCCCAAAGTGCTGGGATTACAGGCGTGAGCCACCACGCCCAGCCAGCTCAGGGCCTTTTCATCTCTTGTAGGGGTGGGTTGCCCCTCCACACCTGTGGGTGTTTCTCGTAAGGTGGAATGAGAGACTTAGGAAAGAAAAAGACACAGAGACAAAGTATAGAGAAAGAAATAAGGGGACCCAGGGAACCAGCGCTCACCATATGGAGGATCCCGCCAGCCTCTGAGTTCCCTTAGTATTTATTCATCATTTGTGGGTGTTTCTCGAAGAGGGGGATGTGTCAGGGTCACAAGACAATTGTGGGGAGAGGGTCAGCAGACAAACACGTGAACAAAGGTCTTTGCATCATAGAGAATGTAAAGGATTAAGTGCTGTGCTTTTAGATATGCATACACATAAACATCTCAATGCTTTACAAAACCGTATTGCTGCCCGCAGGTCCCACCTCCAGCCCTAAGGCGGTTTTTCCCTATCTCAGTAGATGGAGCATACAACCGGGTTTTATACCGAGACATTCCATTGCCCAGGGACGGGCAGGAGACAGATGCCTTCCTCTTGTCTCAACTGCAAGAGGCATTCCTTCCTCTTTTACTAATCCTCCTCAGCACAGACCCTTTACGGGTGTCGGGCTGGGGGACAGTCAGGTCTTTCCCTTCCCACGAGGCCATATTTCAGACTATCACATGGGGAGAAACCTTGGACAATACCTGGCTTTCCTAGGCAGAGGTCCCTGCGGCCTTCCGCAGTTTTTGTGTCCCTGGGTACTTGAGATTAGGGAGTGGTGATGACTCTTAAGGAGCATGCTGCCTTCAAGCATCTGTTTAACAAAGCACATCTTGCACCGCCCTTAATCCATTTAACTCTGAGTTGACACAGCACATGTTTCAGAGAGCACAGGGTTGGGGGTAAGGTTATAGATTAACAGAATCTCAAGGCAGAAGAATTTTTCTTAGTACATAACAAAATGGAGTCTCCTATGTCTACTTCTTTCTGCACAGACACAGTAACAATCTGATCTCTCTTGCTTTTCCCCACAATCTCTCGCCTGGACCCCAGCATCCAAACAGATCCCCCTGCCCCAGGTCTTGTTCCCTCTAATCCTCCCTCAACTGCAGCCAGAGTGATTTAATTGTATCACCACCCCCACTCCTACTTAAACCCCCCACTAGCCAAGAAGCTGATCCAAATTCCTTTGTATGGCATTAAGCGCCCTGCTTTCCAGCCTGGCTGACCTCATCTCTCTCCGGCCCTCCCCTCCTGCTTTGTTCCAGAGCCAGGTGGAATGAAACTGCCTGTCTCTGGACTGTGTTTATTGCATTCCATCCGCCAGGAATGCCACCCCCACCCTTCCTCTCCTGCCCCCTGAATCCGTTCTCCTGACTAACTTCTGATCCTTCAAGACTGAGCTTCAACTTCACCTTTGTGAAGCTTTCCCTGAACATCTTCCTCCAGGTTTAAATGACCCCTCTCTCCTCAGAATCCCTGCTCGACCCTCCCAGACATTCTTAAAGCACCCAGAGCCCTCTGCCTCACTTGTCACTCTCTCTCTCCT
Organism: Homo sapiens; assembly: GCF_000001405.40. NCBI lineage: Eukaryota > Metazoa > Chordata > Mammalia > Primates > Hominidae > Homo > Homo sapiens. The sequence goes on from NC_000020.11 coordinate 35,263,608, forward strand.
TGTCCCTGCTCTGCAGAGAGGCTTGGGAGGCAGGGGTTGTGCCTGATTTCTCTGTATGTCCCTGGTGTCCAGCACGGGGCCTGGCACAGGGCCCGTGCTCGGTGTTTGCTGAGGTAATGGGTTGGCTGACCGACTCATATCTAAGCAGGTGCCCTGGGCACCTCCCCACACTCCTCTCCACAGGGAACGACCTCTTCCTGGTGGCTGTGCATGAGCTGGGCCACGCGCTGGGACTGGAGCACTCCAGCGACCCCAGCGCCATCATGGCGCCCTTCTACCAGTACATGGAGACGCACAACTTCAAGCTGCCCCAGGACGATCTCCAGGGCATCCAGAAGATCTATGGTGTGTGGCAGGGAGAGGGGGGACTGCTCCTTCCTCGGGGCTGGGCTGTGACTGCCTACCTGTCATGGGGCAGGGGACGAGGGAGGGGGACGTTGCTATCATCAGCACTGCTGCTGTTTCTCTGTGTGTGACCTTTACAGACTTCCAATGGCTTTGCCTGGCCAGAGGGCAAGGCTTCCCCTGGCACACCTGGGAAACCTAGGGGAGGGTCTGAGCTGTAACTGAGAGGGACAAAAGTGAGGTGAGGGCCACCCATTCCCTCTCCTTTACCCCTCCCCTTCCACACTCTTCCCCGTCCCTTCATGCTTCTCTCCCTCCCTCCCACACCAGATGGTGACTGAGTGCTCCCATAGATTCCACCTCTAGCCAGGCAGGTTCACACATCTGCAGGAGTAACGGTGATACAGCGTGATGGGGACTATAACCAGAGCTTTGTTCTTTAAAAAGAAAAAACGAGGGCCAGGCGTGGTGGCTCTTGCCTGAAATCCCAGCACTTTGGGAGGCTGAGGCAGGCAGGTCACTTGAGGTCAGGAGTTTGAGACCAGTCTGGCCAACATGGTGAAACCCCATCTCTACCAAAAATATTAAAACAAACAAACAAAAAAATTAGCCAGGTGTGGTGGTGGGCAAGTGAAATCTCAGCTACTTGGGAGGCTGAGGCAGGAGAATCACTTGAACCCAGGAGGCAGAGGTTGCAGTGAGCTGAGATCGCACCACTGCACTCCAGCCTGGGCAACAGGGCGAGACTCCGTCTCAAAAAAAAAAAAAAAAAAAAAAAAAAAAAAAGAAAGAAAAGGTGAAAGATGAGAAGCTACTGCTATCTAGGTAAGATATGAAAGGCCTCCTACACACCTCTCTCCCAGTTCTGTTCACACTGGTATGTGAGGTTCTTGTTCTGGTCAAGTCAGGTGAGCTAGGGAGACCAGTTTACTTGAGCAAATGCTTGTCAAGACAGCACAGGCACCCACAGCCCACAGGCTACGGAGCACAGAAGGAGGGCTCCCTCTGGAGGAGATGACCCAGCCAGAGCCCTGGAGGACAGGCAGGACCTCCACAAGTAAAGCAGCAGAGACCAGGTGGGGGCTGTGGGTCCCAGAAGCTATTCCAAAGGTAGAACAACAGGATCTGCTGACAGATCAGACATGGGGTGAGAGGAAGGAGGGAGGGTCAAGGATGCCCCCAGGGTTTCCAGCTTTTGTAATTGTGAAGCAATAGGGTCCACCAGTCTGCAGCTCAAAATTCTAGGCTGGAGGCCGAGGCGGGCGATTACCTGAGGTCAGGAGTTCAAGTCTAGCCTGGCCAACATGGCAAAACCCTGTCTCTACTAAAAATACAAAAAATTAGCCTGGCATGGTGGTGCACGCCTATAATCCCAGCTACTTGGGAGGCTGAGGCAGGAGAATCACTTGAACCCGGGAGGCGGAGGTTGCAGTGAGCTGAGATCACACCACTGCACTCCAGCCTAGGCGACAGAGTGAGACTCCGTCTCAAAAAAAAAAAAAATCTAGGCTGGAATACTTATTTGGGATCTTTGTTGTTCAATACAGTAACCACTAGTCATACACTAGTATGTATTAAATAAACTACTATTAAATAAACTAGTATTAAATTTCATAGTAATGAAATTTAAATTTATATTTATTAGGCCGGGCGCGGTGGCTCAAACCTGTAATCCTAGCGCTTTGGGAGGCCGAGGTGGGAGGATTGCTTGAGGCCAGGAGTTCAAGACCAGCCTGGGCAACAAAGTGAGACCCCTGTCTCTACCCCCCCAAAAATATATTAAAATTATCATTTCAGTTATAGTTCTTTAGTGGGTCTCAGTCACACTAAGAACTAGTCATTCATCTTAAGACCTCAGTAGCCATATGTGGCTGTGGCTAGGGGCTACTGTAGTGAACGATGCAGATATGGACCATTTCCATCATCACAGAACACTCTACTGGACAGCTCTGATGCAGGTCTGTAAAGCCATGAGCCTGGATGAGACCACCTAGAGCAGTGATTCTCAACTTGGCTGCCCTTTGGAATTACCTTGGGATTCTAATAAAAAAACACAGACACCCAGCCCTCAGCTCTAGAGATTTGGTTTTATTAATAGTTGGGTATTGGGCGTGGTGGCTCACGCCTGTAATCCCAGCACTTTGGGAGGCCAAGGTGGGTGGATCACTTGAGGTCAGGAGTTCAAGACCAGCCTGGTCAACATGGTGAAACCCCATCTCTGCTAAAAAAAAAAAAAAAAAAAAAAAAAAATCACCTGGGTGTGGTGGTACGTGCCTGTAGTCCCAGCTACTTGGGAGGATGAGGCAGGAGAATCACTTGAACCTGGGAGGCAGAGGTTGCAGTGAGCTTAGATCACGCCACTGCACTCCAGCATGGGGGACGGAGCGAGACTCCTTCTCAAAAAAAAAAAAAAAAAAAAAAAAGTTGGAGAGCTGGCCTGGTGCTTCCTGAACATCCAGTTTGAAAAGCTCCCAAAGGTGATCCTAATATGCAGCCCAAGTGAAGAAGCACTGACCTAAGGATGAAAATGTAGAGACGGAAGAGAAGAGGACCCAAGGGCACGCCAGCCTCTAGAGTAGGGCAGATGAGGACACGCAGCCAGCAAAGGAGACTGAGAAAGAACAGCCCATGAGGCAGGAGGACAACCAAGAGAGTGTTTCCAGGAAAGTGTTTCTATGAATCTTGCTGCTCAAAATGTAGTCTTCAGACCAGCAGCATCAGCATCACCTGAGAGTGTGAAGGAATGCAAACTCTCAGGCCCCACCCCAGGCCCTCTGAGCCCTCATCTGCATTTTAGCAACATCCCCAGATGATGCATGTGCTTATTAAAGTCTGAGTCAAGTAACCATTGGATGATCTTGGCAGAGCAGTTGGAGTGGGTGACGGGTAGAAGCTGCACTGGGGTGGGAAAGAGAATAAATGAAGGGGGTGAGGAAGTGGGGCCAGTGCGTGTGAAGGGGGCAAAGAGGGTATGGCCTAAGGAAGAGCGCTGACCCTAAGGAAGGACATGATTGCTCTGTAACAGGAGAGAGAAAAGAGAAGATACCAGATTCGGGGATGGAAAGATGAGAGTCCCATTCTAATGGCTATTTTCATCCATTTTCTCAAAGACTGGGGGAGTTAAACTGGGGAGAGGGAACAGGAGGCTGAACTGGGACAGACTTGTCTCAGAGCTGCCTGGGTGATGCTGAGACTGGCAATGGGAGGCGGGAAACGGCTGCCCCCTCTCTAAGATGCAGCTCCTCTCTCCAGGACCCCCAGCCGAGCCTCTGGAGCCCACAAGGCCACTCCCTACACTCCCCGTCCGCAGGATCCACTCACCATCGGAGAGGAAACACGAGCGCCAGCCCAGGCCCCCTCGGCCGCCCCTCGGGGACCGGCCATCCACACCAGGCACCAAACCCAACATCTGTGACGGCAACTTCAACACAGTGGCCCTCTTCCGGGGCGAGATGTTTGTCTTTAAGGTAGGGCCAATGGATTGGCACCACCCAGCTGGCCCCTGACCTTTCCTCCTCCTCCCCGACATCATGGAGCTGGGGAAGGCTCCTGATTTGGGATTCGATTACAATGGGGCCTGGACAGGAGCTAGCCCAGTGGCCAGGGCATGGGGTCTCTTCCTAGTGCTGCTGGGTGAATCAACTGTTCCCAAGAGGGAGGGGGAAAGATGGGTGATCCCTCACCTCCCCTGGGGTTAATGCTGGGAGAAAGTGCTGGAAGCTGGCTTCTGGTCTGTGACCACCCTTCTTGGGACCTCAGTTTCTCCATCCGAAACCTGGGGGAGTCATTCCTCTAACAAAGAGTGTGTGAAGATCCAGTGAGTACCCGGCTCTGAAGATGGTCAACTTGGAGTAGGGGCTAGGTCAGTGGTGGCTGAGTCTGACTCCAGACCCTACCAAGGCTTGAGGGGCTGCTACTGGCAGCAGCCCAGGGTATATCTTGTCATCTGTCCTCCATCAGCCATGGACTGACAGGGTGGCAGTCTGCTTGACGTGTTGCAGGTTGGGCTCTCGGGGAGTGAACTCTGAGGTGGGGTCTGGAATGCAGGATTTCGATTAGAGAGTACTTTCAGAATCAACATTTGTGAGGGGGAGAAGGAAGCAGGACAGGGAAGAGGGAGAGGTTAAGTGGCAACAGAGGCCCATGGCAGCCTCAGCCACCCCCGCAGGGAGCTCTGGGGCTACGGTGGCCTGTCACTCAGCCTACGTTGGGTCCAAAATATCTGGAACATTATAACCCCTACCTCATTCAATCACTGGATGAGGAAGGGCATCCAGTGACTGAGGAGAGCTCTCTGAAGCAGGGAACATCCCCAAAGGGGCTGACAGTTGAAAACTGCCTGCTGGCCACACTGCTGGCCACTGGGGCAACAAGCCCTTCTCTGAAGGGGATCTGGGCAGGGTGGCTCCATCACACAGGATGGTGAAAGAGGCTGCCTCGCTCCCCTTGTGGAGTTCTCCCAGCACGCACTGAGCACTGCGCAGGAATCGGGCAGCGTGAGTCAGCCCCAGTCTGGCTTCTCACTGAGTGGCTCTAGGCAAGTCACCTGGCCTTTCTTAAGACTCCGTATATCTCAGATCAACTTAACAGAGACATGAAAGTCAAAATAAGGTCAAAAACCTGGATGTGAAAGTGCTTTGTAAAACACCTTTTAAAATACTAGCTTTTGTACCATCTTTTACAAATCATGCTTCTTCTTCTGCACTCATTCTACTTTGATCCAACTGAACCGTTCATAGGCAGGTCCGGGTTTTATCATCCCCATTTACACATAAGAAAACTGAGGCCTGGAGGCTGGGCGCAGTGGCTCACGCCTTGCAATCCCAACACTTTGGGAGGCCAAGGAGGGCGGATCATAAGGTCAGGAGATCAAGACCATCCTGGCTAACATGGTGAAACCCCATCTCTACTAAAAATATAAAAAATTAGCCGGGTGTGGTGGCGGGCGCCTGTAGTCCCAGCTACTCAGGAGGCTGAGGCAGGAGAATAGCATGAACCTGGGAGGCGGAGCTTGCAGTGAGCCGAGATTGCGCCACTGCACTCCAGCCTGGGTGACAGAGCGAGACTCCATCTAAAAAAAAAAAAAAAGAAAGAAAACTGAGGCCTGGAGGCTACAGGCCTTGCCTAGACTGCTTGTGTACCAGCCCAAGACTGAGGCACCAGTTACAAGAGGCGTTTTTACTGGACTCGGACTATTTAGCTGCCATTTACTCAACATGGACTGTGTGCCCCGTACTGGTCTGGGCATTTTGCCTAGAATCTCTCATCTGATTCTCCATTATTACCTGCACTTGCAGGTGAGGCCTAGGTCATGCAGCTATAAATGGAGGAATGTGAATTCATGCCCAGGTCTCGAGGGAATTCCCATGACTTGGCTTCCATGATCCTGGCCCTGCTGGATGGAGCCAGCCTCATGGAGGGCGCTCGGCCCAGGCTCAGTGACCACCCCAGCCTCCCACTGTCCCGAGGACCAGTCTGGCTGATGTCAGTGACGCTCCACTGCCCCCATGTGGCCACTCCAGGCCCCAACATCATCCTTTCCGGCTCCCTCACACCTCCTTTTCCACACCAGGCCTGTCTGCTGTTTGTCTCATTGTCCACCCAGCAGCAAGAGTCAGCAGGAGGCTGAATTGAAGACAGTTACAGGAGCATCCTGTCTTCCTCCCAGGGCTTTAAAAGTCAGAAGCAGCTAATGGACAGTCTCGGTGGAGGGCTGGGCTGTTGGGACCTAAGCCCCACAGCTGCAATCACTGGGTTCGGAGGCAGGGCCTGACACACCTCTCTCCCCCTCTCCCGCTTCCTCCCAGGATCGCTGGTTCTGGCGTCTGCGCAATAACCGAGTGCAGGAGGGCTACCCCATGCAGATCGAGCAGTTCTGGAAGGGCCTGCCTGCCCGCATCGACGCAGCCTATGAAAGGGCCGATGGGAGATTTGTCTTCTTCAAAGGTAATGTAGACTGTGCTGTGGGACAGTTCCCTGCCCAAGGTCTTGGGACCTCCTTTTTCCCATCTAAACTGGAAGAGGCGGGGTGGGAGGCAGATGTCCTCAGAGGGCCCCTCTAGTCTAACGGAGACACTGACCTCTGACAAATCAAGTCAGAAAGTGAGACTGAGAATCTGTATGTGCCGAGATTGGTGGGGTGACCAGCTTCGTCCACATGAAGTAGAGTGTGGGACAAGCAATTGAAGACCACCCAGTACCTCATGGGAGGCCATCGGGTCAGTTCTGTAAGAACCCAGAGGGAAGAGGTCACTCAAGCTGGGGAGGTCGGGGGAGGGTGTGGGAGGGAGCTAAGGTGCCCACCCTGTACCCAGCACTGTGCTAGGTTGTTTCATGACAGTTATCTTGACTCGGGCCAGACCTCAGATGGGTGAGATACAGATAGTGAGAAGCAAGGAAGGCATTCCAGAGGGACAACGGCTGAATAAAGGAGCAGGGCTGGGATGTGTACGGACGGCCACAGGGCTTAGAAGGCCCACCTGATGGCCACGGAGGCCCCGCCTTGGAAAGCTGTGAGAAATGGCCCAGAAAGGTCATTTGGAGGCAAATCCTGAAGAGCCCTGGCTGCCAGGCCAGAATGTGGTCTTGATCCATTAGGCCAAGGCTGGAAATTCATGGAATGTTTCCGAGCAGCAGAGAGCCAGAGGGCAGGAGGTGACAGACATGGCAGGGGCAGGGCAGCCATTTCTGAGGTGGTTCTGGAGCGCGCCACTCATGAGGCCCAAATGAGGGAGGAGCCGTGCAGCTGAAGGGCAGGGGACAGCTGCCAGGAGAGTCAGAGGGCCTCAGAAGTGGCTGAATACTCGGCCAGGCGCAGTGGCTCACGCCCGAAATCCCAGCACTTTGGGAGGCCAAGGCTGGCAGATCACCTGAGGTCAGGAGTTTGAGACCAGCCTGACCAACATGGTGAAACCACGTCTCTACTAAAATTACAAAAACTAGCCAAGCATGGTGGCACGTGCCTGTAATCCTAGCTACTCAGGAGGCTGAGGCAGGAGAATCGCTTGAACCCAGGAAGTGGAGGTTGTGGTGAGCTGAGATCACACCATTGCACTCCAGCCTGGGCAACAAGAGCCAAACTCCATCTTAAAAAAAAGAAGTGGCTGAATACTGAGAGGAGAAGGAAAGAGAGGGTCAACAGTGAGGCTAGGACTCCCTGTTGGGGACCTGGGAGGCAGAAGGTGATGAGGAGGGAGCCCCTCTGTGGTGCAGATGAGGAGCTCTGGGGAGCCAGCCAATGCAGAGCTGCCGGTAGGCCGAGGGAGGTCAGGGTTTCTGGCTCTGCTGCTCAGGTCCAGTGGGAGAGCCTCAGAGTCGGGTGTCACTGGTAGCAGGTTTGGGGAGTGGTAGTGCATATGCAAAGTCATGTAAGTGGCTGAGATCACCAGAGAGGAGAGAGGAGCAAGTCACATGAACAAAAGAGGGTGGGACTCGGAGCCCAGGCAGCAGAGGCAAGTTGTCCAGGATCTGTGACTGGCCTCAGGCTTCGTGCCCTTCCCAACTCTAACTGGGCCAAGGGGCTGAGGGCATCAGACTGTTTTCACCTGACACCCTGAAGATGGGCAAACGGCACTGAGTGACTGGGGAAGCTGATCCTGGGCTCCTCTTGGCCACAGGTGACAAGTATTGGGTGTTTAAGGAGGTGACGGTGGAGCCTGGGTACCCCCACAGCCTGGGGGAGCTGGGCAGCTGTTTGCCCCGTGAAGGCATTGACACAGCTCTGCGCTGGGAACCTGTGGGCAAGACCTACTTTTTCAAAGGCGAGCGGTACTGGCGCTACAGCGAGGAGCGGCGGGCCACGGACCCTGGCTACCCTAAGCCCATCACCGTGTGGAAGGGCATCCCACAGGCTCCCCAAGGAGCCTTCATCAGCAAGGAAGGATGTACGTAAGGGCCGGGCCAGGGTGGGCATGGGGAGCCGGTTTTATGTGGTCCTCACCAGTGCCCACGGGCATACTCAGTGCCCATGGGCGTCCAGGTTTGAAAAAACACCTGGTGGCAGACAACTGCCTCATATCTACCCATGTTCACGTGGTCCATTAATTCACTTACCAGCTGCCAAGTCACACTTTTTCATCTGCAGGAATGATTCACGGCAGAGAGACGTTGTCATAGACTGACTTCATTCCTTCAGACAGCATTTCTCAAACACTTATCCTCAGTGTACTCCAGGGACGCCTTGAGTTACCCAATCTGAAAAGCAATGATGGGCATGCATGTTTCAAAGCCACTTTTTCACAGGGCTCGAGGGCAAGAAGATGGAAAGAAAACCTTCAAAAAAAATTTTTTTTTAAATTCTAAGAGATAAGGTCTCACTCTGTCGCCTAGGCTGGAATGCTGTGGCATGATCATAGCTCACTGCAGCCTCAACCTCCTAGTCTCAAATGATCCTCCTGCCTCATCAGCCTCCCGAGTAGTTGGGATTATAGGCACATGCCACTGTGCCTGGCTAATTTACATTTTTTTGTAGCAACAGGGTTTCACTATGTTGGCCAGGCTGGTCTCAAACTCCTGGCCTCAAGCAATCCTCCCACCTCAGCCTCCCAAAGCCCTGGGATTACAAGTGTGAGCCACTGCATCAAGAGAGAAACTTTTTATGTTTCCTGAACTCCTCCTAGAAGCCATGCTGGCCACCAGCCCCCACGACTGCCATCAGACACTCAGCCTGTCTCCCCACCAGCCTAGGAGCTTCTCAGGAGGAGCTGCTAGCCTGGCCAGATGCAGAGTGGGCCTCCAGGAGTGTTTGTTAAATAGATCTCCATTGATATGGTCAAAAACACAGACTCTAGAGCTGGACTGGCTGGGTTCGTAACCACCATAGTACCACTCACTATGAATCTGAGCAAATCTTTAATAAGTTTTCTGTTTTCTCATTTATAAAATGATAATAACAGTACCTACCTTTATATAATGGTTTTGTGAGGATTAAAGAAGACAAATTATGTAGCATACTTAGAAATAATGCCTAGCACACCATCCATGCTGTATATTTTAGCTGCTATCGTCATCATCATTGTCATCATCATGGGTTTCAGTTTATGTGGATTGACAGGATTCATTCACTCACTCCATAATAATAGACAGCTTGTGTGGTGGGAGCTGGGGACGTAGCAGTCAACAGGACTTGCAGACGTCCAAGTCTAGGGGCATAAAGCAAGATGGCAACAGACGCTATAAGGGAAAGACTCCCAGCACTTTGGGAGGCTGAGGTGGGAGGATCACTTGAGGCCAGGAGTTCGAGACCAGCCTGAGTAACATAGTGAGATTCATCTCTACAAAAAAAAAATACAAAAATTAGCTGGGCGTGGTGACATGTGCCTGTAGTCCCAGCTACTTGGGAGGCTGAGGCCAGAGGATTGCTTAAGACCAGGAGTTTGAGGCTGCAGTGAGTTACAACTGCACCACTGTACTCCAGCCTAGGCAATGGAGTGAGACCTTGTCTTAAAAAAAAAAAAAAAGGAAATAAATGCTGGGAGAGAGCAACGAGCTAGAGGGGGCCGTGTTAGAGATGGCTGGGAAGGAGTCTCTGAGGAGGCTTCACTGCTGAGAAAGCCAATGGCCACAGCTGCTATTTGTTGGCTGTCTTGTATACCTGATGCTTTACGCACAAGATCTCCCTTTTTGGGGAGCCTCAGAGACAGGTGACATCAAGGACCGAGACCAATGAAAGCCCTAGCCACGGTGGGAAGCCAGCCAATGAGGACGGCCTAAGCAAGCTGCTTTGCCCACTGGCTGGGCCGCTCAGGCTGTTGCTCGAGCCCTGGGGTGGTTGCCCAGGGAGTGATTGGCAGGGCTGCCCAGCCTCTCTCCCAGAAGGCTCCCAAAGGTCCTGCATCTGTGTTGTGAAGTGATGTGTGCCAAGCCAAAAAAATCCATAATTGCAGAGAGGTCTTGCTGTCAACACAAGGTGAAATCTTGCTCCCTGCCTCCCTTGGCTCAAGCAGGAGCCAGGCTGAGGCTTAATGGAGCCCACATGAGCGGGGCAAGGGGGACCTGTGCGCACAGTGTGACAGAGCTGTGACCCAGGCTTGCGTGCAAGGGGTCCTGTCTGGGCAGCACAAAGTGAACCATGTCCCAGTTCTCCCTGAAGCCCCTCTGGTTTCCTAGCACCCGTAGGATGACAGGCGGACCACTCCAGGTCCCGGGTGCCCCCCTCTGCAGCTTCTTACTCCATGACTCAGCCAAGCACTGCACCCCAAACCTCCAGGTGTGCCCACCTTGCCTCCCTTGCCACAGTGCCTGTGCCCTCCTTTTCACACTGCCCCAGAGCAGGTGCCGGAAGTGTCTGGGAGTGGTGATGCTGGGCTGTATTTCTGCAGATTACACCTATTTCTACAAGGGCCGGGACTACTGGAAGTTTGACAACCAGAAACTGAGCGTGGAGCCAGGCTACCCGCGCAACATCCTGCGTGACTGGATGGGCTGCAACCAGAAGGAGGTGGAGCGGCGGAAGGAGCGGCGGCTGCCCCAGGACGACGTGGACATCATGGTGACCATCAACGATGTGCCGGGCTCCGTGAACGCCGTGGCCGTGGTCATCCCCTGCATCCTGTCCCTCTGCATCCTGGTGCTGGTCTACACCATCTTCCAGTTCAAGAACAAGACAGGCCCTCAGCCTGTCACCTACTATAAGCGGCCAGTCCAGGAATGGGTGTGAGCAGCCCAGAGCCCTCTCTATCCACTTGGTCTGGCCAGCCAGGCCCTTCCTCACCAGGGTCTGAGGGGCAGCTCTGGCCAGTGCTCACCAGGGCCAGCAGGGCCCTAGGCTGGGGTCGTACAGCTGAAGTGGTGGGTGCATTGGCCTAGGCTGAGCGTGGGGCAGGGAATTATGGGGGCTGTGCCCCAGGGTGGGTGTCTGGCACCCAGCTGCCAGCCTTCTGTCCTGGGCAAACTACTCCCTACTTAAGGGAATAGGCCAGGCTCCATCCGGAGGCAGGGACCATGCCAGGAGGAGCCCCTGTGGTCACGGCATCCTGTGGTGTCCATGAGGTACCACAGCTCCACTCCTGGCTGGAACCCAGCACCCTCTGTGGGAAGCCAGCACTAGCTCTCATCCCCCATCCGGGAGATACCACCAGTCCTGGTCCCCTTTTGCCAACACCTGCTGGTCAGATGTCCCCCTACCCCCACCCCACTGTCCTCCAAGGCTACAGGACCCCTGCTTCTGACACAGTGAGCAACAAGCCTGGGTTTCCCTGCTGGCAGACGGCAGATCCCTCAGGAAACCTGCTCCACTTGTCAGGGTCTCTTCGGAGACCCAGGATTTAGGGTCACATGCTGCAGGCAGGGCTGTGGCCCAGCTGGGTCTGACAAGGACCCAGCTGTCACATCGTGAATATTTAAATGTCCTGTCACTACTGTCCCATTTTGCAAAGGCTGCTTGAGGCTTTAGGTGAACTAGAGGTGACTGTCTTGGTGATGAGGCCAGCATAGCGGCCCTCCCCCAGGCGACAAGGACCAAGGTGCTGCTAAGGCCACTCTAGCGCCCAGACACCCCAGTAGCTGAGCTCTGCTCCTATGGCTACAGAGCTGGGGCAGAAGCTGACCCCATTTCTGGAGGAAGATCCGAGTTTGTGACCGTCCTCCACTCCCCTCTATTGTCACTGTCCCCAGCTTTGCTCCAGTCTGTCACTTGCAGCCTGGAGCTCAGCCTCACCAGTTAGGTGAGGCAGAGATGGCTGCAGGGCCAACACTGGCAGAGCCTGGGAGTCCTTCGGAAGGGGACCAGGGCGTCTGAAGTGCTCAGTGCCCCCACTACTCTGAGGCCGACTCCAGCTACTCTGAGGCCGACTCAATCTCTCGGCTGGAAGCAGTGTTTTCCCAGAGCTTGGCCCTTGCTGACCTCGCTCACTGGGCCCATCTTCCCACACTGCTCTTAGAAGGACACCCCTACCGGTAGCAGCCCCAAGCTGAGGGGGCTCCCTTTTTGACCTTCACTGGCCCGCCCTTCACTGTCTCCAGCAGGAGTTCCTAGGGCTTGGCCTGCCTTGCTCCACAGTACGGCGGAGGCAGCCCTGCTTGTCACTGAGGAGCCCTAGACAAGGCCAATGGGTTCATCAATGCCCACTGGCTCTCTGCCAAAGCCAAAAAGGTGTCAGGCAGTCTCCAGCGTGCTGGCCGGGTCTCGGATGCCACCCCTGCTCACTGAGCCTGCATGGGCCTTGCCCCCGACCCTGTGGTCTCTGGGATTGGGGTCGGCTTACCCTGTAGCACAGACAGGGACTCCTGCTGCCCTGGGAGCTGTCTCAAGCAAAATCTCTTGTCCCAGAGGTGCCCATGTGGGTCCGCTGTGTCCCCTGTCATCATCCTTGTTTTTTCTCATTTTGGCCAAGGGCAGGCTCCCTGGGACAGGCAGGGAACAACTGCGGAGATATTAGTGATTCATAGGTTTGTACAGTGTTTTATACTTTGCAAAGCACTTTATTAGCTCACACCTGTCCACTCACATGAAACTCGTGTTAGGCCCTGGGAGGCCGACGGTAACTCTCACCGTGCCCTCAGATGAAGCACAGAGAGGTTGTTACTTGCCCGGGCCATCCAGTGGGCTGGCTGGGTCTTGTGTCCCCATCTGTGGACCCCTCTAGGGTCTGAGATGAGATGAGAAGTGTCTCCTGTATCCACCTCTTCCTGGCCTCCCTTCCCCCACTTCCTGGTCCCTGTCCACTCCTCAGGTTGGTGCTCTCACTTCTTGAAAGCTCTAGGCACCCCCGCCTCCCGCCAGGCTCCCCATTGGCTCCTGGCAGGCCAGCTGAGAATGAACAGGAGATGGAGGCAGGCAGCCCAGGCTGCAGAGGTGAGGGATGTGGGGCCAGGCCCAGAGGGCTCAGCCTAGAGGCTTCCAATCTCAGATTCTCCTGCCTGTGGTCATCTGTTTGTCCATCACCCCAGGACAGGGCAGACAGAGGGGCAAAGCACTGGGGGCCCCAGAGCCTAGCTTCCCCTCAGCCTGGGGGACATCACAGCATTTCAGTGTCAGTCACATTTTAAACTGATCAGCCTTTGTATAATGTTTTTTAAATCATTTCTAAATAAAACAGAAATACAGAGTGTGTCATTTCCCTGGGATGAGGGAACAAAGATCAGGTTCCAAGAGTAACCTTAGGACGCTCTGGGAAGAGAACCGGGTCCTTTGGGGTGTCTGGGAGCTGCCCACCCATCTCCTCTGCCAGACCGGCGGTCAGATAGCCTCCCTCTACAACAGGCTGGCCCTGGGGGCCCAGGGTTATTGGGGTTCCAGGAACACAGCCTGATGATGCCTCCTTACGATCCAGGATGGAGAGCAGCCCCCCCAGGAGTATGGGGAGGGTCACTGTGGCACGGGCTTCTCCATGACCTGGGACATGACCTGGGACACATAGTCAAGAGCACGGTTATCAGCAATACAGATATTAATAAAAGGCAGACGAAGTCAGGAGGTCAGCAACTTTGCGGGCTTACCAGGAGGCCTGTCCTGCCTCTGGAAGCCAGCGACAGAGAGGGATGCCCCCGACCCAGCCAGCCGGAGAAAGGGATGGGGTGGTCACGAAGGTCTGAGCTGGGTCTGGGTGTAGGCTGGGAAGCAGGCTGGGGTGTAGACTGCGAAGGCGGCCCTGCCGGGACTTCTTTCCAGTCCCCGGCGACCTCTTCGAATTCTCTGCTATCTCTGGGGAGCCTCGGGTGGGAGGGGGTGTAAGAGACGCAGGGACGTGGGGAGAGGAGACAAGGCAGGCAAGAACCACAGGGGACGGCGGACAGACGGGCGACATCCTGCGGAGGACGCCGTCAGTACCAGGAAGTGCAGGCGATGAGGAAGCGCACGTCGTCCAGCGGCCCCCACGGGCTGGGCTCGGGCTGGGGCTGGGGCTGGGGCTGGGGCTGGGGCTGGGGCGGATGCCGGGGCTGTTCCGGGCCCTCCGGCGCCGCAGGCTGGGGCTGGGGCTGGGGCTGGGTTTGCGCAGGCTCCGGGGCGCCGCGGCCGCCGCTTAGCTGAGCCCCCATGGTCTGCAAGAAGAGAAGCCCTTTAAGGTCTGGGTCGCCGGGACACCCCGCTAGGGCCCCGCCCCGGCTCTGCCCTCACCTCTCGCAGCCAGACCCGCGGGTCTCCCGGAACCCACCTCGGCGTCGGGAGGAGCTGGCGCCGTGACGCCACCACCGCGTACCGACCTCACCCTCCGTGCGTTGGAGCGGAAAGAAGGGACTCGACCCTGTGCTTCGGGGCGGGGCTCCGCGACCGTCCCCCGCCAATCCCGCCCCAGCGCCTCAAGGCCCCGCCCCGCGCAAGGGGACGGAATGCACCCCAACAGCCTCCAAGACGCCCAGGCCAGGAGGACGCTGGGAACCCGCTGCCCCGCCCCACGCCCACCCAGGAAAAGACCTGCAACCTCCATCCACCTTAGTCAAAGAATGCCCCGAAGCCAGATGCCCCAGAGCTCTCACAGGGGACTTGCCCAGCTCAGGGGAAAATCGGAACGGACTCTCTGCCTTTCAAGGCCAGAGAAGACCGGCGCAGAAGTCGGGTGAAAACTGTGAGAACTAGACCGGGCGCCGTGGCTCACGCCTGTAATCCCAACACTTTGGGAGGCCGAGGCGGTGGGTCGCTTGAGTTCAGGAGTATAAACCAGCCTGGGCAACACAGTGACTTCGTTTCTACAAAAAAATAAACGAGGCGAGAGGATCGCTTGAGCCCAACAGGTCAAGGCTACAGTGAGCCATCCTTGCGTCACAACACTCCAGCCTGGGTGACAGAGGGAGACACTGCCTCAAAAAGAAAAAAGAAAAAAGGAGAACTGTAGTGGAGAGTGTTTCTTGCCCCAGGATGAAGCCTCACATCCTGATGGTAGAGGAGAAGGGAATGGCGTGTGTGGAGGTGGTGAACTGGGTTGGGTGTGTGTTGTGTTCATCCCACCCTATCTTCCCAGAATGCTGGAACAACTGGAGAGTGCAGGGATTGTACACAGGCTGAGGGCCCCAAACATCACATTCAGAATGGCCCGGAGGGAACTGCACTTTAATGGGGTGGCACAGGACAGCAGAACCCTCAGCCAGCAGCCACAGGGCCTGCCAGCCAGCACAACAGAGCAGGTTTTTGCAGTAATGATAGATCCAGGCGATAAGCACAGGTGGAAAAGGGTTGGGTGCCCAGCCCCTCAGTCCCAGTGAGCTCTCTGCCACCTCCCTGCCAGCATCCGGTACAGATTGGGCGGAATGTGGAGAAGGTTGGCCACAGTCCAGAGCCAGGAGCCCATGGAACAACTTGGAAGGTGACTCAGGTGAGGCTGAAGAGAAAGGAAAGCGCACGGTCAGTAGCTGTTTCACAGAGCCCACCTCACTCTCAAGTGAGGTGCCTGCCTCAGCCCTCATCCCGGGACCAGCTCTGACAAGCTGCTCAAGCAGCTACTGCTCTAGTATCCTAGCCCTGAAAAACCACAAAGATGAGGATTAGCAGATGCTCAAGAAATATTTTTTGAATATGCTGGCTCTTATCTGCTCAGCAGTGTACAGATATGCTCTCACACTCGAGAAGCTACCAGAACAAACTGGTAGGCTCCCATTCTAGATGACATCTTTTCCCCATACTCTCAAAATGCAAGTTAACCCCCAACCCTGAGCAGAAGAAAGGAGAGGCCCCAGGTACCTGTCAATGAGGGAATCCCGCATGCTGGTGGCAATGGTGCTAGGCTGGGCTTCATTCAGCTTGAAGACACTCTCCACCACTGACAGCTCTGTGCTGGTTGTGTCCAGGCCACAGAAGGCACACCAGTCATTCACCACCATCCCAGCAGCAATCACCTCACTGCCTCGGTTCACAGTCCCCGCCTGCCAAGGGATGGGCTCAATGTGAGTCACGGCACCAAATTCTCTCCCTCCTCAATGAAGACTCTCCCCAAACCCTGCTCCTCCCTGACCTGCAGCCCCAGTCCCAAACTGTGGCAGGTAATGACCCAGACTCCCAAACACTAGGCAAAAGGATCTGCCTCGGGAGACGGGGTTCAGAGGACAGGAATGCTTACCACAAGGGGGACTTGAAGAAGAGAGGACAGCTCATCCTGGTCTTCAATTGAAGTCTTGGGATGCACCAGCCCTCCCTGATTGCTGAAGACACAGTAGCTTCCTACTAGCACCTGGTCGGCCACTGTCTGTCTGAAGACTTCCACCTTGAGCACATCTGCCAGAATTTCTTCTGTCTCCTGTCAATCAAAGATATTGTGTTCAGGGCTCAGAACTTACAGCCCCAGAACCAAGGTTCTCCATGCCCAGAAGCATCCAGGCCTTGGCTCCCTGAGCCCCTCATTTCTCCTCTGTACCTCATATGAAAGCCTCACCCAGAGAAAGGAGGAAGTACAGCTTAGAGCAGAGTCAAGGGCAGCTGTGAAGCCCCTAATATTCATGCATGCCCTGAACAGCTGGAGGCTGGTCTCAATATCACTTCTTTCCCCTCTCACCCACAGTCAAAAGTTCAACAGTCAATCACCTATCCTGGCCCAGGATGCAGGACTGGATGGTTCAATCTCCCCAATCATGAAGGATTCATACCCTCCCCAGCTTCTTTCTGACACTTGATAAGGCCTCTGTTATCACTATTCCAATGAGTACCTGAAACTCAAGAGCCCATATAGAAAAACCACAGGAGAGACCCCTAATTGCTGCCTGTTGGGAAAGAACAGTGGCTAACCACTGACTAGGATGGCCCTGTGACTCTTGGGTCAAGTTGGGCTGCCTCACCCTGTCCAAGTCTGGGTGGACCAAGGCCACGTAGTCATTGCAGGTGGTGACATTGCCCAAGGCTGAGAGCCGCTCCTCCACCCGCCTAATCTGCACTGTGTCTGGGAGGCTGTTGCGAATGTGTTGCAGCTCCTGGTCGGTGGTATTGTTGGGTACCAGGAGACCGTGCCTGTTCCCTGGAGAAACCCAAATTAGAGGGTGAATACACAAGATGCCTGCTGAGCCCTAGGGGCTGAGGATACCACTCAGCCCAGCCCAATCAGCTTTCCCAGGAAAGCTTTAGGCCCAGAGCCCAGCCCTCCAACCCACTGATCTGGAAAACACCCAGGGCAGGCCAGAGACCACCCAGGAATCCCAATAAATCCTGCCTACTTCACCATCACCAACTGGGAGGGAAGCTGAGCTCTTGGCATTAGCTGTATATTTTGCTACTTAAAAACTGAGCTGCCGGGCGTGTTGGCTCACGCCTGTAATCCCAGCACTTTGGGAGGCTGAGGTGGGCAGATCACAAGGTCAGGAGATCGAGATCGAGATCATCCTGGCTAACACGGTGAAACCCCGTCTCTACTAAAAATACAAAAAATTAGCCAGGCGTGGTGGCGGGCGCCTGTAGTCCCAGCTACTCGGGAGGCTGAGGCAGGAGAATGGCGTGAACCCGGGAGGCGGAGCTTGCAGTGAGCCGAGATCGCGCCACTGCACTCCAACCTGGGTGACAGAGCGAAACTCCGTCTCCAAAAAAAAAAAACAAAAAAACAAAAAAAACTGAGCTAACACTACACACATAGCAGAATGGCTAGATTATTATTTTTTAAGGCAGAGTCTCACTCTGTCACCCAGGCTGGAGCGCAGTGGTGCGATCTCAGCTCACTGCAACTTCTGCATCCTGGGTTCAGGTGATTCTCCTGCTTCGGCCTCCTGAGTAGCTGGAATTACAAGTGCGTGCCACCACACCTGGCTAACTTTTTGTGATTTTGTAGAGATGGGGTCTCACTATGTTGGCCAGGCTGGTCTCGAACTCCTAACCTCAGGTGATCCGCCCACCTCGACCTCCCAAAGTGCTACGATTACAGGTGTGAGCCACTGCCCCCAGCCAGAATGACTAAAATTTTTACAAGTCATCAATTCCAAGTGTTGGCAAAGATATATGGAGCAACTGAACTCTCATACTGAGACAGGAGTGTAAGTTGGTCAATCACTTTAGATAATTATCTGGCATCATCTGCAACTACTACTAAATAGTCACATAACCTGTGACTCTGCCATGCCACTCTTAGGTATCATATACCCAGTAGAAATATGTACATGTGTTCACTAAAAAAACATAGCAGCACTATTACTTTTTTTTTTTTTTTTGAGACGGAGTCTTGTTCTGTTGCCCAGGCTGGAGTGCAGTGGCACAATCTCGGCTCACTGCAAGTTCTACCTCCCCGGTTCACACCATTCTCCTGCCTCAACCTCCCAAGTAGCTGGGACTACAGGCACCCGCCACCACACCTGGCTAATTTTTTTGTATTTTTAGTAGACACGGGGTTTCACCGTGTTAACCAGGATGGTCTCGATCTCCCGACCTCGTGATCCGCCCGCCTCGGCCTCCCAGAGTGCTGGGATTACAGGCGTGAGCCACCATGCCCGGCCAGCAGCACTATTCCTAACAGACCAAAGTGAAAACTGCCCAAATGCACTGTCGATGGAATGGATGAATACGTTGTGATATACTTACACAAAACACACCATACAGCAACAAGAATGAACAATCTACAAATACACGCCAATCAATTTCTGAATTCCAGGTCACTCCCATCATAAAATACACAAGGACTAAGCTAAAATCTCCCTTGTTGTCAGAACTTGCTTCAAGTCCTAAGGGCATGGTTAGAGATCAGAGTATTTTAACTGAATAGGAAAATACTTTGAGGTCACTAGGCTTAAGTTTTTGTTGTTGTTGTTTTTTGTTTTTTGTTTTTTTTTGAGACACAGTTTCACTCTTATTGCCCAGGCTGAAATGCAATGGCACAATCTCAGCTCACCGCAGGGTGAGCTCCACCTCCAGGGTTCAAGCAATTCTCCCGCCTCAGCCTCCCAAGTAGCTGGGATTATAGGTATGCGCCACCACACCCGGCTAATTTCTGTATTTTTAGTAGAGACGGGGTTTCTCCATGTTGGTCAGGTTAGTCTCGAACTGCTGACCTCAGGTGATCCACCTGCCTCGACCTCCCAAGCAGGCTTAAGATTTTTAAAAATTAAAGTAAAAGTAAAAAAATAAAATAAACAGACTTCTAAAAGTGACCTCAATGAGCAGAACTAAGAAACAATGGGCAGCAGTAATGGAAGACAGATCCAGCTTAATGAAAGGACCGGCCGGGCGCAGTGGCTCACGCCTGTAATCCCAGCACTTTGGGAGGCCGAGGTGGGAGGATCACCTGAGGTCAGGAGTTCAAGACCAGCCTGGCCAACATGGTGAAACTCCATCTCTACTAAAAATACAAAAAAATTAGCCGGGTGTGGCGGGATGCGCCTGTAATCCCAGCTACTTGGGAGGCTGAGGCAGGAGAATCACTTGAAGAGAGTGTTGCAGTGAGCCAAGATCGTGCCATTGCACTCCAGCCTGGGCAACAAGAGCGAAAACTCCATCTCAAAAAAAAATAATAATAATAATAAAAAGGAAAGGACCAACGACCAGAATTAACAGTGCTGACAGGTAGGAAGGTAGGGTAGAGATGTGGTAAAGGGAATTTAAGATTCCAACGTAACTGAGCAGGAAGACCGCATATCTTAGCTAATCTTTACAGAGACAGAAATGGATGCTTAGAAAGAGAAAGCACCTTGCCCAGTCAGTGGCAGGGAGAGATGAGATACAAATCCTCGGCTGGGTATAGTGGCTCTCGCCTATAATCCCAACACTTTAAGAGACCAAGGTAAGAAGATCACTTGAGCCCAGGAGATCAAGGCCAGGCTGGGCAACACAGGGAGGCCGCGTCTCTACCAAAAATGTAAAAATTAGCCAGGTGTGGTGGCACGTGCCTGTGGCCCTAGCTACCTGGTAGGCTGAGGTGGGAGGATCACTTGAGCCTAAGAAGTTGAGGATGCAGACAGCTGTGATCTTGCCACTGCACTCCAGCCTGGGCGAAAGAGCAAAAATCTGGCCTCAAAAAAAAAAAAAAAAGAGAAAAATCCTTCTCCAACACTAGGAACTAGGTGTGGAACTTACTGAGTCACTTAGGTCAAGTCTCAACTTCCTCATCAGTCAAGTTAGGCCAGTAACTCCTACCTTCTAGTGTCTTTGTGACGAAGGAATGAGAACAGGAGTGAAAGCACTTTACATTATTTGTTATTACTATTATCCAGCAGCCTTTGCTAGAGGGTTGCCCCGATCTCCTGACGCTTGGCCTGAGAGATTCTATAGTGCCCAGAGATAACAGATGATACCCTGGGAATCCCTAGGTCACTCCGGGTTCCCTCCGGGGGTGTAATTAATGGTGCTTGGAGACCACTCCCTCCCTCGGCGTCCTCCACCTGCCTTACCCACACACATGCGCCCGATGATGCGGCAGCCGGCGATAGACGCGTGCACCACGGGGATGGTATCGGAGAGCTCGCCCTCGAACACACTGTAGGGACATGGACTCGGTGGTGGCGGGGCAGAGGGGCCGGCACCCTCCCACTGCCGGAGCTCTTGACTCCTGCGCACGCCTCCCCGCCACCGTAAGCCCCGGGGCTCCCGCCGCACCTGTAGAAGTTCTCTGAGCCTCCGATCGCTACCAGACAGTAGGTGTTGGTGAGCTTGGCAAAGCAGCCGATCTCACAGTTGTTCTCGAACGAAGCTCGGACCGCCATGAGGCCTAGGGGCGGCGGAGGCGGGAGTTCAAGGCCGGCGGATCCTTTCCCAAGTATCCCGGCCTCCGTCCCTCAGGCCCCGCCGCGACCCCGCCCCTCTCGGCCTCCCGGCCCCTCCGTCCTCGGGTCCCGCCCACTGGGCCCCCACCAGAACCTCCGGCCCTGAATCCTCTGGCCCCCACCCCTCCCGACCCAGGACCGGAGCTGACCCTCCCAGGTTCCCCTCACACCAGCTTACCAAGTAACCAGTAACAAGCTCCGCACGCGGCGACTGTACCTTGGACTCCCTAAAAAGGTTTCCGTTTCCACTTCCGTCCAGGGAGACTTCCGGGAGAGCCCGGCGCTCCCCGCCACGCATCCAGCCCCTCTACCTCCGGCCTCCGGCGGACTCTATGGTCGCGAGCGGTCTGGGCGCGACCCCGCCTGGCCCCACGCCTAGCCTGCTCGCGTTCATTCATTCATTATTCATTCAGGAGCTTTTTAGGAGCTGTCATCGACCTAGACCTCCGGCTGGTCGGTTGTGAGGCATGAGGGAGAGGAGGGGCCAGGAGTGTCTCGCGGAAGGGTTGATGATGGAGGTATTGATGGAAATGAAGCCGGAGGAAGGGCAGGTTTGGGGAAAGGGATGAGTCCAGCTGTGCCTTGAGGGACAGAAGTCCATGTCTGGAGCCCAGCAGGGGAGTGGAGTGCTGACGAATGAGATGAGGGGCTGAAGACGGGTGGACTAGAAGAGGCTACCCATGGAGAGAGTTCCAGGAGGCAGAAGTGCGGCCAGACCGAGGCTGGAGAAAGAGCGCAGCCAGAGACGGAAAGGCAGCCAGGCTGCAGGTGCTGGAGAGAGGGGAGGACTGAGGAAGCAGGGGCTCAGGAAAAGGCTGGAAAGGGGTCCAGGGTGGGCAAGGATGTGGGTGCTGGTTGGCTTCCACGATGTGCCTCTCGCACGGCCTCTATCACTCACTCAGCAGCCAACTTCTGTCCCCAGGATAGTGATGGGGGCCAAGGGCCCTGCTGCACACTTGGACAGGATGAACTTGGCCCACATTTTGTAGAATCTGCAAAAGCCCCGGGTTCTCTCAAAATGTCACAGTGGTAACTTGGAGCCCCTGGACTCCCCCAATTCCTCCTTCGGCATTCACCCTCCTCCAGGGGTTTCCCCATAATTGGCCTGAATGGTGCCCTTCCCATTCCCCCAACGTGTCCCTCCCATAACTCCTCAAAGTTCAGGATACACCAGGCGCTGTGATTCACAATAAAGTCTGCCTTTATTGATGTGTATCATGTTTACTATCCCGGGTAAGTGGTGAGTTCAGGAAAATGGCCCACAACCTGTCACAGCCTGTACTTCAAGAGACACTCAGCAAGATGATGACGACGACAATGATGATGATGATGATGATGACTCAGCAAGATGATGACGACGACAATGATGATGATGATAATGATGATGTGTGTGTGTGTGTGTTTCCGGGTATCCACATACTCTGCTCTTCCTCACTCATTCACCTCAGACCCACTCAGTCCTCTTTAGGGCATCTCTTTCACCTGATTCTCTCTACCAAAAATTTTTCTAACTCTCTCCTCCCTCTGTCCAAAACCTCCCCATCCTTCAGGGCCTGGCTCAAAGGCCACCTCCATCTCCTCTAAGAAAGTTTTCTGACTACTCCACCTTCTCCAGGACTCTCTGCCCTTTGTTTTCTAACACCCTCTGTAACTGGTTAACCTTTAACTTGATATGGCTCTGACCCCTTCTCCAGCAGCTTGTGCATTTCACCTCTGTCCCCAGGTCTGAGTGTGACCCACCTGTCAGCTCTACAGGCCCAGCACAGGGCTGGAAACACAGCCTAGATTCAAGAAGATACTAGTTAGGGTGTGTGTGTGTGTGTGTGTGTGTGTGTGTGTACACAAGAATCTTGAGCCCAGAGAGTGTGTCTGACCTGGGTTTCTAGACACCTCCCTTCCCCAGTCTGGGACCTGAGCAAGTCCAGAGTCTCGGTGGACAGAGGAGGGGCCTGCCCTTGCCAGTGCACCCCCGATGCCAGTCCTTTGGCTAGGACTCAAAGCGGCTTCGGAGCTGCTTGAACTTGGACTTGTTGTACTTAGTGATGAGGTCCAGTTTGCTGTGACCCAGGGTCAGCCGTTTCTCATCCCTGACCAGGTCACTGTTACCACCATTGAGATGGCCACCCTTGGGACCCCCAGGCTCAGTTCCCTGCCTGGCCCCGTGCAACTGATGATACTTGGTGATGAGGTCCAGCTTGCTGTGGCCCAGGGTTAGCCGTTTCTCATCCCCAGACCCAGCTCCAGCCGTGCGAGCAGGGCTTGATATCGGGAGACCATTGGGCCCAGGCCCCTCACCACGGAATGGGCCGAACTTTGTGATGAGGTCCAGCTGGCTGTGCCCCAGGGTCTGCCGCCGCTCATCTGGTGCCCGTCTGGCAGGTCTGGCTGAGGAGTTGGTTTCAAGGGGCACTCTGGAACCCTGGGCCTTGGGGTACTGCATCAGGAGGTCTGATTGGCCACGGCTTTGGTTTAGGGACAGCCTCCTGTCCTCCAGGGCCCGATCACCAGGTCTGAGGGAACCCAACTCAGGGGCACCCCCAGTACCCAGGGCTCGGGACAGGAGATCCAGCTGGCTGTCGGCCTGGCTTGGGGACAACCTCCTGTCCTCTGGGGCCTGCTCGCCAGGCCGAAGGGGGCCTGAGTTGGGGGTAACCCCAGAGTCAGGGTCTCCCACTTCTCGGGCTCTGGGGAAGGGGACAAGGAGATCCAGCTGGCCACGGCTCTGACTTGGAGATGCCTTCTTCTCCTTCTCCTCCACTGTCTCCAGGGTTGTGCCAGGTACCCATCGACCCCGCAGGGGGCTGGGCTCTTGGCTTCCTGGGAGCCCATTCTCTGGGAACCGGGACAGAGCTGGGGCACCCCGATGGAACTGGAGGAGGGGCCGGGAGCGAGGAAGCAGAGGTGACCCCACTGCCAAGGTTAAGGGGCTGGTACTATTATGGTTGAGGGCAGGGGAGGACTGGGACCATGGGTATGCCCCTAGCTTGCCGAGATTGGCCCTATAGAGCCCAGGAGGGGAGCCGTGGTTAGGGTCTGACAGTTGGCGATGTAGGGAGGGCTGGCCACTGGCCTCACGGCGGGCAGGACCCAGGGACGAGGACACCACACCCGTATCACTGCAATCACCACCTCCTGGTAGAGCGAGGTAGGAGGAGCGACCCATAAGCGGTGACTGCTTGATGCTGCTGAGGCTGGTGCTGGAGGGCAGGGACGACGTGGGGCTTGGGACATCAGGCCTGAAGGCTAGGGCCACAGGGGGAGGACGCAGTGCCCGGGGAGACAGCGGGTCCTCACCGCCACAGAAGCCCTCCACAGGCTGCGACTCAGCGTACAGACAGCGGAACTCCCGGTCAAAGTCTTCCACGATGCGGCCCCTCAGCTGCAGCACCATGCTAGTGTGGGCCTGGCTGCAAAGCCAGGTGAAGCTGGGGGCAGAGGGACAGGGGGGTCAGGAGGCAAAGTGCAGGATCCTGGGGGTCGGCAGGAGTCACAGCCAGGGGTGCATACCTGGTCCAGCACGCTAGACCCAAACCCCACCACCACGAGGGCTCACAGCGAGGGGCAGAGCTCCAACTCCAGAGTCTGTGCTTGCCCTAGCCCTGCTTAGTGTGTGACCTCATGGAGGCCCCAACTTCCCCATCTGTCAAATGGACTTGGGGGAGGTTCCCTGAAGTCACTCCAGTTCCAATGGGCATAGTCATTTTCTATACCAAGGGTATTAAAGTAATCATTCCCCTAGAGTGAGCTCCTCCAGGGCCGATGCCCCCGACACCCTCCCCTGAGCCTGGCATGATGCCTGGCACATGGCAGGTACTCAGCCCGTGTCCGAAGGAAAGGATGAGTGGAGGGAAGCTCAGAGCTGCCAGCCAGTGATGCAGCCCCAGGCCCCCCTTGCCTCCTCGTGCCTGCTCACCTGTAACTGCCCGCCACCACTTGCTCACAGTCAATGAGGACGAACTTCTCCAGGGCCTGCCCCGTGAAGCGGCGGCCAGCCTTGCTGCAGTATGTGTCCCCACACGTGCTCCGCACACGCATGTTCTAGGTGGAAGTAGGTTGGGGGTGACCTTGAGAGAGTGAGGCTCAAGCCATGTCTCTGCCCCATGGGGTCTCTAACCCCAGACAGCTAAGGGAACCCACCCCCCACTCCCAGTGCCCCCCAGTGCTGACTGGCCACCCACTGGCTCCCCTGCCCTCCCTGACTCCCCGCCCACACCCCTGGTTACTGCCCCTGGTCCTCACTGACCGGCAGGTGCTCCCCATTGAGGTCCATCTTGTAGCACATCTCCAGGAAGTGCCTCAGGTGCTCCTGGGCAAGGAGCAGGTACACAGGGACACCACGCCGGCTTGAGGCCTCCATGAGGTCACACAGAAGCTCCATGTCAGTGAATATGTCCATCACCACAGCCACCACCTGGGTGGGGGGAGGCACACGAAAGCTCAGCGCTGCCCAGGGCACTCCCCACATCCAGCCAAACCTGGGGCAGGAAACTGGGCGCCGGGAAAAGAGTACTGGACTGAAAATCAGGAGGCCAGAGCCTTCAAGAGCAAGTGAACAGGAAGGGCACTTAGCAGTGACCTAGCCCAGGGCTTCTTAACTTGGGCACAGGCAGATTTGACTGTCTTCTTTTTTTTAAGAGTCAGTGTCTGTCTCACTCTGTTGCCCAGGCTGCAGTGCAGTGGCGTGATCATAGCTCTCTTCTGCCTAGAACTCCCAGGCTCAAGCAATCTCCTCCCAACTCAGCCTCCCAAGTAGCTGGTATTATAGGCATGTGCCACTATGCCTGGCTAATTTTCTTTTCTTTTTTTTTTTTGAGACAGAGTCTCACTCTGTTGCCCAGGCTGGAGTGTAGTGGCGTGATCTCGGCTCACTGCAACCTCTGCCTTCTGGGTTCAAGCGATTCTCGTGTCTCAGCCTCTCAAGTAGCTGGAATTTCAGGCATCCACCACCATGCCCAGCTAATCTGTATTTTTAATAGAGATGGAGTTTCACCATGTTGGCCAGGCTGGTCTCAAACTCCTGACCTTGTGATCTGCCTGCCTTGGACTCCCAAAGTGCTGTGATTACAGGCGTGAGCCACCACGCCCAGTCGCTAGTTTTTTTTTAATTCTAATTTTTTGTAGAGATGGGGTTCTCACAAGCTGGTCTTGAACCCCTGGCCTCAAGCGATCCTCCCACCTCAGCCTCCCAAAGCACTGGGATTACAGTCAAATCCCAGCCCAGATTTGACTGTCTTGAACCCCTAGCTGTTTGAAAGCATTTGTGTGCATCCTTCTGTGCACCGAGTGTTTATCCATCATCAGATTCTCAAAGATGACTGTGGATCAGCTGTGCTAGTCCAACACTCCCTCTGCACTGAGCCCCAGATGGGACAGCAGTGAGAAGGAGAACCCAGACCCCAATTCCCAGGCAAGTTCCTGGCACTCCCCCGACTAACTCCAGCCCAGCTCTGACCCAGGGACTGTCTGTCTGAGGCTCCCTTCTCCAGGGTCACAGCTACAAGCCACTTACTGGGGTCTTCGCTGCCCTTTCCCAGTCCTGCCTCAGTTTCCCTGTGAAGCCACAGAGGTCTGGTGTGACCCCTTACACTGCAGACTCCCTTACTTGCACCCATGCCAAATGGATCCAAGTTTTCTGCTCAGTTGAGGGCTGGGCTGGGGCTTGTGCCTCCATCCCATATAAAGGGCTGCCTCAAAGAGGCCCCTGAAACCTTCTTGGCACCTCCCAGCCCCCAGCTGGCCTTTCTTCCCATGGCATATATCTGCTATGAGAGTCTTCTCTCCCAGGCAGGGCCGAGAGGCAGGAGGTACAGAGCATAGCACTCCAGCTCTGGAGTCAGAAAGAACTGGGTTCAAACCTGGACTCTATCACTTCCTGGTGACACAGCTTTGGGTGAGTCCCTTCACCTCTGGAAGCCTCACCTTCCTCATCTGTTAAATGGAGATAATGATAGCCATGTCTCAGAGTTACAGGGAATTAAATGTGAAAATGCTCAAGACATAACAGAGCTCTATAAACATTGGGCTGCAGGGCAACGCAGCATTTCCCAAGGTCACTAGGAGTCATGACAGCCCAGTGCACGAACCTGGCTCCTGACCCAGGATAGAGGGGTCTAAATGGGGGCTGAGAAGGCGAGGCACTGGGGGATGCCCTAGTTCACAGCACAGGCCTGGCCAGGGTGGGGGAACAAGGACAGGCAGGAAGATCAAAGAGGCAGGGGTGAGGAGGACGACAGCAGCAGCCTCACTAATAACCCCATTCCTGATGCCAATCAGGCCTGGCCGTCCCCTGCCTGGGGCACAGGAAGGCTTGCCAGGGAGGCTCTGGAAGTACCGGTGGGATCCCAGCATCCTGGCTTCCCATCTCTGCAGCAGGAGCCTAACTCTCCCTCAAACCCTGCCAGGGATCATCTCGTCCATTCCCCTGGAGTCGGAGGCCAGGGCTTCAGAAGGGAAGCTGTGCTCGTGTGTGGCCAGAGCCTTTCTGGGTGCTGACCACCCCTACCTGCCCTCCCAATTCTCTTTCTCCTGAGCTCCCGCTCCCCATCACTGAGCCCAGCAGCCTCCTCTCCTCCTTCCTCCTTGGTTCCAAAGCCCAGCCCTCAAGGCCACGCCAAAGAGGCCCACACGCTGGCCCCTTCCCCTGCTTCAGGCCCAGCTGCAGATGTGGTGCAGGAGGGTAGGGGGCAACTAGGGACCTGAGCCAGCAAGGAGGGCCGGACTGGTCCCCAGGACCCAAGTCAGAGAGCCCCTGTCTCCCCAAGCCCTGAGCTCTATGTCACCATATGGACCTCCCTGGGCAAGTCCCAAGCCCCTCTCTGGCCTCAGTTTCTTCTTCTATAAGTGAAGGAGGTGACTCAGATGTTCCCCAAGGTTGGAGTTCTTAGTGTGGGGATCATAAAACTTTTTGAGAATCTGATTTAAGGCAGTGGAGCATCTTCCAAGGTAAAGATGCAGCGAGGACTCCTCCCTCCAACCTGCACCACTTCGTGTGCATTTCAGGGGATTGTGGAGTCCCTGACACCCATGCCCTGTTCTATGCTCATCCATACTATTCCTGGGTACCAAGCAGTTGCCAAGGTAAATATGGGATGTCCCCCTTCTAGGAGTTTGCAATCTAATAGTGCCAGAGGTGCTGGTCCTCATTCTGCCCCTAAGTCGCTGTGTGGCCTTGGGCTGGTCCCTTCCCTCTCTGGACCTCAGTTTCCTCCTCTGTGAGATGAGTGATGGAGAGATGAGGCCCTTACCGTGTGGGCCTGGCTGAAAAGGAAGCGCAGCAGGTCCTTGATGTTCTTGGCCTTGTCCCTCTGGAAGTGGACCACAGCCTGGGTGGGGCTGAAGCCTGTGGCCTGTGGCACCTCGGGCCAGCCCAGGTCCAGGTCTGGGGGGTCTATGTCAGAGGCCATGGGGAAGTAAGTCCCTGAGGTGACTTCAGAGAGCAGGCTGAGGCGGTCTGGCCCGGAGGCCTCCTGCCCCTGAGCCTCGCTGAGCTCAGGGCCCCCGCGCACATGGCTGGTCATGTAGTCCACATCCAGGGCGCTCAGGAAGGGCAGCTCCCGCTCCTCGGAGATGACCCGCAGGTAGGCAGCCTCACCCCGCTCCAGGAGGGCGTCGGCCGCCAGCCGAGCCGCCTCGCTGTGCCGCAGCACCAGCGGTGAGCTCTCCCGCCACCACGGCAGCTTCAGCTCTTCCACCCGGCCCCGCAGGGGTCCCGCCATGCCCTGGGCTCCCAGGACCCCAGGCCCCGGGCCTCCGAACATGCCTGCCACGCGGCTGCCTCACCCGCCGGCAGGGCCCATGGCCCGCACGCTGGGCTGGCTGCAGCAGGAAGAGGAGACCAGCAGAACCGCCTTCTGCCCGCCCGCTCGCTGTGTGTGTGGCAGGGCCCCCAAACTGTTGCCACCCTAAATCAGAGCCACGCTCCACCCTATTGCCCCTGGCCTCTGGAACCTGTCAGGTCAGCCCCACCTGTCTGCCTGTGTTGGGACTCGCCTGCCCAGGGAAGCGGCAGTGCCAGGCCCTCGGTGCACACTCCTGCCTCCCTCTCTTCCTCCCAGCAACGCCGCCCCATCCCCACCAGGCTCCCAGCAAGTCTCCAAATGCTGACTTCCCGGGACCCACAGAGGTTGAATTACAGCCAAGAGGGGCCCAGGCGACTCAGGAACACACACTCACACGCACACGCACACACACTGCAGGTGGGTGAGCGACTCAAGACACCCAGGAAAAGACATGAACACCCATGCAGATGGACACACTGACAACTGACCGATACACAGACATGGAGTGTGGGCTGACACAGACCGACCACACATTGTAATCACATCCACTTGCATAAACTCTTCACCCAAACGCCGATGTAGAGACCGGCCATGACCCCCACAACACATACCACAGTGGATAGCACGTGCCCTGGCTCAAGTCTGCAAGGCCCTGAGAGCTGAACGACTGTCACATGGAATATCCAAGGACATCAACGCTGGTCTGTCCCCCAGCCAGCCCTCTTTTTGCTCCCATAATCGTCCTGCCACTCTCCATCATCTTAACTGTGGTGCTCACAGCCCCCTGGCTCTCTCCCACCCCGGCTCGGAGCTGTCCTTCAAGAACCTAGAGCAGTGGCTCTCACCCTGACCCCAGGGGTGGTGAGAGGTGATGAAATGCAGATCCCCGGGCCCCACCCTCCTGGAAATTCTCATCCAGAAGGTGTCCGTAGGCTTCTGGAGCTTGTCTTTTTTCTTTTTCTTTTTGAGATAGGGTCTTGCTCTGTCACCCAGTCTGGAGGGCAGTGGCGCAATCACAGCTCACTACAGCTGTGCCTCAGTTTCTCTGGACTCGAGCGATCTTCCCACCTCAGCCTCCTGAGTAGCTGGGATTACAGGTGCATGTTACCATGCTCGGCTACTTTTAAAATTTTTTTAGAGATGGGATCTCACTATGTTGCCCAGGCTGATCTTGAACTCCTGGCCTCAAGCAATCCTCCTGTCTCAGCCTCCCAAAGTGCTGGGATTACAGGTGTGAGCCGCCACACCTGGCCATTTTTCTTTTTTAATTGAGACATGATCTTGCTCTGTCACCCAGGCTAGAGAGAGCAGTGATGTGATCATAGCTTACTGTAACCTCAAATTCCTGAGTTTTTAAACAAGTGCCCAGTGCACTGTGGGCAGTGGGCTAAGGCCCACCCCTGAGACATGCTGTTCCAGATGGCTGTGCTTGCAACACCCTTAACTCCAGGGATGTTCTTGGCCTGGTGGTGGCCAGACCCCAGCCTTCTTCCCCTCCTCCAGGGCTGAGTATGAAAATGGTTGGAAGGTTGTTTCAGAGAATGGGCGGACACACTGCAAGGTCAGGAGGCAAACAGGGCAGGTAGATTTCTGACCTCTGCCCCAACAAAGATTAAAGTCCTGGAGCATGTACCGTGTGTCCTTCGGAGGATGGTGAGCAGCTTTGCTCTGGGGAAGGGGGTGAGCAGGTGACAGCTGCAGCTGGGGAGCCAGGCTAGGCAGAAGCGGTCACCACCTTTCCACGGAGGCATGAGGTCCAGCGAGGATGGCGGGAAGCGCAGAAGACCTAAAGCCGTGCCTCGCAGCCTGTTTAGCACTAAGCGCACTTGGTTTATCTGGTCTGCGATCATGTCCGGAACACAGGGTCTTCTGTGTCCAAAGAACTTGACACACATATAGTGGGAGGGAGCTGGGTGGGATTTAGAGGTTCCGGAGTTGAGCTGAGCCCTAGGACCAAAGGTGAATGGGGCTAGGGCTGTGTCTTCAAGGACCCTATAAGTGAAGGGCCTGGGGGAGCATGGGGGAGCCACAGGTCAGGAGTTATGGCCTACTCCATCCCATCCCAGGTGCAGGAGCACCGGGCACTCCAAGGAGGCCCTTCCATGGGGGTGAGGAGGCTGCAAGAGGGGCAGAAGGTTGAGTAAACAAAGCCAGACCGTGGGAGGGTGATGAGCTGTGGGGGCAGCCGAGGTGGCAGGGCCATCATTAGGGCCTTATCTCCAGATTTGTTTGAAGGGGAGGACCAACCAGGGTCTTATCTGGGTGGTAGAAGTGCTCCCGGGAGGGAGGGAGGCATGTTTGCGTGTCACTGAGTTAGTTTTGTTTATCTTGCAGTGTGTATACATCTACTTCAGGTACATATCTTTGGCTCTGTATCTTTTAATTGTGGTAAAATACGCATAAAATTTGCCTTTAAAAAATAATTCGTGGCCAGACGCTGTGGCTCATGCCTATAATCCCAGCCCTTTGGGAGGCCGAGGTGGGCGGATCACCTGAGGTTGGGAGTTCAAGACCAGACTGACCAACATGGTGAAACCCCATCCATCTCTAATAAAAATACAAAAAGTAGGTGGCTGTGGTGGCAGGCGCCCATAATCCCAGCTACTTGGGAGGCTGAGGCAGGAGAATCGCTTGAACCTGGGAGGCAGAGGTTGAGGTGAGCTGAGATTACGCCACTGCACTCCAGCCTGGGTGACAGAGCGAGACTTCATCTCAAAAAAAAAAAAAAAAGAATTAGAGATGGAGTCTTGCTCTGTTGCCCAGGTTACTCTCAAACTCCTGGCCTCAAGCGATGCTCTTGCCTCCGCCTCCCAAAGTGTTGAGATTACAGGTGTGAGCCACTGCACCAAGCCAAAATCTGCTATTGTAACCATTTTTAAGTGGTACGCTTTAAGTGTCGTAAGTGCATTCACACTGTGGTGTAACCCTCACCACCATCCATCTCTAGAACTCTTCTCACTTTGCAAAACTAGAGCTCTGTACCCACTAAACACGAATTCCCCATTTCCCCCTCCCCCAGCCCCTGGCGCCCACTATTCTGCTTCCTGTCTCTATGAATTTGACTCCTCTAGGTATCTCATTTAAGTGGAATCATACGGTTTTGTCCTTTTGTGACTGGCTCATTTCACGTAGCTTCATGTCTTCAAGTTCCTTCACATTGTAGCGTATGTCGGAATCTCCTTCCACTTTAGGCTGAATAACATCCCATTGCATGTATGTAGCATGTGTGTAGCACATTTAGCTCATTCCTCCATGGATGGATGCCTGAGTTGCTTCCACCTTTTGGCTGTTGTAAATAAGGCACAGGTGTACAAATTTGGCTCTGTATTTTTGTATACTTCCCCCCACGCCCAGGTTTGTACTAGATTCCTTTTTTGTACATAAGAAACCACTGAATATTGGCAATTTCATATGGTTTGACTAAATATATACAGGTGTACCTATGCAGAACTGTACCTGTGCTTGTATGTGTGTGCACGTCCTGTCTGTGATGTTTGTGTGCCCGTGTGGCACGGCAGTGTGCATGGACCTGTGTGTGCATGTGTGTCTGGGTGGCGGGATAGTCCTTGAGTCGGACTCTGTGTTGCGGTACTGGGGCTGTGTGTACAGGAAGCACAATGGAGAGGGGCAGGGGTGGGAAGACTTTGTTGAAAGGCAAGGGGTTCCAGTGGATCCCGGACATCCTGATAATACTTGTGTGCAAATCAAATCAAATCCCCCCAGGCTGCGGGACCAGCTGCCTCTCCCTAGGCAGCCCCTCCCTGTGAGTTGAGTTGGTCAAGGGCAATGGGAGGGCAGACAGGTGGCTCCCGGCATTGGGGCTGGGCCTAGGGGTGGTGGCCAAGGGTGATGGGAGCGTCCAGACAGACCCAAGCCCTGTCCCTGGCTGAGGTATGTCAGGCACAGGCCCCTTAATGACTGTAATTAAGAGGAAGGAAACTGTTTTCCTGTATAGGAGGTGTGTCAGGCGCCTGCCTGGCATCACTCAGCTGTCCTGGAGGCCACTTAGCCTTGTCTATTGTCTCTCACAAGCCAAGCGGCGTCTGGGCAGGCAATGTCATGTAGGGTAGGGGGAGCAGAGGCTGGGTTGCAGCCCTCCAGGTGCAGGCTGCTCTGAGGCCAGTGCTGCCGCATACCTTTCCTCTGGCACCCCGGGTCAGGAGAGACAGGGCTCCCGCAGAGGAGCAGCTGGGACTGTAGGGCCCGGAGTGCCCTACCAGGGATTTGGAGTGCACCCAAATCCCTTGAATCAAGGCAAAGTGGACACATGCTGAAGAGTCCCCGAGGCTGGCTTGAGCCAGGTAGCAAAGGGTGAGAAAGATTTCAGGTGCAGAGGGGTAAGTGGAGTGTTCCTGGCTGGAGAAAGAGGGCAAGGACATGCCCAAGGAAGGCAGGTGGGGGCCGTGGTGCAGGGGAAGATGCTAACAGGAAGGCTAGAGCCGCACTAGGAAGAGCTCGAGGGCCTTCTAAAGTGCTGGGTTCTTACCTAGAGATGATGGCACAAAGGCTGGGAAGACTCCAGAGCATCGTCCTAGGATAACTCAGAAACAGCTCCAATGGCGAGAGTGGGCCAAAGCACCAGAAACAACCCACATTGGTTGAACCCAGTGTGGTTCACTGTTCACTGAGTGTGACACAGGTCTCAGGAGGTCACCATTCCGCACTCTTGTCTCATCCTGATACCCCATGGGCTATTGTGCCACTGGACTGAGTCGACCCCCTGGTAGGAACACAGGCTCTGCCACTTAATGGGGGAGCCGAACAATCACAACTTCTCTGAGTCACAGTGGCTGACTCTGTAGAGTGGGACCCACACTATCTCCTTTACAGGGTTGTCTTGAGGAATATATGGGCTCAGCTACGCCAAGTGCCTGGCTGAGAGCAGCTGTGGTTGCTCAGTACATGCTGAAGTCCAGAGCTTTCCCAGTTGTGAAAGGACAGGGGCTCGATGAAGGCCTGAAAGCTCAGGAAGCCACCGGGGGAGCTCTCCTGGTCAGTCTCTGGTTCCTTCTAGACCAAAGGCTGGTGCCAAGGCCAACACGGTCCCAGCCGAGTCAGTGGGGTGTGGTCTGTCACCACTGCCTCTGAGATCTGGCCTCTCATCACACGCCTGCTCACAGGAGGCGGGGTGTCCATCTGTCTGTCTCCTGCATTTTATTTCTCCATTTGTTTTGAACTTGGGAGGGGAAGAAAGAGGTGCATCTGCTGACTCCTGGAGCCCCGTTATTGAGGCAGCCTCCCCTTCCCACCCCCTCTCCCTCTGTCCAATCCTCCCAGCATGGATTTAGTGTCCACCTTCAGCCGGCAGGTGACCCAAAGATGAGTAAGAGTTTGTCTCTGCCCTGGAGGAGCTCACAGTTCAGTGGGGAAGACAGACTCATAAATAATTATAAACCATGCATTAGGCTGAGGTATAAACCAAGCTCCTGGGGTTTAGAGCCTGGACCTATTGAAGAACCTCAGACGAGCCATGGCCCCACCTCCCGCCCCTTCAAGCAAGGCACAGCGCAGTGGCGGGCCCTCTCCCAAGTGTGAGGTGAATGCTGTTCCTGGCCACAGGGAGAGAAAAAAAGTAAGAGCACCCAGCCCAGGCCCGTGGGTGCTGGTTCCTGACTGAAACCTGCAGTGAGGCCTGGCAGGGCCTCAGCCTCCCCCGTCCAACGCGCTGGCTGGGCGGGAGGTCTCCAGGTGCTTCCGGCGCTACCGCTGTAGTCCATCACTTGTTGACGCCACGGGTTGGTGCTTGGAGGTCCCTTCCTGGAAATTCCCCAGCCAGGGTCTCCAGGATCTTTTCTCCTTGTTCTCCCCTCCACACGGAAAAGGGGAGCCCGTGGCCTGGTCAGGGTCTGGGTCCTAGGCTCACCAACGTCACTCCAGGGAAGTCCCCTGGAAGCTACAGAGAACCTGATGGGGGAGCGGGGAGGGTCGGGGCCAGGGGCCTGAGGTCTGGCCTCCCCCTCTCTAAGGCCAAGCCCAGTGGATAGGGTGGGTGAGGCATGGTAGGTGCAGTGGACAGACTAGAAGTGGGAACCAGAGCAATAGGTACAGGAGGGCTGCTCCCAGGGGAAGCGTTCGAACACCCCTGCCAGCTCCACTTCCCTCCCACTCCACCCCCATAGCTGATAAACTCTAGATCGAGACCAGCTGGCATGAGCTCTCCCTTCCCCCTTAGCCCTCTCCTCAGAAACTCCTTTTCCCCCTATCAGTCCTCCTAATCGCTGGTCTCAGGAAAGGATTCCCTTCACCACCTCCAAAGCCAGGCCCTTGTTCTCAAGATCAGGCTTCCATTTCCAGAGGGATCTCATCGGAGTCCCTAACACTCATGGGAAGTTCCCTACTCCACTAAGTGCTTAGCTCATCAGGGTGCTTCCTGCCCCCAAATACATCTTCAGCACGTTCCTGCAAACCCCCTTGTTTCACCCCCTCTTCCGCCTCCTCCCAGTATCCCTCCATCTCTTCTCAGCATGCTGCTCCGAGTCTCCTTCTGGAAGCTCTCCTCTTCCCTGGGTCCAGTCTACCTTCTGCACTGGTGCCTGCTCTTCCCGCCACCTCCTGTGAATGCTCCTTGCACTCCCAACCCAGTCTCGGGGCTGCCCTCACCTCCGGGAGCTCATCAACTTCAGGATCTCTATACCCAAGACAAAGCCAACATCCTTCGTCCCTGAGGTCCATCCTGAGGTTCGCCAAGGTCCTTCCTCCCCCATGCCCTTGCCCTCCCTGGAGCATCTCTAGCATCTGAAGTCCATCTGCCACCAGACTGGCTCCCCACAGATGCAACCAAGGTGCACCAAAAGCAATGGAGTGGAACCCAGAAAAAATGACTGTTCAGCTTTGCTGCAGGGTCACCTTGCACCAGCAAGCAGATTCTTCTCAGTGCGCCTATTTCCCTATTGCATCATGGGTGCAGCAATCCCTGCCCTGCCCAGCTCATAGGGTGCTGTAAGTTTCACTTGAAAAAACACAACACATGGCCGGGCGCGGTGGCTCACACCTCTAATCCCAGCACTTTGGGAGGCTGAGGCAGGTAGATCACCTGAGGTCAGGAGTTCGAGACCAGCCTAGCCAACATGGTGAAACCCTGTCTCTACTAAAAATACAAAAAAATTTAGCAGGGCTTGGTGGCGGGCACCTGTAATCCTAGCTACTAGGGAGGTTGAGGCAGGAGGATCCCTTGAACCTGGGAGGCGGAGGCTGCAGTGAGCCGAGATCACACCACTGCACTCCAGCCTGGGCAACAGCAGCAAAACTTCATCTCGAAAAAGAAAAAGAAAAAGAAAAAACACAACACAGAGAGGATTCTTCTCCTCCAAAGAGGATCTTCTGCCAGACGTCACCATCTCTGGGCCCCAGTGAGTTCTGTGACTGCACTCTCTTCAGGCTCCACATTAGGCCTCAAGTCCTGATGAGTTTTTTCTCGGAAATGTCTCTGGGGTTTGAGCTTCCCTTTGAATTCCATCTGTCACCCCCGGCATCTCAAGCCCAGATGGCTAAACTCCCTTCCTGACAGAGCCAATCCATCCTGGTACCACTGTCTCTCCACTGCCATCATGCCCCAGTCTTTACCAAGAATGCGCACAGTGGCTTCCTGCTGCCTGGCAGCTGATGTGTGATCTGTGCTACCCCTACTCATGGTCCCACCTGATCTCTGCAACCCTTCCTTCCCTTAGCAGCTAACTCAACAGTTGCTGCAGTCTGAAGAGCTTCCTGTTCTGTGCCTTCAACTGGACAGCTAGTCCTCAATTCCCGTTTTCCTACCTCCTTAAGCCTCACTCTTCACAGCCTGAAGCGGTGGACTGGGTCAGAGCCACCATACAGGGTACATCTGGGCATTCCCCTCCTGGAATATGAGCTTAAGAATCCTCACCTGCAAGGCGGCGAGTGAGGTGACAAGTGAAAATACCAAGCAAGCCTGGCATGGAGGGAAAACTCAAAAGATGCTGGCTGAAGTGCGGCCTGGGCTTCAACCTCAGTTTAAGATTCACCCCGTCTTGTCGTACAGCATTGCTATTTCTCATCGGAAGAAATAGCGATGATTTCTTTTTTCAAATTTTTAGGTAAAACATCAATCTTAGGGGTACTGTTCAGTGTTTCTCATTTGAAAACCTCTATAATACAGTCTTCTCTGAAGAGTAAGGAAGACATATGTTTCTTCTGATGAGTAAGTGTACTTCCTTTTATGTGACAATGGGAACTCTACAACCTTAGGGCTTTCCATTTTCCACCTTTGACCAGGAAGCTCAGAGCAAGGTCTCATACTCAATTGCAAATCTCCTGGCTGACCTGGGGGAGGGAGGCAGGGTGACATGGGGACAAAGCAGGGTCCCCAGGGTCTGTCGTGGGCTGGAGCACTCTTGGCCCCTTCTTATCCTCGATCACTCTTTCTCTAGGCCCCTCTAAGCTTCAGTCCCCTCACTTGTGTTAAAGGGATAATAAAAATGATGAGGGCAATACCTGTTTTACCTGATTGTTGTGAGACAATGCATTTACAGTATTTTATAAAATTTTAAAAAAGTCATATGAAAGTTGCTCATTAGCAGTCCAGGTTTTCCAACATAATTATTTTCCCTCTTTTTCCCTCCCAATACCTGGATCTGATCTTTCAAACTTTAAGGATTTTTTTTTTTTTGAGACAGGGTCTCACTCTGTTGCCCAGGCTGGAGTGTGGTGGCATGATCTCAGCTCACTGCAACCCCCACCTCCTGGGCTCAGGTGATCCTCCTACCTCAGTCTCCTGAGTAGCTGGGACTACAGGCTCATGTCACCACACCCAGCTAACTTTTTGTAGAGACAGGGTCTCACTGTATTGCCCAGGCTGGTCTTGAACTCCTGGACTCAACCAATCCGCCCACTTCGGCCTCCCAAAGTGTTAGGATTACAGGCATGAGCCACTGCACCCAGCCTACAATTTTATTACAAACTGTGTCTCTTAATCTGCTGTGATCTTTTCTGGAAGAATACAGAATACAAATATTAATAAATGACAAAATCATTCCTACAGAGCAGTCTCCCTGAAGGCAAGAAATTGTGTCCTTCACTTGTTTTGTACAATAATGAGTTACACTAGAAAAGCATTTAGCTATGGAAAGAACTTTCCATTTTGGTTCCTATGCTAAGACCAAAGGGAGTGCTCAATATTAAGTCGCTAAAATAAGTGAAACTGTATGGGTCACACTGAGAATGGTCCAGAAGGGGGCTTTTTGGTTGGGGTTGTATTGATAACACTTGGTGATTTAGTCACACATTCATTCTTTCATTTATCCAAGTATACACTGATGCTGATCATGAATCAGGCATTTGGCTGAGCACTGGAAAAACAACAGTGACCAACACAAACACAGTGTCCACTCCACGCTGAGGCAGCTCACAGTACAGTGTAGGAGGTGGGTAAAAAAATCATTTTAACATGGTAAGGTAAGTGTTACCAGGGCTAGGTGTGGAGGCTTATGCCTATAATCCTAGCACTTTGGGAGGGCAAGGTGGGAGGATCAACATAGTGAGAAACTGTCTCTACATAAATAAAAAGGTAAGTGCTCCAGAGCAGAGAACCACGTGGGGAGCAGCACGGATATCGTGACTGTACCTGGAGGGGACAGGAGAGGGAGGGACAAAGGTTCTAGGTAGAGGACACATAGCATGATCTCTCCAGGTAACCCCAAGAGGTTCAGTGTGCTCAGAGAAGAGATGGGTAGACTCATAAAAACAGGAATGGAGGCAGTGGCCAAACCAAGAATAAGGGTAGCCTCCAAGGAACCTGGAATAGATCTTAAGGGGAGGGGGATTGGCAGAGTCAGGGAAAGGTGCTGATGGCCAAGAAGTGAGGGCTCACCAACATCAGACACGATAGATCCAATCTGGCTCCTTCAAAGGCAGCTCCATACTGCAAGTTGCTGTGTTGCACGACGACAAACTCCTGAGCAGACAGGACTAGCTCTGTAGGCAGGGACCATCAGATGCTGGAGGGACTCACCCAGGGCCTGCATGAACACTGGCTGACTGGGATGCTAAGAAGGGGAGTCAGGTTCTGGACCAGGGCTGGACCAAATGACCTTTCAAGTTCCTTCCAAATCTGAGCTTCCAGGATTCTAAAGCAAGCCCGGTAGCTGAACTGGTGCCATGAGCTGGGATCTGTGGCTGGGGAGCTACCCTGGGCAGCAAATGGGTTAAAGCTCAAATAACTTTTATATATGAATTAATGTGTAGAGTTGGGAGCCAAAATCTGTTCCATTAATTTTTCCATCCATTCCAGGAGCAGTTAGGTACACACAGTAAAGTTTATTTTGGTGCATGGTATACTTCACTCCATTAAAAATAAATTAATCAGCAAATTCCTGCCTGGCTCAGCTCTGGTTTATGTAAATAGTGCCCAGCTGTAATGAGTTACAAGGTGTTATTATCTCACACACACACAGGAGGCTTCACTCTAGAGCTCCGCTCGCAACAAAAGCATCTTAAATAAACTGAGAGAAGCGGTTTGATTTGTAATGTTTTCACAGAAGTGGGATATACCTCACCCATATAGAGTTTCTTTATATGACTCATTTTATAGCAAGTTAAATGAAGGAAGTTTGATGGGGGAGGGAGGGGCAATATGGTTCCCCACCCCCTTTCTTCACTTTAAGAAAATCCCCCAAGAGATGACCCGCACTGAGGGAGGAGGGGCTGGTCCTCAGGTGCTCAGACCAAGGTGGCTCTGCAGCACGTGCTTCAGAAGTTGGGAAGGGGGACCAAAGCTGGGCACAGGTCTGGGTCTGCTACAACTAAGCCAGGAGGAATGTTCTCTTCTCCCCAGTATCTCATGAAAGGGGAGGCCAAGACAGGAGACAGCATGTTCCTCATTCAGTTCACTGGGAGTGACAAAGGTGACTTTGTTCTCAAGGCCTCCTTCCAAATGACTTAGGATGTGAAAGCCCTTGGTCATCAGAGGCCTCCTGGGTCCCAGACGACAGGCCTGGCTGGCTGTATCTTGGCCTGAACAGAGACACATCTCCATGAACTAGAGGCAAGAGCAGCAGAGACCATCCCAGCCTCTTCCCTTTCTCCGTCTCTAACTGAGCTGCGCGGTGCCCTCATTACTGCGTCCACCATCTCAGGCAAGTTTCTAAGTCCCTGGAATAAAGAAGGGCCATGGCAGAGAGAAGTCTCTGTTTCTTTTAATGGCCAACTCAACCCCATGGCTGAAAGCCGAGGGACAACGCGTGGTCACCGACCGGACTCGGCAGCATTACAATCTGCTCCTAGGCCACAGCAGGCCCTGGGGGGTTTCCCTTTTGAACCTACACCATCCCTTCCTTGGCCTTTGGGAAAAGCTATCAGTCACATGTAGTTGCTGGAGGGGGTTGGGGAGTGTGTGCTGGGGGACTCTCACTCGGGGCTTCCCCTAAGGGAGAGGACACCCCGGGAGAGCTAGGGGTTCTCCCAGCCCTGTACCCCAGCAGATCAGACTCCTGGGCACACTAAGAGGAAACTCAACACAAATGGGGCCAGGTATTTGACAGATGCTGTTCAGAGGTCAGTTCAGGCCACTTTCTGCAGGGTCCTGGACCAACAGGCACTTCTCTCCTGGAGGTTCCTCGAAGCCAGCTGGCGGGCCGTGCGGAGGGCCCAGCCCATCAAAGTCCCTCGTCGTTGTAAGTCGGAGAATGGGGCTTCAGGATGCTCTGAGGATTCTTCTCCACTAGAGGGCGCCAGCTCACCTCCCCTGTCAGAAGCAGATCCTCCCCGTTCATGGAGTCCAGGTACTGTATCTGCAACCAGGGGAGGGGGAAGGAGGAAGCGACAGAGGCAGGGCAGAGGTGAGGAGCCAGCGTCAGGAACCAGCCTCCCAGAGGAGAGGAAGGAAGGGGACGGGGCATGAGGGGGGCTTCTGACCATCCCAGGTCCCAGACCAAGCCGTCCCAGGCCAAGCCGTCTCTGATCTCCTAGATAATTTCACTAAGGTGGTTCAGAGAAAGCAGTCACTGGGGAGCTGGGTGGCGGGGGCAGTTAGGGAATTCCCTATCACACCTCTGAATGGAGACAGACACACACCTCCCAAGGACACGTCTCCCCTACACGCCCTCCCTAGACAGCTCCTGCAGGCCAGGAAGTCAGGGCTTGCAGCGCACACAGCCATGCTGTCCACCCCAGCACTGCTGGGTGAGAGTCCTGATTCTGTCCCTTCCCAGTGCTGCTACCCAGGGTGGCAGCTTCCCCTCTCTGAGATTTAAGTTCCCTTGTCTTGAGAGAGGGGATAGAAACAGGTACCTCACAGGACACATGAAGAGATTCAACAATATGCATATATGCAGTGCTAGGCACTCACGCTTTAAACATATGTATGCCTCTGTTGTCCTCTAGTGGGCCCCTGGTCAGTGGGCCCCAGTATCACCTCTCTAGGACAGTAGGGGCAGACAGCTCTGCCATTAAAATGGTCATCATCCAGAGAAGCCACTGCTGCAGGGCCAGGAGACTTCATCTTAGGCTTTAGGTCATTCCCCCTTCCAAGAATCCACCACTCTGGTTGCTTCCGCTTCCAGCTGCTGACGCTTGAACTCAACCCCAGCCTCTCGCACGTGTCTTGGCTCTGGATTCCCACCTGCCCTGCCATCTCTTCCCTAAAGCCCACTCCTCCCTTACAGTGACTCCATTTCTGCCCCCAGTGCCACCCCTCTGCCCACCTCCTGGGTTGAAAATCTCAACAGAACCTCTGGTTGGCTCTTGGGCCATCGGCCACACCAAACAGTCTGCTCAAGGCCCAGCTCCTGCTCTTCCTTTCCCGGCCTTCAGCACTCTGCCCTCCCTGTATCACATAACAGGCTGGCTTACTCCAGGGTTAGCCGTGTGCCTGGGCTTCCTCACCAAACCATGAGCTGGCTCCTCGAGGGCAGGACTGGGTCTTATTAATCGTTGCTTTCCCAAGAGTACATGGAGCAGCAGGTGCTCAAAAGGTTTGCTGATAGAACTGGGTCCCCACCAAAGCTCCCTGCTTTCCCAAGAACCCCTTCACGGTTTTTCCACTGCCTCTCACTGGGGCCACATGGGACCTCTTGTAGGGACAATGGTTGTGGCAGCCCCTTCCTAGAGGGCCCTCGGAGAAGTCCCAGTGTGTCTTGTTGGGGCTTCTGGCACAAGCCCACCATGGCAGATGGAAATGTTGGGCAGGTCTCTCAGAAAACACAGCATTTGCTTTGCGAATTGCTACTCCCGTCTGAGGGTGAGTCCAGTCAACAGAGTATCAGAATTCTCTGTGAGTGGGGCCCTCTGGCCATGCCGTGCCCTCTCCCTGGCTCTAGCAGATTTGAAGAGTGGTCAAACAGAAGTCCTGGCTCCTGGGATTCTCTACCCTGTGGGTCTGCAGAGCCCCAGTATGTGGTTTTTCCAGCAGTTAACAAGCTAGTCCTATGGGCCCTGTCTTCTCAAGAGCTGAAGTCCAGCCTTGCCTTTCCTGGTTGTTGAAGACCATGAATACAAGTGAACAAGAGAGTAACTGTGGCGTGACACCCCTTCAGCTCCAGGGGCCAGGCCATGAAGCAAAGGTGTGACTCATGGCACAGCCTGAGCTGTCTGAGGCAGCTGAGGCCTCAGTGGTCACATGAATCACACAGCTTGGGGCCCTAGGGCAGCTGTGCAGGCTGACTCACTGGGAGGCCCTGGAAGAGCCTCTATGTCCTCTTCGCTGCCAGTCAGCTCACTCATCTATCAAGTATGAGTTTCCCATCAATACAGGATCTGAGGGCAGGGAGGTCAAGGAATTAATTCCCCGGGGCTTGAGGACAGCTATGTGGGTAAGCAGCCCCCACTGCGGAGCTTTCTCGTAGAAGCTTTGATGTCGGGGAGCCCTGGGGAGCCAGAGGGGTGAGAAACTGAAGTGGGGGGACTCTACTTGACTGTGGAGAGCATCTAGCAGGAAGAGGCTGTCTGTGAAATGCTGCCTGCTGCCCAGTTTTGCTGGAAGTCAGGAGCAGGAAACAAATCCAAGTGGGTAGAGAAGGGGTCCACAGTGGGCAGCTGCTACTACACCACGTGCTCATATCTGCCAGGACTCTGTGGGCCCAGCTGCTAGCATAGCACTGGGCGCACAGTAGGCAATGAGGTGCACAGTGAATGAATGACTCAAAGTTCCTGAGGGCAGGAGACTACTCGATGCCTCTTTCTCTCTCTCTTCCCATTTCCCGCTCCCTGGCCCAGTTCATGGTTGGACATACAGAAGGCGCTCCTTCTTCAGCGTCTAGTGCTGATGTGATCTGGTCAGAATTCTCTCAGGCTGGTCCTTGGTAACTCCACCTCTCATGATCCCCTGAAAGCCCAAGAGGAGGACCCACTGTTGCCAGGACTTGGGAGGGGAGGGAAAGGGTCACTCACCTGTTTCCTCACATACTCTACCAGCAATTCAAGATGTCGAGGGTCTTCACATTTCCGGTTGAAGAAGGTTCTCCAGAGGGCAGCGGCCAGCCCATGATCATCTGAAAGGATCCCCTGGAACATACAGCACAGCAGTGGTCTCCTGAGGGATCCACAGAGCCAGGACACAGACGGTGGGGATACTATGAACATGCTAGCAACCATGGAATCAGCTCAGAAGGGCCCTCCACGCACAAGAGGAAAATGGGGCAGTCACACAGTAGAGGTGGAAGGGGTCTTACAAGGGTATCTGGCCCAATCCCTTCATTTTATTACATACAGAGGGAGAACAGGGGGTCCAGAGGGGCCAAGCCACCAGTTAGGTGATGCAGAGCTGGGACTCAGGCAGTACTCCGTACTGCGCCTGGCCCAGGCAACACTTGAGAGGCTGAGAAGAGAAACAGTAGCAGCAATGCTCCCCCTGCTGTCCATAGCAGCAATGCTCCCCCTGCTGTCCACAGGGCACGGGCTGGGAATATTGTGAATGTATGTTTCTCCCAGGAATGGAGGTGGGCATGGACTGTGCCTTCTTGCTTGGTCCAAGGACCAAGGCAAGGCAACTGGTCCTTGGGGGAAGGGAGCCAGCTACCTTGTCTTCACTCTTACCCAACTCTGGGCCCAGCCTCTCCCTAAGTAGGGGAACAGGATGTTCAGCAGGATTGCTGGGGCCACAGAGGGCCAGGCTCAGAGCTTGCATGTGTGTGTGTGCCTAACGCTGCCTCTTTTGGCAGAGGAGACTTCTGTTGGGAAGCTTAAAGATTACAGAGCAAAATAAGAGCCCCAGCCACCAGCTAAGGACATTTTCTAGCTTGGACCTCTAGAGGAGGGAGGGCTGAGAGTCTTGCTTCCTGGGGTGAAGGTGGCTGATGGAACAGGCCCTGAGAAGTTGCTCTGTCCAGGTGCCAAGGTAGTGTGTGGAATCGATGTGCTGACTTGGAGTTAGAAGGGAGATCAAGTCCTAATTCCACCTCTGCCAAGATCAGTGATGGTGGCAGCTGACTAAACCAAAGTCTCAATCTTCTACTTCTTCAAAACAGATGAAGTTACCTGCTCTACTTATAGCATTCTTGAACTATTTGTTAAGTGTAATCTGTTGGATACAAAGATTAGGAGCATGCTTTGGCAGACAGCGGGGATACAGTCAAAACCGTGGGGTCTGGGAGCCAGAGCACAGAGTTCGAATGCCAGCTGTGTCACTTGATGGCCATGCGGCCTTTAAGAAGCTATTAGCCATTCCTGAGCCTCAGTTTTTCATGAGTCAAACAAGCCTAATAATACCTATCCCACAGAGTTGCTGTGAGAATTAAGAGATACTGGCCATGAATGGCTCTGTAAGTGGTAAACATTACCCAAAGACCCAGGATCACTTTATTCGACATTTTATTGTGGTCTGTCCTCTTGGGCATTGTGGTATGTGAGGTCTGGCTCCAGGCCTGCTGCCAACAAGGGCCATGTCCAGTATGGGGTGCTGACAGTTTGGTAGAAAAACATTCCACCTGTTCCAAATGCTCTCTGATAAACCCTCCTTACGGTTCCACAGCTTAGGACTGTCCTGGCACAATGGCTGAGTCAGGAAAACTGGCTTTTTCTGGCACATGGGGACAGGAGCAGAGGACAAGCTCAGGCACATCACCCTTCTGCAAACGATTTGCTAGCACAACAGCGTGCCTGTGTCTGCTGT
Organism: Homo sapiens; assembly: GCF_000001405.40. Classification (NCBI taxonomy): domain Eukaryota; kingdom Metazoa; phylum Chordata; class Mammalia; order Primates; family Hominidae; genus Homo; species Homo sapiens. Next base: position 35,308,386 of record NC_000020.11, read on the forward strand.
GCCTGGGCACATGCCAGAGCGCTGCTGGCAGCAACCCACATGTGCTGTGCAGAAAGGAATGGGATTGGGAGCGCGTGTTATGGGGACCTGGAGAATGGGCAGAGCCCAGGATGGGAAAACAGGCAACTTTAGCAGCGGGTGAGATGGCTGGGAAGGGGCAAATTCATAATCAGGAATTCCTGAGCCATCAGAAGGAAAAGGATGACTCAGGACCCACTAATAGTGAGAACAACCCAACTGTTTCAGACTGTTAGGGTTCCCTCACACGCCTAGCTCCTAATGATTATGTTTGCCAAGTAGAATAGATATTATATTCCCATTTGCTTTGCTTTGTTTTGTTTTGTTTTGAGATGAAGTCTCACTCTGTCACCCAGGCTGAAGTGCAGTGGCATGATCTTGGCTCAATGCAACCTCTGCCTCCCAAGTTCAAGTGATTCTCTTGCCTCAGCCTCCCAAGTAGCTGGGACTACGGGCATGTGCCATCACACCCGGCTAATTTTTTGTATTTTTAGTAGAGACAGGGTTTCACCATGTTGGCCAGGGTGGTCTCGAACTCCTGACCTCAAGTGATCTGCCTGCTTCGGCCTCCCAAGTGCTGGGATTACAGGCGTGAGCCACCGCACCTGGCCTATATCCCCATTTGAAAGATAAGTAAACTGAGGCTTAGAGGCTAGCTAACTGATGGCTGAACTAGAACCAGCATGCATTGATGAGGTGGGGGATGATGACTGACCCACTCTAGTCAGAATACAGAACCTGGCATAGAGTGGGAGAGCAATCAGAATGGCTGAATACCCAGCACTTTGGGAGTCCAAGCTGGGTGGATCACTTGAGCCCAGGAGTTCAAGACCAGCCTGGACAACATGGCGAAACTGTTTCCACAAAAAAATATAAAAATTAGCCAGGCATGGTGGCACACAAGTGTAGTCCCAGCTACTCGGGAGGATGAGGTGGGATGATCACCTGGGCCTGGGGAGGTTGAGGATACAGTGAGCTGTGATCACACTGCTGCACTCCAGCCTGGGCAACAGAGTGAGACCCTGTCTTAGGAAAAAAAAAAAGAATAGCTGAATAAATCAACGAACACAACTTCAGCCTTCTTCCCACCACACTGCTAGTGTAAGGCAGTGAAAACAAATGAGAGACTAATCTGAGGGTGCACATTTCAAACTAAGAAAGCAGAACTGGAAGAAGGGTCCTGGGAACCAAACATGAGGGCACAGCATAATTTCCCCCCAATCTAATCGGGTGCCTACTTGTTTTCCCTCGTGACACAATGAAGCATCCTTCAGAAATTAAGACACCTAGGTCTAGAGTAACTGAGAGGAAGCCAAGGGGATTGTTTCAGCTTTGGAGGGTTCTAGTTCTGATTAAGGGTTTAAAGTGGCAGAGTTCCACTCAGTGAAGATTGATTTGACATCACTATGTGCTCAGCATGATGCTAGGAACACAAGAGTCACAGCAATATGGTCTGAGCTCTCAGGGAACTTGCAATCTAGCTGAAGGGACAAAATCAGTGCACATCTAACAGCAGCACAGAGTAAAATCCCGGAGAATGAACACATGCCAAGCTGCACAGTGAGACTCAGCTACACTCTACATGGCTGCCTCCTTGTTCTACAGTCTTAGCTTTTATGACAACTCCTCAGAGAGATCTTCCTGGTCCACATCAAGTCATTCCCCCTGTTGTTCTCTCTCACTGCACTCTACTGTAGTTAGATATTTACTGCTTATCTGCTACTTGTTTACTATGTCTCTCAATTAGAAGGTAAGCTCTAGTGGGAAAGAGCCAGACCGTGTTTGTTTTATTCACCAATATATTCCCATGTATCACACATGGTAGACACTCAAAAGCTACCTGTTAAATGGATAATGAATAGATGGATGGGTGTGGAAATTCACAGTAAAAACACAAGCGATCCAGAGAGGTCAGGGAAACCTTTCTGAAGAAGTAGGCCTTTAAGAATTGGGAGGATTTAGCGGGTGTGGTGGCTCACGCCTGTAATCCCAGCACTTTGGGAGGCCGAGGTGGGTGGATCACGAGGTCAAGAGATCGAGACCATCCTGGGCAACGTGGTGAAACCCTGTCTCTACGAAAAATACAAAAAAAATTAGTCAAGCATGGTGGCGCCTGCCTCTAGTCCCAGCTACTCAGGAGGCTGAGGCAGGAGAATCCCTTAAACCCGGGAGGTGGAGGTTGCAGTAAGCTGAGATTGTGCCACTGCACTCCAGCCTGGCAACAGAGTGAGACTCTGTCTCAAAAAAAAAAAAAAAAAAAAAAAATTGGGAAGATTTGGAAAGCTGCAGATTTTTTTTTTTTTTTTTGAGATGGAGTCTCGCTCTGTCACCCAGGCTGGAGTGCAGTAGCGTGATCTCAGCTCACTGCAAGCTCCACCTCCTGGGTTCATGCCATTCTCCTGCCTCAGCCTCCCGAGTAGCTGGGACTACAGGCGCCCACCACCATGCCGGGCTAATTTTTTTTTTTTTTTTTTTCAGTAGAGACGGGGTTTCACCATGTTGGTCAGGCTGGTCTCGAACTCTTGGCCTCGTGATCTATCCACCTCGGCCTCCCAAAGTGCTGGGATTACAGGCGTGAGCCACTGTGCCTGGCCAGCTGCAGATTATTCTAAGCAAGAGAAAATATTCAAAATATTTACAGAGGGAGTGCCTACAAGGTACACCAGGCCCTGAACCAGACCCTAAAGCTGACCAAGACTCAGCTACTGCCCTCAACCCCTCATTGTTAGGTAGAGTCTCAGTCAGGCACAGCATGTCTATAGGGCAGTAAGGCAAACGGCCTAAGAGAGAGCACAAGAAATATAAAGGCAGATAGGGCACATAGCAATGGCAACAGTTCACAGAAGGCCTGGAAGTTCAGGGAGCAATTTGGACCTAATGTCACAGAAAACAGGGAGGTTCCCAAAGCGTCCAGGGAGGGGGAACAATCCAAGCAAGATTCTAGGAAAAGGTTGCTGTAGAACAGCGCTGTCCAATAGAACTTTTTGTGACTATGGAACTGTTCTGTATCTGCACTGTCCAAGATGGTAGTCACATATAGTAACTGAGTACCTGAGGATCTGAATTTTCCATTTTATTTAATTAATTTAAATTAAAATAGCTGCATGTGTTTAGTATCAAATAGCTCTAGCACCTTGTGACTCCAAGTGTGGTCTGCAAAATGGCTGCACCCCCATCACGTGCAGCTGTTAGCAATGCAGAATCTCAGGCCCCGCCCCAGACTTGCTGAGTCAGAATCTGAATTGTACCTAGGTCCTCTAGGTGACTCACATGCACATTAAAATACAGGAAAAACTTCTAGAATTGCACATTAAAATCACCTGGGAACTTTTACAACTACAGATGTCCACCTCCACCAATTAAATCAGAATCTTTGGGGGACAGGGCCCAGACACTGATATTTCTAAAAAGTGTCCCAGGTAATTAGTATATTTCCCCAAAATTTCCTGCTCTTAAAAGTCACCTTCGGGTGACTTGTTGAACCACCAGGCAGCACTCCTACTGAATTGTAATCTTCAGAGAGGTGATAAAGATTTAGATTTTAAAAGCACCCCAGGTGACTCCTGTGGTCAGGCACAGTTGGGTAAAATGGCTCTGCCAGAATGGACTGGATGGGGGACCGGAAACAAACACAATTCGGTACATTTTTATTAATACTGATGAAAGGATCGACTGAGCCAATAGAGCCACCTGCAATAAAGACCATAAACAAAGGCTCACAGAGAGGTGTAGTTCTTCACTCCTAAGCCTCATCCTTTTCTATATTGTAAGGCTTCTACAATTACAATTCGTCCACTTTTATAATTGATATGTACACTTGAGCAATAATTCTCAATTCCCAACCCATAACCCCCGAAAGCTCATGTTAAGTTAATGATGTGTATAGTATGCAATGTAAATGCTCCCTTGTAATTCAGGATATCCAGTAGAATAGGAATCAGGAGACCCTATTTTAACAAAAGTTAAGAAACTGAACTCCAGTTTCTTAACTTTTGTCCTTTTATGCATTTCTCACTCTTTGACTACCACATGCCAAGCACTATGCCAGGCCACAGAAATGCAAACACAGTAGGCATTGCACTACCCAAAAAGAAATCCCCACCCAGCCAAGGTGACAGATAATGTGAATGTAGTAAGCACTGTGAGAGTGCAGGGAGGATGGAATGAGCTGAGTCACAGGAAGTTCAGGAACCGCTTCCCAGGAGGGGTCATGCTTGCATTAAATCTGGAGGTAACCACAAAATCAGTATAAAAGCATATGGTTAGTTTAAAATATCAGGTGTTCATTACACCATTCTTTCTACATGCTTGAAATCTCCACAATAAATGTTGGGGAGAAAAAAGATGAGATAGATGAACCTCGAGGGCATTATGTTAAGTGAAATAAGTCAGTCACAAAAGGTCAAAAATTGTGTGATTCTACTTATATGAATTATCTACAGTAGTCAAATTCATAGAGACATAAAGTCAAATGAATGGTGGTTGCTAGGGGATATGAGGGAAGGAGGGAATAATTATTGTTCAATAGGGACAGAGTTTCAGTTTGGAAGATGGAAAAGCTCTGGAGATGAATGGTGGTGACGGTGCAAAGCAATGGGAATGTACTTTATGCTACTAAACTGTACACTTAAAAATAGTTAAAATGGTACATTTTATGATATGTATATTTTACAATTTTTTTAAAAAGATGAGGCCAGGCGTGGTGGCTCACGCCTGTAATCCCAGCACTTTGGGAGGCCGAGGCGGGCAGATCACAAGGTCAGGAGATCGAGACCATCCTGGCTAACACGGTGAAACCCTGTCTCTACTAAAAATACAAAAAATTAGCCGGGTGTGGTGGCAGGCGCCTGTAGTCCCAGCTACTCAGGAGGCTGAGGCAGAAGAATGGCGTGAACCTGGGAGGTGGAGCTTGTGGTAAGTAGAGATCGCGCCACTGCACTCCAGCCTGGGTGACAGAGCAAGACTCTGTCTAAAAAAAAAAAAAAAAAAAAAAAAAGATGAGATAGATCCAAATGTCCTGATGTGGAAGGACACCCAAGATACATACTTCAGTGAAAAAAGCAAGTTGCAGAATCATGTGTCTAGTGTAACTCCAGTTGCATAAAGAAGGAAAAGACAAAGGTGCTTGTCTATGCACAGACAACATTCGGAAGGACATCCAATAAACTAGAAATTAAGTTTTCGTCTGGAGCAGGGTAGGAAATAGGTCTTCTAATTTCATTTTTTTTGAGACCAAGTCTCATTCTGTTGCCCAGGCTGGAGTGCAGTGGCGCAATCTCAGCTCACTGCAGTCTCCGCCTCCCAGGTTCAAGAGACTCCGCCTCTCATGCCTCACCTTCCCAAGCAGGTGGGATTACAGGCACATGCCACCATGCCTGGCTAATTTTTGTATCTGTAGTAGAGACGGGGTTTCAGGCTGATCTCAAACTCCTGACCTCAGCTGATCCACCCACCTCGGCCTCCCAAGGTGCTGGGATTACAGGCGTGAGCCACTATGCCTGGCCAGGTCTTCTGATTTCTATTTCAACCACTTATGTACAGCTTTACAAACTTTTATTTTTATTTATTTATCTTTTTTTGAGACGGAGTCTCACTCTGTCACCCAGGCTAGAGTGCAGAGGCATGATCTCGGCTCACTGCAACCTCCGTCTCCCAGGTTCAAGCGATTCACCTGCCTCAGCCTCTAGAGTAGCTGGGATTACAGGCACCCACCACCATACCCGGCTAAGTTTTGCATTTTTAGTGACACGGGGTTTCACCATGTTGGCCAGGCTGGTCTCGAACTCCTGACCTCAAGTGATCTGCCCACCTCAGCCTCCCAAAGTGCTGGGAGCCACTGCGCCCAGCCAGTTTTACAAACTTTCAAAATGAATATGTATTGCTTTCATAATTAAAGCAAAAAAAAAAAAAAGTGTATACTTTGCCTGGCAGACCATGCTGTTTACGTGAATATCCTCCTCTCTCTGGGAGCACATGGGGCTAAGACAGTGTCTCATTTGCCTCTGTCCCTCCATCCAGCACCCAGCAGCCACTCAACAAATGCTGACTAGTTGAATGGTTTGACCATATTATATACTGCTTTCTTTCCCAAACATGTGGCATGTTTCCCAAACATGCTCAGCACATTCATTCTCGCTGCCCAGTTGATGAATATGAAGAAATAAATACTACGCCATGGTGGTAGCCAGTAACAATGGTCCCTGTGGCTTCCCTCAGAGGCTCTCATCAAAAGCCTTTGCTGGGGGAGGCCACCGTCCTGCCTAAGCCTTGGCAAACAATCTTACCTCATCATATCCCAAGATCGCTGCATAGAAATGATTTGTCATGAGGATCATGTTCTTCTTCAGGATATAGGGATTAACCTACAGAAACAAATGGCAAAAACAAAAGTTTGAAAGAAAGAAAGAAAAAAACCCAAAAAGTATGATCTTTGACTCTTAGCTGTCACAGACTCTTAGTAGAAGAGAGACGGCCACTAACAAGTCAAGCTGCCAGTCCATTCTCAATTCCCTGATGTGTCAGGATTCTCCCCAATTTGCCAAATTCTTTTAGGTTTTGATCTCAAATTACACAAGTCAGCTTAATGAACTGAGCCCCAACCACATGTTTAGTTTTGTGCTAGATCCTATGAACCAAGTATAAGAAACAGTTTCTTGATTGGAGGAGCACAGTCCAATGTAGGAAAATAGGCATATAAAAAATAATTATACTGCAACATGTTGCCTCAAATCCTATTCTAAACATGCTGAGTGATAAATGGGTTTTAGTTTTACCTGCTTGAGGGAGCTGGTAAGGGCTCTCTAGGAGGTAACATTTAAGTGAAACTTGGAGGAGGAGGAGTTTGACAGAGGAGAGTGAGGGGGAGGAGGGAGAGAGAGCATTCTAGACAGAGCAAGGTGTGCAAAGGTGCAGAGGCTGGAAAGAAAATGGCGCAGGGAGGGTGTCAGGGAGGGTGAATAGGCAGGATCACAAGAAAGTTATGTTGAGACTAGGTTAGGAGACATCTTAAGGGCCACTCAAAAGAGTTTGTCGTGATGAAAAAACAGAGAAGGAAGTGGTCAGAGGTGGGAAGAGGAGGGAGAGAGGCAGGACTCTGAGAGACATGCTGAGGAAAAAGGGGGGCCTCTGAGGCCATGGAAAGGAGGGAAGAACAAAGCAGGGGCAGCTCTGAAGCAAGAAGAATGTTAAAGTTAAGAGATCATTTTGGCTGGGCAGTGGTTCATGCCTGTAATCCCAGCACTTTGGGAGGCCAAGGCAGGCAGATCGCTTGAGCCCAGGAGTTTGAGACCAGCCTGGGCAACATGGCGAAACCCCATCCCTACAAAAAAATACAAAAATTAGCCTGGCATAGTGGTGCATGACTGTAGTCCCGGCTACTTGGGAGGCTGAGGTGCATCACTTGAGCCTGGGAGGCCGAGGCTGCAGTGAGCCAGGATCGCGCCACTGCACTCCAGCCTGGGCAACAGAACAAGAGCCTGTCTCAAACAAACAAAAACTCAGAGACTGTTTTAGAAATGCAATTCTGGTGAGATGGTTGAGAGCCCAGTAGAACTCCTCTCTCCTCTTGGGGAACAGCCTGGCCTGGAGGATCTTCAGGGCCCAGAGTGCAGTTCGCTGAATGCCTTCAATAGGGTACAACTCTGACCTCCAGACAGTAACACGCTGTAAGGCAGGGTCCACGTTTTATTCCTCTTCAGGATCCCAGCAGAAAGCCAGTGCAATGTATAGCACAGAGTAAGGACTCTGACTATCTGAACTGATGGTTTTGGAAATAGCCAAAAGGCATTTGGAACTTTATGTGGAGAACAAGATTTGTGCTTAACAACTCTGACGGTGACCATGCCCACAGTCATCTCATTTACGAAGCACCTGTCATGGGCTGGGAGGTAGATGTGTTACAGTCACTCAGACTGTAAGTGACTGTGTGAGAGACTCAGACTGGTGAAGTGATGCCTTGTGTCACACAGCAAATTCATGATAAAGCTGAGATCAGCATCCAGGTCAGTCTGAATCCAGAGTCCACACTCCTTACAGTCTGCCAGGGTTCTGCTTCTGGGAGGATAATTTTACTTTGGGTCACAAATCAAAGACTGAGTGATTTTATCCTGTGGCTCATAACTAGTCTCGGAAGAAATGTAGAAAGGGTGATCTGGATTTAGACTCAGAAAACCTGGGTTCAAGTGATAGTTTTGCTATGTACACAGGATGTTATCTTAAGCAAGTCAACCTGAGTCCATTTCCTTTTTCTTTTTTGAGACAGAGTCTCGCTCTGTCACCCAGGCTGGAGAGCAGTGGTGTGATCTTGGCTCACGGCAACCTCCGCCTCCCGGGTTCACAGCATTCTCCTGCCTCAGCCTCCCAAGTAGCTGGGACTACAGGTGCCCGCCACCATGCCCAGCTAATTTTTTCTATTTTTAGTACAGACGGGGTTTCACCGTGTTAGCCAGGATGGTCTCGATCTCCTGACCTCGTGATCCACCCGCCTCGGCCTCCTAAAGTGCTGGGATTACAGGCATGAGCCACCACGCCCGGCCCATTTCCTTTTTTTTTGAGACAGAGTCTCGCTCTCTTGGCCAGGCTGTAGTGCAGCGGCATGATCTCAGCTCACTGCAATCTCCGCCTCCCGGGTTCAGGCGATTCTCCTGCCTCAGCCTCCCGAGCAGCTGGGATTACAGGCACCTGCCACCACACCTGGCTAATTTTTTTGTATTTTTAGTAGAGATGGGGTTTCACCATGTTGGCCAGGCTGGTCTCGAACTCCTGACCTCAGGCGATCAGCCCGCCTCGACCTCCTAAAGTGCTGGGATTACAGGCGTGAGCCACTGCGCCCGGCCCCTTTCCTACACACAGGGCTATTTGGAAGAGCACGTGAGTTAGCATGCATTCATTCATTAATTTAATAATGTATGTATGCTGAAAGCCTTGGTAAACTGCAGAATGCTCTGCAAATGTAAGGAATTATAAGTAATAACTTCTGGTTTGTTTACATAAAACCAAAACCAGTTCCAATGCTTTACAGCCATGGATAATTTTCAAAAATGAAAGGATTGTGAAGCTCAAGGCTGGAAAATGTAGACTGGATGTAACTAGGAGTGCAAACCATGACCTATCCCACACACCTTCAACCAGGGCTACATTAGCCATCCATCCTTGGTGTTCTCACAGCTCTCTGGGCATATTTTCTGCCTGGGTACACACGTGGTTTAGAGCTGCTTATGCACCTGTCTCTCCCATTAGTCTGGGAGCTACTCAAGGGTCATAGGAACCATGTCTGATTAATCTCGGCACCCCCATCATCTGGTCCAGAGCCTAACCCAGAGCAGGGGCTAAGACAGGCTTGCTGGTAACTGAATTTTTACAAGGGCCTGTGTACTACGCCATGCATAGCATGTTCTATCCAACTAGTGTTTTAGGGGATTTTCTTCTTCTTCGCCTTTCTTTCCCCCTGTTGAATACCTTCTGTGTTTCTGGAATTTCAGAAACATATACTGCCAAACTTCTACTGTCCCATCTTCCAGAAAGGGGTAAAGGGAAGAGTCAAGAAACAGGCCAGAGCTAGAGTTCATTCCTTCTGTCATGTGAGGATGAGACTACAACTCAGACCTCCTGATACCCATACTTGGAGGATCTCCCTACTCCCACATGAGTTGTTCTCCTAATTGTGTTAGGAATAATCACAGCCACAAACGGATGATATCAGAGGTGTCAAACAGTAAGGCAGGAGCATCTCTCAGAGGAAAACATTCACTGAACCTGCCTAGCAGAGCTAGTTTATGTCATGTATCACACCATTAAGCTTTGGAGCAGGAAGGGCCCTCAGAGATTACCTAGCTCAATACCCTTGAGGAAAGGGTGAACTGAAACCCAGAAAGAAGAGACTTATTCAAGATCACACATCAAGTTAGTATAAGAGCCAGGATTAGAACCTGATTTCTGGGTAAGTGCTTTTCCTACTTTACCATCTGCAGGGCATTTCCAGAGATCATCAACACATTCATCTGCAAACCTCAGTTCTTGCTTTCCAGCAAGGCCCACAAACATACAAACACATTTTCTCCTCTTGGGATACACCTGCATTCTGGTTGGCTACTGCCCAGGAAAAACGGAGTGCAAGAGTAGAGTTCCTTACTAGCAAGGCTCCTTGACTTCCTGGTCCTATATTCTAACTCCAGTGACCTGTAAGCTGCCTCTCCCTTCACCTCTAGCTGAGACAATGGCAAACTGCCACAGCTAGAAATGCTTTTCAGATATCATCACCCAGGCTGGATTAGATCATGAAAAGGGGCCTTCCTGGAAGAGGGTGGAAGTGAGATCAGTACAGACACGTGATCTGCAGGCAACAGGTGAGGGCAAGTGACAGCACCTTCCTCAACTACCGGACTCACTCGGCAGGGCCCTTCTAGCTAGTCCAGCAGCCAAGGGGAGCAGGATATTCGCTCTGGTGAATCCCTGTTGGATTTTATTCCCTCATTTAAGTTTTTGGTTGCTGGTGTGCAGGTTCCCCACCTCTCCACTGCCAGATCATTCTATATGGAGCACTCTGCCCATGACTACACAGCTGCACCCAGCAGAAGAGAAACTCCTCCCAGATAGTGTTGGGCCGTTCTCTTATTAAACTCATCCTTTCCATAATGCTTTGCTTTTCATAAAAACCCATACATACAACACCACAAGGAAAAGGTTCCTTTTATATCAGTTACTCATATTTTCCCATTTATTTAAGCCATTAAAATTCATGCAGATATTTTATAAGCCACCAGGATTCAGTGACTGGTATTACTGAATGTTTAATAATAAACTAAACAGAAGAAATCAGAGGGTTAAATGATGACTGCAATTCCTGTAATGACTTAATTAAATTTTTATTGAGTACATAAACTATGATGTCACCTCTAGCCAACCACAGGCCTGCTTTCCCAGCATGTCACAGGGAGGGAGCACTCAATAGGAGGCTTGGCTAAATGAGCAGCAGGTCTCAGCTGAAATGGGGAGGGGAGTGAGGCTCATGTAACACACTCAATAAATTATCCGTTCATTTTTAAACAAAGTCCATGAGTTATAATATATTTGCCATGCACTTTTTATGACATAATAAAAATGTTACCTTAAGGATTACTTAACACATACTACAAATATTATAGCAGAGGCAGGCACAAGGGGCAAAGAAAACAAACACGAGCAGGCCAGGGACGGGTCCTGGAGTTTATGTCCCAGGGGAAACAGCATAGTATATTAAAAAGGGAATGCAAAAAAAAGGAAGGGATGCAAGAGTTCAGGGTTACTAATCGGCAGATTAATGAATGAGACAACCAACAGAGAACACAAGTAAGGCAATAATGAATCTTGCAGGGCACATGTTTAATTAAAGTAGCATTCTCAAGGAGGAATATTAGCTTTAAAGAGATGCCAGTTCATTTGAGGCCAATTCGCTGCTCTCTTTCCCCTTTTCACTGTTGCTGCCTTAAAGATATTTATGTGACTGCTTAACAGAGGAACCAGACTATGTGGATACAGGGACTGATGGGAGATCAAGTTTTAACTCCTCCATGGACTCTACAAGGCTTCTAGTGATCTGCTCTTGGCCATCTTTTTTGCCTCCCCTCCTCTTGCCTCCCCATCTTACTTCACCCTGCAGTCAGTAAAGTATGTGCACAGATACATCATGCTGTCATCTATTTCTTAGTCATACTGCTGCCAGGAATTCTTCTCTTCTTTATCCACTGATGGAAGGGATGCTAACTCCTTATCCTCTAAGACTTAGCACACATATTTTCTCTACTAAGTCTGCCCTCTCCCCCATCTACAGGTGCCCCAAAGTGATTCAAGTCTGGAGACGGGTCCCATCATTCATTATTTACCAAGTGCCAATAACTGTGCTACAACTTTACACATTAGCCCACTTAAACCTTCCCAAGGACTCTAAGAGACAGGAACTGTTACTGTCTCCACTTTAGAGAAGAGGAATCTGATGTTTGGGAAAGTTAAAGCTAGACAGCTAGGAAATAGTGGGGTCAAGATAAGAATACAGAGCAATCCAACTCCATTGCCTACCTGTGTTGGAATAGACACTGGAAGGAATGTAGCTGCCCCTTCCTGTGCCCCACAGCTCAGGCTATCTGCAGAGGCAGAACTAAGAAATGCTAATGTGGTCTTGAGTAAACACAACTCAGAGATTCCAGTTCCAGTGGCAGCTAGAGACAGCCACCAGATGGGTCATCAGTGGCCGGTTACTAATACATCAGATATCCCTAGTAGAGCCAAGCTCCACTCCTGGGAAAACCTGAGGTTGAGAGTGGGTGTAATTATGGTGGGGGAATGGGAAAACAGAAGAAAGTTGGTATGGAAAACACTGATGAGCATGAAGGTGAGAATAAGCTTTAAGGTTACTGGCTTGAAGCAAAGTTGCTAACAGTAGCAGACTAAGAATTTGCTGGAATGAATGAATGACAAAGGACAGCTAGAGTTGCTGGCTGAAGCCTAAGGACTATATCAAATTCATCATAAGGCAACAATGCAACACAAGATTGTAGGTCATGTTTTAGTTTGCTGTAGTAGACAGTAATGCCACCACCAATGCTTTGCAGTGCCAACGCCATGTTCTACAGTCATTGTGCGGCAACAGGCTGATGTGCACTGAACATCAGCTAGCCTATTTAAAGTTCAGGTTAGAAATTAGCCCACTGTGGAATATTTTGTGAGATACTTAGAAACAGAGTAAGAGTAGACAGACAAGAGAGACGGGGGACATGGAGAGACCAAATAAAAAAGTCTACCTGTTAACTCACATGCATTACGACTGAAAGATCTATTGAGGGTCTTTTAGCAATGATGACAAAATACAAACAAAACTGTGTGTGTGTGTGTGTGTGTGTGTGTGTGTGCGCGCGCGCGCGCGCACGCTCAGGCACGCATGCATATTGAGCAGTTCCAGAAAAAGTTGTTAATACCAAGAATAAAAAGAAAAATATTTTAAATGAAAGACAATTTCTTTTTCTCTTTTTAGAAAATAATGTGAACATTTAAATAGAGTATGTTCCCGTTGCGATGAAAGGCCAACCTAAACCCAGCATGAGGAGGTCCATTTTAAAATCCATTTTAAACATTTCAAACTTTTAATGTACAAGGGAAGCTTGCTATGATGACATGCTGTTTAAAAATATTCCCTTATTGGCTGGGCAAGGTGGCTTACGTGTATAATCCCCATGCTTTGTGAGGCCAAGGCAGGTGGATCACTTGAGGCCAGGAGTTCAAGACTAGCCTGGACAAAAAAGTGAGGTCCTGTCTCTACAACATAGTAATAATAATACAAACCCCTTTCTTATTTATTTTGAAAATTCTAGTTTTGCTGCTTGGGATCTACATGTTCAAGACTGCATAGCCTGATAATGTGCTGAAAAACAAGGGACATGGTTGGCAGACAGAATTGCAGAACCAGCAGCCCTAATTTCTATATAGTCACGAAGTACAGGAGTCCTTCCCTCAGGCTTGGAAAATAGCCAAGAGAGAAGAGATGTATGTCCTCAGAAATTCTAGTCATTTGTCCAGTTGAGAAAACATGAGAACACATAATATTAAGTCCACAATCATCTTCAAAAGGAGCTGATGAGGTACACTACGGTTCTGGGATGATCAAACTACCATGGCAATTTAACTTTCGTCTCTTTTAGGGCATTTGAATAAGGGGAACATTATAGCTATAATCTACTTTGGTTTCTGGAAGCTTTTTGTAGTATTCCACATGACAAGTCTCATGCATACTCATTAGAGAAGCCAACACCTGGCTTGAAAGAGTCGCAGTTTCAACAACAGCACTGATGGTGCGGAGTCCTAAAGGAAATAATCCTGGGTACTATCTAAAATCCGTACTGATAATAATGATGACAGTGATGGTCGTAACAATGATTACACAATGCATTTAATAATATTTTCATTTTATTATCTTATTTGTGCCTCACAACCACAACCCTGCCCTCGAGGAGCTCACAGCCAAAATGCTATTGTTGTCCTGATTCTATAAACAAGGAAACAGAAGCTCAAAACTGTTAAGTGGCCAGGTGCGGTGGCTCACGCCTGTAATCTCAGCACTCTGGGAGGCTGAGGTGGGCCGATAACCTGAGGTCGGGAGTTCGAGACCAGCCTGGCCAACATAGTGAAACCCCATGTCTACTAAAATACAAAAAATTAGCTGGGCATAGTGGCGCATACCTGTAGTCCCAGCTACTCAGGAGGCTGAGGCGGGGGAACCATTGAACCCGAGAGGCAGAAGTTGCAGTGAGCCAAGATTGTGCCACTGCACTCCAGCCTGGCAACTGAGCAAGACTCTGTCTCAAAAAACAAAAACAAAAACAAAAACAAAAACGTTAAGTCACTTGTAGTCAAATCACATCCTGCTTGTAAGTGACAGTGCTGGGACTTTTAACTCAGATGGTCAGTCTCTAAATCTACTGTCTTTTCTTTTTTTTGAGACGGAGTCTTGCTCTGTCACCCAGGCTGGAGTGCAGTGGGACCATCTCGGCTCACTGCAAGCTCCGCCTCCCGGGTTCACGCCATTCTCCTGCCTCAGCCTCCTGAGTAGCTGGGACTACAGGCGCCTACCACCATGCCCGGCTAATTTTTTGTATTTTTAGTAGAGACGGGGTTTCACCGTGTTAGCCAGCATGGTCTTGACCTCCTGACCTTGTGATCCGCCTGCCTCAGCCTCCCAAAGTGCTGGGATTGCAGGCGTGAGCCACCGCGCCCGGCCCCAATCTACTGTCTTTTCTAAGCGATCACACCTTTCTGCTTCTGATGAGTCATATGAGAAATGGAAGAATCACACAAGCACAAAGCTAAAATTGCTCATTTCTGCACTTTGGAAAGCAAGAGTAAAATAGACTCTTTTTAAATTTAGAAAAACTGTCCTTAAAAAGAAGATGAGATTCGACAAGGTCAAATGCACAGTATTATGTCTATATCAAAATAAAAAAATAACAGGATGAAGCAAGGGTCTGACCAAGTAGATGTAATAGCATCCCAGAGCAAATCTTTCTCATGAACAGATAAATCAGAAATATGAAAAGGTAATTATTATTATCTATATTAAAGGAAAAGCCATATGCAAAGGTCAAAAAGTTTTCTCCCCTCATTTATTTTAATAGTCAAAAGTCTTTGTCTTACCAACCGTACTTAAGAATGAACATGGAGAAACCAGAGAGGTTTCAAGAAAGAATGTCAGATATATATGGTTACAATGGGTTGGCACTGGTCACAGGCCAGGGCGTTCAAGATTCTATGGCCAAGAGAAACACCCAGAGGCTATTCCATGGATTGGTCAGGTTGCCTCCATCATCTGCCTCAATGGGTCAGTAGATCTTAGAAGTACTGTGACACTGAGGTTTCTCTCTCTGCATTTCTTCCTTATGTTCAGGACCTACTCTTTCCCATTTCCACGAGTTGGCAGGCTGTTGATCCTAGAATGCTGTCCTCTCATCACAGAGATGGGCACATAGCTGAAGCTTAGCTAATCTGACTCTTGCTTCTGAGAGTACAAACAACCAAATATAAAAGGAAGCTACAGTTGGATCACCCTTGGCAGGGCACAGTGGCTCATGCCTGTAATCCTAGCACTTTGGAAGGCCATGGCAGGAGAACTGCTTGAGGCCAAGAATTAAAGACCAACCTGGCCAACACAGCAAGACCTCATTTCTAAAAAATAAATAAATAAAATAGTAAAGTTGGGTCACCCCAAAGAGACTATACATAAGTTCCTATTGCTAAGATCCCTTAGCTGCCCTGTATCTTTCCTTCCTGAGCTCTGTTGTTAAACTCTCCATTCCATGAGCCTTAGTTACCTTCCAATAAATCCTTTGTTTGCTTAAATTAGCTAAAGTCAGCCTCCCAAGTAGCTGGGATTACAGGCACGCACCACCACACCCAGCTAATTTTTTTTTCTTTTTCTTTTTGAGACGCAGTCTTGCACTCTTGCCCAGGCTGGAGTGCCGTGGCGCCATCTCTGCTCACTGCAAGCTCTGCCTCCCAGGTTCACGCCATTCTCCTGCCTCAGCCTCCAGAGTAGCTGGGACTACAGGTGCCCACCACCACGCCCAGCTAATTTGTTGTATTTTTAGTAGAGACGGGGTTTCACCGTGTTAGCCAGGATGGTCTCGATCTCCTGACCTTGTGATCTGCCCGCCTTGGCCTCCCAAAGTGCTGGGATTACAGGCGTGAGCCACCGCACCTGGCCGAGCAAGATAATTCCATTTACACCCACTAGGATGGCTATAATTTAAAAAGAAAAGAAAAATAAGTATTGGCAAGGATGTAGAAAAACTGAAACCCTCATGCATTGTTGAAGAAAATGTAAAATGGTACAGCCACTGTGGAAAACAGTTTGGCGGTTTCTCAAAAGGCTGAACATAGAACTACCATATAGCCCAGCAATCCCATTCCTAACTATATGTCCAAAAGAATTGAAAGCGGGAATTGGAACTGATATATTTGTACACCAATTTTCATAGTAGTATCATTTATGATAGCCAAAAGGTGGAAACAACCCAAGTGTCCAATGACAGGGATAAACAAAATGTGGTACACACATACCAAGGGATATTATTCAGCCATAAAAAGGCATAAAATTTTGATATATGCTATAACATGGATGGACCTTAAAAATGCACTCATAAATGCATTATGCTTAATGAAATAAGTCAGACATGGAAGGACAAATATTGTATAATTTGATTTATATGAGGTACTTAGGTACCTTCAGAGACAGAAAGAAGAATAGTCTACCTGGGGCTGATGGGAGGAAGAAAGGGAAAATTATTATTTAATGGGCACAGAGTTTTTGTTGGGGATAATGAAAATGTTTTGGGTATAGATAATGAAAATTGTTACACAACACTGTGAATGTACTTAATGCCACTGAATTGAGCATTTATGAATGGTTAAAATGATAAATATTATGTATGTATATTTTACCACAATAAAGGAAATCCCAGTTACAAACAGTTCTTCTCAGACAGGCATTTCAATCTGTGACTTAACCATGTGTGTATTAAAGCCTCTCTTAGGACACTTATCCATTTGGCACAGTGGTATCATGAGCTAACTGATGTTCCTCACCAGACTATAAACGGTCTTGGTACAGAATTCTACGTTGCATTGTACATGTTTGATAAGCACGTATTGAGTAACTGCTGTATTCTACTGTGGTATATGCTGGAGGTAAAAAAATCAATAAAACACAGTACTTGTCCTCAAGAAGTTTACAATCTCACGTGGGAGACACACCTAGCACGTTGTATGTACAAAACGGTAATGGTATAGGGACTGAAAGGCTTGAGAGAAGAGGCAACATTTATTACAGTGGGTATTAAAGGGTCAACAGGTATGTTCAGACAGAAAGAATGGTATGTGTAAAGGCACAGGGAGGTGAACAAGTACAGCATTTTCAAAGGGAAGTTTGTAAAAAAAAAAACAAAAAAACACACACAAAAAAAACAAAAAAACACAGAAGCTGCTCATGGTGGCAAGAATCAGAAGGTGGAGCTGGAAGGGCAGTTTGTGTGAGATTGTAAATGGCCCTGAACGCCAGCCACATGAAAGAAAGAACAAGGAAGGGGTTTAAGCACAGGGAAATTGCATGGACAGATTTATTTTCAAAAAGTAACCCTAGAAGTACAGATCACAAAGTTGGGGGAAGGTCCAGAGGCAGGAAAACCAGAGGAGGCTGCTACAATGGTGTAGATGAGAGTCTGTAAGGAACTGAAACAATGTGAAGTGACAACACGAACAAAGAGGAAGGCATGCTTTCAAGAGAAATGACTACAGCCAGAGCAACGGGATTTGATTATCGAGTAGATGAGGAGGAGGAAAGGGGAGGCCATGACTTGCATGTAATCAGACCTCACTGAAGAAAGTGGAGAGAACAGAAAGATGAAAACGGAATGCAAGTTATATGCAATCATACACTGATGACTTTCTGACCCTGGCAGTGCCAAGCGCAGACAACCAGTCTTGTATGATTTTAGCAATCACCATGCCCTTCATGTCTCCTATGTTGTGGTAATGGAAAATCTTACTTGGATAAGATGTAATATGAGCAAGATGTGTATTTAGTTTGAGCCCGGCAGGCGTCTCCAGTGGAGCACAGGCATAACACACCAGGGCCTAGGAGCCTGAGCCCCTTTTCCAGTAATTTGTTCACTACATGTAGGTCGGTATCATTACTCCGGGCCCTCTGCATTCTGACTGCAGCCATGAGGTCTGATTACCGTCAGCAAGAAGACGCTGACACACTCAGGTTTCCAGAGACACTTGGAGGCTGCTAATTGCACCCTGAGCCTCATGACTGCATTTATGAGCGCAGAAAAGCTGCAGGCACTACTTGGCTTTTTTAATTATTTTCTATTAAATTTAGGCAGACTGGGTACAGTGGAAAACTACAGGATGCTTGTTCCACATCACTACCAACCATGTCAACTGCACAGACACAAAAGGCAAACAGGTGAATATAGATCAACAAGTTGGTCAGTTCTTTGCTAATAGAGCTGAGCCACTGTCACTTGTCATGGATGCTGAGGCCCTGAACAACCTAGAGGATCTAAAGGCAACACTGAGATCACTGACCCGAGTCCTTTCCCAGCGATCCTAAAATAGATATCATATTGCCCAGATGGCAACATTTTCTCAGAGGACCCAAAATTTAGCCCCTTACTGATCTTGAGGTTCCTGACCCTTCATCCAACAGCCCTGCCTTCTTCTTCTCCACAGCAATGAAGAGTGAAAGGGGCGGGGTCACCCTAATGAACTGAATCACAGGAGTTAACTGCTAACTCCACCTGGGCACAATGGGTCAGACCAAAGTCTAAAGCTCAAAACAGTAAAGCAGACATTTACATTGTTTCACACAGGTCACAGAATGTTTGTCTTTCACTGCTGTGTCCTAACTGCTCACTGTTCAGAGCTGTACAATTGCCAAAATACTGACCCAATGGTTATCTGAGAAAGAGGCTGTTCCCTGCTGAAGACATGAGGAAGCAAAGGCTCAGAAAGGTCAAGTGACTCACCCAATTATCACTTGGCTAATAAATGGTCAAGAGGTTCACAGAGACAAGGTCTTCTGGCTCCTAGTCCAAGTTTTTTTGTTTGTTTTAAGGCTCAAACAGAATTGCCACTCAGTGGATAGTTTGTACATTCCTGTAGAAGCATCCTGGGAATGGCTGAGCCTGGATCCCAGGTAGAAGCCATATGATCATTCTTACTTAAGTAGTGAGGTGGTCAAGGTTGAGGCCAAGAGTGAGGTTCAGATATCCCTTAAAATGGAATTGACAGAGCCGGGTGCAGTGGCTCATGCCTCTGTAATCCCACCACTTTGGGAGGTTAAGGCAGGCAGATCACCTGAGGTCAGGAGTTTGAGACCAGCCTGGCCAACATGGTGAAACCCCTTCTTTACTAAAAATACAAAAATTAGCTGGGCATGGTGGTGGGTGCCTGTAGTCCCAGCTACTAGGGAGGCTGAGGCAGGAGAATTGCTTGAACCAGGAGGCAAAGATTGCAGTGAGGTGAGATTACGCCACTGCAATCCAGCCGGGGCAACAGAACAAGACTTTGTCTCACAAAAAAAGGAAAAAAAAAAAAAAAAGCATGGAACTGACACAGCCTGTGAGTTCTGAGAGTGACTCCATCTTTATAGGGTAATTCTCTTTTGTCCTCTTTTCTCAGTAAAATGTTCTTAGAAAGGTATTTTATCCAAAGGAAAGAGACAAACTCAGTTAGAATGCTGTATGTTAAAGAGATGATCTCTTTGGTGTTCTGTATTTAAGTCCCAACTCAGACCTAGGAAACGCACTGAAATCTAAGTAAATTTTGGGCCCCAACAGCCCTGTTTCCCCACCTGGTGAGTCTGAAAGATTAATCACTCTGAGCCTCAGTTTTTCCATCACAACTATGCAAAACCACCTTTCCTTTTTCCTTTTCATATTAACAGATGAAAATGCCTAACAGTAAGTAAATTAGTAGTGGCAAACATCTATTTCACTCTCAGGCATTGTTTAAAGAACCTCACATGTGATAACTCATTTATCCCTCACAATGCTACAAGCGATGTAAGGTGGGTATTACAGTTATGTCTATTTTACGGAGAGAAAACTGAGGCATAGAAAGGAAACAGGCATAGAGACCTTGCCCAAGGTCACATGGCTAGGGCAGGATTTGAGTCCAAACTGGCTTCAGTATGTGAGCACTCTCAACTACTCTGTGATACTGCATTGGAAAGGAGGTTATAAACTCAACCCAATCCCCCACTTGGAGATGAGAGCCTGGAAGTCTCTGAAGCTTCTCTCAGGACCTTGGGGCTCACCTACTCTCCTGCCTCATCCTCCCATTACACTCAGCCCTGCCCTGGGATAACTCCTGGAAGAAGCCTGCAGTGAACACAAAACAAAAAAGCAAGTGAACTCATATCTTTCTCGTTCGTCTGTTTCGTGTGGAAGTGAATCCAGGAAAGATTCAACTTCCTTTCTCAGCATAAACTAGATTGTAAGCCCTGTAAGATCACTTATCTCTGGTATATTATCTACCAACCACATTCAGGGATTAGCATGTGGCGAGAGACAAAAATGTTCCTTGAATAAATGAATGAAACAATTCTTAATAAAACCATACAAATTAATAATGCTACTGGATCTAGAGGAAATACATTCAATATTGCCTTCATCAAATGTATTCAGCACTACCCAGGCATCAAGCACTGTTTTAGGAGCTGAGGCTACAGCAGTAAACAAGAGACAATTCCCGAACTCCGGGAGTTTAGGATGATTAGTCAGGCTGCTGAATGATTTGCAGAATGAATCTGAGATGAAGAGAGTCAAGAGGCAGGAGGACCAGTGAAGAAGCAGCCGACAGTGAGTTTAGGTGAGAGGTCAGGACTGGATCTGAGCATCAGTAGGACAGTTGAGGCCCTGATAGTGGTTGTTTTAAAGAAGGGCTCCTTATAGTTCCTCCTGCTCCTTTGAGAACCAGGCACGTCACATTGATGGCAAGGATCACTGACATTCAGAAAGACCAGCTAAAGAGAGGACAATGAACATGGAAAAACAAGTCCCTCCACTCTAGCTGGGCCCCTTCAGCTCCAACCAACCCCACAGGGCCATTCACTCAGCATTTTGGGGGAAACAAAGTGAGAAAAGAGTGTTACAGCTGCCTCATCAATGGATCCAGAAATACTCATGGCACACCCAGGGCAGCTGAAAGAAACATCTGTCTCTACTGTATCCTAGGTCTGACCTCAGAGCCTCCAGAACTTTTTTACATAGCCCCACCCAGATCCTGGCGGAGCTACTGCCCTCTGGTGGTACCCAATGCAGGGGTTAAGCCCACAGGAGAAAAGAGTCTTGTGGTAGGACATGGAGTGAGAGGCATAGTCAACCCCAAGAGCTCGTCACAGTGCCTGTATGTCTTACTACTGCAACCACTGCTTTTTCCAAAGACGCTATTTACAGAAAACTCTGGTTAAAATGCAAGAGTTATCTGGGACCATTAAAACAGATCCTGTTGGCAACCCTTAACGATTTGGCATGAATTTAATCAGGTAAACTGCAGTGTAAGTATAGAATTGATTCTAAGAAGATAGGGTTAGGAATAGACTCTGTGAGTTCACTCACTCATTCACCATTCAACCAATATTGGATGGAGGCTTACCATGTGCTAAGCACTGTGCTAGACACTGGAATGCTGACCTTAAGAGAAAAGGATCAGGAGGTCTTTGATTGGAGGCTTTTCCCAGCAACACAAAATGCAGGGTGTGTGTAGTGGCTCTAGAGAACAGCAAAGATGATAGTATCAAGTAACGAAAAGAGCAACAGAATCAATCAAGAGAAGTGAGTTTTAGTCTCTGCTACTACCGCTACTATATGACACTGACCAAGCCTTTTTCCTGACCAGGACTGAGTGTCCTCACTTGGAAAGGGTTGAATTAGGATCATCTTTGTGGCTGTCAAGCTTCTAGGAGCTTGGCGGCCACTGAAATGATTAGGAGATGGCATAAAATAAAAACACTGACTGCTTGGCAATTCTGACCAGCTAGGGCTAGCCCTGGGTGGGGCTTCCTGCCATCAGCCAGGGCAATCTAAAATTCCTTTACATAGTTCCTGAGGATCATCACCAAGTGAGATTCTTCTGACATCCATACCCAACCACTTCATCAGACGAGATACCCCTAGTACGTTATGAACCCCACATTTGTCCCCAACTACCCTAGTCTCTTCTGGTCCCTTTGAACTGAGGCTATTAGGGACGGAGCCAGTTCTTCCAGTGCTACAGGGCAAGAGAGGCTTGGAGAAAAGTAGAAAGTTTTGCAAACTGTGTTCACTCTTGGAAATTCTACCCTGGGCTGGAAAATTTTTATCTCATGGATTTTTTTTCAAGCAGGAAAGGCCCTTAGAAATAACCTGGTCCAGGCTCTGCATTGGAGCCTGCTGGTTAATTGTGGAACTAAGTCTAACTCCACTCTTGTAGCTCCAAGATTGGTGAGTGTTTTTCAGTTCTCCCACTGTCCTTCTAGAGGGAGGCTCTTCTCTGGCAGCCAACTCACCTTGGGACCTAAAGCACAGGAGACGATAAACACCTTCTGTCTTTGAAGGAGAAGGAGTATAGCCACAAACACCTATCGAAAATGCCAAAGACAACAAGGTTCATTTGAAATCTGAAGAATCTTAGCAAAACGGTATGGGACAGGGATGAAAAGAAGAGCAGGAGACAGAAGCCTGCTCAGCGCTTAACAGGAATCATCTCCTACTTGCCCCATAACCATACACATACCACAAGCCAGCTGATTCCTAACCCCAGCAGCTAAACTGCCCAAGGCCTAGGAAAGGGGGCAACACACACAGTTTACACCTTTTATTATTCTGATCAAAATTTCTCTCCTGGGAGCAGAAAGGGGTCAAAAGTCCAACACCAAAAATATATATCTTTATAAGTCATGGGCAAAGAAGTATTACAGCAGACAGTTATTTAAAAAAAAAAAAAAAAGCTACGGTGAACAGAGCAGAGTAGGAGGTGTGAGAAAACTCACTCCAAGTAATTTATTCACTGGGAACCACAAAGGGCTTTCCCAAGAACAGCAAAAACACCATTAATTTCTCCAGTACCCTCCTTTCAAAGGGCTCCAAACACTTCACACATATCGTTTTAAATTGTCCTCAAAGGCTCCAAAATAAGGGGTTACTATTTCCCCAGGCACAGATGGAGAAACTAAAGCATTTATGCCCACCCTGCTCTGCCCAAGTCATCCTAAAAGATTCAGCCAACATCAACTGAGTGCCTGCTATGTGCCTTACTCATGCCAGGCAGAACAGGAGACGGATGAAAGATAGGATCTTTGTCCTCCAGAAAGCCAGAATCCAGTGTGGTGTCACAGATGCACCTATAAATCCCTTCAAGATATGACAGCTTATGCTAGGTGCTATTGAAAATGTCCAAATACAGCATCCTGATAGCTCCCATTTATCAAGTACTTAATATGTGCCAAACACTGTGCTAAGCCATATTGTTTAAGTCACATAACTGTGCGTGACTTACCTTATAGAGGATGGAATGGAGACAATGAGAGGTAAAGAGACTTGCCTAGGATCTCAAAGCAACATTGTGGCAGAGCAGAGATTAGAACCTATGTCTGTCTGGCTCCAAAGACCACATGACAGGAAAAGAACTGTTTGGAAAACTGGGCACCGGCCTCTCAACTTTCTAGCACTGAATGCCACACTTTAGAGGCGAACAGCAGAACACACAGGGGCCCTCACTAGATTTTGGGGGAATGGCCTGTTTCCTGGGCCCAGAATTGTATGTGCATGTACTAACTGGGATTCTCCATCATGGGGACATCTGAAGCCAAAGGTAGGTGTGTCTTCCAAAAGGGAACAGAGCTCTCTCTGGGTAAAGGAGAGCTGAAAGGTCCTGAGCTCTTCTTGCTCCTTTGGTAAGTACTGAAAATGGAACAGGACTAGAAGGTATGGGATTCCCATGCTGGCTTTAACAGAAGGTTCACAGCCTGCAGGAAGGCATGGTGGCTGCAGTGCACATGCAGTACGGTATCCTTTTCTCAGAGCCAGAGTAGAACTCTTGCTGGGGAAGGAGTCCTCTGCTGGAGAAGGGCCTGGCTTAGTGACAGCTCTGCAGAGCTCACCTGGTGGCAGCAAGTGCTGCCTCTTTTGCCAAAGCCCCATTTTGGAGGCCAAGGAAGAAAATGCCAGACTTGGAGAAAGAAGAGCTCCCCACACCAGACAGGTTACAAAGAAAATGGTCAGTCCTGGGGAATGCCTAGGTCTTAGCAAGGGCTGGGCTAATAAATCGCTCTATTTTAAGCCCACAGGACATAAGACAGATGCGAGAAAGAGAATGTCCTCCAAACTCTGAGAGCAAAGTTGAGCCTGGAAATAGGAAACCTAATCCCCAGCCTAGCATTCTTCCCACTTACCTCAAGGCATCCTTCTGTAATCGTTTCATATCTTAATTTCAACCTAATAAAACAACAACAAGAACAAAAACCCTTTGATGGAGCCAGGTACTTCTGTGTATTATTATCTCATTTAACATAAGTGACTTGTGCTTCTATCAATGGATCAGTTAGTCCATTAGTTCACTCATAATTACTTATATTCTACCTATTTCCAAAAAAAAAAGGTTCAAATTGGATTACAACAAAAGGCACATGTTATGGCCAAAAGAGCCAATTTTTTTTTTTGAGCAAAGATTTTGAAATCCGTCAGCTCTGGGCTTGTGACTTACTATGGCGGCCACAGCCAAGTCCTTTAAGTTTTCTGCTCCTTGGTTCTCCTCAGTTGTAATATGGGGACACTCCCAACTCTATCACAAGGTAATTTGTAAGGATTAAATGAGATGATGTCTGTAAAATTCCTGGCACAGAGTTTGGCCCATAGTATGCACCGCAACCAAAATAAAAGTAAAAGAAAAGACTTAAGTAATAAAGTCTGTGGGGGGCGGGAGAAGAAAGGGGATAATGAATACTTACATCAAAATATCTAAATAAGGGAAGCGCTGTACTTTTTGGCAGTTGTGGCAAAAGGAAAGCGGGACTGCTATACCATTCTCATTGTTTAATAAAGAGAAGCATGGAAATTCATCAGGACAAAGAAAGTTCTTAATTCTCAATGCAGAAGGGCACATAAATACACGAGTGACTGTGTATGTTACACACATACACATGCTTATACCATCTCTCTCTCCAACAGGAACAGGGCAAACGGCTCTCCAGAGTCCTGCTGCCCCCTGACACCAAACTACTGCGGTGTACAGAGAAGTACTTCAAGAGTTAAAACATTTTTGTGCCAATATTTTAAGAGTGCAGAAGGTTCCAAATTACATGTAAAATAAACAATGCCAGACTGTGAAAACTCTTGGCTGCAACGTTCTCTGATGTTAACAAGAGTTTCTTTATTACTGTAACCTTTCAGAAGTGAATAAAAATTATTTCTCTGCCCTAGTTTTGCCCTCCAGTAAAAGTGAAGAGAGCAGTGACCATGGAAAGAGCTGTACAATGACCTCTCCTGAAGGCCGGGGGCTGGGAAGGGGGCAGTTTAGAACACAAAGCCTTCCATATATGCTTCTAGGTTAAAGGCTAGAAATTTAGTTTGTGCTGTGCTGATCATATTGTAAAATTTTACATTCCTAATACTTTTATGTAACCAAAACCCTTAGAGCGACAAGAAGGCATTTTCAAGAGCCCAACCTGAGCTGGTGCTATGGAGAAAACCCAAATCTGGACCATGACCCCTCAACTACTCAGTGAACCCCCTTACTCAGAAACCGAGTCTGAAGTGTCCTTAACAAAGAAGGAAGAAGTACTGTGTGTGACCAGTACTTAAGACAAAACATGTTACTACTCAGATCCTTAAGTGTGGATGAGTCTGTAAATATCAGACACACACAAGGATCTCAAAATGGAGCTAGTCTGGATAAAGAGAATCTGCATTTACCATTGCAGGAGAAGTAAGAATGTCACCAAACAAAGCCAAACATTGTTTGTCTTCTCATACCAACTCGGTGCCTTTATCCACACTGTTCCTCTGCCTGGCATTCTCTTCTTGTCTAGCAAACACCTACTTATCTGAAAAGATTTAACTCAAATGTCATCTATTCCCAGCCTGTCTCGAGACTCTGGGCATTCTCAGCAATTTAAAAACATTATAATTTCTTAATATTGTAATTATCTGTTTATGTTTATCTTCTCCTACTAGACTAGGGAGTCATGGAAAATGTCTTAATCATCCTTGTATCTCCAGTGCTTTTAGCACAGTACCTGGAAGCTAACAGGCCACAATAAAATGGATGGATAGATGGGTAAAACTTTGTTTGTGTCTGGGAACAGAAATCAGACAGAGAGTGATGAACTGCTAAAAAAACAGAACACAAGCTCTGGGACTTAACACAAGGCTAGCTTTTCAGACTTCC
Organism: Homo sapiens; assembly: GCF_000001405.40. Lineage (NCBI taxonomy): Eukaryota > Metazoa > Chordata > Mammalia > Primates > Hominidae > Homo > Homo sapiens. Next base: position 35,334,855 of record NC_000020.11, read on the forward strand.
ACAGAGTTGCAGAATGTTAAGTCTGGAAGAGAATGTAGAAATCATCTAACTCTCCTCCCCAGAGAGGTGATGTGATTTGACTTACTCAGGCTTACCCGAAGAGTGGCCAGGCCAGGCAGAACTCGTTCCATTATGCCACACTGTCCCTTCTTACTACTGTCTAAAATTGTCGGTAAAATAAGTAATGATTAAGGTCACATATCTAATTTCATTATAAACATATCTAATTTCATTATAACTAATTTCATTATAACTAACACATATCTAATTTCATTATAAACAAATGAACAATGGAAATCATCTAGGAATTCAAACAACTTGATAAAAGACACAATATCTGAATTCTTCAAAAAGTTTACATAGTGTCACCATATGACCCAGCAGTTCCACTCCTAGGTATACCCCTCAAGAAAGCTGAAAACTTATGTTCAGACATAAACTTATATATGAATGTTCACAGAAGCATTATTCACAAAAGCTAAAAAGTGGAAAGTGGAAAGACTAAATGTCTATTAACTGATTAATAGATTTTTAAAACATGGTATATCTACACAACAGACTATCCCAAAAAGGAATGATGTCGGTCGGGGGAGTTGAGCAAAAAATAAATAAATAAAAAGAAGAAAAAAGACAAAAGAAGGAATGAAGTACTGAAAATATGCCACAACATGACTGAACTTTGAAAACATTCTGCTAAGTGAAAGAAGCCAAACATAAAATACTGCATATTATATGATCCTATTTATATGAAATGTCCCAAATAGGTCAATCCATAGAAACAGAATGTAGAATAGTGGTTTCCAGGGGCTAGGGGTAAGGGGAACGGGTGTGACTGCTAATGGGCACAGGATTTCTATCTGAGGTAATTAAAATATTCTGGAATAGTGGTGATGGGTACATAATGCTGCAAATTTACTAAAAAGCAAATTTACATGTTATGGGATATAAATTATATCTCTATTTTTAAAAACAGAAAAATGGAATATCTGCCCTCTAGAAGCTAACTAACTGGAGAAGCTAGGACCAACATATAAGATGCCTGGCTAGGCGTGGTGGCTTATGCCCAGCACTTTGGGATGCCAAGGTGGGAGGATCACTTGAGCACAGAAGTCCAAGATCAGTGTGGGCAGCACGGAGAGAACCCATCTCTACAAAAAAACCCACAAAAACAAAAACCTAAGATGCTTATGGACTGAAAGGTTCAATGCTACAATACAAGTGGATACTGTGGAAGTTAGAGGAAGAAAGAAACAACACTTGGGTTAAAAATCTTAATGCCAATGCTAGAGCCATAGTTTTTAGTTTCGTACAGAGTAGTAATTAAAAGCACAGGCTCTAGAGTCCAGAAGGTTTGGGTTCCAATCCAGGCTCCCATATTTACTGTGTAAGTCTAATTAAATTGCCTAACAGTGGTAGGTAGGCTGAATTTGGTCTCCTAAAAGATATCCATGTCCCAGTTCCTGGAACCTGTGCGTGTTACCTTATATGGCAAAAAAGGATTTTGCAGCTGTGATCAAATTAAGACACTTGAGATGGGGAGGGAATCCTGGATTACCCAGTTGAGCCCTAAATGCCATCACACATATCCTTCCTTTTAAGAGAGAGGCGGAAGGAACTTAGGCTCAGATAGAAGAAAAGGCAACATGACTACAGAGGCAGAAATTGCAGTGATGCAGCCACAAGTCAAGGAACATCAGCAGCCACCAAGAGCTGGAAGGGGCAAGAGTCTCCCCTAGAACCTCCAGAAGAAGCACAGCCCTGCCGACACCTTAATTTCAGCCCCATGAAACTGATTTCTGGCCTCCGGTACTGTAAGAGAATAAATTTTTGTTGTTTTAAACCACCAAGTTTGTGGTAATCTGCTGTAACTGCTATGGGAAACTATCTCTGAGCCTTAGTTTCCTCATCTGTAAAATGAGGCTAGAAATGTTACTAATCTCACAGGTAAGACTGTTGCAAAATGTTATAAAATTCAAATGGTGCTTGTAAAGTGCATGAAAAAAAGAAAGTGCTCAATAAATGTTAGCTATTACTATTGGGGAACTCTGCTTCTGAATTATGCTGAAATCCTCAAGTTTCACATGTCGTTAGCCCATGCCTAGACCCTGCTCCTCTTAGCGAGGAGAACAGTAACAGTGGCAACAAAGACACCCGAGTTCTACTCTTCAGTGTTTCTAATTTGTACGCAGCTCTTCCAGAGCCAATTTCCCAATCATCTAAATGATATAATTAGTTTAGGAGCAGTGGTTCTCAAACTAGAGAGCTGGTGAAAAGACAGACTGTTGGGTCCCACCCCAGTTTTCAGAAGATCAAGGGTATGCCCTAGAGCTAGCATTCTTTTTTTTTTTTTTTGAGACAGAGTCTTGCTCTGTCGCCCAGGCTAGAGTGCAAATGCACAGTCTAGGCTCACTGCAACCTCCACCTCCCAGGTTCAAGTGATTCTCCTGCCTCAGCCTCCCAAGTAGCTGGGACTACAGGTGCATGCCATCACACCAGGCTAATTTTTGTATTTTTAGTAGAGATGGGGTTTCACCATGTTGGCCAGGCTGGTCTCAAACCCCTGACCTCATGATCCACTCGCCTCGGCCTCCCAAAGTGCTAGGATTACAGGCTTAAGCCACCACATCTGGCCTGAGCTAGCATCCCTAACGAGTTCCCAAGCGATGCTGAGGCTGCTGGTCTGGGGACCACACTTTTAGATCTCTGGATCAGATTATTTCAGGGTTCCTTTCCAGTTTAAACAGTCTAAGATTCCCCAGTAACATCCAACAGATGCAGCACTCAAGTAATAAACACTGCTGTACCATGCTGAAATAGCCTTAAAACTAAGTTCTTTCCTAAGTAAGAGTGGGAGGCCTTGGAGGCTGAGTATGAAGTACATGGTAAAGACTAGTTTTAACTTCTGAACTCAGCAGATTGAGAAATCTAAAGCAATGGTGGAAACAGGAAGAGACTGTCCCCTTATCTAACATGTTGGCCCCATTTTAATTTATCTTAATCCCACCTTTCTGCCTTTTCACCAGACCCCTCCCCGTCACGGTCTCCTCTAGAAACACATCTAGGTGTCTCCTGAATTCATTTATTGGCTTTGCCGCACACAGTATAATACCGCCTTTGTTAGTCTCCTGGCCCGGCCCCTTCAAGCACGGTGTTCAGTCTCGGTGTTCCTCTACCCTTAAAAAAAACACACAACCAAGGAGTCTCTGAAAAATAATTGTAAAATCAACTAAGGCAAATTCAGATGATGTAGAGACACTCAGACTCTAAACGATGGAAAAAGAAACAAATTCAGAACATTGTCAGCATTCTCATGTCTTTTTTTTCCCCCTTAATCTCTATTAGTCCTGTTGAGTAGGAAGTCTCTGCCGTATTGGATTAGAAATTGAGTAAAAGAGGCCTCAGGCTTGGGAGTGCACTGAAGAAATAAATGGAATGCCTTTAGATTCAAGAAAAGCTGTCCTCTTGGTCTTTGGCAGTCCTTGGTAATAAGACAGGAGAAAAGGTTTCTTTCTTTCAATTGGAAGGTACCATGGTATAGTAAAGAGGACACTGGACTGGAAATTGGTGTAATCTGGCCTTGGTCCTCATTCTGCTATTCTCTAGCTGTATGACCTTGGCCAAATCAATGAACTTTTCTGGGCATCCATTTCCTCACCACAGAAATGAGAGGGTAGAACCTTAACCAGAAATATGTATTAGAAATCTTTTGGGGCCGGGCACGGGGGCTCATGCCTGTAATCCCAGCACTTTGGGAGGCCGAGCGGGTGGATCACTTAAGGTCAGGAGTTTGAGACCCACCTGGCCAACATGCTGAAACCCCGTCTCTACTAAATGTAAAAAATCAGCCTGGCATGGTGGCATGAGCCTGTAGTCCCAGCTACTTGGGAGGCTGAAGCAGAAGAATCGCTTGAACCCGGGAGGTGGAGGTTGCAGTGAGCTGAGACCACACCACACAACACTGAACTCCAGACCGGGCGAGAAAGCAAGACTCCGTCTCAAAAGAAAAAAAAAAAAAAAAAAAAAAAAAAAAAAAAAAAAATATATATATATATATGGAGAGATTTTTCAAAATGCATATACCTGAGCCTCTTCACAGACTCAGAACCGCTGAATAGAGAACCTCTGAGGTACCCAGTCTGACATTCCAAGGTTCATCCATCCTATAAAGCAGATTAAGTGTATAACCAGGCTTAAATGAGAGCCAGGGAACCCATGAGGCAGGGCAGAGAAAAACCGGACCTTTTTCAAAGGGGGAGGGTAGTTAGAGAAATTGAATCCAAGTGTAATCAGAGAAGATCATTCTTCAGTCAGTATTTGGAATACAGGGCTAGCCAGATGCTAACAAAAGAAGCAAGTATTTATGTTCATCCAACACATATTTGAGTAGTGACTACGGTAGGCATGTGGTTTAAGACACCAGAAATCCAAGAATCCTTATCCCATCTAACAGGAGTGACCTACATAAACCATGAGCACACCATGGTAAGTTCAGAGAAGGGAGTGGCCAGATATATGAACATTATTGGTGAATACTGGAAAAAGCTTCTTGGAGGAGGTGTTATCCAGCTTGTGTCTTATAGTGCCATGAGCAGACAGGGGAGAAGACCAGATCAGACGGAATAGCATAAACAAAAGCCTAGAGGCATAAAAGAACACAGCACACTTACGGCACCAGTGAAAGTCTGGCATGAGAAGAATATGTATTTGTGTGCATGCACTTGAACTTTTTTGGAGGGAAGGGGTATGATTTGTTGCAGATTAAACTAGAAGAATGGGCTGGAGCCAGAACATGAATACTTCTTTTCTCTCCAATTTTTTGCTTTGAAGAATTTCAAAGAATTTTTAAAGGATGTAAGAGTAATACAACAAAAACTCATATAAGTTGTTTTGAGATCTGCAACTTCAAATGGTTCAGCAAAAGAAAAGGGTGTGTATATGTATGGGTAGAGATAAAGCAAATGTTGCAAAAGATTCAGCATTTTGCACAATCTTAGATGCACAATTTTTTTTTGCAACATTTGTTTATCTCTATCCATACATCTACACATCCTTTTCTTTTGCTGAACCATTTGAAGTTCCAGATATCAAAACATTTTACCCCTAAATACTTCAATATGTATCTGCTAAGAACAAGCACGTTCTCCTATGTAACTACAAGGGTTCTATATGCATCCTTACCCACTCTAATAGGAGGGATCTATATAAACCAATAATTACAGCACATCATGGTAAGTTCTATCTCTGAAGTTGGTGTAGTGCTGCAGTAACGCAGAGTCCGATGTGCCACTCAGGACAGGACTGGCACCCTGACTGTATGCACCTATGCATCTGACCAGTTGTAAAACTGCCTGAGGCACCTACTCCTCGAACTCTTGCTACCTCTTAAGGCCTAGGGGTAGGAAACATGTGTAAAGAAAGGCATGTATCTACCAGACGTACATGTTCAGTAGGACCCTGCTTAAATTCGTAAGCCAATCCCAAAATGGAATTACTCTGACTTCTTAGAATTTAGCCTTCTCTCCCCTAATAACTGACTATCCACTCCAACAGCTCAGGCCATTTTAGAAACTTTCAAAAGAACAACTGGTATCTGAGAACATGTATTCTTATTTTCATGGCCTCAAGCCCAAGGGACTGTCCTTTAGTTACACTCACACTTTTTTCCCCCCACCCAAGCTGGAGTGTAACACTGTGATCACAGCTCACTGCAACATCAAACTCCCTGGCCCAAGTGATCCTCCCACCTCAGCCTCCCACAGAGCTGAGACCACAGGCATGTGCCACCATAACCGGCTAATTTTATTTTTGTAAAGATGGGGTCTCCCTACATTGTCCAGGCTAACTATACCTTTTAATGTGCTCCTTGTCTTTAAAAACAATACCTTTGGCAGTGAGTTTTAATTCTGACCTAGAGATGCAAAACAGTAAAATTTTTATATCGTAAAATAGAAGAGGTCTGAAAATTTTTGTAGGGAAAGAGAGGCGATTTGGTGACAGGTGGTGATTACAGAGGCCTGAAAGGAAATTTTCAGAAAAACTAAAGCCTCCTAAAATGTAATGCCTTTGTTAGTTTAGAAAGATAAAATACCAGCCGGGGGTGGTGGTGGCTCATGCCTGTAATCCCAGCACTTTGGAAGGCCGAGAAGGGCGGATCACCTGAGGTCAGGAGTTCGAGACCAGTCGGGCTAACATGGTGAAACCCTGTCTAAAATTACAAACATTAGCCGGGTATGGTGCACGCCTGTAATCCCAGCTACTCAGGAGGCTGAGGCAGAAGAATCGCTGGAACCCAGGAGGCAGAGGTTGCAGTGAGCCAAGGTCGCGCCACTGTACTCCAGTCTGGGTGACAGAGAGAGACTCCGTCAAAAAAAAAAAAAAAAAAAAGAAAGAAAGAAAGAAAGAAAATAAACATAATATACCCTATGTATAACCTGGGGTTTTTAAAAAATCAAGTAATTCCATTAGAAGATGGAAAAGTATGGGAAAAAGGAACTGAACAGTTGATGGTGGGGGAAACGATTTATTTCCTTTTCTTCCAATATTTAAGACTAACACAGCAAACAAATATCCTCAGAATAAAAAACGGTATCTCCCTGCCCCACTTTTTCCAGTACTCATTCTGGGCCTGCAGGACTGGCTTCCTTCATTCTTCAGATAGTTACTGGGCACCTATTCAGGAAAGGGGCAATAACAGGCACTTTGGAGACAGATGTACGTGATCCTGCACCACAGGAATTCACCTGGAAGACAGTCAACATAAGTGAATAACAGTGATACAAAATAGAAAGAGTAAGAGCTGGAAGAAGGGTAGATATAAATCATTAAGGTACTTCCTTAGGGGAAACTGGGATTGGCTTCCAGTTAGCTGTGGAAGGATGTGAAGGAATTGAGGCTGGGGTGTTAGGGCAATCTAGGTGTATGCATGGAGTGAGCAAAGACACAAGACAGAAATAGCAAGGAATTCAGCTTGGCTGGAGTGAAGGGTATGTGAAGCAAGGATGGAATGTGATGTTCACTGAGTGCTTACTAAGTGCCAGGCACATGTGCTAGTAGGTTTCACATATTTAAGGTTCAAGAAGAACTAGAGGAAATGAGTTTGGAGAGGTGGTCTGGAGTGTGATCGTAGAGGACCTTACAAAGCAAAATGGTGGTTCTGAGAAGCAAGGCAGAATTACACAAGAGTCAAGTTCAGCCCACAGTTCCTCCATTTTTCCTAGGCCCTCTGCATCATCCCATCAAGCAGCTCTGCTAGAGAGTGAGCAGGGGACCATGAGGTGACAGAAGGTGCATTCTTATTCCAGAAGTCTCACTGAGGCAACAGGCATGCCAGGGACCGCTGATAAGGGTAAACTGTAATTTCTCAACTACAGCCCACTCCCATCCCTTCCCATCTCTGTCTTGGAAAGCTTGAGCCTGCTCATTGTGAGCCACAAGGTGGAGATGTCTGGCAGGGCAGAACTGAGAGGAAGTCGTTTAGCCAGCCTAAGGTTACCATTAACACTTTGAGCCACTGCCGTGAGCTAATTTTTATGTTTGTTTTTTAAGTTTGGTTGAAATGTCACAAATGGAAAAATTAAGTAAAGCGCCCTGGTTAGCCACAAGACTGGACACACCTGGCTGCAAACCCAGCAAAAGAAACTTACTTCATTAGTAGGAGAGGCAGAGAGTGAAATTTACATCTGAAATCTGCCTGCACCAGGAGAAAGTGCTGAGGCCAAAGGCGCTGTCTGTTTTTACAGCTGTGTCAAGACTTAGTTCTTTACTCTTACCAACACTCAGGAGTGCGGCAAGGGCCCAAGGAAAAATGGTCTCCAAGCTCTTCAGCTGCAACTCAGCTCACAAAGATTTTTAAGAAGCAGTTAATGAAATAAAACTAGACCAGATGAGGTGATATAATGAACTTTATTTCCACAGCTAATTTATAAGTTTAAATCCCAAATAATGTTTTTTTAAGTCAGAACACTCTAAATTATTGATGTGATTTTTGTAACCTCAAATTTAACACCTGCTTTTTGTACCAGCTTCACGATGATATATGAGTCTGCTCCATTTTTCACAATAGTTGGGCTCCAAAAAGTTGGTGAAAAGCAAATTTTTGTAAAATAAAAAATTTCCCACCAAATCAGAATAGAATTCTAATTTCAAAGGAGTTTTTGATGCAAATTTATTATTCATCACTAACTCGAAAGTGGCTCTCTTATTTCTTGATCTTCCACACACCAATCCACTCAAAGCAATCACCTCTAAGTTTTTGGCATGAGAAAAATCACTACTACATTGATTGGTTTTATAAATTCTACATTTTATATGTTTTCTTACAGAGGTACACCTGGGATGCCAAATAACACAGAGATAGATTTGCAAATTACCACCTTCAAACCATAGATTTTCAAGCTGAAAAAAAGCTGAAAACTTGGGGCTCATGTAGTTAGGCCTCCCCTGTCCCCACCTTTCTTTTAATACAGAAACTGAAGCACAGAAGAGGAAAGATTTGCCAGTCAGGGTGAGAACCAGGCCAGACTGGCTCTACACTGCCTATTACTTCTCCCTAGCCACGTGTCCCATTTATAGGTTGTACACACACGGAAGACTGAGATCCCCTCAAACACACACATGCACTCACACTCATCCATGCATGCACTCACAACCCAGTGATTAATATACAATTGTCTTGCCTATATAAGGCATGTCTATTTATGCCATGAGGTTAGAAAGAAGGTATCAAGTCAACTATAGCAGAAAGCAGTAATAGTAATTCCCCAACTCTTCCAAATCTCTATTATTTTAAAACCATCATCCTTTAGTTATAGTCTTTGTAACTAAACCGGAATTTGGGCACTTCTCTTCATGAAGGCAATTTAAGAGCCTGTATTGGGGGACCACCTAAAACCTTGCTATTGTCCCCTACCCCACCCTGCGTCACTAGCAACATCCGCATCACCTGGAAGCTTTTCAGAACTGTAGATTTTCTCACCCCTGTCCTGAAACTTACTGAATCAGAATCTGTATTTTAACAAGATCCTCAGGTGAACCATAGGCACATTAAAGTATGAGAAACGCTGATCTAAAACACTCCCTTATGGGGCAGCACCCTATCTACAACAATCCAAATAGAAAAAACGGCTGGATAAAATGCGATAGGGGAAAAATTCCCCAATTCCTGCAGGACTGCACTGATATACACTTGGATCAGAGACTAATAAAGCAGGTATGATTTATCTAATAAATGTTAGCTTAAAAAAGAATTCCAAAGGCTGGTATTCAATATATTCATTTATTTGACAATTATTTATTCATTTGACAATTATTCAATGTTTACTGCATAAGCAAAAAACTGAATAAGACGGTTTTCTGCTTTTATAAAACTTACAGTTAAGTAGAAGGGACACTGCATAAGAAGTAACATGGGAGAAGGCTCAAGTGTTGACAACTGTGATGAAGAGAGATGGAGGTCCAGAAGGAAATTCAACTGTGGCGAGAGGCAACTAAAAGGTTCCTGCAGTCCAGGAGTCAGCAACCTATGGCTCATTAAGCTATTCAGGATAGAGACAGCTGTGGCTCATATGGCTAGTGAGACAACTTCCAACAGAGTTTAGTCAACAATGATAAGAAGAACAGTTTCACTACAGGAAGAGCTACTGCGCAACTGCCTGGCAGTCAGCCAGGGCTTTGGCTGACCAGGAGGTATCTCTGGCCATCATTAAATAGGACTGAGACTGCCAACACCACCTTATGTCCACTGTGCACTGCTACAGAGTTGGGTGGTAAGTACTTGAGGGCATGTGGGAACATTCAGCTGGATGAATACCTTAAAGGCTGCCGATCTCACTCTGGGCAGCTGTGATATTGTGAAATATATAGTTGGTCTTCAACTCCCTTCCTGGCATACAACTCCTAAAATCTTTGGCCTTTCCAAAGTGGTGTCATTTTGTATGCTAATGATTGGTGGCTGGCGCACTTAGGTAGCTTCAGGGTAGGGGCTGGTCACTGAAAAACCAAGGGAGGATTAGAAGGTTAGGACTTTCTGTCCCATCTCCCAACCTCCAAGGAGGGCAGAGAGGCTGACTGATTTCCAATGGCCAGTGGTTTAATCAGTTGTGCCTACATAATGCAGCTTCCATAAAACCCTTAAAAGGACTGGGTTTGGGGCACTTCCAGATAGCTGAACAGGTGGAGGTTTCTGGACAGCTGCACACCAGGAAAGGTATGGAATCTCCTCACCCCTTCCCCCATCTTGTCCTATGCATCTCTTCATCTGTATCCCTTGCAATATCCTTTATAATAAACCGGTAATGTAATAAGTGTTTCCCTGAGTTCTGTGAGCCGCTCCAGCAAATTAATTGAACCAAAGAAAGGGGTGGGGAACCCCAATTTATAATCGGTTGGCCAGAAGCACAGGTAAAACAGCCTGGAGCTTGCAATTGGTGTGGCAAGTTGGGGGCAGTCTTGTGGGCAGAGCCCTCAACCTGTGGGATCTGACACTATCTCCGAGTACACAATGTTGGAATTGAATTGGGTTAGAGGACACCCACCTGGTGACCTCTCTCCAGAATTGACTGCCTGTTTGCTGTGTGGGGAGAAACTCCCACAAATGTGTCACAGAAACCTTCTGTGTAATTGTAATTGAGTGAGAGAGCTGAAAAAATACTTTTTTTCTCTATATTACACAGCAGCTACGACAGAAAGAAAGCAAAAAATGAAAAAGGAACCAAAAAGGATGATTACAAAGATAGCTCTCAGGCGAAGGATACGCATCAACTCAAAAATGGTTACTTTTCTCCTTCCTTGAAGGTAAGAAAAAATAACATAAAAAATAAAAAAGGTTACTTCTGGGGAGTTAGACTGGGGGGAAAAAAGACACTTGTTTTTTACACTCAATACTTTTTACTCTTTGATTTCTATTCTATGAGCATATGTAACTTTTATAATATGTTTATTTCTCAGTCCACAGGGAGAACTTTGCCCTGTAATGAAAGAAACCAAATTAACCCATTTCATGACCCAGTCATGGTTCTACTTTGGATGCTCCCAAGCTGGGAGGCAATGAAATGCTTCCCAGTAACAGGGAACTACAAGCTACTAAAACGTGATCTAGATACACAAAATACACAACATAAACAAAAGAAGATACTAGTGGGAGGTGAAGCCAGCTGGGCTTCTGGGTCGGGTGGATACTTGCACCAATCAGTGCTCTGTGTCTAGCTAGAGGATTGTAAATGCACCAATCAGCATTCTGTAAAAACGCACCAATCAGCGCTCTGTGTCTAGCTACAGGATTGTAAATGCACCAATCAGCACTCTGTAAAAACGCACCAATCAGCACTCTGTAAAATGGACCAATCAGCAGACATGGGCAGGGACAAATAAGGGAATAAAAGCTGGCCACCCTAGCCAGCAGTGGCAACCCGCTCAGGTCCCCCTTCCACACTGTGGAAGCTTTGTTCTTTCGGTCTTCACCATAAATCTTGCTGCTGCTCACTCTTTGGGTCCGCACCACCTTTAAGAGCTGGTAACACTTGCTGTGAAGGTCTGCGGCTTCATTCTTGAAGTCAGCGAGACCACGAACCCACTGGAAGGAAGAAACTCCGGACACACCATCTTTAAGAGCTGTAACACTCACAGCGAAGGTCTGCGGCTTCATTCTTGAAGTCGCGAGACCAAGAACCCACCACAAGGAACCAACTCCGGACACACTATGATCTGTATAACCAGCTATATTCTAGTGTTTTGGTTTCATTTTTCTATTGTCATTACATCCCATGTGACATATATATATATATAATATATTCCCCTTTCTCAGGTTAATTATTAAATGTACTAATGTACATTTTCAGGAGGTATCTTACCAGACTCTTCTAGGTTGCCAGTGATCAAGGAGCTTGAGTTTCAGTTCCTGAAGACAGTGCAGGCCCCATACCAGGGCCTCCCATCAGAACTAATTTATAGAAGGACTGGTTCAAATATTGAACTGGTGTCAAAGGTATAGTATCCTTAACTGGATTATCATTTGATTCCCTCCATTCACCAAATCCATCCCTCCTATCACCACGATTTGGGCTTTACAATCCCATCTCCATACAGGATGACTTCACACTGACAAATCACTATAATGTGTACAAACACATAAAGTATCTGTGGAGTATTAGTTTCCACAGAGGCAGAAAAAGTGACTTTAGCGGAACTGCCACTTGATATTAGGCAGCATTTCACAGAAATCTAAAAGCAGGGCCATTTTACAACAGATAAAACTCCAAACTCAAACCCTTCTCTGGAATTGTCCAGGACAAGCATCTGACAGCACTCACTTACCCCCATGACTCTGCCGCGCTGCTGAACATCCTCCCACATAAAATGAACTATGATACGACACATGTACTTCCCACTCCGGCCTTCCTGCTTCATTCGGACTAGACACATCCTGGGTGGGAAGAAGACAAAAAAAGTCTTGGCTGTTTGCATTTTTCACATCACACATTTCCACTGAAGGTCTCCTCATCTAAGAGTGAGTTTAGCAAAGGGCACCAAATCAAACTGGAAGTGAACTTTTTTTTTTTAAACTTTTACTGAGATATAACAAAGATACTATTAAGTGTATAAATCTTAAGTGTACTGCCTGATAAATTTTTATGTATTATACATACACCCACACAAGCACCACCCAGATCGAGATACAGATTATTTAGGGCACCTCTGAAGGCTCCCTCATACCTGGAGGGAACCACATTTTTTTGTTAGAAGACAAACAAGTCTGAATCCTTCATTTTACTGATGAAAGCAGGAGTCCTAAAGACGGAAAGTAATTTGCCCAACACCAGTTTTATATCCGTAAAACTGGGTATAGAACTGTGCTGTCCAATACAGTGGCTCCCCTGTGGCTATTGAGCATTTTAAATACAGCTAGTCAAAGCTGAGATGTGGCACAAGTTTAAGATTTCAAAGATTTAGTTGAAGAAAAAGAATATAAAATATCTCAATTTTTAATACTGCTTTCATGTTGAAATAATATTTCAGATATACTGGGTTACATACAATCTATTAAAATTTGTTTCTTTTTACTTTTTCAAATGTAGATACTAGAAAATTTTAAATTACATACATGGCTTGCGTTATATTTCTGTTGGACAACACCTGTCCAGAACACAGATCACAGAAAGTATTATGATTACATTTGTGTAATTATCCAATTGTTTCCCCCACTAGAAGGTAAGCTCTACTGAAGATAAAGATCAAATCTGGTTTTTGTCAACATTTTATTTCCAGGGCTTAAGTACAGTAGGCACTCAATATACACTTGCTGAATAAATAAATGAACAAACACCTATGGTTAGGGCCAAGTTTAGGACCTTTTCCCCTATACCACATTTGCCTCTAGTCAGTCCAGAGGGCTTTCTGAATAATCAAGACCTCACATAATCTAAACATACAAGAATTATATTTTATTATATATAGGAATATAAGCAGGGTCCCCAACTTTTCAAACTAGTTCCTCATTTCATGCATGACCATAGTTCATTCTTTTTTGTTTTGTTTTGTTTTGTTTTGTTTTGTTTTTTGAGACGGAGTCTCGCTCTGTCACCCAGGCTGGAGTGCAGTGGCGCCATCTCGGCTCACTACAAGCTCTGCCTCCCGGGTTCTTGCCATTCTCCTGCTTCAGCCTCCCAAGCAGCTGGGACTACAGGCGCCTGCCACCACACCCAGCTAATGTTTTTGTATTTTTAATAGATATGGGGTTTCACTGTGTTAGCCAGGATGGTCTCAATCTCCTGACCTGTGATCCACCCGCCTCAGCCTCCCAAAGTGCTTGTTTTCTCCTTTTTGAGACAGGGTCTCATTCTGTCACCCAGGCCGGAATGCAGTGGCACAAACACAGCTCACTGTAGCCTCAACCTCCCGGGCTTAAGGGAGCCTCCTGCCTCAGCCTCCTGTGTAGCTGAGATTACAGGTGTGCACCACCACGCCCAGCTAATTTTTTATTTTTTTGTAGAGACGGGGGTCTCAATTTGCTGTGCAAGCAGATCTCAAACTCCTGGGCTCAAGACTTCCTCCCACTTTAGCCTCCCGAAGTGTGGGGATTACAGGTGTGAGGCACCATGCCTGGCAGACTATAATTTTTATTGTTTCTCATTAAATAGCTTATTAAGCAGCTACAATAGGATTACTCACCTAAAAGACAATTCCTGTTATAATTATGGAATAGTTAATCCAACCTGACAATTCTATATCCATACACAATTGATCTTGCCAATTAAAATCTACCAGCAATAGTAATGGTACAATGAAATGATTACAGCTTGGCCTGTCTCAACATCTTTGTTAATAACTAAGATGGAGAAAAGAAAACATATTTACCAAATTTGCAGGTGACAAGAAGCTGGGCAGGAGAACAAATGTGCCAGATGATCCAACCATGAACCAAAAATACTTCAACAGGTTGAATCTAACAAGATCAACCTAATGGGGATAAATTCAGGATCCTGCATTTGAGTCTAAAAGAACAACTGTAAAAGTACAGCACAGATAAGTCATGCCTACCTATGTGTGAAAAGACTTATAGGCTTAAGTTGATATTATGTGCTCAGTAGGAATCAAGAGGATAACAATGCTGCCCTCCAAATTAATGTGATTTTAGATACAGTAATGCAAATATAATACCATCAATGTGTAAAGTGAGACTTTTGTTATACTCAACACAAACCAGAACGTATTTGGAATACTATCCACAGTTTTGAACATTACATTTTAAGAAATAGGAGGACTAGAAGTATCTTAAGAAGACCAGAAGATATTTAACCTGGAGAAAAACAGGAAAGTTGACTTAAACATTGTAGAAAAGCAATTAAACTGTTTACCAAAGAGAATCAGGTCAGGCCTGGTGGTTCACACCTATAATCCCAGCATTTGGGAGGCCAAGGCAGGAAAATCACTTGAGCCCAGATGTTTGAGACCAACCTGGGCAACACAGTTGGACCCCGATTCTACAAAAAATATGAAAATTAGTCAGGTGCCGTGGTGCATGCCTGTAGTCCCAGCTACTCAGGAGGCTGAGGCAGGAGGATCCCTCCCAAAAGGTCAAGGCTGCAGTGAGCCACGATGGTGCCACTGAACTCCAGTCTGGGTAATGGAGTGAGACCCTGTCTCAACAAACAAACAAACAAACAAACAAACAAAACCAAAGAGTTAGAATCAGAACCAATGGGCAGGCCATAGAGGGAGAAAGATATAATCAACATTGAACAGCAAAATTAAAAGCTTACTAACAGGAATGTCTAAAGTTTTGTTTTTTTAATTTTAGAGACAGGGTCTTGCTCTGTCACCCAGGCTGGAGTGCAGTGACACAATCATAGCCCACTGTAACTTCAAATTCTTGGACTCAAGCCATCCTTCCACCTCGGCCTCCCAAAGCCCTGGGATTATAGGCATGAGCCACTGTGCCTGGCCTGAGTGTCTGAAGATTTGAATAATCAAACTGACAACCTCAAAAAGTAGAGAATTTGTCTGTCACGGAGAAGTGAATCAACGCTTGGTGGGAACTCGGGTATCTGACAGAAGGTTGACAACATGACCAGGTGCAGTGGCTCACACCTGTAATCCTAGCACTTTGGGAGGCCAAGGCCAGTGGATCACCTGAGGTCAGGAGTTCGAGACCAACCTGTCCAACATGGTGAAACCCCATCTCTACCAAAAACACAAAAATTAGCCAGGTGTGGTGGTGTGCGCTTGTAATCCAGCTACTCCAGAGGCTGAGGCAGGAGAAATGCTTGAACCCAGGAGGCAGAGGTTGCAGTGCCAAGATCGCACCACTGCACTCCAGCCTGGGCGACAGAGTGAGATTCCATCTGAAAATAAAAAGAAGGCTGACTACATGATCCCAAATGAGATTTACTGATGTGATTCGAAACTTGTAGGCCAGGCGCAGTGGCTCACACCTGTAATTCCAACACTTTGGGAGGCCGAGGTGGGTGGATCACCTGAGGTCAGGAGTTCAAGACCAGCCTGACCAACATGGTGAAACCCCGTCTCTCCCAAAAATACAAAAAATTAACCGGGCGTGGTGGTACAAACCTGTAGTCCCAGCTACTTGGGAAGCTGAGACAGGACAATTGCTTGAACCCGAGGGGTGGAGGTTGCAGTGGGCCAAGATCGCGCCACTGCACTCCAGCCTGGTCAAAAGAGCAAGACTCTTGTCTCAAAACAAAAAAACAAAAAACCTGTAACCTCTGACCCCAGGTAGTGCTTAAGAAATAGCACTTTGTAGGCTGGGTGTGGTGGCTTACACCTGTAATCCCAGCACTTTGGGAGGCTGAGGTGAGCGGATTACTTGAGGTCAAGAGTTCAAGACCAGCCTGGCCAATGTGGTGAAACCCTGTTTCTACTAAAAATACAAAAATTAGCCAGGTATGGTGGCGCGTGCCTGTAATCCCAGCTACTCGAGACACTGCGGCAGGAGAATCTCTTGAACCCGGGAGGCAGAGATTGCAGTAAGTCAAAGATCACGCCACTGCACTCCAGCCTGGGCAACAGGGCAAGACTCCATCTCAAAAAAAAAAAAAAAAAGCACTTTGTGACAATAATGAAACAGGTCACAGAAAAAAGATTTGGCTACTTTATAGGACACAGAGCCTATTCCACAGCAGAAACAAACTGGGGAAAAGTTCAACAGTCCTTTTTCATAAGACTTTTCTAAAGTTAATCAAATCCCTCATGTCAGCCTCTCACCTGAAAAGACGCTGTGTGTTTTGATGCTTAAGTGTTGTCAGAGGCCAATTCATCAACAGCAATAGTGAGGTAATGGAATTCTTCATTTATTTGAAAATTCTGTAGTTTGTTAATACACCTGCCCTCTGAGGTTTAAAAGGCACAGATTTTCTCAGACCATAAACTTTCTAACTGTATCAACATGGGATGAAGTGTTTTTTGTTTCACAACACAGTTTGTTCTATAGCCCTTACAGATAACAGTGGGCTCAAATGGTTATCCAGTTGAAAAGATAAGGCAAAATGAAGACACTTTCAAAATGGTGACTGACAATTCACTCAATGAACACAGGAGTTCCTATTGTGTGAAGGTGTATGGTTGGATGCTGTGGGGATTATAGTGATGGCTAAAACTAGAACCCAGCTTTTATGGAGCAGTTTCCTCTAGGGGAGATAAGGTACACCACACATCAACAGCCCTAAAAGGGAATGCCATAGATCTCCCAAGAGAAGAGTGCAATGAAGTTTAAAAGGATGACTTTTGGCTGAGTAGAATCAGAGAAAGCTTCATGGAAAATGAAACACTGTACCTGGATCTTAGAAGGATAAGCTGAAGTTGAAGAGGTTGAGACAAAAGACAAAGGGAATGTCCAGCTGATGGAATGTTCTAAGCAAAGGCAGGGCCATGGAAGAGTTCAGGATGTTAAGGTAACAATGAATACCTAGATTGTGGGGAGGACAGGGTATAGGATGCAGAAAACTGAAGCCAGAAAGGTCATGAAGAGCTTTGAAATGACTTGCTAAGAAAAAGTATGGACTTTGCTCAGCAGAGAGTGGCCAGCTACTGGAAGAAGATTCGCTCCTTAGCACTGACCGGAGATGAGTCTCTGAGAAGTTAACCTTTTCTTCCCAGCCTCAATCCTATAATTAAATATACAAATATCACCAGGGCTGGAAAAGGACAAATTTGGTGAATATAGTCATGTACCACATAACAATTTTGGTCAGCAAGAGACCACACATATGAGAGTGGTCCCATAAGATTATAATGGAGCAGAAAAATTCCTATCACCTGGTCTAGATGATCCTGACCTGGTAGAGGCCTAGGCTAATGTGAGTGTTTGAGTCACAGTTTGGTTTTTGTTTTTTTCAGAGACAGGTTCTCACTTTGTCACCCAGACTGCAGTGCTGTGATACAATCACATCTCACTGTAACCTCAAACTCTTGGACTCAAGCTATCCTCCTGCCTCGGCATCCTAAGTAGCTAGGACTACGGGTGCACGCCACTGAGCCCGGCTAATTTTTTAAATTTTTTTGTAGAGGCAGGGTCTCACCATCTTGCCCAGGCTGGTCTCGAATTCCTGGGCTCAAGTGATCTACCTTGGCCTCCCAAAGTGCTAAGATACAGGCACGAGCCACTGCGCCCAGCTCTATGTCTTAATTTTTAACAAAATTTTTAAAAGTAGAATAAAATTTAAAAAAACAGAAAAAAGGTTACAGAATAACAATATAAAGAAAGCTATATAATGTGTGCTTTAAGCTTAAAATGTCAGAGTCAAAAAGTTTTTTTAGGTTGGGAACAGTGGCTCACACCTGTAATTCCAGCACTTTGGGAGGCCGAGGCAGGTGGATTACTTGAGGTTAGGAGACCAGCCTGGCCAACATGGTGAAACCCTATCTCTACTAAAAATACAAAAATTAACCAGGCATGGTGGCGCGTGCCTGTAGTCCCAGCTACTCAGGAGGCTGAGGCAGGAGAATCACTTGAACCCGGAGGTGGAGGTTTCAGTGAGCTGAGATCATGCCACTGTACTCCAGCCTGGGCAACAGAGCAAGACTCTACCTAAAAAAAAAAAAAAAAATTTAAATTAAAAAGTTTATAAAGTATAAATGTTACAGTAAGTTAAGTTTAATTTATTATTGAAGAAAAAATTTCAAAATAAATTTAATGTAGCCTATGGCCAGGTGTGGTGGCTCACACCTGTAATCCCAGCACTTTGGGAGGCCAAGGTGGGAGGATTGCTTGAGGCCAAGAGTTCAAGACCAACCAAGGTAACAAAGTAAGACCCCACCTCTACAAAAAAACGTAAAAATTAGCCAAATGTGGTGGTAAGCGTCTGTAGTCCCAGCTACTAAGGAGGCTGATATGGGAGGATTGCTTCAGCCTGGGAGGTCAAGGCTGCATTGAGTTGTGATTGTACCACTAAATTCTGGCCTGGATGACAGAGTGAGACCCTGTCTAAAAAAAAAAAAATTAGCTTAGCTTAAGTGTACAGTGTTTATAAAGTCTACAGTAGTATACAGTAATATCTGACTCATCCAGAGCAACTTCTAGTTCTGCAAGCTGTATTTATGGTAAATATCTTATACAAGAATACCATTTTTTATTTCTTATATTGCATTTTTACTGTACTTTTTGTATGTTTAGATACATTTAGATACACAAATACTTACCATTATAACTGCTTACAGTATTCAGAACAGTAATAAGTTGTATAGGTCTATAGCCTAGGAGCCATAGGTCATACCATACATCCTAGGTATATAACAGGCTATACCACCGAGGTTTGTGTAAGTATACTCTATGATGCCCACACAATAATGAAATACCTAATGATGCATTTCTCAGGACAGATCCCCATCATTAAGCAACACATGACTGAATTTACTTTAATAGAACATCATTTTCAGAATATTCTGATCCAGAAATATAAACTAAAGATTATACCTGCCTTTTGAGAAATATACAACCAGCAAAGATTGTTATAACCTGTACCTAATTTTGCTGATACTAACAGTTTAGAAGACATGGATTGACACCTGAAAATAAAAGGAGGGCAAATTCTCTTTTTTTTTTTTTGTTTTGAGACAGAGTCTTGCTCTGTCGCCCAGGCTGGAGTGCACTGACGCAATCTTGGCTCACTGCAAGCTCCGCCTCCTGGGTTCACGCCATTCTTCTGCCTCAGCCTCCCGAGTAGCTGGGACTACAGGTGCCCGCCACCACACCGGGCTAATTTTTTGTATTTTTAGTGGAGACGGGGTTTCACAGTGTTAGCCAGGATGGTCTCATCTCCTGACCTCTTGATCCGCCCACCTTGGCCTCCCAAAGTGCTGGGATTACAGGCGTGAGCCACCATGCCCAGCCAAAGGAGGGCAAATTCTCATTACTCCTAAAACATTGGACCCAATAAGTTCAACAGACCTTTTATTGATGCAGAACACTAAATATTGTAACTCTTCATTTAACATCACAGATAGATTCTTGGAAACTGTAACTGTAAGCTTAACAACTTACGAAACCTATTTTACCATAGGCTAAGTGACATAAACAAGAGTTATATTCCTACAGTATATTTCTGGTCACAAAAACATCACTAAACTTCTAAATAAAGACCCAAAAGACTTCCAATATTAAACACTGAAATAATGTGAGCTATGCATACATTATGGCACGGCACACTCACACCCACACCCACTCCAATAAGGACAATTTAGACATGCTAATTCACCTTCTGTGCACATCTTTGGGATGTGGAAGGAAACAGGAGGACCCAGAGAAAACCCACCTAGACAGGGACAGAACATGCAAACTCCACACAGGCAGTGGCCCCAGATGGGAATTGTTATTTTTCTCCTCATCACTGTTATAACAAAGTGACATTGAACAGAACAATGTAATTTGAAGAAATGCTATATAAAACTCTACCGCAAATCTCATTACACATAAAGTTGTAAGACCAAAGGCAAAGAATCAGTCTTCCTATCAACCGGAAGTTACTGAAGATTCCCATGAGTTCTACTGGGAAAATAAGGTTCTGATCCACAGGGCTGTCCAATCACCAGTACAACATTCAGCTAATTAAATGCTCACCTAATTCTTTCCCTGAGTTTGTGAATCGAATTTACTAGGTAGTTAAGGACAGAAAAGCAGTCCTGTTGTGAAGGACTTTTTTGTTTATCCTCTTCAAGGGAAAAGCAGAGCTGAAGGCTGGGCCAAAATCTTAAGAAGTCAGCTGCCTGGAATGTCCAGACAAGCAGCTGAATACCAATTCTTAGGCCACCTGACCTTGAAGCCTATCACATTCAATTTACGCTTGTTTGATAACTGTTTTTAAAAGGTAATACATGTACATAGTAATAAAAACCAAGTCTCCTTCCTACCTTCATCCCCTGCCAACCCGTTCCTCTCCCAAAGACAACCTCAGCTACTAGTTTCTTAGGAATCCTTCCACATATAACCTATACACACACAAGTTTATGTATGTGTGTATTCTTTTTACATAAATGGTACCTTCTTTATCTTCCCTTTTGTGCTAGCATTCTACACATACTATCTTTTTTTTTTTTTTTTTGAAACAAGGTCTGGCTCTATCACCCAGGCTGGAAAGCAGTGGTATAATCTCAGCTCACTGCAACCTCTGCCTCCTGGGCTCAAGCCATCCTTCTACCTCAGCCTCCCAAGTAGCTGGGACTTCAAGCATGCACCACCATGCCCAGCTAACTTTTGTATTTTCTGTAGAGATGAGATGGGGTTTCGCCACGTTGCCGAGGCTGGTCTCAAACTCATAAGCTCAAGTGATCCTCCTGCCTTGGCCTCCCAAAGTGCTGGGATTATAGGCGTGAGCCACCACACCAGGCCAACATACTATTATTCTCAGACATTAAGAAAAAATTACATCTGATATTGGAATGGAAGGATGGAAGTGAAGAAATCTCAACTCCAACTCTGTGTTTCATCCACAGACACCCCAGTGAAAACTTTTGGACACCAGAGATAATAGATTACTACTAACTTATTTGACCATTATTAGGGTGACATCTGATTGACGCTGAATTCAACCAGTTAGTTTATCTGGCAATTTTTCCTATTCTAAAAATGACTAACAGGAAGAAAGAAAGAAAAAAAAAACTTAAATAGCAAAAACGGACAAGTGCTATAATTAACAGTTAACACAACTACGTGCCAGGCACTATGCCAAGTGATTTGGATGCATTATTTTTCCTAATTTTTACAACAACTCCATGAAGCTGATACTTGTGTCCTTACTGTCCTCATTTCACAGGTGAGAAAATTGAGTCCTAGAGAAGTAACTTGCCCAATGATACAAACCTAGTAAGTGCTAAAACTGAGATCTGAACCTAGACAATCTGATCCCAGAGTCCTACGAAGGTTTTTGTTGTTTTTGCCTCCTTTAATGATTAGAACAAACCCTCCAGGATCTATTGACCCTATTTTTCATTCAGTCCTCACAAGTACAGTAATTTAAGCTTCAAAACTAGCATCATATTAGAAATAGCACATCAGGAAAAAAAAAGACTGGCTAACTGGAGGCAAGCATACCTATAACAAGAGTAACTGCTAGCAGCCTAGTAGGAAAAGAGGAAATGAAAAATTTATTTAATAGAGACACGAAAAAAATAACAGAGCAATTGAGGTTCAACAGGTACAACTCAGAGACAATAGTCTGGCAAAATACAGTTAAGAGTTATCAGGACATCCTGAATCATTCAGAAAAGACTGAAGTATGTTGAATGGTAAAAGAAAACTAAATAGGCCAGGTGCAGTGGCTCATGCCTGTAATCCCAGCACTTTGAGAGGTCGAGGCAGGCAGATCACCTGAGCTCCGGAGTTCGAGACCAGCCTGGACAACATGACGAAACCTCATCTCTATAAAAAATACAAAAATTAGGCCGGGCGCAGTGGCTCACGCCTGTAATCCCAGCACTTTGGGAGGCTGAGGCAGGCAGATCACCTGAGGTCAGGAGTTCAAGACCAGCTTGACCAACATGGTGAAACCACATCTCTACTAAAAATGCAAAATTAGCTGGGCGTGGTGGCACATGCCTGTAATCCCAGCTGCTTGGGAGGCCGAGGCAGGAGAATGGCTTGAACCAGGGAGGCGGAGGTTGCAGTGAGCCGAGTTCACACCATTGCACTCCAGCCTGGCAACAGAGCAAGACTCCGTCTCAAAAAAAAATTAGTGGGGCACGGTGGTGCATGACTGTAGTCTCAGCTACAGTCTGAGGCAGGAGAATCGCTTGAGCCCCAGAGGTGGAGGTTGCAGTGAGCTATGGTAGTGCCATTGTACTCCAGCCTGGGAGACACAGTGAGACCTTGTCTCAAAAAAAAAAAAAAAAAGAAAGAAAAAGAAACAAAGAAAAATAAATAAAACAAAGTCAAAATGGTTAATAAAAATAAAAGACTTGAAGATCCTGCTACCCACTGCAAAACAAAGCCAACACCTGTCACAGACTCTGACCATATAACAATAACGTTGAGTCATTAAGTAAGCTATTTCACAATACAGCTCACTTTAACTCACATCATGGGTGTATACCCTCATAATAAATGCCTAAATTTAACATTGAGAGGTCAAATTACATTTTGCCACTGATTTAAAGTCATAATGTCAGACCTCTGTTGGAAACGAGGGGGAATTGAGAAGGGCAGGGGGCATTATGGAGGGGATAACACACTTCCATGCTAAAACATAATAAATAAAAACTGCCCTTAAGAATGCAGGCTGGGCGCGCTGGCTCATGCCTGTAATCCCAGCACTTTGGGAGGCCGAGGAGGGTGGATCACCTGAGGTCAGGAGTTTGAGACCAGCCTGGCCAACCTGGTGAAACCTCATCTCTACTAAAAATACAAAAATTAGCTGGGCATGGTGGCAGGTGCCTGTGGTCCCAGCTACTCCGGAGGCTGAGGCAGGAGAATCGCTTGAACTTGGGAGGCAGAGGTAGCAGTGAGCCGAGACTGTGCCATTGCACTCCAGCCTTGGCATCAACAGTGAGAGACTCTGTCTCAAAAAAAAAAAAAAAAAAAAAAAAGCAAAGTATCAGTGTGCCAATCTGTATCCAGGAAACAAAAAAAATGCAAAATAAACTTAAAAAAATCTTGTAATGAAAAAGATTCCTATATTAATTAACTAATCATTTATTGAACAAGTATTACTAAGCACCTACTCTGAATATAGACTGAATCTGTGCAGAAGCTACTACTCTGTTTAGGATCAAACTCAAGTTGCTCCTCCCAAGTTTGATGTGTCACCCAGGCTGGAGTGCAGTGGCATGATATTGGCTCACTGCAATCTCTGCCTCCCGGGTTCAAGAGATTCTCCTGCCTCAGCTTCCTGAGTAGCTGGGATTACAGGCACCCACCACCACACCCAGCCAATTTTTGTATTTTTAGTACAGACACGGTTTCACCATGTTGGTCAGGCTGGTCTCAAACTCCCGACCTCAAGTGATCCACCTGCCTCAGCCTCCCAAAGTGCTGGGATTACAGGCGTGAGCCACCGCGCCTGGCCTGATGATGTTCTTAAACCCACAATTTATTATTTAGGTTTTAAGCTTCACAGTACTATCCTTGTCTCTCAGTGATTCCAGTGGCTCATACATAATACTGATCTCTTTTACATATAAGAAAGGCAAATAACGCAGCTAGCAAAGTAAAGAAAAAAAGGAGTGTTCAAACCTGGCGTGCAAATATCTCTAAAAGGCAAGCATGGAGACGGGACAAAGGAAGAAAATGTCACTCACTAGGAATATCAAATAATAAAGGGCTGAAGCTATCAATCCTGCCTTATAGAAAATAATAATAATGATTACTACCATTTACTATGTTCTGTAATGTGAGACTTGTCACTGTAAGATGCATTTACATTCATTCTGTCTCTCAGGACATTATAACTGTCCCCGTTTCACAGAAAAGAAAACACACTCTGAAGAGGTTAAGTAACTTAAGGTTGCACGGTAGAGAAGAAAGAAGCTGGAATGAAGCCTGAGCTCCCCCCTTTTTCTCCCATTCTGTGATAGCACCAAGAACCTCTTCCTGCTAAATAAGACAAATCGGAAGGCAACAACACTGTCTGTAGAGTTCAAAGGAATAGGAGAGTTTCCTAGCTATGATTTCCTCCTGTCAGCCTAAATCTGGGAGGGAAGATTCTTGTTATTCCTGATGCTGACCTCCTGCCAGGTACTGGCAGCTCTGAGCATCCTGTCTCGCTCACTCTGCTTGGGCCCTCTGACAATGCCAGTTGTGTTTTGGCCTTGTTTCTCCCACATGATAGTTTATAAGCTGCTTAGAGTAGATCTGATTTTGAATTAATAAAGACTAGCAGGCACTTGGGCAGGTTCGTCACTCTGGCTGCTATGAAGGAATCCCAAAGGGGACTTTCACACAGCATGTTTCCCTTACTCTGTCACCAGCTGAGGCCAAGAAAGCAGAGCCTAGATGGCTACACTCAAGCCCCAGCAGTGTGCTAATGAATGAGTTTATTGATCTGTAAGCTGGCACACTGACCCTTTTCCAGGGCTGTGTACATGGCTATCTCCACCTGGTTTCCCAAACTCCCTCACTATGAAGCCTAACCCTTCTGGGGGGAGCATGAGGGCCACAGGACAGCCTGTGGGCAAACAGACAAGTTGGGTGAGGCACTTCCTGAAGCCATCTCACCTGACAACGAGCCTCCTCCAAGAGCTACACCTGGCCTGCAGCTTGCCTGTCAGATCCACTATAAAGAATAAGCCCCTGGGTACCAGGTATCAGCGCACTTAGGGTATGCAATGCTGGTAAAATGCTGCTGCATAGGCCTTTGGTTTGGGCAAGAAAGCTACAAGCGTGGGTGTTTGAACACTGCAACTCTGGCTGGGGGAGGGCAAAAGAGGATGTGCACATGGCCAGGGCTCACCATGTATAGCAGGCCTGGGGTTGCTGGAATCCAGCAGAAGCCTGAATGCCCTACAGCTACATCAAAAGTGCTGTGGTGGTTTTAAAGAGCCTCTGCAGAGGCTGCCAGTGTCTGCCGGTGCAGTTCTCTGGCTGCGCTGAGACTGGCACCAGTCTGCTTTCTAACCCTTTCCCATCCCCACACTTTAATTCCTTCTTTTCTTTCCCAAAGGCTTCTTCCCTTCAGCTTATGAAATCATTCCAGTGTTTCCCCATTTTAAAATAAAAAACAATTAATGCTTCCCTTCTGAACTGTTTTTCCCTCAAGCGATCATCCCCTCATTTGAAACTTCTTGAAAAGTAGTTTACAATAACTTCTTTGCCTCTTAATTACTCCTCAATCCCATATAGTCTGTTCTGGCCCCCAGAAGGCCAAGGCAACTGCTTTCCTTGACCATCCCCAGGCAACCCCCCTTCCCCCGTGATCCCATATAATCTGTACATCACCCTGTGCTAGTTTCAGGTTTACCTGTGGCCTCTCCCAGGACACAGATAGTGAGCGCCAAGAAACACGGGGCCCATCATACAGCTGGTGATCCGTAAATGTTTGCTGTGCTCATATGACATGTTCATACTCAGGGGAAGAGACCCCTATCCCCTGACCACCAAATAGGACAATCAGAAAGGAAGCAAAGTGTTTAGAAGGGGCAGGTAACCATAGTTAACTTCAGAGTTGTCTCGGGTCAGCCACTACTGAGTAAGTGGCCTGAGACAATTCCTTAAAATTGCCAAAACTGTCTCCCCATTTGCAAAATGAGAGAATTGGACTAGATCTGTAGTTTTTAAACTACATTCTGAGTTTCCATGGAACTACTTAACAGTCTTTTTTCAGTGGACATGTTGTGAAGATGTGAAGCAAGCAGGTCATTCCCACCTCCTTTCATCATATTTATCATATATGGTGGCTGAGCATAAGATTTCATTTTTAAAAAGGACTCTGCTGATAAAAAGTTTGAAAACCACTAGATCCCTCTACCTGGAAGGCTTTTTCATCCACTCTTTCACTTGCTAACTTCTACTCACCCTTTAGGTGTCAATGTAAATGTCCTCTTCAGTGAAGCCTTCCCTGACTGACCCACCCCTAAACTAAATGAGGTTCCCAGCTTCTCCCACATAGCCTTGTCACATCCTCTCATTGCACCTATCACAGTTGTATTTTATTAGTGATTTGTTTAATGTCTCTCTTCTCACCTAAGCCTTAAGAGGGCACGAAATAAATTTGTCTGCTGTACACAGTACCTTCAATCAAGAGAATAAATGCCATAATTTTATGAATCTATGTTTAAGTAGGTACTTTAGTATTAATTAACATTAATTTAAGTATTTAATTAGTTACTTTAGTAGTTATAATTACTAAAGAGGAAAGCAACTTAATGCTTTCAGTTAGCCAGACCAGCACCTGAATTTCCTCTCCACCACATTCTAACTACTTCTTTGGGAAAGTTCTCTGACTTCTCTAAGCCCCTGATCCCTCATATGTAAAATGAGAATAAAGTAGTTGTGAGCATGTGTGAAATAATGTATGTAAATAAATAAATGATAATATACATAAAACACCTAGTAGTAATTGTATTTATGAAATACCTGACTTTAAAATAATCTTTAAAAACAGACTACATTTTACTCCCTCTCCATCGTACCTCCATCATAGGTATGTTCCAATTTTATTTGTTCCATTCCATTTTGTAAAATTAATTTCTGCACTGAGAAGGTACTAGTGCTCCATGACAATTTGAAAAGGGGAGTCTCTACAAATCTGTTAACACTTACAATGCCAACACAAATTCCAACTACATAAATCTCCCTGCCCAGAAGGGAAGGTTTCAAAGCAGAGATAATACCTGAATTGGATACTGAAGGAAAAACAGGAATTTGTCAAGTGGAGAGGCGGGGGAAGGGCCTTCTAGGCAGAAGAAACTTTGTGCAGAAGACTTGATATTTCTACTACATAGTTTTGCTTTTTCTTGCAGAGAAGGGAGTAGTGATGGTAATAGTGCCTAAAATAGCAACAAATGAGACTAGTAAAGGCACCATAGGTCACATTTGATCAGATGTGAATGCCATGATATGAAACTTTTATTTTATTTTATTTTCCGAGATGAAGTCTCGCTCTGTCGTCTAGGCCGGAGTGCGTGGCGCCATCTCGGCTCACAGCAACCTCAGCTTCCCAGGTTCAAGCGATTCTCATGCTTTAGCCTCCTGAGTAGCTGGGACTACAGGTGCCCGCCACCATGCCTGGATAATTTTTTTGTATTTTTATTAGAGACAGGGTTTCACCATGTTGGCCAAGCTGGTCTTGAACTCCTAACCTCAGGTGATCTGCCCACCTCAGCCTCCCAAAGTGCTGGGATTACAACCGTGAGCCACTGGGCCCGGCCAAAACTTGTATTTTATTCTGAGAACAATGGAGAACATTAAGGAGTGAGTGCATGTGTGTGCGTGTGTGTGTGTCTGTTTGTGTACTGACCCCATTTGTACTGAGAAGGCCAATGGAATGGGGATAGGGAAGCTAGAGGCCAAAGACCACTTTTCAAGTACTGTTGGTTGCAACTCAGTGAAATCAATTTAGTGGGTGACATTATCAATGTCTGTTTAAAATGAATTCAAATGGAATAGAAAATATCAGGGGTTCCCTCTCTCAGCCTTGGAGCCTCCTCCCTCTGTCTCTGTACAGGGGAGCTGCTTCTTTCTTCCTTCCCCCTTCTTTCTTTTCTTTCTTGCCTATTAAACTCCTTGCTCCTTAAAACTAAAAAAAAAAAAAAAAAAAAGAAAGAAAGAAACAAAAGAAAATATCAGAGATTACCTGACATTATAAGGATAAATTTTACAGAACTTCTGTATCAGATTCATGTGTCCATTCTGGTCACAAAGTAACATGCATTTGTTACGATGGGTCAGAGTCAAAAAAATTTTGAGTTAGGTGACTGAGCAGGTGAAGGGGTGAGAGAAGAGACAAATGAGGGCTCCCAGGTTTCTGGTGTGGGCATGATGCCAGTGGCCAAGACAGGATATAGGGGAGGAGGCCTGCTTTTATCAAGTCCACGTGGGGATGCTAGACAGCGCAGACAGTGGCCTCTCTCAGCATTTTTTCAGCAGCCACAGTCAATACTAATCTTGTTCAGCAAAGACAATGAACACATAGTCATTGCAGCTGCAAGCTCAAGTGAGTATACAACTGATAAGGGTCCTCTAGGAGCTGGAGGGTGTCCCAGTCCTAAATCCTAAACCACAGAAAAACTGTGAAACTAAAAAAATCAGACAGGATAAGTGAAACACCATTTCCTCCAGGGAACTAACAGGGTGTGAGAAATCTTGTCCTTATTCTAAGAGTCAACAGGGAACCCTTACCCTTGGGAACCTAAGCAAACCTTCTGAAATGTCAGCGACCAGGGTATTTTTGTTTATTAGTAGTTTGTTTGGTTTTGGTTTTGTTTGGCGGAGGAGGCATTATTTCTACTTTTCTGTTTTCTAAGCCTCCTCCCCCACCCCACACTACCACCTCCAAGAGGTACTTCAACCCCTATGCCTCCAGCAAGTCCACTGAGTCCTGTAATCTTGATGTGGCTATCCTTCGGTTACCCTCCTGGAGCTTCAGGCTAAGAGAGCAGGGCCAATAGAACATGGCTTCTCCACAGACTTGGGGTGGATCCATCATTCCTCCTAACAGCCTGCCCACCCCGCCCCTGCACGATTCCATTAGAAGAAAGACTTCTCCGATTCTTGGAGGATCACAGCACAACTGAGCCCCAAACTAACTACTTTCCTGGTGACCCTTCCACTACATTCCTCAATAAACCTGCCCCAGACACATCAGGCAACTGGCTGCCCTCAAATACTCCATGTTCTTGTACACATTCTATCTTTTGCTCCTATTATTCCCTCAATCTAAAATGCCCACCCTTTCTCTGACAGAAATTCTAGTCACTCTTCGTGGTGCATCTCAAATGTCACCTCTACCACAAAGCCACTCTTTATCCAACACTCCACCCCATCACCAAATCTGGATTTAGTTACACCACTTTGTGCTTCCACTGCATCTGCCTGTGTCTTGGGCACAGCATTTCTTTCACTGGCATGCATTATAGGCAATCGTGCTTTATGTCTGTTTTCCATTAGACTTACATTTCTTGAAGATACAGACACAGAGTCTGTATCTGATTTGCCCAAAAGAAATTACCAGAAAAGAATGCATGTCATACCCTTCTCTCCAACATCCCATGGTCCTGCACACATAGGAGGTCCTCAAGAAGAGTGCTGATTCAAACTGAAAAGCTACAGATTCTTTCCACCAAAACCTGCATATCATCAGAACTAGGCGAGAGAAAGAGTGGAAGGGGAATCAAGTATAGATTTGAAGCAGACAGCTTCCCTCTCTCAATTGAACTGGGGGTGGTACACCCTACTCCTCAGAAATTAAACCAACCTCAGCAAGGAAGATTAAGCAGGCACAGTTTGGAAACTTTAAAGAACTATAAGTAGTTTCAAGGTTCTCCCATCTGCTGTTAGTCAGGTATTGACCTTGGGATGTGGTCACAGGGATTATATATTTTATTTTATTTTGCCATCCACTCCCTCTAACACTGATACCTCTAGCTATATGGGCAATAAAGAGTCTTTCATACAGGTTCTGAATATTATCTTTGAGTTCCCCTAGCCTTCTTGCAACCCTCCCACCTTTCCAGTGAGTAATTTTACAGTGCCACCTCTACAGTCCTCCTCTCCTAAAAAAGCACTTTTTCCCTTCAATATATGCAGCTTCCTTCCCTGAACGCTATGCCTTACCCTTCACCATTCAGACAACAAGATGGCAGGCAGTGTGCCTTTTAAGCTACCTGATGCGTGGCACATTTCAAAGAACTAACAGGTAGAAGTATAAGGGTTTTGATAGTTGCAGCTTCCTTTGTGATCCTATAAGTACTTCTTACTCATATTTATTATATAACTTAGGCATTCTGATTTATAATTGACCATTTTACACATCTTATCTCCCTCACTAGACTGTGAGCTTCTTGAGAACTATTCCCTAGTTCCCACAAAGTGCCCAGGATATGGTGTGCACTTACTAAACTACTGCTTAGAAAAAGATAGCATAGGCTGGGCACGGTGGCTCACGCCTGTAATCTCAGCACTTTGGGAAGCCGAGGTAGGTGGATCACTTGAGGTCAGGAGATTGAGACCAGCCTGGCCAAGATGGTGAAACCCTGTCTCTACTAAAAATACAAAAAAATCATATGGGCGTGGTGGTGGGCTCCTGTAATCCCAGCTACTCGGAGGGCTGAGGCACAAGAATCACTTGAACCTGGGAGACGGAGGTTGTAGTGAGCCACAACTGCACCACTGCACTTCAGCCTAGGCAGCACAGTGAGACTATGTCTAAAAAAAAAAAAAAAAAAGCATAAAATAAACTGCCACCTTAGGCCCCTAAGCCAAACTCAGTGTAACTGTGTGAGTACAGAGGAAGAAACATTTCAGAGGTGATCAAAACCAAAAAGTATATAGTAGTCAGTTGTATGATGCAAAGGTTCAGCTGAAGGCAGTCTCAAACAAGGGTCCTTTTGACAGGGCAGCCATTCCCATGTTCCTCAGATACTCACTATGGTCAAAGTAGTAAACTTAGTTCTCCAGAATTTACTTTCCCAAGATCTGGCAGTTCAATAAATACATTCCCCAGCCCCTGACTTCAACGACTCTCCTATATCCTTCTGACCTTTAATACTGTGTAACATTAGATGAAAAATTGATTTTTTTTGGCTACTTATTTCACAGCTGAAGAAAAAATATACTGTTTAAGGTGTTAAATATTTTTACATGCAACAAACCTGGCATGAAGCTAACTTGTATGCACATTTTAGAGGTACAGGCGTAAATGTCAGTGCTATAATTTGTTATAGGTTTCTGATGACCAGCAATGAAAATGACCACGGATTCTCACAATTCAAACCACTTTTACGTAAATGTGAACTTTCCTAAAACAGCCAAGGGAGAGAAAACTTTCCATCCAAGCTCATAGAGTGTGTTAAGAGATACTGATAGCATTGTTCACTGGGTTAGGTGTTCTCTGAAAAAATCCTACAAATATTAGTTTCCTTCTGGGCTTATGCTTTGACCTTTAATAAAAATGTGCTTCAAGACACCAGTTATTAAAATGAAAGGAACAGTTTTTAACACCTGAACAACTGCCATTTCATATAATCAGCCCTCCTGAAGGCTATACCTTACAAGTCAGCAGTGTTTAAAAAAATACATTTGGTGACTTCATTTAAATTGCTCACTTACCAGACGTGGAGT
This sequence comes from Homo sapiens, assembly GCF_000001405.40. Lineage (NCBI taxonomy): Eukaryota > Metazoa > Chordata > Mammalia > Primates > Hominidae > Homo > Homo sapiens. The sequence continues at coordinate 35,366,569 of NC_000020.11, forward strand.
AGGGTTATAAGAAACCATGAATTGAATGTATCAGGCATCTGACACCCTAGAAAATAACAATAAGGTATAAGTATGTGAGGGTTTAAAGGAAGCATATTGACCATATATTAAATATTGGCAGGCACGGCACTTATGGTGCTCTCTGATTATGCTATTGCAGAAAAGTCCAGTAGAACAATAGGGCGAGACCACAGGATAAAAGAACTTTGAATCATAGCACGCCAGGAGTAAAAGAAAAAAAAAGGATGGATGCGGTGGCTCATGCCTGTAATTCCAGCACTTTGGGAGGCCGAGGTGGGCAGATCACCTCAGGTCAGGAGATCAAGACCAGCCTGGCCAACATGGCGAAACCCCATCTCTACTAAAAATACAAAAATTAACCAGGCGTGGTGGTGGGCGCCTGTAATCCCAGCTACTGAAGAGGCTGTGGCAGGAGAATTACTTGAACCTGGGAGGCGGAGGTTGCAGTGAGCCAAGATCACGTCACTGCACTCCAGCCTGGGCAATAGAGTGAGACTCTGTCTAAAAAAAAAAAAAAAAACAAACAAAAAAACAACCCATTGAATTTAGTCAGACCACCAGCCTTCTAGTTCCAGCCCTGTTACCAGCTTGTTATGTGGCCTTGGACAAATCACTTCTCCCCTTTGAGTCTTGGTTTTCTCACTTTGCAGAATGTGGCCTAGATGATTTCTATGGTTCCTTCCAGCTTCCGTGTGCTTCTACAGTATTTTCCCTCCATGGGCTTGAATTCTGAAAAGCTAGGCAAACACTCCCTTACTTTTTTCAGTTGGGCTCCACTGAGAAGCTTAAGTCTTTCTAGTATCCTTTTCCTGTCTTCTTTCTCTAAGGTACCCAATGTGCTATGGATATGGGTGTGCTAAATGATTTGCCCAAAAGAAATGACCAGGAGCTGGGTGCAGTGGCTCACACTTGTAATCCCAGCACTTAGGGAGGCTGAGGTGGGTGGATTGCTTGAGCCCAGGAGTTTGAGACCAGCCTGGGAAACATAGTGAGACCCCATCTCTACAAAAAACTACAAACATTAGCTAGGCATGGTGGCATGCACCTATAGTCCCAGTTACTTGGGAGGCTGAGGTGGAATGATCACTTGAGCCAGGGAGGTAGAGGTTACAGTGAGCCAAGATCATTTAACTGTACTCACGCCTGAGTGACACAGCAAGACCCTGTCTCAAAAATAAGAAAAAAGAAAAAGAAAAGATCAGGCGAAAAAAATCAGGGCTCTAGGGAGCTGCAGCTGAATAAGAAAGCATATTGTACTTACTGAAAGGCTGTTCATCACCCCCCCAGAAATGACAAAACTGGGAAGGGCTTCTCCTTGGTTTCAGATCCCACAAATTAGTTCTGTGCTCAGACATCAAAGCCTCTCAATTCTCACTCAGCTAAGAAAAGCCTCCTGCTGGATGAGGGGTCTCCCACTGAATGTGCCCGCCTTATTACATAACAGGGAGAAAAGCCAGAGCAAGAGGAAGATGCAAAAAGAGAATAAGTGGGGAATTTGGGCCCTTATGGTAGAATCTGTCCTTTGGGGCAATGACTCAAGAAAGAAGCGCTATCCTCTGCTTTTCAGCAACCATCAAGGTACATGATGTACTAAATGATAACAAAGAGGGGACACTAGGAGATAACACATAGGCCCGGACCCCCATGAGGTACATTAACAGCACCAATAATAAAGAGCTGTAATTCACTGCGGGCTTACTATGTGCCAGATGTTCTACTGGGTTCTTTACATCCATGAGCTCAATGAATCCTCCCAATAACCCTGAGGTAGGCATTGATATTATCCCAAATTGACAGGTAAGAAAACTGACTCAGAGAGACCAAGACAATTGCTGTTCAAGGTCATACAGCTATGAAAAGAGACACCTGAGATCAAATTCAGATCTACTTGATTCCAAACACTGTGTTCTTAATCCTGCTCTAACAGCCTCTCTAATACCACTATCAGAAACTAACTCACTAAGGGCCCATCTGCATACCAGATCTACTGCAAGCCATGTCAATACATTATCTCACTCAATCCTCACTTTAACCCTGGAGGGAAGCATTATAATCCTCATTTTAGAGATGAGGAAACAGACTCAAACTAAGTAACGTGTGGGCAGCCACAATATTAACAAGCTAGTGGCAGGGCTGCAGTTTGAATCCAAGTCTGTCACAAAGTGACACCAAAATACTTTGGTGAGCTTACTGGGAGGTGCCTAGCAGCTGTCAAGTCGACTTCCTCTCAGAGCCCAGCAGGAGGGAGCTGAAGGCTGGCCTGGCCAGCCATACAGCTATTAAGACACATGCCATCTGAGAATGGGCCAACCACCCTCCACCTAGACAAGAATAGCCCTGAGAAACTCTGAAGCCCGGATCTGAAGTTGGGTCTTTTTTGGATGCTAGAACAAAACATTAAAAAGAAAAATTTTCTTGGAAGTCTGTCTTTCAATCTGGAAAATGAAATTTGGCTGCTTCTAAAGGACAATCTGTTCAATTGCTACCTCTACATCAAAGCTTCTCAGCAGCCTCCAGGAGCCTTTCCAATTTTCTCAGAGAGGGAATCAGTTCTTGGGCTGGAAAGCACAGACAGACAGGCCAGCAGCTGGACTTGGGTCACCATTTCCCCTTCTGGGGTCACCTCAGGGCTGAGGGTGGGAAAAGTGCTGGCATATGATTGAGTCCCTATACACACTGGTGTCAGAACAGAAACCCACAGGGTAAAGCCCTAAAAAGTAACACCATTGACTGTTGACTGTGAACTATGCAAAAATACAGCAGATTCTTTAGTTCAATGAAATGCATTTAAACACTTCAAAGTTAAAACCTGCTGTAGTATTTTGCCATGATCACACTCTTGCTCCAATGCACATTCAGTGCTTTAGTTTCTGAAGCTAGGCACTTTCTTTCTTGACATCAAGTTGGATACAATTAAATAGTTCATTACTGTTATGGGGTGGCAGCATAACACAGTTGTACATTTAATGTGGGGTCAGACTGCCTGATTCAATTCTTTGACTCTACCTCTCACTCACTATGTGACACTGGGTAAAATTACTCAATTTTCTTCTCTGTAAAAATGAGAAAAACAAGATAACTGACCTTGTAAGATTTTTGTGAGAATGAGATAAGGCCTATAAAATGTTTAGCAAAATGGTTAGTATTAAGTTAGTAGGTACTCAATAAATATTCACTATTGTTGGTTTTCAGCAAATTATTTAAATAGTAGAATTGAAATTATCTTTGAAAAACCCCACTAATTATTTCAGATTGTATCAGTGATAAACCTCAACCACAGACTCAGAATGTATTCATTAAGGAGCCTCCTCTCCAAGGCCTCCAGTCTCTTAAGGGTTAAAGACAAAGCAGTCTGCAGACAACACTGTGGAATTCAACAGGAGCTCTACTGATTGACCACCTCTGCTCCAAAGTGCTCTTCACAGCAAACATCTCTAAAAGACCAGTCAGCAAACCGCAGTGTACTCATCAGTGCAACATGCTCAGACAAAAGACATCCTCAAAATATCTAAGAAACAGCGGGCTGCTGAATTCTCAGGACTCCAAAAGTTAAGCCCTAAAATACCACAAGTCCAAGTGAGCAATGACCACTTTAAAAAGTACAATCTTGGGAAGCAATATATATATACTGCTTTCTCTTGTTTCTTTTTTTTTTTTTTTCTGCCCAGGCTGGTCTTGAACTCCTCAGCTCAAGGGATCCTCCTGCCTTGGCTTCCCAAACTGCTGGGATTACACGTGTGAGCCACTGCACCCAGCCCCTTTCTCTTATTTCAAACCTGTCTGGCCTACTCTTTAGAATCCAAGCCACAGGAAAGTCAGTGTAATTATTTGAAAGATATTTGTCATCTTCTGCATCCAGAAGGTATATTCCAGATTTGTTCCCTTTTTATTCACTAGCCACAGTTTGGAAGCACTTTGGTTTGATATGAAAACTTAATCTACCCACAAATGACAAAGATGGGCCACAACAGAATGTAATAAAAATGAACATGCTATAGGTCTCAAAAGGAAATTCTCAAATTGAGTCTCAGAAAACCTGAAGAGTAGCGTTACTAAAAAATTTACTTTCTCCCTAGGTAACTACTTCAAAGACTAAGCTAAGACAAAGCTCACCAATAGATTCACACTATAATTAGTATAAACATCAGTTTCCAATACTAATAGAAAATCTCACAGAGGTAGTTTGCATTTAAATATAACAAAATACAAAAAATATTAAAATGAATTACATTTTCTAATTTGCAATTACACTCATTCACAGACAATATGTTATAGTGGAGAAATCCCTGGATTTTAAACCAGACAACACAGGTTCAAGGCTTGGCTAGGCAACCCTGGGTGAGTCACTTAGCCCCTTTGAGCCTCAACTGTTTCTGAAAACAAAATAAAACAAAATGAAAACAGTAATACAAGCCCTTCCTAGCCCACAATATTTTGTAACTCCTAAATGAGACAAATATAAAACCATACTATATGAGCTAATAGTATAAAACAGTTATTTATAAACTTTTCTTAAGTTTTATAAGTAGTTTACACCAGGCTATGAATTGAAACATGATATGTTAAATACGTAAAAAGTCTTATTATTCAATACTACAATATTAACTGAAGAACCTTCAATAATGAACAGCTGGCCAAGACAAAGTTATCTAGTAAACATCCTTTCAAAATAATTCTAAGAAATTTCTGAGTTATTTATTGAATCAAATATAAAATAGACATTAAATAGACATCTGAGGATGAGGGTTTTTTTTGTTTTTTTTTTTGAGATGGAGTCTTGCTCTGTCGCCCAGGCTGGAGTGCAGTGGTGTGATCTCGACTCACTGCAACCTCTGCCTCCCGGGTTCAAGTGATTCTCCTGCCTTGGCCTCCCGAGTAGCTGGGATTAGAGGCACCCACCACCATGCCCAGCTAATTTTTAGTAGAGGGTGGGGGTTTCACCATGTTGGCCTGGCTGGTCTCAAACTCCTGACCTCAAGTGATTCACCCACTTCAGACTCCCAAAGTGCTGGGATTACAGGCGTGAGCCACCGCGCCCAGCCTGAGGATGAGGTTTTAAAAAGACCTGATGAAAAATACTTCACACATGGATTCAAGAAGGCACTTAAAGAAAAAAAAAAAAAAAAAAAAAACAGGCTGGGCATGGTGGCTTATGCCTGTAATCCCTGCACTTCAGGAAGCTGAGGCAGGATCACTTAAGGCCTAAGACCAGGAGTTCAAGACCAGCCTGGGCAACATAGTGAGACCCTGTCTCTACAAAAAATAAAAATAAAAAAATGACCCAGGCATAATGGCATGTCTTTGTAGTCCCAGCGACTCAGGAGGCTGAGGTGGGAGGGTTGCTTGAGCCCAGGAGTAAAAGGATGCAGTAAAAGGGCTAGAGCCACTGATTCCAGCCTAGGTGACAGAGCAAGATCATCTCTTAAAAAAAAGAAAAAGAGGCCGGGTGTGGTGGCTCACGCCTGTAATCCCAGCACTTTGGGAGGTCGAGGTGGGTGGATCACAAGGTCAGGAGTTCGAGACCAGCCTGGCCAATATGGTGAAACCTCGTCTCTACTAAAAGTACAAAAAAATTAGCCGGGCATGGTAGCACATGCCTGTAATCCCAGCTACTTGGGAGGCTGAGGCAGAATTGCTTGAATCCGGGAGGCAGAGGTTGCAGTGAGCCGAGATCACACCACTGCAGTCCAGCCTGGGTGACAGATTGAGATTCTGTCTCAAAAAAAAAAAAAGAAAAAGAAAAAAAGCAGTTTCTAATATTAATAGCTTCATCAGATAGAGAAAAAATATTTTTTCCTTTTGGACTAACTTATCCTAGACTAACAAAGAAGCAGGAAAATATTCTTTCCAGGTTATGAATAAAGAAGAAAGGAAAGGTGAACACTAAATTGGAATTATAATTCAGTATGGTATTTCAGTTTTTGGTGTCAATCTGCTGAGACAGTAAAATAAAATGATTTGTATTTATTTGATTTTTAAAAACCAAAATAGGCCAGGTCCCATGGCTCACGCCTGTAATCCGGAACTTTGGGTTGGGAGACTAAGGCAGGTGGATCATGTGAGGCCAAGAGTTTGAGACCAGCCTGGCCAACATAGCCAAACCCTGTCTCTACTAAAAAAAATACAAAACTTAGCTGGGCATGGTGGCGTGCACCTGTAGTCCCAGCTACTCAGGAGGCTGAGGAACAAGAATCACTTGAAACTGGGAGGTGGAGGTAGCAGTGAGCCAAGATGGCACCACTCCACTCCAATCTGGGCAATAGAGCAAGACTCAAAGCAAGTCTCAAAAAACACGATGCAACAAAAAAATAGTTATTAAATAACCAAAACTGCACCCAGCTTTCTTCATTGTTGTGAACACAATTATATACAAATATTTGCTGCTAGAGAAAAATCTCAAATGTATACAGTTAGGTGTATGCTGCTTTGAGGATGTGACTATTACCACAGAAGTACACAGCATACATTTCCTTCCAAAACCTGTGGAACTGGAAATGATTTAATCTCTCCCAATTACAAGTACCTGCTTTAATTAACTTTGTTAATAATATAACTGTTTACAGCATCAAAATTAATACTGTGATAACAATCAACTGCTTCTGACAGTCTAAACCAGCAAAACCCTTTTGGAAAGCAATTTATCAATGAGATATACATAATAAAATTATATATGCCTTTTGACCCAATAGTCTTTTAACATGAGAAAAATCATAATTAATCCAGGATTAATTAAAACAATTAAAAATTAAAAACAGGAATAGCTGGCCAAACGTCCATGTCAAAATGCTAAGTAAAACATCCAGAATGGGCCAGGCACAGTGGCTCACGCCTGTAATCCCAGCATTTTGGGAGGCCAAGGAGGGCGGATCACGTGAGGTCAGGAGTTTGAGACCAGCCTAGCCAACATGGTGAAACCCCATGTCAACTAAAAATACAAAAATTAGCTGGGTATGGTGGCACATGCCTGTAATCCCAGCTATTCGGGAGGCCGAGGCAGGAAAATTGCTTGAACCTGGGAGGTGGAGAGGTGGAGGTTACACTGAGCCAAGATCGTACCACTGCACTCCGGCCTGGGCTAATAGAGCAAGACTCCATCTCAAAAAAAAAAAAAAAAAAAACCATCCAGACTGTAAAACAGAATATGTTTACTATGATATGAATACTCTTATGTAAAAAGATGCATGTGTGGACAAGGGAGATAATGTCAAAGTACAGTTTGTTTGTTTTTTCAAAATAAGCAAAATGTTTTATTTATAGGATCCTTTTGCTCTCTGTTTACTCTATTAAAAAAGAAAAGCAGCTGGGTACAGTGCCATGTGCTTTTAGTCCCAGCTACTATTCAGGAGGCTGAGGTGGTAGGACTGCTTGAGCCCAGGAGTTTTAGGCCAGCCCGGGCAACACAGCAAGACCCTTGTCTCTAAAGAAATATATACAAGAAGTTTTTTAAAGAGACAAATAGACAGTTTGGATTATATGCTTTGTGCAGGAAAAACTGTTTCACTAGGGACTAAAAAAACCTATCCTATTAAAACACAACCATAAAAATGAAATGTAGATTTGTTCTCCTTTTCAGTACTATCAAACAATAACTTACTTAGAAAGAATTCCTCGAAGTCAGTTTTCTCCACACAGCTAGTATACATGCGCAGGGCCGCAATCTTAATCTTCTAGACAAAGAGAATAAAACCAAACTCAAGACATGACCAAGTGGATGTTCTACTTCCATTAGACATGGGTCACAAAATCTTATATTTCTTCAACTAGAAGGAAGGGTCCAAACCACTCTCTAGGTAATTTAAACCAATATAAATTTTTTTTGTTTTCTTAGAGCTTAGCCATTCATACAGACTTCACACAATTTTCATATTTTAGGACTTTAGCATGAAAACCTCAGAAAGGCTTTTCCAATATTTAAATGAAATCTCTCATTTAATTCCAACCTACTTCACCACATTTGTGCCTCTAAATCACTGTTCAGCATTATCCACATTAACTCTTTAGAATCTGAAATCCTTTATAGTAAAAAAGTACACATTCTTCTGGCCAAAATCAAAGAAATATACAAAAACCCTCAAGCCTTTAATCTTTCCTCAGAGGCACTACTATCTATTCTATAAATCTCGGGGGATGGAGTAAGCGGTATCTTTTTTCCAGATCTTTAATTTTATAGTTTGCTGATTAACACTGTGTCTGTAAATAAGGGTTTCTAATGACTGTAAAATACAATATAAGAATCAAACTTTTACTATTCCCAAAGCACTAGGAATTCTCTTAGGCTTTTGATATGAGTGGTGGTTTTAATTTTTTCACTGAGCTGTATACTTAAGATTTTTATATTACACTGTATATAAATTATGCCTTAATAAAAATAAATCTAAAAATAAATTATTTAAGAGTTGACTTATGGGTCTGAAGACCAACTCAGCACTCTAGGAACAGGTATTTTAAGGACTTTCAAAACATTTCATTAAGGATATAACTAAATAAATGAGCACTTCAACAAGGCTTCTAGAAGCTTATTTTTTCTTATAACAACAGGGAAAGTTATAAACTCAAATATGCATAGACCAAAAACAAATGTGTACAGGCTGAGAATGACATAGCAACTGAAGAAAAACCAATCTAGAATTTAGTGGAGCTATGATACTAAGGTTTAAAGTCACCAAGAACATACTATACCCAAAACTATATAATGTTCATGTTTTTCTAAATTCTCTAGAGTTAAAGCAAGTGTCTCTGATGGGTAGAAATACCCATAGCAAATTAAAGAATGATTACGTCTCTGATTGTAATTAAGATATTTTATTTGCTAACTTGAGATCTGTCATGTTTTTAAGAGCTTCCAGTCTAAAGTTAATACAGGGGAAAATAGGACATATAGAAATAGACAAATAAAAATCAGATATCCCTATCTGGGGAGTAAATCAGCATTAGAAGCCCACGTTTAAACAAAACCCATGGTGAAATGCTAGAAAAGCAAAGCAAATTAAACCTAAAAGCAAGCAGAAAGAATGATATAGTAAAGATCAGAAATCAACAAAACTGAAACAGGAAGATAAAATACAGAAAATTCAAGCCAGGCCAGGCATGGTGGCTCACGCCTGTAATCCCAGCACTTTAGGAGGCTGAGACAGGCAGATCGGCTGAGCCCAGGAGTTGGAGACCAACCTGGGAAACATGGCAAAACGTTTCCATCTCTACCAAAAATACAAAAATTAGCTGGCCATGGTGGTGTGTGCCTATAGTACCAGCTACTCAGGAGGCTGAGGTAGGAGGCTGAGCCTGGAAGGCGGAGGTTGCAGCAAGCTGAGATCACGCCACTGCACTCCAGCCTGGGTGACAGAGCTGGACCTTGCCTAAAAAAAAAAAAAAAAAAAAAAGGAAAATTGAAGCCAAAGCCGTTTCTTTAAAAATATCAATAAAATTAGGTTGGGTTGTGGTGGCTCACCCACCCGGCTCACTAATCCCAGCACTTTGAGAGGCCAAGGCAGGAAGATCAACTGAGGTCAGGATTTCGAGACCAGCCTGGCCAACATGGTGAAACCCCGACTCTACTAAAAATACAAAAATTAGCCAGGCATGGTGGCAGGCGCCTGTAATCCCAGTTACTTGGGAGGCTGAGACAGGAGAATCACTTGAACCTGGGAGGGAGAGGATGCAGTGAGCCGAGATTGTGCCACTGCACTCCAGCCTGGGCGACAGAGCCAGACTCCGCCTCAAAAAAAAAATCAATAAAATTGATAACCTATAAAACTGATCAAGGAAAAAGAAAAGCCCAAAACACATAAGATACAAATTTTCAGTATCAGGAATCAGAGAGCAGACATCACTGCATATCCTAAAGACATTAAAAGGATAATAAGGGAATCCTATGAACAACTTTACTCCAATGAATGTGATTACTTAGATGAAATGGACAAATTCCTTGAAAGATACAAACTATTAAAGCTCACTAAAATAAATAACATGAACAGTCTTGTATCTATTAAAGAAATTGGATTTGTCTTTAAAAACCTCCCCACAATGCAAACTGCAGACCCAGATAGCATCACTAGAGAACTGTACTGAACATCTAAAGAAATGTTATGAAATCAGCCAGGCGCGGTGGCTCACACCTGTAATCCCAGCACTTTGAGAGACTGAGGTGGGCGGATCACGAGGTCAAGAGATTGAGACCATCCTGGCCAACATGGTGAAACTCCATCTCTACTAAATATACAAAAATTAGCTGGGTGTGGTGGTACGCGCCTGTAGTCCCAGGCTGAGGCAGAAGAATCGCTTGAACCCAGGAGGCAGAGGTTGCAGTGAGCTGAGTGCGCCACTGCACTCCAGCCTGGCGACAGAGTGAGACTCCATCTCAAAACAAAACAAAACAAAACAAAAAAAAAAAGAAAAAGAAAAGGAAAAAAGGAAATGTTACGAAATCTACACAAACTCTGCCAGAAAACAAGAAGAAAGGATATTTCCCAGCTCATTCAATAAGGCCAACCTTATCCTGATATCAAAATCAAAGTCATTAGGAGAAAACAAAACTACAGAACAATAGCCTTCATGAACATAGATCATTGATGCAAAATTCCTTAAGAAAATATTTTAAAATTAAATCCATCAATATTTTTAAAAGGATAGTATATCATAATCAAGTGAAATTTATCCCAGGAATGCAAAGATAATTCAACACTGACAAATCAATCAGTTTCACCATATCAACAGACCAAAAAAAGCCTGTTTAATTTTGTTAACACTTGCAGTTCTAGGAAGTATCTGACCACAGAACACATCTTGGGAAGCACTGGTCTGTGCCATTACCAAACTAATGATAATCTAATAATATCATGATCCTAATAATTTGGCCTTGACAGGCCTACTCCTATCCTTAAGACAGGGAGTTCAGGACATCTGCCCTAGCTCCTCACTTCATCCAATAATTCACTGAGTACATAACTCAGTGCCTGGCACTGATCTGGATGATGAGAATAGAGCAGTGGGCAAAACAGACAAAAATCTCTACTCTCATGGAGCTTACGGCCCAGTTCAGCTACAGACAAGTATGTAACTTTAACTAAAATTTCTAATCATCTATTTCTTGATTTTTTTAAATCTTGTAATCTCCTTCAGATTCCTATATATAAAGTCCTGGGTTCATAATTAATCACCTTGCCTGGAGACTTGCCTTCAAGGCCCAAGGCCCAAGTCTTTCCTTGAGAAGGAAGCTTCCCCAACAACACGTTTGTGAAAAAGCATTCATCACAAACAATGAAGACTTCACCAGATTGGCCAGAGTATGTTTTCAGTGCTCATGCTATGGCAATCAGGAGCATTTTATAGTTCTTCACTTTTCCTGCTGCAAGGCCAAGCCTTTATACTTGGGTGAGCCATTTTCCTGGACAAATCTCTAAAACAAGTCTCTAAAGACTATCACACAGAGACTGGAAATAATAACTTGAGGAAAGAACCTCATCAAGAATCATGCACTGATCTGAGTTAAGGACGTAGGGGGACTGAATTTTCAACCAGTCAATACAAGTTGTTCTGGTCCTTGGATGACTTCATATTTATTTCATTTTAATTTTAGAAGACTTCATCAGTCATCTTTTACTTGAGTAAAAGAGAGGCACCTTGAACAGCTTTAGGAAATGAAAATCTGCTCTCCCACGAACTAATGCATTTTTTAACATCCTACAGGATGAAAAACAAATCTAGTAAAATGCTTGCATTAACAGCTATGTAAGAGTTTGAAAGGGCCTGGCAAGGTGGCTCATGCCTGTAATCCCAGCACTTTGAGAGGCCGAGGTGGGCGGATCATGAGGTCAGGAGTTCTGAGACCAGCCTGGCCAAGAGACCAGGGTGGCCAGTATGATGAAACCTCATCTCTACTAAAAATACAAAAATTAGCTGGGCGTGGTGGCAGGCACCTGTAATCCCAGCTACTCGGGAGGCTGAGGCAGGAGAATTGCTTGAACTTGGGAGGCAGAGGTTGCAGTGAGCCGAGATCGCGCCACTGCACTCCAGCCTGGGCGACAGAGCGAGACTCCAACTCAAAAAAAGATAAAAAAGAGTTAGAAGGGTGTTTTAAGTAATTTGAACCTTCTATTGTCTACTGGAAATCCTTCTACAGCATTCTTGATTCACAGTCAACCATCTGGGCCTCTGTTCAAACAAGACCAATGACCTTGTAAGGCTACCTGTCCCACCTGAGGACAATTCTTGTTAGATTCTTATTTTGCTAAACTTAAAATCTGCTTCATATAACATTCATTGAACATTATTCTGCCCACTGGAATACCTTCTTTTTTTCACATTTGCCCCTCAAATACCTGAGAAGAATCATCCTGTCTTCTCTTTTCCAGGCTAAGCATCCCTATTTCCTTCAACCGTTCTTAACAGTTTCTGAAATGTTCATAAGGCTCACTGCCTACCTCTGAATACATTCCAGTTTGTCAGTGTCCTTCAGAATAGGAATAACTTTTTGGCTTAATGCTAATATGGAAACCTATTCTATGGCATGTGGCTGAGTTGGGTAAATATTGTGCTTATCTCACCTGATACTGCATATAAAGGTAATTTTTTAAAATGATGATTCCAAGATACTCAAATAGGTAAGGGAAAGCTACATTTAAGATCCTAAACATGATTATCAAACATGGGAATAACACATGAAACCTAAAGAAAAAGATAGAGAAAAGATAGCTGATACTGCTGATGTGGACAGACATGCAGGTATTTTACTCCCTAATCAAATACATGTGAAAACACAAAACAAATAATTTTGCCAGTGCAATCCAATACAAGTGCATTGATTTGAGTCAACATTGCTGAAAACGGTTCTGTTTTTCAAAATGAAAAGTTACACATACATTTTCACATCTCAATTACACTAGAATGTCATACGTTGATATTGTGATGTAACAAATTTTAAAATGAAGGTTATAGGCTGGGCGCAGTGGCTCAATCCTATAATCCCAGCACTTTGGGAGGCCAAGGCAGGCGGAATCACTTGAGGTCAGGAGTTGGAGACCAGGCTGGCCCAACATGGTGAAACCCCATCTCTACTAAAAATACAAAAGTCAGCCAGGTGTGGTGGCATGCGCCTGTAGTCCCAGCTACTTAGGAGGCTGAGGCAGGAAAATTGCTTGAACCTGGGAGGCGGAGGTTACAGTAGGCTGAGATCACGCTACTGTACTCCAGCCTGGGTGACAGAGTGAGACTCTGTCTCAAAAAAATAAAATTAAAATTAAATAAAATAAAATGAAGGTTATAGAAAGTACACACCATCACATCACAAGAGTTTTAAAATGCAAACATTAGGGATTTAGTTGATGTCACAAGGGAACCAAGAAAAATCAGAGGCTAACTTAGGCTAAAAGAGCAAAGGAATTTTCCTGATGATTTAGTAATCCTCCAAATGATAGCCAATTTTCTCTCTAGAATCATTAAAAAACAGCCTAGACAAAACATATGGTAGCAACCAAGTGGAACCCAATCACCAAGAAATGAATAAAACTGTAAATGTTTCTTTTCTTTTTTTTGTTTTGACTTCCCTCTTAATTTCTAATTTTCAAACAAAACATATACTTTAAGTTTGTAAATCCAAATGCCATAAGCATAACATTTTTTTAATAGGGGAAAAGATTCTGGTTAAAAACATTACCAAGTATATCAACAATTATCAAGTGTCAAAAATTAAGATATTAAAAAATACAACTTTAAAGAACATAACTAATATTTCATTGGCAATTAAGAAGATACTTCATAACCTTAGGGACTCAAGAACATCATTGTCAGTATTTGTGTTCTTTCTATATTTTTTCAAAGCTCCTTAAAAACAAAATGCTTGTGGAATTACTGTTCACTTTTCAGAATTCAGGTAAAAGAGTAATTATAGAGAGAAGCTCATATTTGCTGTAGTGAGAATTGTTAGAAAGAGAACCAGACACCATAAGAAGAAACCACAAGTAGAAGTCTATAATAAAATTGAAATTCTAATTTGAATCCAACTTGTTAAAATGGTGTAAGTGGCATTACTTGGTTGTTCTCAGTAAAGCTTATATATTTTCTAGAAAAATCTTCCCTACTGCTTTGAGTGGGCTTGCTTTGACTTATGACTGATTAGGCTTACCCAATATTCCAGCAACCCTGAAAGGCATTAAAAGGCACTTCTGCCATAGTGAAAGAGAGAAATGGTATTACAGGTTGAGTATTCCTTATCTGAAACGTGTGGAAACAGCAGTGTTTTGAATTTTGGATTTGGGGGGATTTTGGATGCTTTGCATTATACTTACCAGCTGAGCATCCCAAATCCAAAAATCCAAAATGCTCCAGTGAGCATTTCCCTGGGGCATCATGTCTAAAAACTCCAAACGTTTTAGATTTTGAATTTCCAATTTTCCAATTTGGGATGCTCAACCTGTTCTAGGAGATAAGTGGGCTGAGAAGAACTGAATCGCTGATGTTTTATTTCTATAATTGGTTAGAGGTATTATTATAAAAGCCCAGGGGCAGTATGCATCTGAGGCAGAGAGGACATTCATTCATTTATAGCCACTACTATTATAACAGATAATGTGCTAGGCCAAGAGTTGACTGGGAGTGACATGGTTAACAAATATCCCTCCATAATAAGAATTACAATAGATCGTGGGCTTAATTAGTTAATAAAAAGATGATTAGTAAAATTTTAAAGAAAATCCCTTATAAAATATGGGTCCATCAGAAAGTAATGCTTCCTTAAGAATGTTGCCAATCAGAACATTTGGCCCATCTGACCCCTCAGAAGTCATCTATATGGCATACCATGCAGCAAGGGCCTGGAAAGCCCAGTCTTGTTGCCATGCCTGCTACTATGAGATGCTTCTAAGGAATCAGGTGGAGGGACTAGTTCAGCCCCACATGTTGTATAGATCTGACTGGAAGCAGCAAGAGGTTGTGGCACGTGGGCAAAGATATTTTGAAGAAGTTATCAGAATAATGTATGGACCTTGAGAGCTTACTTGGGAGGTTCTGGCAGGGGAGTGCAGCTACTCATATACCCTTGATCAAAGAATGGTCCTCCTCTATTGGAGAAGGTCATCCTCTTCAACCAAGAACACAGCTTCAAAAAGGTCGCACATAGAGTGGTCAAGGAGGAAGGGGACACCCGCCTACCCAGCCAGATCAGCCGAATCAACCCTGGTGATCAATGGGGTGACAGATGTCGCAGCTAGATCGTCCTCACATCCAAAATAATGTATGAATTCCATGAAAGCAAAGCAGAAGCTTTAAAAAATCTATTAGGAGCAGAAAGCACAATGCCCAAAAGGAAAAATGAGAAGAACTTAAAGGACTTTACCCATTTACTGTATTTCAAAGGTCCCGTGAATCCCATGGCTTCTATTATCTTTGTGAAAGCACCAACCTTCTCCTCAACAGGCTGTGGGGAATCTTTGGTAGTAGAAAGCTGATTAACCAAAAAGAAAAAAACTAAAATTAGTTGCAAAAAATTTTTAATAGAATGCTTTGTTCCTCATCAGGTCTGAGAGCATTTTTTTTTTAAATACAGTCAGGGTCTCCTCCCCTCACCCAGGCTAAAGTGAAGTGGCACAATCATAGCTCACTGCAGCCTCAAACTTCTGGGCTCAAGTGATCCTCCTGCCTCAGCCTCCCAAGTAGCTGGGATTACAGGTGCACGCCATCACGCCAAGTCAATTTTTTAAATTTTCTGTGGAGGTGGGGTCCACAGCCTGTTGTTCTCTGGAGAGGGGGGGTCCATAGCCTATTGCCTAGGCTGGTCTCAAACTCTTGGCCTCAAGCAATCTTCCTGCTTCAGCCTCCCCAAATGCTGGGATTACAGGTGTGAGCCACCATGCTTGGGCTGAGGGCATTTTTATTGCTTAGATTTTTGTTTTCACCTACAATTTTTAATTTTCTTTTTTTTTTCTTTTTTCTTTTTTTTTTTTTTTTTTGAGACAGAGTCTTGCTCTGTCGCCCAGGCTGGAGTGCAGTGGCGAGATCTCGGCTCACTGCAAGCTCCGCCTCCCGGGTTCCCGCCATTCTCCTGCCTCAGCCTCCCGAGTAGCTGGGACAGGCACCCACCACCACGCCCGGCTAATTTTTTTGTATTTTTAATAGAGATGGAGTTTCACCGTGTTAGCCAGGATGGTCTAGATCTCCTGACCGCATGATCTGCCCGCCTCGGCCTCCCAAAGTGCTGGGATTACAGGCGTGAGCCACCGCGCCCGGCCTAATTTTCATTTTTTTAAGCATCTTATCATTCAGTGAAAACACATTTGGAACTGTACCTAATAGATGCCCTCCAAATTTCAGAGCAAGACATGCCTACCTCATTGACTGTATGTCTATTAACCCATATCTAGCAGATGACAGATGTGGGGTATTAGAATAAAAGTTCTATCAAAAAGAAGACTTTTAAAAGGAAATCTTGACCCCCATCTCCCAAGAACAATTCTGAGAAGTAAAACATTCTATGCTTATTGATGTAATAGGAAAAGGAAAAAAAAATACTGCCTGAAAGCAGTCAAAAGTCATTCAAAACTGCAATCAAGCACTGAATGTTTTTAAACTCTTGCATTTTTTAGTAAAGGTATCACAAATTTTATTAATGACTACAGAGTCTTGTAGTTTGCAAATAACCTCCAAGGAAAGTCTGTTCTAATGTTAACCCTCTCCAAGCAAAGGCAAGCTATCTAACCAATAAAAAATTATCCAAAAGTTAAATATCACTTTATTTTTAACATGTAAAAAATTCATATGTTTTCCTCTTAAGTGTTTTCCAGACACAACAATGGAAGAAACATAGGACATAGCCTCAGAAGGCTTAGGTCCAAATATTCAGGCTGGCATGGTGGCTCACACCTATAATCTCAGTAATCCCAGTACTTTGGGAGGCCGAGGTGGGAGGATCACCTAAGCCCAGGAGTTCAAGGCAGTAGTGAGCCATGATCATGCCACTGCACTCCACCAGGGTAACAGAGCAAGACCTCATCTGTTAAAAAAAATTTTAAAAACAATCCCAGCACTTAGGGAGGCTGAGGCAGGAGGATCGCTTGAAGCCAGGAGTTTGAGACCAACCTAGGTAACAAAACGAGACCCTGGTCTCTACAAAAATTTAAAAATTGGCAGTACACAGTGGTGCATGACTGTAAGTCTCAGCTATTCAGAAGGCTGAGGCAGGAGGATAGCTCGAGCTTGGGAGTTCGAGACTACAGTCAGCTATGAAGGCACCACTCTACTCTAGCCTGGGTGACAGAGCAAGACCTTGTCCCTGAAAAAAAAAAATTCATTTTGTCTGCCACTTACTTACCATCCTTGTGACCTTGGGCAAGTCACTTTACCCCCTGAGCCTCACCTTCTGCATTCGCTAAAACTCACCTAGCTAACAATTTTGTTGAGATCCAAAGAACACCTGTGTGAAAGCACTCTATAAACACAGAATGCACTGATAATTCTCACCTTACGTGTGGTGTGATACTTCCTATTCAGCTGTATGTCTATTCCAGGAATCTGTTCTGATCCACCACATGCTCGGGACTGGCTCATCTGGGGCCACTGAAGAATAAAAACACAGATCTATGCAACACTGAGCACTTACAGGGTTAATCTGAACAGAGCTGTTTCAAAGTAAAGACTATAGGATCTTTCCAACCTTACTTAGCCCACTTCCCCGTGATCAGCTCACCAGGAAGACCCAAGATCAGCACCTAGAAGGGTGTCTAGTACATGGTAGATGCCCAAGAAATATCTGTTGAATACCTGAAGAAATAAAAGAATTTGGGCCAGGCACAATAGCTCACACCTGTAATTCCAACACTTTGGGAGGTCAAGGTGAGAGGATTGCTTGAGGCCAGAGTTTAAGACTCAGCCTGGGGAACATAGCAAGACTCTATTTCTACAAATTTTTTTTTAATTGGCTGGGTGTGGTGGTGCATGCCTATAGTCTTAAGCTGCTTGGGAGGCTGAGGTGGGAGGATCACTTGAGCCCAGAAGATCGAGGCTGCAGGGAGCTATCATCACACCACTGCACTTCAACCTGGGCGACTCAGCAAGAGCAAGACCCTGTCTGTAAAAAAAAAAAAAAAGAGAGAGAGAGAGTGAATTCAAAGGCCAGGTGGCGTGGCTCACACCTGTAATCCCAGCACTTTGGGAGGCCGAGGTGGATGGATCACTTGAGGTCAGGAGTTTGAGAGCCTGGCCAATATGGTGAAACCCCATCTCTACTAAAAATACAAAAAATTAGCCAGGTGTGGTGGCACATGCCTGTAATCCCAGTTACTCAGGAGGCTGAGGCAGGAGAATAGCTTGAACTGAGGAGGCAAAGGTTGCAGTGAACCAATATCATGCCACTGCACTCCAGCCTGGGCAACACAGCAAGAATCGGTCTCAAAAAAAAAAAAAAAAAAAAAAAAAAAGAATTCAGCCCTGGAAACCTGGAACTACATCTAAGTCAATTCTAGGAAACAGAACTGTAGTATCTATCTATTTAAATATGGGCAGCAGTGCCGTATATGGGGAAAAAAATAAAGACACCAGCCACTTTTAGGTTTAAAACCTGCTTCTGTCGCCTACGACAAGCTCAGTGGCCATGGAAAACTTACTGAACCTCAGTTGCAGTAAGGATGAAAGAAGGTAAGATATATAAAGTGCCTTTCACAAAATAGGCACTCAATAAATAGCAGAAGTTTCCATCATCACTATCATCACCAGCATTATTGTTTGGATCACAATCGCCACCTTTTTCATGTTCACATTGCATTTAAAAACAATTTGGCAATAAAATAGCCGTTATTATGTGCCAGATACTATACAGAATGAAAACTGGGAGGAAAGTCCATTAAGGAGATGGTTAATGAAAGTTCAGTCACTCAGTGGAAAATCAGGTATCCATTGAGGGTTTTTTGTTTTGTTTTTGTTGTTGTTGTTTTGTTTTTGTTTTTTGAGACAAGGTCTGGCTCTATGGCCCAGGCTGGAGTGCAGTGGTGCAATCTCAGCTGACTGCAACCTCCACCTCCCCGGCTCAAGCAATTCTCCTGCCTCAGCCTCCTGAGTTGCTGGGACTACAGGCATCTGTCATCACACCCTGCTGATTTTTGTATTTTTGTAGAGACAGTGTCTCCATATGTTGCCCAGGCTGGCCTCAAACTCCTGGGCTCAAGTGAGTGATCTTCCTGCCTTGAACTCCCAAAATGCCTTGAACTCCCAAAATGGGACTACAGGCATGAGCCTGGGTGCCTGGCTGGGATTTTTTTTTTTTTAAATAGACTTTTTTTTTTTTTTTTAACAGCAGTTTTAGGCTCATAGCAAAACTTCCTGGAAAGGGCAGAGTTCCCACATACCCCTTCCCCCACATGCACAGCCTCCCCCGCCATCAACATCCCATACCAGAGTGGTGCATTTGATACAAAGAACAAACCTACACTGACACATCATCATCACTCAGACTGCACGGTTTACTCAGAGATTATTATTATTGTTAACAACATGAAAAATGTTAAATGCTTATAATATGTATAAAATTATAGGTAAAACATGACTGCGTAGACTGCATATGGGCAAGTTTAGAAAGAACACACAAGAAACCAAAGAGTTATTTTGTTAAGTTAGAATTATGGATAAATTTAAGAATCTATAGCCAAAATAATTCTGGCAAAAAAAAAAAAATCTAGTTTCCAAACTCTCACTAATGCTATATTACCTTTACAATAAAAAAGGGTGAGAGGGAGCAGGAAGAGGGCTGACTCTTCAATTCTGGTTTATTCCAAGAAGAAATGGAACACATGGAATGAAAATGATTTTTTTTCTTTAACCCTAACGAAGAAAAAATAGAATTTCTAATTGTGGAATGTTACTATTTACTTTTCTTTCCAAACGAGGATATTAAAAAATTAGTCAGGATTCTTCTGGTCAGTCCCAAGGACACTTAGGCTTTAATTCATAAGTATCAAGCAGGCTTTGTAAAACACAGACTAAACACAGAACACCTCCCCATTACATCACATACATCAATGCAATGGTCCACCTAAAACACAAAGCACTTAAACTGGTTCAAAGAACACAGCCAACAGCAGTTTCCACAAGCTGTGCTTTGGGCTGGGTCCTCTTCTATTAGGTTCTATTAGATCCTTCTTTTTCCTCACAGCTCTAGGAGTAACCAGTAGATTCCTTCTGTGGCTGTCCTACCATCTACTGTATTTCTATCCTACCATTAGCTAACATTTCACACTATATTGAACTACTAAAGTACCTATGTATCTAGTATCAAGGACATCTAGTTTCTCCACACCTACACACTTATAAACACACACATTTACTTTTTTGTACTACCCACTCTTGTCCTTGCACTTCCCGCAAAAAATTCACTCGACCCTTAAAGACCTCAATTTTTCCTTTGCTTAGATTAGAAAATATCAATAGGCTGGGCGTGGTGGCTGACGCCTGTAATCCCAACACTTTGGGAGGCCGAGGCGGGAGGGTTGCCTGAGTCCAGGAGTTAGAGACCAGCCTGGGCAACATGGCAAACCACCATCTCTACCCCCCTCCAAAAAAAAACAAAAATTAGCCAGGCATGGTGGTGTGTGCCTGTAATCCCAGCTACTCAGGAGGCTGAGGCAGGAGAATCGTTTGAACCCAGAAGGCGGAGGTTACAGTGAGCCAAGATCATGCCACTGCACTCCAGCCTGGGTGACAGAGCAAGGCTCTGTCTCAAAAAATAAAAATAAAAAATAAAAAAACAAGAATGACAGAGGCAGAGAAGTAGAAAGGGGGTGCTGGGACAAACTCAAGCGATTCTTGAATACCATGGGCGTGTGTGTCTGCTCCTTTTAGCAACTATAAGCTCCAGGGCACAGCCCATCTTATATGTCTGTCATTTTCTGTCCCAATACTCAACACCATTCTGGGCATGAAGTCATTACTCAATAAAAACTAGGTGGATTTTTTTTTTTTTTCAAAGAGGACAACTTTGGAGAACGTCCAAAAAAAGAACCACAGGAATGATCAAAGGGATGAATAAAAGGTCCTAGTGGAAAGGTCAAAAGGAATTTAGGCTGTTTAGCTTGGAGAAAAGGCAACTGAAGAACTAAAGAGTAACTCAGAATAACAACACTTGAGCTGGAAGAAATCTCAGAGATATTCTGGTCCAACCTTTTCACTTCACAGATGAGGAAACTAAGACAAAGGGAGAGGTTGCAATTTGGTAAAGGTAATTTTAGGACAACTTTTTTTTTTTTTTTTAAGTTTCATTTCATACAGTGAGGAGAAAACTTTCCCAAGCAACAGGAACATAAATAGCAACAAAAATAGCAATTGCAACTTACTGAAGATCTCCTGTATGTCTAGTACCTACCTACATGCTTGGTGTTTTACTTATGTTATCTCACAACAATCTTATAAAGTATATTTTCCTATTTTTTTTTTTTTTGAGACGGAGTCTCGCTGTGCCCAGGCTGGAATGCGGTGGCATGATCTCGGCTCACTACAACCTCCACCTCCTGGGTTCAAGCAACTCTCCTGCCTCAGCCTCCCAAATAGCTGGGATTACAGACGTGTGCCACCACGCCAGCTAATTTTTTTATTTTTTTAGTAGAGACAGGGTTTGACCACATTGGCCACCCTGGTCTCAAACTCCTGACCTCAAGTGATCAGCCCACCTTAGCCTCCCAAAGTGCTGGTATTACAGGCATGAGCCACCACACCTGCCCCTTCTATTTCTTTTTTTCTTTTTTTTTGAGACAGGGTCTTGCTCTGTCACCCAGGCTGGAGTACAGTGGTGTGGTCATGGGTCACTGCAACTTTGACCCCCCCAGACTCAAGGGATCCTCCTGCCTCAGCCTCCTGAGTACCTGGGAACACAGAGATCCAGCTATTCCGGATTTTTTGTAGAGATAGGGTCTTGCTATGTTACTCAGGCTGGTCTCAAATTCCTGGCCTCAAACAATCCTCCCACCTTGGCCTCCAGAAGTGCTGAGATTACAGGCATGAGCCACTGTGCCCGGACTATTTTTTCCTGTTTTAGAAATTAGAACACAAAGGCTCAAAGAAGTAAAGTTCATTAAAGACTAGGATATATACTCAAAGCTATGTTCTGTCCGCTATATCAAGCTGCCTTCAAAAGTCTGAGTAGAGTTCAACAACACAGGCTCATGCACACTTAATACCCAGATCTTGATTTCTAAATACTGCTCTCCAATAGAAGGAATCGGGGCTGGGTGCGGTGGCTCATGCCTGTAATCCCAATACTTTGGGAGGCTGAGGCGGGAGGATCACCTGAGGTCAGGAGTTCAAGGCTAACCTGGCCAACATGGTGAAACCCCTTCTCTACTAAAAAATATAAAAATTAGCTGGGCGTGGTGTGTGCGCCTGTAGTCCCCAGCTACTCGGGAGGCTGAGGCAGGACAGTCACTTGAACCTGGGAGGTGGAGGTTGCAGTGAGCCAAGATCGCACCACTGCACTCCCACCTGGGCAACAGAGTGAGACTCCATCTAAAAATAAAAAATAAAAAAAATAAAAAAATAAAATCAGGACTCCTTGGAGTAATGTTTGAATCTAGGGCCAGGGCAAAGAAAATACAGCATGAACCTGAAACATCTTGTGGTGCCAGCAATTAAGAGAGTATTCAAAAAATGATGGGGGGCATGTAGAAAGGCGTTCCCAATAGCCCAAGCTGGGACAATCTAATCAACAAAATAACTAATTGGAAAATGAATTATAAGCCGGGTGCTTATAATTTGCACCTCTCTTTGGGAGACCGAGGCGCATAGATCACAAGGTCAGGAGATGAAGGCCATCCTGGCCAACACGGTGAAACCCCATCTCTACTAAAAATACAAAAATTAGCTGGGCGTGGTGAGCTCGCACCTGTAATCAAGCTATTCAGGAGGCTGAGGCAGGAGAATCACTTGAACCCGGGAGGCGGAGGTTGCAGTGAGCCAAGATCTCGCCACTGCACTCCAGCCTGAGTGAGAGAGTGAGACTCCGTCTCAAAAAAAAAAGAAAAGAAAAGAAAAGAAAATGAATTATAACTCAGAAGAAAATAAATATCCATGAGCTCATACTGGTATAAATAAATAATTGAATAAATAAATAAATGGGGAAGAAGTGACAGCTCTTTCTTACAACAGAGTTCCAGTTAATAAATGTAGGAATGATGGAAATAAAAAATCATTAGACAAACACCACAATAATGATCACTGCAGTGAAGAACCATCAATGCAATTATCATATAATCCATCAATCCTAATTCTGGGTATATATCCAAAAGAATTCAAAGCAGGATCTCTAAGATATTTGTACACTGACATTCACTGCAGCATTATTCACAATAATGTGTGCAAGAGACAGAAGGAACCCAAATGTCCATTGATCCAAATGGATAAAGAAAATATACAATAGAAGAGTACGCAGCCTTAAAAAAAGAAGGAAATCCTGTCATGTGCTACAACATAGATGAACCTTGAGGACATTATGCTAAGTGAAATAAGCATGTGCCAGTTATAAAAGAACAAAAACTGTATGAGTCCACTCACATGAAGTATCCTAAAGTAGTCAAAATCACAGAAACAAGGCCAGGGTGATGGCTCATGCCTGTAATCCCAGTGCTTTGGGAGGCTGAGGCGGGCAGATCACTCGAGGTCAGGAGTTTGAGACCAGCCTGGCCAACACAGTGAAACCCCGTCTCTACTAAAAATACAAAAATTAGCCAGGCGTGGTGGTGAGCACCTGTAATCCCAGCTACTCAGGAGGCTGAGGCAGAAATGCTTGAACCTGGGAGGCGGAGGTTGCAGTGAGCTGAGATTGCACCACTGCATTCCAGCCTGGGCGACAGAGTGAAACTCCGTCTCAAAAAAAAAAAAAAAAATCATAGAAACAGAAAGTAGAAAAGCAGGGTGGGGAGAGAATTAGTGTTTAGCATAGAGTTTTGCAAGATGAAAAAGTTTATAGAGATCTGTTGCAAAACAATGTGAATATGCTTAAATTAACATTACTGAACTGTACACTTATAATGGTTATGACAATAAATTTAATGTTAACATATCATTAAAAAAAACCACCAATGACTGCTAAAATTAGTAAGCAAAAGTATAATGTGAAATGGGTATCTGCACAGTCTCCAAGTATCTCCTGACAAGATACTAATTACAAAGGGAAAATACTAACTTTAGAGTTCAGGAACCTGACAAACACCAATTTAACCAAGTGGCCAAAGTTATAAGACCTACTAGCATTATGTATCCCCTGATATGATGCACTGAGAAGGGAATAACATCATTTTTGCCAAAAATGCATAACCTCAATCTCATTATAAGAAAATATTAGAAAGGCCGGGCTTTCTATATTATAGGTGGTAGCTCACACCTATAATCCCAGCACTTTGAGAGGTCGAGGTGGGCGGATCACCTCGGATCAGGAGTTCAAGACCAGCCTGGCCAACGTGGCAAAACCCCTTCTCTACTAAAAATACAAAAAGTAGCTGGGTGTGGTGGCGGGCACCTGCAATCCCAGTTACTGGGGAGGCTGAGGCAAGACAATCACTTGAACAGGAGGCAGAGGTTGCAGTGAGCCAAGATCGCACCACTGCACTCTAGCATGGGTGACAGAGCAAGACTCTGTCTCAAAAAAATGAATAAAAAATAAAAGAAAATAAAGAAAAAAGAAAAGAAAATATTACACAAACTCAAATTGAGAAACATTCTACAAATAACTGACTAGTACTCTTCAAAAGTGTCTAAATCTTGAGAAGAAAAAGAATAAGAAAATGTGACCAGACACAGTGGCTCATACCTATATTCCCAGCACTTGGGGAGGCCCACAGGGGTGGATCACTTGAGGTCAGGAGTTTGAGACCAGCCTGTTCACCAAATGGTGAAACCCCGTCTCTACTAAAAATACAAAAATCAGCCAGGTGTCATGGCACATACTTGTAATCCCAGCTACTTGGGAGGCTGAGGTGGGAGGATCGCTTGAACCCAGGAGGTGGAGGTTGCAGTGAGCAAGATAGTGCCACTGCCAAGATAGTGTCATCCACCCTGGACGACAGAGTGGGACTCTGTCTTAAAAAAAAAAAAATGAAAATTTAACAGATTGGAGACGACTAAGAATATATGACAACTGGATTTGTTATCGCAGATCAAAAAAGGACATTCATAAAAAAAAAAATTGACAAAATTGGAACAAATAGACTAATTAATAGTATTATTTCAATGTTAATTTCCTGGTTTCAGTAATTGCACCATGGTTATGTAAGAGGTTAACATTAGGGGAAGCCAGATGAAGGCTATTTGGGAATGCTACTACTTTTACAACTCTTACATAAGTCTAAAATTATTTCAAAATTTAAAAAATATTTTTAAGTAGACAGAACTTCAAGAGGCTAATTAAGACAAAGCTGAAAGTATGTCTCTAGCTCTTTGAAAACAATAATAGGATTACAGCACTGGACATTACCTTACAGATACCTGATACTACCACTCATCGAAGGAAGGATTCCTTTATGTCAGGCCCTTGACATACATTCATCCTACCACTGCCTGAATATTTCCAGTAAGAGTAAATTTACTATGTGAAAACGCAGCTCACACATCCCATTATGCACAATTCTAATTAACAAAACTCTTTCTCATTCTGAGCCAAATCTTCCTCCCTGTGAGACATGTACCTGAGGATGCCATTCTGAAGCAGAAGTTTCCAACCAGGGGACCTCAAAGATAGGAAGATACTCCAGTAAGTTACAGTCGATACGACAAAAGGTCCAGTTGATTTACAATGACTAAAATTACATCTGGTCAGCAT
Source organism: Homo sapiens (assembly GCF_000001405.40). NCBI lineage: Eukaryota > Metazoa > Chordata > Mammalia > Primates > Hominidae > Homo > Homo sapiens. The sequence continues at coordinate 35,392,370 of NC_000020.11, forward strand.
GAGATAAACCACCCTCAGTTATTTACATAAATGCTTTGCTATAATGTTGTCCCAGAGCCTAATACAGTACCCGGTACTTATTAGGTGCTCAAGAAACGTTTACTGACCCAAAGAGTAGGGCACAAGTCAGAGATTCATATAATGAGTTATTTTCCCCTACCATCTACACACATACAAATAACAAATACTATTAAAAATTTGTACAAAAAGTAACAGAACACAGCCCAAGCTCTGAAAAGAAATACCTGCATAACTACCCAAAGTAGACGCCTCTTCTGCACAGGCATATTCTCCATTCATTCAACATATACTTAGTGACTACTCTGTGCCAGGCATAGTGAAAAGACCAGGAAATACAAGAAAAAAGCAAGATGTCCTCAGAAGGGCAGGGCTTACACATTAATTGGAGGGAATTTTTAAGTAGATTATATATGTTACATAAATTATATAATATATATAATTACATATAGCAAACATATTTTTAATTGCATCGAATACGAAAAAGAAAGTTAATGACTACAGATAAAAATCATAAATTGGTAAGAAAAATGAGTTCCCAATAGATGAATGGAGAAATGCCATAAGCATACAATTTTCACAAACTGAAAAACAACTGATCAATACAGAAAAAATACATAACCCTGAGAGCTAAACAAAGAAATACAAGGTAAAACAAGGTAACATTTCTTACCCAATTTATTTAAGTTAAAAAAAACTCAACTTGAGAGAGGTAATAATGAAAAACTACTTATACATACATTGCTGGTGGCAGCATAAATTAAAACAACCTTTTGAAGAGGCAAACTGTTCATACTCTGACCCAAGGTATGCCTTCCTAGGAATTATTAATAAGTAATTAAAAGTAAGAAAAAATATGTGCTAAGACAATGGTAAGAAAATTAAAGCTTATAATGGCAAAAAAAAGGAAATGATTTTCATATCAAAGGCTAAGTAAATAAAATATTATATGGTCATTAAATTTTTAATTACAAAGTCTATCAAAACAATATGAATAATGTCCACTCTAATAAGTGAAAAGGTACCAGAATATAAACTTCTGTGGACATTTGTTAGGGTACTTCAGGAATAACATTACATATACATACACACACACACACACACAAACACACACAAACACACACACACACACACACACACACACACAGGCTGAAAAAGAACCAGCAGAGATAAAATACTGACGTTTTCAGATTTGAAGTCATAGATGATTTATTTCCCTTATTACTAAATTATTTGTATTATTAACAAAAATCAGGAGGGACACAAGGTCCAAGGTAAACTACATTATAATGATTAGGTGGTCAATGGTAAATGAATACCTCAAATAATTGTTTCTTGGATTTTATATTCATATAAAGGAAAAAGAAATAATTATCACGCCCAAATAAAAGTAGCACAAGATGGCCACAAAAAGAAAATTGAAAAAGGTTAACTCGGAGATGAATATCTGGAAAAATTCCCTAACAGTAAAAATCATCAGACTGTAGCATGGTATCCTAGGCTAAGTTCCACTGCTAGGGTATTTAGAAGCAACGCCCTAGACACCATACTTTAGGAATCAGTCCTAAGTTGGCACCACAGAGACCCAGAGTGGTCTCATGAGGTTTTTCCATCACACAATTTGGTTGGCTAATCTATAAATACATGACATTTGCACATAAACACTAAGGTTTTCATACTAAGCAAAAGAACAACAAATCTTACCTGGGAAGTGCGAGACAGAGCCCTGTCCCCCTGTCCTTGGGTAGGAGACACAGGTATCAATCGGCTGCATACTGGAACCCACTGAGAAATGCTAGTCTGGTTCCTCTAAAGAAAGAAAATAATAATCTGTCAGGAATCTAAATCATACTCCCTACATGGAAGGCAAAGAGTGTACCTGTGATACTGTAATATAATTAGAAATATATATTTGGCCTTCATCTCTAGTTCCTGGCACAGAGCTCCTAAAACCCTTGGAATTTCTGAGTGAGGGGGGTGTCTGTAACTCATAATAAGCCCCTTTCAACCATACCTGAGTTTATGCTAATGAGGTGATTCATGCAGGATGGAGGCTGGTTGCCAGAGAAACCTACCACAGGAGTAGAGGGTTGGAACTCAGCCCCAACTCCTCAAGGCATCCCCACCTCCAGGAGAGGAGAGGGATTAGAGACTGAGCCAATCACTGGTACCCAGTGATTTAATCAATCATGCCAACAATAAGCCTCCACAAAAATTCTAAATGACAGAGTTCAGAGAACTTCCGGTAAAGATGAAAAACTCTTTTTTCTATACTCAACACTCCACTTCTGATACCAAATGTGCAGGGGCAAGGGGTCTCCATACCAAGCAATTCTCTAGTTCTCTGCAGACACCAACTGGGTGTCCTACAATTTAACTTAATTCTTAAACTAACTGCCTGGAGTTAGCAGAGACCTCACAGCACCATCCAACAGGACTGTCCCCCACTTCAGACTCCCATCACAAGTAGTGGGTCCCCAGGTTACTCACACTTTTGTCCAACTTGTCCATACATTGGGGGTTCCCACAGCTGCCTCCTCAGATTCAATAATTTGCTAGCATGGCTCAACTCGGGGAGGCACTTCACTTACTTTTATCAGTTTATTATAAGGGATACACCTCAGGAACAGCCAAATGGAAGCGATGCAAAAGACAGGGTACGGGGTGGGAGCTTGCTCTCCGGGTGTGCCACCCTCCCTACACTTTGATGTGTTTACTAACCTAGAAGCTCTCCAAACCCAGGGATTTCTATGGAGGCTTCATTACGTAGACATGATTGATTATCACTGATCACTGGTGATCAGCTCAATCTCCAGCCCCTCTCCCCTTCCAAAAGTCAGGGAGGAGTGGGAGAAGCTACAAGTTCCAACCTTCTACACACATATTTGTTCCTCTAGCAACCAGCCTCTACCCTCCAAGAGTCACCTTATTAACATAAACTCACTGCCGGTCATAGCAGCTCATGCCTTCACTCCTATTATCTCAGCACTTTTGAGAGGCTGAAGCAGGATTACTTGAAGCCAGGAGGTCGAAACCAGCCTGGGCAACAAAGCGAGACCCCCAGCTATACAAAAAAAAACCCATAAACTCATGTATGGTTGAAAGGGGCTTATTATAAATAAATAAAAAAAAAACCATTCCTCTCACCCCAATCACTCTGCAAGGGTTTCAAGAGCTCTGTGCCAGGAACCAGGGATAAAGACCAAATATATATTTCTTCTCTCACAATATCATATCTGGGTTGCAGCCACAGGCCAGGAGGGTGGCACACTCTAATTCCACAGGGACAGAAGCAACTACACTCAGGACCATTCCAGATCTGGCCTTTAGTACCTAAGTTTAAAAATCCTGCCAGAATGGGGTATCACATGAATGAAGAACTTCCAAAATGGGACCAAGACCAAGCCTCCACATGCTCATTTCTCCAAGGATAAGATAAACCACTGCCTACTACTGATTCCACAGACTAAAATAATTCTGGTAATAGGTGACTCAAGCAGTGGGCACGGGCTCCCTCTGGGAAGAGAAACAAAATAAGCAGACTTCTGGCATTTTATGATTAGATTATAATTCAAATTACGGTTTGCAATGTCTTTTTTTTTTTTTTTTTTTTTTGAGGCTGAGTCTCGCTCTGTCACCCAGGCTGGAATGCAGGGCCATGATCCCAGCTCATTGCAATTTCCACCTCCTGGGTTCAAGCGATTCTTACGCCTCAGACTCCCAAGTGGCTGGGACTACAGGCATGAGCCACCACATAGGGCTAATTTCTGTATTTTTAGTAGAGACAGGGTTTCACCATGTTGACCAGGCTGGTCTTAAACTGCTGACCTTAAGTGATCTACCTACCTCGGACTCCCAAAATGCTGGGATTACAGATGTGAGCCACTGTGCCTGGCCTTTTTTTTTTTTTTTTTTTTTTTAAGAGACAGGGTCTCACTACATTCCCCAGGCTGGAGTCCAGTGCCTAGTCATGGTGCTAACATTGCACACTACAGCCTCAAATGCCTGATGCCTGGGCTCAAGTGATCCTCCCACCTCAGCCTCCCAAGTAGCTGGGACTAAAGGCTTGCATAGCTGTGCCTGGCTTACAATGTGTTTTCATAAACACTGACTTACTTACCTGATCTTCATAGAATCCCTTTATAGTAAGCAATGCTGAGATCATCATCATCCCCAAAAGGAGGAGGAAACTAGGGTAGAAGTTTTGCAGTGGGAAAACACACGTGGGCAACTTGATTTCCAAGACAAGAGAGATTAAATGGCTGTTCAAGCTAAAACTGAGATTCACGTTTTCCCTCTAACATGAAGCTCACTTCAGAAAGGTCTCTTGGCCAAAGTGAGAGGCTAGGCTGGAGAAAGGGATAGCTCTCTCTTGCTAAATAAGAAGTCTGCTTTATTTTATGAACCTGAAATACATTCCACTGTATAAATGATAGCCATGTACACAGCACTGGAAATCTTAATTTTAGGAACCAACTCTAGGGATCTGAGGGTTTTCTTCACTTGACCTGTAGACCTTATAGGGCCATAATGAGGACCAGATACATAAATTGCTTGAAAATCCTTTGCCAAGCATAATGTATAACACAGTCAGCCCTCCACAGCCATGGGTTCTGCATCCATGGATTCAGCCACCCACAGATTAAAATATTCAGGAAAAAAATACCGGGCATGGTGGCGTGTACCTGTAGTCCCAGCTACTCTGGAGGCTGAGGCACGAGAATCACTTGAACCCAGGAGGCAAAGGTTGCAAGTGAGCAGAGATTGTGCCACTGCACTCCAGCCTGGGCGATAGAGAGGGAGACTCTGTCTCAAAAAAAAAAGAAAAAAAAAAAAAGAAAAATCAGGCCGGGCGCGGTAGCTCACATCTGTAATCCCAGCACTTTGGGAGGCCGAGGCTGGCGGATCACGAGGTCAGGAGATCGAGACCATCGTGGCTAACACAGTGAAACCCCTTCTCTACTAAAAATACAAAAAAATTAGCCAGGCGTGGTGGTGGGCGCCTGTAATCCCAGCTACTCAGGAGGCTGAGGTAGGAGAATGGCATGAACCCGGGAGGCGGAGCTGGCAGTGAGCCAAGATCACGCCACTGCACTCCAGCCTGGGTGACAGAGCGAGACTGTCTCAAAAAAAAAAAAAAAGAAAAAAGAAAAAAAAATCAGGAAAAAAACATGCCATACTAAACATGTAGACTTTTTTTTTCTCGTCACTACTCCCTAAATAATACAGTATAACAACTATTTACATAGCACCTATATTGTATTAAATGTAAGTAATCTAGAGATTATTTAAAGTACATGGGGGAATATATATAGGTTATATGCAAATACTATGCCACTTTGTATCAAGGACTTGAGCATCCACGGATTTTGCTATCCGAGGGAGGTCCTGGAACCAAAGGACCAGGGATACTTGGGGACAATTGTACTAGGAGTCAAAGATTCTAGTTTAAATTCAGCTACTCTAACATTATCTTTACAAGTAATTTAACCTCTGTGACATTCAGTTTCCTGATAGCAATTATGAGGAACACTTAATGAGCATTTGATGGCAGGCACTTTTCTGGTACTTTACATATATGAACTCATTTAAACTTCACAATCACCACTCATGTAGGTATATCATTATCCCATTTACACAAAAAAGGAAACTGAGGCATGGAGAGGATAAGCAACCTCCCAATGTCACATAGTTCTAACAGCAGGATTAAGATATGAACCCAGACAACCCAACTCTAGAATCCTTGCTCATTTATGGGATGAAAGGGTAGAGTATCTGCAAGGTACCTTCTAGCTCTAACACTATATGACCTGGTCTGGAACCAATTAAAACAGCATATTGTGGAAAGTGCCACATAACTAAAGGCAGGAAGTACTGTTCAGAAGCTACATATTAGATAATCACCTCTGTGAGCCTTGGTTGTCTCTTTTTATCAAAAATAAAGACAAAATCCCCACTTCTCAGGATTTTCTTTAAAATTAACAAATGTACCTTGCAGTATGTTCAGCACAATATTAAGTTGAATCTGAATCTCCATTTCCTCGAGTAGAAACAGGTTGAGGTGGGGTGGAGAAAGGCATTAAATTTTTAAACCTACAGATGCTTTCTAAAGTGTCTCACAGTTCTAAAATTGTATAATTGCCACTTACAGCACCTTAAATTTCAAATGAAAAGTGGAGCTAAAAATATTTTATTTGAGCTGTGGTTGGATCAGTTGAAATGGTTTTCCAAGTGAGAGACAGTTACTGGTGTTTTGTTTTACAAACACTGACAGATTTACCAGAAACATTCAATGTCAGATGTTCCTGTACTAAAAATGTTAACTATGGGATAAGAGGAAACTGCTTCAGATTCAGGGCCAAAGGTGGGGGGGGGGGGGGGGCGGTGCAGGGGGAGCAAGAGGAAATTACAAGTTGAAACAATGCAAACTTTTGGAAGATTTTCTGAAGAATTTCATCATGTAATTTCCAATGTCAACAAAACTTTTCTCTGTAATTTTGGCTCCGGTTGGTCTTAGGCCAATACTTTTAAATCAGTTCTTATTAGAAGAAAGGAACAATCAGCTGTTCTTTCCTTCGCCAATCCTACAACAATTCTTGTCCAAATCCTTAATTGAAACCACTGAAGTGTAACAGAAAGGGTAATCCCAAGTCTGCCATCAAATAGCTGTGAACTGGTTACTCAACAATCTGGGCCTCCATTTTCCCTTATGAAAAATGGGAATAATAAAAGCTATCTCACAGGAGTGTTCCCAGGAACATTCCTAAAAGCACTTTGATAACAGAAAAACACAACTAAAGGCATCACTGTTATGAACAACTGTTACCGAATTATACAAGCCCTGCTTTCCCCAGCAAACTGCCAGAGAAGCAAAAACTGTTTTCTTAAAATATTGTTTGGAATCTGGCATTTATTCCCTTTCTCAAAAGCTTGCAGTGGTTTCCAAGGACCTCTTTATTGAAACTTAAACACCTGGTCCTTACTGGTCTTTACCAACTGGACCCCTCTAAACTCATAATACTTACTGTGTTTTCCACTCAACAGTTTCAACACCTGACTCAGATTCTCTGGTTTGGGAATCACTGCTTCACTCCACACATGCTAATTTCCTTGTAGTAATTTTTTGGGACTCTCCTCTTCACTCCAACCCAAACTATAAGCTCAATTGCTTCAAGAAATCTCTCTAGGCCGGGCGCAGTGGCTCACATCTGTAATCCCAGCACTTTGGGAGACCATAGGCGGGCAGATCACCTGAGGTCAGGAGTTCGAGACCAGCCTGGCCAACATGGCAAAACCCCATCTCTACTAAAAATACAAAAATTAGCCGGGCGTGGTGGCAGGTGCCTGTAATCCCAGCTACTCGGGAGGCTGAGGCATGGAGAATCGCTTGAACTGGGGAGACAGAGATTACAGTGAGCCAAAATCAGGCCACTGCACTCCAGCCTGCGTGACAGAGCAAGACTCCACTCAAAAAAAAAAAAAAAGAAAAGAAATCTGTCTAGATGTCAGCTTCTGGTTCTACTGGCTCTACTCAGTCCTTTTTTTTTTTTTTTTTTGAGATGGAGTCTTACTCTGTCACCCAGGCTGGAGTGCAGTGGCGCAATCTCGGCTCACCGCAACCTTCACCTCCTGGATTCAAGCAATTCTCCTGCCTCAGCCTGCCGAGTAGCTGGGACTAGAGCGGCGCGCTACCACGCCCAGCTAATTTTTGTATTTTCGGTAGAGGCGGGGTTTCACCATGTTGGCCAGGCTGGTCTCAAACTCCTGATCTCAGGTGATCCACCGGCCTCGGCTTCCCAAAGTGCTGGGATTACAGGCATGAGCCACCGTGTCGACCTCTACTCGTCCTTTTTCCTTTCCACCTCTTCCACCACTTCATCTATAAATATAAATCTGTGGAAGTACTTATCTCTCTCTTAAGGTACTAATATATTAGGCCTATAACAATTAGCACATCTCAACTTCTCCCAAGTTCAAAAGACATTCATAGCCACTCCCAATGGCAAAAATTATTCCTTTAACTTAAGATAAATGCACTGTTACTAAGTGAGAACTAGTTTTATTGCCATTTTGCCTTTCCAACACTTCAAAACCAAAAAAAAAATTTTTTTCTTTTTTTTTTTTTTGAGACGGAGTCTCGCTCCGTTGCCCAGGCTGGAGTGCAGTGGTGGGATCTCAGCTCACTGCAAGCTCCGCCTCCCAGGTTCACGCCATTCTCCTGCCTCAGCCTCCCAAGTAGCTGGGACTACAGGCGCCCGCCACCTCGCCTGGCTAATTTTTTGTATTTTTAGTAGAGATGGGGTTTCACCATGTTCGCCAGGATGGTCTTGATCTCCTGACCTTGTGATCCGCCCGCCTCGGCCTCCCAAAGTGCTGGGATTACAGGTGTGAGCCACCATGCCTGGCCAAAACCAAAATTTTTAAGATAGGCTTCATGTTTTCGTTTCCCGTGCACATTGTTAATTGCAGTGATTTTTACATCAGTATTTCAAAACATTCTGACATACCACCTCTTGTACTGACTACCCTTTAATCAGTCCACTGACAGGCCTGTTTCTGCATGTGGTTTTTTAAGATACATAGTATTTTCCTTGGCTCATTCATGAGCTAGAAAACAATTTACAGGTGTAGCGGATTCTAGTTATTCACCATAAAATCACCACAAACACTGAGTTAGCAAATACTGAACCATTGCTTCTAAAGGAAATGCCAGACTTAGGTTCCTGGAAGCCTCTGGTCACAACATTCATCAACCAATCAATATATAACCTTGTTTTATTGGTTTCTGTTGAAAGACACCCTATTTAATATACATTGTTGATTCATTAACACGGAACTCACAGCCAACAGCACTATAACTCACTTAGCAAAATTTACCTAACAAACATATTTTCCCATAAGGCACATTGTGGCCTTCTCGCACTCAGCAATGCTAGATAGCGTTTCCATACTACACTTGGGTGACATTTTAAAGATGGGATTCACCAACAAAAGCACAAAAATACGAAAAATATGGCACTAAACAGGCCATGAAAAGAATACTTGTTACAGTATGAAAACTGAAACAAGAAGGCGGAATGTTGACCCATCTCAGCCAGGAACACACACATTGGCAGCTCAAATTTCTTACCCCTCTGCAAATGTCCACAAGTGACTACAAAAGTGCTGCAAGTATTGATTTTGGGGTTTCAAATAAATTTTAGCAACTAGGTGAGTTCACAAATATAGAATCTGTGAATAACGAAAATCAATTATAAACATGAAATCCACCTTTTTTTTTTTTTTTTTTTTGAGACAGAGTTTCACTCTTGTTGCCCAGACTGGAGTGCAATGACGCAATCTCAGCTCACCGCAACCTCTGCCTCCTGGGTTCAAGTGATTCTCCTGCCTCAGCCTCCCGAGCAGCTGGGATTACAGGTATGCGCCACCACGCCCAGCTAATTTTGTATTTTTAGTAGAGACGGGGTTTCTCCATGTTGGTCAGGCTGGTCTCGAACTCCCAACCTCAGGTGATCCCTCAGCCTCAGCCTCCCAAAGTGCTGGGATTACAGGCATGAGCCACCATGCCCAGCCGAAATCCACTTTATAAGTCACCACTGGTGCCTATATTCCAAATGCCATGGATACTAACTCAATTCCGGAGTCCAAAGAACAGATACTACGGTAACAAACTTTCCTTCCAGTTACAATGTGGCATGCTATAATACAAAAGGATATTTCCACAGAGGGAAGAAGAGAATGTTTAACCATTCCTTCAAAAATTACTGAATACAGGCCGGGCATAGTGGCTCACGCCTGTAATCCCAACACTTTGTGAGGCTGAGGTGGGTGGATCACTTGAGGTCAGGAGTTCGAGACCAGCCTGGCCAACACAGTGAAACCCGTCTGTACTAAAAAATACATAATATAGGCCGGGCGCGGTGGCTTACGCCTGTAATCCCAGCACTCTGGGAGGCCGAGGCAGGCAGATCACGAGGTCAGGAGATTGAAACCATCCTGGCTAACATGGTGAAACCCCGTCTCTACTAAAAATACAAAAAATTAGCCGGGTGTGGTGGTGGGCGCCTGTAGTCCCAGCTACTCGGGAGGCTGAGGCAGGAGAATGGCGTGAACCTGGGAGGCGGAGCTTGCAGTGAGCTGAGATCGCACCACTGCACTCTAGCCTGGGCGACAGAGCGAGACTCCATCTCAAAAAACAAACAAACAAACAAACAAACAAACAAACAAAATATATATATATATATAATATATATAAATTAGCCGGGCATGGTGGCGCATGCTGGTAATCCCAGCTACTCAGGAGGCTGAGGCACAAGGATCGCTTGAACCCGGGAGGCGGAGGTTGCAGTAGGCAGAGATCATGCTGCTGTACTCCAGCCTGGGTGACAGAGTGAGACCCCATCTCAAACAATAACAAAAAATTACTCCAGTACTTTGGGAGGCCGAGGCAGGCGGACTGCCTGAGCTCAGGAGTTTGCAACCAGCCTGGGCAACACAGTGAAACCCCATCTCTACTAAAATACAAAAAAATTAGCTGGGCATGAGGGCATGCACCTGCAGTCCCAGCTACTTGGGAGGCTGAGGCAGGAGAATTGCTTGAACCCGGGAGGCGGAGGTTGCAGTGACCTGAGATCGCGCCATTGCACTCCAGCCTAGGGGACAAGAGCGAGACTTCGTCTCAAAAAAAAAAAAAAAAATTACCTATACACTGCCTCCTCCCACTTTTTTGGGAGTTTTCAATCTGAGCTTTCAAAAGATTGATTACATACAGGAAAGATTTGAATAAATCAATAAATACATTAAGGGTGAGGGGTCAGGTTTCTATCAGAGAAAGGAGTTAACAAATATGGCAAGGCAAAAGAGTAGAACAAACCCTGTGGTATTAGAATAGATTAGAATAACTGGTGTGGGCTTTTAATATATAAAGAAAAAGATATATGCATGTTTATGTGTATATATAGACATATATATATTTCCTACCCACGTCCTGGTAGGGCCTGCAGATGACACTCCAGTAGCAATAAGCACATGTAGCACCCAGATGTGGTTTCTAAATAGCAACAACCACTAAAGGAACTAGTCTCCTCAGGAGACAAGTTGACTCCAGAATGGGGATGATGTTCATCAAAGCCTTACAAAGAACTGGCATTATTCCCAGACATCCCATTACTGGGTATATGCCCGAAGGATTATAAATCATGCTGCTATAAAGACACACACACACGTATGTTTACTGAGGCACTATTCACAATAGCAAAGACTTGGAACCAACCCAAATGCCCAACAATGATAGACTGGATTAAGAAAATGTGGCACATATACACCATGGAATACTATGCAGCCATAAAAAAGGATGAGTTCATATCCTTTGTAGGGACATGGATGAAGCTGGAAACCATCATTCTCAGCAAACTATCACAAGGACAGAAAACCAAACACTGCATGTTCTCACTCAGAGGTGGGAATTGAACAATGAGAACACTTGGACACAGGAAGGGGAACATCACACACCAGGGCCTGTCGTGGGGTGGGGGGAGCGGGGAGGGATAGCATTAAGAGATATACCTAGGCCGGGCGTGGTGGCTCATGCCTGTAATCCAAGCACTTTGGGAGGCCGAGGAGGGCGGATCACAAGGTCAGGAGATCGAGACCATCCTGGCTAACATGGTGAAACCCCATCTCTACTAAAAATACAAAAAATTAGCCAGGCGTGGCCGGGCGCAGTGGCTCACGCTTGTAATCCCAGCACTTTGGGAAGCCGAGGCGGGCGGATCACGAGGTCAGGAGATCGAGACCACGGTGAAATGCCGTCTCTACTAAAAATACAAAAAATTAGCCAGGCGTGGTGGCGGGTGCCTGTAGTCCCAGCTACTCGGAGAGGCTGAGGCAGGAGAATGGCGTGAACCCAGGAGGCGGAGTTTGCAGTGAGCCGAGATTGCACCACTGCACTCCAGCCTGGGTGACAGAGCGAGACTCCGTCTCAAAAAAAAAAAAAAAACAAAATTAGCCGGGCATGGTGGCAGGCGCCTGTAGTCCCAGCTACTCGGGAGGCTGAGGCAGGAGAATGGCGTGAACCCGGGAGGTGGAGCTTGCAGTGAGCTGAGATTGCGCCAGTGCACTCCAGCCTGGGTGACAAAGCAAGACTCCATCTCAAAAAAAAAAGAGATATACCTAATGTAAATGATGAGTTAATGGGTGCAGCACACCATCATGGCACATGTATACATATGTAACAAACCTGCACGTTGTGCACATGTACCCTAGAACTTAAAGTATAAAAAAAAAAGAAGCTTGACTCTGAAAAAAAAAAAAAAAAAGAACTGGCATTATTCAACCTGTCTGACAGTTCCTTAGAAGGCCCTATTTCAAGGCTGTCTTAGAACTCACCCAGTGTGAAAAAACCTTTTCCCCAGGAGCACCGGTTGAAAACAAATAGAGGTAACTGTTTGACTTCATGGCTTCCTGAGGCAGTGATTAACAGGTGGAGAAAACAACAGGCTAACCAAAAAGGTTTAAAGGAAAAGCTGGGGAATAAGATGTCCACAGAGGCTTAGAAAAGCCCCAATATATTCCTGGGCATCTAGGAAGCCATGAACATACCCAGGTCTGTGCATATACCCAAAGCTGTGCACATGCTCAGGAAAGACCTAAGAATGTCTCTTACTTGTGGTTGACCTTGAGGTTCTGCATAGCAGGAAGTGAAAGTTAAGGCAGAGTTATCGAATGCCTGGCAGAGTGTTATAGGTACATCCCAACGTGCACACAGAGCCCCAAAGCAAAAACTGGGATACTCACTGCTTCCAGGCAGTGAGAACAGAATTTTAAGAAATTTAACAGAAATTTAAAGAAATTTGTTTAATCATTACCTGACCACTAAGCTATCTAAGCAGAGACTTCAGTAGCCACAAACAACAAAGAATACAGACTACAGAATCAATTCAGAAAAGTCACTAAACAAAAATACAACAGCAAACCCTGGGAAGGGAAACAATCTGATTTCCGGAGTGGCCACATTATTTAAAATGTCCAGTTTTCAACAACAAAAAGTTATAAAACATGCAAAGAAACAATAAAGTATGGCCCATACACAGGGGGAAAAAATGCAATCAATAGAAACTGTCTCTAAGAAAACCCAGGCAGCAGACAAAGAGATTTTTAACTATTTCAAATATGTTCAAAGATCTAAATGAAAATATGTCTAAAGAACTATAAGAAAGTGGCCGGGTGCGGTGGCTTACACCTGTAATCCCAGCACTTTGGGAGGCCAAGGCAGGGGGATCACCTGAGGTCAGGAGTTTGAGACCATCCTGGCCAACATGGTGAAACCCCATCTCTACTAAAAATACAAAAATTAGCCGGGCGTGGTGGCAGGCACCTGTAATCCCAGCTACTCAGAAGGCTGAGGCGGGAGAATCGCTTGAACCCGGGAGGTGGAGGTTGCAGTGAGCCAAGATGGCACCAAAGAGAATATCAACAGAAAGAGAAGTTATTTTTTTAAAGACAAAATAAATTCTAGAATTGAAAAGTCCAACAACTAAAATGAAAAACTCATTAGAGGGACTGAACAGCAGATTTGAACAGGCAGAAGAAAATAATCAGTGGTCTTGAAGATAGGTCAATTTAGATCATCCAGTCCAAGGAACAGAAAGAAAAAGCAATAAAGACAAATTAGTAGCCTCAAAATGAAAAGCAAAAACAAAAAAAGAAAAAAAAGAACAAATTTAACAGCCTCAGACTGTGGGACACCATCAAACACACCAATATATGTATAATTAGAGTCTCAGAAGGAAAGAAAAGGACCGAAAAATATTTGAAGAAATAATGGCAGAAAACATCCCAAACATAATGGAAAATGGTAATTTAGGAATCCAAGAAGCTCTACTAACTCCAAATAGGATAAACACAAAGAGAGCCACAGACACATCATATGCAAGCTGCCAAGAGACAAAGATTCTTTAAATGAGCAAGAGAAGAAACTCATCATATACAAAGTATCCTCAAGAACATTAACAGTGGATTTCTTCTCAGAAACTGTAGCAGCCAGAAGGCAGTGGGATAAAATAGTCAAAACAAGGAAAGACAAAGATTTTCAAACAAGAATTCTATATCCAGCAAAACTATTATTCAAAAGTGAAGGAAAAAATGAAGATTTCCCAGATAAACAAAATGGAAAGAATTTGTCAGTAGTAGACTTGCCCTGCAAGAATAAGGCAGACCTTCAGGTTGAAATGAAAGGAAACTACAGAATAACTCAAATCTACATGAAGAAATAAAGTAGACTGGTAAAGGTAACTGTTTAGGTAAATAAAAAATACAGTACAAATGGATTTTTTGTTTGTAATTCTTTTTCTTTTTAATTTAAAAGACAACTACAAGAAGAAATAATTATAAATCTACATTGGTAGACATATAATGCATAAAGATGTAATTTAGATGACAATAACACAATGTTCGGGAAGGAACAGAGCTATATAGAAAGAAAGTCTTTACATATTACTGAAATGAAGTTCGTATTAATCCAAACAAGACTGTTATGAATTAAGATGTTCATTGTAATCCCAGGGCAGCCACTAAGAAAACAGCTCATAAAATATAGTAAAAGCTTGTAACATGTACACAAATTAGCTCAAAATGGATAAAAGACCAAAATGTAGGACCTAAAATGATACAACTTTCAAAAGAAAACTTACGGGAATGGCTTCATGACATTGGATTTTGCAATGATTTCTTGGACATGATATCAAAAAAGTAGGCAATAGGCCAGGCATGGTGGCTCACACCTGTAACCCCAGCACTCTGGGAGGCTGAGGTGGGCGGATCACTTGAGGCCAGGAGTTTGAGACCAGCCTGGCCAACATGGGAAAACCCCCTCTCTATTAAAAACATAAAAATTAGCCAGGTGTGCTGGTGCATGACTGTAATCCCAGCTACTTGGGAGGGTGAGGCAGGAGAATTGCTTGAACCTGGGAGGCAGGGGCTGCAGTGAGTCTAGATTGTGCCACTGCACTCTAGCCTGGGTGACAGTGCAAGACCCTGTCAAAAAAAAAAGAGTGGGCAATAAAAGAAAAAAAAATAAGTTGGACTTCATGAAAATTTAAAACTTTTGTGTATCAAAGAATAGTATCAACAGACTGAAACAGCAACCCATAGGATAGGAAAAATACATGCAAATCATATATCTGATGAGGGATTGATATTCAAAATATATGAAAAACTTGCCAGATGCAGTGGCTCATGCCTGTAATCCTTGCACTTCGGGAGGCCAAGGCGGGTGGATCACCTGAGGTCAGGAGTTCAAGACCCGCCTGGCCAACATAGCAAAACCCCATCTCTACTAAAAATACAAAATTTAAGGCTGGGCGTGGTGGCTCACGCCTGTAATCCCAGGATTTTGGGAGGCCGAGGCAGGCGGATCACCTGAGGTTGGGAGTTTGAGACCATCCTGACCAACATGGGGAAACCCCATCTCTACTAAAAATACAAAATTAGCCAGGTGTGGTGGTGCAGGTCTCTAATCCCAGCTACTTGGGAGGCTGAGGCGGGAGAATCACTTGAACTCAGGAGGCAGAGGTTGCGGTGAGCCGAGATCATGCCATTGCACTCCAGCCTGGGCAACACGCGTGAAACTCTGTCTCAAAAAGAAAAAAGACATGAAGAAGTGCCCAATATCACTAGTCACTAGAGAAATGTAAATCAATAATACAATGAGACACCATTTCATACTCATTAGAATGGCAATTGTCAAAAAACAGAATATAAGGCCACGTGTGGTGGTTCACACCTGTAATCCTAACACTTCGAGAGGCTGAGGCAGGAGTATCACTTAAACTCAGGAATTTGAGACCAGCCTGGGCAACATAGCAAGAACTCCTCTCTACTAAAAATTTAAAAACTAGCTGGGTGTGTTGGCACACACCTGTAGTCCCAGCTACTCGGGAGGCTAAGATGAGAGGATTACTTGAGCCCAGAAGTGGAGGCTGCAGTAAGCTGTCATTGGGCCACTGCACTCCAGCCTGCATGACACAGCAAGACCTTGTCTCAAAAACAAACAAACAAAAACCAGAAAATAACAAGTGTTGGCAAGGATGTGGTGAAACTGGAACCCTTGTGCACTGCTAGTGAGAATGTAAAACAGTGTATCTGCTGTGGAAAACAGTAGGACAATTCCTCAACAAATTAAACAGGCTGGACATAGTGGCTCACGCCTGTAGTCCCAGCACTTTGGGAGACCGAGACAATGGATTGCTTGAGCCCAGGAGTTCAAGGCCAGCCTGGGCAACATAAGGAGACCCCATCTCTACAAAAAAGAAAAAAAAAAGTAGCCAGGCGTGGTGGCACATGCCTGTGGTCCCAGCTACTCAGGAGGCTGAAGTGGGAGGATCACTTGAGCCCAGGAGGTCAAGGCTGCAGTGAGCTATGATTGAGCCACTACACTTCAGCACGCATGACAGAGCGAGACCCTATCTCCAAAAAAAAAAAAAGAGAAAATTCTGACACATGCTACAACATGGATGAATCTTGAGGACATTACGCTAAATGAAATAAGCCAGTCACAAAAGGTCAAATACTGTATGATTCCACTTATATGAGGTACACAAAGTAGTTAAACTCACGGAGACAGAAAGTAGAATGGTGGCTGCCAGGGGCTGGGGAGAAAAGACTATAGAGAGTTATTAATAGGTTCAGAGTTTCAGTTTTATAAAATGAAAATAATTCTGTGGATAAGGGTGGTAAAGATGGCACAACAATGTAAATGCACTCAATACCACAGAACTGTACACTTAAAAAGTTTCAAAGGTGGCCAAGCACAGTGGCTCATGCCTGTAATCCCAGCACTTTGGGAGGCCAAGGCGGGCAGATCACCTGAGGTCAGGAATTCAAGATCAGCCTGGCTAAAATGGTGAAACCCCATTTCTACTAAAAATACAAAAAATTAGCTGAACGTAGTGGCACGTGCCTGTAATCCCAGCTACTCAGGAGGCTGAGGCAGGAGAATCGCTTGAACCCGGGAGGCAGAGGTTGCAGTGAGCCAAGATCACGCCATTGCACTCCAGCTTGCGCAACAAGAGCAAAACTCCGTCTCAGAAAAAAAAAAAAAAGTTTAAAAGGTAAATTTTGTTACATGTATTTTACCACAACTTTTTTTTAATTTTCTAAAGTACAGGGTGGCTTTCTGCAATTTTTACTATTTCCAAAGAAAAGCAGAAATGATCAGCAATGCCCAGGACAACTCATAAAAACCATAAGCATGTCCAGTTCCACTGATCAAATGTCCAGGCTCTCTGCTGTAGTCATTCAACAATAGCAGTGTTTTAGTTTCCTCCTCCTTCCCAAAACCATCACTGGAGAAGGGAAAATATTG
The DNA here is from genome assembly GCF_000001405.40 of Homo sapiens. Lineage (NCBI taxonomy): Eukaryota > Metazoa > Chordata > Mammalia > Primates > Hominidae > Homo > Homo sapiens. The sequence goes on from NC_000020.11 coordinate 35,409,750, forward strand.
GCTGACAAGACAAAAAGAGGAAAAAATAAAGCAAGACTAACAAGAATGTTTCAGGAATACTTCTTTTTTTTTTTCAGACAGAGTTTCACTCTTTCACCCAGGCTGGACTGCAGTGGCACAATCTCAGCTCACTGCAACCTCCGCCTCCTGGGTTGAAGCAATTCTCGTGTCTCAGCCTCACGAGTAGCTGGGATTACAGGCGCCCACCACCAGGCCTGGCTAATTTTTGTATTTTTAGTAGAGACAGGGTTTCACCACGTTGGCCAGGCTGGTCTTGAACTCCTGGCCTCAAGTGATCCACCTACCTCAGCCTCCCAATGTGCTGGGATTACAGGTGTGAGCCACGGCACCTGGCCAGGAATACCTCTCTGTGGTTCAGTTTTCTTATCTGTAAAATAGAGGAAATAACACGCCCTCCTTTCCAAAGGGATGTTATAAGGATTAGGTAAGTATTTTAAAGTGCTTAGCACGTAGTAAGTGCCCTATAAAATGATAGTTGTCAGGCCAGGCTCGGTGGCTCATGCCTGTTATCCCAGCACTTTGGGAGGCCGCAGGAGGCGGATCATGAGGTCAGGAGTTCGAGACCAGTCTGGCCAACATGGTGAAACTCCATCTCTACTAAAAATACAAAAGTTAGCCAGGTGTGGTGGCAGGCGCCTGTAATCCCAGCTACTTGGGAGGCTGAAGCAGGAGAACTGCTTGAACCCAGGAGGCAGAGGTTGCAGTGAGCCGAGATCACACCGCTGAACTCCACCCTGGGTGACAGAGCGAGACTCCATCTCAAAAAAAAAAAAAATACAAAAATTAGTCAGGTGTGGTGTGGTGCATGCCTGTCATCCCAGCTACTCGGGAGGCTGGCACAGGAGAATTGCTTGAACCCGGGAGCAGAAGTTGCAGTGAGCCCGAGATGGCACCACTGCACTCCAGCTTCGGCGACAGAGCAAGACTCTGCCTCAAAAAAAAAAAAAAAAAAAACAAAACCCTAAAGGGTGGCAGGGGAAGGATTAAAAAAAAAAAAAAAAAAAAAACCACTAAATTCAGAACATTCTAATTGCCATTTCCCCAGCAGTCCTCATTTCTGAATCAATTTCTGGCCTGAAATCAAACAATCACTTCACCAGGTGAATCTTTCTGGCAGTTACAGGGGCTACTCTACAAATAAATATTTACTGAACAGCAGTCGAGGGTACCTCACTCTGCTAGGCTGGCAAGGAATACAAGAAGTAAAACTGTCGTCCTTGTAAGACATATATAAAAAGATCAAAAACACAAATGTAAAATAACAATTCAGAAGTTACCTAGACACAGGAATAGACCATGTCTACTATGAAAAACAGTGTCTTTGACCCAGTTTTTGAAGACTCGCTAAAACTATACACTCTCCCATCCCTCCATGATTAAAAACTAAGCTCTGTATCCTAACGTTTTTTCTGCTGCCACTTTCTTTTCTCCTTTAATTGCTAGAGAAAAGAGTATGCTAGAAGGGTCAGGACTAAATCTCAAGAGGTGCAGTAGTTTCACACACGGGTGCTAAAGAGTCTGGTAGTCTTTCCTTACTTCATTCATTTATTCAACAAGTAATCATTTAACACCTATGATGTGCCAGACACCATGCTAGGCAAAGTGAAAACGACGGAGACAGACATGACTCCAATTCTCACGCAGCTTTCAATCTAATAATCTATATTCCACTTAACTGTACAGTTAAGAACTGACTTATTACCTATGAAAGAAACCCTGAGAATCTCAGAATCTAAAGGGACTGCAGGAGATAAATGTCCTCGTTTTTCACATAGGGTCAATGAGGCCCAAAAGTGACTTGCTTAAAGTCACTATGCATCAGTGACAGTCAGGGACTAGAACCCAGGCCTCCTGAAACTCCAATCAGTGTCCTACATGCTCCTCTCCCTGAGGGGAAGCAGGTACATGGGGGAGGGAAGGAAAAGTAAACCCCATCAAATAAAGGCCAGATGTCAGTCTTCCCCTTCTCGAAAGATGGGGGAGCTAAGGTCAAAACGGGGTAGGAAGAGGTCGGAAGCTGCCTCAGTTTCCCCACGGAAAAGCGGCCACTCAGCCTAGCTATAACACAGGCTTCCCTCCTGCGATTCCTTCCAATTCCTCCCGCCCTGCCTTGTCGAACTCCAACCCGGGACCCAGAGAGCTACCGTAGAAAATTACTCCTTCACTCACAAGGACTCGCACCAGCAACGCCATGTTCCTCAATAACCATTTCCGGGTGAAGAGTGAGTTTCCGGTGTCCCCTTTTCTACGTCCTCCTTTTGCCGGCGAAAGACTGGCAAGGGGGGCGCAGGCGCAAAGAGGTCGCTACGCGCACGCGCTGTTGTTTTCTCGGCTGTGCACCAGGCTGTCGTGCCCGGGCACGCTCTCCCTGCTGTCTCCCCCACTACACGTAACAGTGGTTCAAATCCTTCCCCCACGCCTGTCTCCTTGACCCCAGACCTCGGGGCTTCTCATATCCCTCTCTTTATTCCCCACCTAACCCAGCCTCACTCCTCAGCCCCTCCTTCCCAAACTCCACCCCAACACTTTTCAATGGAGGTTGAAAAGAACAGGACTTTAGGAAATCCCAATCTTTAGAAAGAGCCAGAAGACCGGGCGCGGTGGCTCACGCCTGTAATCCCAGCACTTTGGGAGGCCGAGGCGGGCGGATCACCTGAGATCAGGAGTTCGAGACTAGCCTGGCCAACATGGCAAAACCCCGTCCCTAACTAAAAATACAAAGAAAGTAGCCGGGCATGTTGGTGTGTGCCTGTAATCCCAGCTACTCTGAAGGCAGAGGTTGCAGTGAGCCGAGATCGCGCCACTGCACTCCAGCCTGGGCGACAGAGCAGGACTGGACTCTGTCTCAAAAAAAAAAAAAAAAAAAAAAAAAAAAAAGCCAGAGAAGGAGGCTAAGATAAAAGAATACGGGGGATACCAGACTCCTGAAAGTCAAGGCAAGAAGGCGGTCATGTGCCGATCTGAAGCCTGGTAGAGGAAGAAACTTTTGGGATTTGTGGTTGGTTGGTTGTTTAAGGGAAACATCTTTGCATATTGATAGGAAAAGATTAGTGAAGAGTATACAGGGCCGTGCCCGGTGGCTCATGCCTGTAATCCCAACACTTTGGGAGGCCGAGGCAGGTGGATTGCCTGAGGTCAGGAGTTCAAGACCAGCCTGACCAATATGGTGAAACCCCGTCTCTACTGAAAATACGAAAAAAATTAGCCGGGCATGGTGGCGTGTGCCTGTAATCCCAGCTACTTGGGAGGCTGAGGCAGGGAATCGCTTGAACCCGGGAGGCAGAGGTTGCAGTGAGCTGAGACTGGGGCACTGAACTCCAGCCTGGGTGACAAAGCGAGACTCCGTCTCAAAAAAAAAAAAAAAAAAAGAGTATACAGGAGAATCAATCAAAGAGGCAAGGAGCTTCTTGAGGAAAGTGGCAGAGAACGGCCTTGGTAGAAGACTCCTCTTCCATTACATCCCAAGAGAAGAGAAGACAAAGTACTGGTGCTTTGGGGGTTGAGGGAGCAGAGGGGCAGGATGTTGAAGGACTTCTTTCATTTCATTCAGTCAACAAAGACCTATTGAGTCTTCCCTATGTGCTGAACACAAGACATACTGGCTTCATGGAGTTCTTAGACTGGTGGGGGAGGCATAGGAACCCAGTGAAAAAAATTAAAACTGGGGAGCTACTTTGGTTAGGTTGGTAAGGCCTCTCCAAGAAAGTGACATGTAAGATGAAATCTAAAGGAAGAAGAGGAGCTAGTCATGGGAAATAACTTCACTCGACTATTTTTTTAATTAAATTTATTGATTTTTATTAATTGACAAAAAATATATATTGTGTACAACAGGATGTTTTCTTTTTTCTTTTTTTTTTTTTTTTTGAGACAGAGTTTCACTCTTGTCGCCCAGGCTGGAGTGCAGTGGCTCAATCTCGGCTCACTGCAACCTCCACCTCCCAAGTCAAGCGATTCTCCTGCCTCAGACTCCCAAGTAGCTGGGATTACAGATGCGCACCACCACGCCTGGCTAATTTTTGTGTTTTCAGTAGAGACGGGGTTTTGCCATTTCGGCTAGGACGGTCTCAAACTCCTAACCTCAGGTGATCCACCCACATCGGCCTCCGAAAGTGCTGGGATTACAAGAGTGAGCCACCGTGCCCCCGGCCAGGATGTTTTAAAATATGTATACATTGTGAAATGGCTAAGTCAAGCTAATTAATATATGCATTACCTCATATTTTTGTGCTGGAAATGTTTAAAATATGTTCTTTAAGCAATTTTCAAGAATACAATACATATTCATAGTGGGTATAGTCACCATGTTATACAATAGATCTTTTCTTTTTTTTTTTGAGACGGAGTTTCACTCTTGTTGCCCAGGCTGGAGCGCAATGGCGTGATCTTGGCTCACTGCAACCTCTGCCTCCCGGGTTCAAGTGATTCTCCTGCCTCAGCCTCCTGAGTAGCTGGGATTACAGGCATGCGCCACCACGCCCAGCTAATATTATATTTTAGTAGAGACGGGGTTTCTCCATGTTGGTCAGGCTGGTCTCGAACTCCCGACCTCAGGTGATCCGCCTGCCTTGGCCTCCCAAAGTGGCCTCCTGAACTTATCTCTCTTAACTGAAATTTTGTATCCTTTGACAAACATCTCCTCAGCCTCTAGTAACCACCATTCTACTCTCTACTTCTGTGTGTTCAACTTATATTCCACATATGAGAGAAATCAAGCAGTGTTTGTCTTTCTGTGCCTCATTTATTTCTCTTAACATAACATCCTCCCAGTTCATCCATGTTGTCATAGATATGAGCATTTCCTTCTTTTTTTTTTCCTTGAGACAGAGTCTTGCTCTTGTTGCCCAGGCTGGAGTGCAGTGGCACAATCTTGGCTCACTGCAACCTCTCCCTCCCGGGTTCAAGCAATTCTCCTGCCTCAGCCTCCCAAGTAGCCTGGACTACAGGCATGTGCCACCACACCCAGCTAATTTTTATTTTTAGTAGAGATGGGGTTTCTCCATGTTGGTCAGGCTGGTCTTGAGCTCCCGACCTCAGGTGATCTGCCCACCTTGGCTTCCCAAAGTGTTGGGATTACAGGTGTGAGCCACCGCACCTGGCCAGCATTTCCTTCTTCTTTTAGGCTGAATAGCATTCCATTATATATATAAATCACTTTTTTTTTTTTTTGAGACAGAGTCTTGCTCTGCCGCCCAGGGTGGAGTGCAGTGACACAATCCCAGCTCACTGCAGCCTGTACCTCCTGGGTTCAAGCAATTCTTGTGCCTCAGTCTCCCAAGTAGCTGGGACTACAGGCACGTGCCACCATGTCCGGCTAATTTTTGTATTTTTAGTAGAGACAGGGTTTCACCATGCTGGCCAGGCTGGTCTCGAACTCCTGGCCTCAAGTCATCTGCCCACCTCTGCCTCCCAAAGTACTGGGATTACAGGCATGAGTCACTGTACCTGGTCATAAACCACATTTTCTTTCTTTCTTTCTTTCTTTTTTCTTTTTTTTTTTTTTTTTTTTTGAGACGGAGTCTCACTCTGCCACCAGGCTAGAGTGCAGTGATGCAATCTCAGCTCACTGCAACCTCCCCCTCCCAGGTTCAAGCGATTCTCCTGCCTCAGCCTCCTGAGTAGCAGGGATTACAGGCGTGCACCACTACACCCAGCTAATTTTTGTATTTTTAGTAGAGACGGGTTTCACCATGTTGGTCAGGATGGTCTCGGTCTCCTGACCTCATGATCTGCCCACCTCGGCCTCCCAAAGTGCTGGAATTACAGGCGTGAACAACCACGCCCAGCCACCACATTTTCTTTATTTGTTCATCACTAATGGACACTTAGGTTAATTCCATACTTGGCTGTTGTGAATACCACTGCAATGAACATGTTAGTATAGATGCCTCTTCAACATACTGATTTCATCTCCTTTGAATATATATCCAATAGTGAGACTGCTGTATCCTATGGTGGTTCTGTTTTTAATTGTTTGAGGAACCTCCATACTGTTTTCTATAATGGGTGTACTAATTTACATTCCACCAACAGTGTGCAAGGGTTCCCTTTCTCCACGTCCTTAGGAACAATGTTATAGTAGCCATTCGAACAGGTGCAAGGTAATATCTCATTGTGGCTTTAGATTGCATTTCCCTGATGATTAATGATGCTGAGCATTTTTTCATATACTTGTTGGCCATTTGTATGTCTTCTTTTGAGAAATGTCTATTCAGATCTTTTGCCCATTTTAAAATTTGGGTATTAACCCCTCATCAGATATATGGTTTTTAAATGTTTTCTCCCATTCCATACGTTGTCTCTTCACTCCGTTGATTGTTTCCTTTGCTGTGCAAAAGTTTCTTAGTTTCATATAACACTATTTCTCTATTTTCACTCTTTTTGCCTGTACTTTTGGGGTCATATTAAAAAAATTATTGCCCAGACCCAGGTCATGCAGCTTTTCCTCTATATTTTCTTCTTCTAGTAATTTTAGTTTGAGGTCTTGTGTTTAAGGCTTAAATCTATTTGGAATTGATTTTTATTTGAGACAGGGTCTTGCTCTGTCACCCAGGCTGGAGTGCAGTGGTGCAATCAAGGCTCACTGTAGCCTCAAAGTCCTGGGCTTAAGTGATCCTCCCTCCTCAGCCTCTTGAATAGCTGGGTCCGTAGGCATGTGCCACCATGCCTAGCTAATTTTTTTATTTTTAGTAGAGATGGGGTACGGGGGTCTCTCTATGTTTCCCAGGCTGGTCTCAATCTTCTGGGCTTGAGCAATCCTCTCATCTCAGCCTCTCAAAGTGCTAGGATTAAAGGTGTGAGCCATAACACCCGACCTTCGATTTTTGTATATGGTATGAGGTGAGAGTCTAATTTCATTCTGCATGTGGATATCTAGTTGTCCCTACACCATTTATTAAAAAGACTGCCCTTTACCCATTGTGTGTTCTTTGCACCGTTGTTGAAAATCAATTGACTGTAAATGCATAGGTTTATTTTGGGTCTCTATTCTGTTCTATTGGTCTATGTGTCTGTACAAATGCTATTCTATCAGCAAATGTTGGGAAGTGGGAGAGGGACAGAAGATTTCAGAACAAGAGTCTTGAGGTGGGGAAAAAAAACAGTACATTTTAAGGCCGGGTGCAGTGGTTCATGCCTGTAATCCCAACACTTTTGGGAGGCCGAGGCAGGTGGATCACCTGAGACCAGGAGTTCGAGACCAGCCTAGGCAACATGGCTAAACTCTGTCTCTACAAAAAAATACAAAAAATTAGCCGGGTATGGTCGGGGGTCGCTCTGTCGCCCAGGCTCGAGTGCAGTGGCGCAATCTCAGCTCACTGCAACCTCTGCCTCCCGGATTCAAGTGATTCTTCTGCCTCAGCCTCCCGAATAGCTGGGACTACAGCTGTGCATCACCATGCCCGGCTAATTTTTGCATTTTTAGTAGAGACAGGATTTCACCATATTGGCCAGGCTGTTCTTGAACTCCTGACCTCGTGATCCGCCCGCCTTGGCCTCCCAAAGTGCTGGGATTACAGGCGTGAGCCACCGCATCTGGCCAGAGGAATTATATTTTAAGAGACAGGATCTCTCTATGTTGCCCAACCTGATCATGAACTCCTGGGCTCAAGGGATCCTCCTGCCTCAGCCTCCTGAGTAACCGGGACTACATGTGAGAGCCACCGTATGCAGCCATTGGAGGATATTAAGTAGGGAGGGCTACCTAATTCATATTTAAGAAGTTGACTTTGGGCCATGTACGGTGGCTCACACCTGTAATCCCAACATTTTGGGAGGCCAGGCTGGGCAGATCTCTTGAGCCCAAGAGTTTGAGACCAGCCTGGGTAACATGGCAAAACCCTGCCTCTACTGAAAACACAGAAAAATTAGCTGGGTGTGGTGGTGTATGCCTGTGGTCCCAGCTACGCAGAAGGCTGAGATGGGAGGATCACCTGAGCCTGGGGAGGTCAAGGCTGCAGTGAGCACTGATCGTGCCACTGTACCCCAGCCTGGGTGACAAAGTGAGACCCTGTCTCAAAAAATATATACATTAATTAATTAAAATAAAAAATCAAGAAACAGTTTTTGTTGTGGTTTGTTTGTTTGTTTTTTGAGATGGAGTCTTGCTCTGTCACCCAGGCTGGAGTCCAATGGCGCAATCTCGGCTCACTGCAACCTCCGCCTCCTGGGTTCAAGCGATTCTCCAGCCTCGGCCTCCTGAGTAGCTGGGATTACAGGCGCCCGCCACCAAGCCCACCTAATTTTTGTATTTTTAGCAGAGGCGGGGTTTCACCATATTGGTCAGGCTGGTCTCGAACTCCTGACCTCAGGTGATCTGCCCGCCTCTGCCTCCCAAAGTGCTGGGATTACAGGGGTGATCCACCGTACCTGGTCAACTCCCAGTCTTAACACAAACAGAGCATATAATGATGGCAGACAACATTCCAGAGAGGGCTACAAGGGAAGTAATATTCAAATGGGAAGGCCAGGTTTCATTCATGCAGAAAGTAGAAGGAACTTTCTAGGAATGGGCTGGCAGTATAGACAACTTTATCTCACATAGATTCCATAGTCCTCTCACAGAGGACTCCCCATTCTCCTTAACCTCAGCTCCCCAGTGCTGCTCGGCTTCCCTCCGCTGCCAGAGCTCCTCAACTTCTTGTACCCCAAACCCTCAGCCTGAAGCCCCAGCAATCTCCACTGTTCTCCCCAAGCTCCCTCTGCCCATCTTTCTCTTCACAATGACTTCACCCCTCAGAATTCCCATACTTCTTTATAGGCCCCACATTGAAACCCAGCCGTTTATTTAAAATAAAACAATTGGGCCAAGCATGGTGGCTCATGCCCATAATCCCAGCAACTCAGGCAGCCCAGGCAAGAGGATTCCTTGAGGCCAGGAGTTTGAGACCAGTCTGGGCAACATAGTGAGACCCCATCTCTATGAAGAAAAAAAAAATTTTTTTTTTTTTGAGAGAGACTCTTGCTCTGTCGCCCAGGCTGGAGCAATCTCAGCTCACTGCAAACTCTTGGAAAACAGTCTGGCTGTTCTATGAATTTTAAACATACAGTTACTATATGATTCAGCCATTCCATTCCTAGGTATATATCCAAGAGAAATGAAAATATATATCCACACAAAAACTTGTTTGCAAATGTTCATCACAGCATTATTCATAATAGCCGAAAAGTAGAAGCAACCCAAATATCCATCAACCAAAGAATAGATAAAAACAATATGGTGGCCAGGCACAGTGGCTCACGCCTGTAATCCCAGCTCTTTGGGAGGCCGAGGTGGGGGGGATCACTCGAGGTCAGGAGTTCGAGACCAGCCTGGCCAACATGGCGAAACCCTGTCTCTACTAAAAATACCAAAAAAATTAGCCGGGCATGGTGGCAGGCGCCTGTAATCCCAGCTACTTGGGAGGCTGAGGCAAGAAAACTGCTTGAACCCGGGAGGTGGAGGTTGCAATGAGCCGAGATCGTGCCATTGCACTCCAATCCAGCCTGGGCAACAAGAGCAAAACTAAAAAAATGAAAAAACCACAATATGCTATATCCAGACAATGGATTATTACGCAGCAATAAAAAGAAATGAAATACTAATACATGCTACAACATGAATGACCCTCAAAAAACATTAAATGAAAGAAACCAGTCACAAGAGGCCACATATTGGATTGTTCCATTTCTATAAAGTGTGCTGCCCCACCCACTCCCATGGCCAATTTTAGACCTCAACACCAGAATTGTTTGAATTCTGAAATTTTTAATTTATGCCTTCTGTGTTCTCACCATCCTATTATTCTGGTTTTCATTCATTACCCCTAGTACGCCTGTTGTTCTACCCCATTGAGACACCACACTTTTTATCTCTTCTCTTTATAGTCTATTGACCCTCTCCCCTCTTTGCTTCTCCCATCTAGTTCCCATCTGGTCTATTGTTTTAATTTCTCTCTTGCCAGTATTAACTCCCTTGCTCAATTGTCTTCCTATCTCGTCCACCTAGAAAGACCTCAACCCTCCAATTGTCTATTTATTCCATGCCTGCCTCCGGATTCTTGAGTACTATCGAAGAAAATCATGCAAATATTATATTGGTACCACTAAATATGGTTTTCAACCTTTATTAAGTTATACTCTGTCCACCTTCTTCAAAACCACCATTTATAACTACATTAGATTGTTAGGGCTGCCATAAAAAAGTGCCACTATGTGGGTGGCTTAAAGCAATGGAAATGTATTGTTTGGTAGTTATGGAGGCTGGAAGTCTGAAATCAAGGTGTTGACAGGGCCACGCTCTATCTGTAGGTTCCAGGAGAGGAAGCTTCCTTGCCTTTTCTAGCTTCTGGAGATTGCCAACAATCCCTGGCATTTCTTACCTTGCACCTGCATAACTCCAATCTCTGCCACTGTTATCACATGACATTCTCCCTGGGTGTCTGTCTCTGTGTCTCTTCTCTTCCTCTTCTTTTTTTTTTTTTTTTTTTTTTGAGATGGAGTCTCATTGTGACACCCAGGCTGGAGTGCAATGGCGCGTCTCCACTCACTGCAACCTCCACCTCCCAGGTTCAAGTGATTCTCCTGCCTCAGCCTCCTGAGTAGCTGGGATTAAAGGCACCCACCACCACGCCTGGCTAATTTTTATATTTTTAGTAGAGACGGGGTTTCACCATGTTGATAAGGCTGGTCTTGAACTCCTGACCTCATGATCCACCTGCCTTAGCCTCCCAAAGTGCTGGGATTACAGGCATGAGCCACCATGCCCGGCCAATACGTATGAATTCTATCTGCTCCTCGCCAATCTCCACTGCCTCCTTCCTAGGTAAGACTAACGTCTTCTCTCACCTGGACTACTACAACTGACTTGATCAGCAAGTTATGTTGATAGAGCATTTCAGGCAGAAAGAATAGCACAATTCAAGAATTGGCTTGAAGATTTTGAGGACAAAAGGAAAGCCAAGATCAGTGTGACTGGAAGATAATGAGTGAGGGTTGCAGTATAAAAGATGAGGTCTGAGGCAGGGCGAGGTGGCTCACGCCTGTAATCCCAGCACTTTGGGAGGCCGAGGCGGGTGGATCACGAGTTCAGGAGATCGAGACCATCCTGGCTAACACAGTGAAATCCCATCTCTACTAAAAACAGAAAAAATTAGCCGGGCGTGGTGGTGGGCGCCTGTATTCCCAGCTACTCGGGAGGCTGAGGCGGGAGAATGGTGTGAACCCGGGAGGCAGAGCTTGCAGTAAGCGAAGATCGTGCCACTGCACTCCAGCCTGGGCAACAGAGCGAGACTCCGTCTCAAAAAAAAAAAAAAAAAAAAAAAAGATGAGGTCTGAGAGGCAGGCAGAGTCCAGATTTTGGGGGCCTTGAAGGTCCATGATAAGGAGTTTGCATTTTATTTTATTTTATTTTAAGCAAAGCAGTGACATGTTTTAAAAGGGCTCTCTTAGCTGGTTTACAGAGAATAGATTGTAGATCATAGCATAGTTTACTTCCAGCATGCTCTTTAGGCTTGGCAAGTTGAGATGTTAATGCGACCCCAATTTTGGGGCTTGCTCTAGCTTGCTTTCACTGTATATGAAACTGGAAAGCTATCCAAGTTGTTTTCATTTTAGCTTCAAATAAGGAAACCTCTTTTATTCTCTGTTAACTGCCAAGGATCAAGAGTCCCTCCCTGGAAGAGGTAAGGTGATACATTCTTTCCCTGGAGAAAAAAACTGTTAGAGGAAGCCAGAAAGAAGAAGGGAAGGGGGGCAGTGTCCCAATCCCATTAGATTATGCAATCAAGCCGAAGGTACCCACCTCCATTCAAATAAAGTGATTGTGCTTTCCTAAAACGAAAAGCCATTGTCTATCAAGAATTTATGCTGATTTACAAATTTATCTATGTGAAAATCTTTAGGAAAGTTAAATATTTAATAAATCACCTTTTTTTTTTTTTTGAGATGGAGTCTCACTCTGTTGCCCAGGCTGCAGTGCAATGGCGCGATCTCGGCTCACCGCAACCTCTGCCTCCGGGGTTCAAGCAACTCTCCTGCCTCAGCCTCCTGAGTAGTTGGGATTACAGGTGCCTGCCACCACCCCCGGCTAATTTTTGTATTTTTAGTAGAGACAAGGTTTCACCACGTTGGCCAGACTGGTCTTGATCAGCAAGTTATGTTGATAGTGCATCCTGACCTCAGGTGATCCACCCACCTCGGCCTCCCAAAGTGCTGGGATTACAAGTGTGAGCCACCACGCCCAGCCAATCACCTTTTTTTTTTAGAGATAAGGTCTCCCTCTGTCACCCATGCTGAGCACAGTGGCATGATCACAACTCATTGCAGCCTCAAACTCCCGGCTCAAGTGATCCTCCCACCTCAGCCTCCCAAGTAGCTGGGACCACGGGCACATACCACTAGGCCCAGGTAATTATTTTTACTTTTTGTAGAGATGGGGTCTTGCTCTGTTGCCCAGGCTGGTCTCAAATTCCTGGACATGAGCGATCCTCCCACCTGGGCTTCTGAAAATGCTGGGATTATAGGTGTGAGCCACCTTGCCCAGCCATAAATCATGGTTTGTTTTTTATTTTTTTGAGACAGAGTCTCACTCCGTCACCCAAGCTGGAGTGCAGTGGCATGATCCCGGCTAACTGCAACCTCCGCCTTTGGTGTTCAAGAGATCCTCCTGCCTCAGCTTCCTGAGTAGCTGGAATTACAGGTGCACACTACCACACCTGGCTAATTTTTGTATTTTTAGTCGAGACAGGGTTTCACCATGTTGGCCAGGCTGGTCTCAAACTCCTGGCCTCAAGTGATCCACCTGACTCGGCCTCCCAAAGTGTTGGGATTACAGGTGTGAGCCACTGAGCCTGGCCAAATGACCTTTATTAAAAAGACAAATTTTATGCTGAAACTGTTCTAGAACTTTCAGAATATATATACTCTATGACTACAGGACAATATTTGCCAATGGGATCAGTTATGATGTCTGTTTCTCTTTGAGGAACAGTCTATGCCCTTTACCTGTCAATTAACCCAGCAGAGGGCTGGTTTCTGTGTCTTATTGGCCCCCACACAAAGTTGTTTTCTTTGCCCCTTAGTGCAGTGCAGACAATTCTATTAAGAAACCATTCTATTGGCCGGGCGCGGTGTTTCATGCCTGTAATCCCAGCACTTTGGGAGGCTGAGGCTGGCGGTCACTTGAGGTCAGGAGTTTGAGACCAGCCTGGCTGATGTGGTGAAACGCTGTCTCTACTAAAAATACAAAAATTAGCCAGGTGTGGTGTCATGTGCCTGTAATCCCAGCTACTCGGGAGGCTAAGGCATGAGAATCTCTTGAACCTGAGAGAAGAAGGTTGCAATGAGCCAAGATCACGCCACTGTACTCCAGTCTGGGTGACAGAACAAGACTCTGTCTCAAAAAAAAAAAAAAAAAAAAAAAAAAAAGAAAAAGAAAAAGAAACCTTTCTATGAATCTTATTGTTGTGTTTATTGTAATAATGTAATTGAAGATATTTGTTACATTAGTTTTCAAGAATGGCTGTACAATTTGCTGAGCAATGCTTGATTAACTCAGATGCAATAACCTGTGTAATAGCCTATTTTCTTGCTTTGTATTGATTGCTAGACAGCTTAGGTATTGCTCACCTGTAGCAGATATAGATCAATATGATCCACATTTTAGCCCCATTCTTGGCTTCATTTTGTTCCCTTGTTTTCTTTTCCTATTGATTCACATTTGATTTATCTTGTCTTGCATTTTACATATCTTACTAAGACTTTAAAATCAATTCTTAAACATGGCAAAATAGGAAGGGGTGAATGATATTGAATATACTGAAACCATTTCCAAGCAGGCATTAAATTCTATCCTTTTTTGAGACAGAGTCTCACTCTGCCACCCGGGCTGGAGTGCAGTGGCACGATCTCAGCTCACTGCAGCCTCCGCTTTCCAGGCTCATGCCTCAGCCCCCTGAGTATCTGGGATTACAGGCCTGTGCCACCATGCCCAACTAATTTTTGTTTTCTTAGTAGACACAGGGTTTTGCCATGCTGGCCAGGTGGTCTCAAACTCCTGGCCTGAAATGATCCATCCGCCTCAACCTCCCAAAGTGCTGGACGGGTAGATTGCTTGAGCTTAGGAGTTCAAGACCAGCCTGGGCAACATGGCAAGACCCCGTCTCTACAAAAAAGAGATAAATAAATTGTTGGCCGTGGTGGTGCACAGCTGTGGTCCTGGCTACTCAGGAGGCTGAGATGGGAGGATTGCTTGAGCCCAGGAGGCAGAGGTTACGGTGAACCAAGATTGCGCTACTGCACTCCAGCCTGGGCCACAGAGGGAGACCCTGTCTCAAAAAAAAGTAAAAATATGGCCAGGCACGTTGGCTTACACTTGTAATCCCAGCACTTTGGAAGGCCAAGGCAGACGGATCACCTGAGGTCAGGAGTTTGAGACCAGCCTGGCCAATGTGGTGAAACCCCGTCTCTACTAAAAATACAAAAAAATTAGCCAGGCGTGGTGGCAGGCGCCTGCAATCCCAGCTACTTGGAAGGCTGAGGCAGGAGAATAGCTTGAACATGGGAGGCAGAGGTTTCAGGGAGCCAAGACGGTGCCATTGCACTCCAGCCTGGGCAACAAGAACGAAACTCAATCTCGAAAAAATAAAAGAAAAAGAAAAAGAAAAAATAATGGAAATTATTTGTTTGCATTCCTGTCTCTATAACTAGACTATAAACTCTTTTGAAGGCAGTTATTGTTCATTCATTCAACAAATACAATGGAGTCACATTATGTACCCATTTGACTTACTTGACTTCTTAGGGAAAACATAAAAAAAAGAAGAAAGACCAATACTCTATGATTCCACTTATGTAAGGTACCTGGAGTAGTCACGTTCATAGAGACAAAAAGTAGAAGGGTGGCTGCCAGGGGCTGGGAGGAAAGGGAAATGGGAAGCTGCTCAAATGGGTAGAGGGTTTCAGTTTTGCAAAATAAAAAAGTTCCAGAGATCTGTTGCACAGCAATGTGAATATAGTTAACAGTATAAAGTATGCGCTTCAAAATGGCTAAGATGGTGAATTTTGTTATGTGTTTATTACCACAATTTTTTAAAAAAAGAAAAGGAAGAAGAATCAGCTAGCAGTGCTTGAGATGAGAACATGAATCTGTGCTGTTTCCACGGCTGGTCTTGGTTCCTTCCTTCATAGAGTATGCATCTCACTGGGCTGAATGTGATTTTATTGTTTAAAGATAAATGTTTCTGGCCAGGTGCGGTGGCTCACGCCTGTAATCCCAGCACTTTGGGAGGCTGAGGCAGGAGGATCACCTGAGGTCAGGAGTTCGAGACCAGCCTGTCCAACGTGGTGAAACCCTGTCTCTGCTAAAAATACGAAAATTAGCTGGGCATGATGGCGGGCGCCTGTAATCTCAGCTACTTAGGAGGCTGAAGCAAGAGAATTGCTTGAACCTGGGAGGCAGAGGTTGCAGTGAGCCAAGATCACACCACTGCACTCCGTCCTGGGCAACAAGAGCAAAACTACAACTCAAAAAAAAAAAAAAAAAGGATAAATGTTTCTTACAACATGGCCCCTACATGCAAGGCAGCTGCTTACATGGGCCTTAATCAAAGAAACTGTTTTCCTATTGGAGGGGAAAAATGGTCATACTAAACTTGTTAAGAGAAGAGAGAGTTAAAAGAATCTTCAAGGATCATTTTTACTATATGAGTATTACCATATAGTAAAATATATTATATATCAAAAATATATTACGTATATCATGGAGTTCCTAGTACCAGTTTTTACTACTGTTTTCTTTCCTCACCAACTCTCAAGCGATATGTCTAATCTTTGAGGCCCTGGCTGTTGGGTTTTCTCTGTTCTCCAAGTCAGCACCTCTCAGAAGGCAAGTGGACAGCCTCAAGTGCCCAAACCTAAGGGACTTGGCAGCTCCCAGCTGAAGCCATCCTTCACAGAGTCAGTGGAACCAATCATCAACATGATATGATTTTAAGGATGGGAAGATATGTCCTCTGCACCTTGCAAACTCATGTTATTCGTTTGCTCATATAGTCCCTATGCTGAATATGTCTTCCTTCAACCCTGCTATGGCTTGAGTATTTTGAGTGTGTCCTCCAAAAGTTCATGTGTTGGAAACTTAATCCCCAATACCATAGCGTTGGGAGGTGGGCCCTAATAAGAACGCGATTGGGTCATGAGGGCTGAGTCACTGGGAATTGATTAATGTTGTCATCACAGAAGCAGGTTAGTTATTATGAGTGGGTTTTTGTTTTTTTGTTTTGTTTTGTTTTGAGATGGAGTCTCACTCTGTCGCCCAGGCTGGAGTGCAGTGGCATCATCTTGGCTTACTGCAACCTCTGCCTCCCGGGTTCAAGCGATTATCTTGCCTCAGCCTCCTGAGTAGCTGGGATTACAGGTGCGCACCACCACGCCCGGCTAATTTTTGTATTTTTAGTAGAGAAAGGGTTTCTACTAAGCTCCATCAGGGCTGGTCTTGAACTCCTGTCCTCGTGATCCGCCTGCCTTGGCCTCCCAAAGTGCTGAGATTACAGGCGTAAGCCACCGCGCCCAGCCAAGAGTGGGTTGTTATAAAGCGAATCCAGCCCCGGATGCCTTTCTCTGTTTCACATGTTCGCTTCCACCTTCTGCCCTTTGCCCATGGGATAAAGCAGCACAAGGCCCTCACTGGATACCAGCACCACACTCTTTAACTTCCCAGCCTCCAGAACTGTGAGCTAAATAAATGTCTGTTCATCACAGATTAACCATTCTGTAGCATTCTGTTACAGCAACAGAAAATCGATCAAGACAAACTCCACTCAAGTTTCATTCAGTCTTCAGGACCCAGCTCAGTCCCTTATCCTCCGTGAAGCCTTCTTACCATTTTCTCCATTGTTCCACTCACTTGTCATGTGAACATTTAATTACCTTCTTTCTCTTATTTACCTGAGTTAAACTATTATGTATTTCTCACATAATTCTTTATTTCTTTCTTTACTTTTTTTTCTTTTTTCAGACACAGGGTCTCACTCTGTCACCTAGCCTGGAGTGCTGTGGCATGACCATGGCTCACTGCAGCCTCAAACTCCTGGCTCAAGTGATCCTCCTTTCTCAGCTGCCCAGATAGCTGGGACTACAGGCGTGTACCACCAGGCCCAGCTATTTCAGAGACAGGGTCTCAGTGTGTTGCACAGGCTGTATTCTTTTTTTCTTTTTTGAGACAGAGTCTCACTCTGTCACCCAGACTGGAGTGCAGTGGCATGATCTCAGCTCTCTGCAACCTCTGCCTCCCGGGTTCAAGCGATCCTCATGCCTCAGCCTCCCACGTAGCTGGGACTACAGGTGTGCACCACCACGCCTGGCTAATTTTTGTGTTTTTAGTAGATATGGGGTTTTGCCATATTGGCCAGGCTGGTCTCGAACTCCTGACCTCATGTGATCCATCCGCCTTGGCCTCCCAAAATGCTGGGATTACAGGAGTGAGCCACAACTCCCGGCCCAGGCTGTATTCTTTTTTTTTTTTTTTTTTTTTTGAGACAGACTCTCACTCTGTTGCCCAAGCTGGAGTGCAGTGGTGCGATCTCGGCTCACTGCAAGCTCCGCCTCCCAGGTTCACGCCATTCTCTTGCCTCAACCTCCTGAGTAGCTGGGACTACACACGCCTGCCACCATGCCCGGCTAATTTTTTGTATTTTTAGTAGAGACAGGGTTTCACTGTGTTAGCCAGGATGGTCTCAATCTCCTGACCTTGTGATCCGCCCGCCTCAGCCTCCCAAAGTGCTGGAATTACAGGCGTTAGCCACTGCGCCCGGCTAGGCTATATTCTTTACTTCTTTTGTTATTATTTAATATGTCATGTTTGCAGGCCTTGACTCCCCCATTATCAATAAATACAGGTAAAGTTTATAGGCCAGACATTCTTCAAAGGACTTTTTATGAACATTATATATAACCTTCCCAACAGCTCCATGATATAAGAACTATTATTGTCTCCATTTGACATATGAGGAAACTTGAGGAAAGATAGCTGTGGTGACTTTGCACAAGTTCACACAGCAAGAATGAGGCATAGCTGGAGTTTAATTTCAGGCTGTCTGACACCATAGCTCAAACCTATGTTCAATGTGCAGGATTGGAGGGATCTTTAGTGTTTATCTAGTCAACTTCCCTCTCTTGCACTGCTCTTTCTCTTCCTCTAAACCAAGCTCAAATCCCTTTTCCAGTTTCCCAAGTCGTTATCTAAACTCTTTTTTTACTTTTTGCTTTCTATTTTTATTTATTTATTTTTTTTAAGATGGAGTCTCACTCTTTCACCCAGGCTGGAGTGCAGTGGCATGATCTCGGCTCATTGCAACCTCCACCTCTTTGGTTCAGCAATTCTCCTGCCTCAGCCTCCCAAGTAGCTGGGATTACAGGTGTGCGCCACCCCATCCAGCTAATTTTTTTTAATTTTTATCAGAAACGGGGTTTCATCATGTTGGCCAGGCTAGTCTCGAACTCCTGGCTTCAAGTGATCCACCTGCCTTGGCCTCCCAAGGTGCTGGGATTACAGGTGTGAGCCACCACACCTGGCCTATTTTTTATTTTTTTGAGACAGGGTCTCCCTCTGTTTCCCAGCCCAGGCTGGAGTGCAGTGGTGTGATCTCAGCTCACTACAGTCTCGACCTCTCAGGCTCAAGCAATCCTCCCACCTTAGTCTCCTGAGTAGCTGGGACTACAGCCACACACCACCATGCCCAGCTAATTTTTAAATATTTTTTAGAGACAGAGTCTCCCTATATTTCCCAGGTTGGTCTCAAACTCCTGTTCTCAAGGAGTCCTCCCACCTCAGCCTCCCTAAGTGCTGGGATTACAGATGTGAGCCACCACACCCACCCCTAAGCTCTTCTTGCCATGGAGAACTTAGTATTTTGCCTTTTCCATCTTTAGACTTAAAAAGCTCTCCTTTAAATTCATCTGACTTCTGCCTAAGGAGGAATATAGTATAGTAGCTCATCTGTACAATGGAGATTATAGTAGCTATCTCCCAGGATGGTTGTAAGGAATGAATGAAGTCAGGACAAAAGCATTTAGCTCAGTGCCTGGCACCAGGAGCTGCTGAACACACAGCAGCAATGAGCTATCCTTTACTTCTCTTTACAGATCTGTGCTTTGGAGCCACACAAACCAATCACTTCTCTTTTACCCATGGTAGTCCTTCAGTCTTTTTTTTTTTTTTTTTTAACATGGAGTCTTGCTCTGTCACCCAGGCTGGAGTGCAGTGGTGTGATCTCAGCTCACTGCAACCTCCGCCTCCTGGGTTCAAGCTATTCTCCTGCCTCAGCTTCCGGAGTAGCTGGGACTAAGGTGCATGCCACCACGCCCGGCTAATTTTTGTATTTTTAGTAGAGACGGGAGTGTTGGCCAGGCTGGACTCGAACTTCTGACCTCATGATCCGCCTGCCTCGGCCTCCCAAAGTGCTGGGATTACAGATGTGAGCCACTACGCCCGGCCAGTCCTTCAGTCTTGAAAGCTGTGATCATTTGCTCTAAGTTGTCATCACTCTGCTCTTCCTCTTCCTCCTTTTCTTTTTTTATCTCTATATCTCTAGTTCCTTCAACTGAATCTCACAAGGCATTGTTTCTAGGCCCCTTATTATTCTGTCCTCCTCTGCCCCTCTCACTGTGGTCACTGAACAGAGTGAAACCACAATTTCCTTGGGTTTGTGCTACGTGTCTATTAATGAAGCCCACAATTGTATTAGCATTTAGGCCGCCGCATTATATTCAGCTAGCTCCAGCCAGCTCCATTGAGTTCGTAGCCACCTACAGCACCATTTCTTCCCCATCTGAAACTGTGAAATCATGTTTTTTTACATTCTATACCTGTGCAGTTGGTTTCATGAATTCAGATGGATAATTTGACTGTTTTCTCTCTTTTATTTTATCTCCTCTGATTCAGCCTATCTTATCCTAACATCTTTTGGAATCTTTATGTCTTCTTCCATTTATGCACAGATTTTGAGGACAGGATTGTTGCAAGGTAAGAGAATTCCTGTAAAGCACAAGTACGTGGCATGCAATAAGTCCTTGATAAACATTAACAATGGTGATTGTTATTATTATCCTCAGCACAGCATCTGGCCCATAGTT
The DNA here is from genome assembly GCF_000001405.40 of Homo sapiens. Taxonomy (NCBI): domain Eukaryota; kingdom Metazoa; phylum Chordata; class Mammalia; order Primates; family Hominidae; genus Homo; species Homo sapiens. The sequence continues at coordinate 35,429,880 of NC_000020.11, forward strand.
GACTCTCAATAAATAGTCACTGATTAATGAATGAGTGACTGGATCCATGATTGGTGAAATGAATGAATGTTCCCTCTCCTGAATCCTAGGCCCAGTAAATTTGATATTATCCTTCTTTTACAGATAGGAAAACTGAGGCTCAGAGAGCTTAAGGAACTTCCCCAAAGTAGCTCAGCTGGAGAGTGGTAAAACCAGGACTAGAACTCAGGTCTGCCTGATTCCCAGGCCTGTGTGACTAACACTTCCCCACTATACTTTCTTACATCTGTATTCAGGTCAGAACTAGTTGTGGAGTCAGAAGTCTGAGGGGTTTCCCGAGATTGTATGTTCCATGCCCTAGAAAAGCGGGTTCTCCTGTTGTGACCCTGGGAGATGTGGAGGGGCCATGAGATGGGGGACAGAGCACTGGAAGCCTCTTCTCTTTTCTCCCCCATGGGCCTCTCAATTTTCACTGCCTTAAACTCTGCTTAGCTGTTTCTCGCAAGAAACTAACAGCGCTGTGTGTCCCCAAGGAGAAACTTTTAAGACCAAGGAGCCAAGACCCAGGGAGGTGATTCAACAGCTTGCCAGGACTGCAGTCAGTGGAGTCAAGGGCCCAGAGAGCAGCAGCAAGAATGGTATAAAGAACACTGAGGGCCCAGCGCAGTGGCTCATACCTGTAATCCCAGCACTTTGGGAAACCAAGGTAGGAGGATTGCTTGAGGCCAGGAGTTCAAGAGCAGCCTGGCGAACATGATGAAACCCCATCTCTACTAAAAATACAAAAATTAGCCTGGCATGGTGGCACTCGTCTGTAGTCCCAGCTACTCAGGAGGCTGAGACAGGAGAATCTCTTGAACCCAGGAGGCAGAGGTTGCAGTGAGTGAGCTGACATTGTGCCACTGCACTCCAGCCTAGGCGACAGAGGGACACTCTGTCTCAAAAAAAAAAAAAAAAAAGAAGAACACTGAGGGCCAGGTGCGGTGGCTCATGCCTGTAATCCAGCACTTTGGGAGGCTAAGGTAGGAGGATCGCTTGAGGCTAGGAGTTCAAGACCAGCCTGGATAACACAGTGAGACCTCATCTCTTAAAAAAAAAAAAAAGTTTAAAAGTTAGCCAGATGTGGTGGCACACACCTGTGGTCCTGGTACTTGGGAGGCTAAGGTGAAAGCTGCAGTGAGGTGAGCTATGATTGTTCCACTGAATTGCAGCCTGGGCAACAAAGCAAGAAAGACCCTGTCTTTAAAAAAAAAAAAAAGAAGAAGAAGAAGAATGCAGACCTGCAGGAAGCTGTAGTTATCACTCTGCCTCTTTGGATATCAGCTTCCGCATCTGTAAAAAGTGAGGGTGGAGAGTTCTTGCTTTACCTGCTTCACTACGCAAGGCATGGCAATGATAACAGCTAACACATCCTGAGTGCCACCTCTGTGCCTGCTCCTGTGTTGAGTGCTTCTCATATCCTTGCAGTTAGCACCATGAAATAAGCATATTGTTAACCCTCTTTTTTTTTTTTTTTTTTACAAATGAGGAAACCAAGGTTCATGGAATTAAGTTACTTGCCCAAGGCCTCTAACTCTAAGTGACAGAACTGAAATTTTGAAAGTGTGCAGCCTTCAGAGCTGAGTGACCATGGGTGGAGAGTGTTTGTGAACTCTCAAGTATGATAGATGCCTTGTACCCTTTGGGGCAAGAATGAACAGTACCAGTTTGCAGCTTGTTATGGTTGCGGTTGGAGGTGGGTGGCTGGGGGAGAGTGTTTTCCAAGGAGGCAGCTGAACAGATCCTGTGGTTAGGATGGGTGACCTGATCACATCCCCAGAGTCTGGGTGGGAAAATGCAGGAGGGTCCACAGTCTGAAAGAGAGCCCTAGGGCAGGTTGTGGTGGTAGAGGAAACTCCTAGCGTGTCAATCCAAACAGTCCATTGGGAGCCCAGGCCTTCAGTAGGAGGGGCATTGTGGCTCAGATGACATGAACCTCTCTGACTGGGCTAAGGCAGAGAGAAGCTCCAGTTCGGTCAGAACTTTCCAAGAAACCAGGGACACGCAGCCCAGGAAATAATACCTGTGGGAGTCAGCCCCACCTGTGACCCATTCATCTTATCTATCTGCCCTTGGGTTTCTGGCCCCCCAGTTTCTACACTGCTCTCCCTGGATCCCCAGCCCACTCCTTGGCTTCCCCAGCACCTCCCTTCCAGGCCCATTCTCCCCTCACACACACCACAGCTCTGTCTGCCACGGCAGCTCCTTTGTTTACTTCCAGAGCTGCCAGGCCCACCACTAGCCAAACACAACGAAGCCCAGCCAGTGAGGGGAGGCTCCAGGCTCAGTCTGTCCCCTCAGAGAGAGGTAATAGCCTCCAGACCAAGGAGGCAGCTCAAAGGTAGGCTGCCCCCGCACTGTGCCCAAGCTTCAGGCCTAGAGGGAAAGGGCACAAGGTCTGCCCATAGCTGGGTAGGAATCCCTACTGTTGAAGCAGCTTTGGTGAGGAGCCCCAGGAATCAAAGACCCAGCTGGAGGGAGGTAGGGGAAATGTTGAAGCCCCCTGGGTGGGAAGTGGAGGCTTAGACTGCTCCTGGTTCTCCCTGTGTCTATTCTGCCAGGTAGAACTGGAGTCCTCAGCCCAAGGCACCCATATGCCTGTCTCCCCACCAGAGGGCTATGTTCCCCTCCCAAAAGTCTGTGCCCTGTGCCTCCCCAAAGATTCCAGCTGAGAAAAGGAAGTGAGCATTTACTCTGGGCCAAGCCCCAAGCAGGAAACATTGTCAGGGTGTGCCTGGCATTTGTCTGTCTGAGGTTAGTGGGGAGTTTATTTATCTGATGTATAATTATGTATTTATATAATGTGTAATATAAAGGCAGGGGACTCCGATTCTGTTTCTGGAGCTGGGGGCTGATGGGTGAGCAGTGAGGTGTAGTGAGGGTGTCAAGCTGGAGGGCAACAGGGCCACAGACATGGTCATGTGAGGAACAGTGGTCAGTGGCGAGAGGAGATGCCCCAACAGGGAGAAGGAGAGCCTTGGCAGCCCAGATTCCCCAGGGGAGAGATAAAGGACTCTTTCAATGGTGCCCAGGTAATTCTGTGAGTATGGGGGTAGCAGGGCAGGCAGATATTGGTCGATGATGTAGGAATGATTTTAGAAGAAATGAAATCCCCAATTTCCCTCCCTTTTAGGGATCTATTTTGGAGACAACAAACTTGACTAAGGAATCTCAAGAAGAAAATATAATTCTGCTGCCAGGCCCCAATGGAGCAAATAGAGCTCGGGACCCAGGGGCCTTTGGAAGGAACAGGAATGCGGTTAGAGGTGAGCACTGGCCCTGCTTAGCTGCACTCTCTGTCCCATTGTGCTTCAGTTTCCAGGAGTGGGGGTGGGGATAGGGCTCTGAAAACTGAGTTTATACATGAAGCAACCCACCTCCCTGCCCTGGGTCAGTAATTCTTCAAGGGGTCACTGGGTCCCCTGGAGTAAACAAGAAATTTGCCACAGTTTTAGGCACAGTTTTGCTTTTTATCTCATCAATATACATTTAAATCTAACAGTCTAACAGCCTCACACTCCTCAACTCTATCCAAGCCCTCTCCTCTTCTCTCCCACTCTTGCCCAGTCAGCTTCTCAACTGTCCCAGGGACAGGAAGTCACCAGGCACAAATGTGATTTGAGGAGGCAGTGGCACCTGTGGCTCTCCTGAGAGGTGCTTAGGAGAGTCCAGAGGCTGAGAAGGCCCAGGTGAGGAGAAATGGTGGGCTGAGTCTCATCGGAAAGCACTGTTTCCTGGGACTCAGTCCCATTCAGAGTCTGTCTCCCTGGACCTGTGCCTGCCACTGGTCACATCAGCAGACGGGCAGCAATCCTCAGCCAGGGGAACTTGTGGATAAAAGGGGGCCTTTAGCCCAAGTCACACTCAGAGAGCGAGCAAGCTTATTGGAATCCCCTTTCACCCAAGCTGTGTAGATGCTCCTGCCACAGCTTCCTGACCCCTCTGTGATTCCAGGAGTGCAGGAAGGGGCTCTTGGGATGTGCCACCCAGGAAGACAGAGGGCCAGTGCTGCTACCTGCAGCCACACGACTCCACGACCATGTCCTCATACTGCTTATACACCACGTTGTTGGCAGAGTCAATGAAGAGGATGCTGATGGGACTCAGCCGCGTGGGCACACAGCAGGTGGGTGGTGTGGACTCGGGGTCCATGGAGTTCATCAGGGTCTGGATGACTGCATGATTCGTGGGCTCCAGGTGGGAGCGCAATGGGAACTCGCACAGCCCCTCGCAGTGGAAAGCCTCGTACTCAAGGGGTGCGATGATCCAGTCGTCCCAGCCCATGTCCTTGAAGTTGACATGCAGTGCCTTCCGACTGCAGCGAGCCTTAAGGTTCTTGCTGGGTCGCTTGCCCTGGCGAGTGGCCAGTGGGGCCCGCCGTTTTCGCCGCTGGCTGAACAGGTACTCATACACGGTCTTATCGTCCTGGCCAGAGCGGGCCTTAATCTCATTAAAGAACAGGTCCCGTTTCTTGGTGCGGCCAAACACCAGGAACAGGGCTTTCTCGTGGACCTGCCGGGCGGCGCGGTCGAAGCCCAGGCCACGGAGGTCCACGGCCCTGCCCCGTTCCCAGGCCTCCAGCTCCAGGCACAGCTGGGCCGAGTTCTTAAAGTTTCGGAAGAGCTTCCAGATGTCGAACACCTCCCAGCCAGATCCGTCCAGGCCTGGCACGGAGCGCACATCCAGCAAGGCGGCCGGCTGCCGGCCGCTGGGGCAGCTGGACAGCTTCAGCTGGGCAGCCCGCCCGCCTCCGGGGGCCGCTGGCTTGGCCGTGTCCGAGGGCTTCTTCCGCAAGATCCGCAGCTCGGCCCCCAGCAGCCCATCCTTCTCCAGGGCACTAATGTCAAACACGTACCTCTGCTTCCTGACCACGGGACCTCGGTCATCTAGAGAGAACACCCAGAAGTCATTCCCTGCAACCTCACCAAGGGAGCCAGTCACTTCGAGGCTGCGGGGGAAGGCCCCAGCTCTCTCCCAGTCCAGAGAGCTTTCTTTCACCTCTGCCCCATTCTGACAGAAGCCAAGAGCCAAACCACTGAGAGCCTTTTTGAAAATGAGAGCATTTCCTACATAGCCGACCAAGTAGGGGTGTTCACCTGAAGATGTGGCTGGGGATGATTTGCGTGATTCTGGTGTTTGTGTCATGATATACGTGTTATCAGAGATTTATCAGCTTTGTAACTGCCTTCTACCTATCTCTCTCCCAGCCATGAGCTAACGTGATGTCTCATTTGTGAGATAGGTGGAGTGAGCATTAAAATTACTCCTGTTGACTGGGCACAGTGGCTCACACCTGCAATCCCAGCACTTTGGGAGGCTGAGGTGGGTGGATTGCTTGAGCTCCGGAGTTCGAAACCAGCCTGCACAACATGGTGACACTCTGTCTCTACAAAAAATACAAAAATTAACCAGGCATGGTGGCGTGCACATGTAGTCCCAGCTACTCAGGAGGCTGAGGTGGGAGGATTGATTGACCCCAGGGAGGTCAAGGCTTCAGTGAGCCGTGAATTCGCTATTGCACTCCGGCCTGGGCAACAGAGAAAGACCCTGGCTAAAAAAAAAAAAAAAAAAAAAAAAAAAAAAAAAAAAAAAAAAAAAAAATACACGCTTTTCCAGAGGAGAATCCCAAGGTTCAGAGAAGTTAGATGACTTGCTCAAATTCTCAGCTGCTTCCACCATCCCTTAAAGGAGACCTTGGTGCTCTTGTTATGCAGATGAGGCACAGAGATGGGGAGTGACTTGACTAAGGTCACACAGCAAGTTAATGACAAAGCTGGTCCACACTGACCTACAGCCCAATTTTCCTGGCTTTCCAGTGCAAGGATTTTGTTGCCTATGTGTCTTACTCTCCTGAGCATGTGTGTGTGTTACAGTTGTATGCATGTGTGTGATTGGGTTCATATGTGAATATGAAAGAGTGTATACGTTAATGACGCATTATATGTATAAATGATTGGGCTTGTGTGACTATTTGAAGAGCACATATATGTCTGTATATGCATGATTGATCTTGTGTGTGTATGTAAGAAGGTGTGTGTGCACATGCATATGTGTGTGATTCGGCATGTGTGTACGTGTGTGATTCAGCACGTGTGTGTGTGAGTCAGCATGCATGTACATGTGTGATTCAGCATGTGTGTATAAACATAAGGCTATGTATGTGTATGTGAGAAGCTCAGTAGTATCTCCGAATCAGCATGCCCTCCTTCCTAAATTGCAATTTGCCATTGGGGAGCTTTCATATATTGCTCTAGAAGGTGACTAATTAGGCCTTTAAACTCCCCATCTCCCCCTCTCCAAGCTCCCTTAGTGCTGGGGGGCACACGGACTTATTTTATGAGCCCCCAAGGGGTCACAGCTTTCCCTGGCTGGGCAGGCAGCCAGACCACCTCCCCCACCTCAGCCAGACCTGCTGCCTCTGTGCCTCCCCCGCCCCCTGGCAGCCCCCTCCAGGCCAGCTCTAATGAGGAGCCTCTCCCACCCTCTGACCCCTCCCCCACCCTGCCAGCCTAGGACCAGAGCAAATGAGCTGCAGGCAACTTGAGCGACCAACAGCCCACCTCCCTCTTCACACTAGGAAGAAACTGAGGCCCTGAGAGGGGGAGGGACTTGCTTAGATCACACAGCAAGTGGAGAGGAAAAGCTGCAACAGTAACATTAGGTGGGCCGAGAGAGACAGAGGGGAGCAGGTAGTCTCTGGAGTTAATGAGGAGAATGAGGCATGTTCAGGACAGCATCTAAAGTTTTCATGTTGGAAGGGCTCTCAGAAACCACCCTGTCCAACCCCATATAGGTGTACAGATGGGAAAACGGAGACCCCAAGTGAGAAGGAGCTTTCCCAAGGTCATACTGCGAGTTAGGCCCTGGGTCTGCTCCCTCCCCATGTATCTGAACATCATTCCATGACTCCAAGATGCCCCATTTACTGTGTGCACCTCTCTTGCCTCCTCTATCCCCTTGCCTGAGGGCAAAGTTGCAGAAGCATGGGGACCTCAAGATTCATTTCTTTCTCTGCCGTCTGAGACCGCCTACAAACCTGTGAAGCTTGGAAAGTTCGGCCAGCCCAGCAGGTACAGATGCACAACTGAGCAATCAAGTCTCGGAATCTGGTCTCCAACTCTGCCACGAACTGGCAGGTCTTGTCTCTTCTCTAGGCTTTAGTGCCCACTCTGCACCTTGCAGGCGTTGGACCTGGTGCTTCCTAGGTGCCCTCCAGCCCTGATGTGTGGGCAGCCTAGGATCTGCTATGTGTGAGATATGTGTCAGTGTCCCCAGACACCCACCCCGGGCCAGATGCACACAGTGTCTCCCACCAGGGCAGTGCCAGGGCTTTGAAAGCCCCTCCATTCATGCAGATGCCCCTCCCTCTGAGCCGTGCCCCTGCCACCCCGCCCCCTCACCTTGCCCTTTGTCAATAAAGCTGGTGATGGTGTTGGCCAGGCCAGCCTCCAACTTCACGCTGCTGTTGCCTCCCTTTCTGTCAGCATCGGACAGCGTCCTGTACAGCGAGAGCATGTACTCGTGGGGTGTGATGGGGGGTGGGCGAAACGGCTCCTTGGGCTCTCGTGGGGGCCCGGGCTCCCTGGCCTTCTTCAGCAGGAAGGAGCTGGGGACAGATCCTGCTTTTGGGGGTGCCTTGCCTCCGGGAAGCTGTCCTTTTGGGGTCACAGTCCGGGCTGTAGCCTGCCTTGTTTGGGGAGGGTGTCCTGGCTTGGGTTCAGGGCCGCCCGGTCTGGGGGGCAGCTTTTTGGGTTCATCCTTCTTGGGCTGTGTCAGGCCTCCTGTCTGCCCGGTGCCTCCCTTTGCCCTGGCATTGGCATTGGTGGCCCCCCCACCATAGCTGTGACCCCCTGGCCTGAAGACGTTCCGGGCCAGGGGGGGCCTCTCCTTGGCCTCTGCTTTGGCCAATCCTGGCCTGGTCCCCTGGGGTCTCTGGCCCAAGTCAGGGGCACCCAACACAGTGCAGATGAATTCCAGGTCCAGCCAAGCCAGGTACCAAAGCAAGAAAGTGAGGAGTTTGGGGAGTCTCATCCTCTGGCCAGCCGCTGAATGACACCAAAGAGAACAGCGGCAGCAGCGAAGGTGCCTCTGGTTTGGCAGGAAAAACCATGAAAGGAGTGGACTTTCAAAAGCAGCGGCAGCAGCAGTAGCAGCAGAAGGAAAGGCTTTCTCCTCAGTCTGAGACTCTTGAAGTCTGCCGGGTGTGTGTTTGTATCCAGTCCCATAGTGGAAATGCTCTCGTATCCAGACGTGCACCGTCTCCAGTCAGCAGCTGAAAATAACTCGTTCTTGAAAGGAGAAAGCCGACCGCCCCCTTTCTCCTGCACAACTGACTGAGGGCTTGAAGGAGGCTTGTATAAGGCTGAGGGATTTTTCCAAGAAGGAAGAATGGCGTAATGCTGCCTGTGTGCTCCAGTTTTTTTTTCCCCCTAGTTTTGAATCCTTTCCAGTGAAAATACTTCACACACACACACACACACACACACACACACACTCACAGGCCTGCAGGTGCTCAGAAAAATCTTTTACAAACCTGAACTCAGGAATTGGAAACGGAATTCCAACCCAAACCAATTTAATTACTCTCTGATGTCATGCTGTCTAAACTCATTTAAGTGCGATATATTTATGTGAAAAAAATCACCGCTGCCCTTTCGAGGCCATGGCTCACGGGGGCTCCTGGCACAGAGCCCTGCAGCGGGACTCTAGGCTTAGGGGGCCTCCCCCTCCACAGGGCAGACTCAGGGGTCTTCACCTCCACCTCATGGAGCAGCCCACCCCACTTTCCCGAGGAGAGATGCTGAAGAATGAGCTCAAAGATCTTAAGCCCCAGAAGCATGGGGAGTGTGGGTTTGTAGTTAAGTTCTTAGAGTGTTTTTAAAGCAGTTTCAACTCCTGCATCTAGTCTGGGACCTGATTTGTTATGCGTGTGTGTGTGTGTGTGTGTGTGTGTGTGTGTGTGTTTATGTGCCTGTGTGTGTGTGTGCCTGTGTGTGTGTGTGCCTGTGTGTGTGTATTGGGAGTAGGGACAGCACAGATGGCAGCATTTACCCACATTTTCTTTTATTTTAATAAACTTGTGGTGACCCAGAGACTGAAAAATATCAGTGCCCACTACACCCCCTCCCTACCCCCAAATGCCATTGACTGAGTGCATATTCTTCAGGCTTGGGGGCACTGTCGCCCTTAAGTTCACTCCTTGGATGGCGGCAGGTCCAGGGTGTACCCCACCACCACCCCAGCAGAGACGTCCTCTGAGTTTTCTTAGACAAGACTGGCTGAGTCTGGGGCAGCAGCGGCCCCTACAGGAGGCTGGAAAAGCCATTTCCCACATGACGCTTTTTTTTTTTTTTTTTTTGAGACGGAGTCTCGCTCTGTCGAGTGCAGTGGCATGATCTCAGCTCACTGCAATCTCTGCCTCCCAGGTTCACGCCATTCCCCTGCCTCAGCCTCCCCAGTAGCTGGGACTACAGGCCCCTGCCACCACACCTGGCTGATTTTTTACGTTTGTAGTAGAGATGGGGTTTCACCATGTTAGCCAGGATGGTCTCGATCTCCTGACCTCGTGATCCGCCCGCCTCGGCCTCCCAAAGTGCTGGGATTACAGGCGTGAGCCACCGCGCCGGGCACAATTTCCCACATGATGTTTTTCTGGTAGCTCTGGAAGGTCTGAATTCCAGCTGAACTCAAGGGTTTCTTAAAGTGCCTCATTGAAGTATGGAAGATCCCTTCCTCTGGGGAACCTTCGCCGTAGAGCCCCTGGGCAACTTAACACAGGGTCAGCGGGGAAAGCTGTTCGCTTCACCTGAAATATCCTCCTCTCTCTCTCCCACAACTGGAGGAAGCACTCTACATCCTGAGAAGTTTAGCTGAAAATTTACCTCCTTCGGGAAGCCTTTCCTCGTCCCCAGACAGAGCCAGTTACCCCTTCTGTACATTTCTCTACAACAACACTTTTCACGCTGTAAGAAGGATGGCGGGGGAGAAGCAATAGTCAGATAGGCTTCCTTCTTTTTTTTTTTTTTTTTTTTTTTTTTGAGACAGAGTCTCACTCTGTCACCTAGGCTGGAGTGCAGTGGTGCGATCTTGGCTCACTGTAATCTCCACCTCCTGGGTTCAAACGATTCTCCTGCCTCAGCCTCTCGAGTAGCTGGGACTACAGGTGCACACCACCATGCCTATCTATTTTTTGTATTTTTAGTAGAGACGGAGTTTCACCATGTTGGCCAGTCTGGTCTCGAGCTCCTGACCTCAAGTGATCCACCCACCTTGGCCTCTCAAAGTGCTGGGATTGCAGGCATCTCTACCAAAAATACAAAAAATTAGCCGGGTGTGGAGGCAAAGGTTGCAGTGAGCCGAGATCGCACCACTGCACTCCAGCCTAGGTGACAGAGCTAGAGTCCATCACACACACACAAAATAAGTAAATAAATAATATTAATAAAATAAAAAAATTAAAAACAGACTTGTTCCCACTGAACCAGTCCTCTCTGGCATCCCTCCCTTCACTCCCTCCTCACCACCTCTGTCACTGCCCTGTCCTCCTCATTGCTTGCCTCGCTATGATTCTCCCCTATAACTGGCTTCTAGGCCTCCAGGCTCTCTCTGGTTCAACCCTCTACTAAAAGCTACCCATCAAACAAGTGCCAACCCACGTGCCACCTCCTCCATGAAGCCTTCTTGCATCCTCCAGAAAATGCACACTCCCCCTGAGCTGCCATCACACATTTTCTGTGCTCTTTTACATTTTTTGGCAGCTGAAAGTTTATTCAGTCTCTGCCTCTGCCCCCTATCCCAACACAGTTTGTTTCTTCCACTCTGTATTTTGTCATATTTTAAAATCATAACTTAATTCCTTATAACTATAATAATTTCTTTACATACCTGTCTCTCCCATTAGATTATGACTAGACTGTGCCATATTTATCTTTGAATTATACCCAGTGCTTGGCAGAGGGCCCAGCCCACAGCAGCTCTCAGTACGTGTTATATGAATAAATTAATCTCTAACTGGCCCTTATTGACAAAAATCATCATTTTCTACTTTGAGGTGTAGTTATTTGTGGACATAACCTGCCTTTCCCATTAGACTCTAAGTTTCTTGAAGGGAAGAATTGTCTTGCCACTTCTTAAGCATTTTGTAAGCTCAGAGAGTGAATAAATGAATGAGTTGAACAACCACAATGTCTCTGTACGTGGCTTGATAAAGAGCAAGGATTCTGGAGACAAACAGACCTGGTTTTGAAGCTTGGTTCTGCTATTTATGTATTGTGTGATCTTGGGAAGCCTCTAAACCCCTCTGAAACTCTAAACAGTGATAACGATAGTGCTTACCTCACAGGACTCTTGTTGGAGATTCAATGAAGTAAATTGCGGCCAGGCGCAGTGGCTCACGCCTGTAATCCCAGCACTTTGGGAGGCCGAGGCAGGTGGATCACGAGGTCAGGAGATCAAGACCATCCTGGCTAACATGGTGAAACCCTGTCTCTACTAAAAAAATAAATAAAATTAAATTGCATAAAGTGATCAACTATTAATGGCAATTGTTAATGATAGCTTTTTTTTTTTTTTTTTTTAGATGGAGTCTCACTCTGTCACCCAGGCTGGAGTACAGTGGCATGATCTTGGCTCACTGCAACCTCCACCCCCCGGGTTCAAGTGATTCTCCTGCCTCAGCCTCCCAAGTAGCTGGGACTACAGGTGCGTGCCACCACGCCCGGCTAATTTTTGTATTTTTAGTAGAGATGGGGTTTCACTGTGGTAGCCAGGATGGTCTCGATCTCCTGACCTTGTGATCTGCCTGCCTCGGCCTCCCAAAGTCCTGGGATTACAGGTGTAAGCCACCATACCCGGCCAATAATAGCTATTTTTTTTAAAGCACTTATTCCAGTCAACTAGACTCTGGGTTTTGTACTCCATTGCATTTATGTGTTATTTATCTTCATGACAATGCTATGAAGGTAGTGGTTTTCATTGTTGTTTTTTGAGACAGGGTCTTACCTGTTGCCCAGGTTGGAGTGCAATGGCGTGATCATGGGGCTCAGGTGATCCTCCCACCTCAGCCTCCCAAGTAGCTAGGACTACAGGTGCACATCACGATGCCCAGCTAATTTTTGTATTCTTTGTAGAGACAGGGTCTCACCATGTTGCCCAGGCTGGTCTCAAATTTCTGGGCTCAAGTGATCTGCCCGCCTTGGCTTCCCAAAGTGCTGAGATTACAGGTGTGAATCACCACATGTGGCCGAAAGTAACTTTTTTTATTTTTTTGAGATGGAGCCTCGCTCTCTCACCCAGTCTGGAGTGCAGTGGCGCAATCTCAGCTCACTGCAACCCCCGCCTCCTGGGTTCAAGGGGTTTTCCTGCTTCAGCCTCCTGAGTAGCTGGGATTACAGATGTGTACCACCACGCCCAGCTAATTTTTGTATTTTTAGTAGAGATGGGGTTTCACCATGTTGGCCAGGCTGGTCCCAACTCCTGACCTCAGGTGATCCACAAAAAAGCATTTTGTAAGCTCAGAGAGTGAATAAATGAACGAGTTGAACAACCACAATGTCTCTGTATGTGGCTTGGCCTCCCCTAGTGCTGGGATTACAGGCATCAGCCGCCGTGCCCAGCCCGAAGGTAACTCTTGATACCCGTCTTTTTTTTTTTTTTTTTTTGAGACAGAGTCTTGCTCTGTCACTTAGGCTAGAGTGAAGAGTGCAGTGGCTCAATCTCAGCTCATTACAACCTCTGCCTCCCAGTTTAAGTGATTCTCCTGCCTCAGCCTCCCAAGTAGCTGGGACTACCGATGCGCACCAAGACGCCCGGCTAATTTTTTGTATTTTTGTGGAGACGGGGGTTTCACCATGTTGGCCAGGCTGGTCTCGAACTCCTGACCTCAAGTGATCTGCCCACCTCGGCCTCCCAAAGTGCTAGGATTACAGGCATGAGCCACCATGCCTGGCCCAATACTCTCATTTTAAAGATAAATAAATTTAGGTTCAGAAAGGTTAAATTATTTTTTAAATCTAATTTTGGCTTCAACACATTTTATACCCAAAAAGCCTAATCTGGCCCCTAGAAACACTAGAAGTGATAGGGCACTGGGGAAAGTTACAGTATTCCTTTCAGTCAACGTCTAACCCAGTGGGCTGGGACTTTGGGGACATGGAGGAGTCTCGAGGCCAGGGCTATTGTTTGAGGAACAGGGAACTCCCAGAAATGGGCTGGGAGCAGGGAAAGGGGACTCTGAGCTTGGTTAGAAGGCCCTCTCCAGAGAGGAGCCCAGGGTTCCTGCCTGGCTCTCACTATAAAGGTGACTAATCACTTTGGTTCCCTCTGGTAATTGCAACCAGATGCTGCCGCTGGCAGTGCTTCAGTCCCGACATGTTTAATTACTGGGACACAGCGTCCCTGGGTCCCCCGTGTCCCCCAACCTCCCCCTCTCCTGTCAGCAATATTAATGTCAAACTTGAGGTAGAGGATGGGAGCCTTGGGAAGCCACTGACATGGAAGTAATCTCTGCAGCCCCTTCTGCCATGTAGAGCCTTTTGCTTTTATGTTTCCCCATCCATTGTCTCATTGCTGTTCCATAAACCATCCTTATAAAGTCAGTTGGCCAGATTATTATTATTATTATTATTATTTTTGGAGACAGAGTCTAGTTCTGTTGCCCAGGCTGGAGTGCAATGGCATGATATCGGCTCACTGCAACCTCTGCCTCCCAGGTTCGAGCGATTCTCCTGTCTCAGCCTCCCAAGTAGCTGGGACTACAGGCATGCGCCACCACCCCTGGCTAATTTTTGTATTTTTAGTAGAGACAGGGTTTCACCATGCTGGCCAGGCTGGTCTCGAACTCCTGACCTCAAATGATCCACCCACCTCAGCCTCCCAAAGTGCTGGGATTACAGGCGTGAGCCACTGCGCCGGCCGGCCAGATTATTATTATCCCTTTTTTATTGTGTCTCCAGATGAGTAAACAGTGAACTGAGTGATAATAATAATAATCCCTTTTTCAAGCACTTGTCAATTTTCAAAATGGCTTCCCATTCATGATGCTATCCGAACCTCCCGAGATCTCTCCGGGAGTCAGTCCTGCACAGCACAGCAGCTGAGAGAACAGGCGCTGGGACCAGACAATGCAGTGTTCCAGTTCTGCCATTTGCCAATTGGGTGATGTTGGGTATTCATTTCTTTATCTACTTAACTATTCAGCAAACATTTATTGGGTGCCTACCATGGGATGGGCCCCAGGTAGAGTTCTGGGTATCTAGCCATGGACAAGACAAACCAAGTGTTTTATCTGAAATTTCTCTTATGCGTTTGTTTGTCTCTTCTCACATTCTGGTGGAAGAGACAGAGGAACAAACACATAAGAGAATGCTAAGTGCTGTGAAGAAAAATTAAGCAGGGTCAAAGAGGTGTCTATTTTAGCAAGGAATGCCCTTTGAGGGGGTGATGTTTGGGCAGAGACCCAGATGTAGTGAGAAAACGAGACATACTGAAGTCTGGAGGACAAGCATTCCAGGTGGGGGGAACAGCAGTTGCAAAGGCCCTGAGGCCTTTGCACTTGGTACATCTGAGGTAAGGAGGAGCTGGTGTGGCTGAAGCAGAGTGAGCGAAGGGGGCAGTGGCAGGAGGTGAGGTCAGATCATGCCAGAACCACATCTTGTATGGCCTTATAAGCCCTGGAAAGGGAGCTGGATTTTCTTTTCTTTTTCTTTTGTTTTTTTGAGACAAGAGTCTTGCTCTGTTGCCCATGCTGGAGTGCAATGGTGTGATCTCAGCTTACTGCAACTTCCGCCTTCTGGTTTCAAGCGATTCTCTTGCCTCAGCCTCCCAAGTAGCTGGGATTACAGGTGCCCGTCACCATGCCCAGCTAATTTTTGTATTTTTAGTAGAGACAGGTTTTCACCATGTTGGCCAGGCTGGTCTCGAACTCCTGACCTCCTGATCTGCCCACCTAGGCCTCCCAAAGTGCTGGGATTACAGGCATGGGCCACCGCACCCCGTCTAATTTTTGTATTTTTAGTAGGGATGGGGTTTCACCATATTGGTCAGGCTGGGCTGGTCTCAAACTCCTGACTTCAGGTGATCCACCCGCCTCAGCCTCCCAAAGCGCTGGGATTACAGGTGTGAGCCACCGTGCCTGGCCTGGATTTTACTTTTAGTGCACTGGGAACCCAATGGGATGTTTTAAGCAGGAGAGTAGTGAAATAATGATTAAGAGCTAAGTCACTCACCTTCAAATCCTGGTTCCCCCCATTTATCAGCTATGTAATCTCAAGCAAATTATTTCATCTCTCCCTGCCTCAGTTTCCTCATGTATAAAATGGGAATAATAACGATATACCTAGCTGGGCAAACCGGTAAAAACATACTTGGCTCACACCTATAATCTCAGCACTTTGGGAGTCTGAGATGGGAGGATTGCTTGAGCCCAGTAGTTCGAGACCAGCCTGGGCAACATAGCAAGACCTGTCTCTATAAAAATAAAAAAAACTGGCCGGGTGCAGTGGCTCACGCCTGTAATCCTAGCACTTTGGGAGGCAGAGGCGGGGCAGATAACAAATTCAGAAGTTCGAGACCAGCCTGGCCAACATGGTGAAACTCTGACTCTACTAAAAATACAAAAATTAGCTGGGCATGGTGGCGGGCACCTGTAATCCTAGCTACTCGGGAGGCTGAGGCAGGAAAATCATTTGAACCCAGGAAGCGGAGGTTGCAGTGAGCTGAGATAGCACCATTGCACTCCAGTCTGGGCGACGGGGTGAGACTCCATCTCAAAAAACAAAAAAATAAAAAAATAGGCTGGGCATGGTGGCTCATGCCTGTAATCCCAGCACTTTGGGAGGCTGAGGCGGGCAGATCACCTGAGGTTGTGAGTTCGAGACCAGCCTGACCAACATGGAGAAACCCCCATCTCTACTAAAAATACAAAATTAGCTGGGTGTGGTGGTGCATGCCTGTAATCCCACTATTCGGGAGGCTGAGGCAGGAGAATTGCTTGAACCCGGGAGGCGGAGGTTGCAGTGAGCTGAGATCGCGCCATTGCACTCCAGCGTGGGCAACAAGAGCAAAACTCTGTCTCAAAAAATAATAATAAAAATAAATAAATAAAAATAAAACAATAAAATAAAATAAATAAGCCAGGTGTGGTGGCTCACACCTGTAATCCCAGCACTTCGGGAGGCTGAGGTGGGCAGATTACCTGAGGTCAGGAGTTTGAGACCAGCCTGGCCAACATGGTGAAACCCCGTCTCTACTAAAAATACAAAAAAAATAGCTGAATGTGGTGGCAGGCACCTGTAATTCCAGCTATTTGGGAGTCTGAGGAAGGAGAATTGCTTGAACCCAGGAGGCAGAGGTTGCAGTGAGCTGAGATCCAGCCATTGCACTCCAGCCTGGGCAACAAGAGCGAAACTCCGTCTCAAAAACAACAACAAAAAAAAACTTGTATCACAGAGTGGTTATAAGAATTAATGTGTTTATATATGTAAAGTACCTTTCAATGACCAAAATACAGTATGTGCTTCATAAATTATAATTTTATTTATTGCTTTTTTTTTTTTTTTTTGAGACAGGGTCTCACTCTGTCATCCAGGCAGGAGTGCAGTGGTGAGATCTCGGCTCACTGCAGCCTCGAACTCCTGAGCTCAAGTGATCCTCCCTTCTCAGCCTCCTGAGTAGTTGGGACTACAGGTGCAAGCCACTGCACCTGGCTAATCATAAATTACAGTTTTGTTTTGTTTTGTTTTTTTAAAAAAGATTCCACTGTTAATATTGTCCTTGTTTCATAAATGAGGAAATTAAGCCTCTGAGTAGTTAAGTGATCGGCACAAGTTCACACAGCTAAAGACGACCGAGCTAGAATTCAACCCAAGACCCTAATTCTGAATCCAGTGCCCTTCCCACGTAAAGAGAGGACTGACCACCCTACAGGTTAGGAGCTGGCAGGGAGGAAAGCCCAGAGTCCCTTCCCTTTTCATCTGTGCTCCTTCTAATCTGTGGGGACTGCCTGTCCCAACCCGAGAATCCCAGCAAGAGCAGAGCCGCCTCTGCCTACACTCACCCGCGCCGCAAACCTGGTTTCTTTTCTTTTCTTTTTTATTATTATTATACTTTAAGTTCTAGGGTACATGTGCACAGCATGCAGGTTTGTTACATATGTTTTTTTAAAATTTTTTTATTATACTTTAAGTTCTAGGGTACATGTGCACAATGTGAAGGTTTGTTACATATGTATACGTGTGCCACGTTGGTATGCTGCACCCATTAACTCGTCATTTACATTAGGTATATCTCCTAATGCTACCCCTTCCCCCTCCCCCCACCTCACAACAGGCCCCGGTGTGTGATGTTCCCCTTCCTGTGTCCAAGTGTTCTTATTGTTCAATTCCCGCGTGTTCTCACTCATAGGTGGGAATTTAACAATGAAAACCTGGTTTCTTTTCTAGACTCCGCAGCAGTGGCCACTGCTCAGGACGCGCTCTCAAGGGCTCCCCCTGCTGGGATACTCGGGAGCTGCACCTTGCTAGAGTTGAGTGTCTCTGGGCCTTCTGTCCATAAGTCAATCAAATTCCTTCCCTGGGCTGCAAATACCTGTACTACAATCTGAAGCTGGAAATTGTATGTGAGTGTTGCGTGTGTCTGTCTGTTGTGGGTAGAGGGGTGTGAATAAAATAACCACATGTTTTACATATTTATTCTAGAAAATATTTTTATTTTTAAAATAATTCTAAAACTTATAAAAAGTCATACATATTAGGAAGAAAAGTAATATGAATTCATGATTTTAAAAATTCAAACAGTAGAAAAGAATGCAAAAGAAAATATTTTCCTCCCACCCCAGACCCTGGGTCTTTCAGTCCTCCCCAGAAGCAACAACTCTGATCAGTCTCCTAGATGACTTTCCACACAATATAGTAACATCAGCTTTTTAAAAACTTTATTAGGCAGGGCACGGTGGCTCATGCCTGTAATCCCAGCACTTTGGGAGGCTGAGGCGGGAAAACTGCCTGAGCCCAGGAGTTGGAGATCAGTCTGAGCAACATGGCACAAGCCCGTCTCTATAAAATAAAAAAAAAATTTAAACACCTTTTTATCGATGCATGATATTCATACCAAATATATTTGATTATAAAATTAAATCATGTTCATTGTAAAAATATTCAAATAATACCAAAGTTTATAAAGTTAAAAGAGAAAGTTCCCCTCTCCCCTCACACCCCAATCTCTCTAATCACAGGAAACCTCTCTAATCACTGGAAACCTTGTTGTCATTCTTGAGCTCAGAAATCTCAGATCCTTGCTGGACTCCTCCACTCCTCCTTCCCTCCATCTAATTCTAATTCCCACTTTGTGTATAAGAACCCTAGCTGGTAAGTACTGTTATCCCCATATTGCAGCTGAGGAATTTGAGGCTCAGAAAGGGAAAGAGGGTTGCTCAAGAACATAAGGCAAGCTGGACGCGGTGGTGCACATCTGTAGTCCTGGCTACGGGACTTTTTGTTTTTTTCAAAAAAAAAAAAAAAAATATATATATATATATAGTTAAGGGCCCCCCCGACTTTTTTTTTTTTTTTTTTTTTGTCTCACTCTGTCACCCAGGCTGGAGTGCAGTGGAGCAATCTTGGCTCACTGTAACCTCCTCCTCACAGGTTCAAGCGATTCTTGTGCCTCAGCCTTCCGAGCAGCTGGGATCACAGGTGCACGACACCAGGCCCGGCTAATTTGTGTATTTTTAGTAGAGACAGGGTTTCGCCATGTTGGCCAGGCTGGTCTCAAACTTCTGGCTTCAAGCGATCCACTTGCCTCCACCTCCCAAAGTGCTGGGATTACAGGCATGAGCCATCAGGCCTGACCAAGGGCCCATTTTTGAGGAAGGAGAGGACCTGGTCCTGTGGGAACTGTGACTGGACATCCTTTATTGCCCAAGCCCTGAGTGATAGTGAAAAGATGTCATCCACTTCAAGAATCTCAAGCTTGGGTACGCTGGTCACTTCGAGCCTGACTTAGTGAGTGAGAGGGGGCTAGGACTGGAATAAGAACTGCCTACTGAGGCGGGGTCAGGACCAGGGAGAAAATATCCAGCTGACAAAGGGAATCCAACTAGGGAGATTGACACAATTCAACCAGATGGTGGCATCAGCAAGAGGAGTGTCCGGCATTCCTAACACATCCCATGCTCTAGCATGCTGCTGTGCCTTTGCACATGCTGCTTGGAATCCCCGCCACCACCCCACCCCTGCCACTTTGCTTAGCATTTTTTTTTGAGATGGGGTCTTGCTATGCTGCCCAGGCTGGTCTCAAACTCCTAAGCTCAAGAGGTTCTTCTGACTCAGCCTCTTGAGTGGGTGGGACTACAGCCACATGCCACCATGCCTGGCTTGTCTGCTTAGCATTTTTTTTTTTTGAGACAGGGTCTTGCTGTGTTGCCCAGGTTGGAGTGCAGTGGCTTGAACACAGCTCACTGCAGCCTCAACCTCCTGGGCTCAAGCGATCCTTCCTACCTCAGCCTCCAGAATAGTTGGGACTACAGTAGTGCACCACCACACCTGGCTAATTTTAGCGTTTTTATCCTTCACAAACAAGTCATAGTGGCCTGATGCTGTGTAGCCAGCTGCTCCCTCTTTATAGAATTTACTACACTGTGTGTGTGTGAACTATTTCTTTACTTGCTTGCCTGCCATGTGAGTTTGTGAACAGAGGCTCTGGACAGAGTTCATTTATTATTGTTCTTTGGGTCCCTCCCAGTGCATAACTCAACTTTTGGCACACAGTAGGTGCTCAATCAATATTTTAAAAATAATGAATGAATGGAACTTCAGCGCGGCAGCTCAAGCCTATAATCCCAGCACTTTGGGAGGCTAAAGTAGGAACATTGCTTGATGCCAGGAATTCAAGACCAACCTGGACAACACAGTGAGTCCCCATCTCTACAAAAAAATTTTTAAACAAATTAGCCAGGACTGGTGGCACAGGCCTATAGTCTTAGCTACTCGGGAGGCTGAGCCAGGAGGATCGCTTGAGCCCAGGAGATTGAAGCTGCAGTGAGCTATGATCAAATCACTGCACTCCAACCTGAGTGAAAGAGCAAAACCCTGTCTCTTAAAAAAAAAAAAAGAGAGAGAGAGAGAATGGGCCGGGCGTCGCGGCTCACGCCTGTAATCCCAGCACTTTGGGAAGCCGAGGTGGGCGGATCACTTGAGGTCAGGAATTCAAGACCAGCCTCGCTAACATGGTGAAACCCCATCTCTACTGAAAAAAAAAAAAAAAGCTGGGTGTGGTGGTGGTGGGCGCCTGTAATCCCAGCTTCTCAGGAGGCTGAGGCACGAGGATCACTTGAACCCAGGAGGCGGAGGTTGCAATGAGCCAAGATCGTGCCACTGCACTCCAGCCTGGGCTACAAAGTGAGACTCTGTAAAAAAAAAAAAAAAGAATGGACTCAGAGGAACAGCAGCAAGAGACTATCGTTTTGGTGCTCCAGACTGTTACCTTGCAGTGAGAAAGAAAGAGGAAAGTGGTTGACTTTTTTTCCCTCTATTTTTCCCTCTCTGTCATCCTCAGCTCACTTTAGTCACTCAACATGTCTCCATGTTAACATGGAGAGGAAGATGGGGGTGGGAAAAGTCTTCTTTGAACCAGTGTAATAGCTGGCTTAGTGCTTTCTGGGCCTCGCAGATGTTTATAGCCATCTCTATCCATCATCAAAGCATCATGGGGTGCTTTTATACACTCTTCAGGGGTTCCCTACTGGCCCCTCTCCTGCAGTTCCCTTAGCAAAGGCATCTATTAATGGCCATTTGTCTAGCTTCTTGTTCCTGGGGTCCCTTTATACCTCCAGGAAGCCCTACTGAACAGGACCTAATAGTCAGCAGGCTTGTCTCTTCTTGCTAGAGTTCACAGGCAGGAAGCATATCCTGGTCACGATACTCCCTAAGTGCAATGGTATGGATTCTGCATCTCAGATTCTCATGGAAGCCCCCTCTCCTAGTCACTTGGTTTGAGCGGTTAAAAGTAATGTCCTCTTAATCTTCCCCAAGGAGGAATGGGGACTCATAGCCAGAAATATCTCCACACAAATTATCTATCCTCCACCTGCAGACCCCTTTATATTGGGATAAGGGATTTAGGAACTTTCAAACAGATTTTAGACTAACAGAAAAAAAAAAAAAAAAAAAAAAATATATATATATATATATATATATATATACACAAATATATATGTAGTGATTTAGCACCTCATTTTGAAATTTCACATACATATATATATATATTTTTTAATTCAGTTAGTCCAGACGGCCTCTTGGCATGGGCTAGGAGGAATATGTATAAATAATGAGCAAGGCTGGGTGTAGGAAAGATCCATATTATAGCCCTCAGAGAGGGTTTGAGTACAAGGCATATTTCTAGAGATGGAATTTAGGATATAAAGGAAGAAACCGTTCCCCTCACCTGGCAGGGACCAGGGTTGATTTTCTTTCAACTCATCCATTGCCTTTCCCTCCAATCCAGCCTCCTTTGAGAACTCCCCAGTCTGGTTCATCAGACAGGTCTGAACATGATCAGACTTGAATTGTCTGGTTTAAGTCTTTATAGGACTCTTGGGCCCCAAGCCAGGTGATAGGTAGGAACACCTGTTTGTACGTCTCAAATGCTCCATGCAGTTTGCAGAATGCGTTTTTTTTCTGTTTTTTTTTCCTTTTTTTTTTTTTTTCGAGACAGGGTCTTACTCCTGTCACCCAGGCTAGAGTGCAGTAGGGCCATCACGGCTCATTGCAGCCTCGACCTCCTGGGCTCAAGCAATCCTCTCACCTCATTTTTTTATTTTTTTGTAGAGACAAGGTCTAACTATGTTGCCCAGGCTGGTCTCCAACTCCTGGGCCCAAGTGATCCACCTGTCTTGGCCTTCTAAAGTGCTGGGGTTACAGGCGTGAGCCACTGCACCCAGCCATCTGCAGGTTGTGTAAGACTGATGTGGTGTACTCTTATGCCTACAGAACCACTAGGGCAGGGGTTTCTAATCCCCCAGGCCATGGACTACTATCAGTCTGTGACCTGTTAGGACCCTGGCAGCACAGTAGGAGTTGAGCAGATAAGCGAGCATTACCACCTGAGCTCCACCTCCTGTCAGTTCAGCAGCAGCATTAGATTCTCATAGGAGGCAAATCTTATTGAGACCTGTGCATGCAAGGGATCTAGGTTACACACTCATGAGAATCTAATGCCTGATGATCTGAGGTGGAAGTCTCATCTCAAAACCATTCCCACCCACCCCTGCCCATCCCTGTTTCACACACCAGCTAATTCCACTTTGGGCTTTGGCTCAGATAATATCCAGTTGTACTACATTATTATGTTTTAATACAATTTCCAACTTGTCCTTACTACATTGTATTATTATTCAATACTAGAACATAATCAATGCTCAATAAATGTCCACTGGGTAAATGAATAAATAAGGGAATGAATCCCCCTTTACAAACATCAAAGATTACTATTTGGTTTGGTATATCTTGGTAGTCTGAAACCTGTTTACTCCTCATAGTCTTTTTCTTTGAGATGAACTTTCGCTCTTGTTGCCCAGGCTAGAGCACAATGGTGCAATCTCGGCTCACCGCAACCTCCGCCTCCCGGGTTCAAGTGATTCTCCTGCCTCAGCCTCCCGAGTAGCTGGGATTACAGGCATGCGCCACCACGCCTAGCTAATTTTATATTTTTAGTAGAGATGGGGTTTCTCCCTGTTGGTCAGGATGGTATTGAACTCCCAACCTCAGGTGATCTGCCCACCTCAGCCTCCCAAAGTGCTGGGATTACAGGCGTGAGCCACCGCACCCGGCCGACTCCTCATAGTCTTAAAAAATATTGTCTAGTTTGCTAATGGATGTTATGTCATTAAACTTTGTAACACTAGGGCTGACTTGATTCATTCATTCAATGGACACTTACTTGATACCTACCATGTGTGTAAGACTGTGCTAAATCCCAGGAATAAGTCTCCTATCCACACAAAGCTTAAATTTTGGAGGGAATGTTAATAGGAAAACAAAATAATAAATGGAAAGTGCTATGAAAGAAACAGAAGACGGCCGGGTGCGGTGGCGCATGCCTGTAATGCCAGCATTTTGGGAGGCTGAGGCGGGCGGATCACGAGGTCAGGAGATCAAGACCATCCTGGCTAACACGGTGAAACCCCGTCTCTACTAAAAATACAAAAAAATTAGCCGGGCGTGGTGGCGGGCACCTGTGGTTCCAGCTATTGGGGAGGCTGAGGCAGAAGAATGGCGTGAACCCGGATGGTGGAGCTTGCAGTGAGCCGAGATTGCGCCGCTGCACTCCAGCCTGGGCGACAAAGCAAGACCCCGTCTCAAAAAGAAAAGAAACAGAAGACTATCCTAGAAAGTATAGGGTATTACTTTAGATAGCATGGTCAGGGAAGACCTAGTTGAGGAAGTATCATTTAAGCTGGGACCTGAAGGACAGGAAGGTACCAGCTAGGCCAAGAGCTGGGGGAAAAGTGGTCTAGGTAGCTGGCATAGTGTATGCAAACGCCCTGAGGCAGAAAAGAGCTTGATGTGCATAATATTTAGATTGTTTCATTTGTATTTCAAATATTGTTGCAGTGAACATTCAAGCACAATGCCTGTTGTGGGATTATTTCCCTAGGATGGAATCCCACACCACTGCTTCTTTGCATCGTTTTCTCTGTCTAGTGCCTGGAGATGTTCCTTTTCCCCTCTCTAGATAGTTTGCCTTTCAGAATCCGTGTCCTTCCTTCCCCTTTTACTCTCCACTTTCTCTATTTCTCAAATTAGCTATTAAGATCTTTTTTGTGTTCTTACAGGAGAAAGATAAAATATAGCTTTTAAGCGTTCCTTTCTCAGGTTACCTTTGGCTGTGGATTAACCTGAAGCCTTGCTGTTTCACTCGAGCTATCCACTCATTCACCCATTCACTCAGCACTTATTGAGCACCTATTTTGTACCAGGCCTTGTGCTGAGCGCTATAGTCAGATGACCAAATTACAGTCTCTACGCTCAAGCTCACAATCTCATGCAGCGCTTCCTAAAACGTGTTCCCAATTATCAGAATCACCCTGGGTACTTTCTAAAATGCAGATTCCTGGACTCCACCCCCGGTTTAGGGATTCTCTGGGGGTGGAAACCAAGAGTCTGCATTTACCAGTTTTGTTTTTAATTCCTACTAAAAATTGAGAACCACTGAGTGCAAGAGTGAGGCAGGTAAATGGAGTTTACAACTCTAAGAAAGTGCATTAACAATTTATACACAAGGCCGGGCGCGGTGGCTCACGCCTGTAATCCCAGCCCTTTGGGAGGCCGAGGCGGGAGGATCACGAGGTCAAGAGAGATCGAGACCATCCTGGCCAACATGGTGAAATCCTGTCTCTACTAAAAATACAAAAATTAGCCGGGCGTGGTGGCGGGCGCCTGTAGTCCCAGCTACTCGGGAGGCTGAGGCAGGAGAATTACTTGAACCTGGGAGGCAGAGGTTGCAGTGAGCCGAGATCGTGCCAATGCACTCCAGCCTGGCGACAGAGCAAGACTCCATTTCAAAAAAAAAAAAAAAAATTTATACACAAAATGCTACAGGAATAACGCATGGGTCCTATTGGGAAGAAAAAGTTCTCTAGAAGTCAGGCTTAAGCAGAACTGCAGCTCCGGGACGGATTAAGTCAGGTAAAGGTAACACTCTGTGCAGAGACATGCAGACAAAACCGAGTGTTGAGTAAGTAACTCGCCTGTAAGTGTTATGCTGCCTGAAGCTTCTCGGAGCGTCTGAGCAGCAAGGTGAACAACCCTCAGAAACCGGTCGCGCTGCCAGTATTATCGCTAACCAGTGGCAGCGAGCCCCTTTGTTTCTCGGCAGTTGTAATTGTAGTCTGGTTTGTAGGTGGAGCTGTGCGCAGGCGCACCTAGAACCAGGTGACCTTGCACATGCGCTGTATGTAACACTGAAGCCAAAAGCGAAATGATTGAGGGCAATTTTTCTTTTCTGCTTCCGAAATGTCCCTTTCGCGAATCCAGAGACCCTGACCGTCCCCATTTCTGGCTAGGGATCTTATAATTCTTAAAATAATACCCCCTTTCCTTCAGGGCCTCTCTAGTAAGTCGGCTGCCAATACCCAACATGGCGGGAGGCCCTGCGCCGGCTCAGTCTGCCTATAGGTGCAGGACTTGGAGGGGCGGGCCCCTCCCAAAGGGCGGGAGTTTGGGGGGGCGGGGCCTGGCCCTCTGCCTCGGGGTGGGCTCCGCCCCCGTCCCCCGCAGGGCCTTAGCAGCGGCTGCCGCAGCTCAATCGCGGAGCAACTAGCCGGGCGTCTGCGGGAGCCGAGCGTGGTGAGGTGGGGCCTCAGGGGCAGGTGGGAGGTGCTCGGGTTAACCGTCCGAGGCCCGGAGACCCGCCCGTCTAGGGCGCCTGAGGGAATCCCGTTCGGGCAGCGGCCTCTTGTTACCCGGGAGGAACCCGAGGCCCAGAGAGGGGCTGGGACGCGTCGTTAGGGCCCGGGGCCCGCTTGCCTCAGCTTCTTGCTGCCGCCAGCACGCTAAGCTCCAGTCGGCGCCGAAGGAGAGCTTCCCGACCCTCGTGTCCAGTAGCCGCAATCCCAGGCTGGGAGGGTGAGGCGCCGCGCTCTGCCGCCCCCCCGCCCCTCGCTCCCTGTGTCCTGGCGGATTTGCACGTAATCTATCCGAAAGCCCAGTCCCACCCGCCACCCGACTCTGGAGCTCCCATTCTTCAGGACCCTGCTGAAGTATCGCTTCTCAGCCGCCTTCTCCAGGCGCAGCTGCATTCGCTTCTCGGTTTTTGCACTCGCTGTGCACCGAGTTACTTTCCCGGCCCCTCGTTGACACCGTAAGCTCGTTCGTTAGATGTTATGCCTTGCCTTTTTCATCTCTAGATCCCAGGGCCTAGCACGTGATGATAATAGTCATGGCTTACTGTACGGAATGATCACAAATTGTCAGGTGCTACTGAATGCATTACACATAAGGGCCCATTTATTTATTTATTTAGAGACGGAGTTTCGCGCTTGTTGCCCAGGCTGGAGTGCAATGGCGCGATCTCGGCTCACCTCAACCTCCGCCTCCCGGGTTCAAGCGATTCTCCTGCCTCAGCCTCCCAAGTAGCTGGGATTGCAGGCATGCGCCACCACACCCGGCTAATTTTATGTTTTTAGTAGAGACGGGGTTTCTCCATGTTGGTCAGGCTGATCTCGAACTCCCGACCTCAGGTGATCCGCCCGCTTCGGCCTCCCAAAGTGCTGGGATTACAGGCGTGAGCCACCGCGCTCAGCCAAAGGCCTATTTAATCTTCCCAACAATCCTATGGGGTGAGTTCTTTCTATAGCTTCACGTTTTACCCATGAAGAAACTGAGGTATTCATAGAAAAAGTAATTTGCCAGGAGTCCCACAACTAATAAGTGGATGGAGCTGGGAAACTGTCCCCAGGGCATTTGATGACTTGACTAGATTGCCTTTGGGTTTAATCAACGTCTGTTGAATTGATCTTTACTTTGGCCCTGGGAGTTATTGGAGGCTAGGCTTGTGATCAGTATTTTACCGCGAAGGCTTAGAAAGGAGAACTGGTCCCAGATTTATAGAGGTCACAACAAAACCAAGGCTACTGGTACGCCCTCTGTTCCTTTAGTTCTTCTATCTTTCTTTGCTCCTTTTCGATCAGAAAGCTGCAGACATAGGTGTCATTATCGCTCACTATTTAAGAAGTGCCCCTCACAGAGCTGTGAGTTCGTAGTCCATGCTTTAACTAATGTAATGTTCATGCTTTAACAGCTAATGTAATGGAGAGAGTGTAGAATTTGGAATCAGATTGGGGTTCAGTCATTGCTCTGCCACTGACCAAGCTATAAGTTATATGCCTCCCCCCACTTTTTTTTTTTTTTTTGAGACCTGGTCTCAGTCACCCAGGCTGGAGTGCAGTGGTGCGATCTGGGTTCACTGGAACATCCTGTCTCCCAGGTTCAGGCGATTCTCCCGCCTCAGCCTCCTGAGTAGCTGGGATTACAGGCGCCCGCCACCGTGCCTGGCTAATTTTTGTATTTCTAGGAGAGATGGGGTTTTGCCATGTTGGCCAAGCTGGTCTCGAACTCCTGGCCTCAAATGATCTGCCCAACTCAGCCTCCCAAAGTGCTGGGATTACAGTTGTGAGCCACCACACCCAGCCTGTTTTTTTGCTTTTTATATAGGTAATAGAGCTGTTAGCATTTTGCAAGACCATTGGTGATAATATGGATCATGTTACCTAATGTCCTATAATAGTCAGTAATAATGGGCACTTGTTATAAACCAGGCTGTGTTTTAGGTAGGAGCTGGGAATACAGCATTCGATAAAACAATGCTTTTGCACTTGTGGAATTTGCATTTTGGTAAGTATATTACATAATAATTAGATAGGGACAGAAAAAGCATGGTAAGGTAAATAAAAGTACTAGTGTTATGTGGAGAGGTGATAGTATTTTATTTATTTATTTATTTGAGCATCTTGTCCCAGGCTGGAGTGCAGTGGCGTGATCACAGCTCACTGCAGCCTCGAACTCCTTGGCTCAAGCAGCCCTCCCACCTTAACTTCCCAAGTAGCTGGGACTACAGGTGAATGCCACACAGCCAGCAATTTTTTTTTTTTTAATAGAGATGGGAATCTCCCTGTGTTGCCCAGGCTGGTCTTGAACTCCTGGCCTCAAGAGATCCTCCCACCTTGGTGAAACTCTGTCTCTACTAAAAATACAAAAAAATTAGCTGGTCGTGGTGGCACATGCTTGTAATCCCAGCTACTCAGGAGGCTGAGACATGAGAATTGCCTGAACCGGGGAGGCAGAGGTTGCAGTGAGCTGAGATCATGCCAGTGCACTACAGCCTGGGTAACAGAGCCAGATCCTGTCTCAAAAACAAAACAAAACACTGGATGAGATTACCTTGGAAATTAATGGAGATGGAGAAGAGGTCTGAAGCCTTGAGGTTTCCAAACTTTAGATACTGGGGAGATGAGAAAAGGCAGCAAAGGAGACTGAGTGGGAGAGGCCAGAGGTTGGAAGAGAGCAACAGAGAGGCCCCACATGAGATTTAAATAAGGAGCTGCATGCTAATTTGTTTTTTTCAGGAGTAAGAAACAAATTATGTCTGTACACAAATGTCTATACTGTAGTTTCTTTCTCAGTAAATAAAATGTTTGTGTCCTCAAGTATTTTTCTGTTTTTGCTTTAAGTGACAAATTCTATTTAATACCATTCTGCATCTTAGTCCTTGTAGCATTTATGCCTCTATTCCAAGTTTAGGTGGTAGTGTTGCTTCTCTTTTAAACTTTATTTAAATACTCCTTTTGTAGTATTTTGGATGAGAGAGGATCAAATACATAATTTATCTCACTCTTCTGTCACTTTCCACTCCAGGTTCACAGGTGGCTGTTGGTCTTTAGTAAGGGTGCTGTCTTCCCTGTCTGATCCTTAGCAAAAGTAGGAAGGTAGGTCTTGTTCATTTCTGTACCACTGTGGCAGACTCCTGATACTGAGTTGAAATTCATGAGTGTTTATGGGATAAATTAATGTACAAAAGAAATGAATCTTTCCCTTTTTCCTGCAGTAATGATAACATTGGCTCAGTGGTTTACAGCTTAGAAGTACACTGACACTCATTATCTTATTTAGATGTAATCCAATTTGTTAGTTTGCCAGCTACTGCTCTTTTCCCTTTCTCAGGCACATTGAAATTTACTTTCCCTTTGGGGGCTCTGCTAGTTTATTCCTAGCAGATCTGATCTGGCAGTGTGTTTGTAAAAGGATGCTGAACTGTGTCTTGAGGAAGCTCAGAATGAAATCTGAATTTCAGAAAGATTCCTGAGATAATTTTTCTCTGTCTCTTCTCTTTTATTCTTGTTTTAATAAATTTTAGTTTTATGAGGATTGTTTTGGTTTTAAAAAACTTTAAATCATTTTTTAAAACTATTTTTTACAACAATTTTAGGGTTACAGAAAAATTGCATAGTACAGAGAGTTCCTGTATACCTTGCACCCAGTCTCCCCTTTTAGTATGGTATATTTGCTATAATGCAAATCTTTTTTTTTTTTTTTTTTTTTTTTTTTTGAGATGGAGCCTTGCTCTTGTCGCCCAGGCTGGACAGTGTTGGCCAGGCTGGTCTCGAACTCCTGACCTCAAGTGATCCGCCTGCCTCAGCCTCCCAAAGTGCTGGGATTACAGGTGTGAGCCACTGTGCCTGGCCATGCAAATCATTTTTTGAGATAAGTGGGGCATATAAAAATATAAACAAAATGAAGTTGCTTTATCTCTACAAGCCTCAGTTTCCTTATCTGCAAGATGAGGGGGGTGGACTAAATTTCTAAATAGCTTTAAAATTTTTTAATTATCTGCTAAAGTAAAATAATTATATAATTGTAATATAATTTTCTTTATTTGCTTAAGTATTACTAATACCACCTTGCCAAATCATGTTTGCAAGTTACTGACAGCCATATCCTAAAAGAAAACTTAATGAGAATTCATGGAACTATGTGTGGCAGGACTGCTTATTAGAGATATTAGGTTGAATGATGTGAAATTGCCATTTTTGTAGATAAAAAGTAATGAGTGAGGCTGGGCTTGGTGGCTCACACCTATAATGCCATTGCTTTGGGAGGCTTGGACCAGGGGGTGGCTGTCTGAAACCAGGAGTTCGAGACAAGCTTAGGCAACATGGCAAAACCTTGTCTCTACCAAAGAAAAAAAAAAAAAGCCTCGGTGGCACACATCTTCAGCTCCTCTGAAGGGTGAGGCTGGAGGATCCCTTCAGCCCAGGAATTTGAGGCTGCGGTGAGCTATGATTGCACCACTGTACTCCAGCCTGGGTGACAGAGCTAGATCCTTTCTCTAAAAATAATAATAATAATAGGATAATATTAGCAATTTCATATGGTTCAACCTAATGTTTTGGGATAGGGATTCAACAAAGTGTGAGGGGGCCTTTGAGACCTCATAAACTCCCACTGCATGCAAAAGCCCGGCTCAGCCCTCACCATACTAGGAGAGAAAAGGCTCCTCAGTTCCCTTGGAGTAACTTGGATCTACATTATTGTAGGTAGAGTTGTTGGCAGAAATCCTGGGATAAGAGAATAGTTTCCTGGAAGATCTGTGCCTCCAACCAGCAGAGAGGGATTGAGCTTCATTGAACTCAACAGAGCCAACATTTCATAGCACCATGGTGAGTTGGTCACACAGCCTTGGCAAAAAGGCTGAAAAGGAGGGTGTAATAGTATGGGGAAAGGTTGTATTCCCCTGGTTCGTAGGCTAGGAAGAGGCCTGGAGTACTGGTGCCACCAAACCTTTATTGGTGCCATTCTATTCTCCCTACTTTATGCACTTTCCTTACTGCCTAGTACAGGCTCTGCAAACTCAAGTATCTTCGGTTGTTCAGGAGGTAATGTAAATTAGTAAGCCGAGTTTTCCTCTTTAATGCTACTATAACAGAAACAATAGCACAGTTGCAATGATAAATGACAACTGAAATATGCTATCATTGTGAGGGAGAGAATCGGTGTGTGCATAGGGGAGGCCATGATGAACTGGAGAGCACATGCCCTGTCTAAAGGGGGCAGGCACTATACAACTGTGCAGAGCACACGCCCTGTCTAAAGGAGACAGGCGCTGTTCAACTGCACGGAGCGCGTGCCCTGTCTAAACGGGCAGGCACTATTCAACTGTGCAGCTGGTTGTTGCCTTATTGAAATATGGGTCAAGCATCACTGGGTATTCTGATTTTCCAAAGGAGCCAGAAATATGGATTTTATGTACATTCTCCCAATGATAAATGTTGGCACCTAATTTGAATTCTTAAAAACTATTATGTGGGCCACACAATGGCTGAAAAGAGCTAGCAGGGCACTGATTTGTCATCTCTGGCTTATGGCTTAGCTCTGCCAGGAGTGAGGCTCACATGCATTTCTTCACTGGACATTGTTGACAAGTTACAATTAAAATGAATTAGACAGCTCCTGCCTTTGAGGTACTCATGGATTAGCAGAGAAAATAGACAAGTAATGATGATAAGATGTAGAGTAGACATCAGAACATATGTATTCTCTCTGTGTATATAGCTATAAAAGTGACTAACTCTTCCTGGGTTCATCTGGGAGGACATGATAGGACGTGGCATTTGAGCCAGGATGTGGGAAATCAATAGTTTGGTGCATTAAAGGGATTTGGGGCCCTTGAAATTTCTACTGTATGTGCAAATGTTAGGTTTGCATTCGCTGTATATACCATTTTGTTGATAGGTAGTTGAAAATACGGATATTCCTTAGCCCTGCTGGTGAGAGTCTTAGGGTTAATAAAATGAGAGAACTCTTCCTCTGGCCCAGGTTATGGGATAATTGTGTGTTTTAGAGGCCTAAGTAACTCAGAGGTCATGATACCCTCATTTCTGGATGAGGGAAGTAGCACATCTGAGGTCACAGAGCCCATTGGAGGCAGAGCTTGGACTAACACCCAGAACTCTTTACCACCATGCCTTCCCCTGTCCTGGGTATCTCTGATGAAGGTCACCGTTAGGCTGGCCGCCTCTGCCTGTGGTGGCCCATTGCCCTGTTTTGGCCCAGCTCCTGGTGGGTGAGGGGGTTTGGCCATCCTGCTGCCACTGGTTCCTTCTCTCTTTTGGATCCTTTGCCTGAAATGCCTGCTACCCCTTTTCTTTGTCAGATAGACTACTTGTGTTCAAATCTCTCTCAACCATATGCCAGCTGTGTGGCCTGGCACAAGTTTTTTAACCTTTCTAAGCCCCAGTTTCCTCATCTATATATAAAGAGTTATAATAGTACGTTTGGTGAAGTGTAATGAGAAGGCATTGGAAGGTTTCAAGATTTTTGTAAAAACAAAATGACGTAATGCATGTAAAGCACTTAAAGCAACAGCCCTCCAGAAGCACTCAGCAAGTGTTAACAATGATGATGATGATTCACACAGTTCACAGGCTCCCAGGCTGGGTTCTCTTCCTTTGTTTTCTCATATTATCTTATTATTTCACATGCTACATTGTATGTATTGTAATAGTTTGTGTCTATTTCCCCTGCTAGACTAAGAACACCTTCAGCGATTCATTCAACAAATGTTTCTGAACCACTGTGCCAGGAACTAAGGATGCAGTGATAAACCAGGAGCTCTTGGTTTAGTGCAGAGTTCCAAAAGTCATGCCAGGAGACACTAGTCCTGTGAGCTTGTCTCATGGTCAGTTAAATTTGGGGAATGATGCTCATCATAGCGCCCTTCAGAGATGAGGGTCCCTTTTAGTATTTTAAAGGTTCTGAGGAGTCTTGTGTGTAGTAAAAGAACAGTCCTTTCCATTTGACTATGTGCTTTGGTCCCCAGTTCAAGAGGAGGTTGAAGTGGCATGGCAATGGTTAGAGACCCTGCTGGGCGTGAACACCCTCTGGCTACCTAGGGACCTGTGGGCCTACCACCTGGTGCCCTCATGGAGACAAGAAGCCCTGGGTTGAACAACATGAAGCCCCAGTCACTGCAGCTGGTACTGGAAGAGCAGGTGCTGGCACTACAGCAGCAGATGGCAGAGAATCAGGCAGCCTCCTGGCGGAAGCTGAAGAACTCCCAGGAGGCCCAGCAGAGACAAGCAACCCTTGTGAGGAAGCTGCAGGCCAAGGTGAGGCAGCTGCCCTTTTGGGGAGGGGAAAGAGAACAACCCCCAGAGCTAGGTGCTGAGGTGAGATAAGGGTTGCAGGAGGCAGAGTCTTGTGGTGGGAGTGGCCTACATCTAGCATGGTGAGATAAGACCCAGACCTTCTAGCTTTCATGTACAGCTTCTCTTTTGATGCTCACAACTGCTCCATGAGGTACGTATTATATCCTTTTAATTTAATTTTATTTTTGAGATAGGGTTTTGCTCTGTTGCCCAGGCTAGAGTGCAGTGGTATGATCACAGATCGCTGCAGCCTCAACCTCCTGGGCTCAGGCAGTCCTCCTGCCTCAGCCTCTGGAGTATCTGGGACCACAGGTGTACACCACCACTTTTGGCTAATATATCTCTTTAAAGATGAAATTCACAAGGGTTAAGTTAATTATCCAGGTTTCTTCAGCTAGTCTAGAGCCAAAGCCCATGATCTTGCCTCTGTGATATAAAAGGCATATAGAAAGTATTTATTTATTTATTTATTTATTTTTGAGACAGAGTCTCGCTCATATAGAAAGTATTATTTAAATGCCCAAATAAGGCCAGGCACGGTGGCCCATGCCTGTAATCCCAGAATTTTGGGAGGCCGAGGCAGGTGTATCACCTGAGGTCAGGAGTTTGAGACCAGCCTGGCCAACATGGCAAAACCCTGTCTCTACTAAAAATACAAAAATTAGCTGAGTGTGGTGGCGCATGCCTGTAATCCCAGCTACTCGGGAGGCTGAGTTAGAAGAATCACTTCAATCTGGGAAGCGGAGGTTGCAGTGAGCCAAGATTGTGCCACTGCACTCCAGCCTGGGACACAGAGCGAGACTCCATCTCAAAAAAGAAAAAAATGCCCAAATAGAAACTATAAGATGTTATGGCCTTACCTTACTGTCACCACCCATTTCCCCTGTTCATAGCAAGTTTGCCTAAGATCCTCAGGGGCCTTTGCTTTGGGCTGTTTGTGCCAGCTGTGTTCATTGCCCAGGGCCTGTTCTTTTTGCTGCAGGTGCTGCAGTACCGAAGCTGGTGCCAAGAGCTGGAGAAGCGGCTAGAAGCCACTGGAGTGAGTGAGGCTGAGCTCTCTGCACCCCCTGGGTCCTCAGTGAATATACTTGTTAGGTTTCATTTGTTGACTGAGGGAGGTTGGAGTGTACAAGTGAGGTGTTTGGTGGAAGGCTCTCTTTCTCAGCCTCTGAGAGGTTTATCACACTGATATCTTCATTGG
Source organism: Homo sapiens (assembly GCF_000001405.40). NCBI lineage: Eukaryota > Metazoa > Chordata > Mammalia > Primates > Hominidae > Homo > Homo sapiens. The sequence continues at coordinate 35,463,794 of NC_000020.11, forward strand.
ACCTAGCTGGCCTGTCAGATTCCAACCCTTGGTTTTCAAAGGACGAAATGTAAATTAGATTGGAAGGAGTGTGGGATTAGCAGGAAGAAGTGCATGTTTCCTCCAGCAGGTGTCAGTGTTTCTTTTAGAAAGATGCAGGCCTTTGCGAGCCTACAGCATGTCTGCAGCAAAGGGATGTCTGTGCTATTAGAACTGGCTTTGAAAAACCCATTTATTTGCCTTTGTTCCAGCTGCCTCTCAGTACCTCCTCACATTTTCCTCAGAAAAGTTCTCTCAGAGGAAGGAAAGAACCAAAACTTATTGAGCACCCTCAATGCAGTCCAGGCAGCATGAGGCACTGTCATATACAGATGGTCCTCCCCAACTTAGGATGGTTGCAAGTTTTCAACTTTATGATGATGTGAAAGCTATATGCATTCAGTATGTTCCTTGGGTTATGATGGGGTTACAGCTGGATAAACCCATTGTTTGGGGTTGTTTTGCTTGCTTGTTTGGTTGGTTTTTGTTTGTTTGGTTGGTTGGTTGTTTTGAGACAGGGTCCTACTTACTCTGTCGCCCAGGCTGGAGTGGACTGGTGCAGTCATGAGTCACTGCAGCCTCAGCCTCCTGGGCTTAAGCGATCATCCCACCTCAGCCTCCCAAAAAGTAGCTGGGACTACAGATACATGCCTCAACATCTGGCTAATTTTCTTTATTTTCTGTAGACACAGGGTCTCTCTATGTTGCCCAGGCTGGTCTCAAATTCTTAGACTCAAGCAATCCTCCCACTGCTGGGATTACAAGTGTGAGCCACTGCATCTGGCCCGAACTCACTGTTAAGTTGAAAATATCATAAGTTGAAAATGTCAGCCAGGCGCAGTGGCTCATGCCTGTAATCCCAGCACTTTGGGAGGTCATGGTGGGTGGGTCACAAGGTCAGGGGTTCAAGACCAACCTGGCCAGCATGGTGAAACCCCATCTCTACTAAAAATACAAAAAATTAGCCGGGCATGATGGTGCGTGCCTGTAATCCCAGCTACTCGGGAGGCTGAGGCAGGAGAATCACTTGAACCCAGGAGGCAGAGGTTGCAGTGAGCCGAGATCATGCCACTGCACTCCAGCCTGGGCAACAGAACTAGACTGTCTCAAAAAGAAAAGAAAAAAAGAAAACGTCGTAAGTTGAAAACACACCTTTAACTTATGTTCAACTTATGATGGATTTATGGGATGAAATTCCAGCATAAGTCAAGGAGCATCTATAATTGTGTCTCTTAACCTGCACAGCAACTTTCTGAAGGGAACGATATACCGCTTTCATTTTGTAGCTGGAGACACTGTAGCTCCAAGAAGTTAAGTGACTTCACAGGCTGGGTGTGGTGGCTCATGCCTGTAACCCCAGCACTTTGGGAGGCTGAGGTGGGTGGATCACTTGAGGCCAGGAATTCAAGAACAGCCTGGCCAACATGGCGAAACCCCATCTCTACTAAAACTACAAAAATTATCCAGGTGTGGTGGCAGGTGCCTATAATCCCAACTACTTGGGAGGCTAAGGCAGGAGAATCACTTGAACCTGGGAGGCGGTGGTTGCAGTGAGCTGAGATTGTGCCATTGCACTCCAGCCTGGGCGACAGAGCGAGACTCTGTCTCCAAAAAAAAAAAAAAAAAAAATGAAAGAAGTTAAGTCACTTCCCAAGGTCAAACCGTTAGTGTAGTGGAAGTTAAGGCCATTAGTGAAAGATACATCACTTCTTAAGTTGAAGATTCTATTTACTACTGAAGGCCGTCTTTCAGGAGAGGTCATCAGTTTACTTTTGGAGTGAGGGATGCAGTGATTGAGAATAGAAGCATATTGCTAACAAAGGGGAGAAAGAATAAAAAGAAAGTGGACTGCCATGGAAGGGAGCCTTAGGGAACTGGTCTGAGTGATGTTCTCTTTGGAGGTAAGTAAGGCTTGTCTCTGTCTGGCGCAGGGACCAATCCCCCAGAGGTGGGAAAATGTGGAGGAGCCAAACCTGGATGAGCTGCTGGTCCGATTGGAGGAGGAGCAACAGAGGTGATGGACCCCAAACTTTCTGACCTGGGTGATTGGCCAGTTGGTGGAGAAGGCTGATGGGAAACTTCTGCCCTGAGGGCTAATGTGGACTTCAGCCATAGCCCTCTAATTCCTGCAATGGAAAATTTCAGTGGTTGCCATCTTACTCCCAGGAGGTCCAAGGGTTGGACTAGACCTTTATTTTGCACCCACTTTTACCCCTCCCCAGTGCAGGTGTGAGAGTCTAGCAGAGGTGAACACCCAGCTTCGACTGCACATGGAAAAAGCTGACGTGGTGAATAAAGCCCTTAGGGAAGATGTGGAAAAACTGACAGTGGACTGGAGCCGGGCCCGGGATGAGCTAATGAGGAAGGAGAGCCAGTGGCAGATGGAGCAGGAGGTAGGAAGAACGGGGACTGGAACTGTGAGAGGAAGCCTGTGTATTCTGGATGCTGCCCTGGTCAGTACTGGAAGGAGTTAACTTCAGGACTTGGATGAAAACTGAGCTGTTGCTGTTAAAGTCCCTGACCATCCTTACCTGCGCATGCTGGCAGCCTCAGCCTTCTTGGGCCTTCAGCTTAGACCTGCCACTACCCGCCTAGTCTAGGTTCTGCTGGGAGGTAGCATGACACTCAGAGCAACTCTGTTCCTGCAGCAGTGACGAGCTTAGGTTTTTGATGGATCTGAAAGCTTACTGATTCCTGGTCTGGAGGTCTTGCATATCTAGATGCTAAGGAGGTAGATATGAAACTGAATGGGAAAGAAAGAGCTGTTATGGGCCCTGGGGAATTTTCAGGTCCCAGCTGAAGGAAACAAATGTTTCCTGCATTTTTGCTTTGTGCTCAGTGGTTTATGTATATCATTGACTCCTCCTTAGAAAAGTCTGTGGTAATAGATCCCATTTGTTAAGCAGCTACCGTGTATCCTTTTCTAATCTGGCCCAGAGGAAGGCGATATACCATCCTAGGCCCTCTGACCTCTCGAATCCCACTGCCAGCTTTATTAAGCCCTTCACCATAACCTGGATAGATACCCATTCATAAACTATCTCCTGTAAGTCCCTCCTTCCTTCCCTCAGTAGTCAGGAGGAATCCAAGACTCTTGTGTTGGCAAAAGATAGCCCTCTGCCTTTGGGTATGACCTGGGTTTCTGAACACACAGTTCTTCAAGGGCTACCTGAAAGGGGAGCACGGTCGCCTTCTCAGTCTATGGCGGGAGGTTGTGACATTCCGACGCCACTTCCTGGAAATGAAGTCAGCTACTGACAGGTCAGTGTGGGGAGAAGAAGGGAGGAGGTTTGCCCCTACCAATTCTGGACTAATAACAGTGGGCTGCTATAGAAGCGGGATCAGCTGTGGGGGTGGGGTGGGTGGGGGAGTTGGTAGTATTGGAAGCAGATGATTTTTCCCAGCCCTGCTCCTCAGGCTTCACTGGGCCTGATCACCACACTCCTTCCCTGGTTCCTAGTGGAGTCTGCTGTTTTCCTTGCTTGTACTCAGAGATCTGATGGAGCTAAAAGCTGAGCATGTGAGGCTTTCAGGGTCTCTGTTGACCTGTTGTCTGCGCTTGACTGTGGGAGCACAGTCTCGGGAACCCAACGGATCTGGAAGAATGGATGGGCGGGAGCCGGCCCAGCTGCTGCTGCTACTAGCCAAGACCCAGGAGCTGGAGAAGGAAGCCCATGAAAGGAGCCAGGAGTTAATACAGCTGAAGAGTCAAGGGGATCTGGAGAAGGCTGAACTTCAGGACCGGTGAGATGGCCTGGGGTCCCAAGAAGGGTTCGCTGAGAGAGAGCTGACTCCTTTAGAGGGTTAGGGACAGGCAGGGGGAGGTGCCAGGAACATTCCTACCATGGAGGGGGAGAAGATGTGCCCAAGGAAATCTACTTTGAAACCTGATGCCACAGTTGGGGCTTGTACTGACCTCTGCCCTCAGCCTGTCTTTTAGCCCAGTTTCTTTCCTGTTGATTTATGGAGCTAGCTATGACTCCATCCTCCATCAACACCAAAGTGCTTGCCATTCCCAGAACAGCCAAGCTCTTCCCCCTCCCTGTCTTTGTACCTGCTGAATTTAGTCTGGAATGCCTCCCTCCCTTCTCTCTCTGCCTTATCCTCTAAGACATAGTTCAAATATTACCTCTTTTTTTTTTTTTTTTTTTTGAGACGGAGTCTCATTCTATCGCCCAGGCTGGAGAGCAGTGGCATGATCTTGCCTACTGCAACCTCTGCCTCCTGGGTTCAAGTGACTCCCCTGCCTCAGCCTCCCAAGTACCTGGGACTGTTTACAGGCACATGCCACCATACCCAGCTAATGTTTGTATTTTTAGTAGAGACAGGGTTTCACCATGTTGGTCAGGCTGGTCTCAAACTCCTGACCTCAAGTGATCCACCTGCCTCAGCCTCCCAAAGTGTTGGGATTACAAGCGTGAGCCACTGCAACTCGCCGAAATGTCACCTCTTCTATGAAGCCTTCTCTGACCTCAGTAGCCTGCTAAGTTACTGTGCCCTTGTAGTCTTTTGACCTCTTATTACAGCATTGATCTCACTGATGATTTAGTTTCCCCTACCTTCTTTTTTTGGTGAGGCTGTTTTACTTTTTGGATTATAATGAAGTAGGTTTTTAAAAAATAATGACATAGAAGGGCAGGGAAATGAGCAGAGAGCCCCATTGAATCTCAGGACAAAGTTCATATATGCCCATGACGAGGGTTGTATCTTCACCTGTTGGAGGTACATACATAAAATGCAGGGCTATTTTGTTTTGTTTTTGCTTTTGGAGGCACTGAGAAGTACAAAAGCAGGCCATGTCTTCGTAAGTTTTTATTTCTAGTACTTTGTACTTCACCTGCCGTATACTAGACACTCAATACATTTTGTTTCTTTGTTTTTTGAGACAGAGTCTAGCTCTGTTGCCCAGGCTGGAGTGCAGTAGTGTAAACACAGCTCACCGCAGCCTTAACCTCCTGGGCTGAAGCAATTCTCTTGCCTCAGCCTCCAAAGTAGCTGGGATTACAGGCACGCACCACTATGCCTGGCTAACTTTTTAATTTTTTTGTAGAGACGGGGTCTCACTATGTTTCCCAGGCCGGTCTGGAACTCCTGAGCTCAAGCAGTCTTTCCACCTTGGCCTCCCAAAGTTCTAGGATTACCGGTTGAGCCACCGTGGCTGGCCAGTGAATGTTTGTTGAGTGATGCAATACTTAAACAAATGACCATACAGTGTGTTAAGGTTCTTAGAGATGGTATAGAATAAAATTATTAAGACTTTTGCTGAGTGAGGAGGATCACTTGAGCCCAGGAGTTTGAGACCAGCCTGGACAACATAGTGAGACCTTGTCTCTACTAAAAGTAAAAATAAAAAAAGAATAGCCATGTGGTGGCATGCACCTATAATTCTAGCTACTTGGGAAGCTGAGGCAGGAGGATTGCTTGAGAGTGAGCTATGATTGCACCACTGTATTCCAGCCTGGGCAACAGAGCAAGACCCTGTCTCAAAAAAAAAATTGGAAAAAAATTTAAACTTTTAGATAGCATTCATTCAAGAAATATTTATTTAGCCACTCACATAATAGCAAGCAGTAAGCTCTAAGATATAGTGTTAAGTGTTTGGTGATTTTGCTGGACTTTGAGATTAATATCAAGAAGGTTGAACATAATCTTCCCCAAATTGCCCTTCCTTTTTCCCTATCAGAGTCAGAACCTCGGGCTGGAGGGACCTTGGGACTATCCCAAGTGCAATTCTGATGTTCTTATTGGCTTCAGGGTGCTTGACTTCAAGATCAAGCGAGGCCTGGAAGGGCCTGGGCCAGGGCTTTCCTTCAGCTCTTGGGCCCCCAAACACGTGTTCCAGCCTTGAGATGTGGTAAATCCCTGCATGTGTCTGAGTGGTTTTTTGCTTCCCCACTTCAAGGCTATAGCATCATGTGGTATTCAGGGAGTGCAGACGGGCTGGGGGTGCCTAAGGGATTTGGGGGAGGCTGCAGTTGGGAGTGGTTGGGGTTGGGGCTGGGGCTGGGGTGTGCTGCATCGTAGCTCTGTCCACATCCATGGGCTGTTCTGGTGACAGTGCTATGCTCTTCTCTTTAGGGTGACCGAGCTCTCTGCTCTGTTGACCCAGTCTCAGAAGCAAAATGAAGATTATGAAAAGATGATAAAGGCTCTGAGAGAGACAGTGGAGATCCTGGTACATGATCCTTTGCTCTGGAAAGGAGTTGGGCGTGGGCTTGTAGGTTCCTTGTGCTTTATGGACAGATAGTGCAGGATACCAGTTACATATTCCATGATGAAATCCTCTAAAGCTAAAAAATAAATTTTGGCTGAATCTGAAAATTAATTAACTCATTCATTTATTCATTGAATAAATACTATTGACTGTCTACTATCCCTACTGTATTCCTGGGGAAATTGCAATGGCATATGTATGCAGTGTGTCCTTACCAGAGAATTGGCACATACATTCAGAGACACATTGGCAAATTAGTGAGTTACCAGGAAGCGGATATGTGGAGAGATTTAAAATCTAGTCACATGGGAAACAACTGAGGAGTATGGCAATGTTTAGCCGGGAGAAGAAAGAGCTTGAGGCCCTGTGAAGGCCCTTGAAGACATGATAGCTGCCTTCACATATCTGAAGGACTGACGCTGGGAAAAGAGAGTTTATGAAGGGCCGGGCGCGGTGGCTCACGCCTGTAATCCCAGCACTATGGGAAGCTGAGGCAGGCAGATCACCTGAGGTCGGGAGTTTGAGACCGGCCTGACCAACATGCAGAAACCCCGTCTCTACTAAAAAAATAAAAAAAATTAGCCGGTCGTGGTGGCACATGCCTATAAACCCAGCTGCTCGGGAGGCTGAGGCAGGAGAATCACTTGAACCTGGGAGGTGGAGGTTGTGGTGAGCCGAGGTTATGCCATTGCACTACAGCCTGGGCAACAAGAGTGAAACTCCGTCTCAAAAAAGAGAAAAGAGAGTTTACATATTTAATGTTTTCCAGGGCAAAACCAATGTCAATAGCTAGAAGTTAATAGGGGAATAGATTCTGGCTCACAGCTAGAGCTGTTAAGTAGTTGAACAGCCTGTCTTGTGAAGGAGTAAGGTTTTGGTCATTGGCTTAACATCTGCCAGGGATGTTATCAGAGGGCTTCTCTAAGGTTGGATGTTAGAACCCTCTGGCTTAATACCATGTTTCATCTCTATAAGTTTTCAGATCTCTGATTTTAGGTAGCTCCTGAACCCCTATTCATATGTACACCCCTAGTCTTCTCATCCAAGCTGAGATCAACAGGAATTGTAGCTTTCTGATTCCCTCTTTTTTTTTCAGGAACTTGCCAATTCAGAATATCCATGGGGCTCAGATAATGTAAATAAATGAAATGGGTTCAGTTGTAAGAATTCTGGTTTTCCAGTGCTGTTTGTTGTATTTAGTTTTCAGTACTGCAGGGGACACTTGAGCTCAGTATTAAGGAAGCCATGAGGAGCAATAGGGATTGTGGGACCCTCAATAATAAATGTCTCATCTAGATGAGGCATCTACCATTCAACTTCAGTAAATCGTTTCCATGTAGGAATGGGGGCTGGGTGTGGCCCATTTGTTAACTTTTTGGGAGAAGCCAGAAATTTATATTTTTATGTAAAATCTTTCCATTTATAAATGTTGATTCAAATTTTGTATAAGCCAAATAAAACATAGTTGCAAGTCTGTGTCTTTAGGTCTTCACTAACACAAATAGGAAGGAAGAGAGGAACTCTTGAGTCTTCAAGATTATGTCTAGCTTTGGGGCTAGAGGATTCTCTGGTTTAGTATTAGGTCTCAAGCATCCATTTACTGTTCAGAGACAGCACCCATCCCCTATCTAATAATAGTTTACATTTATTGAACATTTGCTTTGTTCCAGACACTATATTGAATAATTTACATGCATTTTTCATTTAAGCCTCAAAACAACTAGTTGCTGTAATTATTTCTATTTTAAAGAAAAAGAAGTAAGTGATAGAAGCTAGTAAGTGATAGAGCAGGAATTCTAATCTGTGAAGTCCAATTTGGAACTCGTAATCACTTAATCTAAACTTGTAATCACCACATCACATTGTCTTCAGACTCTTCAGACAACATTAGCATTGACATATGGTCAGGGAAAAAGTGGGGCTGATAGAATAGACAGAATGAGACTTTGGTTGTTTGGGGTCCTGGAATAATAAATTCACTTTTGAGAGTTTGGCTCTGAGGCTCTGTTCTATTCCCTGTTCAGGAGACAAATCACACAGAATTAATGGAACATGAAGCATCTCTTAGTAGGAATGCGCAAGAGGAGAAGTTGTCTTTACAGCAGGTGATCAAGGATATAACCCAGGTACTGGGAAGCCTCCTGTTCATGGTAACCAGGTTATGCCTCCACTCCCCAGGTCTCCATGTCCTTTCAGTCCTGCCTAGATTTCCAGTCTCTGAGGTTCGGGTGCTTAAAGTCTTGTGGGGATGAGTTTTGTGTGTTTGAAGACCAGAACCCTAAGAGATAGCTAAGCATTCACGTTTAGCACTACCTGATGGGACAGGCCCTCTTTCCTGTTTCTAGCTGCAGTTCTCAGGCTGGAGGCTAGATTCTGGTATTCAATATCTCAATCGTTTCTTCTTTCATTTCCTCATTTATTGTTACCTCAGACAGTGTTCTAGCCTTGTTGTTAGTCCTAGACTTGGGTGACCAAAGGTGGAGAGTTGAAGGAACCAGACTTTTATGCTCAGATACTCCCCTCCTTCCCCCAGGGGAGAGGACCTGAGAAGGAAAACATCAGGTTTGTCCAGGCTATAGGGTTAAGTCCCTCTATAGACTCTAGGCTTTGGTCAGTAGGGTGGTGACCTTGCTGTATTGGGTTTCAGGTCATGGTGGAAGAAGGGGACAATATAGCCCAAGGCTCTGGTCATGAGAACTCTTTGGAATTGGACTCTAGTATCTTCTCCCAGTTTGATTACCAGGATGCAGACAAGGCTCTTACTCTGGTGCGTTCAGTGCTGACTCGGAGACGCCAGGCTGTGCAGGTAGGAACCCTCAGCATTCCACCTCAGTCACAGGGGTTTGTGTCTAAACTGGTTTGTGCCTCAGGTACCTCCCTAGCCTGGACTATCCCTTTCACTTTTTTGACCAGTCATGAGGTGTTCTGTCAATATCCCAGAGTAAATCTGCCTATGTCTGCTGAATTGTGCTTGTGAGTAGCAGGCACATCCTCCACGCCAATGGCATGCTTCACTTTGTGTACAATCTTTGCATAACAGTATGCAAAGATTGGGAACCAGAGCCCTGGGAGATTATTGGGTCAACGTTCTCCAACTCTGAGAGTCTTAGGCACACTTACCACTCCCCCATGCCACTGTACATTTGGAGATGACGAACTCTAAGAATCTAGAGCCACAGAAGCCCAATGACCTCTGATGGCCTGTCTTCTTGAATAGTTGCATCTCCCTTCTCAGCTTTCTTTTGTTGCACCAGCCCCCGACCCCCTTCTCCAGCCCCACTTTCGGGGTTCTGACATCCCTCCTTTGCCCTTGTTCATCATCTGGTTTCTCTTGCTCTCTCTCCACAGGACCTAAGGCAGCAGCTTGCAGGCTGTCAAGAGGCTGTGAACTTGTTGCAACAGCAGCATGATCAGTGGGAGGAAGAGGGCAAAGCCTTGAGACAGCGGCTGCAGAAGCTCACTGGGGAGCGGGACACTCTGGCAGGGCAGACTGTGGACCTCCAGGGAGAGGTGGACTCTCTCAGCAAGTGAGCAGACGGGCTGTTCATCCCACCCTCCCAGCCTGGTCTCAGTCTCAGTCACCATCCAGCCATTTACCCACTCCCATCAGGTTTTTGGGGTGCTGATCCTGTTCTCCTTGAGACTCAGGGCTGTTTTGCCCAGTGTTTCACTTGTTTCTCCAGAACAAGCTTTTGGGGTTGGAGTCTTTGTGATGATAAAAAAGTTTCGCACTAGAAACAGAAGATGGGATGTTGAAACAGGGTCTCTTGGCCCTGTGATGCCTGCTTCCAGAAAGAATTTTAGGTCCTATGGTCTCTGCTCATCTCTGATTCCCTTCTTCCAGGGAGCGAGAGCTGCTGCAGAAGGCCAGGGAAGAGCTGCGGCAGCAGCTGGAGGTGCTAGAGCAGGAGGCATGGCGCCTGCGAAGGGTAAATGTGGAGCTTCAGCTGCAGGGGGACTCTGCCCAGGGCCAGAAGGAGGAACAGCAGGAGGAGCTGCACCTGGCTGTCCGGGAGAGGGAGCGTCTGTAAGTGAGACTAGTCTCCTCCTCGCTGGGCCCTGGTCTTTCTTCAATTCTACACCCTCCCCGTCTACTCCCCTCTGTTACAAAGTAGAGTATGTAGAAGTCTGGCATGCAGTGGGTTCAGATTAGCTTGCTGCTTCTTCCTTTGCAGAAAGATGAATATGGAAAGTTCGTGGTTGGTTAAGTCTTAGTTGAGCACCCATATGGGATGAGACACTGAGGGGGATACAGAAATGAATAAGACAAAAGCCCTGATTTCAGGGAACTTGCCAGAAGACAGACAACTCACTGTGACATGAGGCTGGATGAAGTATGAGTTAAATAGAGTTTCAGACCAAGTCCTTTGGGAGCACAGGAGTGACAGCTAATTATTGAAGACTAGGAAATGCTTTATGGAGGAGAGAGTAGACTTTGAGCTGGGCCTTTACCTATTTGGTTAGCAGAGAGTGGGAGAAGAGCTCAAGGAACAGATTAGCAAAGAAAAGGCGGCAGGAAGGTTCATGGCATGTTCAGAGTAGGCTGGGCTGGCTAAAGGGTAAGACTTATACAGGGAAGTAGTGGGAAATGTGCTAGCTGGTCAAGAAAGGGAAATCCAGAATCAATGGCCCCAGCTAATCTGTAAATTCCCCTATATGATGTCACAGAAAAAGCAAGGACTTTGAGCTAGGCAGAAGCTTAGTTTAAATTATGGCTCTGTCACATGGACAGATTATTTGTAGAATGATGATAATATTTACCTTGAAGGGTTGCTGGGAAGATGAGAGCAATGTTTTGGAAAACGCCAGCATAGAACCTGGCATATGGTAGGTCTTTAATAACTGGGAGCAGGGATATATCTTCATCTTTGCTGTATTTCCCTCCTCTCCTGTGCCCCAGTTCCTTGTACCTGGTAGGCATGAATAGTGGAAGCTTGAAGGGCTGCCATAAGGGTCATGACTTGTGCTAAGAATGATCTCCCTGTACCAAGGAGAAGGGCAGACAACCCCTAACAACAAAAAATTAGCTGTAGCTGAATGTGGTGGCATGTGCCTGTAGCCATGGCAAGGTGAGATGGGAGGATCACATGAGCCCCCAGGAGTTTGAGGCTTCAGTGAGCTAAGAAGATACACAGAGAAGTCTCACTCTCATTTGTGCTTTCTCCATCCCATTTCCCTTCCCCCTTTAGGCAACCATTTTAGCTGACTTCTTGTTTATCTTGCCAGTGCTCCTTCATGCAAATACGGGCATATATTCTTTCTTCCCCCACTTTCTTGCATAAAAGGTAGTGTATCATGTATATACTGTTCTGCACCTTGATTTTTTTCACTTGACATGTCTTAGAAATCTTTCCTTATCAGTGTTTATAGACCATCCTCATTCTGTTGCATAGCAAAGGTGATTATATTCCTGTTACCTTTGGGGTTATGGCCCATCCCTAAGAGTTCCTCTAGACCCCTCTCTTTCCCATCTTAGTCAGGAGATGCTGATGGGCCTGGAAGCCAAACAGTCAGAATCACTCAGTGAACTGATCACTCTTCGGGAAGCCCTGGAGTCAAGTCACCTGGAAGGGGAGTTACTGAGGCAAGAGCAAACGGAAGTGACCGCAGCGCTGGCTAGGGTGCGTGGCCTCCTCTCCTCACTTGCTGGGTGGGCGGCTTCGAAAGTGTGTTCCCATGCAGCCTGCCTCATTCTTCACCTTCAAGCCAGGATCCCTCATCTTTCCTCAATCATTAGTCTGCTTCTGGGTTCTCTATTCCAACATACCCTCTATATTGGAATTAGAATGGGCTTTCTAAAGTATATACCTGGTTATGTCAGTCTCTTAAAACCATTCAACGGCTTTCTAGCTCTGTGGTGCCACATTCAAAGCTTTTTGTCATGTGCCTCAAAGTGTGTTTTAGCCTCCCCTTCTACTGCAAAACCCATCCTAACACCTCATATCCTTTGCTCCTGCCACAGCAGTAATTGCCTTCTCAGTTATTCCATGTTCTTCATGACTCTAATACTCTGCGTGTACTTTTCCCTTTCTCTGCACTACTTCTTTCCTCTTCCTTTATGTGCAAACTGTTCCTCATCTCTCAGTACACAACTTAATCGTCAACTCCTCTACCAAGCATATTTGACTCTTCCAAACTATATTAATATTTTTTTTAGTTCCCAGAGCACTTTGTGCTTACATTTTCTGTGGCATCATTACAATCATAGTCATTTCTCTATCCTAACTTTGGTATCTCTATACTGTGAGGTCCTGTCTCACTCCTTAATGAATGAATGAAGGGAAAACTTGTTTAGAATGCAGGAGAGGGAATGGAGTATTAACTGATCTCTGTACCAAAAAGCAGCAGTGTTGGGAATGTGAACTGTTTACTGTTCCAGGAAAATTGGAAATATGAAACTCTTTAATCCTTTTTGTTTTTTAGGCAGAGCAGTCAATTGCAGAGCTGTCGAGTTCTGAAAACACCCTGAAGACAGAAGTAGCTGATCTTCGGGCTGCAGCTGTCAAGCTCAGTGCCTTAAATGAGGCTTTGGCGTTAGATAAAGTTGGGCTGAACCAGCAGCTTCTCCAGGTGAGCAAAGATTTTCCTGGTCCCCACAGAAGGGCTGGGCCCTAACTGAGAGCAAGACGGATCAGCTCCCAAATGTAGGTCTGAAATGAGCAAAAGGAACATTTACAATGCAGAGGAGAGCAAAGACTGTAAGGATTGGGCTTAGCCATTATAAATATTCCCCTCCCACACCTCCAGCAGAACCACCTCTGGACTTCAGGGTAAGACACCAAGGTTGGGAAGGGGCCCATGTCCTCTGGAAGGAAGACTAGGTTTTTTGCTGGGGTTTTCTTGAGATGGATCTCCCTCTGTCACCTAGGCTGGAGTGCAGTGGTGCGATCTTAGCTAACTGCAGTTTTCATCTCCTGGGTTCAAGCAATTCTCCTGCCTCAGCCTCCTGAGTAGCTGGGATTACAGGCATGTGTCACCACACCTGGCTAATTTTTTTTTTTTGAGATGGAGTTTTGCTCTTGTTGCCCAGGCTGGAGTACAGTGGCACGATCTTGGCTCGCTGCAACCTCTGCATCCCGGGTTCAAGCAATTCTCTTGCCTCAGCCTCCTGAATATCTGGGATTACAGGCATGCACCACCATGCCTGGCTAATTTTGTATTTTTAATAGAGACAGGGTTTTACAATGTTGGTCAGGCTGTTCTCAAACTCCTGACCTCAGGTGATCCACCTGCCTCAGCCTCCCAAAGTGCTAGGATTACAGGCGTGAGCCACCACACTTGGCTGCCCTGGGCTAGTTTTTGTATTTTTAGTAGAGATGGGGTTTCACCATGTTGGCCAGGCTGATCTTGAACTCCTGGCCTCAGGTGATCCATCCACCTCAGCCTCCTGAAGTCCTGGGATTACAGGCATGAGCCACCATACCCGGCCTAAGTCTAGGTTGTTAATCCTGTTGGGTGAGATAATAGCAATCACCAGAAAAGAATCTGCTGAAGAGCCTAAGTCCCAAAGAATCTTTTCTATAGGTTATAAATTTAACCTATAATTATAGCGAGGGAACCTCCTTGCAATCTCTGTTTCCTTGAGTGTTCTCTATTCCATTATTCTGAATTATTTGAGAGCAGGACTTTGCCTTGCATATCTCCGTCCCCAGCATCCAGCCCATCTAGTACCTGGAATATAGGCACTAGATCAAATGAATGGATTTTCCCCCATCTTATAAACACTCCTTTGTTCATCTTTGGAGAATAGATTCATATCTCACTTGGATTTCAGTCTTAGCATTTGATTCCTAAACTAACCATTTGTCTTTGATGCTTGTACTCCCTTCCCTTTTTGGCCAGTAGTTAGAGGAGGAGAACCAGTCTGTGTGCAGCAGAATGGAGGCCGCAGAGCAGGCGAGAAATGCTTTGCAGGTCGACCTGGCGGAGGCAGAGAAGAGGAGGGAAGCCCTGTGGGAAAAGAACACTCACCTGGAGGCTCAGCTGCAGAAAGCTGAGGAGGCTGGGGCTGAGCTGCAGGCAGATCTCAGGGACATCCAAGAAGAGAAGGAAGAAATTCAAAAGAAACTAAGTGAGGTGAGAAGCCAAAATGGACACCATCATGTCTAGGTGTAATATATGCTCATTATAAAAAATTAAAACACTACAGAAATTATCTGGAAAGTGAAAAAGTCTTACTTCCTAGAAATGACCAGTGTTACTAGTTTGCAGTATATCTTCCAATTTTAAAAAAGAATGCCTATAACAATTCTTCACTGAGGCTGGGCGCAGTGGCTCATGCCTGTAATCCCAGCACTTTAGGAGGCCGAGGCGGGCGGATCACGAGGTCAGAGGTTCGAGACCAGCCTGACCAACATAGTGAAACCCTGTCTCTACTAAAAATACAAAAATTAGCCCGGCATGGTGGCACATGCCTGTAATCCCAACTACTCGGGAGGCTGAGGCAGGAGAATCTCTTGAATCTGGGAGGCGGAGGTTGCAGTGAGCCGAGATTGCGCCACTGCACTCCAACCTGGATGACAGAGCGACACTGCTCAAAAAAACAAAAAGAATTCTTCACTGATTCTCCACTACTTCATTCACACCACCCAGTTTGAATTAGAAGCTTCTCCTTATACTCTGATAGCACCTCATGCTTATTTTAACTACCACATTCCTCATGCTATAATTATCTGTTTATATGTCTCTACCATTAGACCAAAAGCTCCTTGAAGGCAAAGCTATATCTTATTTGTTTTTATTTCTCCAGCTTTTAGCATAGTGCCTACCACATAACAGGGGCCAAGTAAATTTTTTTCCTGAGCCAATGAATGACCTGGCTCAAAGGTCATCTTTCTCCTCTACAAAACCTCTCATTGTCCTAATAATTGTACGGACTCTCCCTTCACAGAGTCCCTTTCTCGGGACATTGATGACTTTCTTCCCAGTATTATGTGTGCATCTTCTCAAGGCCAAAACCTCCTTAGGGGCAGGTCTTCTGCTGTCCCTAGCACAGGGTCTTGCTCACAGGGGAGCATTCTTCCTGGGCTGGGGGCTCTGTGGGCGGATCAGGGAAATAGATAAATGCCACGTGCTATTGGGTAAGCAATCCGGGCTCACAGAGCTGGGTCCAGAATCTCTGAAGAGGCAATGACCCTAACCTGGTGGTAGCGGCCCCAGGGGAATCCAGCCTCTGCTCCATCTCTCACCACATTCTTCCCCTCAGTCACGTCACCAGCAGGAGGCAGCCACGACTCAGCTGGAGCAGCTACATCAGGAGGCAAAGCGACAGGAAGAAGTGCTTGCCAGGGCAGTCCAGGAGAAGGAGGCCCTAGTACGAGAGAAAGCGGCTCTAGAGGTGCGGCTGCAGGCCGTGGAGCGTGACCGGCAGGACCTCGCTGAACAACTACAGGGGCTCAGGTAGGGCCCAGACTCAGTTCAGCCAAGCACAGAGAGAGCTTTGCAAGGCAAAGGCGTGAAGCTAAGCTCCCTGCCATAAGTATGCAGGTCCTAAATTGATTATGAATTTATAATTGCCCCCCTAACTTCTCCAGGTAGCCAATACTTAGAACCCAGCTCCTCTTGAGGAAGGGTAAGGGGCTTGATGGGTAAGAAACTCTTCTGATTCCTGAACCTCACAGCTCAGCCAAGGAGCTACTGGAGAGCAGTCTGTTTGAAGCCCAACAACAAAATTCTGTGATAGAGGTCACCAAGGGGCAGCTGGAGGTCCAGATTCAAACTGTCACTCAAGCCAAGGAAGTAATCCAAGGTGAGAACCCAACTGGGATGGGATGCACTCCATTCCATGGAGATGTTGAAAGGCAGGAAGATGGTGGGAGACTATTAGAGGTCCTTCTCCAGCAGGGTGCAGGGCCTCTGAGATGGGAGTTGCTCATGAGGTCAGGGGAGAGGGAGAATTTTATTAGGTAAAAGGAGGGGGCGGAGGCCTGATCCTGTCCCTGGCATGTTAGGGGAAGTGAGGTGCCTGAAGCTGGAACTGGACACTGAACGGAGTCAGGCAGAGCAGGAGCGGGATGCTGCAGCCAGACAGCTGGCCCAGGCTGAGCAAGAAGGGAAGACTGCCTTGGAGCAGCAGAAGGCAGCCCATGAGAAAGAGGTGAACCAGCTCCGGGAGAAATGGGTAAGTGGTCAATGTGGCCGGGTATGGCCTCCCTTCCATGAGTGCTCTACCTGCTGCCTCTTGGTCCAGTTATTGCTGCTCGTATGAGTGAAATTTTGTAACCAAGCTGTAAAATCCAACTTCCTGCTATTAAATGAGTTAATATATGAAAAGCACTAAGAGTAGTTCCTAGCATGTGGTGGGCTCCCTATATGTGTTAGCCATTATTATTGTTGTTGTGTTGGTGTGTACAGAGAATTGAGAGTGGACCCTGGGATTTAGGATTATTAAACTGGCCTCAGGATGAAAACGGGGGAGAGGAATATCTTGGATGCATTCTTGTGCAGTTCAGAACTGTGTTTTGTCTTTTAATAATGTAATTTAGTCCATTTGGTTTTATTGTGGTTTTAGGTGTATTTGGATTTATTTGTGCCATCTTATGTTATTTGTCTTGCTTTTTTATATCTTTTTTTTTTTTTTTTTTCCTTGAGACAGTCTCACTCTGTCCCTCAGGCTGGAGTACAGTGGTGCATTCTTGGCTCACTGCAACCTCCGCCTCCTGGGTTCAAGCGATTCTCCTGCCTCAGTCTCCTAAGTAGCTGGGATTACAGGTGTGTGCCACCACATCTGGCTAATTTTTGTATTTTTAGTAGAGATGGGGTTTCACCATGTTGGCCAGGCTGGTCTCAAACTGACCTCGTGATCCACCTGCCTCAGCCTCCTAAAGTGCAGGGTACAGCTGTGAGCCACTGTGCCTGGCCATTTTTATATCTTTTAGGGAGGGGAAATCTCCTTTCTTAACTTCTTTTAGAGGATTAAGTTGGGTGATTAAGTTGTATTCTTTTCTCACCTCTTTTTTCTCTCTGCAACTGTGGATGATATATACTTTATTTTAAAAATCCTGTTAGTGGTTACCTTTAATATTTTTAAACATATACTTAATAAAATCTCAAGGTTCAGTAGTTTTACCCTTTTCCTGAACGATACAAGGGTCTTAGAACATTTTACCTGGGCCAGGGACAGTGGCTCATGCCTGTCATCTCAGCACTTTGGGAGGCTGAGGTGGGCAGATTGCTTGAGCCCAGGAGTTTGAGACCAGCCTGGACAACACGGCGAAACCCCATTCCCTACAAAAAAAAATACAAAAATTAGCCAGGCATGGTGGTACACACTGTAGTCCCAGCTACTTGGGAGGCTGAGGTGGGAGGATCACTTGAGCCTAGGAGGTTGAGGCTGTGGTGAGCTGAGCACCACTGCACTCCAGCCTGAGTGACAGAGTGAGACCCTGTCTCAAAAGCAAAAAAGAACATTTTACTTGTTTCACTGCTCCCTAATTTATAGGCTATTTTGTTCAGTGTGTTCAGTTCTAACTAGTTTAACACCACAAATTATGATTTTTTTATTGTTTTATACAGTCAATATTTGTTCAGATACAACGAATTGATACCTTTTCTGTTCACCATACCTTCTTGCATGTCAGACTTTCTATTCAGATTTTTTTTTTTTTTTTTTGCCTGAAGTAGGATTTTCTTTGGTAAGGGTCTGTTGGTAGTTAATTGTCTGAAGATGTTTCTATTTTATTTTTATTCTTTTATTGAGGCAGGGTCTCACTCTGTCGCCTAGACTGGAGTGCAGTCATGTGATCATGGCCTACTGCAGCCTTGGCCTCCTGGGCTCAGGTGATCCTCCCACCTCAGCCTCCCAAGTAGCTGGGATTATAGGCATATGCCATCACACCCAGCTAATTTTATTTTTGGTAGAGACAGGGTTTCACCATGTTGCCCAGGCTGGTCTCAAACTCCTGGGCTCAAGCGATCCACCCGCCCTTGGCCTCCCAAAGTGTTGGGATTACAGAGGTGAGCCACCATGTCCAGCCTACTTTTATTCTTGAAAGATAGTTTCTGGCTTTGTTCAGGCTTAAAAAATAGATAGATAGATAGATAGATAGATAGATAGATAGATAGATAGATAGATAGATAGATTCACTAAGTAAAACATTCAGATATAAGTTTCTAGGATGACAATTATTTTCTCTCAACATTGTTGGTATTGAGAAGTTAGCTTTCATTTTAATCATTCCACAGTTTCTTGTGTTTATTATTATTTTTTTGTTTGTTTGTTTTTTGAGACGGAGTCTCGCTCTGTTGCCCAGGCTGGAGTGCAGTGGCGCAATCTTGGCTCACTGCAAGGTCCGCCTCTGGGTTCACGCCATTCTCCTGCCTCAGCCTCCCAAGTAGCTGAGACCACAGGCGCTCACCACCATGCCCGGCTAATTTTTTGTATTTTTAGTAAATACAAAAATTTTTTGTATTCACCGTGTTAGCCAGGATGGTCTCGATCTCCTGACCTCATGATCCACCCGCCTCGGCCTCCCAAAGTGCTGGGATTACAGGCGTGAGCCACCGTGCCCGGCTATTTATTTTTTTATATTTTTTTTTATTTTTTATTTTTTTGAGACAGAGTCTTGCTCTGTCACCCAGGCTTGAGTGCAGTGGTGCAATCTCGGCTCACTGTAACTTCCACCTCTTGAGTTCATGCAGTTCTTCTGCCTCAGCCTCTAGAGTAGCTGGGATTACAGGCACGTACCACCATGCCCAGCTAATTTTTTTGTATTTTTAGTAGAGATGGGGTTTCACCATGTTGCCCAGGCTGGTCTCAAACTCCTGGGCTCAAGTGATCCACCCACCTCGGCCTCCCAAAGGGCTGGGATTAAAGGCGTGAGACCACGCCTGGCAATTTCTTGTGTTTAGATGTGTATTTCTTTTATTTGGTTGGAATTTCTTAGACATCCTGAATTTAAGATTTCATGTTGAAATATCAATTCTGGAAAATTCTTATATATTATCTCTTCAATATTACCTCTTTCCTACTGTCCTGCTTTTATTTATTTACTCTTTAAAATAAATTTTTTTTTGGCCAATTGCAGTGGCTCATGCCTGTAATCTCAGTAATTTGGGAGGCTGAGGTGGGCGGATCACCTGAGGTCAGGAGTTCGAGACCAGCCTGACCAACATGGAGAAACCCCGTCTCTACTAAATATACAAAATTAGCCGAGTGTGGTAGCACATGTCTGTAATCCTAGCTATTAGGGAGGCTGAGGCAGGAGAATCGCTTGAACCTGGGAGGTGGAGGTTGCGATGAGCTGAGATCGCGCCATTACACTCCAGCCTGGGCAACAAGAACGAAACTCCGTCTCAAAAAAAAAAAAAAATTTTTTTTTTTAAATTTATTTTATTTTATTTTTTAGAGACAGGGTCTTGCTCTGTTACCCAGGCTGGAGTATAATGATACAATCATAGCTCACTGCAGCCTCAAACTCCTGAGCTCAAGTGAGTCCTCCTGCCGCAGCCTCCGACGAACTGCAACTACAGGCACATGCCACCATGCCCAGCTAATTTTTTAATTTTAATTTTAATTTTTTTTTTTTTTAGAGATGGGTCTTGCTATGTTATCCAGGCTGGTCTCGAACTCCTGGGCTCAAGCTGTCCTCTTGCCTCAGCCTCCCACATAAGCTGGGACTACAGGTGCACGCCACCATACCTGGCTCTTTTCCTACTTTCTTCTCTCTTTCTGTACTCTGGTTAGTTGTATGTCAGACCTTTTTACTCTATCCTTCATGTATCTTCACTGCCTCTTGCATTTTACATGTTTACTTTTCTCTTTGTATGCTGTGTTCTGGATTATTTTTTTCAGATCTCTCATCTAGTTACTGATTTTCCTTTTCAGCTGTGTCGAATCTGATGTTTATTCTATTCACCAAGTTTTA
Source organism: Homo sapiens (assembly GCF_000001405.40). Lineage (NCBI taxonomy): Eukaryota > Metazoa > Chordata > Mammalia > Primates > Hominidae > Homo > Homo sapiens. The sequence goes on from NC_000020.11 coordinate 35,483,891, forward strand.
AATTTCACTTTTTAAATTTTTTATTTCTAGATATTTTATTTGGTTATTTTTTCATATCTTCTTGGTCATTTTTTTCAGTCTGTTTTCCCTAATTTGTATTTTCAGTCCATTCTTTTAAACATATGAAACATACTTGTGTCCTGTCTAGTAATTCCAATAACTTTTAATTAACGTTTTGGGGTCTAGTTCTGTAATTTGTTGTTTCTGTTGGCTCTTACTCATGGGCTTGTTTCCCTGTGTTTTTGTGATTCTTGTCTATGAGCATGTCTTTGGAAATTTTCCTTTTTTTTTCTTTTTTCTTTTTTTCTTTTTTCCCCCAGAGACCTTTGTTCTGAGGAAGGTTTTCTGTGGGAATCTTTTTAGGCCTGAGGCAAAGGAGTTTTTCCTCAGAGGATTTGTGCTTCTGTCAGGAAGCTGGAGGACTAGCATCCCAGGACCACCTTAAAGTAAATTTTCTGTTTAAAGTTTTTTGACCCACAGTCAGGCCCAGACCCCATGTGCAGCTCAGCTTGTGGTTATGAATTTTCAGAGGAGACTTTTTTCCTACCCTGTATCAAAGTTGAGATAAGCATATTTCCTTGATAATTTCCTTCTATAGAGTTTATTTTGTTTTGTCCCCTCTCCACATCCCTCCAGTTTCTCTTTTTCTCCCTTCCTCCCCATGTCCTCCTTCTTTTTGCCTTTTCCCCCTTAAGCTGAGGTCACTACAGCCCAGAGATAGGCATTTTTTTTTTTCTTTCTAGAGATGGACTATCACTATGTTGCTCAGTCTGATCTTGAACTCCTGGGCTCAAGGGATCCTCCTGTCTCAGCCTCCTGAGTAGCTGGGACCACAGGCACAGTCCACCATGTCTGGCTTTTTGTTAAGGACTATATGCTAGGCTTTGCAGACCATATGGTCTCTGTTACAATTATCTAACTTTGCAATTGTAGTGCAAAGCAGCCATATATAAACAAATGAGCATGACTGTGCTCAGATAAAACTTTATGTATAGATACTGAAATGAGAATTTCATATAATTTTCGCATGTCACAAAACATTATTGTTTTCTACCATTAAAAATGTAAAGGCTGGGTGCAGTGGCTCATGCCTATAATCCCACCACTTTGGGAGGCTGAGGCAGGACGATTGGTTGAGACCAACCTGGGCAACATAGCAAGACCCTATCTCTTTAAAAAAAAAAAAAAAAAAAAGGTAAAGGCTGGGCGCAGTGGCTTACGCCTGTAATCCCAGCACTTTGGGAGGCCTAGGTGGCCGGATCACCTGAAGTCAGGAGTTCAAGACCAGTCTGGCCAACATGGTGAAACTCCATCTCTACTAAGAATACAAAAATATTAGCCGGGTGTGGTGGCACATGCCTGTAGTCCCAGCTACTTGGGAGGCTGAACAGGAGAATCGCTTGAACCTGAGAGGTGGAGGTTGCAGTGAGCCAAGATCGCACCATTGCACTCCAGCCTGGGCGACAGAGTGAGACTCTGTCTCAAAAAAAAAAAAAAAAAGTAAAAACCACTCTTAGCTCATAGCCAGAGAGCAACAGGTGGTGAGCCAGATTTGGTCCACATACTATAATTTGTTAACCCCAGTCCAGATTTTTGTTTGTTTGCTTGTTTTGTTTAGAGATAAGGTCTTGCTCTGGTCACCCAGGCTAGAGTATAGTGGCACAATCATAGCTCACTGCAGCCTCAAACTCCCAGGCTCAAGTGATCTTCCTGCCTCAGCCTCCTAAGTAGCTAGGACTACAGCGTCTGCCTGGCTTTTTTTTTTTTTTTTTTTTTTTTTTTTTTTGAGACAGGGTCTTGCTCTGTCACTCAGGCTACAGTGCAATGGTACAATCATGGCTCACTGCAGCCTCTACCTCACGGGCTCAAGTGATCCTCTCCAGCCTCCTGAGTAGCTGGGACCACAGGCATGAACCACCATGCCTGGCTAAGTTTTTTTTTTTTTTTTTTTTATAGAGATGGGGTTTCGTCATGTTACCCAGGCTGGTCTTGAACTCCTGGGCTCAGGTAATCTGCCCACCTTGGCCTCCCAAAGTGCTGGGGATTACAGGCGTGAGCCACCACGCCCAGCCACCTGGCTTATTTTTATTTTTATTTTAAATTCTGAATTACATTTGCATTGGGTGAAAGATAGTGGATTTACTTTTTTTTTTTTTTTTTTGAGACACAGTCTTGCTCTGTTGCACAGGCAGTGGTGCTGTTTCAGCTCCGCCTCCTGGGTTCAAGCAATTCTCGTGCTTCAGCCTCCCAAGTAGCTGGGATTACAGGCGCATGCTACCACACCTGGCTAATTTTTGCATTTTTAGTAGACACTGGGTTTCACCACATCAGCCAGGCTGGTCTCGAACTCCTGACCTCAAGACAAGGTCTTGCTATTGCCCAGGCTGGAGTGCAGTTGTACAACTGCACTGTACAACTCTAGCTCACTGAAGCTTCAAGCTCCTGGGCTTAAGCAATCCTTCTGCCTCAGCCTCCAGACTAGCTAGGACTACAGGCATGCACCATCATGCCTGGCTAATTTTTTTTTTTTTTGGTAGAGATGTGATCTCACTTTGTTGCCTAGGCTGGTCTTGAACTCCTAGCTTCAAGCAATCCTCCTGCCACAGCCTCCCAAACTGCTGGGATTATAGGTATGAACTACCACACCTGGCCTACACCACAAGTCTTGCTTTGCTTTTGGCTTCTGTGGAATTTTTATTATTTTCCTGCTGGTTCTGTGATACATTAAAATACATATTTAATATTTTATCCAGCATTTTTTGCGATTTCGTAGCTGGAGGGTTCAGAGATCTTGTTTATCAAGTATCTGGAAATGGAAGTTGACTTGTGCTTTATGTGTATTTGTAATTTGATTGTTATTATGAGGCAGGCTTATTGGCAAGATGATAACCAGAAGTTTGCTTATTTTTGGAATTCTGTGCCTAGTCTATAGTCGGTGCTTAAAAGTATTTGTTGAATGAACACTGATTCTAGCAGGAATCAGATGTATACCATGTACTGAAAACTCCATAAATAAAAGATGCTATAAAACTTCTGAATGATAAGCCAGCTACCTACGTGGCCTTGGTTTCCCTAAAAGGATTGACTATAGTGGCCATATCTGGGTCATGAAAGGGCCTTTTCTCTCTTTTCCTTTTCTGTCATTCAGCTAATCCTCCTGACTTCTGATTGTCCCACTTTATTATTTCTCTATGATTGAGCAGGTCAACTGCCCTCTTAAAACTCTCGACAGCCTGTTCGTTTTAGCAGTGACTGCCTTCTCCTGGAATCCTGGCAATTAGAAGCACTCTTGGGAGGCCGCGCGTGGTGGCTCACACCTGTAATCCCAGCACTTTGGGAGGCCGAGGTGGGCGGATTGCCCAAGGTCAGGAGTTTGAGACCAGTCTGGCCAACCTGGTGACACCCCGTCTCTACTAAAAATACAAAAAAATTAGCCAGGCGTGGTGGCATGCACCTGTAATCCCAGCTACTTGGGAGGTTGAGGCAGGGGAATTGCTTGAACCAGGGAGGTGGAGGTTGCAGTGAGCCAAGATCGCACCACTGCACTCCAGCCTGGGCAACAGAGTGAGACTCTGTCTCAAAGAAAAAAAAGAAAAAGAAACACTCTTGGCAGTTGTATTCTTTATTCTTCCATCTACTGTCTGTCTCCCCTTTAAGAGTAATGATATTGGACACTTGTTAAGCACCTCCCCATGCCAAGCACCATGCTGAATGCTTTATTCACACAATAAAGGTGAATAAATGCATGGAGAAGTCACTCAGGGCTGGGCGTGGTGGCTCACACCTGTAATTCCAACAATTTGGGAGGCCAAGGCGAAAGGATCGCTAGAGGCCAGGAGTTCGAGACCAGCCTGGGCAACATAGCAAGATCCCCATCTCTAAATAAATAAAATATAAAAAGAGAAGTCAGGGTTACATGGCTAATAAGGGGTAGAAAAGGGATTCAGGGCCCAAACTCCTAACCATTTCTTTTTTATCCACCTCTGTAATGTCCCTTCCAAATGGTTGCTTAGCTGCTATTGTATTCCATCACTTGGCTGCCCATTTATTTTAGATAGATCTAGTTATTAGGAAATTCATGTTGAACCAAAACCTATTACCAGGAACAAATGAGCCTTAGATTTGCTTGAAATACCCCACCAACATGGTTGCTTTCTTCTAGGCATGTTACAATTTACTCATGTCCCAGTGGTGTAAAGGTGGCACTTTGAACTGGGCAGAATATTCTGTTCATGGTCATACCAGCAATGCTGGACTGTTACTTCCTACACATCACAGAATTAGCTCTTCTTGTAGCTATAACACACTTCTAACTCACATAGAGCAAATAGATCAGTTTTTTTAACACTTGCAACTGCTATTAACATTCATCTTTTTCATATTTTTACAGTTGGCTTTGGCTTTTTGCAGTCACATACTCTGCCACTGAGCTATACCCGCTGTCTTTGGCTTTTTGAACCAGAGGGTAAAATGATTTGTCATTCATGACTGTCCTGTAACTGACATTACACATTGCCGGGTTTTATAAGGAAGAACAAAGGAAGACCTCTTTTTTTTCTTTTTATTATTATTATTTCTTTTGAGACAGGGTCTTGCTCTGTTGCCCAGGCTGGAGTGCAGTGGCGTGATCAGGGCTTAACGGCAGCCTCACCCTCAAGGCCCTCCTGGGCTCAAGTGATCCTCCTACCTCAGCCTCCCAAGTAGCTGGGACCACAGGAGTGAACCACCACACCTGACTAATTTTTGCATTTTTTGTAGATAAGGGGTTTCACCATGTTGCCTAGGCTGGTCTCAAACTCTTGGGCTCAAGTGATCATCCTACCTCGGCCTCGCAAAATGTTGGGATAATATATGTGAACTACCACGTCCAGCCAGACCACTGTCAATTGTATGGTCTGGGAAGGCTTCACCAAGGAAGTGTTAGTTTAGGCGTGAGGAATGATGGAGTAGGGGGGAGAAGGGCTTTCCAGGTAGAAGGAAGCATGAGTAAAGGCTCTAAGGCATGAACATGTTGGCTGGGTGCAGTGGCTCACACCTGTAATCCTAGCACTTTGGGAGGCCTAAGCGGGCAGATCACTTGAGGTTAGGAGTTCAAAACCAGCCTGGCCAACGTGGTGAAACCATGTCTCTACTAAAAATACAAAAAAAATAGCTGGGAGTGGTGGCGGGCGCCTGTAATCCCAGCTACTTGGGAGGCTGAGGCGGGAGAATCACTTGAACTTGGGAGGCAGAGGTTGCAGTGAGCCGAGATCACCCCACTGCACTCCAGCCTGGGCGATAGAGTGAGACTCTGTCTCAAAAAAAAAAAAAAAGTGCTTAGTGTGCTCAAGGACCTGCAAGGAGGCAAGTGTGTGTAGCCAGGGTGTAGTGAATGAGGGGGAAAGCTGCACAGGATGACACTGGGAAGGCTGAAACACTAGAGGCGTTCCCATTACATGAATAAGCAACGACAAACTTACAAGCATTTTAAAGGAAAAGTGCAGGGAATACTAATGTGATGATGATGCTGGCTGTTGTGTATTGCCCGCTTTCTGTGTGCTACGCACATTTAAAGTGATTCACATGACTTATCTCCATCCTCAATACAACCTGAGGAGAATGACACTGTTGTTATCCCCATTTTAATAGATGAAGAAACTGAGGCACAGAGTTGTTTAGAAATTGAGATCATGCTAGTAGTGGTAGATTAAAGATTCTCCACCCAGGCAGCCCAACTCCAGAGCCCTTCACCTCTATCCTGTACACCTAATAGAGGGTCCTGAACTAGTCAGAGAGCTTGGGAAAGCTTTGGTTGCTGGAAGACCGCTAAGACAAGAAGCACCCCTATCCTAATGCTCTTATATAATACAGGGAGACATCCTCACTGGGCCAGGCCTGATTCTTCAGGGGCTAACTCTGCAACTCTGAGTAGAGGAGAGCAGGCAGCAGACAGCCAGAATTGGCCGCCTCAGTTCATTGTTACAACTGTCAACCACAATGTGGCTGCTTTAAAGATAACAAATACGGAGCTGTGTGTGGTGTCATGCCCCTGTGTTCTTAGCTACTCAGGAGGCTGAGGCAGGAGGACCACTTGCGCCCAGGAGTTCGAGTCCAGCCTGGGCAACATAGTGAGACCCCATCTCTAAAAATAAGAATGCCTAGGCTAGGCACAGTGGCTCATGCCTATAATCCCAGCACTTTGGGAGGCCGAGGCAGGCAGATCACTTGAGGTCAGGAGTTCATGACCAGCCTGGCCAACATGTTGAAACCCCATCTCTACTAAAAATACAAAAATTAGCTGGGCATGGTGGGGGGCACCTGTAGTCCCAGCTGCTAGGGAGGCTGAGACAGGAGAATCACTTGAACCTGAAAGGTGGAGGTTGCAGTGAGCGGAGATCGTGCCACTGCAGTCCAGCCTGGGTGACAGGGCAAGACTCCGTCTCCAAAAAAAAATTAAAAATAGAAATACATTTTAAAACCCAGATACTTGTAGCATATATAAGGGACAATTGCAGTTTGGAAGGTACTTCCACATGTATTATATAATTTTATTTTTTAAAATGAATCTCATTTGGTTGTCATGAAATTTGGTAAGATAGATAAGGCAGGGAATATTAGCCTTGCTTTACAGATGAGGCAACAGGCTTAGAGAGGTACCAAGGTCACCCCACTAGTGAGTAGTAGAGAGACTTTGTTTTTCCAATCCAGTACCCCTGCCTCCCCTCCTCACCCATTTGGTTCTAATGGTGTTTCCTTCATGTGGCCAGGAGAAGGAGCGCTCCTGGCACCAGCAGGAGCTGGCAAAGGCTCTGGAGAGCTTAGAAAGGGAAAAAATGGAGCTGGAAATGAGGCTAAAGGAGCAGCAGACAGAAATGGAGGCCATCCAGGCCCAGAGGGAAGAAGAACGGACCCAGGCAGAGAGTGCCCTATGCCAGGTGGGAAGCTAGGAGGATTGGAGCTGCACGTCCAGTCAGCGATCTCCTTACCTTGACCACTTCCTTTTCTACTCCCAAGAGGAGTGCTGCAGAGGGGCTTCCAGAAGAGAGGGTAGCTACCCACTTTGCTAACAGTGAGCAGGGTGGTCCGCACCATTAGCCACAGTTCCGGCAGTATGTCATACTTCCTGAGGGAGGGCTGACATGTACCACATCCTGTCAGCTTGCAAACCAGTGGTAATCTTTGCACTTCCTTGTTCTGAACCCATGGGCTCAGACCTTCCTTTGCCCTCAGCCCCTTCCCATTTGCTAGGAGAGCCCTAGGGCAGCTGGGATGTGCTTGTGGCCTCGTTGGTGAGCATGGTAATCCTGAGCCCACAAGCTGTTACCCCCCTACCCCTCCACAGATGCAGCTGGAAACAGAGAAGGAGAGAGTATCCCTCCTGGAGACACTGCTGCAGACGCAGAAGGAGCTAGCAGATGCCAGCCAACAACTGGAACGACTGAGGCAGGACATGAAAGTCCAGAAATTAAAGGAGCAGGTATGGAGGGTGGTCTCGGGAGTAGGGGAGAAAGGGGCACTCATTTACCCATTCGACCATGAAGGGTTCTTGGGCACTTCTTATGTGCCAGGCCCTGTGCTAGGTGCTGACATATGACAAGTACATAAAGGTATGGCACAGGCTGGGCAGGGTAGATCACGCCTGTAATCCCAGCACTTTGGCAGGCCAAGGTGGGTGGATCACCTAAGGTCAGGAGTTAAAGACCAACCTGAGCAACATGGTGAAACCCATCTCTACTAAAAATACAAAAATTAGCCGGGCATGGTGGCAGGCCCCTGTAATCCCAGCACATTGGGAGGCTGAGGCGGACAGATCAGTTGAGGTCAGGAGTTCGAGACTAGCCTGGCCAACATGGTGAAACCTCATCTCTACAAAAATACAAAAATTAGCTGTGTGTGGTGGCATTTGCCTGTAATCCCAGCTGCTTGGGAGGCTGAAGCAGGAGAATAGCTTGAGCCCAGGAGGCGGAGGTTGCAGTGAGCCGAGGTCACGCCACTGCATTCCAGCCTTGGTGATAGAGCGAGTCTCAAAAAAAAAAAAAAAAAAAAAAAGGTGTGGCACAGCAGTCAGCATAACAGACATTGCCCCTGCTCTCAAGGAACTTACATTCCTGTGGCAGAAATGGATGACAAATGAGCAGACACAAAGTAAATGAGATTATTACAGTTTGTGATAAGTGCTGTAAAGGAAATAGAATGATACAACTGAGAGTGAGTCAAAGGAGGTTCACTTTGCACTTAGTGGTCAGGGAAGGCCTCACTGAGAAAGTAACATCTGAGCTGAGACTTGAAGGTTAGAAAGAAACCAGCTCCGTGATACAACATAGGTGAACCTTGAAAACATCAGGTTAAGTGGAAGAGCCATATATTTTATATGATATGCTTCCATTTATATGAAACACCAAGAATAGGCAACTCTATAGAGGCAGAAAACAGATTTATGGTGGGGAATGGGGTGGGGAATGGGGATTGACTGTGAATGGGCACGGGGTTTATTTTGGGATTGATGGAAATGTTCTAAGATTGATTGCGATGATAGTTGCACAACTCTGTGAATATCCTAAAACCCACTACACAGTATACGTTAAATGAGTGAATTGTATGGTATATGAGTTATATCTCAAGCCATTTGAAAAAAAAAATGCCTGCCATGTGAAGAACACTTTAGGCAGAGGAAACACCTGTCGCAAGGGCCCTGGGACACAGAAGAGGGCTTGGGAAGTTCAAGGACAAAAAGGAGGCAGTGTGGCTCCAGCTTGATAAACTCAGGGGCGAGTGGAGCGGTAGCCAGAAGCCCTGTGTCAGCCATTGTAGGAGCTTGGATTTTGTTCTAAGAGCAATGGGAAACTGTTGGGTGGTATGTATGTATGTATTTGTTTGAGACTGAGTCTCGCTCTGTCACCCAGGCTAGAGTGCGGTGGCACTATCTCAGCTCACTGCAACCTTCGCCTCCCAGGTTCAAGCAATTCTTGTGCCTCAGCCTCCCAAGTAGCTGGGATTACAGGTGCCCGCCACCATGCTTGGCTAATTTTTGTATTTTTAGTGGAGAAAGGGTTTCACCATGTTGGCCAGGGTCGTCTCAAACTTCTGACCTCAAGTGATCCACCCACCTTGGTTTCCCTAAGTGTTGGGATGATAGGCGTGAGCCACCGCGCCTGGGCAGTTGGATGGTATTTAAAAAGCAGGGGTGGGATATGATTTATTTATATATACGTATACATATGTATATACATATATGTATATGTATTCTCTACTCTCCTGAGTAGAGAATAGTGTGTGTGTGTTTTTAGGGGATCGTGGCATCAAGTGGAAGTAGGGATATGGTTAGGAGACTGTTTCCATGGTCTAGGTGAGAGACTATTACCAATTCATGGACTCTGACCAAGAAACCTGGGTGAGCCAGTGCACTTTGTGAGGGAGGAGAGGGACTAGGAAGTGAGAAGGTGAGGTGGAAACAATGTGGATTGCTGGCTCCTGCCTCAGCTTTTGCCACCCCACCAAAAAAACCAGTATTTCTATGACACAGATTTCCTCTACTCAATGATTTCTTATCCCTCTTCAGGAGACCACTGGGATACTACAGACCCAGCTCCAGGAGGCTCAACGGGAGCTGAAGGAGGCAGCCCGGCAGCACAGAGATGACCTTGCTGCCCTCCAAGAAGAGAGCAGCTCCCTGCTGCAGGATAAGATGGACCTGCAGAAGCAGGTCCCCTCCTCCTCCCCACCAAGTCCCATGGTCCTTCCCCAACACAGCCAGGCTTTCCCACTTCCTCTTGCAGGACAGGGAGAACCTTGGCCCTGCTGCCTGGTTTGGGAGGGTAGATGGGTGGGCCACAGTACTGAGTGGAAAATTAGAGGGTGCTCAGAGTTGAGCATGTGCCTGGCAGAGCCCTGGGATAGTAATCTCTTTCTCTGTAATGGTCACAGAGTTTTTGTTTTCCCTGGCTGTCTCAGTTTCAATTGTTCTTTCCGTCCTTGCCAAAAATCTAATATTTTTACATACTAGGTTGCTTCTCCTCAGAATCCTATATCAAATGATGTTCTGACTTTTCATTTTTAAAAAAGCAATCACAATACATGTTTTGCCTTTGGGAGTAGTTATAGTCAGCCTTTTTTTCCTTCTTTTTGGTGGGGGAGACAGGATTTCACTATGTCGCCCGGGCTGAAGTGCAGATCATAACTCACTGCAGTCTTGACTTCCCAAGCTCAAGCAATTCTCCCACCTCAGCCCCCTGAGTAGCTGGGACTACAGATGTGTGCCATCACACTGGCTAATTTTTAAATTTTTATAGAGACAGGGTCTCACTATGTTGCCCAGACTGATCTCGAACTCCTGGTCTCAAGCAGTCTGCTCGCCTTGGCCTCCCAAAGTGTTGAGATTACAGGTGTGAGCCACCGCACCCAGCCCAGCCAAGATTTTTATTTGTGCCTGCCTCTATGCAGCATATGTGAGGCTGGGAGGCAGATGACCAGGCCGAATTGTATTGAGGAAGGGGGTGGTTAAGAACAGTGTGTAGGAATTGGTAGAATCGCCAGAGCATTGGAAATGGCCACTGACTATGGTAAACCTCGAAGGACCCTGAAGCCCTAGGTGAGGAGCATCTTCCCACCGGCCCCCTGCCCTGCCATCTTGGTCTTCATGCCCTTAATTTTCCAGGTGGAGGACTTGAAGTCTCAGCTGGTGGCCCAGGATGACTCCCAGAGGCTGGTGGAGCAGGAGGTTCAGGAGAAGCTGAGAGAGACCCAGGAGTATAACCGAATTCAGAAGGAGCTGGAGAGAGAGAAAGCCAGGTAGGCTAGATAGGCCATGGAGGTGGCTTTTGTCTATCTGGCTGCCATGGTCACTGTGATATTGACAGTTGTTTGCTCAGGCCACCTTGCCTTTCATGTCTGCAACTCTGGGATGTACATGTAGCCATGTGGAGAGGACATGGTTCCTGTCTTCAAAGCTTGAACTTCATTTATTTAGTAAATATTTCGTGAACGCCTGTTATGCACCAGGCACCATGCTTGGGGATACAGTGATAAACAAGACTGTATGGTCCCTGCCCCAGTAGAATTTATAGTTTTGTGGGGAAGACATTAATCAAATAATAACTCAAATTATTACGTTATGACACATGGAGGAAACAGGGTGAGAGAGAGAAGAGACTTTAGAACCATTGTTAGGGAAGGCCTTTCTCAGGAAGTTGCATTTAAACTGAGCACTCAGCATGAAGTGGAGCTACCCATGTAAAAGGGTGAGGGGGAGTTCTATTCCGTAAGAGGAGAAATAATATGCAAAGGCCGTGAGGCAGATAAAAGTTTACAGTGTTAACTGAAAGAGTGGTTGGAGCCTGATTGGATTGTAATTGGAGCCTGGTGAATGAGGAGAGTGGCATGAGCTGGGCAGGTCCACAGCATTCAAGATTTGGTAGGCCACAGCAAGGAGTTCGTAGTTTGAGTTTCATAGGAAACCTCTGGAGAATTTTAAGCAGGGAAATTGATACAATCCAACTTATGATGTATTTGAAGGGATTGTAATGCCATGAGACATCAGGAGTGAAAGAAGACCATTCAGAGTGAAGAGCAGCTTGTATTCTTAGTGCTGTGGGAATTTGAGAAGGGGATGGGCTGGGTGCTGTGTCCCACGACTGTAATCCCAGCACTTTGGGAGGCTGAGGTGGGCAGATCACTTGAGGTCAGGAATTCAAGACCAGCCTGGCCAACATGTCTACTAAAAATACAAAAAAAAATTAGCTGGGCATGGTGGTGGGTGCCTGTAATGCCAGCTACTTGGAAGGCTGAGGCAGGAGAATTGCTTGAACCAGGAGGTGGAGGTTGCAGTGAGCTGAGATCACACCACTGCACTCCAGCCTCGGTGACAGAACGAGACTCCATCTCAAAAAAAGCAAAAAACAACAAAAAAAAGACACAGTTTGAGAAGGGACACATTATTTTGGTGGTGAATCTAGAGGCAGGAAGACAAGTTAGGCTGGTACAGTTGTCCTGATGAGAGATCCTAAAGCTAAACCAAGGTAGGGTAGTGGGGAAGAGGAGGAGAGAAGAGAAGAGGTTTAAAGGATGTTAAGGGAGTTAGAATCAATTGTATATAATTATAGATTGGATGTAGGTAGGTTGAAGGGAGAACTCTGGAGTAGTCAAGGTTCTACGTTAGGACACTGTGTGGATGGAAGTGCCATTCACTGAGCTAGGGAACATAGTAGGAGATGATTGGGTGGACAGGGGAGGAGAGGAAAGGGATGGGGAAGATTTGGACATGTTGAACGTGAGGTACTAATATAAGGTATGTGTGAAATTTGCCAGAGAAGAATAAGGTTGATAGCTAGGCATGGTGGCGCATGCCTGCAATCCCAGCTACTCTGGAGGCTGAGGCACGAGAATCATTTGAACCCGGGAGGCAGAGGCTGCAGTGAGCCGAGATCGTGCCACTGTACCCCAGCCTGGGTAACAGAGCAAGACTCTGTCTCAATAAAAAAAAAACACAAAAAAACCTGTGAGGTTGAAATGGGGCATCATCTGCAGGAAGTACCTAGGAGCACTTATTATAGTAAGTGCTCAATAAATGATAGCTTTTATTGTTACATCATAATCATTATCATTACTATTTCTATTTTGATTATTAATGCTATGTTTAGAATACTCAGATGAGAAGGTAATTTTTCATTCCCTAAGAGAATGGCCCAGCACTCTGACCCCTCTCTTTTTAGCCTGACTCTCTCACTGATGGAAAAGGAACAGAGACTCCTTGTTTTACAAGAAGCTGACTCTATTCGACAACAAGAGCTGAGTGCCCTGCGCCAGGACATGCAGGAGGCCCAGGGAGAACAGAAAGAGCTCAGTGCTCAGGTACTTCCCACTCTGGTTATGAGCTCTGCATCCCTGGCAGAAGCCTGATTCTGAAGCGGTGGATTGATTGCTCTGAGTCCTCTCATGGAGAGGACCCATCTATTTTTCCTGATTACAGGATAGGCTGGTGCCTCAACACCCCTACAGGAGGGGGAAGCCAGGACTAGACAAGGCGGGGGCTTGGGAATCTGACCCAGAGATGGACATGGCTCCTGTGGGAAACCTGACAGCCCACAGCAAAGTGCACACGGGTGTAGCCCATGCAGGCCTGGTTCCAGCACACCGGCTTCAAAGTATGCTGGGTCTGGTTGGCAAGATGTAGCAGGGAGAATGAGCAACCAGAAATACTCCAGATCAGGCAGGCAGCAGCAAGACTTCCAGGGACTCAGTCTGCCCCCATCAGAACCCCAGATATTGTATACAGAGAAAAGATGGAACTAGGAGGGAAGGAATGGGGTGTAAGAGCCAGATGGTGGCTTGCAGGGGTTAAGGGCACACAGGTTTGGCTGTTCAATGGTCTTGAGTTTGAATGTAAGCTTTCTAATTGTGTGAACGTCAGCTTCTTCATCCATAAAACAAGGGTGAACAATTCTTGTTCCTAATTCCTATAACCATTATAGGAATATATAAAGTGTCAGGAACACAATAAGCATTCAATACATGGTAGCTATGTTATTGTGACTGGTCTTACTAGGCGCAGCGTCGAGGTTTCAGGGCAGAGTTCTGGTCATAGCAAGGAGCCAGCATATCTGCCCAGGAAGCCAGGGCTGAAGCCCATTAGCATAGCAGCCTGGGCCCATGTGTTCAGTAGTCGGCAGGCAGCCAGGTGTTAGATCTAGGGTAACACTCATTTCAGAGCCCCTCTACCTGCCTGAGAGCTGAGCTGAAATCCTCCCAGCCCTGATCAGAGTTTGTACAAGGATTGAGTGGGGTCTGGCCTGGGAAGGCCTGAGGAGAGGGTATCCGCTTCCTGCTTATATTATGTAAAATTCTTCCTTGACAGATGGAATTACTAAGGCAAGAGGTGAAGGAAAAGGAGGCTGACTTTCTGGCCCAGGAAGCACAGCTGCTGGAGGAGCTGGAGGCGTCTCATATCACGGAGCAGCAGCTGCGAGCCTCCTTGTGGGCCCAGGAAGCCAAGGCAGCCCAACTACAGCTGCGACTGCGCAGCACAGAGAGCCAGCTAGAAGCGCTGGCCGCAGAGCAGCAGCCCGGGAACCAGGCCCAGGCCCAGGCCCAGCTGGCCAGCCTCTACTCTGCCCTGCAGCAGGCCCTGGGGTCTGTTTGTGAGAGCAGGCCTGAGCTGAGTGGTGGGGGAGACTCTGCTCCTTCCGTCTGGGGCCTTGAGCCAGGTGAGACAGCCTCCCCAGAACTAGGTCCTTTGGGCCAAAGCCAGGCCTGGCTCCCAGGGGAAAGGGAGAGGAATGCTATTTGTTAGACCATATTGCTTCAGGGTTAAGATTACATACTTGGGAATTAATTCTGAGTTTAAGCCCCAGCTCTACCATTTGCTAGCTATGTGTCCTTGGGCAAGTCACCTGTCCTCTCTGAGCTTGATTTTCCTCAACTACAAAATGAGGATGTTAAAAGTATTTACCTTATAATTTCACCAAGGAGTTATGAGGTTGCAGATGTGAATCACTTACACGGTTCCTGGCACTTATTAAGTGCGTAATAAGTGATAGCTCGCATTAATCTAGCACCCACCATAGTGCCTGGCCCATACTTATGGAGAAAATATGTGATGAGTGAACTGCTGAGAAAGGGGTTCTTTGCGGAGAGGAGGGACCAGTTGGAAGGACAGGGCTGTGTCTGGAGAGGTCTGGCTGTTTCTTTTCATAGTGGCAGCCAGGTAAGGAGGTTTTCCTCATTTTTTCAGACCAGAATGGAGCTAGGAGCCTCTTTAAGAGAGGGCCCCTGCTGACTGCTCTCTCCGCTGAGGCAGTAGCATCTGCCCTCCACAAGCTTCATCAAGACCTGTGGAAGACTCAACAGACCCGGGTATGTTTCTCTGCTCCCCTTTCCCGAACTCTTTACATCCCTGGAAAAGCATGAGGCAAAGGGGTGTGAAGCAGTTTGACCTGTTTTATTCCTGAGATCAAGTTGGGATGAGTTTCACCTCTATCACTTACCACCTGGCAACCACAAATGAAGCATTTGAAGTTCCTGGGCCTTGTTTTCCCTTGCAGAGTAGGGCAGATAGTGCCTGCTCAGGGTTTTGAGGATTAGATGAGAGAGGATCTTGAATGAGCCCTGTAAACCAAAAAACCCTGGGTAGGCCAGGCACGGTGGCTCATGCCTGTAATCCCAGTGCTTTGGGAGGCTGAGACAGGTGGATCACCTGAGGTCAGGAGTTCAAAATCAGCCTGGCCAACATGGTGAAACCCCATCTCTACTAAAAATACAAAAATTAGCCAGAGGTGGCGGTGGGCACCTGTAATCCCAGCTACTCAGGAGGCTGAGGCAGGAGAATCACTTGAACCTGGGAGGTGGAGGTTGCAGTGAGCCAAGATTGTGCCATTGCACTCCAGGTTGAACGACAAAAGTGAAACTCCATCTCAAACAAACACAAAAAAACCCTGGGCAGATGTATGGCATTGTTTTCCATCATCTTCCACTCAGCTATGAATTAATTCTTGGTACCCAGGCTTCCAAGAGAAACCCTAGAAATCAGTGACCACTGAGATTTGAGGTTGGCATTTATAGGCATGTTCTAGGCCTAGGTCTGAAAGAGCTCATAAATTCCACCTCACAGTGAACCTATCAGTCAATACAAATTGAGTGTCATCCATATGTCAGCCACTCTGGGCTGGGTATACAAAAAGGAGAAAGACCTGGTCTCTGCCTAAAGAAGGCTTGTGACATGGTGGAGGAACCAAACTGCATTCTACTGGAAAGCAGAACTGAGAGAATTAATTGGATCAATAACAGACGCAAGTGATGCACTGTTGGAACTAGGAGGAGGGGGCAATTCATCCTGATTTGGGAAGGGTCAGAAGGAAAGAAGAGATGACCTTTGGGCTGAGCTTTGAAGTAGGAGTGTTGAGAGGGAAGTGGTGACCCCTGGGCTAACTTTGAGCAGGAGCTCTGTTTCAAAAGACATAGATAGGTCAGAAGGGGATGGATTCTCACACTCCATCCAAGTGGAGCAGAGCCTGTCATCACTTCAGGAAGCTAAATACACATGTGTTTAAAGGAAGTAACCCGGCAATCTGGGAGTAGGTCCACAATGGCGGCCCACCACAGAAGCTGAGAATGAGGAGAGAGCTTGAGCCCTGCATTGTTTTGTGGAAGATGAGGAACTCACGTTTAGCCATGCCCTTCCTTTCCCAGGATGTTCTGAGGGATCAGGTCCAGAAACTGGAAGAGCGTCTAACTGATACTGAGGCTGAGAAGAGCCAGGTCCACACAGAGTTGCAGGATCTGCAGAGACAGCTCTCCCAGAATCAGGAAGGTGAGAAGCTCAAGACAGGCAGGGAGATTGAGAGGGAGAAGGGATAGGTGGGGAGCCCAGAAGTGGCAGGCACAGGCCTAGCAGCCACTCTGTTTATTTTATTTTATTTTTGAGACGACATCTCACTCTGTCACTCAGGTTTGAGTACAATGTCACGACTTCGGCTCGCTGCAACCTATGTCTTCCGAGCAGCTAGGATTATAGGCATGCGCCACCACGCCTGGCTAATTTTTTTGGATTTTTAATAAAGACGGGGTTTCACCATGTTCACCAACCAGCGGAGCCACCGGGGTCTCTAGGAGCTCCTGCACAATTATAGGATTGGGGGCTAGAAGGGACCTCCAGTGTCATCTGGCTCAACCCTGTCTGGAATTGAGGGCCAAGGCTCTCTGTGATGAGGATGAGGACATATTGGGATGATTACCAGGCAGCGCTGGGGCTGGCAGCAGCAGGGAGTGCTTGAACTCCTGGCCTCAAGTGATCCGCCTGCCTCGACCTCCCAAAGTGCTAGGATTACAGGCGTGAGCCACTGCGCCCAGCTGCACTGCATTATTTACCCAGAAATGTGAGGTGAGATCTAGATGCACTTCCAAAGGGGTGCTGACCACCTTGAACTATTTTTTCAGCTTTGCTTGGCCTTTGAGGCCCATCCTGGAAGAAGAGATTAGGAGGAACAGATTTGATGAACTGAAAGAAGGAAATGGCTGGGCTTCCATTTTCTGTCTCTGTAGATTTAAAAATTAAAAAAATTGGAGACCCAGGGCCAGGACTGTAAGAACATTATAAAACTGCATCTTTTGTCATCCATGTTACTTATTTTTATCATCTTCAACTGTGTCCTCCAAGTTAGCCTTTGGTAGCTGAGGGATTATGAGCTTATTTGGGAGAAAGCAAAGAGAGGGGATCTGGGGAGGATATATCCATGTGCCAGCCAAGGACTAGAAAGTGTCATGACTCCTTACAAAGGACAGGAGAGGAAGGGTCTTGAAGCTCAAGTTTCTACTGTAAAAGAGAAGAGTTAGCCGGGTGTGGTGGTGGGCACCTGTAATCCCAACTACTCGGGAGGCTGAGGCAGGGGAATCGCTTGAACCCGGGAGGTGGAGGTTGCAGTGAGCCGAGATTGTGCCACTGCATTCCAGCCTGGGTGACAGAGCAAGACTCCATCTCAAAAAAAGAAAAAAAGAGAAGAGGACACCTTGGGTCTGGGCCTTTTTTGAGGCCGTTTGAGGGTTCCCTGAGAGCCACAAAAATAATGGGATTCCAACGCCTGTTGCAGAAATGGTGGGCAACCAGCAGAGCCACCCGGGTCTCTAGGAGCTCCTGCACAATTATAGGACTGGGGGCTAGAAGGAACCTCCAGTGTCATCTGGCTCAACCCTGTCTGGAATTGAGGGCCAAGGCTCTCTGTGATGAGGATGAGGACATATTGGGATGATTACCAGGCAGTGCTGGGGCTGGCAGCAGCAGGGAGTGCTGCCAGGCAAATAGAAGCAGCTGGCATCTGCCAGCTCTTGATGTCCTTGATATCTCTAGGACACTGGATATAATTTTCTCCTTCTTGGCCTTCCTTCCCTTTGAATCTGTTCCCCATCCTCCATCTGCCTCTATATCCCTCTATATCCCAAACATGGGTCTTACTCCACTACCTCTCCTCTCCTCTCCTCTCTTCTCAAAGAGAAATCTAAGTGGGAAGGAAAGCAGAACTCCCTAGAATCTGAGCTGATGGAACTACATGAAACTATGGCATCCTTACAGAGTCGCCTGCGGAGAGCAGAGCTACAGCGAATGGAAGCCCAGGTAAAGTGGTACTGGTTTCAGGGAGGGGTTTGCCTCAGGAGTAGTCCCTTGGGCCCACCTTGGCCTGTGGTCCTGTGTCCCACTTCCTTCAGCAAGTCTGTCAGTTCCTCTGGCTGTCTCCATGTCCCTGGGGGCCATTATTCAGGTTCCAATGAATCCTCCTTCAATTGCTTTTTCTGAATTGAGGTTGATATTTTTGCCCCTTGTCCTGAAGGACCAGCGTCTCCCCTGGGCATAGCAGAGTCCTGGAAGGTGGTAGGGATGCCCTTTTACAGTATCAGCTTAAGTGGAATATACCACCACTTTTTTTTGCCCAAGTCCTTATCACTGCTAGTGCCACAAAATAAGAAAGAGAAGGGTCGGTGTTGGGGTGACAGTAGCAGGGAAGTGTAGTCTAAAGTGGCTTTTCATCTTGTCTTCTAGGGTGAGCGAGAGTTACTTCAGGCAGCCAAGGAGAACCTGACAGCCCAGGTGGAACACCTGCAAGCAGCTGTCGTAGAAGCCAGGGCTCAGGCAAGTGCTGCTGGCATCCTGGAAGAAGACCTGAGAACGGCTCGCTCAGCACTGAAGCTGAAAAATGAGGAAGTAGAGAGTGAGCGTGAGAGAGCCCAGGCTCTGCAAGAGCAGGGCGAACTGAAGGTGGCCCAAGGGAAGGCTCTGCAAGAGAATTTGGCCCTCCTGACCCAGACCCTAGCTGAAAGAGAAGAGGAGGTGGAGACTCTGCGGGGACAAATCCAGGAACTGGAGAAGCAACGGGAAATGCAGAAGGCTGCTTTGGAATTGCTGTCTCTGGACCTGAAGAAGAGGAACCAAGAGGTAGATCTGCAGCAAGAACAGATTCAGGAGCTAGAGAAGTGTAGGTCTGTTTTAGAGCATCTGCCCATGGCCGTCCAGGAGCGAGAGCAGAAGCTGACTGTGCAGAGGGAGCAGATCAGAGAGCTCGAGAAGGATCGGGAGACTCAGAGGAACGTCTTGGAGCATCAGCTTCTAGAACTTGAGAAGAAAGACCAAATGATTGAGTCCCAGAGAGGACAGGTTCAGGACCTGAAAAAGCAGTTGGTTACTCTGGAATGCCTGGCCCTGGAACTGGAGGAAAACCATCACAAGATGGAGTGCCAGCAAAAACTGATCAAGGAGCTGGAGGGCCAGAGGGAAACCCAGAGAGTGGCTTTGACCCACCTTACGCTGGACCTAGAAGAAAGGAGCCAGGAGCTGCAGGCACAAAGCAGCCAGATCCATGACCTGGAGAGCCACAGCACCGTTCTGGCAAGAGAGCTGCAGGAGAGGGACCAGGAGGTGAAGTCTCAGCGAGAACAGATCGAGGAGCTGCAGAGGCAGAAAGAGCATCTGACTCAGGATCTCGAGAGGAGAGACCAGGAGCTGATGCTGCAGAAGGAGAGGATTCAGGTTCTCGAGGATCAGAGGACCCGGCAGACCAAGATCCTGGAGGAGGACCTGGAACAGATCAAGCTGTCCTTGAGAGAGCGAGGCCGGGAGCTGACCACTCAGAGGCAGCTGATGCAGGAACGGGCAGAGGAAGGGAAGGGCCCAAGTAAAGCACAGCGCGGGAGCCTAGAGCACATGAAGCTGATCCTGCGTGATAAGGAGAAGGAGGTGGAATGTCAGCAGGAGCATATCCATGAACTCCAGGAGCTCAAAGACCAGCTGGAGCAGCAGCTCCAGGGCCTGCACAGGAAGGTAGGTGAGACCAGCCTCCTCCTGTCCCAGCGAGAGCAGGAAATAGTGGTCCTGCAGCAGCAACTGCAGGAAGCCAGGGAACAAGGGGAGCTGAAGGAGCAGTCACTTCAGAGTCAACTGGATGAGGCCCAGAGAGCCCTAGCCCAGAGGGACCAGGAACTGGAGGCTCTGCAGCAAGAACAGCAGCAGGCCCAGGGACAGGAGGAGAGGGTGAAGGAAAAGGCAGACGCCCTCCAGGGAGCTCTGGAGCAAGCCCATATGACACTGAAGGAGCGTCATGGAGAGCTTCAGGACCACAAGGAACAGGCACGAAGGCTGGAGGAAGAGCTGGCAGTGGAGGGACGGCGGGTCCAGGCCCTGGAGGAGGTGCTGGGAGACCTAAGGGCTGAGTCTCGGGAACAGGAGAAAGCTCTGTTGGCCCTCCAGCAGCAGTGTGCTGAGCAGGCACAGGAGCATGAGGTGGAGACCAGGGCCCTGCAGGACAGCTGGCTGCAGGCCCAGGCAGTGCTCAAGGAACGGGACCAGGAGCTGGAAGCTCTGCGGGCAGAAAGTCAGTCCTCCCGGCATCAGGAGGAGGCTGCCCGGGCCCGGGCTGAGGCTCTGCAGGAGGCCCTTGGCAAGGCTCATGCTGCCCTGCAGGGGAAAGAGCAGCATCTCCTCGAGCAGGCAGAATTGAGCCGCAGTCTGGAGGCCAGCACTGCAACCCTGCAAGCCTCCCTGGATGCCTGCCAGGCACACAGTCGGCAGCTGGAGGAGGCTCTGAGGATACAAGAAGGTGAGATCCAGGACCAGGATCTCCGATACCAGGAGGATGTGCAGCAGCTGCAGCAGGCACTTGCCCAGAGGGATGAAGAGCTGAGACATCAGCAGGAACGGGAGCAGCTGCTGGAGAAGTCTCTGGCCCAGAGGGTCCAAGAGAATATGATCCAAGAGAAGCAGAATCTGGGGCAAGAGAGAGAAGAGGAGGAGATAAGGGGCCTTCATCAGAGTGTAAGGGAGCTACAGCTGACTCTAGCCCAAAAGGAACAGGAGATTCTGGAGCTGAGGGAGACCCAGCAAAGGAACAACCTGGAAGCCTTACCCCACAGCCACAAAACCTCCCCAATGGAGGAACAATCTCTAAAACTTGATTCTTTAGAGCCCAGGCTGCAGCGGGAGCTGGAGCGGCTACAGGCAGCCCTGAGACAGACAGAAGCCAGGGAGATTGAGTGGAGGGAGAAGGCCCAGGACTTGGCACTCTCCCTAGCGCAGACCAAGGCCAGTGTCAGCAGTCTGCAGGAGGTAGCCATGTTCCTACAAGCCTCTGTCCTGGAGCGGGACTCAGAACAGCAAAGGCTGCAGGTAAGTCACTCCATGGGGAGTAAGGGCCAGGGGACACACCCCTGTCTGGCTGAGCTCAGGGACTGCCCACCACCCTGGGCCCTGTGGCACCTCAGGGGTATGAGAAAGCTGAGATCATGAGCACCTCAACATCGGTGGGATTCAGGCTACTGTGCTAGTCGGGAGATACAGAGAGGATAAGAACCCCACAGTCCCTGCCCTCACAGAGTTCACAGTCTAGTGGGTAAACAACGATAATGCAGTGTGGTTGGTGCCTAATGGGGGAAGTTTAGTATGCCCCAGGCATGCTGGAGGGATGCCCACCCTTTCCTGGGAGTGGGTCCTGAAAGGCTTTCTGGTAAAAGTGGTGTTTAAGATTAGACCTGGGCCAGGCACGGTGGCTCACGCCGGTAATCCCAGCACTTTGGGAAGCCGAGGCGGGCAGATCACTTGAGGTCAGGAGTTCGAGACCAGTCTGGCCAACATGGTGAAACCCCGTCTCTACTAAAAATACAAAAATTAGCCAGGTATGCTGGCATGTGCCTGTGATCCCAGCTACTTGGGAGTCTGAGGCAGGAGAATTGCTTGAACTCAGGAGGCGGAGGTTGCAGTGAGCCGAGATCGCACCATTGCACTCGAGCCTGGGCAAAGAAACGAGACTCCATCTCAAAAAAAAAAAAAAAAAAATAGACGTGAAGGGACCAGTAAGGAACTAGCCAAGCACAGGTTGAGGAGGAGCATTCACGGGAAGAGGAAAAGAGGGCGAGAACAAGTGTAGTATCTGTGTAGATGGTTCAGGTTGCATGGGACAGAGGGAGGATTTGGGAAGAGACCGGAAGACAGCAGGGGCCACACCTGTCAGGGCTTACAAGTCATGCTGAGGACCTGGGTGGTGGGAAGCAGATGAAGTTTTTGCAGCAGGGGAGTGATGTGATCAGACATACAGCTCACAAAGATTGCTCAGGCTGCCGTGTGGAGCAACAGCATGTCTGGAGAGACCCACTGGGAGGCTGTACTGGGAAGTCCAGGGGAGAGCTTGTGCCCTAAGATGGAAAGTGTGAATGGAGACATGTGGGTGGGTCTGAGAGGTAGGACTTGATTGGCTAAGAGGTGGGAGGAATAAAGAGAGGGCAGAAAGAAGTCAAAGATGACACTCAGGTTCCTGTTCATGAAGATGAAGAGAAGCAGGTGTGAGAAAGAGGAGTGGAATGAATGATGAGGTCAGTTTGGAAATGGAGGGAGGAGCCTGTTGGCAGGTCAGTAAAATGATCTGAAGCTGAAGGATGGAGTTGAAGCCAGAGACACTTTGGAGTCATCAGCAGTTAGAACAAATGGGTTTCTTGTAGGCAGAATGTTGAGTGAGAGAGGAAGTGGGCTTAGGAGAGGACTTCAGGGTGTATTATTTAACCTCAAGGTCAAGCACCGTGTCTTAGTCACCTTTGTACCCCCGGTACTGAGCACAAGACCTGCAGAGAGCAGGCAAACAGGAAAGCCAAGTTGGCTCAAGAGAGAGAGGCATCATCTCTTTTTCCAAAAGACGCCCAGTCCAATTTTCCAGGGAAATAGACTCTACATCCTGGTCCCTTGACTGGGCCCCAGAGAACCCCAGACACACAGTCCCCCAGAGAGTTCATTCTGGGAACTCACAAAGCTCTGCTCTTGGTGAAGGGCAATATGAGGAGAAGGAGGTCCATCTGTGAACTCCAAAGTTCACAGGGTTTGAAATACAGTAGTGCGGCTTATCAGCTGTGTAACCCCGGGTGAATGCCTTCACTCTGATCTTCAATTTCTCATCAGTAATATAGGCATTGGTGGTATGACATGGCATGATATGTATGAATTGCTTAGGAAGAAAGCACTAAGTGGACCTCCTTTCCTATGTTCAGGCCCATTCTTACAGGCACAGCAAAAGTAAGTTATGTAATTGGGCAGGAGGGCACTTCCCACCCATACTCTTGGGTTACTGAGCAGTATTCACTCAATAACATAACTCTGGTCAGAGTCACTTCACCCACTGCCACCTCCAAACACACAGGGTGAGACTCTTGTCTCAAAAAAACAAACTCATAAATGGCAGGACTGGAATGAGGTCTGAGTCATCTGCCTCTAGAGCGCAGGCTTTCTGTCACCAAGCTCTTCCTCTCTCCCAGGCAACCCACATCCACCTGCGTACACTTGTTTTCTCTTGTTCATCTCTTCTTGACTGTTATCATTTATGAACCACAGGGCACCTAGAAAGTATCTAGCATGAGGCTTCCCCATTTATCCAAAGGGACTTAACCTAAGGACTTGATCCATGTTTCATGGTGCATGTAGTCGTTTTATAAATGAGGAAATTGGGGTTTGGGGAGAGCTTGTGCTTTGACCAGAGTCATATAGCCACTGAGTGGCTATATGGGCCACTGGGTACGCCACAGGGCACCCAGCCCTGTGTGACTCGAGAGTCCATGCTGTTCCCACAGCACATCAGTGCTCTGAGTCATTGCTCAGCCTTCTAGGAGATGTGAAGTGAGCTGGGGGCTCTGATCCTAGCTTCCTTGCTAGCTCACCGCATATCCTTGAGAAGAGCCCCTCTGCTCCTTTGTTTTACCTATCTGTAAAATGAAGGTTCTGTACTAGAATGACTCAGAGCCTCTAGGAAAAATAAGACAAAAGCCTGAGGAGAACATTGAACCGCTGTTTGTGTGGAGGATGGGTTGGTCTGGATATGAGGTTGGCAAGGTGTGATTTTGCTCCATACCTCCGTACCCTAGGATGAACTGGAGCTCACCAGACGGGCTCTGGAGAAGGAGCGGCTACACAGCCCAGGTGCAACCAGCACAGCAGAACTGGGGTCCAGAGGGGAGCAGGGTGTGCAGCTGGGAGAGGTGAGCTGGGGGCTCTGGGGGAACAGGTGACCCAGCAGGGAGCTCCTGTCCAGGGGTTTGTCCCCTTCCCTTGGGAACTGGGTTCCTGAAGCTTAAACCTGCCAGATTGGTCTGTGTGTCCTCTGTCTGTTCCCTACCTGTCTTAGGGGCTGCCCAGGTGAGATTCACAGGTCTTTCCCACAGGTCTCAGGAGTGGAGGCTGAGCCTAGTCCTGATGGAATGGAGAAGCAGTCATGGAGACAAAGGCTTGAACACCTGCAGCAAGCAGTGGCCCGGCTGGAGATTGACAGGAGCAGGCTGCAGCGCCACAATGTCCAGCTGCGGAGTACCTTGGAGCAGGTGACCCCTCTTCTTGTCCAGTGGGCATGCATCTCCACTTCTCGTGTGGTCCCTAGAGCATAGGCTCAGTAAATTACAGCCTGTGGGCCAAATCCAGCCTGCTGCCTGTTTCTGAAAATTAAGTTTGTTTTTTTTTTTCCCGAGACAGAGTCTTGCTCTGTCTCCTAGAGCTGGAGTGGAATGGTACGATCTCCGCTCACTGCAACCTCCACCTCCCGGGTTCAAGCAATCCTCCTGCCCCAGCCTCCTGAATAGCTGGGATTACAGGCATGCACCACCATGCCTGGCTAATTGTTGTATTTTTAGTAGAGATGGTGTTTCACTATGTTGGCCAGGCTGGTCTTGAACTCCTGACCTTGTGATCCGCCTGCCTCAGCTTTCCAAAGTGCTGGGATTACAGGTGTGAGCCACCACGCCCAGCCCTGAAAATTAAGTTTTATTGGAATACAGCCATGCATTGTTTATGGCTGCTTCCCTGCTATGCCCCACAAAGCCTACAGTACTTACTGCAGGAGAACTTTGCTGGCCTTTGCTCCAGAGGTCTGAGAGGCTGGCCCTGCCTCTTCTGCTTCAGGAGCACTTCTTTGCACTGAGGCCTGCCCTAGCTGTGCCTTCCTCAGCCAGGAGTTCTCTTCCCATGGTTACTGTCCCCTCATATACCTGCACAGGCACTGGCCACCTCTGGAGAAAGGCAGCTCTGCTCCAACCACAGAGCCAAGCCGAGCCCTGATTTCTTATTTGCACCTTGGCAGGTGGAGCGAGAACGGAGGAAGCTGAAGAGGGAGGCCATGCGTGCGGCCCAGGCAGGGTCCCTAGAGATCAGCAAGGCCACGGCTTCTTCACCCACACAGCAGGTTTACTCATTTTCCTCAGCTGCAGCCTTAGAGAGCCCAACCCCAGCCACCAGAAACTCAGCCCTCCTCATTGCATATCCCGGGCCAACAGCACTTCAGCTAGTCCAGAGAGCCCCTCCTGACTGCATTCTGCCCTGCTCGGCACAGCTCAGTCTGTCCCTGCCCTGAGAAGGAGGCCCAACATTGGGGTGGGGGTTGGGGTGGCTAGTGGCCCTGCCTTCTGAGGGACTTAGATCTGTGTACTCCCAGACCAGTGCCACAGGCTGGCCCGGGAGTGGGGCTCATGGGGCTCTGCTTAGGATCCCTGGTGTATGGGGGTTGTGTGGTGCTTGCCAGCTCCTGAGGAGCCTAGGAGCTTGATCACAGCTTGATCTCTTAGACCTTTTTACAATGTTGAGTTTATAGGCTTAGGGTCCATGGTCTTTCCTGGAGCCAGTGTCCCTTTTTTGGGTAAGAGGCTTGGGGAAGACTCCCCAAACTACTCGTCTAGGTGAGGTATCCCTGCCAACAGACACAGGCTTGCAGCCTGACAGGGAGGCGCTGTTTATGGTGGCTGAGCACTAGATCTCCATCCCTTGTCCTTTATTGAAAGTTCTCAAGGGCAGGCACCGTGTCTTCCTCTCTGCATCCTTAGCTCACAGCCCAGGGCTAGCACAAAGCAGATACATGGTGTACTTCTGTTAAATTAAAACATGCCTCAGAGAAGCAAATGCCATCCAGGCCTTTTGGATGTTTTGTGTCAGGTCTCCATGGCGTTGCCCATTATGCTGGTGTGGGGCCTCTCCTTGCTGCAGGGCCTGCTGCCCCATAGACGTCCAGTCTGAGTTCAGATGCTTCTGGCCCATAGCCCTTGCCCAGGCCCCTAAGATTGTGATGAGGTTCTGCAAGGAAACTTGCAGAAACCCCAGAGTGGGAAGGCCTATGCCAACAAGAGTGCTGTTTGTCTTCCTTAGGATGGGAGAGGACAGAAGAACTCAGATGCCAAGTGTGTGGCTGAACTGCAGAAAGAGGTATGTTCTGGATTTTCTAAGCCCATATTCCCTCCCTTGCACTCAGGCCCTTTGTGCACCTCCAGCAGGGAGAGGGGAAGTTCCTCCCTTCAGAGAACTTCAGTCTCCATGGGAGGCAAAAATAGTCCCAGTCCCAACCCCATCTCTCATATGCCTAGGGTGGGAGTGGGGAAGAAAGCATGATCCTGGCCCCCGACTTCCAAATCCATACTTAGAAAGGGAAAGGAATAGGAAGAGGGCTGAGGAGCAGGCAGAAGATTCTAGGAGGACAGGTGGGAGCAAGGGAAGCCATCCTGGCCTCCCTGCCCTCAGAGGTGCCCTCGCAGCCAAGACTGTTGCCAGTGCCCCAGACAGAGGAGCCAGGCACCAGCACAAGCTCCAGGCCACACAGCTCAGCACAAGCTCCAGGCCACACAGCTCAGCTCAAGCCGCCACTCGCAGAGAAGTGACTTGAAGAGCCTTCCTGCCTCTTAGGCCTCAACTAAAAGTCCACTCTCCCTTTCAAGTTGCAGGAATCATAAGTGTTACCTTTTTATTTCTGAGCCTATTTCAGAAATCAGTAGTCACTACTGGCAGGGCCTGACTCTGTAGCTAGACCTAAGCTATTACTTTGAATTCTATTAAACTCAGAATGTTTTTCTATTTTATTAAAAAGTCAAAGCAGGTGCAGTAGCTCACACCTGAAATCCCAGCACTTTCGGAGGCCAAGGTGGGCGGATCGCTTGAGGTCAGGAGTTTGAAACCAGCCTGGCCAACATGACGAAACCCTGTCTGTACTAAAAATACAAAAATTAGCTGGACGTGGTGGTGCACACCTGTAATCGTAGCTACTCAGGAGGCTGACACACAGGAATCACTTGAACCCGATGGGGTGGAGGTTGCAGTAAGCCAAAATTGCATCACTGCACTCTAGCCTGGGCAACAGAGCAAGACTCTGTCTCAAAAAAAAAAGTCAGATAGTGGTTATACTTGAGTATATATTGTTATCAGCCTCATCAAAATGTACATTTAAAACTGGGCATTTTTCACATGTAAATTATCTTTCAGTGAAGTTGATGAATAGCTTTGTGGTTTTCAAGCGCGCTATTTGAGTCACATGTGCAGCCAGGATTGAGAATCACTGGATTCTAGAATTCCTAAGGGCCCTTCCTCTAAACTCTCTACAGCCTGTTTCTGAGATTCGTGTATGTGGTAGAGTTGATTCAGATGATCAGCCAACGAGCTTCAGAGAACACAGAGCAGGAAGAGCTGGGACAACTTCAGGGCCCTCAGCTGCTCTCGCTTTTTTTTTTTTTTCCTGCCCACCAGGTGGTCCTGCTGCAAGCTCAGCTGACTTTGGAGCGGAAGCAGAAGCAGGACTACATCACCCGCTCAGCACAGACCAGCCGTGAGCTAGCAGGCCTGCACCACAGCCTCTCACACTCACTTCTTGCCGTGGCCCAGGCCCCTGAGGCCACTGTCCTGGAGGCAGAGACCCGCAGGCTGGATGAGTCCCTGACTCAAAGTCTGACATCCCCAGGGCCAGTCCTGCTACACCCCAGCCCCAGCACTACCCAAGCCGCCTCCAGGTAGCAGCCACAGCCAGGAGCACACAGACAGAAGACTGTGTCATGGGTCATGGCCCCTCCGCACACCTACAGGTTTGCCAAAGGAAAAGCCTGGCTCTGTTAGGCACCCAGGAGCCCCAGGTCGGCGGGTGTTCCCAGGAAGAGGAAGTAAATCTGCAACCCTGGGGAGGACCCCAACTCACCTGGGAATGAGGCAAATTGCATTTGCTTGCTCCCTATGGAATCACCCAGAGGGGTGCCTTGCCCTGGCTGAGGGACATGTACTGCCTCTCATCTAGAATTTATTTTCCTAGCACTTCACCACCTCCTTCATCTTCTCCTTCAACAATAAACCCTGGGATCTTTGCATTCATTTTCTGCTGCTGTCTCCACTTGTGCAGCTGGGTGGCAGCACCACATCAAGGGAGTTTATCTGGGAAGAACTTGCCAAAGATTCCTGTTGAGGTAGCATGCATTTATTGTACACCATGCACTGTGATAGGGAAGGGTTACAGAGAACACACAAGACAAAGCCCCTGTCCACAGACAGCCTACAGTCCAGTTGATGAGAACAGGCTAACACTCATTTATGAGTCAGAGGCAATTCTGTGTACTGACTAGAAGAACTGTAGAAATTCCAGGGGCTGAGGAAGGGAGGCACGAACTGGCCCTTGAAAGATGGAGTGGGGTTGGAGGTGTTGCCAAGCACACAGTGAGAAGACTGGTCTGACTGTGGCAGGGGGTTGGGGCTGAGCTTGGGTGGGTTGAGCGGGGAGATTTTGGAGGGTTAAAAGAAGTTCTGGGGCCTCAAAAACACAGCGTTGACCTTTAGCTAAAGTCAGAGTCTCTGAGTTCAGAAGCTCCACATGGCCTCATTCCTCTTCTACTCTGGGTGAATGTCCTTGAGATGTCGCTTCCTGGGCATATCAGCTGGAACTGATCTGGTCGCCTGTAGTCCAACCATGTGTCAAGCCAATCAGAAGGATGGACTATGGCGGAACTTCTCACCCATGGACTGGTCCTAGTGGAGGCTGGACAGAACCCAGCTCACAGGCTTAAGACCTATTGCTGGCAACCTCCTCAAAGCCTAAAAATTGTTTAATTTTTTTAAGAGACAGGGTTTTGTCCTGTCTTCCAAGCTGGAGTGCAGTGGCACAATCACATCTTACTGCAGCCTGAAACTCCTGGGCTCAAGTGATCCTCCCACCTCAACCTCTCAAAGTGCTGGGATTACCGGTGTGAGCCACCATGCCCAACCAGAACAGTTTTCCTTAAAGAAGCAGGCCATTACCTTCCTCTGGCACTCCCACCATAATCTGGAATTCCTCTTTACTAAGCCTGGGGATGGAACTGAGACCTAGCCAAGAATCTGGGAGGGGTAAGAGCAGCACCCACTCACCCAGACCTCCTAATTTGGGGCTCAGCCCCATTATGTCTCATTGCACCACACAGAGTGGAAATGGGGCTGTTCACAGCGACTAGAGCTTTGTTCCAGAAACCTACACATGCAGCTCAGCAACAGATGCTTAGTGAAAACTTCTGAAACCCCAGAAACAGATCTGGGGCCCCAGAAATGCTGTCCTGGTCCCTATTTCCAGTCAGATTCCCTGTAGCTTAAAATCCTTACCTGGCTTTTAGGCCATTTATTTCTTTTTCCTTTTTTTTTTTTTGAGACAGAGTTTTGCTCTTGTTGCCCAGGCTGGAGTGCAGTGACGTAATCTCGGCTCACCAGTGGCAACATCCACCTCCTGGGTTCAAGCAATTCTCCTGCCTCGGCCTCCTGTGTATCTGGGATTATAGACACGTGCCACCATGCCCGGCTAATTTTGTATTTTTAGTAGAGACAGGGTTTCTCCATGTTGATCAGGCTGGTCTCGAACTCCCGACCTCAGGTGATCCACCCACCTCGGCCTCCCAAAATGTTGGGATTACGGGCATGAGCCACCGCGCCCGGCCCTTTAGGCCATTTTTATGCTAGGAGTTGTCAGAGACAAGACTTCTCTTGGTTGTTCACTTGTTACATCCTCCAGCCCTGGTTCTCAGGCTCGGGCTGACAGAGGGTCCCTGTTTTTTACCTTAGAGTTTCTTCTCAGCATCATTTTCTGTAGGTCATGAGCCAGGGCCTTAGGCCCCACATACCTTCTGGGCCTCAGAGAGGTTCCAGCAGCTGAAAGACATCTTAGAGGCTGCCAAGCAGGGTCTTTATTCAGGACTAGACTAATCTGTATTTGCTCTTCTCTTTCCATCCAACCCTCAAGAGCCCCCCAGCTCCATTATAGACCTCGGCCTAGGGTCTCCCCTCCCCACCAGATATTCAGAGCAGGGCTGGCCTTCAGTTCAAGTGTAGACTGTGCTCTTGCCCTCACACTCGAGCTTGTGGATGATCTTCCACTCCGGCTTTCTAAAGTACACTTTCCTTGCCCAGTAGCAGGATTGCCTCTGTGGAGTGTCCCACCAATAATGGTGACAACTGCTGTTTTCATCAGCTCCAGACCCAAAGAGACCTGAAGTGGGGAAGTGTGAAGGAAGGAATATGTGTCATCCAGGGGGGACCCAACTTTGCCTAAGGGCATGAGGCCGGAGCCTCCTTTCCTGACCTTGTCACATGTGGCAGGGTATAACCAGAATGGTGAATCCAGCAGACGGGAGGAGTCCCTGGCAGTCCAGCCAGTTCTCGTGGATGTACTTGAGGAAGGTGCAATTGGCCACCAGAACATGCAGGAGTAGAGGTTAGAGCTCAGCCACAGAGATTATCTTCTTGCAGAAAACTTTTTTCCCCCTTCCTAATCTTGTCTGCTTTGATAGAAGCTGGTACTGGCTGGAAAGGCCTGAAAGCAGGAGGGGACAAGAGTCGTCAGAGGCTGGGCAATGTTCTTGTTTCCGGGGAGTGCTGAGGTCCGGCGGGTGCTGCCCCTGTTCTCTCAAGGATCCCACGTGCTTTGTGTGTTAGAGCAGTGACCATCACCTCCCAACCCAAGGACCTTTGCTGCTCTGCTTCCCACATGGGACTGCCAGCACCCTGAAGGCAGAAAAACTGAATGTACCCGTTAAAGGAGGAGAAGCTGGTGGTGTATGTTGAGATAAGGAGGGTGGGGAGTGTACAGTTACAGGCTGCACAGGGAGGGCAAGATCAATGTTGACACCAAAGTGCCAAAGGCTGTCTGCGCCAGGTCTGGGGCCCCCACTGGTCATACCGCCTGATAAAACCATTGCAGTCCACACTAGGTCTGGAGGCTTCGACACCCACAGCATGTGGGTGTTCTCATGCAGGCCATGAGTATTCGGGGTGCTTTAAGTGCAGGGGAGTTCTGTTGTCCACGTTATTCTTAAAGCCCAGAATAGGCCCTGTTTTATTCTACAGAGATAGGAAGGCACTGGGGCTCACAGAGTGGTGCTGCTTCCCACCCTCACCCTTCTGCCCCCACCTGAGCACAGTGTGGTGCTCAGTGATGGTTATCCTATATTCCAAATACGCATGGCCCAGGACTGGCAGAGTCGGAGCTCGGGGTCTAGCTGTGACCTGGGGATCGGTTGGAGTAGCTTCTTGACCAGCCGGAATTGGGTTAGGTGTCCTAGCATTGGTGCCTATGGAGAAGAACACAGACTGTTTATCACTCACCCCTGGTTCCAGTACCAAGGAAAGGCTGGAGCCATTGCAACTGGAGGCCCAGCGGAGGAAGGGATCAAGAAGAGGATGCAGCCCAGAGCCCAGGACCGAGCATCCACCGGCCTCTGGAGATGGCGTGGTCTCCAGTTGCATCGGGGCTTCAGGGCCCATCTGAAGTGCTGATCAAACCAGGCAGACACACCATGCTGGTGAAGGCAGGCTTTGTAGATGCGGGGCTGAATTGAGCAGCCACAGAACCTCTGCAGCTCTGGGGCCAGTGGCAGAACTTCTAGAAGTACCTGTGGGGTGGGAAACCCCAGCCACAAAAGCAGTGAGCTGACTTCCAGGCCTGAGGCTTTGCCTGCAGGCCTCATCTCAGCCCATGGGACAGATTCCTGGTTTTTTTAGTTTGGCCTTGGGGTAGATGATACCTTCAGCTGTCCACCCTGCAATACCTCACCTCCTGCCTTCTGACCCAGTACTCTGCAGAGCGGGGGAATGGGGCCAGGGGACAGGGGCAGGGAAGAGGAAGAAGCAAGAGCTGCCAGTGTGCTCCAAACCAAGAGAGCCCTCCACATGATTCTGGGCACAGCTGAGGAGGAGTGCAAGCTCAACTCTGCTCACCACACTTAAGAAGCAGGCAAGGGAGGATGAAGGGCAAAAACATGGGGTCCTGAGGCCCTTTTACTCCCTCTACCCTGCTGGAGGTGAGGATGAGAGGTGAGACTTCGTTGGACTGTGCTCCTGGCCAGTTGATCTCACCCAACTCATTACATCAGTAGCCTGGTCACAGGGTGGACACTCTGACCTCTTCTTAGCCTTTCATTGGCAATACTACCAGCTCTATATATGCCCTTATAGGGCCTGAACCTTGGCTCAGGTGGATGGGCTTGGAGGTAAAATAATTGAATGGGTCAGGGGTAGGAGGAGAGATGAGTCTCTGCCAAGGCTGTGTGATGTGTCATCTGAGAGAGTGGGTAACCCCTATTCCCAGCACATGGCCATTTATTTAGAGCCAGGGAGGGGGACGAGAATTCATATTCAAATGTGATTCTTTCTTAATTACTACCAGTTGTTCAGGTGAGGGAA
Organism: Homo sapiens; assembly: GCF_000001405.40. NCBI lineage: Eukaryota > Metazoa > Chordata > Mammalia > Primates > Hominidae > Homo > Homo sapiens. Next base: position 35,516,298 of record NC_000020.11, read on the forward strand.
TCAGGGAAGGCCAGATTAATAATCCACACATTGCCCTTGCACCTCCTGTCTTGGTTTCCTATCAAAACCTCTCCCGTATCTATGAACATTCCAGCCCTGCAGGTCAGATTGCTGGCCAGGAGTAGTCTCACATTCTAGCTGACTGATGGCCTCGGCTTCTGCTGTTGTATGTGGTTTGATGATTCATGCTGGAGCCTTTGGCTATAACTCTCTTCCCTGTATAAGGGCCATCTGAAGTTTGTCTGCCTGACTCCATTACCTGGTGAATGAGATTGGCTAGCTGCTGCTCCTGCCCCAGCTATTCAGTCATTTGGCAAATACTCATTTAAACAAAGCTCCACAGGGATCTCTGAGAAGGAGCTCACCTCTAGGCACACAGAACCTGGACACAGATGAAAGTTTGCAGAATGACCCAGTTGTGCAGAAGAGACCCACTGGCTGCTCTCAGTGAGGCCAGGGAGAGTCAAACAGAGCATCTTGGACAAAGAGAGGGCTTGAAGGCCCTTTCAAAGTGTCAAGCCAGTTGGATGCACGGGTTGTGTGGAGTCCAGGGGTACATCCAGAAGCAATGGCAGGTGTTATCCATTCATTCAGGTTAGACCTCTGAGCAGACGGCAGAAACGTCAGCCACAGGTGAGCATAAGCTCAAACCCCCCCATTGAAGGCTACATTCTTGTCCCACAGGGCAGAGCACATGGCAAGTGGCATGCTGACTCAGACACCGGGCACTGAGAAAAGTGGGAAGCCATGGTCACAGACTCTACATTCCCCTCTCCTGTTGGCCTCCATCCCTTCCTCAACCGTCCGCAGAACACCTCCTTCCAGCACCTTAGCTCCTGCCTCCCTCTGGACCTATTCAGTCCTCAAGGGTGCCCTGCTAAAGGCTGGGCTGAAAGCTAAGAGGAGAGGTGGCATTCAATGTGTCCTGTGTCCTCCCTGGGGTTGATTAAGGGGTCGATGCCCAATAGAGTCCTTCATCTTGGTGTTCAGCCCAGGGTCCAGCTGCCAAGGGAAGGCTTGGCAATCAAGGGTGATGGAGATAAGAATGAAAAGGGGCACCACCCTGTGCCAAAGCTGGCATGTTGTATATCTGAGAGAGGAGCTGCCTATTCACAGTGTAGGGTTGTCAAGCTGGAGGCAGGGAGAGAAAAGCAAGAGCTTTTTGGTTCCTCTTGAGGATAGAATCTATAGGAAAATGTAAGAGGGTTAAAAATAAATTTCCCATGCATCCAAACTTTTTTCTTTGGTAGACTTTCTTGTCATCTATTTAAAATGAAACAAGTGCATGTACGTGGTTAAGACATTTTAGCTAGGAATGATGGTGCGTGCCTGTAGTCCCAGCTACTTGGGAGGCTGAGGCAGGAGGATCGCTTGAACCTGGAAGGTCAAGGCTGCAGTGAGCCGAGATCATACCACTGCACTCCAGCCTGAGTGATAAAAGTGAGACCCTGTCTCAAAAAAAAAAAAAAAATTAAAGAAGTTAAACAGTGCCGGGCTTGGGGGCTCACGCCTGTAATCCCAGCACTTTGGGAGGCCCAGGCAGGCAGATTGCTTGGGCTCAGGAATTCAAGACCATCCTAAGCGAAAAAATATAAAAATTAGCTCAGTGTGATGATGTGCCTGTAGTCCCAGCTACTCGGGAGGCTGAGGTGGGAGGATCACCTGAGCCCAGGGAGGTCAAGGTTGCAGTGAACCATGATCATGTCACTGCACTCACTCCAGCCTGGGCAACAGAGCAAGACTGTCTCAAAAAAAAAAAAAAAGGAAATTAAATAAAAAGAAGATAGCAGTTTCCCACCTCATTCTTCTCAAACTCCTCTTCAGAGGCAGCGGGTTTTGTTTTTTTTTTAACTATGTTTTTCTACTGGCTCACTTTATTCCTCTAAAATAGTAACTTGTCTATGTGGTGCCATAACGGGTCCAGTATCTGGACACGAGGCCGCACTACCTACACCTTTGGGGATTCTCGGATCCTGACTCTGAGCTACCTCATTCCTAGACACCTGGTGCACCACAATGTGTCAGGGATGTCGGTTTATGTGGGATATTTGCATTTTGTTAGGTTGTGTGTGGTAGTTGAGCAGCCAAGGGGGTAGCATGCGGTGGATATTTGTTTTAGATACACAGTAACTGGAAACTCATTTACTGAGGCTATTTGGTTACCCTGAACTACTGTTTCTACCAAAAAGGCAGGATAAATGCTCCCTCAACACACACCTTTAATTACCAATTTTCAGAGTAAGGGGTTGAGGTAATAGCCACCGCCAGTTTTCCCTTTCTCTTTGAGTATCATTATGAGCTCAAAGTTTTTTATATATTCACTATGATTCAATCATGACAGTTGCTATTTTTGATGCTCAAATTGCCGCAAATCTAATGTCCAAGTGTTCTTGTACTTGTCTAGGCCTAGAATCTTTTAGTGAAGAAAAAGTATTTAGAAGACAAAAATCAGGCTGAGTGCAGTGGCTCACGCCTGTAATCCTAGCACTTGTGGGAGGCTGAGGCAGGCGGATTGCCTGAGCTCAGGAGTTGGAGACCAGCCTGGGCAACATGGTGAAACCCCGTCTCTACTAAAATACAAAAAATTAGCCGGGGGTGGCGGTGTGCACCTTGTAGTCCCAGCTACTCAGGAGGCTGAGGCAGGAGAATTGCTTGAACCCAGGAGGCAGAGGTTGCAGTGAGCTGAGATCGCGTCACTGCACTCCAGCCTGGGTGGCAGAGCAAGACTCCGTCTCAAAAAAAAAAAAAATACGAAAAACAAAAAACATAATCTGGATTGCAGGGCTGATCGTTGCTAATGGAGTGTTATGGCTGTTCAGATGACAGAGGGAGAAAATGTACTTTGTAAACTGTTAGTTCAATGAGGTTATGATTGCACAACAATGTGAACATACTTAATGCCACTGAACTTTATTGCCATTGATAACTTTTAAATGGTAAATTTTGTGTATTATTTTGTCACAATAAAAAGTTTGAAAATCGAGTTCATAATATTTCCAGTTTGGGCCGACCACGGTGGCTCATGCCTGTAATCGCAGCACTTTGGGAGGCTGAGGTGGGTGGATCACAAGGTCAGGAGTTCGAGACCAGCCTGACCAACATGGTGAATCCCTGTCTGTACTAAAAATACAAAAATTAGCCGGGCGTGGTGGTGCGCGCCTGTAATCTCAGCTACTCAGGAGGTTGAAACAGGAGAATCACTTGAACTCGGGAGGCGGAGGTTGCAGTGAGCCGAGATCGCGCCACTGCACTCCAGCCTGGGCGACAGAGTGACACTGTCTCAAAAAAAAAAAAAAAAAAAAAAAAAATTCCAGATTGAATTTAATGTCACAGAGTTTTTAGCCTGTCCACCTGCCCAATTTTGTATTGTTTCTTTTTTTTTTTTTTTTTTTTGAGATGAAGTCTCACTTTGTCACCTAGGCTGGAGTACAATAGTGCGATCTTAGCTCACTGCAACCTCTGCCTCCCAGACTCAAGTGATTCTCCTACTTCAGCCTCCCAAGTAGCTGTGATTACAGGCAGCCTCCACCACACCTGGCAAATTTTTGTATTTTTAGTAGAGATGGAGTTTCACTATGTTGGCCAGGCTGGTCTTGAACTCCTGACCTCAAGTGATCCACCTCCCTTGGCCTCCCAAAGTGCTGGCATTACAGGCGTGAGCCACCACACCTGGCCTGTGTCTAGTTTCTAATGTTGTTAATATAAGTAGTTATTTACTTATTCAAGACCAGCCTGGGCAATATAGTGAGACCTCAACTCTACAAGAAAATTTAAAAATTAGCTGAGGGTGGTGGCACGCACCAATAGTGCCAACCATTCAGAAGGCTGATGTGGAAGGATCACCTGAGCCTAGGAGGCAGAGGTTGCAGTGAGCCGTGATCATGCCAGTGCACTCTATCCTGGGTGACAGAGTGAGACTCTGTCTCTAAATAATAATAATAATACCAGCACTATAATGAAAATACTGAGTCAAGTTTAAAAAAAAATTTTTTTTTTTGAGACAGAGTGTCACTCTGTCGCCGAGGCTGGAGTGCAGTGGTGCGATCTCGGCTACTGCAACCTCCACCTCCCAGGTTCAAGCGATTCCCCTGCCTCAGCCTCCTGAGTAGCTGGGATTACAGGCACACACCGCCACGCCTAGCTAATTTTTGTATTTTTAGTAGAGATGGGGTTTCACCATGTTGGTCATGCTGGTCTTGACCTCCTGACCTCATAATCTGCCCGCCTTGGCCTCCCAAAGTGCTGGGGTTACAAGTGTGAGCCATCGCGCCTGGCCTAAAATTTCTTCTTAGTTCTTTTTGTCCACAGAGACTATCCTACAAAGAATATACAATCAAGGTGTTGAGTTTAAGGAACTTGAAATAATTATTTCTCTGGTGTTTATATTATCAATTAAATATAGTTAGGTCCATTTGATGTGTTTTCAACTTCAGGGTTCACTTTTTTCTCATTTAATTTTATTTTTTGGTAAGATACAACATAAGAGAGTCACATGGTGATAAGACAGAATCAGTAATAGAATGTAGCCCTTTAATGCCACCAGAAATCCAGAGAGAGAAATAAGCTAGGGTTTTATTCAGTAGCAGAGTAATCTCCATCCAGGGTCTGCTTGAAGCCCTAGTCCCTCTCTGACACCACAAGGTCCCCTTGGCTACCTGTCAAGCCTCCTGGGGACTCCACTGGAAACATCTCAGCCGTAGACAGCAATCTTCCTCTCACACTGCAGTTTCAAGATGATCTGGTATTCTGCTGGGAAATTTTGCATGGTGTTCTCAAACCAATATTTGTCATCCCAGTAATGGGACCACCTTTTGCAATTGTCTTCCCCAAAACCAAACAAGGATACCTGAGAGATTGGATAAGACAAAAGATGGTGGTGGTGTAACGGGCTGGATCCTGCCCTGCCCCCATGGAACACCTATCATGCCTTCAGCACCACTCACTCAACCACTAGTGTGCCAGGCTTCCTCTTGGAGCTGGGAGGAGAATGGAGTTCACCTTCTTCAAGGAAGACAGACTCTAAATACTCATAGTGACCCCAGAGCCCAGAAAAGAGAGCACCAACTAGTTGTTCTTCATTATATATTGAGAGAAGAGAGGATTCCCCTGGGAGACAAGGGAAGGGCATTCCAGGCAGAGGGAGCAAGGTGTGAGAAGGCGTGAGGCAGCTGGTATGTTTGGAGAACCCCAAGAAGTCCAGTGCGGGAATCTGGGAGAGAGGAGAGGGAGAGAGGAGAGGGGTCAGATCATGTAGGGTGTTGAAAGCTAGGCAGAAAGTTTTAGATTTAACGGGAAGTCCTTGGGAAGACAGATTTTTTTTTTTTTTTTGAGATGGAGTTTTGCTCTTGTTGCCCAGGCTGGAGTACAGTGGCATGATCTTGGCTCACCGCAACCTCCGCCTCCCAGGTTCAAGCGATTTTCTTGCCTCAGCCTCCCAAGTAGCTAGGATTACAGGCATGCGCCACCACGCCTGGCTAATTTTGTATTTTTAGTAGAGACGGCGTTTCTCCATGTTGGTCAGGCTGGTCTCGAACTCCTGACCTCAGGTGATCAGCCCGCCTCAGCCTCCCAAAGTGCAGGGATTACAGGCGTGAGCCCCCATGCCCAGCCAAGAAGACAGAAATTTTGAGTGGCAGAGGAGTGAAAGTCCGTGAGTTGCAGGAGATATCTTACCTGGTCACAGGTATGCAAGGCATACAACAGAGCCACAAACTCCAAGGACGGATACTGACCATGGTTCTCCAGCCAACTTTCCTGGATATACCTGAGGAAGTAGAGGCTGATCACCAGCACCTAGGAAGATGGAGAAAGGGACTGACCTGAAGCCTGTCCCATGGCTACCCACTATCATGTTGTCCTACCACTTTCCCCTTTCCTTCCTGGGACCCTCACCTTATCTTTGCTGTCTTCGGTTCCACCAGGAACCTGAACCGTCTGAAATCTAAAAAGAAATTGAGGTTTGGGAGGATTTCAGAGTCATTTGACAAGCAGACTTCAGCCTTAAGTAAGCCTTGGGGGTGCCCCAGTATCCAGCCAGGGTCTCTTTGGAGTTACCTCTGTCACTCCCTACAGTGACCTCACTCCCTGACATACCCAGGGTTTTTTTTGCTTCCACATGCTTGTCTGTTTATGCAGTACACTTATGAACCACTCCAGACCAGATGAATTCAACGGAAGCAGCAGCAGTTGGGTACCGGGGTCCTGAGGGCTGGCAATCCCAGGGTACATAACGCGCATGGTGGTCCTGTTCCCCACATCTGCCTCAAAGCCTCAGACAGGGGCCTGGTTCATCCTGAAAAGGAAGTTAGGATGGTCATTTAGAGGAGGAAAAGGCTTCGGCTTGGTCTTCGTCTCCACCTCCTACCCTGCACCCACCTGAGGACCACTTCATGTTGATTAATCCTGAAGCCAAGGCCAGAGCTCCATAGAGACCTTGAGTTTCCCACCACTGCACAGACCCGGCAGTTGGACACCACATGGCCCAGTGGGCACAGGGGAGGTGCTTTAATCAGCTGCTGCTGCTTATTCTCAACCTCCTTCTCTGACTTGACCCTCTCGAGTCCCTAGGAGCATAGGAGGGAAGAATTTAGGGGCTTGACCCAGGTTCCACCTACCTGTGGAAGAAGGTTAGAGCCTGGGGCCTTGATGGAGAGATGGCTAGGACCTGGGGTTGGGTCAGGGACTGGACAAAGACCAAGTTTGCGCACTGACCAGCCACAATATCAGAGCATCATTGGACGTGGGATCTTGTGGCCTCTGTAGGGGTTCAACGGTACTGTCGAAGCGTCTGTCAAACCAGTCAGACTCGCCAGGCACGTGGAGGCAGGCAGAGCATGTGTGGACCTCAGATGAGCAGTTGCATTTTCTGGAAAAGTTGCTGGGATGGTGGCAGATTCCTGGGTGTATCTTGGCCATATTACGGAGGTCCTTCTGGCTGGAGTGCTGGTGTAGGAAGGAGGTGATCAGCCACAATGAAAGGACATAGGCAGCCACCAGGCCCAAACTCCTGTATCGAATCATGATCTCTGGCCCTGATGATGGTGCCCCTGGCAGACAGTAGATTGGCCCCGACACCTGGCACCGGGAAGAAGAGGCTGGGGCCACAGAAGTCCCCAGCATCCCCCATCTTAATGGCTTCCATCCCTCTCCCAACCCTTGACATTACACCTCCTCCCAAAACCTCGCTCCTGCCTCCCTGGCCACCTACTGATCACTACTGGAACTGCCAAAGCCTGGCCTAGAGGCAGAAAGAAAGGGAGAGAGGACACTTTTTGTGTTCTGTGGCCTCCCTGAGGAAACTGATTCCTAATGGGGTCTTCTGTGCCAGCCCAGTGATATCAGGGACTCATCACAGAGGCCACGTTGTGACCTACTCCACCAAGGCCCCTCCTTCACCTTGGCATTCAGCCCAGTGCCCAGATGACCAGGGAGGTGTGGTAGTCAAGGGTCCAGGGGACAGGAGGGCACAGAGGGAGAGGTTGTATCCAGGCTGGGGTGGGTGAGCAGGAGGCAAAGAGGGAAACAGAAGGGCCACCTTGGCGATGGCTCACACCTGTAATCTCAGAGCTTTGGGAGGCCAAGGCAGGAGGATCACTTGAGCCCGTGAGTTCAAGAAGGGCCACCTGGAATCTTCTGAAGAGAATTTACTATACTGATGAAAGAGAATATTTGATACCTTTAGCCCTTAACACCTCTCAGGGGTCGACTTTTTCTTTTTAAGAACTGTTTTTTTGTGGTTTTTGTTTGTTTGTTTTTTTGAGATGGAATCTTGCTCTGTTGCCCAGATCTTGGCTCACTGCAACCCCCGCCTCCTGGGTTCAAATGGTTCTCTTGCTTCAGTCTCCCAAGTAGCTGGGACTGCAGGTGCACACCACTGTGCCCGGCTAATTTTTTTTTTACTTTTAGCAGAGACGGGGTTTCACCATGTTGGCCAGGCTGGTCTCAAACTCCTGAGCTCAAGTGATCTGCCTGCCTCTGCCTCCCAAAGTGCTGGGATTACAGGTTTGAGCCACTGCGCCCGGCCAATCCAGTGTATATCTTACACTTATAGTGTATCTAAATTCAAAGCGTTTTGTCAGAAATACATGATTTATAAATTTCATAAAATTTTACAGTCAAAAAAGATTTACATACCCAAGTTACAATAAGCATAGTGAAAAGTTTTCTAAGAACTGAATTGTTTTGAAATTTAGATTAATTAAAATAAATTTAAAAATTCCTTCCTCACTTGCATTTGCCGCATTTCAAGTGCTCATCCATCATATTGGATGGTACAGAAATACAGGCTAATTTAATTCTAAAAGTCAACAATCTACTATTAGTGTTTACATTATTGTAACTAGATAAATATTTCCTATAGAGTTTGTAAATGAACTAAGACTACCTTTTTTTGTTCATGATAATTTTTTTTTTTTTTTTGAGACAGAATTTCGCTCTTGTTGCCCAGGCTGGAGTGCAATGGCATGATCTCGGCTCACTGCAACCTCTGCCTCCCGGGTTCAAGCAATTCTCCTGTCTCAGCCTCCTGAGTAGCTGGGATTACAGGCGTGCACCACCATGCCTGGCTAATTTTTGTATTTTTAGTAGAGACGGGGTTTCATCATATCAGTCAGGCTGGTCTCGAACTCCTGACCTCAGGTGATCCACCCACCTTGGCCTCCCAAAGTGCTGGGATTATAGGCATGATCCACTGTGCCCGGCCTTTTGTTCGTGGTAACTTTCTAAGAAAGGGTGTGTAGGAGATAAAACATTCTAAGTTTGCATGTCTAGAAACGCCATTATTCTGCTTGCAGGAGGTAGAATTGTGTTACTTTAAAAAAAAAAAATCTTTATGTTCTCACCCCTGATACTTATAAATGTGACCTTATTTGGAAGTAGGGCCTTTGCAGATACAATGAAATTAAAATGAGATCATGCTGGATGAGAATGGGCCCTAATCCAATGACTAGTGTGTTTATAAGATGAGGGAAATTGGCCGGGCGTGATGACCCATGCCTGTAATCCCAGCATTTTGGGAGGCCAAGGCAGGCAGGTCACTTGAGGCCAGGAGTTTGAGACCAGCCTGGCCAACATGGCGAAACCCAGTCTCTACTAAAATACAAAAAATTAGCCAGGCGTAGTGGCGGGCACCTGTAATCCCAGCTACTCGAGAGGCTGAGGCAGGAGAATTGCTTGAACCTGGGAGGCAGAGGTTGCAGTGAGCTGAGATCATGCCACTGCACTCCAGCCTGGGTGACAAGAGCAAGACTCCATCTCAAAAAAAAAGATGAGGGAAATTTGGAAACAGAAGACACAGGGGAGTATGCCATGTGAAGTTGGAGGTAGAGACTGGAGTGATGCCTCTGATGCAGGGCAGGCAATCCCCAAAATTGGGGCTTAGCCTGAGAGGGTTCTTGGCTTTGCCCTGATGCGATCCAGTGGTGTTAGCAAACTGTATTGAAGCAGCATTGCACAGCAGCAGCAGAGGTACACTGCTTCTTGTGGACAGGGCTACCCCATAGGCAGTGTGCCCAGAGTTAGCAGCTCAGCAGCAGCTCTGCAATCCTATTTATACCCACTTTTAACTACATGCAAATTAAGGGGTGAATTATGCAGAAATTTTCCAGGCACAAGCAGTCCTCCTGCCTCAGCCTCACAACATGCTGGGTCTGAGCCACTGTGCCCAGCCAAAAGTCTGATTTTTTATTCTTTGTTAACTGTAGCAGTTGGATTCTTGGTCTTGGTCAACAGACTGGTAAACTTCAGAGAAAAACAATTCGCCGGCTAAATATTTAGTAGTTTACAGGATGATGCAAAAGCTAGAGAACCAGGCTCAGTCTATCATGAGATGCAAAACATGGCCAAAGACTACCCCAGGAATGGCCCACCTGGAATGCCACCACTGCTGCCAACACAACTGGGCCCTTGACACTGTGGTAGTCTCATTATGGCAGATTCTCTTCAGCTCTTTCCATTAGGAAGAGCAGTTCATTTCCCCACTTCTTGGATCTTGGATCACTTTATGACTTGATCTGACCAATGGAATGCTGCAGAAGTGACACGGTAAGTGCTAGGCACAGTGACTCACACCTGTAATCCCAGCACTTTGGGAGGCCAAGGCAGTAGGATTGCTTGAGCCTAGGAGTTCAAGGCCATCCTGGCCAACATGGCAAGACCCCCTTTCTACAAAAACAAAAATTAAAATTAACTGGGTGTGGTGACATGCATTTATAGTCCCAGCTACTCAGGGGGCTTAGGTGGGAGGATCACTTGAGCCCAGGAGGTCGAGGCTGCAATAAGCCATGATTGTGCCACTCCATTCCAGCCTGGGCAACACAGCAAACTCTTGTCTCAAAAAAAAAAAAAAAAAAAAAAGCGAATTGGAACTGAGGCACCTAAAAAAACTGGGAACCTCAAAATGCTAAACCTTCTGTGAAAAGCTGGGCAAAAAAACAAAAAACAAAAAACAACCCTCACCCTCCGGCATGGGTGAAACAAGGAGGTTTACTTCTTTTATCGAAGTGGGTAAAGAGCCTCCCCCAACAACTCAAAGTCTGGGTTTGCACTTGGCATGAAATTGAATCTAAACTTATACCTCCTACATGATCCAGGGCACTAGGCAAAGAAATCAACTCAAATATTGCCCCTGAGATCTGGAAGGCACCTCTGGCCCATCCCTCCCAGACACTGTGGTTACAGGTAAGACAATCAGGCCAGGATTTTATTCAGTACCAGACTGATCTTACAATTTCCTCCTGCCCTTTACCCACCCAGAAATAGGATTTGTATGGACTCAGCTAGGCTGAGCTTGTGTGAATAGTGAGCTTGTCCACACGCTAGCTGATGGATGACTTCGATTTCTGCTCCTGCACTAGACGTGGGCAGTATTTCCTTGGAGCCCTTGGTCTGATTATCCTCCTTCCAGTGATAGAAACACTTTCCTTGCTATTCTGATCCAAATCCAAAGAGGGTGACCTAGTGGATAAGAGAGGGACATGTGCGTCAGCAGGCAGACTCCTGTCCTCACCCCTGCCTCCCTTCACTCAGCATCTAGGATGACAGGTTGTCCCTGGGAGCTGGGAGGAGACTGGAGCTCACCTCCAGGAAACAGACTCTGGACACTCTCCTAGAGTCACTGAGGATCCCAAAAAAGAGAATGTCAACTCACTTTTCCTCATGGTATTGGAGGAAGAGAGGGGAACCCCCAGGACGTAAGAGAAGGGCATTCCAGGCAAACGGAATGGTGCGAGAGAAGGCATGAGGCAGCTCATGTGTCTGGGGAATTCTAAGAGCCCATTATGGGAGCCTGGGAGACAGGAGGCAAGGGGAGGAGTCAGAACATGTATAGTCTTTTTTTTTTCTGAGATGGAGTCTCGCTCTGTCACCAGGCTGGAGTGCAGTGGCGCAATCTCGGCTAACTGCAACCTCTGCCTCCCGGGTTCAAGCGATTCTTCTACCTCAGCCTCCCGAGTAGCTGGGACTACAGGCATGCCTGGCTATTTTTTGCATTTTTAGTAGAGATGAGGCTACCACCATGCCTGGCTATTTTTTGTATTTTTAGTAGAGATGGAGTTTGACCATATTGGCCAGGCTGGTCTCGAACTCCTGACCTCATGATCCACCCGCCTCAGCCTCCCAAAGTGTTGGGATACAGGCATGAGCCACCACGCTTGGCCTACATGTAGAGTCTTGAAAGCCAGGCAGAAAACTTTAGACTCCATGCTGAAGGCATTGAGGAGCAGGAATTTTAAGAGAAGAAGATACAAGAATCTTTCCTGCCGGGGCACAGTTGTGCAAGACACAGAACAAAGCCTTGGGCCCCAGGGATGACCCTGACCCTGGTAAGACAGCCAGTTGTCCTGGTTGCACCTGGGGAGGAAGGGGGAGGGAACTGACCTGGGGCCCTTCCCACAGCAACCCACAGCCACATCCTACCCCTTTTCCTATTCCCCCTCACCGTGTCTTTGCTATCTTCCACTCCACTAGGGAACCAGACCATCTTCCAAAATCTGAGAAAGAATTGGAGGTGGGGGAGTTTGGGCCACAAGACCTGGGAAAGTCCTGCAAGTGTCCCCAGTAAGCCAATAGAAGGTCTTCCCAGAGCCCCTGCTGTTACTCCCTGCAGTGACCTCCCCTCACCCCCACACAGAGAATGTCTGGGGACACCTCCATCACCTTATCACTTAGAGCATCTGAAGTCCACACCAGGTCAGAGAGCTTCCGCAGTAGCATCTCCAGCTGCATCCAGGAGCCCTGGTCGCTGGCATTCCTGGGATAGATGAAGCATTGTGTGTGGTTTGGTTCCCCACGTCCATCTCAAAGCCCTGGACTTGGGGCCTGCTTCATCTTGGGAAGGGGAGCAGAAACTGATGGAACTGTGGGGCAGGCCTGGCCTTCCTGCTCCCGCCCTCTCCCCAGCACCCACCTGAAAACCACGGGGTATTGGTCGATGTCGTTGCCAAGGCTGGAGCCCTGCGGGATCTGTGGGCGCCCCAACAGCACACAAGTCCCACAATAGAAATCAAAATGGCTCACCGAGAGCCTGGGAATCCCTTTAAACAGCTTCCTCCACAATTTCCCAAGCTCGCTCCCTGAGTTCATGCCCTGGAAACAGCAAGAGGGAGATTGGGGGCTGGGCCCAGGGGAGAGAAAACAGAGCTGGGTGGGTGAGATCTCCATCCAGAGGCTGTGAAGACAGGGCCAAGGGCAGGGATTTGGGCGGAAAGTGGGAGATGGGTGAGGCCCGGAAAGCATGGGGGATATGGCCGGGCCCAGTGTTGACCACTGACCAACCACCAGAGCACAGTGTCAGAGGTCATAGACTCTCTTGTCCTCATCAGGTACCCCATAGTCTTCCTGGAGCACGCATCAAGCCAGTTCCATTCGTCGGCTGTGTGGTGGCAGGAGGAGCAGTTGAGGGTCTCAGAAGGGCAGCCACACTTCCCGGAACTGAACCAAGGGCAGTCGCAATGCTGTGGTACCAAGTACATTCGTTTTTCCTGGGGTGCTGATTCAGGTGTCAGATCCAGATAGGGGGTCATCAGCCAGAGGATGAGCACCCAAAAGACCCACAGGACAAAAATCTGCCAGCGCTTCATGTCTGGCCCAGGCGGTGGCTCCCGTGGTGGGCCGTAGACTGGCTTCTCTACCTGTAAGGATGAGGGGCTGAGGCCACAGACAGCACCAGCTTCCCTCTGTCCTGTCGGCCTCCACAACTCCCCATCCCACCACCTTCCACCTCCTTCCAACCCCTCCTCTCCTGCCTCACTATCCATTTGCTCACCCTCAAAACGGTCTCTGACTGGGCATGGGGTGGAAGAGGCCAGGGCAGAGAGACAGCATGTGGCTAGTCCTGAGAGGGGAAGGAATACCTCAGTGGGGGCCTTGCTGTCATCCCAGTTATATCATAGATCTCATCACAAAGTACACATTGTGACCTCCCTCCTTTAGCCTGCCTGAAAAAAGCCACCACCCTACCCTTTCTCTGACACCGAAATGACCTCCACTGGATGTAAGATTCATGAGGACAGGGGCTGACCTAGTCTCTCTTCTTCACCTCTGCAGCTCTAAGACTTAGAATCATTTAATAAATATTTATGGGATAAATAAACAGGGGTTGAGAGGGAACTTTTTTTTTTTTTTTTGAGATGGAGTTTTTGCTCTGTTGTCCAGGCTGGAGTGCAGTGGCATGATCTTGGCTCACTGCAACTTCCGCCTGCCTGGTTCAAGCGATTCTCATGCCTCAGCCTCCCAAGTAGCTGGGACTACAGGCATGCGCCACCACGCCTGGCTAATTTTTATATTTTTAGTGGAGACAGGGTTTCGCCATATTGGCCAGGCTGGTCTCAAACTCCTGACCTCAAGTGATCCGCCCACCTCAGCCTCCCAAAGTGCTGGAATTACAGGCGTGAACCACCATGCCCAGCCGGGAACTTTATTTTTAAATTATTATTATTATTATTATTATTATTATTATTATTATTATTATTTTGAGACGGAGTTTCACTCTTGTCGCCCCAGCTGGAGTGCAGAGGCACGATCTCGGCTCACTGCACCCTCTACCTCCCGGGTTTAAGTGATTCTCTTGCCTCGGTTTCCCAAGTAGCTGGGATTACAGGTGCCCGCCACCACGCCTGGCTAATTTTTTTGTATTTTTAGTAGAGACGGGGTTTCCCCATGTTGGTCAGACTGATCTCGAACTTCTGACCTCAGGTGATCCGCCCGCCTTGGCCTCCCAAAGTGTTGGGATTACAGGCATGAGCCACTGCACCCCGCCCCAGCCTGGAACTTTAAATATACTTGTGTGTGATGCCCTCTCTGGAGTTGTGTGACATCAACTCAATCCTCTCTTGTAGTCTCTAGACCCCATATCCAACAGCCTACTGAATTGCCACTTAGATGGCTCAGAGACATCTCACCTGAATAAGCCTGAGACTGAACCCAGGATTTTCCCTGTAAACCAACCCTTCCCAAAACTTCTCTGTCTCTTTTGTTTTGTTTGAGACAGAGTCTTGCTCTGTCACCCAGGCTGGAGTGCAGTGGCGCAATCTCAGCTCACTGCAACTTCTGCCTCCTCCGGGGTTCAAGCAATTCTCCTGCCTCTGCCTCCCGAATAGCTGGGATTACAGGTGCGTGCCACCAAGCCCGGCTAATTTTTTGTATTTTTGGTACAAACGGGATTCCACCATGTTGGCCAGGCTGATCTCAAACTCCTGACCTCAGGTAATCTGCCCACCTCGGCCTCCCAAAGTACTGGGATTACAGGCGTGAGCCACTGCACCCAGCTTCAAAACTTCTCTATCTCAACAAATGGTTCCACCACGTACCCAGTTATTGAAACCAGAACTCATGTGTTATTAATTCCTCCTACTCCTATGATACCCAAATTCTTTTTTTTTTTTTTTTTTTAGGACAAAGTCTCACTCTGTCACCCAGGCAGGAGTGCAGTGGCACAATCTTAGCCCACTGTAGCCTCTGCCTCCAAGGTTCAAGCAATCCTTTCACCTCAGCTTGCCAAGATGCTGGGACTACAGAAGTGTGCCACCACGCTAGGCTTATTTATTTATTTAATTTATTTTTGAAACAGAGTCTCACTCTGTCGCCCAGGCTGGAGTGCAGTGGCACAATCTTGGCTCACTGCAACCTCTACCTCCCAGGTTCAAGTGATTCTCATGCCTTAGCCTCCCAGGTAGCTGGGACTACAGGCGCACAACACCACACCTGGCTCATTTTTGTATTTTTTTGGTAGAAACGGGGTTTCACTGTGTTGGCTAGGCTGGTCTCCATCTCCTGGTCTCAAGCAATCCGCCCACCTCGGCCTCCCAAAGTGCTGGAATTACAGGCGTGAGCCACCGAGCCTTGCTGATTTTTTTTTTTAAGTAGAGATGGGGTTTACTGTGCCAGCCCTGTCTCGAACTCAGCTCAAGTGATCCACCCTCCTCGGCCTTTCAAAGTGCTGAGATTACAGGCATAAGCCACTGAGTCTGGCCTCAAATCCATTTTTTAATTCGTTTCTATTTCTAAGTCATCTTCTTCATCTCCACTGCCACCCCCTTAATTCAATTGTAGTCTTGTAAAGATAGTAAAAAAATGAAAATGTTTGAGTTGTTTTTAAAGTTTAAGAAAAAAACAGAACATTTTGGTTTTTAAAAAAAATCAAAACATTTTATTCAATGGGATAAGAACAGTAAAATTCTTCATCTTAACTAGTGGAAAGCTGCACTGGATATTGTATAGCTTTTAAATCAATTCACCCAAATATCTGAGTAAGGTGTGTAGGCTAGTTAATTATATCATACCAACGTCAAGTTCCAGGTTTTGAAAAAGTACCATATGGGCTGGGCGCGGTGGCCCACGCCTGTAATCCCAGCATTTTGGGAGGCAAGGTGGGCAGATCACCTGAGGTCAGGAGTTCGAGACCAGCCTGACCAACATGGAGAAACCCTGTCTCTATTAAAAATACAAAATTAGCCAAGCATGGTGGCGCATGCCTGTAATTCCAGCTACTCGGGAGGCTGAGGCAGGAAAATTGCTTGAACCCGGGAGGCGGAGGTTGCGGTGAGCCGAGATCGCACCACTGAATGTGATTTTAGCTGGGCAAAAAGAGTGAAACTCTGTCTCAAAAAAAGAAAAAGAAAAATTACTATATGTATTATATGGTAAGACACTACCATTAAGAGAAAATGAAGGCCAGGCACAGTGGCTCGTGCCTGTAATCCCAGCACTTTGGGAGGCCAAGGTGGGGTTTGAAGCTTGAAGCCAGGAGTTTGAGACCAGCCTGGGCAACACAGCAAGACTCTACACACACACACACACACACACACACACACACACACACACACACACAAAATTAGCTGGGCTTGGTGGTGTGCGCCTTTATTCCTAGCTACTTGGGAGGTTCAGGTGGGAGGATCACTTGAGTCCAGGAGTTAAAGGCTGCAGTGAGTTATGATAGCAGCACTGCACTCCAGCCTGCGTGACAGAGCAAGACTCTGTCTCTAAAAAAAAAAAATAAAGCAAAAATAAAGAATAAAATGGGAAAATGGATGATGGGTACATGGGAATTTTCTGTACTATTTTTACAATTTCTTGTGTGCCTATGGTTTTTTCAAAATGAAAAGGTTTTAAAAATTATCTACCAGCCTGGGCAACGTAGGGAGACCCTATCTCTATAAAAAATATAAAAATTGGCCATTGTGGTCCCAGCTACTCAGGAGGAGACTGAGGTAGGGAATACTTGAGCCCAGGAAGTCAAGGCTTCGGTGATATGTGATTGCACCACTGCACTCCAGCCTGAGTGACAGAGTGAGACCTTGTCTCAAAGAAAAAAAATCATTTAGGAAAAGATGTATAGCAAGTTTTATTGCTATTTCATTTACATCAACTGCTACAATTTTTTTTTCTTTTTTGAGATGGAGCCTTGCTCTTTTGCCAGGCTAGAGTGCAGTGGCATGATCTCAGCTCACTGCAACCTCTGCTTCCCGGGTTCAAGAGATGCTCCTGCCTCAGCCTCCCGAGTAGCTGGGACTACAGGTCCGAGCCAGCACGCGCAGCTAATTTTTGTATTTTTAGTAGAGACAGGGTTTCACCATGTTGACCAGGATGATCTCAATCTCTTGACCTTGTCATCTGCCTGCCTTGGCCTCCCAAAGTGCTGGGATTACAGGTATGAGCCACTGTGCCTGGCCAACTGGTATAATTTTTAAAATTTTTGTAAACTCATAAAATTTACCATTTTAACCATTTTAAAAATATTTTGGCCGGGTGTGGTGGCTTATGCCTGTAATCCTAGCACTTTGGGAGGCTGAGGCAGGCGGATTGCCTGAGCTCAGGAGTTCAAGACCAGCTTGGGCAATATGGTGAAACCCTGTCTCTACTAAAATACAAAAATTAGCCAGGCGTGGCGGTGTGTGCCTGTAATCCCAGCTACTTGGGAGGCTGAGGCAGGAGAATTGCTTGAACCCAGGAGGCAGAGGTTGCAGTGACCTGAGATCGCACCACTGTACTCCAGCCTAGGCAATGGAATGAGACTCTGTCTCAAAAAAAAAAAAAAAAAAATATATATATATATATGTGTGTGTGTGTGTGTGTGTGTGTGTGTGTGTGTATATATATATATTTTTATTTTATATAATATATATAAAATTTTATTTTAAGTTCCAGGATACAGGCCAGGAGCAGTGGCTCACGCCTGTAATCACAACACTTTGGGAGGCCAAGACAGGGGAGGGGGATCACAAGGTCAAGGGATTGAGACCATCCTGGCCAACATGGTGAAACCCCATCTCTACTAAAAATACAAAAATTAGTTGGGCATAGTGGCGCGTGCCTGTAATCCCAGCTACTCAGGAGGCTGAGGCAGGAGAATCGCTTGAACCCAGGAGGCGGAAGTTGCAGTGAGCTGAAATCGAGGCACTGCACTCCAGCCTGGTGACAGACTCCATCTCAGAAAAAAAAAAAAAAAAAGAAAGTTCCGAGATACATGTGCAGGTTTGTTACGTAGGTAAATGTGTGCCATGGTGGTTTGCTGCACCTATCAACCCATCACGTAGGCATTAAGCCCTGCCTGCATTAGCTATCCTGATGCGCTCCCTCCCACTGGCCTGCCCACCAGGCAGGCCCCAGTGTGTGTTGTTCCCCTCCCTGTGTCCATGTGTTCTCATTGCATTTTATCCATTTTTTTAATGTGCAACCATCATCACTATCTAGTCTCAGAACACATTCATCATTCCAAGCATACTCTAGTGAATAATACATTGAATAAGACTAGAATCAATTACATGACATTCATATCCCCACTACCCATTTTTTCCAGATCTTAGCATTTCTTTGCTTTTGCTGTTCTGGTGTTTAGGTATGAATATATGTTCATTTATCCTGTTACAGTACATTCAGGCTTCCTAAATATGAGAACTCTTGCCTTTCATCAATTCTGGGTAATTCTCAGCCATTTCTTTCAAATATTGCCTCTCCCTTATTCTCAGTATTTCCTCCTATTAGGAAACTCCTATTAGGCAAATGTTGGATTGTTTTTCTTTCTATCCTTCAAGTATCTGAATCTCTCTTTTACATCTATGATTTTATTTCTCTATATTACATTATGGGTAATGTTTTTCAGCTCCATCTTTCTGTTCAATATTTCTCTCTCTCTCTCTCTTTTTTTTTTTTTTTTGAGACGGAGTTCTCACTCTGTTGCCCAGGCTGGAGTACAGTGGCCCCATCTCAGCTCACTGCAACCACCTTCCAGGTTCAAGCAGTTCTCCTGCCTTAGCCTACCAAGTAGCTGGTATTACAGACGTTCATCACCATGCCTGGCTAATTTTTGTATTTTTAGTAGAGATGGGGTTTCACCATGTTGGCCAGGCTGGTCTCAAACTCCTGACTTCAGGTGATCCACCTGCCTTGGCTTCCCAAAGTGCTGGGATTACAGGTGTGAGCCACTGCACCCGGCCAATATTTCTCTCTTTAACTGTGCCTAATTGGTTGTTTAGCCCTTCTACTGGTTTTTAAACTTAAATGACTATTTTTCATTTCTAGAAATTCTTTGAAATGTACTTTCACTTTTTTTTTTTTTTTCTATGGAGTCTCGCTCTGTCGCCGAGGCTGATGTGCAGTGGTGCAATCTCGGCTCACTGCAACCTCCACCTCCCAGGTTCAAGCGATTCTCCTGCCTCAGCCTCCTGAGTAGCTGGGATTACAGGCGTGCGCCTGCCATCTTGGGAAAGTCAGTTCACCTCTTGGCTTCCTCATCTATAAAATGAGACTTGAAGTAGCACCTAGGCTGCGCATGCGCTGGCTCATGCCTGTAATACCAGCACTTTTGGAGGCTGAGGCAGGTGGATTGCCTGAGGCCAGGAGTTAGAAACCAGCCTGGCCAACGTGGCAAAACCCCATCTCTACAAAAAATACAAAAATTAGCTGGGCATGGTGGTGTGCACCTGTAATCCCAGCTACTCAGGAGGCTGAGGCATGAGAATTGCTTGAACCTGGGAGGCAGACGTTGCAGTGAGCCAAGATCACGCCACTGCACTCTAGCTTGAGTGACAGAGCGAAACTCTGTCTCAAAAAAAAAAAAAAAGCACCTAACTCCCACGTTGTTTTGAGGGTGAAATGGATTACAGCAATGGGCATATTGTCCATGTTCAGTTAGTATTAGTTTCTCCTTGTCTTTGCTCCTTCCTTGGTGAGCTGCGGTCAGGCTGCCACAGTCACCCAACTCCAGGGTCCCTCCTCTTCCTTTTTATGGAAGCATTCCCTAACCCAGCATGTTAGTCACCTTCCCTTACAGACTCCCATGGTCCCCCTGTGCCACCTCTTATCAAAGTTTTGATCTTAAGTCATTGAATGATTTGAGCTATGCACTTTGAAATAAAACAGACTGGAGTTTAGATATTAGCTTATTAGCCACTCAAAGCTTTTAATCAGGGATAATAATAGCAGTTAGCATCTAAGGTTGTTGTTTTTGTTGTTGTTTTGTTTTTAGAGACAGGGTCTTGCTATATTGCCCAGGCTGGTCTCAAACTCCTGGGCTTAAGTGATCCTCCCTCTCCTGCCTCAGTCTCCCAAGTAGCTGGAACTATAGGTGTGTACCACTGTGCCCGGCCTAAGGTTGTTGTGAAGATGAACTGACATGATATAGGTGAAGATAAAAGAGTTTACAACAGGGCAGGTGCGGTGGCTCATGGCTGTAATCCCAGCACTTTGGGAGGCCAAAGCGGGCAGATCATTTGAGGTCAGAGTTCGAGACCAACCTGGCCAACATGGTGAAACCCCATTTCTACCAAAAATATAAAAAATTAGCCAGGTGTGGTGGTGGACGCCTGTAATCCCACTACTCGGGAGGCTGAGGCATGAGAATCGCTTGAACTGGGAGGTGGAGGTTGCAGTGAACTGAGATTGCACAACTGCACTCCAGCCTGGGTAACAGAATGAGAATCTGTCTCAAAAAAAAAAAAAGAGTTTACCACCATATTTGCCACATAGTAGTGGCTTGACAAATGCTAGGTATTTTTTTTTTTTGAGATGGAGTCTCCCTCTGTCACCCAGGCTGGAGTGCAGTGATGCGATCTTGGCTCACTGCAACCTCTGCCTGCCGGGTTCAAGCCATTCTCCTGCCTCAGCCTCCCAAGTAGCTGGGACTACAAGTGCACGCCACCATGCCTGGCTAATTTTTTGTATTTTTAGTATAGACAAGGTTTCACTATGCTGGTCAGGCTGGTCTCAAACTCCTGACCTTGTGATCCTCCCACTTCTGACACCCAAAGTGCTGGAATTACAGGTGTGAGCCACTGCACCCGGCCAATGCTAGCTATTTTAAAAAATTATTATTATTAGCTATTATTTTTATTTTTATTATTTTATTAAGGGATATATTAATATCCATAATTAGGACTGTAACTTTCTTTCTTTCTTTTTTTTTTTTTGATTCGGAGTCTCGCTCTGTTGCCCAGGCTGGAGTGCAATGGCACAATCTTCGGCTCACTGCAACCTCTGCCTCCCGGGTTCGAGCAATTCTCCTGCCTCAGCCTCCTGAGTAGCTGGGATTACAGGCGCCCACCACCATGCCCAGCTAATTTTTGTATTTTTAGTAGAGACGGGGTTTCACCATATTGGCCAGGCTGGTCTTCTGGCCTGGCTGGTCTCAAACTTCTGACCTGGTGATCCACCCTCCTCGGCCTCCCAAAGTGCTGGGATTACAGGCGTGAGCTACCGTGCCCAGCCAGGACTGTAACATTCTTGAAGGCAAGAACTGTTCTAATTCAACTCTCTCTTCCCAGGACTCAACACAGGGCAGGGACACAGTGTGTGTGTGTGTATATTTGAGTGTTGCTTGCATACATGGATATTACATTTTAAAATCTGAATTTAGTGCAATTTTTAATTTTTATTTTTTAATAATTTTTATTTTATTTTATTTATTTTATTTAATTTTCAGACAAAGTTTCACTCTTGTCCTCCAGGCTGGAGTGCAATGGCATGATCTTGGCTCACTGCAACCTCCACCTCCTGGGTTCAAGCGATTCTCCTGTCTTAGCCTCCCAAGTAGCTAGGATTACAGGCATGCGCCACCACGCCCGGCTAATTTTTTGTATTTTTAGTAGAGATGGGGTTTCACCATGTTGGCCAGGCTGGTCTTGAACTCTTGACCTCAGGTAATCTGGCCTCCTCGGCCTCCCCTAGTGTTGGGATTACAGGCGTGAGCCACCACCCCTGGCCTTTTTTTTAAAGTATTTTTGATACAGGGTCTCACTCTGTCACCCAGGCTGGAATGCAGTGGCATGGTCTCGGGTCACTGCAACCTCTGCCCCCCACCCCTGGGTTCAAGCGATTCTCCCACCTCAGCCTCCCGAATAGCTGGGATTAGAGGCACCCGCCACCACACCCAGCTAAGTTTTTGTATTTTTTGGTAGAGATGGGATTTTGCTATGTTGGCCAGGTTGGTCTGAAACTCCTGACCTCAAGTGATCCACCTGCCTTGGCCTCCCAAAGTGCTGAGATTACAGGCATGGGCCACCGCGCCTGGGCTTAGTGCAATATTTGAGGCACTCAGATTTTTTTTTTCCTGTGCTGCTGGTTTTGGTCCTATGTGGGCAATAAAACAAGGAACCTTTCAGGAAAGTACTTCTCACACTTTAATGTGCATGCTAATTATCTGGAGAGTCTTGTTAGAATGCAGATTCTGATTCTGCAGGTTTGGGGTGGGGACTGGGATTCTGCATTTCTAACAGGTTCCCAGATAAGGCCAATGTTTCTGGTTCAAGGATCCCACTTAGGGTAGCAGAGCTTTAGACTTAATTCCATCAGCAGATTCCTTATTACCTATTTCTGATAGAATTCTTGGTGCTCTCAGGAATCTGAAGCCCAGATAATAGAGGGAGATCCCAGGTGTCCTCTGCCACCCTGTTAGCTGAGGGAGACCCAAAAACTTTGGCTTCCGTGAAAAGTCCTCCTCCAGTTGTCCCCAAAGTTGTAGCATGAGTCCTTCCAAATCTTTTCTCATGATTATACAAATACATATTCCCCCATATAAGATTAAGATTTTTATATATAGATAGATTTTTTTTTTATTTAGGTTTTTTTTTTTGTTTTTTTTTTGAGACGGAGTGTGGCTCTGTCGCCCAGGCTGGAGTGCAGTGGGGCAATCTCGGCTCACTGCAAGCTCCACCTCCCAGGTTCACGCCATTCTCCTGCCTCAGCCTCCCGAGTAGCTGGGACTACAGGCGCCCGCTACTACGCCCGGCTAATTTTTTGTATTTTTAGTAGAGACAGGGTTTCACCATGTTAGCCAGGATGGTCTTGATCTCCTGACCTCGTGATCCGCCCGCCTCGGCCTCCCAAAGTGCTGGGATTACAGGCGTGAGCCACAGCGCCCGGCCTATGTTTTACATATATAACAATTTATATATAACTACATA
Source organism: Homo sapiens (assembly GCF_000001405.40). NCBI lineage: Eukaryota > Metazoa > Chordata > Mammalia > Primates > Hominidae > Homo > Homo sapiens. Next base: position 35,539,190 of record NC_000020.11, read on the forward strand.
TATAATATATATAACAGTTTATATATATATATAACAGTTTATATATATAATATATATAACAGTTTATATATATATATATAACAGTTTATATATATAATATATATAACAGTTTATATATATAATATATATAACAGTTTATATATATAATATATAAGTTTATATATTATATATAACAGTTTATATATAACAGTTTATATATAATATATATAAGTTTATATATAACAGTTTATATATATAATATATATAAGTTTATATATAATATATATAAGTTTATATATATGTTTATATATAATATATATAACAGTTTATATATATAATATATATAACAGTTTATATATATAATATATATAACAGTTTATATATATAATATATATAACAGTTTATATATATAAAATATATAACAGTTTATATATATAATATATATAAGTTTATATATATAATATATATAACAGTTTATATATATTATATATATATATATGCACACACACAAAGAGAGAGAGAGAGACTCGCTCTGTCGCCCAGGCTGTAGTGCAGTGGTGTAATCACAGCTCACTATGAGGCAGGAGAACAGGGAATCAGGGTAACCGGGGGTTAAGACATAAGCAAATGAAGGGGTGCAGCCAGTTCTAGGCAGCATACAGGCCACATCTTCAATCCTATGATAACGAGACAGAAGTTTCCACTTCCGCCTCCGATTGACCGTGGGGCCAAATCTCCACTTCAGCCTCTGATTGGCTGTGGGCCAAGTCTCCACTTCAGCCTCTGATTTGGTCGCAGGCCAATCCTTCATAGGTGTAGCCAACTGGAGGCTTCTAAAGGGCACCTAGGGGTGTTGCCAGGTCCCTTTAGCTTAATACAAACCCTGATTGAGGAGGCTCTTGAGCAGCTTGCTCTAACCAGCTGCCGCTATGAATCGTCTTCAATAAATCTATGCTTTTGTTATTCCGTTCTTCTGTTGCTGTTTGTCTTTCGTTGCCCTTCTGTTACTTTATGTGTTTTGTTCAACACGCCAAGAACCTGGACAACTCTATGCTGGTAACAACTGCAGGTAACCTGGTAACAACTGCAGTTTCAAACTCTCCTGGGCTCAACCCCAGCCTCCCAGGTAGCTGAGACTATAGACGCATGCCACCACACCTGGCTAATTTTTTTATTTTTATTTTTATTTTTGGAGACAGAATCTCACTCTGTCGCCCAGGCTGGAATGCAATGGCATGATCTCGGCTCACTGCAACCTCCGCCTCCCAGGTTCAAGCGATTCTCCTGCCTCGGACTCACAAGTAGCTGGGTTTACAGGAGCACACTACCACGCCTGGCTAATTTTTGTATTTTTAGTAGAGATGGGGTTTCACCATGTTGACCAGGCTGGTCTCAAACTCCTGAACTCAAGTGATGCTTCCTGGCTCGGCCTCCTGAAGTGCTAGGGTTACAGATGTAGTTTTTAAAGTTTTTGTAGAGTGGGGTCTTGCTGTGTTGCCCAGGCTGGTCTTAGACTCCTGGCCTCATGTGATCCTCCTCGGTCTCCCAAAGTGCTGTGATTACAGGTGTGAGCCATTGTGCCCAGCCCAATTTTTAATTAAAAAATGGAATGATGGAATGCACATTACTTTGCATCTTTTCCCCCTTAAAAATACATTCTTAGTATACCTAAAGGAGTAAATCTACCTCATTCTTTTGAAAAGTGGCCTAATATTCCATAGAATGGGTGTATCGTGATTTATTCAATTTATTTAATGTATCAGTGGGCATTCTGGCTGGTTCCAGATTTTTGCCATTGAACAATCTCATGCATACATCTTTATGATGTGGTGCACTTAAAATCTTTAAGAGACAGATTCAATATCTTAAGGTGTAACAACCACCCAGATCATGGTACTTTTATCCTTATATTAAAATTTTTTTCTGTTAACCTTGGATAGCTGCTTACATATTTTTTCTTTTTCAAAATTTTTCTATTAACCTTGACATGGTGCTTTTACTTCCTAAAGTGGAATTCCTGTATGAAAGCCTATGAGCTTTTATATCTTACTCATTGCAGCTGCATTACTGTGGGAGCTGTCCCTCTAGAGACACTGGGCTGCAATGGGAAGTGTCAGGGAGAGCTTAAGCTCCATATCACTTGAGTCTAAACCTGGAGGGATAGAGCGTGTCCGTGAGGATCCCAGGGCCTGGAGAGCAATTTAGGGTAATATTCAGAAAGCAGCGCTCAGGAGAAGCACTGGGACGCTGTTTAGGTAAAATCAACCCAAAAGACCCTGATTCCCAGAGTACTTTGAGGTCCAGAAGAACTGGGCTGGAAGCAGGTCCTGCTATTAATTGGCTGTGATCTTGGGCAAGTTATTTAACTTCTCCAGGTCACAGTTTGCTCTTTGGAAAACGGAGATAAGTCACACCTGCTTTCAGGGCGGACACCCTTACTTTACATCAGAATCATCCGATGCCATTCCTAGCGTTTCGGCTTCAGTAGGTGGGAATCAATTATTTGCATTTCTAATAGGTAATCAGTTGATAATGATGCGGCCGGTCCGGTACACTCGAAAAACCACTGTTCCAGGATATTCCAAGATGTTCCAAGAGTCTTAAACACCTGGTGCAGTTCCGAGCACAAGGCACACGAACGGTGCTATTAGCGTTTCTAACCCCGCAGAGAACTCCTCGCACCCCAGTCCTCAAAATCCCGCCCCGGACAGCGGAGGCCGGGGCAGTAGCTTCCAGACCCAATTGCCCGCGCAAGGGGGCGTGGCAGCATCGTTGGGCGGGGCCGCCTGTAAGAGAACGCGGCTAAAGGTGGGGCCAAGCGTGCGGTTTGCTGCGCCTGCGTGAGGAAAAAGAGGGGGGCGTGGCTCCAGGCCGGAAGAGGGAGTCTGTAGGGGCGGGCCGGCTGGCGTCCCCTTTCCGGCCGGTCCCCATGGAGGCGCTGGGGAAGCTGAAGCAGTTCGATGCCTACCCCAAGACTTTGGAGGACTTCCGGGTCAAGACCTGCGGGGGCGCCACCGGTAGGCCGCAGCGGGGCCGGGGTCGCGTGGAGGGGGGCGTCCTAGAGCTTAGCCCGGGCTCCTGGACTCTGACTGGCCTGCCGGTGTCTGAGGGAGCGGATTCGAGGCCATTCTGACCCTCGCCCCTTGTCCTGCAGTGACCATTGTCAGTGGCCTTCTCATGCTGCTACTGTTCCTGTCCGAGCTGCAGTATTACCTCACCACGGAGGTAAGGGGCGGGGCTTAGTGCGTGGGCGGGGCTTGGCATTCTAGGAGTAGGACCTTTAGGGGTGGGAGTGGGGAAGGAGAGGTTTGGGGCTAAGTCTTACTGAGGTAGCGCTGCCCCAGGTGCATCCTGAGCTCTACGTGGACAAGTCGCGGGGAGATAAACTGAAGATCAACATCGATGTACTTTTTCCGCACATGCCTTGTGCCTGTGAGTACCTCACCATGGGTGGGACTGGAGAGACCCAGGGTTCTCATGTGGGCTGCCAGATTCACACCTCCACCCTTAGGTTCTGGACTGGACCCCAGGACAACCTCCTTCTCCTCATCCCGTTCTGCCCCAAGACAGGCCCAGTATCCCCTTCCCCTCCAAAACCCACATCCCCTTGTCCCTAGGGTCCCAGTACCTTAGCCTGATTTTCCTGCTTCCAGATCTGAGTATTGATGCCATGGATGTGGCCGGAGAACAGCAGCTGGATGTGGAACACAACCTGTTCAAGCAACGACTAGATAAAGATGGCATCCCCGTGAGCTCAGAGGCTGAGCGGCATGGTAACCAGGGGAGGGGGCCGGGTCTCAGATCCCAAAGCTGGATGTACCCAAGCCTATCTGCTAGCAAGTGAACTGTGGCAGGCATAGTGATACATTAAACAACTAAGAGCTAGAGAAGTCAAGTGACTTGCCTAGGGTCCCCCAGCTAGTAAGAGTCAGAGTGAGCTAAAATCCTCTATACATATCGAGTCAGGTAATCTACCTGGCTATTATTCTCAGAGGTCCTCAATACCTGCAGATGGTAGTTTGAATACCAGAGGTTTGAAGATAGGTCTTATGTGCTCTTGCCTTGGTAGAACTGTCTAGATGGACCCAGGCTTCTTTGAGTGTTTGCTTTCCCAGCCCATTGGCTTAATTCAGCCCTTAATGCTCTTCCCCTTTGGAATGCAGGTGGTTTAATGAGAATTTAGGTTCTCAAGTCAGATTGCCTGGGTTCACATCTAGCTTTGTCTCCTGCAGTCTGTGAGCTTCAGCTAGAAAGTGGTAATAAAACAGTAGTACCAACCACATGGAATTGTAAGATCAAATGAAGTCATATGTGTAAAATGCCTGGTACAGAGTGGGTACCCACTTTTACCTTCCTTTCCTTTATCTTGGTGGCTTCCCAATTCCCTTCGTTAACTCAGTTTCCCACCACAGCAAACTGTCCTCAAAGCTGGGATTTCTAACACCTTAGAGATTACTCTGGTGGGGAGTTTTATCATTCGTTGTTTCAGCAGATTAATGCAGGACACCAGTGGAACCAACATAATTTGCTATAGGACTGGATGTGGAGTGGAGGAGAGCAAAGTCATGGTTGTTGATTCCAACGCTTTCAGCCTGAGCAAATGAATGACTTGAGATGGAGATGACTGGAGGAGAAGGTTTTTTTGGTGGGAGGGAGGAGTGGCTATTGGATATCCACTGCTGTGTAACAAAGTACTCCAAAAGTTAGTAGTTTGATACAATAAAAATGTGTTTTTTCAGTTTCCCTGGGTCAGGAATTTAGGAGTGGCTTGTTTGGGTGATTCGGGATTAGGGTATCTCACGAGGTTGCAGTCATCTAAGGATTGATGGGGCACTGAAGAATCTACTATCTATCTATCTATCTATCTATCTATCTATCTATCTATCTATCTATCTGTCTATCTTGAGACAGAGTCTCACTTTGTCGCCCAGGCTGGAGTGCAGTGGCGCGATCTTGGCTCACTGCAACCTCCGCCTCCCAGGTTCAAGTGATTCTCCTGCCTCAACCTCCCGAGTAGCTGGGATTACAGGCCTGTGCCACCATGCCCAGCTAATTTTTTGTATTTTTAGTAGAGACGGGGTTGCACCTTGTTGGGCCAGATGGTCTTGATCTCTTGACCTTGTGATCCACCCGCCTCAGCCTTCCAAAGTGCTGGGATTACAGGCATGAGCCACTGCGCCTGGCCTACTTATTTGTTGTTTAAATTTATTTTTTTTCTGTCAAGGTGTTCTTTATTTCAGAGAGAGGGCAGGACAGGGGGCTCAGTCTTTCTTGGCATCAGCTTTCCTCATGATGGCTGGGACATTGCTCAGCTCCTCCTGCCTCCTCTTAGTGCGGATGTGCGTCCCCACTCTTTTCTTGATGAACTTGAGGGCCCGTTTGTCCTTGGAGACCTTGAGTAACACCATGGCGTGCCGCTCATACGGGGCGAAACCACACACCTCTCGGATCATGTCCCACATGAATTTGGTGTTTGGTCAGGCGCCCGCGGCGGCAGCTGTGCCTGGGCTTGCTCATGTTCTTGGTCATCTTGTGGCCCTTGTCAAGGCACACGGCCATAGTGGGTAGCACAGAGCCATGGCTGCTGCTCTCCAATGGCAGCTGTGGCAGAAGGGCTGGTGCCACGCGGGGATCTACTTTTTTTTTTTTTTTTTTTTTGAGTCACGCTCTGTCACCCAGGCTGGAGTGCAATGGTGCGATTTCAGCTCACTGCAACCTCTGCCTCCCGGCTTCAAGTGATTCACCTGCCTCAGCCTTCTGAGTAGCTGGGGTTACAGGCGCCTGCCCCCACACCCGGCTACTTTTTGTATTTTTGGTAGAGACAGGGTTTCACCATCGTGGCCAGGCTGGTCTCAAACTCCTGACCTCAGGTGATCCACCCGCCTTGGCCTCCCAAAGTGTTGGGATTACAGGCATGGGCCACCACGCCCAGCAGGGGATCTGCTTTTAAAGGGCTCACTCATAGGGCTGTTGGCAGGATGCCTCAGTGCCTCACCACATGGGCCTCTCAGTAGGGTTGCTTGTGTGTCCTTGTATCACGGCAACTGGCTTCCCCCACTTGGATCTTGCAAGTGAGCTGAGAGAACAAAGTAGAAACCATAACCTTTGGCCAGGCATGGTGGCTCACGCCTGTAGTCCCAGCACTTTTGGAGGCTGAGGCAGTTGGATCACCTGAAGTCAGGAGTTCAAGACCAGCCTGGCCAACATGGTAAAACCCCATCTCTACTAAAAAATACAAAAAAAAAAAAATTAGCCGGGTGTGGTGGTGGGCACCTGTAATCCTAGCTACTCAGGAGGCTGAGGCAGGAGAATCACTTGAACCAGAGAGGCAGAGGTTGCAGTGAGCCGAGATCACGCCACTGCACTCCAGCTTAGGCAACAAGAGTGAAACTCTGTCTCAACAACAACAACAAAAAAACGTGTAACCTTTTTTATGACCCAGCCTCAGAAGTTGTACACCATCATTTCTGCAATATACTAGTGCTTACACAGGTCAGCCTTACTCATTGTGGGAGAGGACTACATAAGGGTGTGAATACTAGGAAGTGGGGATCATTGAGGACATCTTGGAAACTAGCTTCCACAGAGTAAGGTCAGGATTTGCAGGAAAGAGGAATCTCAGGTTTGGGGTATGTTAAATTTGGGGTTCCTATTTTATACTCTGGTGATATTAAGAGGCAATTAGATGTACCAGTCTAGAATTTAGAGGAGTTATCAGCAGGTACAGGGTAGTTTAAACAACTGGACTAAGAAAACCTGGGGAGTCAATGTAGGTAGAGGATAGGTCTACGGCCTGTACCCTGGGTATCTCCAATATTTAAAAGTCAGGACAGGAAGGAAGATTGGGACGGATTAGCCATTGACGTAGAAGAACCAAGAGGTGTCCCAAAAGCCAAGTGGAGAGAGTTTCAAGAAGAGAGAGTGAGCAGTTGTATCAGAAGCTACTGATAGTCCAGTAAAATGAGGAGTGAGAATTGACCATTGAAATTAGCAACAAAGAGATTCCTGGAGACTTTGAAAGGAACAATTTTGATACTGTTGAGGATGAAAATCGGATCAAAGAGCAAAAAAGGAAGTGGAGACATTACCTATAGGTGACTTGGGAGTTTCACTGTAAGGGAGAGCTGAGAAATGGAGTGGGATCTGAAGGAGAAAGTGGTGAGATGGTGGGTTTGGTGGTGAGAGCAAGTGAAGTTCTGTTGCTTCTCTTTTCTTAGTGGAAATTGAAAGCAAGGACATTAGCTAAGTGAAGAAATAGGAGGGGGTTTTGGGAGCCTAAGGAGAGAGGAGAAGGTCTAAGTCACCTTAGAGAGTGGGAGAGTGAACTGATTAGAGAAATGAAGTGGAATTGCCAGGCAGTCCTAAAGGAGCTTCAGGAAAGAAGTAGGTACAGAGAGTTGAATGGAACCAGGGTGTGGGTTTTGCTGGATTTGTAAATGAAAGACGAGAGGAACAGGGAGTTGTGGTTATGTGCAAGAGAATAATTACAGTGGACCATGGGATTTCAGGAGGGAAGTGAGGACGTGATAGTGTCAGCAGTGTCAAAGAATTGGTGGATTTCGGGTACTAAATAGTGAACTTGGAAAATAAGGGTAAGTAGTTGAAGACTCAGACACTTGAAGTTGAATTTTGGAAGATTTGCAGTTATTGGCAGTGACAGGATCTAGGTATGAGTATGAAAATGGGTAGCTGAGGTGAGATGGCAAAATCAAAAGATTATCATGAGTCGGGAGGTCAGTATTCATTATTGAAATCACCAGTTATGATGGGGTGATTAGAGTGAGGCAAGGAGCCGGTGCAGAGGGAGAGGTGTGAGGAGAAGCACCATGGCAAGAGGTTAGTGGCATACACGTTGGAATTAGCTGAAATCTGTTTCCTCGGTTGCATTGGGCAAAGTCACTTCTCATCAGTGAGCCTCAACATCTTCTCAGTAAAACAGGGATAATTACCGCCACCCTCAAAGAGTCATTGTGGGGATGAAATGAGATGATGGTTGTGAAGTACAGTGATCTGTACACAGCTAATGTTCAGTATTTACTGTTGACTGTTTTCTTACTGTTTCTTTTATTAAAAGAATTGATATGTGTGTAGAAGTGCTTAATGCCTGACCCGTAGCATGTACTATATGAATATTAGTTATTATAACTTTTATTATCCCTAAGCAAAGGGCTTGTGCAGACTGGAGCCACCGATTTCACTGTGTCTGGCCCCAGCTGATGCCTCTGCTTCTCCCCTCCCCTTAGAGCTTGGGAAAGTCGAGGTGACGGTGTTTGACCCTGACTCCCTGGACCCTGATCGCTGTGAGAGCTGCTATGGTGCTGAGGCAGAAGATATCAAGTGAGCTGGCGGGGAGCGGGAGCAGGGTTCCCATCAGGCGCCATCTGTCAGTCAGCCTCAGCCTCAGTCAGACTGTGGCAGGTGGGGAGGTCAGACCAAGAATCTAGAGTGGGCGGGGTATGTGCCTCTGTCATTGATCCTGGTGCAAGCGACTGAGGCTTTGTAACCAGGCCCTATCTGGGAGCTGCAGACCTAGAGATGAAGCTGAAGTGGTCTCTGCTCTTCCACCTAGAGAAATGGTTCAGAGGTGGTCTCTGGAGTCCAGTTACCTGGGTTCTACCCGTTTCCTTGGGCCAAGCCATGTAACCTCTCTATGTGAAGAGGGATGATAATAACATCTTCTCGTAAGAGTCACATATGGATTAGCTGTATACTGTGTGTAAAGCACTGAGGTGGAAGGCCCAGCCCAGATTATTAGACCCTCAGTATCTGATAACTGCTGCTGTTTCCCAGACCCTGACTTCTGCAAGACTGATTCAGCAGGTCTGGAGTGGGGCCTGGGAATGTGTACTTAAATTTTTTTTTATTGTGGGAAAATATGTGACATAAAATTTACCATTTTAACTATTTTTAAGTGTGCAACTCAGTGGCATTAGGTATCTTCACAGTGTCATGCAGTCACCACTCTCTGTCCTAAAACTTGTCATCGCCTCAAACAGAATGGGAATATGTATTTTTCACAGTCCTAGTCTGGGCACAATGGCTTACACCTGTAATCCGTAGCACTTTGGGAGGCCGAGGTAGGTGAATCACTTGAGCTCAGGAGTTTGAGACCAGCCTGGGCAACATAGCAAGACCCTATCTCTAAAAAAATTTTAAAAATTAAAAAAAGAAAACAGTCCTTCTGCCACTGAGGAAACACATTTGGAGAATGTTTGGTGGTCAGGGATGAGGCTAGCAGAGCCTTCATTAGCAGGCAGAGCTGCTCGGGCTCTATTTCCCCAGATGCCAGCACTGGACTTATGCCTCTTTAACACTCTCACCGTCACTCCCTGCCCTACAGGTGCTGTAACACCTGTGAAGATGTGCGGGAGGCATATCGCCGTAGAGGCTGGGCCTTCAAGAACCCAGATACTATTGAGCAGTGCCGGCGAGAGGGCTTCAGCCAGAAGATGCAGGAGCAGAAGAATGAAGGCTGCCAGGTGTATGGCTTCTTGGAAGTCAATAAGGTATCAGGAGGGATCAAGACAAGATAGGGCCAGCTGGGCTGGGCAAGCTCCACTGGGAACCGAGGGCCCAGTCAGGCCCTGAGTAGGCAAAAGGAGGACACAGCCAGTGAATGAGAGAGAATGTTCCTTACAGGTGGCCGGAAACTTCCACTTTGCCCCTGGGAAGAGCTTCCAGCAGTCCCATGTGCACGGTGAGTGATCTGCACTAGCTGGGGAGATTTAGATGCTGGCCACCTTCTTGGTGAGCTTGAGTGGTCCTCTTCTGCCTGCTGCTCATTTGTCTTGGGCAACCATTTGGCCAGAGCAGGCCTTCATCTCAGGGCAGCAGTTTGGCACAGTGGCTAAGAGCACAGGCCGAGGAGCCAGACTGCCTGCATTCAGATACCAGTTTCAGACCTTACTGGCTGTGTGACTTTGAGAAGGTTTCTTAATCTTTTTGACTCCTGTTTTCTACTTTATAAAATGTTGTGAGGGCACTTATCTCACAGGGTGTGTGTGCAGGTTAAAGATGATAGCACGGAGCCTGGCTTGTGGTAGGTACTTGTTGAAATGGTAGCCCCCCGTGTCCGATGATGACCTGTGCATGAGGCTTTGGGAGAAGCAGAGCTAGGTTGGAGCACAGGTTCTGCCACACCTGGGCTATGTCATATTTGGGCCCTATTTAGTTGCTTCTTCTGTAAAATGGGGATGATGATAATAGTACCCACTCACAGGGCTGTTGGGGTGAACAAATGAGATTTATTCTCATTCATTTGTTCATTCATGCATTCACAAAATATTTAGTAATCACCTACTAGTCTAGTTGCTAAGGGTACAGTAGTGAACAATCTGTGCCCTCAGAACATTCTAGTAAAGAAATAGACAATAAGTATATAAAATATAAATAGTCCCCAATTAACAATGGTTCAGCTTGCAATTTTTAACTTCATGATGGGTATTACATGCATTTTTCACTTAACGATATTTTCTTTTTCTTTTTTGAGACAGAGTCTCACTCTGTCGCCCAGGCTGGAGTGCAGTGGCATGATCTTGACTCACTGCAACCTCCACCTCCTGGATTCAAGTGATTCTCCTACCTCAGCCTCTTGAGTAGCTGGGTGTACAGGTGCGTGCCACCACGCCCAGCTAAGTTTTGTATTTTTAGTAGAGATGGGGTTTCATTATGTTGGCCAGGCTGGTCTTGAACTCCTGACCTCAAGTGATCTGCCCGCCTCGGCCTCCCAAAGTGCTAGGATTACAGGCATGAGCCACCGCACCTGGCCGACTTACAATATTTTCAACTTGCAATGGGTTTATTGGGACGTAACCCCAGTGTAGGTCAGGGAGCATCTGTATATGGTATATCAGATGCTGTTAAGTCATATGGACCAAAACAAGGCAGGATAAAGATGGTAATGGGGAGGGGCTAGGGTAGGGCAGTGAGGGTCCTATTTTAAATATGGAGGTCAGGGAAAAACTCTTTGATGAGGTAATATTTTAGCAAAGACCTGAAGACAGTGAGGGAGCCAGCCATGTGGATGTCTGGGGAGGAAGTGTTACAAGCAGAGAGAACAGCAAATGCAAATTCCTAAGGCTAGAATGTGCTTGGCAAGTTCAAGATACAGTAAGAAGGTTAGGGTGGCTGGAGCAGAGGAGCATGCTTAGAAATGAAGTGAGAGAGGCCGGGTGCAGTAGCTCATACCTGTAATCCCAGCACTTTGGGAGGCCGAGGCGGGTGGATCACCTGAGGTCAGGAGTTCAAGACCAGCCTGGCCAACATGGTGAAACCCTGTCTCTACCAAAAATACAAAAATTAGCTGGGTGTGGTGGCACACGCCTGTAATCCCAGCTACTCGGGAGGCTGAGGCACGAGAATCTCTTGAACCTGGGAGGTGGAGGTTGCAGTGAGCTGAAATTGCGCCATTGTACTCCAGCCTGGGTAACAGAGTGAGACTCCATTTCAAAAAATAATAATAAATAAAGAGAGGTCACAGGGCCATATCATGCAGGGCTTGCAGGGGCATTGTAGGGACTCGGGCCGTTACTCTGCATGAGATGAGAAGCCATTGTAGGGCCCTGAAGAAGGTGAGGCATGATCTGACTTAAAAGCTCTCCAGCTGCTCTGTGGACAAGACTGGGCAGGGGAAAGGACAGAATCAGAGAGGCCCATTAGGAGGCAGTTGCAGTGATCAATCCAGGCAAAAGATGGTGGGGCACGGCCCAGAGTGGCAGTGGAAGTGGTGGGAAGTGACTGGCTTCTGGATGTATTTTGAAGGTAGAGCTGAGAAGAGTTCCTGATGGGCATGAGGGATAAAGGAAAAAGGAGTCAAGGATGCCTCCAAAGTTTTGTACCTGAGTAGTAAGAAGGATGGAGTTGCCTGTAATCCTAGCACTTTGGGAGGCCAAGGCAGGTGGATTGCCTGAGCTGAGGAGTTTGAGACCAGCCTGGGCAACATGATGAAACCTTGTCTCTACTAAAAAATGCAAAAAATCAGCCGGGCGTAGCGGCGTGCGCCTGTAGTCCCAGCTACTCGGGAGGCTGAGGTAGGAGAATTGCTTGAACCCAGGAGGCGGAGGTTGCAGGGAGCCGAGATTGTGCCATTTCACTCCAGCCTGAGCGACAGAGTGAGATTCCATCTCCATTAAAAAAAAAAAAAAGGATAGAGTTGCCATTTAGCAAGATGAGGGAGACTCAGGGCAGGTTTAGATGTTCGGAAATGGGATCGTACAGCTGGTATTCGGCTTTTGACGTGTTCAGACCAATAGCATCTGGGTGTCCTTCTAGACACCCAAGGTGTCAAGTAAGTTTTCCATTCAAGCCTGGAGTTCAGGGAGAGGACTTGCCTGGAGATGCAGATGTTGGCATCATCAGCATGTGTATAGAGCTGTGGGACTGGATGAAATCACCCTGGAGGTGAGGGCAGATGGAGAAGAAGGGAAGCTCAAAGGGCTGGGTGCCAGGCCTCCCACATTAGAGGCCAAGGGTGTCAGGGGGAATTGGTAGGGGAGACTGGAGGAGGAGTGTAAGCTGGGAATGTGGCATCCTGCCAGCCACGGACGGGTGTTTCAAATACCACATCAGATGCTTCTGGATGTCAAGCGGGAATTGACCATGGCATGTACATGCAACAGTCACTTATAGCCTTGACTGAGTCATTTAAGGGTGTGACAGGACCACCCTAGAGTGGGTTCGGGAGGGAATGGGGGAGGAGTTGGAGCCAGTATTGACAGCTCTATAGTGGAAATTGCCTAGGGGAGGAGAGAGCATGAGCTGAAGCTAGAGGGAAATGTGGAGTCGAGGGAGGCTTTTCTAAGGAGGGTGATGTAGCAGAATGTTAATATGCTGTTGGAAATTATCGACTAAAGAGCATAAGTGATGCTCCAGAGACGAGACAGTGACCGGAGTGAAGTCCTGGAGAAGGAGAAAGAAGACAGAATCTAGTGCCTTACATATGTGGAAAGTCCAAACTTAGCACCAGGAGGAAGGGCAGGCTCTGTAGGTACAGGTAGGGTGGTAGCTGGTGTGGCAGAAGTACATGGAGAGTCTCTTCTGAGTCTTCCCATCTTCTCCGTGTTGTAGGAAGGAAGGTCCTCAGTTGAGAATGAGGAGAGAGGGAAGGAGGTGTTGGAGATTTGAAAGAAGAAAAGATGTGACTGGTCACTTGGGGGTGGAAGAGTGCGTGGACTGGGGAGATTGAGTAGGATTGATGCAGCCCTAGGGCCTCCCTGGAGTCCGCGGCTGTGAATGCAAAGAGAGCGGTCAGCATGGTTGTCTGTGTGGGAATGGACTCAGTCAACAGAACATTGCAATTGCATGGGGTTTGGTGTTGCCAGGTGCCTGCAAAGGTGAGGGAGTCAAATATGTAAAGAACTCATCTTGATTCTGGACCACAGCATATGAGCTAGGAAAGGAGGAAAGACAGGATGTGGAGAAGCCAGTGAGGGGGCAGGAGGAAAAAGGGACTACAAGTCCTGAGTGTAGTGTCAACAAGTTATTGGAATTGGGGAACTGGAGGAAATTAGAAAGCTGGTGGAGCATGAGTTGCTTGAAATTGAAGTCACAGAAGGGGCTTTGTTAATGACAAAGTTTAGGGAATGGCCAACAGAGCAAGTGGCTTGGGTAGGCAGAGCACAAGATCAGGGAGGAAAGGATGTCCAGGAACTGGGAGGCCCGGGTACTGGAAGGATCATCTACGTGGATATGGAAATCACTAGAACGTGTGACAGAGGTAGTACAGGAGAGAGTGACAGGCAGTTGCCCAAGCTGTTGAAAAATGGCATGGGAAAACTGTTCTGGAGGTTCCATATCGATATCTAGGTGACTGAAACAAGCAGGGCTGCTTTGCCCTGAGCTTCAAAGCTGGGGATTTTTTTTTTTTTTTTTTTTTTTTTTTTGAGGCTGGAGTGCCATGGCACAATCTTGGCTCACTGCAGCCTTGACCTCCTGGACTCGAGATCCTCCCACCTCAGCCTCTCAAGGAGCTGAGACCACAGGCACATGCCACCATGCCTGGCTAATTTTTTTTTTTTTTTTTGCAGAGACAGGGTCTTGCCATGTTGCCCAGGCTCCTGGGCTCAAGTGATCCTCCCGCTTGGCCCCCCAAAATGTTGGGATTACAGATGTGAGCCATTGTGCATTTTTAAGGCAGATAAAGGGAAAGTGATCTGGAAGTGGCAGTAAGGAGCAAGAAAGACTTCTCTTTAGGCCAGGGAAGAGGTTGTGTATGGAGAGAAGATAGTCGCACGTTGAGGGGATGCCAGGGAGTTAGTGCCTGAAAGGAAGAGCCAGGCTGAAGCAAGAAAGTGAAGAGGAACCCAGGGGTTGAAGGCAGGGTTGGGGAAGGTGGGAGTTGGTGTCACAGTAAAGGATGGACAGAGCTGCACAGTGACAGAGCCCAGGGTATGAAGATGGCCTCTCAAAATGGTTGAAGTGAACAGGAAGAAAGGGCCCCCTGGAGGGTAGCTCTGCTGGTCTTCAGGGCAATCTGTGGGGGTGGGGCTGTGTTGGGGAGGGGCCAGTGTGGGGGCTGGAGGACCCTGCAGAGCTCTGGGACCCCCTCTTCACTCTGGAGGAAGCTGGGAGAAAAGGGTCTTGCTGGGAGGGCAGGAAGATGATCAGTGTCAAGCTGTTGGCACAAGGTCTGGCGGGCACTCAGTAGACACACAGCCAGAGTGGCAGCCTCTTGGCCTGGGACTGTTAGACTTGTGGATCCCCGGGCCGGGGGTGCTCTGTATTTGGAAGGATGTATAAATGCAAAGGTACAGTTGCCCAAGGCCAGAGATCTGGCTGAATTGAGGCCTGGGAGTGAGTTTCTAACATCCTTGTTGATTGGGGCTGGGGTGGGTAATAATCTCTTACAGTGTAAAGTTTACAAGTATTTTTCCATCTTAGATCCCACGTGATCCTTAGGACAGCCCTTTGCAAAGGAGAACACTGAGGCCCAGAAAGGGCAACTGATTTGCCCAAGGCCACACAGTCAGGAACTTGGCTCTTTGAGCTCTAGGCCTCTTGTCCTTCTAGGCCACTATTTTGCTCCTCTCTGGCCAGATTAGTTCACTCTCGAGGAGGGGCCCAGAAGGAGGCTTGTTAGCTGGGGCCAGACTGTGTTGCTGAGGCTGAATGTTCCAGTCTTCCCTCCTGCAACATATCTTGCTCTCATAGTTCTCATTGTGAAGCTCTGAATCTTTCTTCTCTCTCCTCCCTCCCCCATGCTGCAGTACATGCTGTGGAGAGTAAGTGGCCCTGCCCCCATGGAGGCCAAACCCCTACTTCTGGGGCAGCCTGCCCTACTAGAATGGCGGGGAGGTTGGATGGGGCTGTGATTGGGTCTCCTCTGACCTGGCTGCTGGGTGACTGTAAAAGGTCTGGGATGTATCTTTGAAGTATGGTTCCTTGCAGCAGGAGGGATTGAGGCTAGAGGGCAGGAATAAATTGTTCTGGAACAGTTGGTACAGGGTCCCCATGGGATTTCTTCTGGGGAGCTTTGAGGGTGGAGGCAGGGAAAGTGTGGATGGCATTCTCAGATCCCACCTCACTTTGAGGTTCAGTGATTTGCCATCAGCTCTAGTTAGTGAGAGCCCATAGTCGGTGGGTTTTGTTTCCGGAGATGCAGGCAGGGCCATGGTGGTAGTCAAGGCATAGAGTTCCCTGTGGACGTCAGGGAGGAACCAGGGTCTGTTCTAAAGACTCCTGAGGAGGGCGTGAACTCTCACACAGGCCCAAGGCTTGCCCTTTCTGGCTGTCCTTAAGCAGGACCAGGAGGTGCCAGGCTGGAGAAGGAATGAGGGGCAGAGAAGACAGGTGGTTTGCAGTCCAGGGGGAGGAAGGAGGAGGCCAGTGCTGCTCCTACTAATGACGCCTTCTCCCTTGCCTTCTCCCTTCTCTCCTAGTCCATGACTTGCAGAGCTTTGGCCTTGACAACGTACGTACCAGATGGAAACCATGGAGGGCAGGTGGGGGTGGGAGGCTTGGTTGCTGCCTTCATTTCCTTGTAGGAACATCCTGGGATGGGGTAGTGCATATGGAAAAATACACCACGTTCTGAATGGGGATCCAGCCTGAGGGTTAAGCGAGAGTGACTTTTGAACTGAACTCTGAGCAGGCTAGGGGCAAGATTGGGGTTGGATAAGAGCATCCTAGACAGACAGAGCCTCAGCGCAAGGTCAGGCGGGAGCATGGCCCTTCTAAGGAACTGCGGGGCAGGTGTGGATGGGTGAGGCTGGAG
Source organism: Homo sapiens (assembly GCF_000001405.40). Lineage (NCBI taxonomy): Eukaryota > Metazoa > Chordata > Mammalia > Primates > Hominidae > Homo > Homo sapiens. Next base: position 35,555,379 of record NC_000020.11, read on the forward strand.
AAGTCGGCAGGGACCAGACCACACCGGACTCAGAGGCCACGCTGAGGAATCACATCTTTCTCATGAGAACAGTGGAAAGCTGTTGGCCTTCTTTAAGCAGGATCACGACATAATCAGATTTGCATTTTAGGAAAGATCCTTCTAGTGTCTGAGGCTGATACACAAGGGAGCAGGAAGGGAGTGTATCTGGGGGTTCACAGCCTCCAGCCTAGGCCTCCAGGCAAAGCCAGCACCTGCTACTCTGTGTGCCTAACGTACAAGTGAAGCTGGTATTTTAAGAAATCTGGAACCTGGCCAGGCATGGTGGCTCATGCTTGTAATCCCAGCTACTCAGGAGGCTGAGGCAAGAGAATCGCTTGAATAAGGCGAGGCTGCAGTGAGCCAAGATCATGCCACTGCTCTCCAGCCTGGGCAACAGAGTGAGACCTTGTCTCAAAAAAAAAAAAAAAAAAGAAAAATCTGGAACCCCAGGAGTTTGCAGGCTGTGGAAGGAGGAGTTTCTAGGCAGGGAATGGGGGATTCTTATCTCGGGGAGGTTGTCCCCTTAGGACCATAGCCTCCCCTTCCTCCCACATCTCCGCAGACGGACCCAGGTGTCCCTGTCTGCTACTGTCATCAGAGCTTTGGATGAGCTCTGGATGGTGTTGTTTACAGATCAACATGACCCACTACATCCAGCACCTGTCATTTGGGGAGGACTATCCAGGCATTGTGAACCCCCTGGACCACACCAATGTCACTGCGCCCCAAGGTACCAGCCCGGGAGGCAGCCCCCAGCCGCAGAAGGCCGGCCGGGCACCCATACCCAGTGCTTTGTTTTCCCCTCAGCCTCCATGATGTTCCAGTACTTTGTGAAGGTGGTGCCCACTGTGTACATGAAGGTGGACGGAGAGGTGAGTCAGGGAGCTCCCTACCAGAGTCTCCTGCGCGGTGCCAAGCACTGGAGTTCCTGCATTTCGTTCCGTCAGCCTGGGGAGTGAAAGCTGCCTCGTCCTCACATGGCGAATAAAAGACTGAGGCACAGAGAGGGTGGGGGATTTGCCCTCCCAGGCAGAGTGCAGGCCTGGGGCTGTTAGATTTAAAGCGCCTGCTCTTTCTGCTGCCCTCACCGCTTCTATCCGTTCCTCCGGTGCCCACCGTCTGCCTGCCTCACTGTTCTCTGTGGTCTGCCTGGGCTGGGGGTTAGGCAAGGCAAGTCTCTGTGTACCCGCTCCCAAGGCTGCCCTGGCCTGTGGAGCAGCATCTCAGCAGAGTGGCAGGATGCGAGGGGCTGAGGGCAGAGGAAGTCAGGTCAGCCTTGGTGCGTCTTTGGAGAGCTGCTTCTCAGCCTGGACCCCCGTGAGAACACCCACCAAATGCTGCCAGGATAGGTAAACTGTAAAGACTTGGCACCTGGAGGGGAAGGCTGAGGCCAAGACTAGGAGAGGGGGTCTGGCGGGCCAGGCCTTGCAGTGCAGGCCACTAGCACGGTGCTGTGTTCTCTCCTTACACGGCCAAGGCTCAACAGGAAAGGGGAAGGAGCAGGGGTGGGGCTGATGGTGGCTGGAGCCAGGTCCTAGCCCTAGCCCTGGCCCAGGCTCCCCTCCCACCCCAGGTACTGAGGACAAATCAGTTCTCTGTGACCAGACATGAGAAGGTTGCCAATGGGCTGTTGGGCGACCAAGGCCTTCCCGGAGTCTTCGTCCTCTATGAGCTCTCGCCCATGATGGTGAAGCTGACGGAGAAGCACAGGTGAGGATGGGGGCAAAGCGGCCTCTGGGGGCCTGGGCCTGAGGGAGGAGGATGCCTGCTGAGCCCACCCTCTCCTTCTACCAGGTCCTTCACCCACTTCCTGACAGGTGTGTGCGCCATCATTGGGGGCATGTTCACAGGTAAGAGGCCCAGGGCGTCTGTGAGCTGTGGGGTGGGGAGGGTAAAGCCTGGGTGCCCCAGGTTTGGTTGGGGGTGAAGGGGCAGATGCTGGCCTGGCCAGTTAAGTGACAAGGCTCTCAGCGTCAAAAGCCAAGGCCCCCACTGGGCCAGTGCCAGCCCTTGTCTCTCTCCCAGTGGCTGGACTCATCGATTCGCTCATCTACCACTCAGCACGAGCCATCCAGAAGAAAATTGATCTAGGGAAGACAACGTAGTCACCCTCGGTGCTTCCTCTGTCTCCTCTTTCTCCCTGGCCTGTGGTTGTCCCCCAGCCTCTGCCACCCTCCACCTCCTCGGTCAGCCCCAGCCCCAGGTTGATAAATCTATTGATTGATTGTGATAGTACTCACTGGTCTCCGTGTGATCCTTGCCATGGCCAGAGCCTCATCCTGGCCACTCATTGAAGGCAATTGTGACTGACAGATCGGGGCCCAGAGCCCTCGGGAGCCCCACATGGGCATCCCCTAGTTAACCGGGGTTTATTCAAACCAGGTTCATGTCCAGCCCACAGCCCTGTCCTGGGTCCCTCCTCCACTGTGGTCCTCAGGCCTCTCGGGTTCAGCCCCAGGGCTCAGATGGACCTTTTCAGCGTGAGCTTCCTGGAGCCACCATGGCCCCCAGGCTCATGAGTGATCAACCCCAGGCCACTAATTCAGGGCCCTGAGTGCATATTGGGGCTTGCCACTTCTTCATTGATGGGTAAAGCTGGGGCCGCTCTCCGCCACCCTGGGCTCAATACACCTGATCCTGTCACACTCACTGATCCCACTCTGTGCCAAACCCCACGCTGGCTCTCACTGCAGAGAGGAATCCCTCCAGGTCCTCTGCAGTCTAGATGGAAGCAAAACTGAACACTGAGGTGCGAAAGTAGCAGTCAGTGGCCATTCTGGAGCAGGGCCAGCACCAGACCCCTGGCTTGGAGCCTAATCAGGGTTTCCCATTAGAACTCTGGATCCATGTGGAGAACCAGGGCCCAGCAACCTCACCAGTCCACAGCCTAGGGAACCAGGGGTACCTAAACAGCCAGTCAGTTTATCAGATCATGTCTCGAATGTTGATGCAAGACTGTGGCAGGGGAAAAGCGAGAGAGAGGGGAAAGGAAGCGAAGTCAGGTAGTGACAGCAGAACTTTTAGCTCTGATGGAAGCCTCTCTCAGGGATGGTGAGGAATGGACAGGTTAATGGAGTCCGTCAGGTCCTTAGCTGTCCTGGAGGGGTGGAAGCCAGAAACAGATTAGGTGAGAGGGACCTGGCCACCAGCAGGAGCAGGAGCAGTGGTGGAGTGGGTGTGATAACTCAGCTGCCGGGGCCCTTTTCTTCCCTGTGGTGGGGATGGGGGCAGCCTTCCATCCCTGTGCATTCTTCAAGTCCCCAGCACCTGAGGTCACCCAAGAACATCTCTGTTCTTTGCCACCTGGTGCCGGCCTTGTATAGCACGTGATCACAGGTCAGTGGCTGTGATAGGTTTATTCAGAGGAAGCACTAGACTCTGGGGTAGCTCACATGGGTAAGAAAGACTTCCAGGAGCAGGCATTGAAGGGTTGGCACCCTGGGTGAGTGTCCAAGGTCAGCGAGAGTCACTTGTGGAGGGGACGGAAGATGACCTGGCTGATCTGGCCAGGGATGGTGTAGAAGACCAGGAGGAGGAAGACGGTGAGCAGCACCAGTAGCAGCAGCACCAGGGTGCGCCAGTACCGGCGCCAGATGAAGAAGACAAAGGTCTTCAGCGGGTTCACAAACCAGTTGAAGGAAGTTTTGGGGCGGCTGTTGAGGAGAAGAGTGGTGTCAGGATGAGGAGGAAGCCCCTTGACCACCCCCACCTCCCCATCGGCCCAGGCTGTGGCCCCAGCCCCGGTGCCTGACTCACCTGGGTTTCTCCAGAGGCTCTGGCTGCTTCCGCCCCTTCCCCACTGGCCGTTTCTCGGCCTCCTCCACAGTCAGCAGCTCAAACTCTGCCTCCACCTTGCCCTAAAAAAGACATTCCTGCATCACTGGGAGCAGGGGGCGGGCTCAGGCCCCAGCTCAGCCTGGCCTCTGCCCACGGGCACCCACCGTGAGGATGTACACATTGCCACCCATGTCTGTGAACTCCAGGTCTTCTGGCCGGCCCTTCCTCCTCCTCTGCTTTCGCTTCTTCTTGCCAGCCTGAGCCTCCTGCGCCTCCCGCTCCACGTCCTCTGCCTCCTTCAGCTTCACTACCGGCCACCAGCCCCTCAGGCGGCGGCAGCAGCGAAACAGATTGCACCTCGGCCCGGCCCCATTGCGGGCCAGCTGCACAGAGCAGAGCTCGGGGCCCCGGGCCCCACGCACCATGTCTGGTAGCTGCAACTCCAGGGATCCTGCAAGTCCAGAGCACACCAGATTAGGCATGGGATCAAAGTCTCATTGTGCCAGGGGTGAGGAGGCAACACACCAAGGTTGTAAATTGGGGCATTGAAAGTTGTTGCAGTGTGCGGTCAGGCCACAGCTATAGACCACCCAGACCACAGCCCAGCGGTCCACCCATTGCTACTTCCCAGTGGAAGAGGGCCAAGGGTCGGGATCAGAGTGCCAAGGACCAAAGGCTGTGGAGTCGGTGTCAGGGTGACAAGCTAGGGTCAAATCAGAGTTGAATCAGAGACTCTGGGTGGGAATGGAGGTTACTGTGGTCTAGGCCTAATTAACTCAGTAATTAGGCCAGAAAGCAAAGGTTTCACACCTCGGGTCCAAAATCCCAAGATTCAAGGTTGGGTCAGAGTAGGGAACTGGGGGACGGAAGTGAGGGCTGGAGGCAGGGGCGGAGGTGAGGGCCGGAGGCAGGGGCTGAGGGTGGGGAAGGCTAAGCATTGTAATACCAAGGAAGTCATTGGCAGAGATGCGGTCATAGTCCCAGACCTGCAGGACCAGCACTGCAGGCTGCCGGAACTCCGCCTCCTCCAGGGCAAAGGGTCCAGACCTGCGCCGGACGCTCACCTCCCGCTCCGTGGGCAGGTAGTCAAAGCGGAACACAAAGCGCCAATTGAAGTTCCCCTCCCCAGTCAGGGAGTTGAAGTGAACGTCTGTCTCCTGCTTGTCATGCTCCAACCCCTTCACCCAGCTGGGGCCGGGGTGGGTGAGCGTCAGGGCTGGAGCTACATGGAGAACCCACTCCTCACCCCGCTCTCAGCACCACGGAGGGCCTGGGGTCGGGGCTCTGGACTCAGCCCGAGGGCCCACACCCATTTGCAATCCCCCTAGTGCACCGCCGTTGCCCCACCCGGCCAGCAGCCTACCTCTTCACATAGATGTCACTCGACATCTCTCCGGTGAGTGGATTCTCGTCGTCCAGAACCACATCCTCCGTGTTCCAGATGACAACTCTGAGCTCATAGCTGGGGGGCACATTAGGGGGTGGCTTCAGACTCTCGAGTGGGGCCCTAAAAGGGGCTGCAGGAAGCAGGAGGGACCTGGGCCGGGGCCACTGACATTCACTGGACACCTGTGTGCCCAGCAGGGGAATCCAATGCCTGTGGTCCCATGAAGGGAAGCCCCAGGTGTCACTGACCACCCTGGCCACAGCAGATGGCCCCAGGAATGGTCTGTGGGGCCAGCGAGGTTCTCCTTCCCGTGAATTTAGAATCAGGGCGCTGCACTGTTGCATGGTGTGGCATCAGATGCAAAGCTGGAGCTACCACAAGCCAGAGTTTGGGGATGTAGAAAAGTGAGTGAACAGAAAGCCAGTCTGCAGGGAGAAGAGGGAGGATGAGAGATGGGGGACAGGAGCATACAGCGCCTGAGGGACAGGAGGGCTGCGACACTCTGGACCCTACCCGCATATAGCCCTGTCTTTGGGGGCCATGGGGTTGCCTGGATAGCTGTTTTCTCCAGCCCAGCATCAATTTCCCCTCATTTGTTGACAGCACCGTGATTTTCTGCTGGTGACCCACCCCCACCCCAACCACCCCTCCCCACCACCACTGTCAATCTATGGAATTCTGGTGGGGCAGGCCCCTCCCTCCCTGGCTGGACGGGGTCGGGGAGACATCACTGGACTGGCCAATTCGAGTATTACAGCCCCCTAACCACAATGATTGGTTCTTCAGGGCACAGCATTTGACCCAAGCTGGTCGGCTGAGTCAGCCCTGAGGCTTTTGCTGTAACTGGGAAAGAGGTGTTTGTTTCTGCTCAAGTGGCCTGGCTGAGATGTAAGCCTCGCACTGTTAGATGCCACTTTGCCCCCAGCCCTGCAGAGGGCTCCCTGAGAGCGACACCAAGGAAAGCAGAGCCCAGAGGCAGAAAGTGACAGGCTGCTGATATCCGAGCATCTGCATTCAGCCCTGTGTGAAGTGGCTGTGACCCACACACAACTCCACTCAGATGAGCTTAGGTGGGAAGGGGGCTTACCAAAAGGTACTTGGACTCAATTTACAAGAGACACTCAACTTGCAATGCTTTTGAATAACAGGGAATTTAATGACACCTAACTGAAAAGCCTGTGATGAGCAACCTCTGCCTGCTTCACTGGGGACCCGGGTTTTCAGAGGAGCCTTGTACAGGTAGACCAGGATGTGCACCCGCCTTGGGAGGAGGCGACAGAACTCTCACCTGATTGGCTGCCGAGGCTTGATGTCAACTGGGGGTGGAGCAGGCACATCTTGAGGAAAGATGTCAATCCACATGTGAAGAGATCCCTGGGGGGACAGGACCAGGCTGGAGGGTCTTGCCAGGCTCCCAACCTTCCCTGACAGCCCTATGGCCACAGGCTGTGCCTTGTCCCCAAGTGGAGAAAAGAGCTAGGGTCAAAATGACAGGGTCGGGTAGATCCTGGGGGATGAGGATGAAGGTGGAGTCTGAAGTGTGGGTTCCAGGATCAAGGTTAGATTAGGGGTTCAAGGATGAGGTCCAGGCTGGGCGCGGTGGCTCACGCCTGTAATCCCAGCACTTTGGGAGTCCATGGAGGGTAGATCACTTGAGCTCAGGAGTTTGAGACCAGCCTGGGCAATATGACGGAACCCTGTCTCTACAAAAAATATAAGAACTAGCCGAGTGTGGTGGCAGACGCCTGTAATCCCAGCTACTCCCGAGGATGAGGTGGGAGGATCACTTGAGCCTGGGAGGTGGAGGCTGCAGTGAGCCGAGATCATGCACCTGCACTCCAGCTTGGGCAACAGAGTGAGACCCCATGTCAAAAAGGAAAAAAAAAAAAAATGAGGTTCCAGAAGGGGAAGTTGAGATTAAAAGTAATATCTGGTGTTCCAAGGTCCAGATCTTAGGGATCTGGGGGGAGGTCAGGTTAGGAACCCCACATCTGAGTCTTGGGGCCCGGGGGTGGGGATCCTGTAGGACTAGGGTCAGGGTGAAGGTGTGGTCCAGGATGGAGGTCCAAGATGAGCAGGGACACAGGGACCAGCAACAGGAGCTGCAGTCAGGAGCTGCAGGTGGCACCCAGGTGGACATCTTGGGGAAAGGCTGTCCTGGGGGCCCAGGGTCCAGGATCAGGTGGGTGTCCTGGGATTCTAAGAGTCTTGTGATTCTGGGCCTGGGTGCTGAGCCCTCCCACACCTGTAGCAGCCCTGGGCTGTGGGGATGGTAGAGAGGCCTGGTTTCTACATGCTCGGGTACCAGCTGGATCCCAAAACCCGGCATTTCCTGCCAGCGCCGCAGCACAAGCAATGCCTGGGCCTCTTCAGGGTCCCCGCTCGCCACTGTGGGGCTGCTGCTGCCTGAAGCAAGAGGTGTGTGAGCTTAGGGCTCCACACAGTTTCCATCTCTCCTCCCGCCCTCCCCCGCCCCGCCCCCCCAACAGAAGCTCTAAGCTGGGGAAGCCACTGTGTTGGATAAAGCCCTGTGGACTAGGAGAGCAGCTCTGTAATGCACAAAAAGTGGGAGACGCTGCTATAACTTTGCCCAGTGAAAAGCCAGCAGTCAGTGGGACAGTGGGATTGGAGGTACTGCCACCTTTGCCTAGACCCTATTTAGAGAATAAGCCACCAGAGCAGGCACACTGGCTCATGCCTGTAATCCGAGCACTTTTGGAGGCCAAGATGAGAGGATTGCTTGAGTCCAGGAGTTTGAGACCAGTCTGAGCAACATGGCGAAACCTCATCTCTACCAAAAAAAAAAAAAAAAAAAAAAAAGAAAGAAACTTAGGTGGGCGTGATGGTACGTGCCTGTAATCCCAGCTACTCAGGGGGCTGAGATGGGAGGATCACTTGAGCCTGGGAGGTCCAGGCTCCAGTGAGCTGAGATGGCACCACTGCACTCCAGCCTGGGTGACAGAGCAAGACCCTGTCTCAAAAAAAATAAATAAATAAAAAATAAGCCTCCAGCCATTTAATTCTGCAGCCACATTCTGTTATATGGGGCGCTCTATGGGACCTCTGTGTTCCGGGAACTTGATTAGTTATGGGTCCACTTTGGCTCTTTGGGGGAATCTCACACTCACCAATAAAGACTGTTTTCTCCCTAATACCCAAGAACCTCGTCCTTACTCAACCAAATTCACATCTACTTGCTGAAGAAATGGGTTATTTTGGGGAGCACACAAGACTGGGCCCCCTGTACCTTGTTCTACCGACATCTTGCTTGAACAGAAAGGGGCTGATACCTGGGGGCAGGGTCTCCGGTGGTGTCAGGAAGACTTTGCTGCCCACCTTGACAGCACCGGCTCGGTATTCAGGGGCAGGGAGGCCACAGCGTTGGCACAGCCCCGCCAGGATCTGCGAAGGCCAGAATGCATCACGCCAGGCATTGTAACCATCTCTACAGGCAGAAAAAGAAGATGCGTCAGCTGGGGCTGGTGTAGGGACACAGCTGGGCCTGGGGCAGTGATGACGTCATGAAGACATGAGGTCTAGGTTCAAAACTCCCAACGGGAGACAGGTTAGTCCTCATTTATGATAACAATGAATGAAAAAAATGTAGTCCAGGTGCTTCCATTAAGAAGATACTGATCTTATTACCTCTGTTTTGCAGATGAGAAAACAGACTTGAAGAGGTTAAGTGGGCCTGGCATGGTGGCTCACACCTGTAATCCCAGCACTTTGGGAGGCAGAGGTGGGTGGATCACTTGAGGTCAGGGGTTCAAGACCAGCCTGGACAACATGGTGAAACCCTGTCTCTACTAAAAATATAAAAATTAGCTGGACATGGGGGCCCACGCCTGTAATCCCAGCTACTGGGGAGGCTGAGGCAGGAGAATCGCTTGAACCCAGGAGGTGGAGGTTGCAGTCAGCCGAGATCGTGCCACTGCACTCCAACCTGGGAGACAGAGCGAGACTGTTTCATAAAAAAAGAAAGCGGTCAAGTGACATTCGTTACAGGATCCCGACTCCCAAGCCCAAGTCTTGACCACTGAGCTATGTCTTGGTTGGCAGTGGCGGTGGGTGGGAGGGTCCCCTTCCATGAAATCATAGGATCTGGAGAACACAAAAGGGAATGTGAGCTTGAATGTGTTTGGCCAGAAACTCAGAATGGCTCCTGTGGGCCCTGCTGGACCCACACTTCATACTGGGAGGCCAGCCCACAGTTTGCTCTGTGGTGGCTATAGAATCGGTTTTCCAGATCAATGTGGGTCTCCCCGATGAGGTCGTCAGAACCCACGAGGTCATGATCAAATACGGCGACCGTCAGCTCCGTCTCAGCTGGGAGAGAGATGCTTAGCTCCAGGATCCTGGCAAGGAGGGAGAGGGACTGAGGTCACTTCCATGCTCCAGGAGGTGGTCTGGGGAGGAGGCGGGTGTGTCAGCATCCCCTGTCCATTCCCTTGCCATTCCTAGGCCAGCTGCCACAAGGCCACAGGGCTGGATGCTCCTGCAGCTACCCCGTTTCCACCCCACAGGGCCCAGCCTCACTCTCCAAAGATGGGGTTGAGCTGCTTGGGGATGTAGCGTTCCTTGGTGTCCTGCCGCTCCCGGCCAGCGCTCACCACCACGTAAGGGTCTGCTTTGCCATTGGGGTCTGCAGGAGCCAGGTTGGTAGCCTAGGGGAACAGCATGGAGTGGAACTGAGAGAAATGTCATTATGATAACCCAAGGTTACCTTTGTAGGACCTAATTTCCCATTGGGTGAAAGCAGGAAGTTATCAAGGAGAGATCTCCCACTGTGAGGAGCTAATGGAGAGGTTGGACAAGATGACTTTTATTTTCAATTAGTTATGAAATAGTTAAGTCATACAAATAGGTATAACAAAAAGTGTAATGAAACAAAATATTTTGAAAGATGTATAACGGACTTACTATTCAACTCATAACTTTCTATATGGTTTGACTTATTTTTTAATTTATGAATTTTTTTAATAGAGATGAGGGTCTCACTATGTTGCCCAGGCTGGTCTCAAACTCCTGGGCCGGGCGCAGTGGCTCACACCTGTAATCCCAGCACTTTGGAAGGCCAAGGCAGGTGGATTATTTGCAGTGAGGAGTTTGAGACCAGCCTGGCCATCATGGAAAACCCCATCTCTACTAAAAATACAAAACTTAGCCAGGCGTGGTGGCGCACACCTGTAGTCCCAGCTACTCAGGAGGCTGAGGCAGGAGAATGGCGTGAACCCGGGAGGCGGAACTTGCAGTGAGCCGAGATTGCGCCACTGCACTCCAGCCTGGGCGACAGAGCGAGACTCCGTCTCAAAAAAAAAAAAAAAAAAAGAAAGAAAGAAAGAAAGAAATTACATCCTGTGTAGTTTTTTTCCCCCCCTTTTTATAGAGACAGGGGTCTCACACTACATTGCCAAGGCTGGTGTTGAACTCCCGGCCTCAAATGATTTTCCCACCTCAGCCTCCCAAAGTCCTGGGATTACACAGTGTGAGCCTCTGCACCTCCAGCCCTGTGTAGTTTCTTGACTGAAAGTTGTTGGGTGATTTTTTCAATTGTTGTTTGCCTAAAGAGGTCTTTCATTTTTTTCTCTCTTGAATGAGTGTTTCCTGGGACACACAATTCAAGGGTGATAGTTATTTTTCTCTCAGTGCTTTGAAGATATTATTCTATTTTTCTTCCAGCACTTTTGGTTGCTGTAGAGAAGTTGATGGGCTGACTGTCATTCCATTGTGGTAATCTGTACTTTCTCTATGATGATCTTTACATCTTTTTAATTTAGAGATTGGGTCTTGTTCTGTTGCCCAGGCTGGTCTCGAGAACTCCTGGCATCAAGCAGTCCTCCCACCTCAGCCTTCTGAGTAGCTGGGGTTACAGGCATGAGCCACTGTGCCAACTTGATTTTTTTTTGGTATTTATATTTTCCATAGCACTTATGCTTTCTTCTTTTTTTTTTTTTTTTTTTTCCCTGAGACAGAGTCTCGCTCTGTTGCCCAGGTTGGAATGCAATGGCATGATCTCGGCTCACTGCAACCTCTACCTCCCAGGTTCAAGGGATTCTCCTGCCTCAGCCTCCCGAGTAGCTGGGATTACAGGCACATGCCACCACACCTGGCTAATTTTTGTATTATTAGTAGAGAACGGATTTCACCATGCTGGCCAGGCTGGTCTCAAACTCCTGACCTCAGGTGATCCGCCTGGCTCAGCCTCCCAAAGTGCTGGGATTACAGGCGTGAGTTATCACGCCTGGCCACACTTATGCCTCTCTAACGCACTGAAACATTTACTTATTTTGTTAATGTTTGTTTCTCCTACTAGAATGCAGTCTTCATAAAGGCAAAGCTTTTTTTCTCCTTGTGATTACATATTAATTTTATTCTTTGAAATCTCTTTCTTCTCTTGTCCTGTCCAAATCCTACTTAGAGATACTCAGTCAAGCCTTAATTTCCTGTGCTGGCTCGGCTCAGTGGTTCATGGCTATAATCCTAGTACTTTGGGAGGCTAAGACAGGCAGGAGCTCAGGAGTTCGAGACCAGCTTGGGCAACATGGTGAAATCCTGTCTCTACTAAAAAATAGAAAAAATTAGCTGGGTGTGGTGGCATGCGCCTGTAGTCCCAGCTACTTGTGGGGGCTGAGGTGGGAGGATCGCTTGAGCCTGGGAGGTCAAGGCTGCAGGGAGCCGTGATCATGCCACTGCACCCCACCCTGGGCAACAGAGTGAGACCCTGTCTCAAAAAAAAAAAAACCCGCGAATTTACTGCAGAGACAGTAATAAAGGAGTATGGTAGTGGCATAAACATAGATCAGTAGAATAGAACTGAGAGTCCAGAAAGAAATCCACATATCTATGGTCAATTGATCTTCAACAAGGGTACCTAGACCATTCAATGGGAAAAGAACCATCTCTCCAACAGATGGAGCTGAGACAACTGGACAGTCACATACAAAAGTATGAGGTCAGACCCTCACCTCACACTAGATACAAAAACTAACCCCAAATGGATCACAGACTTAAACATGAGAGTCAAAACTCAAACTCACAGCAGAAAACAGGCAAAAGTCTTCATGACCTTGGATTTTGCAAAGGTTTCTTAGCTATAACCAAAAAGCACAGTCAATAAAAGAAATAAAAATAGACTTCATCAAAATTAAAATCTCTTTTGCTTTAAAGGACACTATCAATAGAGTGAAAAGACAACGTAGAAAGTGAGAAAATATTTGCAAGCCATATAAAAATCTAGTAGCCAGAATATACAAAGAACTCCTACAACTCAACAACAAAACAACAATCTAATTTTAAAACGGACAAAGGACTTTAGACATGTCTCCAAGATATACAAAGTTCTAAAAACCACATGAAGACTGTTCAGTGTCATTAGGAAACAAATCAAAACCACAATTAGATACCACTTTATACCCACTAAGATGATCTTAATTTTTTCTTTTTCTTTTTTTTTTTTTTTTGAGTCAGAGACTCGCTCTGTCACCCAGGCTGGAGCGCAGTGGCGCGGTCTCGGCTCACTGCAACCTCTGACTCCAGGGTTCAAGCGATTCTCCTGCCTCAGCCTCCTGAGTAGCTGAGATTACAGGCGCCTGCCACCACGCCCGGCTAATTTTTTGTATTTTTAGTAGAGACTGGGTTTCACCATGTTGGCCAGGCTGGTCTCGAACTCCTGACCTCGTGATCCGCCCACCTCAGCCTCCCAAGGTGCTGGGATTACAAGCATGAGCCACTGCGCCTGGCCTGACATTCATTTTTTTAAAAGGACAATAAAGGCTAGGAGCAGTGGCTCATGCCTGTAATCCCTGCACTTTAGGAGGCCTAGGCGGGTGGATCACCTGAGGTCAGGAGTTTGAGACCAGCCTGGCCAACATGGCGAAACCCTGTCTCTACTAAAAATATAAAAATCAGCCAGGCGTGGTGGCGAGCGCCTGTAATTCCAGCTACTTGGGAGGCTGGGGCAGGAGAATCGCTTGAGCCCAGGAGGAAAGGGTTGCAGTGAGCCAAGATAGCACCACTACACTCCAGCCTGGGTGACAGAGCGAGACTCTGTCTCAAAAAAAAAAAAAAAAAAAAAGAAAATGTAAGTTATATTCTGGCACTCCTTTGCTCAGAACCTTCCTATGGCTTCCCATGTAATTCAGAATAAAGTGAATAACAAAACCCAACATGATCTGCTTTCTCTGCCCATCACTGCTCCATTTCCTCTGAAGCCTTAATTCCTAAAACCTGTTCATTTATCCTGCCTGCTACGGCCACAAGGGGCCCCTTGTTGTTTGTCACACACGAGTCATGGTTCTACCTGATGGCCTCTGTACCAGCTGTTCTGCCTGGAATGCTTTCTCCCTCAGGTAGCCACCTGGATAACTCCTTGGCCCCCTCCTAGTGTGTATTTAAGAGACAGGGTCTCTCTCTGTCACCCAGGCTGAACTGCAGTGGTGGCATCACAGCTCACTATAGCCTCAACCTCCCAAGCTCAAACAATCCTCCCATCTCAGCCTTCCTAGTAGCTGGGACTACAGGTGGAAGCCACTGTGCCCAACTCTAGTATTTGTTTAAATAACACTTTCTCAGCCGGGCATGGTGGCTCATTCCTGTAATCCAGCATTTTGTAGTTCGAGACCAGCCTGGGCAACATAGCAAGACCTCGTCTCTACCAAAAAAAAAAAAAAAGTCTTATTGAGGTCTATCAACTCCGACCATCCATTTGCAACCCACCCCCAGCACTCCCCCATCCCTTTATCCTGACATATTTTCTCCACAGCACTTATAATTTTCTAACATATAAATAAGATATATAACTTTTTTTTGTTTTGAGATGGAGTTTCGCTCTTGTCGCCCAGGCTGGAGTGCAGTGGTGTGGTCTCAGCTCACTGCAACCTCTGCCTCCTGGGTTAAAGCAATTCTCCTTCCTCAGCCTCTTGAGTAGCTGGGACTACAGGCATGTGCCACCAGGCCTGGCTAATTTTTGTATTTTTAGTAGAGACGGGTTTTGTATGTTTAGTAGAGACAGGAGTTCGGGCTGATCTCGAACTCCTGACCTCAGGTGATCTGCCCCCTCCTCAGACTCCCAAAGTGCTGGGATTACAGGCGTGAGCCACCATGCCCAGCCCGTAAGCTATATAATTTACTTATTGATTATGGTTATTGTTCATCTCTTTTCACTAGAATGTAAAGTTCACGAGGGCACTGATTTTCATCTGTTTTACTCACTGCTTTTTATCACCAGTACCCAGAACACTGCCTAGTACCTCATAAAAAATGCAAGAAAGGCCGGGCACGGTGGCTCACACCTCTAATCCCAGCACTTTGGGAGGCCAAGGCGGGCAGATCACCTGAGGTCGGGAGTTTGAGACCAGCCTGACCAACATGGAGAAACCCTGTCTCTACTAAAAATACAAAATTAGCTGGGTGTGGTGGTGCATGCCTGTAAACCCCAGCTTGAGGCAGGAGAATCGCTTGAACCCAGGAGGCGGAGGTTGCAGTGAGCCGAAATTGCGCCATTGCACTCCAGCCTGGGCAACAAGAGCGAAACTCCGTCTCAAAAAAAAAAAAAAAAGAAAAAAAAATGCAAGAAATACCTGTGGAATAAATGTTTGTGAGTGAAACTGGCCTAGAATTATACTTTCTCATGTCATTCTTCTCAGGTTTTGCATCAACATTATGCCACCCTCATGGAATTAACTGGGGTATTTCTTTTTATATTCTCTGAAATGGTTTGTGTAAGATTAAAATTGTTTCATCCATAACTGGTGGAAACTGCTGCTGAGACCATTTGGTCTGGAGTTTCTGACACAATTTCTTTTAATACTTATAGTACTATTCAGGTTTTCTGGCCAGGTATGGTGGCTCATGGCTGTAATCCCAGCACTTTGGGAAGCCGAGGTGGGTGGATCACTTGAGGCCAGGAGTTCAAGACCAGCCTGGCCAACATGGCAAAACCCTGTCTCTACTAAAAAATAGAAAAATCAGCCAGGCGTGGATGCAGGCACCTGTAATCCCAGCTACTCAGGTAGCTGAGGCAGGAGAATTGCTTGAACCTAGGAGGTGGAGGATGCAGTAAGCCAAGATTGCACCACTGCACTCCAGCCTGGGCGACAGAGCAAGACTATCTCAAAAATAAGTAAGTTTTCTTCCTTTTTTTCTGGCACACTGCATCCTCAGTGGCTCAAGCAATCCTCCCACCTCAGCCTCCTGAGTAGCTGGGACAACAAGCAGGAACCACCACGTCCAGGTAATTTTTATTTTGTTTTTATTTTTTATTTTTTTTTTTGAGACAGAGTCTAGCTCTGTCGCCCAGGTTGGAGTGCAGTGGCATGATCTCAGCTCACTGCAACTTCTGCCTCCCAGGTTCAAGCAATTCTCGTGCCTCAGCCTCCCTAGTAGCTGGGACTACGCACATGCCACCATGCCCTGCTAATTTCTGTATTTTTAGTAGAGCATTGGGGTCTTACCATGGTGGCCAGGCTGGTCTCAAACTCCTGACCTCAGGTAATCTGCCCACCTTGGCCTCCCAAAGTGCTGGGATTACAGAGGTGAGCCACTGCACCTGGCCTAACTTTTAAATTTTTTTGTAGAGATAGGGTCTCAGCCGGGCACAGTGGCTCATGCCCGTAATCCCAGCACTTTGGGGGGCCAAGGGGGGGGCGCGGATCATGAGGTCAAGAGTTCAAGACCAGCCTGACCAACATGGAGAAACCCTGTCTCTACTAAAAATACAAAAAATTAGCTGGATGTGGTGGCAGGCGCCTGTAATCCCAGCCACTCGGGAGGCTGAGGCAAGAGAATTGCTTGAACCCAGGAGGCGGAGGTTGCAGTGAGCCGAGACTGTGCCACAGCACTCCAGCTGGGGCAACAGAGTGAGACTGTGTCTAAAGAAGAAAAAAAAAGTGGACGTTGTAGTGAAGGGATTGGGAGGAGATTCGTGGATGTAATGAAGATACAGCTTAGACTACAGGCTGTATCTATTTTACAGGGGAGAGCCAAAGGATAAGACAGCTGGGAGGAGCTCTCCTGGGGTTAAAACAAATATCAAACACTAACCTCAGAAAGTATTCATTGGAAAGAGCCACCATTTGATTAGATTTATTTGTAGAGGATTTTATGCTCCCAGGATACTACTGCAAATGACAGAGCAATAAGTAGAGCTTAACTGGGTGTGGTCAGGGAAAAGAATGCAAGAGGGCCCTACCAGTACCACTGTCATCCTAGGGTGACAGTGGTATATCCAAAGCTGCACCTGCCAGAGTAGCAACATCAGTGATCTAACACAGGGGATGGGAAATAGACTTTGCTAAAATAATCCAGCCAGTCACTAAACAAATAAACAAGCAAATAACAAGAAACCTCAGTACCCAGAGTTGCTATCATATATTATCTAAATGCTGTTTCCAACAAAAAATTATGAGGCCTGCAAAGAAATAGAAAAATTATTTTTCCATCCACCCCCCAAAAAATGCCCGTGAGAGCAACACAATGTTGAACTTAACAGGAAAGTATGTATGTGTGTGTGTGTGTATGTATGTATGTATGTATGTATGTATCTATCTATCTATCTATCTATATATATATATATATATATTTTTTTTTTTTTTTTTTTTTTTTTTTTGAGACGGAGTCTTGCTCTGTCGCCCAGGCCGGAGTGCAGTGGCACAATCTCGGCTCACTACAAGCTCCGCCTCCTGGGTTCAGGCCATTCTCCCGCCTCAGCCTCCCGAGTAGCTGGGACTACAGTGCCCACCAGCATGCCCAGCTAATTTTTTGTATTTTTAGTAGAGATGGGGTTTCACCATGTTAGCCAGGATGGTCTCGATCTCCTGACCTCATGATCTGCCTGCCTCGGCCTCCCAAGTGCTGGGATTACAGGCGTGAGCCACTGCGCCCGGCCGACTGGAAAGTATTTCAAAGTAGCCAGTGTAAACATGTTCACAGAACTGAAGGCAAGCTTGATTAGAGAAGTAAAGGAAGGTATGATGATAACGTTGCATCAAATAGAGAATATCAATAAAGAGATATACATTTTTTTTTTTGTTTTTGAGAGAATCTCACTCTGTCACCCAGGCTCGAGTGCAGTGGTGTGATCTCAGCTCACTGCAACTTCTGCCTCCCAGGTTCAAGCAATTCTCCTGCCTCAGCCTCCCAAGTAGCTGGGACTACTGGCACATGCCACCACACCCAGCTAATTTTTTGTATTTTTTTTAGTAGAGACGGGGTTTCACCGTGTTAGCCAGGATGGTCTCGTCTCCTGACCTCATGATCCACCCGCCTCAGCCCCCCAAAGTGCTGGGATTACAGGCATGAGCCACCACACCCAGCCAAGCCATACATTTTTTTAAAAAGAACCAAATGAAAATTCTTGAGTTGAAAAGTACAATAACTAAAATTTAAAATTCACTAGAGAGGCTCAATAGTAGATTTGAACAGAAGAAAGAATTGGCAAACTTGAAGCTAGATCAAAAGCGATTATGTAAGCTGAAGAACAGAGAGAAAAGAGAAAAAAGAAAAATGAAATAGAGCCTCAAACAAATGTGGAACACCATTAAGTACACCAACACACGTATAATGGGAGCATTAGGAGGAGACAGAGAGCTGGGTGCAGTGGCTCACGCCTGTAATGAGGCAGGCGGATCATTTGAGGTCAAAACTTTGAGACCAGCCTGGCCAACATGGTGAATGAAACCCCATCTCTAAAATTAGCCAGGCATGGTGGTGTGTGCCTATAGTCCCAGCTATTCCGGAGGCTGAGGTGGGAGAATCACTTGAACCCAGGAGGTGGAGGTTGCAGTGAGCTGAGATTGTGCCATTGCAGTCCAGCCTGGGCAACAAGAGTAAGACTCCATCTCAAAACAACAACAAAAAAAGAAGGCAGGCTGGGCACGGTGGCTCACACCTGTAATCCCAGCACTTTGGGAGGCCCAGGCGGGCGGATCACCGGAGGTCGGGAGTTTGAGACCAGCCTGACCAACATGGAGAAACTCTGTCTCTACTAAAAATACAAAATTAGCAGGATATGGTGGCACATGCCTGCAGTCCCAGCTGCTTGGGAAGCTGAGGCAGGAGAATCCTTTGAACCTGGGAGGCAGAGGTTGCAGTGAGCCAAGACAGTGCCATTGCACTCCAACCTGGGCAACAAGAGCGAAACTCCGTCTCAAAAAAAAAAAAAAAAAAGAGCTAGAGAGAGAGAAAAGAAGAAAAAAGAAAGTCTGAATATCCAATACTATCATTACTTTTGTTGTTGTTGAGACAGAATCTTGCTCTTGTTGCCCAGGCTGGAGTGCAATGGCACAATCCTGGCTCACTGCAACCCCCACCTCCCAGGTTCAAGCAATTCTCCTGCCTCAGCCTCCCAAGTAGCTGGGATTACAGGTGCCTGACACCACACCCAGCTAATTTTTGTATTTTTAATAGAGACAGGGTTTCACCATGTTGGCCAGGCTGGTCTTGGACCCCTGGCCTCAGACTCCCAAAGTGCTGGGATTACAGGCGAAAGCCACTGTGCCCAGCCTCATTACTTATTCTGTTGCCCCAATTTTTCAAGTCTTAACCATTAGGAGCTCCTTCAGGTTGGCTCCTGTGTTCATTCTTTCATCAAGCCCCCATCCTTTTTTGAGCACTTCCTTACTCCTGCCCCACAAGATGCTCCAGATTTGACTTATATTTTCCCAGTCCTAGTCCTGGAATCAACTCCAAGGAGTCCTTAATCCTTTTATTAAATAATGGTTTTTAGAAACCAAAATCTGGGCACCTGGTTTGCTCACTGCTACTAGGATGTTGTTGATTCTAGGCCTTCTCAGCAAACGGAGATAGCAAACATGAATAACATAATCCACATATATATACACATATCTATATTTCTGTATCTTTCCATCTGTGTATATTTAAAAACATGAGTTTATACAGATACTTCTGTTTCTGATCTAATACCACAGCATTCATTTAATCCCCTTTCCTTATCTGTAACTTCTTTCTCCAACAGTAAGAAACCTGGTTCTCATTATCTACAATATAGTTTACTTATTCATGTATACCAGTATACACATAATATAGTTTCAGAATTGCTAACACATACTTCTAACTAGATGACAGCATTTATGTTCAGCTCTCTTTATCTTTAGTTTAGTTGGTTTTTTGTTTTGTTTTTGTTTTTTGTGACAAGCTCTCTCCCTGTCATCCAAGCTGGAGTGCAGTGGCACAAGCTTGGCTCACTGCAACCTCCTCCTCCCAGCTTCAAACAATGCTCCTGCCTCAGCCTCCAAAACAGCTGGGACTACAGGCACGTGCCACCATGCCCAGCTAATTTTTGTATTTTTAGTAGAGACGGGGTTCACCCTGTTAGCCAGGCTGGTCTCAAACTCCTGACCCTCAGGCGATCCACCCAATTTAGGCAATCCACCTGCCTCAGCCTCCTGAAGTGCTGGCATTACAGGCATGAGCCACCACACCCAGCCACATCCAGCTAGTTTTTTAATCTTTTGTAGAGATGGAGTCTCACTTTGTTGCCCAGGCTGGTCTTGACCTCCTGGGCTAAAGTGATCCTCCTGTCTTGGCCTCCCAAAGTGCTGGGATTACAGGTGTGAGCCACTGCACCAGGCCCATCTAGAGTTTTATAGAGCCCTGTCAAATTACTGTTTTCCAGAGTTACTTGGTTTTGTTCTTCACTTCCTTCAGTGTGGTTATATTGTTCATTTGTAATACAGTGAGGGTCATTTGTTAGTGTTTGTATTCCATGTTAGGTTTCCTCAACACTGTGATTGCTTTTAATTTTCTGTCTATTGTAGGGGCATGTGAAACACTGCTACAGTTCTAAGAGTCAGAGGTATACAAAAAGATCTACTTTGAGAAGTGTCATTTTTGTCCTCATTCTCGCAACCCTGACCCCTTTCCCCCTTTCGTTCCATCCCTTTGCCACTCACTTTCTTTTTTGTTTTTTTTTTTTGGAGACGGAGTCTCGCTCCGTCACCCAGGCTGGAGCGTGGTGGCGCAATCTTGGCTTACTGCAACCTCCGCCTCCTGGGTTCAAGTGATTCTCCTGCCTCAGCCTCCCGAGTAGCTGGGACTACAAGCATGAGCCACTATGCTCAGCTAATTTTTGTATTTTTAGTAGAGATGGGGTTTCACCATGTTGGTTGGCCAGAATGGTCTCGATCTCTTGACCTCGTGATCCACCCGCCTCGGCCTCCCAAAGTGCTGGGATTACAGGCGTGAGCCACCACAACCGGCTCCGAGATATCTTTAAGAATACTTCAAGGCCCTGCTGAACTCAGTATGAAAACTGCACCAATGGACAAAGTTGGACAAAGGTATTTGGTAACAAGCCTTCTGAAGCCTGAGATTCAGCCCTGTTCTCATCCTAGAATTATACGTGCCATTCTACAGGACTAGAACTACAAACAGGGGTCAGGAGACCAACTCCCAATTCTGGTTCTGCCATGAACATGCTTTATAACCCTAGGGGATCTCCTAAATTTGTGGATTCAATTTCTCACCTGAAAAATGAAGAACTTGAACTCTGTGATCACGAGGTTCCTCCCAAAGCCTTCCTTCTGTAGGTTTTGTGTACATTACCTTAGCTATAGTTGGAGGCGTGCCAGGGCTATGGAGACTCACCTTTACAACATACACTCTGACCAGGAGCTTGATGGGCCGGTTCTGTGGGATCCCCCGGGAGATCTGGGGCTCAGAGAACAACACTGCCTCTGATTCAGGGTAAATGAGGAAGGAGCCCTGAGTTGGGGGGAGACAGAAAAAGCTCTGGTAAGATAATTGTCCTCCTGAATCCCCACCTGGGCTCCCTGGTTCCGCTTTCCTTCCCCAAATGTACCTTGAACTTGCCCACAAGGTGTCCAGATCCTTCCTCTTCTCCACCTCCATCCTGGCCCCCTTGCCCTCGGTACAGAGGAAACACATTCAGCCAGTCTTCAAAGTGGTTAAATTCTTCCTTCAGGGACCTGTTGTAGATCTAAAAGGCAAGGACTTCAGCAACAGCCCGATGTCCAGAATCCAAAGGAGACTTTCCTCTTCCCAGTACCCAGTCACCTTCAGGGTGGCAACTGCTTTTTTTGGGGACACAGTGCCTTTGACTTCAGCCTCACCCTGGTCTTGGATCTCCCCAACCATAGAAATGAGGTTGACCCCATCTGGAAACAGCAAAAATGCCCCAGTCAGAAATATCTGGGTGGGTAGGGGATGGGCAGATGGAACCAGAGCAAAAAGCCCAATCTGTTACCTGAATCTCCAGGATCATCCATTTCATCTTCATCAAAGTTGTGCTGAAATTAAAGAGCAGATCCAGAGATTCTTCCCCATCCCCTTCAACCCCTTAGTCTACCCCCTTTTCCAGGAGAGTTGGGAAACCTTCACTCAAGTTCCCACTGTGTATGCCACTTGCATTTTTAAAGCTCCAATTTATCATCCAGCCTGCCCTGTCTAGGGCAGTCACCACCAGCCACACGTGGCTACTGAGCAGTCAAAACGTGGCTAGTCTGAATTGCAATGTGCTGTAAGTGGCCAGGCTTGGTGGCTCATGCCTGGAATCCCAACACTTTGGGAGACTGAGGTGACTACTTGAGGCCAGGAGTTCGAGATCAGGCTGAACAACACAGTGAGAACCTGTCTCTATGAAATAAATGCTTTTTAATTTTTATTTATTTATTTTTGAGACAGACTCTTGCTGTGTAGCCCAGGTTGGAGTGTATTGGTGTGAACATGGCTCACTGTAGCCTCAACCTCCGAGGCTCAAGTGATCCTCCCACCTCAACCTCTTGAGTCGCTGGGGCCACCGGCGTGTACCACCATGCACAGCTACTTGTTTTCATTTTTAGTAGAGATGGTGTCTCACCATGTTCCCCAGACTGTTCTCAAACTCCTGGCTTCGAGTGATCCTCCCACCTCAGACTCCCAAAGTGCTGGGATTACCGGCATGAAACACCACACCCAGGAAAAAAAAAGTTTGTAATTAGCTGAGTGTAGTGGTATGTACTTATGGTCCTAGCTACTGGGGAGGCTGAGGTGGGAAGATCACTTGAACCCAGGAGTTTGAGACCAGTCTGGATAACAGATAAAGACCCCATCTCTAAAAATAAAAAGAAAAGAAAGAAAAAGATGTGCGATAAGTATAAAATAAAAACCGGATTTTTAAATACTTAGTACAAAAAACAAGAATGTAAAATATCTCAGAAATTTTATGATTACTTGTTGAAGTTTTTTTTTTTTTTTTTTTTTTTTTTGAGAGACAGAGTTTCACTCTGTCACCCAGGCTGGAGCACAGTCTCGGCTCACTGTAACCTCCACCTCCCAGGTTCAAGCGATTCTCCTGCCTCAGCCTCCAGAATAGCTGGGATTAACAGGTGCCCAGCACCACGCCCGGCTAATTTTTGTATTTTTAGTAGAGACGGGGTTTCGCCATGTTGGCCAGGCTGGTCTCGAACTCCTGACCTCAAGTGATCTGCCTGCCTCAGCCTCCCAAAGTGCTGGGATTACAGGCATGAGCCACTGTGCCCAGCCTTGAAATGGTATTTTGAATATATTACTAAAATTAATTTCACCTGTTTCGTTTTACTTTTTTTTTTTTTTTTTTTTTTGAGAGGGAGTCTCGTTCTGTCGCCCAGGCTGGAGTGCAGTGGCGCAATCTCGGCTCACTGCAAGGTCCGCCTCCCAGGTTCACACCATTCTCCTGCCTCAGCCTCCTGAGTAGGTGGGACTACAGGCACCCGCCACCATGCCCCGCTAATATTTTTTGTATTTTTAGTAGAGACGGGGTTTCACCATGTTAGCCAGGATGGTCTCAATCTCCTGACCTCGTGATCCACCCGCCTTGGCCTCCCAAAGCGCTGGGATTACAGGCGTGAGCCACCGCGCCTGGCCCCTTCTACTTTAATGTGGCTACTACAAAAGTTAAAATTACGTATGTGGCTCGTGTTATGTCTTTTGGACAACACAGCTCTAGATAATGGAGTTAATAATCCCCAGCTTCTAGAATTGTGAAGAAAAGAGGACTATAATGAAGAGCTCTGAAAAACTGTAGAGCTCCACCTTCAATGAGATCATTCTTGTTTTTTGTTTGTTTTTTGAGACGGAGTCTCACTGTCACCCAGGCTGTTGTGCAATGGCATGATCTCAGCTCACAGGAGCCTCTGCCTCTGGGTTCAAGTGATTCTCCTGCGTCAGCCTCCTGAGTAGCTGGGACTACAGGTGCGCGCCGCCATGCCTAGCTAAGATATCATTCTTTTTACCATTTACACCCCAGCCCCCTCCCTGGGACCCTTCTCTGCCCCCACCTGCCCCTGGAGCTCCTGCAGCGACGCATAGTACTTGGACCCCCAGTCGAGCTCCTCTGGATCTGGGATGTCTTCCTCCAGCCCAGGGCCTTGATTTAGGAGGCCTCCTAGTGGGAGCTTCTTCAGAGGAGGCTGAGGAAGAGCAGACTTTGTCCCTCTAACCCAGCACCATCCCAAGTACTGCCAGCCCCTTCACCATCTATCTCCTCTACCCCATCACCTTCAGGAGCTGTCTGGATATACCCGCTTCAGCCAAGAAGGGATCCAGGGACTTCTGTCCTGGGAGGGGGAAAATGGCAGCATGAGGAGAGTGGGTAAGTAGAAGTCAGATTCCACACCCCATCGGAGGGCCCTCTGGAGCCACGTCCACCAGGAATCAGAGGGGCTTCTGTCTGGTGTCCCTGAAGGAGAAGGTTCCTAACCTTGAGGTCCCTTGGGCATCATATCCCCTGTCTCCTCCATCTCTCCTTCCTCCTCAGGAGGATCCTCATGACCCCGAAATGTGAATCGCAGCATGTGGGGGACAATGTGGGAACCCACAAGGACTGTGTGGCCAAAGGCCCGGCGCTCAATCACCAAGATGCTGAGTGGAGGCTGCAAGTAAGGCTGCTCCGGCAAGTCCTGGGGGTGGAAGAGAGGAGCTGTGTCTTTGAAGACCTGGGGAACAGGGAAAGGTAGCCACAGAGACAGGTAGGAAAAAAAATAC
Organism: Homo sapiens; assembly: GCF_000001405.40. NCBI lineage: Eukaryota > Metazoa > Chordata > Mammalia > Primates > Hominidae > Homo > Homo sapiens. The sequence continues at coordinate 35,579,542 of NC_000020.11, forward strand.
ATCTAAACCTGCATTCTAAGCCCAGCTCTGCCATAGCCTCACTGTGTAATCTCTGGTAAACCATTGCCTTCTCATCCTGTTTCCTAGCTAAAAAAGGGACACAGGCCGGGCGCAGTGTCTCATGCCTGTAATCCCAGCACTTGGAGAGGCCAAGGTGGGCAGATCACAAGTTCAGGAGTTCGAGACCAGCCTGGCCAACGTAGTGAAACCCCATATCTACTAAAAATACAAAAATTAGCTGGGCGTGGTGGTGAGCACCTGTAATCTCAGCTACTCGGGAGACTGAGGCAGGAGAATCGCTTGAAAACAGAAGGTGGAGGTTGCAGTGAGCCAAGGTCACACCACTGTACTGCAGTCTGGGCAACAACAGCAAAACTCCATCTCAAAAAAAAAAAAAAAAAAAAAGGGACACAATCCTGGATTCAAAAGACTGTTGTAAATATCAAATGACATAATAGAAACATAAGTACTTTGGAGCCTACAAAGTGCTGTCAGAAGCTGGGCATGGTGGCTCATGCCTGTAACCCCAGCACTTTGGGAGGCTGAGGCAGGCAGACTGCTCAAACTCAGGAGTTCGAGACCAGCCTGGGCAACATGGCAAGACACCATCTGTACCAAAAATACAAAAAAATAGCCGGGCATAGTGGTGCGCACCTGTGGTCCCAGCTACTCAGGAGGTTGAGGTGGGAGGATCACTTGAGCCCAGGGGGCGGAGGTTACAGTGAGCCAAGATTTGCACTCCAGCCTTGGTGACAGAGCAAGAGACCCTGTCTAAAATATATATGTGTATATACACACACACACACACAAATATATTTTTTGGCTGGGCATGGTGGCTGACACCTGTAATCCCAGCACTTTGGGAGGCCAAGGCAGGCAGATCACTTGAGGTCAGGAGTTTGAGACCAGCCTGGCCAAGATGATGAAATCCTGTCTCTACTAAAAATACAAAAAAATTAGCTGGGTGTGGTAACGGGTGGCTGTAATCCCAGCTACTTGGGAAGCTGAGGCAGAAGAATAGCTTGAACCTGGGAGGCACAGGTTGCAGTGAGCCGAGATCGCGCCACTGCAGCCTAGGCAGCAGAGTGAGACTCTGTCTTAAAATATATATTATGGTTTATTTTATTTTATGGTTAAAGGCCATATATATATATATATAAAATATATATATATAAAATATATATAAAATATATATATATAAAATATATATATAATATATATATATAAAATATATATATATAATATATATATATAAAATATATATATATAAAATATATATATATATAAAATATATATATATATAAAATATATATATGGAATTCCATATCTATCAATGGATCCTAAGGGAAACAATTTTACTACTGTATTGGTGGGTTTATTTTATGTATTTGTAGATATATACATATATACACATATATATGACAATTTTAGCACAAAAGAGAGGAAAAATAGAGCTATACCACAGAAAAGTTTGTATATTTTACTGGAATTAAATTAGTATTAATCTGAAGTAGACTGTGAAACAGTAGTATGTATATTGTAATCCCTAGAGCAACTACTAAGTAAAAATCAGCAAATTAAAATAGTACACTAATAAATATCAAAATATAATAAATATCTATTTAACACAAAAGAAAGCAGTAAAAGAGGAATAATAAGTCCACAAGACATAGAAAACAGACAGCAAAATGGCAGATGTAAATTCAGCCAATAATATCAACAGCATCAAATGTGATCATATTAAATACCAATCAAAAGTCAGAGATTGTTAACTGCATTAAAAAAAAGAGATGCGACTCCATGCTGTCTAAGAGATACTCTAGATTCAAAGACACATAAAGGATGAAGTATAGGAAAAAAATATATCATGCAAATAGTAACCACAGAGAGCTGGAGTAGTTATACCACCAGAGAAAATAGACTTTAATACAAAAAATATTACTAGAGACAAACAGATACTTTATAATGGTAAACAGGTCAATTCATCTAGAAGATATAACAATTATAAACATATATGCACCTAACAACAGAGCCTCAAAATACAAAAACTAAAAAGTTATAGAATTAAAGAGAGAGATACACAATTCATTAGTAATAGCTGGAGATTTCAATACCCTATTCTCAATAATGGATAGACAGAAAATAATCAAAGAGGCTTGTTCAAGAGGTCTGAATAACAGTAACACCTAGAGAGCACCACAAGTCCATGAATTAATCCAGGAATCAGCAAACTACAGCCCATAGACAGAGTCTGGCCTGCTGTCAGTTTTTGTAAATATTCATTTACATATTATCTATGGCTGTTTTCATGCTACGATGGCAGAGTTGAGTAGTTGCAACAGACTGGATGGCTCTCAAAGCCTAAAATATTTACTATTTGGCCCATTATAGAGAGTTTGCTGACCCTTGGATCATCTAAGATAACCAGGTAGAAAGTCACCATCCACTGCCCTCTTTCACTATTCTGCCCCCCTTTTCCCCTAGCCCGTGGCCTCACCACTGTCAGATGCCTGACAAGCTCAGTGAAATTGGGGCTCTCACGGTAGCTGGCCAGGACCTCAGACTCCACACCTTGCCCAGCCACCTCCAGTACAACCTGGGGCTGCTCCACCTCGAGCAGATGCACACGACCAAGTCCCCTAAGACCCCAGAACAGCACCTGGGGTCAGAAAATGGGAGATTCAGGGGCCTGCACCAGACAAATGGGCACCCGGATGTTGGGGAACAAGGGGGCTTTGAGTGCCTGGTGATACCTCAACACGGAACTCCCTGAGCACTGGGCACACGTTGGGTGGAAGGGACAGGCGTCCAGAGTGGGGCTCAACCAGGGGTGCCAGATCCTGGGGCTCCACCTCACTGGGCACTGAGGGCTGTAGGAGGGAAACAGTCAGAGGGCGAAGAGGAATCAGGCCAAAGGAGGAAAAGCCTAGGTGTGGGGAGGGGATATGGAGAGGTACTGGTGAAATGTAAATGCACAGGAACCAACCAAGGCTGGATTGGTGGAAGGGAGGGGGTCTCGGGAAGCAGCTTCGTGCAGGAAGGGAGCAGGGTGTCTGAGGCATGCAGGATGGCCCAACAAGGTGAACCTAGCACATGAATACTTGCAATGTTCCTTGGGGTCAAGTGGTCCAATGAGGTGACCTCAGGACAAACCTGCAGTCTTTATTCTCTGGGGAAAAGAGACCTGGAGGCTGGTCCTGGGACATATCCATGTTTTATATTCCCTAGGGCTGGATGGCCTGATGGACTAACAAGTTGGGCTCACAGCCTGTGCTAGCCACGCCAGGGCATGCTGACCTCAAGTCGGCCACTGTAGTCTAGTTCAATGAGTTGAAAGGCGGCAATGAGCTCTCCGGCTGCCCAGGGTCCCTTCCTCAGGGGGAAGAACTGCAACTCTGGGCGTTGGTATGGGTCCTCCATCAGCTTTACCCTTGGGGCGGCCAGTGCCCTGCCCAGGAACACGGGGGGGCCCTAGGGGGAGCAGGGCAGTGAAGACAAAGGGGAAGAGGCTCAGGAGCCAGGGAAGGTGGGCATCAAGGGGGAAACTCCTGGCCAGGAACCCAGGGAGGGCCCAGGCCACACTCACAAACTTATTGTGGTCAAATACATTGATGATCACTAATGGAGGCTCCTCCTGCAGGTGCTCCCTCCTCCCATCCACGATCAACTGCTCAAATACCAGGAGTTCATCCCACAGAGGGCTCAGCGTCTGCTCCAGGACCTTGGGGGCCATACAGAGAAGCGGGTAGCAGCAGATATCAGGAGAAGGCTCCCAACATGCATGCCATGCGAACACCCCTGCTCTGAAGGAATACTTTAAGTAAATGCTCATCACAAGAAGAGTGAGATGTGAGGAAGACGAAAGCATCTTCAGTTGGTGTTGCAGCCAGCCCCTCACAGCCCTGCCTCCCCATTGCAATTGGCCCCTCAGAGTCCAGGCCTAAAGTCAACCCCAGAAAATGACTCCTCGCCGCTAAGACCTCCAGTTCTACATCACCTGCTAAGTTAGGGCCATCTAGTACCCCATCCTGATACCCTGCTCTGCAAACCCAGAGTGCGAGGAGAGGGGCCTTGGGGAAAAGCTCAGACCCACCCTAACTTGTCTCCTGGGTCCCTTCCACCCACATGTCATCCCAGCCCTCACCCGTGTGGTCTGACACTGGGTAGAGATGAGGACTCGAGCAAAGGGGTCCGAGAGGCCACTGTCATCTGCAGCCAACACACCCCGGGCCTGGTACAAGTGAGCCCGGAGTTGGAAGTAGCTAAAGTCTGGGGTGAGGGGCAAGGAAGGTGTCATGTTTGCCCAGGGGAACCACTGAAGTCCCCTGACTGAGCCCCACACCTTGGGCAGAGAGCCAGGTGGGCCTTATACCTGCCCTGCCCACCCTCTGCACTCACCGTCCCGGTGTAGGCTGGAGGGCAGCCCGGCTGAGGGCTCGGGCAGCAAATCCGGGGGCAGCTCAGAGGTGCAGGCCTTGGCTTGCTTGCCCAGGCCCAGCCGCAGGAAGAGCTCCAGCTTGGCACAGACCTCACCAGGGGCTGCCCCGGGTGCCTGTGTGTGAAGAAGGCATGTCAGGGCCCCGATGCCTCTTCTCATGACCCCAGCTAGACCTAGCAATCCTGCTTCCCCAGGGCACACCTCTACTGCACATCGCCACACCATGCCAAACTCCCAGTCCACTCCCTACCTGCCCAGCCTTACCCTCTTCCTACCCTCCACCCTACGCCATGACCCTCACACTCTTACTCCCTATACCTCTTGCCCTAACACTGCCACTTCCCGTACCCCACTCCCCAGACCCCTAACTACACTCTGAGCTCTGCTCTCCCACCTTTGTCCCCTCCACCCCCTACACGTTTACATTCCCCATCCCCAACCCCAAGGGTCACGGCTTCTCCCTCCTAGGGACCCTTTTCAGTTATCTTTTCCAGGGACACCTCATTTAGAAATCTTTGGCCCACAAACCAGCTACACTTTTTTTTTTTTTTTTTTTTTTTTTTAAGATGGAGTCTCCCTCTGTTGCCAGTCTGGAGTGCAGTGGCGTGATCTCTGCTCACTGCAAACTCTACCTCCTGTGTTCAAGAGATTCTCCTGCCTCAGCCTCCCTAGTCGCTGGAATTACAGGTATACACCACCACACCTGGCTAATTTTTGTATTTTTAGTAGAGACGGGGTTTCACCATGTTGGCCAGGCTGCTCTCCAACTCCTGACCTCAGGTGATCCGCGTGCCTCAGCCTCCCCAAGTGCTGGGATTACAGGCATGAGCCACCACTCCCGGCCAGACCAGCCACACTTGTAAGGGGTGAGTCACACTCTCTCGTTTTTGGTACCCTGCCTATCTGTCAGGGCCTAGTCAGCAAAATGGCCCATGCAGTCCCAGAGCTAGGGAAGATTTGGGGTTTATCTGATTTCAAAGCTGCCCCAGGCAAAGGCACAATCCCTTTCTGGTGTTTTGGACAATTGGAAAGTGTTCAGGGGCCCCTAGCTGGGAAGCACAGGCCTCTACCCAAGGCCTATCCTACCCTTGCCCTATAAGCTCCACTCCACTTCTCCCGGCCCCTCACCCGTGGGTCCCCTCACCGTGAGCATTAGACTCTGGATCTTCCCACAGTCTCGGCCCCGTTCCTCCTCAACCACAGAGAACAGCACATCCTGGGCAGGGATCCGGGCCCAGGCCACACGGCGCTGCCCGCTGAGCATCCAGACCAGCACATCGGGGAGGGGTGGCTGGGGCTGCGGGTGGATAACTGGTCACGGAGGTGGATCTGGAGCCGACCTCTCCTGCTCTCACAGCTTGAACTGAACGGACCAAATAGCCACTCCAGCTTCTATCTCCCCGAGACAGGGTCTCACTCTGTCGCCCAGGCATGAGTGCAGTGACACTATCATGGCTCACTGCAGCTTGACCACCCAGGTTCAAGCATTCCTCCCACCTCAGCCTCTCAAGGAGCTAGGACTACAGGCACGTGTCACCATGCCTGGCTAATTTTTTACTTTTTGTAGAGATGGGGTTTGGCCACGTTGCGCAGGCTGGTCTCGAACTCCTGGGCTTAAGAGATCCTCCTGCCTTGGCCTCCCAAAGTGCTGGGATCACAGGCATGAGCTACCACACTTGGCTTCTTTTTTTTAATTGTGGAAAAATACTTATAAAATTGACCATCATCCTAACCATTTTTAAATGTACGGTTCAGGGGCATGAAATATATTCACAATGCCAGGCACGGTGGCTCACGCCTGTAATCCCAGCACTTTTGGAGGCTGAGGTGGGCGGATCATGAGGTCAGGAGATCGAGACCATCCTGGCTAACATGGTGAAACCCCCTCTCTACTAAAAATACAAAAAATTAGCCTGGCGTGGTGGCGGACGCCTGTAGTCCCAGCTACTTGGGAGGCTGAGGCAGGAGAATGGCATGACCCGGGAGGCGGAGCTTGCAGTGAGCCGAGATCGCTCCACTGCACTCCAGACTGGGTGACAGAGAAAGACTCCGTCTCAAAAAAAAAAAAAGGAAAGAAAAAAAAAAGAAATATATTCACGTTATTATGCAACCATCCCCATCATTCATCCCCAGAACATTTTTCATCTTGCAGAACAGAAACTCTGCTCATTAAACCATACCTCTCCATTCACTGCTCTCCATCCCAGCCCCTGGCAGCCACCATTCTTCTTTCTGTGTTTGGATTTGACTACAACAAGCCCTCCATATGAGTGGAATCATATAGTGCGTGCCCTTGTGCCTGGCCCAGTTCACTAGGCATAATGTCCTCAAGGCTCATGCACGTGGTAGCTGGTGCCAACCTTGTCTCTTCACCTTTCCCTCCTCCCCAGTCTTATCTTCCCCAATGTGCACAGTGTGCACATGTGGTGCCCATCACATCAGCCAAATACCTGGGCTGGTGACACTCTTCTCCAACATCCAATCACCCATTCCTGGCAGTTTCCCCCTTCTCTCCCTTTCTCCCTGCCCCACTTCAAGACCATCTGCTTTTTTTTTCTGTTGCCGAGGCTGGAATGCAGTGGCACAATCATAGCTTACTGCAGGCTCAACATCCTGGGCCCAAGTGATCCTCCCACCTCAGCCTCCTGAGTCTCTGGGGACTATAGGCACACACCACCATGCCTTGCGATGTTTTCATTTTTAAATTTTTTTGTAGAGATAGGGTCTCACTATGTTGTCCAGGCTGGTCTCAAACTACTGGACTTAAGCAATCCTCCCACCTCAGCCTCCCAAAGTGGTGGGATTACAGGTGCGAGCCACCATGCCCAGCCAAAAGACCACCCACTCTTGGCTAGACAATTGTGACAGGCTCCTAAGCAGTCTTCCTGCCTTGAGTCCTCCCTTCCTACCCACTCTGCCATGGCTGGCTGGCTTCTCCCCATCCTCTGGGTGTCAGCTGCAATGTTGTCTTTGCAGATAAGACTTGCCTGACCACCTTACCCAAGCAGGTTCTCCTCCACCCCCTCAGCCTCTGTAACCTCTTTCTTACCAATTCCTATAGATCATAATTATTTTTCATATTCATTTACAGATGTATAGTCTGTCTTCCTAGGACATTAGCCTCAAAAGGGCAAGGAATATGGCAGGGGCTGACCCCCAGGGCCTAATACAGAGCCTGGCACACAGGAGGACTTGAAATATCATTGAGAGGCCAGGCGTGGTGGCTGAGGCTGGGCATAGTGGCTCATGCCTGTAATCTCAGCACTTTGGGAGGCTGAGGCGGGTGGATCACCTGAGATCAGGAGTTTGAGACCAGCCTGGCCAACATGGTGAACCCCATCTTTACTAAAAATACAGAAGAGTAGGCAGGCAAGGTGGCACGCGCCTGTAATCCCAGCTACTTGGGAGGCTGAGGCAGGGGAATCACTTGAACTCAGGAGGCGAAAGTTGTAGTGAGTTGAGATCACACCATTGCATTCCAGCCCAGGCAGCAAGGGCAAAACTCCATCTCAAAACAAAAAAAAACAAAAAAAAAACCAAGAATATTCATAGCAGCTTTATTCATACTAGCTAAAAACATGAAACAGCACAGCTGTCCATCAATATGAGAATGAATAAACAAACTGTGATATATTTATACAATGGGAAATTGCTCAACAATAAAAAGAAAGAAACTAGATATCTGCAACAACTTGGACGCATCTTACAACAGCCTCTCACAAGAGAATACAGTCCTTCCTCATTATTTGTGAATTCTGTATTTGCAAATTTGCGTACTAGCTAAAATTTGTAACCCCCAAATCAATACCCCTGGTGCTTTTGTAATCACATGAGTATGGGCAAAGAGTCAAAAACTTTGAACAGGTCAGGCATGGTGGCTCGTACCTGTAACCCCAGCACTTTGGGAGGCCAAGGTGGGAGGATCACTTGAGCTTAGGGGTCCAAGAGCAGCCTGGGCGACAAAGTGAGACCTCATCTTTATTAAAAAAAAAAAAATTAAAAAAAATTTTTTTTGAGACTAAGTCTCGCTCTGTCACCCAGGCTGGAGTGCAATGGTGCAATCTCGGCTCACTGCAACCTCTGCCTCCTAGGTTCAAGCAATTCTCCTGCCTCAGCCTCCTGAGTAGCTGGGACTATAGGCATGTGCCACTATGCCCAACTAATTTTTGTATTTTTAGTAGAGATGGGGTTTCACCATGCTGGCCAGGCTGGTCTCAAACTCCTCACCTCGGGTGATCCTCCTGCCTCAGCCTCCCAAAGTGCTGGGATTACAGGCATGAGCTACCGCACCCATCCTCTACTAAAAATTTTTAACCCTTCTTTGGTTGAAGCCGCAGAAACAAGATGACAAAGGAAACGTCATCGTTTGGAAAGCATCGCGATAAGACACACACTTTGTGCCGCCACTGTGGCTCTATGGCCTGCCAACTTCAGAAGTCGACCTGTGGCAAACGTGGCTACCCCGCCAAGCACTAGAGGAAGTATAACTGGCTAAAAGACAAAATACCACTGGGACTGATCGAATGAGGCACCTAAAAATTGTATACTGCAGATTCAGGCATGGATTCTGTGAAGGAACAACACCTAAACCCAAGAGGGTACCTGTTGCAGCATCCAGTTCATCTTAAGAATTTCAACAATTGGCCGGGTGCGGTGGCTCATGCCTGTAATCCTAGCACTTTAGGAGCCCGAGGTGAGTGGATCACGAGGTCAGGAGTTCGAGAATAGCTTGATCAACATGGTAAAACCCCGTCTCTACTAAAAATACAAAAATAAGCCGGGCGTGGTGGCGCTCGCCTGTAATCCCAGCTACTCAGGTGGCTGAGGCAGGAGAATCACTTGAACCTGGGAGGCGGAGGTTAGAGTGAGCCGAGATCGAGCCACTACACTCCAGCCTGGGCGACAGAGCAAGACTCTGTCTCAAAAAAAAAAAAAAAGAAAAGAAAAAAAAAAAATTCAACGAGTCATGCAAAAAGTGTTCTGGTTTATTAAAATACAAAAAGAAATTTTTTAACCTATTTCCTGTTTGCCTTGAGAATACTCTTGCCTGTAATCCTAATGTAACATCATATATACTTCTGTTACATTAGGATTAGAGACAAGTTCTGTTTAGAAATAACTCCAAGTAAGGTTTTTATATTTTATTTTCATATTGAAAATCAGTCATAATTTCTTCAGCCTCAAAGAATGAGTTTATGTAAAATTAAATGAGTGCTGGCAGTGAGCTGCACTTTTTTTCTCTAAACGGGAAATGGGTTTAAATTTTTTTTTTTTTTTTTTTTTTTTTTTTTTTTTTTTTTTTGAGATGGAATCTTGCAGTCACCCAGGCTGGAGGAATGCAGCGGCACAATCTCAGCTCACTGAAACCTCCATCTCCTGCATTCAAGCAATTCTCTGGCTTCGGCTTCCTGAGTAGCTGGGATTACAGATGCATACCACCACACACACCCAGCTTTTTGTGTTTTTAATAGAGAGGGGGTTTCACCTTGTTGGCCAGGCTGGTCTTGAATTCCTGACCTCAAGTGACCCGCCTGCCTCGGCCTCCCAAAGTGCTGGGATTACAGGCGTGAGCCACCACACTTGAGACTTAGATTTAAAAAAAAAGTTTGAAGGGCCCTGAGTTGGAATAAAGCAATACTCTGCCTTTGTGAGCTCTGATACTGTAAGCATTTTGTTTTTGTTTTTGTTTTTTGAGACAGAGTCTCATTCTGTCACCCAGGCTGAAGTGCAGTGGCACAATCTCAGCTCACTGCAACCTCTGCCTTCTGGGTTCAAGTGATTCTCCTGCCTCAGCTTCCAGAGAAGCTGGGACTGCAGGCACTGGCCACCACACCTGGCTAATTTTTTATATTTTTAGTAGAGATGGGGTTTCGCCGTGCTGGCCAGCCTGGTCTCAAACTCCTGACCTCAGGTGATTCCACCCACCTCGGCCTCCCAAAGTGCTGGGATTACAGGCGTGAGCCACTGCAATGGCCAACAATATATTATATTAAAGAAAGTATCTTTAAACAAACACACATAAAACAAGGTTTTGTACTGATCAGTTGACAAAAAAAATGTGACCATCGCCCACTAGAAACCTAACCCTGTATTTCTCTGGGGGCAGTGATTCAGTATTTGCTAATTCAGTGTTTGCAGCAACTTTATAGACCACCAATAACAAGAACTGACTATACATATGGCATGATTGCATTGTATTAAAATCTAGTACAGGCAAAACTATAATGAAAAAAATCAAAATATATTGAAAAAATCAGTAGTTATCTCTATGGGGGTGGATGGAGACTGACTGGGAAGGAACATAAAGGAACAACTCTGGGGTGAAAGTCATATTCTAGATCTTGATAGGGACTTGGGTTACACAGATATATGTATTTGCCAAAATTCAGCAAATGTGTGTTAAGATTTGTACACTTGGCCAGACATGGTGACTCATGCCTGTAATCCCAGCACTTTGGGAGGCCGAGGTGGCCAGATCGCTTGAGTCCAGGAGTTCAAGACTAGCCTGGCCAACATGGCGCAACCCCATCTCTACTAAAAATACAAAAATTAGCAGGCATGGTGGCGCATGCCTATACTCCCAGCTACTCAGGAGGCTGAGGCAGAAGAATCACTTGAGCCTGGAGGCAGAAGTTGCAGTGAGCTGAGATCTTGCCACTGCACTCCAGCCTAAGTGACAGAGTGAGACTCTGTCTTAAAAATATATATGTATTTGTACACTTCATTATATGTAAATTGTACATCAGAGGAAAACACTGTAATTTTTTTTTTTAAATCAGTGGAGGGCCGGGCGTGGTGGCTCTCGCTTGTAAGCCCAGCACTTTGGGAGGCCAAGGCAGGTAGATCACGAGGTCAGGAGTTCGAGACAAGCCTGGCCAACAAAATGAAACCCCGTCTTTACTGAAACCCCGTCTTTACTAAAATACTTAAATTATCTGGGCATGGTGGCAGGCACCTGTAATCCCAGCTACTCAGGAAGCTGAGGCAGGAGAATCTCTTGAACCCAGGAGGCAGAGGTTGCAGTGAGCCGAGATTGCGCCACTGCACTCCAGCCTGGGCGACAGAGCTAGACTCTATCTCAAAAAAATAAAAAATAATAAAAAAATAAAAATCAGTGGAGGGGTCCACTATTAGTTTGGATGTAGAAAGACTCACTCCCGGCCTGGCACAGTGGCTCACATCTGTAATCCCAGCACTTTGGGAGGCCGAGGTGGGCAGATCACCTGAGGTCAGGAGTTTGAGACCAACCTGACCAACATGGTGAAACTCCATCTCTACTAAAAATACAAAAATTAACCAGGTATGGTGGCACATGCCCGTAATCCCAGCTACTAGTGAAACTGAGGCAGGAGAATCGCTTGAACCTGGGAGGCAGTGAGCCAAGATTGCGCCACCACACTCCAGCCTGGGCGACAGAGCCAGACTGTGTCTCAACAACAACAAAAAGACTTATACCCTAACAACCAAAATAATCCAAATAAATTGTAAAATTATACACACCCACAATTATTTTTTTGGATATAGGATCTCGCTTTCACCCAGGCTGGAGTGCAGTGGCACAATTATGGCTTACTGTAGCCTCGAACCCTGAGGCCCAAGCAGTCCTCCCGCCTCAGCCTCCCAAGTAGTTGGGACTACAGGAGCTTGCCACCACGCCTCGTTAGTTTTATTTTTTGTACAGATGGGGGTCTCCCTATGTTGCCCAGACTAAAAATCGTATTTTAAAAAACACATCAGAGAAGTGGGGATTCAAAGAAACCTATATCAACTAAACTCCAGAAAATGATGAGTTCTTCATAATCAAGGAGAGACCTCCAGCTGCTACTCCCACCTCTGGCAGAACAGCAGTAGTAAAAAGGAACATCAGAAGTGGGGACAAGGAGAAAGTATCCACTTTTAAGAGACTTTTAATGACTATGTGTGAGGTAGCATACCAGATGAGAATCCCAGGGACCACAGCCACAAAATATGTCTTTCCGTACCTCCGAACTCTTTCCTATGGATCCTCGCCTAGAGCTAAGGGGCGGTATGCAAAAAGCTGGGAACAGGGAAGGAGAGCTGAGATCTTTCTGAGGTATGTAAAGTTTCTTGAAAGTGCAGAGTAGGCCGGGCACTGTGGCTGACACTTCTAATCCCAGCACTTTGGGAGGCCGAGGCAGGTGGATCTCTTGAGATCAAGAGTTCGAGACCAGCCTGACGAACATGGTGAAACTCCATCTCTAGTAAAAAAAAAAAAAAAAAAAAATACAAAATTAGCCAGGCATAGTGGCACATGCCTGTAATCCCAGCTACTTGGGAGGCTGAGGCAGGAGAATTGCTTGAACCCAGGAAGTGGAGATTGCAGTGAGCTGAGATCATGCCATTCCACTCCAGCCTGGGCAACAAGAACAAAACTCTGTCTCAAAAAAAAAAAAAAAAAAAAAAAGCACAAAGTAACTGCCCTTAGAAGGAGGTGGTAGGGAAGAGAATTTAAAAACCCAGAAGTGGTCCTCTGGGATTTCATCTTTTGAAGGCTGAGGGTTAGGTAGGAGGGCTGAGAGAAACCTCCCCCACTAGGCTTTCAGCTATCAGATGCTACAGGCTCAGCTGGAGAGCCAAGAGAACCCTTCTGATGCATTCTAGACTTTTACAACGTAAAGTGGAGACCCTCCAAAGGCCAGAGGAGGGAAAGCAGGACTAACAAGGCACAGAGGAAAGGAAGCAGACTCAAAAAGCACAGAGAATGCCCCAGCAACCCAAACACCTGGTTGGTGGTTTGTAAAGCAGGGAGAGCTTACCCAGAGTTGGAGAATTGGCAGTTTGGGTGTGAACAAGAAACAGATTTCTGGAATCTTGCCAGTTCTCAGTTCTAAGCCTGGATGAAAGGACAATCGTGATCCTTCAAAAAAACATTTGAAGCCCAAAGTGAACTGAACCAAACCAAATTCACAACTAAGCCCATTTCAAATACAAAGCATAATGACTTGGTCCTCACTCTCTAGAGTAAGGCCTAGTGTAAGAAGAGAAATGCCATTTCCTGGACATATATATTATTTTAGTCACTAATGTTTTATACAAATATCCAGGCATATGATAAAAAAAATTACAGGACGGAGTTAAAGCAAAACTCATGGTCAAGAGGAAATAATCAATAGAAGTAGATGCATAGATAACCCAGATGTTGGAATTATTAGATAAGCATATTAAAATAACTGTGATAGAAATCTAAATGATCTAGTGAGGAAAGTACACAAGAATTAAAAGATGGGTGATTTCAGCAAACAGTTGAAAACTGGAACCAAAAGGAAATAATAGAAATTTTAAATATATCAGGCAAACAGTTCTACAATAGTTGGAGTCTTCAGTACACCACTTACAATAGCAGATGGAACATCTATACAGAATATTATTAAGGAAATAGACTTAAAACAACACTAACCAACTATACCTAGAAGACACATACAAAATACTCCATCATAACAGCAGAGTACACATTCTTCTCAAGCACTCACGGAACATTCTTCAGGATACATCATATGTTAGATCACAAAACAGTAAATTTAAAAAGACTAGGCTGGCCGGGCATGGTGGCTTACACCTGTAATCAGGCAGAGATTGCAGTGAGCCAAGATTGTGCCACTGCACTCCAGCCTGGTGACAGAGAGAGACTGCGTCTCAAAAAAATAAAAAAAATAAAATAAAAAATAAAAAAAGACACAAATACCTAAAATCAGAAATGAAAGGAAGGACATTACTAGCAACCTTATGGAAATAAAAAGATTGTAAGAGAATACCATGAACAAGTATAAAATAACAAATTGGATTATCTAAGATGAAGTTATAAAATTCCTGGAAATACAAATTATCTAAACTGACTCAAGAAGAAATAGAAAATCTGAACAAATCTATAACAATTAAAGAGATTGACTCAGCAGTCAAAAACTTCCCAAAAAAAGTCAAGACCAGATGCCTTCACTGGTGAATTCTACCAAACACTTGAAGAAGAATTAACGCCAATCCTTTTCAAACTCTTCCAAAAAATAGAAGAGGGAGGAACACTTCGTAACTCATTCTATGAGGCCAGCTTTACCTTGATATCAAAGATAGATAAATCACAAGAAAAGACATCAAATCATTACATGCCGGGCGTGGTGACTTAGGCCTGTAATCCCAGCGTTTTGGGAGGCCGAGGCATGGAGGATCCCTTGAGCCCCAGGAGTTCACGACCAGCCTGGGTAACACAGGAAGACCCCATCTCTACTTTTTAAGTACTTTTTTTTTAAATCAAAAAAGAAAAAAGAAAATTACAAAACAATATCCCTTATAAATACACAGATGCAAAAGTCCTGAAGAAAATCCAATGACGTATTTAAAAAATGGATATACACCATTGATAAAAGGAATTCATCTCATGAATGCAAGGATAGTACAACCTAAGGAAATCAATCAGTGTAATACATCACAGTAACAGAACAAAAAAGAAAAAAACATGATCATCTTAATAGACACAGAAAAAAAGTTCGATAAAATCTAACACCCTTTCACAATAAAAACGCAAAACTAGGAATGGAAGAGAACTTCCTCAACCTGATAAAGGGCATTTATGAAAAACACTGCTAACATCAAACTTAATAAATAATGAAAGCTTTCCCCCTAGAATCAGAAACAAAGCAAGTGAAAATTACAACTTTGGCTAGTTGTGGTGGCTCACACCTGTAATCCCAGCACTTTGGGATGCTGAGGCAGGAGAATCACTTGAACCCAGGAGGCAGAATAAAATTACAATTTCAGAAAAAGTATGTGTCTTGTATCTGCCATTGTGAGCTTGACAGCTTGCCAACACTCGAAGATTTTTGTGACTGGACATGGCAGCTCACACCTGTAATCCCAACACTTTGGAAGGCCAAGGCAGGAGGACTGCTTGAGCTCAGGAGTTTGAGACCAGCCTGGTCAACACAGCAAGACCCCATCTCCATTTTTTTTTTTTTTTTTTTTTTTGAGATAGAGTCTCTGTCACCCAGGCTGGAGTGCAGTGGTGTAATCTGAGACCTGTCCCGAGACCAAAAAGTTTGAGAACCACTGCCATAGAAAAGCACCAGGACATGTACCAAAATGGTCTCGGAAGCATTGTTTCTAATCACAACCCATTGGGAACATCTCACATACCCATCAGCAGCACAATATGTTATATATATATATATATATATATATATATATATGTATGTATATATTTAGTGCTTCAGACAAGGGAGGTCATGCTCAAGGCAGCCTACTCTCAAATCTTCATCCAAAGAAATCCTGAATGTTCCCTGGGTCTCTGCTGGATTCTAGAACTCTTGTCCTCACCCTTAGCTACTGCAAATGAATCTTGGTCCTATGCCCACAGCAATTAGTCCCAGCCCTGGCATCATTCCAAAGGAAAAATGTTAAATCACACCTGCCCGAGGCCTCTGGAATGGTTCAAAAGCTTAGGGAAAAGGGTGTACAGGGTAGGAAAGTGGGGTGAGTGAGGCATTACCTCCTCAGCCAGAAAGCGCAGTTTTGCCAGGAGCTTCTTGGCCAGTGCCACCTTCTTTTGCACATTGCGCCGTCTCAGGCCGCGTAGAAGTCGCAGTCCTTGCTTAGCCAAAAGGTTCTGGGAGGGCAAAAAGACAGCATGAGCGGAAGGCCCCAGCTAGGCGCCCCTGAGTCCCTTCCCGAGGCCGTACCAGGCTGTGCACCAGGAGTTTCCCTCGGCATCGATCCAGGGCATTGGGCCGGGTCATCGTCCTGCGCTCGGCACCGTGGCAAAACTGTCTGCAGTGAGCAGGGATGTGCACAGCAGACAGGAATCAAAGGAAAGGAGAAGGACAGTGACCTTGGGGCCACTTGCTCTGAGCTGACCTCCCACCCCCAGCCTCCCTCATAGCCCTCTCAGTCTTGGGCTCTGAAGAGGCACCCTTTCTCCTGCAAAGCTGGCCTATCTCTATTTGGACCACTCCCAAAAATCATTAAGGCCAGCCTTGCTCTTGAGCTCCAGAGCTCGCTAATACTTAACCACCTACTACCCTGGCTACCCCAGGTGTGGCCCATGGACCAACAGCACTGGTATCACCTGCAGGCTATTTAAAACTGTAGGACCTCAGCCCCACCCCAGGCCCTGCTGAATCAGAAGCTGCGTTTATGCCCTCGGGGATTCCTAAGCACATTGAAGCCTCAGACGTCTCCACCAGCTTGGCTAACGTATAGCTTGAACATTACATGCCCAAGCCAAATGCATACTTTCCAATGATCCCCCCCGCAAAACAAAACAAAACAAAACAAAAACCCTATTTCACCTCAGAACTTTCGAGTCATCTCTCACTGCTCTTTCTCTCTTATTCCACATCAATTCATCAGCAAATTCTTTATGCTCTACCTTCAAAAAATATCCAGAATCTGGCCAGGTGTGGTGGCTCAGGCCTGTAATCCCCGCACTTTGGGAGGCCGAGGCGGTGAATCACTTGAGGTCAGGAGTTCGAGACCAGCCTGGCCAAAATGGTGAAACAACTGTGTCTACTGACGCTGAAAGGTTGAGCATGGTGAGAACAGAAAAGTGACCACCTACAGCCTCCTACCTCACTGCCTCTCCTGATCAGGGTCCTTGGCTGAGTCCCTGCTTCCTCCCTGCCTCTAAATGCTGGAACGCTCCAGGTTCTCAGATTTCTCTTTTCTGTGCTCTGTTAATGCTGTTATCCAGCTCCATCTACATAATGATAGTTCCCAAATTGACATTTCCAGCCTAGAATTCTCCCCAGAACTCAACTCATATAGCTAACTGCCTACCACACATGTCCACTTACAATTCAATAAGAATTTCACAGTTAACATGTCCAAAACTGAGCTCCTACTATCTGCCTTCCCTCAGATCCCACCTCATCCCTGCTTCCATCAGACCTTCTCCTTTGTTTTCTGTTGAAAACAGATTTTTTTCTTTTTTCCAAAAAAAGAAGATTTTGGCTTGCATAACTATGCAGTTGGTGCAGCCTTAAACTCCTGGACTCAAGCCATCCTCCCATCTCAGCCTCCTGAGTAGCTGGGACTACAGGTGTGCACCACCACACCCAGCTAACTTTTGTATTTTTCATAGAGACAAGGTCTTCCTATATTGTTCAGGTTGGTTTCAAACCCCTGGGCTCAATTGATCCTCCCACCTTGGCCTCCCAAAGTGCTGGGATTCCAGGTGTGAGCCACCATGCCCAGCCCACAAGCCAAAATCTTAGCAAGTCCTGAGGTATCACCCCCAATTCCAAATTTTCTCTGGAATCCATTCACAGCACTCCATCTCCACTGCAACCATCCCCTAGATCAGTTCATCGCCACCTGTCACGTGGATTATCACAATAGCCCCTTTACTAATCTCCCTGCTTCCTCCCCCACTGATCCCTTTTAAGGATCTATGTGTTAGAGTGTATCTTTTTCCTTTTCAAAACATTCACTGCCCCTCCCCCCCCATTTCACTCAGAGAAGAAGCCAAAGTCATTAAAATGGCTTGTGAGGCTCCCACAGGATCTGTCCCTCCCCACCATCATCCTCCTTCCCCTGGCCTCCTCCAGCCTCTTCTACTATGTCACACTGCTGCAGTCACACTGGTTCTGTGCTCCTCCTCAAACACTCCAGGCATGCTGTCCCCTCCACCTGGAACACCATTACAGGCAGGCTTTCTCCTCCAGCTTCATGTCACCTTCACGGTGGCCTCCCCTCCACACCCTTTCTGAAATTGCAGTACCTCTTTCTAATGCTTCCTTGCTTCGCGTTCTTTCTTAACACTTATCCTACTTAGTATTTTTCTATCTGTTTACATGCTTATTTCACATGTCTCCACCCTTCCCCAACCTCTACACCCAAATGTAAGCTTCAGGGTTTTTTTTTAAAGTCAGGGTCCCATTCTGTCACCCAGACTGGAGTGCAGTGGCGCAATCATGGTTCACTGCAGCCTTGAACTCCTGGGCTCAAGATCTTCCCACTTCAGCCTCCCACAAGTAGCTGGGACTACAGGCATCAGCCATTGTGCCTGGCCAACTTCAGGGATTTTTGTGGGCAGGAATGCTTTTTCACTGATATTCCTGTGCCTAAAACAGTGTCTGGCATAGTAAGTGCCATAAATAGTTATCAAATAAAGAACCCTTTTGAGAAGAGGATCTGAAAATCACTTAAGTACCTGGAGCAGGTAATGGAATTCAGGGCAGTAGTGAAGGTCAAAGATGGAAGTAACTAGAACATGTTTTTTTTTTGTTTTCTTGTTTGTTTGTTTTTGAGACGTAGTCTTGCTCAGTCACCCAGGCTGGAGTGCAGTGGCGCAATCTTGGCTCACTGCAACCTCCACCTGCCAGGTTCAAGTGACTCTCCTGCCTCAGCCTCCCAAGTAGCTGGGAGGTACCCACCATTATGCCCGGCTAATTTTTGTATTTTTTTGGTAGAGACTGGGTTTCGCCATGTTGGCCAGTCTGGTCTTGAACTCCTGACCTCAAATGATCTGCCCGCCTCAGACTCCAAAAGTGCTGGGATTACGGGTGTGAGCCACCGCACCTGGCCGAACATGTTTATGTGGTTACAGCAATGACCTGGTAACTAGGGACCAATCAATGATGAAGGGGAGAAAATTGACAATTACAGAACTAATTCCTCCAGTGATGAAATCCAGATCACAGCTGTGGTCACTGGAGCAGGAAAGGAGGAGAGCAGATGGATGCAGAAGCCGGCAAGGAGGTAGACTGGGTGTGGGAAGGTGATTAGCAGGAACAAGTGTGAAAGAAAGGAGGCGAGGTTTGAAGAGACACGGGATAAGCCTCTAGGAGCGTGGGAAAGGGAACTCATGGAGATGGAAAACAGCTGAGGTGCCAGAGAATCAGGGGAAGCCTAACCCCCAATAATCTCATCAGCTCCCTGGATAGGAATAATTGTCTTCTCATTTTTCTGTAAGGTGCTGAGCAAATGCAGCTGCAAGCTGCCCTTGGGTCCAGACAGCCACCGAGAGTCTCCCTTGCCCTGGAGTTGGCCCAAGTACAGGCAGCAGTAGGAGTGGCTCTCAGCTCACCTGCTCCCAGCCACCAGTACTTCCAGTGCCTGCTTGAGCTGTGCACAGGCGCCAGGCCCCGGCTTGCGCTGCAGTCTCTCAACCTCCTGCAGCCCCTGGTCCTGTGCAACGTGGGAGAGGGTCAGAGTCTTGAGGGTCCCTGACTCAGACCTCTTGTAGACCACACCCCCACCCAAGGCCCCACCCACTCACGACCACACCTCTTGGCCTGCCCTTCTTTGGCTCCATCAGGTTGATGGCTCCATCTTTCTAGCCCGCTACTGGCTCCACCAAATGTGCGGCCCCACCATCCGTACCTCTACCCATCTCCTTCATCCAGTCCCTTCCTGGGTCCACCAATTCTGAAACTCTGTCCTCCCACAACTCCTGGCATCCTCGGTTCGCCCAGAAGCTGTGCTCTTTGGCCCTTGCCCCCCTGGCCTTGCACCAGCAAGGTGCTGGCTCTCTAGTGCCTGCCCATTAGCCCCACTGCAGAGCTTCCTTCAAAGGCTGCAGTGTCCTAGGCGTCCCTACGGCCCGGTCTCTCCCTGTGGGCGCCAGCCTTGCCCTTACCAGCCTCTCGGCCACTTTGCGCACGCAGTTGCTGCTCTGCAGGCGCCAGGTGTGGTCCTCCCAGCAACTCCACACATGCATGCATGGCTTGCAGTGACAGAGGGGCAAGCAGAAGTATGGCCTGGCAGATGGAGAGGAGGCTTCGCGGGCATTCTGGGTTCCTGGAGACCTCCCAAACCCCCCCTTCCAGCCACCGGCAGCACTCACCCACTGCCGTCCATGGGCTCAGGCCGCTGAGCATGGGTCCCCAGTTCTTCCTCCTCTTTCTCCTCCTCTGGCCTGGCTCCCAGCAGAGGCTGAGCCTCCACGGCTGCACCCTCAGTTCCCTCCCCAGCCCTGGACCCTCGGCCCAATTGCTCCTCCAGACGGCCTGCGCGACCTGCCCCAGAGCAGCAAGGGTCAGTGGGCGCCAGGCTGAGGGCTGGAACCCCCCCTCAACCACCTCTGCCTCAACAGAAGTCAGAACCTGCCCCTTACTGAAAGTCAACACCCCTTCCAGGGTTCTAAGGTCTGAAATGGCACTCAGGGGTTCGGCTAGGCCACACACCAATGGAGATCTCGAAGCTGATGGGCTGGGAGGCCACGGTGGGGTCGATCATGGTGGCCTCGAAGAGCACACCGAAAAGCAGGAAATCTTCACAGGGCGCCAGGACATTCTGGGGGAGGCCATCAGGCTGGAGTCAGCACCTACTCTCCCAGGGAACAGCCTGGACTATGCTTGGCCGCATTGCCCACAGAAAGAAGTGCGACCAAGGCTTGGAAGTCACTGCAGGTTTCTTACTCCCTCTCCCTCCTCCCGGCCCCAGCATTGGCCCTGGGTATGGGTCCTCTCTCCCACAACATGTGTGCATATACCAGAGCCCATGTGGGCACACACCTCACTCTTCGCCCAGGCCCCCAAATTGAGACCCCTGTCGTGGTGTTTAATGCCTGAGAGTGGATTCCACCTTCCAGAGCTGAGGTGACCCCGCCCCCTTTGCTACCCCCCAGCCCCCACCTCTGGCAGCGGCAGCAGCTCCTCCACCTCCACCTCCATGGCACGGGGGATCTCAGGCCCCTCGGCACCGGGGCTGGCGTCCAAGTGCTGCGGAACCGCCTTTGGGGTCTGATCCCTTCTGGCTTTCTTTTTCTTCTTTCGGGTGAGCCGGGACAACGTGGACCCCTGCTGGGCCTGGGGAGGCTCAGGTTCAGCTCTCCCTTCCAACACCTGCATGGACACAGCCAGCAGAAGGCGGCCGCGGAACCAAATGCCTTGGCCAACGCCTTCGTTGAGACCTTGAAGACTATCCCGGAGCCCCGCGCCGGGGGGCGAGCCATAGAGGGGCACCCAGGCCGGGCCGAAGGTAGGGTTAAACCCCGCTGTGGGGAACAAGAGAAGCGTGTT
Organism: Homo sapiens; assembly: GCF_000001405.40. NCBI lineage: Eukaryota > Metazoa > Chordata > Mammalia > Primates > Hominidae > Homo > Homo sapiens. Next base: position 35,600,950 of record NC_000020.11, read on the forward strand.
GGAGGGGAGCGTGGGGAGGGCGAGTGCTGGTAAATCTCTGCACCTCACCCTGATCTCCTCCAAGTATTCGGGGGTGAGGGCAGGGGAGGGGGGCTAAGCCGCTCTGAAACGGAAGAAGTTGGCCAGCAGCTGCGGACGCGCCGCTGTGGAACACGACCTGGGGCGCCTCCAAAACAGCTCAGCGCCCCAAGGAGCTGGAAATCGCGGGAGCCCGGCCTCGGGGGACGCAGCCTGAGCCCTGGGGGCGGGGTCGGGATTGGGGCGGAGCTACGGGCGATCGGCCAGGCCTGGGGGTCGGGGAAAGGAGTGGACCGGCAGTGTCAGCGTGTGCACAGCTGTAGAAGGGTGGGACTGGGCTGGTTACTGGACAGGCGGTTGTGGTCAGAATTTTGCCAACGGAGCCAAACCGATGGTGGGGTTCACAGTCTGGGGGCGGCTTGAAGCAGTTTGTTTTGCGGGCGGACCAGCCCTCCTAGGCGGAGCGGGGTCGCGAGGATGGGGCTTGCGGTTGGGAATGGGCCCTATGGAGCCCTATGGACCGAGGCGAGTGAGGCCAGATTTGCCGCGGCCAGAAGCGCTCACCCGCGCGGCCCGGATGGGAGATCCGCCTCAGGTCCGGCACGTGCGTAGCGAGTGCCGCGTCGACCAGGGGCGCGTCGTCCCGCAGCTGCAGGCGGAGGCTGCGCGTCAGCGGCGGGAAGAGCTCCACGAAGCTCAGCTGCTCGTTCCATTCGGGCGCCGCCGCCTCGGCGCTCACCGACGTCTCGCCCTGAAGGTGGCGTTAAAGACAGGAGAAGGGAGATCAGCGCGGAGTCGGGGCCGGAGCCGCGGCGCCGTGGGCCCCGGAGGGACTTACCTCCTGCCCCAGGAAAGACACCCGCACATAGGGCTCCACCAGGACGCGCTGGTCGTGCAGGGCGCGGACCAGGCTGCCCAGCAGCCCCAGGCGCAGCGCGGGAAGCCCCTCGGCGCGGTACAGGCGCACGCGGAGCCGCGCCCATGGCCTCTCGGCGGGCACCCCGCGCGGCAGGAGCAGGTTCCTAGGGGAGGGGGCACCGAGCGGGGGGGGAGAAACTGGGATCTCGGCCCCTCCCCTTATCCGCGCCCCACGGCCACCCCCGGATCCATGTCCTCCTCCCCACCTCACCCCGGCTCACTTCTCGATGTCCGAACAGTGCCCTGGGGCCGGGGGTAGCATTGGAGGGGGCAGGTCCCCGCGCGCCCTCACGGACAAGGTGACCTTAATGAAACCCTTGGTCCCGGCGCGGGTGTCTCGGGGATCATGCAGCGGAACCCATCTTTGGTAGAACTGGCCATCTAAGGGCGAAGGGGCGAGCCAGGGGTAAGGGGCGACCGGCGGGACGCACAGGGTGGCCGTGAGGCTATCGGAGTGACGGACAATGGCCAGGGCTTCTCTGGCTCAGCAGGGAGGGGCGGAAGTGCCAAGAGTTCAGCCTCCGCCAGAGATGGCCCTCTCCGAAGTGAGTGTATAGGGGTCCATGCGGAGTCACTGCAGGGTCAATCTCTAGGGCCCTTGTCCGTGCAGAGTCTCAATAAGGGGACGATTCCATACCTGGCTGGTCCAAGATGATGCCCAGGTCCATCCTGAAGGTGCCTATCCGGGTGGCCATAAAGGGGAGGGTCTGCGAATGGAAAGCCTTGGGGGAAGGTGGTGTTAGTCCTGCAGCTTTCTCATCCCCCCTTCTCTGAAGGACACTGGTCACCCCTACCCCACTCACCGTGATCTCCAGCAGCAAGTCTTGGAGACGAAGCCGCGTGTCATGAAATTCGAACAAGAAGTACTGAATTGAAGTGGGGATGAGAGGTCAGATGTGAAGGGCTCCTGCCAGCTTACCCAGGTCTCTTGCTCAGAAGACCCTCCTTCCCCCACCCCCAACCCTCTCACTGCAAGCTTTTCCTGGATCAGCAACCCCCCAACCCCAACCCATAGGCCCAGCATCTGGCTCCATTTCCACCTAGGCCTCACCCGCTCCGGGAATAGTTCTCACATCAACCCCTCCCATTCTGTCAGGCTCGCCCTCTTCTGTGGTGGCACCCACCTCATTGTAGAAGGGGCAACTGGTCCCACGCTGTGTGGCGGTCACACGGCGCTGCCCCCCCACTTGCACGGCCACATAGGGGTTAATGTTGACTCCCACCAGTTTCTGGGCTTCCAGCACAGTGACTCCCACCTGAGAGGTACAGAAGGATGAGGAAAGGAAGCCAGACCTGCCTGGGTGGAGGGAAAGAACATGCGTGCCAGAAGAGGTAGTACTTCCAAGGGTTAGGCCCTGGAAAAAGAGTAGTACCTGGAAGTCTTGAGCTCTGGACACCTGGAAGGGATCCCCATGGGCCAGGGCCCTGGCGCGGCTGGAGAGAAGCTTAAGGTTAGCACTCACTTGGTCCCTCCCCTGCACACGCACACGCGCGCACACACACACACACACTTGCTTGGTGCTGGGAATGATGTTTTCTCTCCCTCTGAATTTTTGGATTCCAGGTCCTTCAGGTCATGTCTTGCTGCCTCCATCTCAACCCTGCACCCACAATTTGACTCATTCCTGGAGCCCGAAACCATTCATTCATGCAACAGAGGTTTATTGAGTACCTACTATGAGCTAACACTGTCCCAAGCACTGGGACGCTGTAGTGAAGAGACAAATCTTGCCCTCATCAAGCTTTCATCCCCTGCATGTGTGTGAGCCACTGTAACTATGTGTATGAACATGGCAGTGTCTATGCCTATGAGCAAGTGACTGGAGAATCCACCCTTCCCACACCCCCTGGGACTGTGTGTTTGTGAGGGCAGATGGGTGTGGGAGCAGGTGTGCCGTGGGTACAAGTTACCTCTTGAGGGGGCTGAACATAACACCAGAAAGTTCCACGTCAGGCTCATCATCCAGGTCCTGCTCCAGCTCAAGCTCCAGCTCATTCTCTTCATCGTCCTGCTGGCCTAGACTTCGAGCTAGCCTGCGGCCTAGAGCCACTGCCCGCCGCTCCAGCTGGGCCTCCCCAGGCCTGATAGGAAAGACCCTCAAGGGACATGCCTGGAACCCATCACCCATCTCCAGGCAATCCCTTGACTTCCTGGAGCCTTGGACTGACCCCTGACCCTTGAACTGATCCCACTGATCCTAGGACCAGTTATTGACCTTGTGGCTGACTTCACTGATCCCAGGACAGACTCTTAACCCTGGGACATTTCTAATTCCAGAACTGACCTCTGATTCTAGGACTGACCTCTGACCCTGGAACTGATTCAGTTCTGACCCAAGACCCTGGGGCTGCCCCCATATCACTGGCTCCTAACTCCAAGACTGACTCAGTGACTCCAGGTCATCCCCACATACTTACTCCAGTTCCTGGAAGCCCACATTGGGGATGATTAACTCGAAGCTGGGGAATAATAAATGAAAGGACTAAGAGGAACATTCCTAACTACAGAGCGGCACCTGCTCAGCACACGTCCAAGGGTCACTGAATCGGCAGATCCAGAGTGGAACCGGGCACTACTTCTCCCTTTCCAGGGTCTGCCTGGGCTGGGACCACCAGGTCTTGCTTCAGTTGCTGAGGGGATTACCTGTCCTGGATGGGTGCCCCAAAGTCCTCCTCTGACCAGGCTCCAGTAGCGCCCTCTGGGGGCTGGTACTTCAGGTCAAGCTCCACCTGGATCTGAAACCAGATACAGTATCCCCTAGGGCCCCCCATCTAACTGCCCTGGGTCTAAGAGAGGCCCAAGGACAATGCCAGTGCCTTTTACTACAGGCGGCAGAGATCTTTCTGGCCAGCATCCGTGGTGCCTTGTGGTTCCTCTCTGATCATTAATAATGTAGACTACTCATAACCTATTAAGAACTAAGTAACTAGGCAAGTTTCCTCGTTATTTTTTTCTTTCTTTTTTTTTTTTTTTTTTTTTTTTTTTTTAGTATTGATGAGGTCTTATTATGTACCTTGCCCAGGTTGGTCTTGAGCTCCTGAGCTCAAATGATCCTTCTGCTTTAGCTTCCCAAAGTGCTGGGATTACAGGCATGAGCCATTGTGCCCAGCCGCAAGTTACCTCTTGAGGCCCAACAGGATTCCAAAATTGTCTCATTTTTGTTGGAAATCCCTTACGGTGGCCTTCACTACTCTGCCTGGTCTGGCCCCACCAACCTTTCCAGCTCCATCTCACTCCAGGCACCCCAGCTGTGCTCCTTCAAGGCGCTGGACTTTTGCATATGCCTTTTCCTCTGCCTGGAACATTCTCTCCTCCCAGTTAACATCTGTTATCCTTCAAGTCTAAGTTCAGGTACTATTTCCTCAGGGAACCTTCTCTGGCCCCCAAGTAGATCATACTCCCCTGTGGTACCCTCTCCCAGCCCCTACCAGCTTTCTTCTAACACCTGCCAGTTCCAGTTTCACACTTACTTGTGTGAATATTTGTTTAATGTTTGCCTCCCTTCCAAGGGTGTGAATCTTTATCTGGTTTTGCTCACCACGGAATCCTCATTGCTCAGCTCAGCATTTGGCTTATCATAAGAGCTCAACAAATGATGACGGACTGAACAAAAGAACTCCACATTATATAAATGAGAAAATAGCTTCCAGGCCAGGTGCGGTGGCTCATGCCTGTAATCCCAGCACTTTGGGAGGCCGAGGGTAGATCACAAGGTTAGGAGTTCGAGACCAACCTGGCCAAGATGGTGAAACCCAGTTTCTCCTGAAAATAAAAAAATTAGCTGGGTGTGGTGGCGGGCGCCTGTAGTCCCAGCTACTTGGGAGGCTGAGGCAGGAGAATCACTTAAACCTGGGAGGTGGAGGTTGCACTGAGCCGAGATTGAGCCACTGCATTCCAGCCTGGGTGACAGAGCAAGATTCCGTCTCAAAACAACAACAAAAAAAGAAAACAGCTACCAAATGCTAAAGAACGTGTACAAGTTCCCAGACGGGAAATGGCAGATCTGAGATTTGAAGTTAGGTCCATGTCTACTAGGCTATGAGCCCTTCCATGAAACACCAGGAAAATCCAGCCAGGTTCATCTTTGTCTCCCAAAAGAATTGATTGCTGAAAGGAATCCTGGCTGGAGGCCTTGTTACCACTCCTCTCTGGGTCTTAGGTTTTCCCCTGTGAGAAATGGAACCCTTTATCTAGAGGTACTTAAGGGTGGCAGCCTGGGGGCCAGAGGGGCTCACCGGGGACACTTGAAGATTCTCATCCACTAGGGCTTCCCGTAGCACCAAATGCCCAGCATTCTGTAGCTGCTGCAGGGAGATCACCAGGGTCCCTAGAGGCCTAGGGGAGTGGCATAGAGCAAAAGAGTGACCCAAGAGAATGGCTCTAAGTCACCCCCAGCCCAACCTGCATCCCTGTCTCCCCAGGCCTACTCACCTAAGGCTGAATACACGGCTGCAGTTGACCACCTGCACAGACAGACACTCCCCAGCCAGTGGAGCCCCATAGTGGGGCCATCGGAACAGCTGGGGACAGGAGGAAGCTTGTGACACCCATGCTGTGCTGACCCTAAACTCCAATCCAAAGCCCATTCTTGGCTGGGCACAGTGGCTCACGCCTGTAATCCCAGCACCTTGGGAGGCCAAGGCAGGCAGATCACTTGAGATCAGGAGTTCAAGACCAGCCTGACCAACATGGTAAAACCCCTTCTCTACTAAAAATACAAAAATTAGCCAGGTGTGGTGGTACATGTCTGTAATCCCAGCTACTCAGGAGGCTGAGGCAGGAGACTCGCTTGAACTTGGGAGGTGAAGTTTCCAGTGAGCTGAGATTGTGCCATTGCACTCCAGCCTGAGTGACAGAGTGAGGCCCTGTCTCAAAAAAAAAAGAAAAAAAAAGAAAAAAAAAAACCCTATTCCTAACCCTCAGACAGGAGCCAATCCTCCAGACTTAGAGCTAACTTTAGGACTAACATCCCCAAACCTGGAAGGGATCCCTGCACATGGGTTTGAATCTGAGTGAGGGCTGATCTGGGACTAACTAGTGATCAAGAATGAATTCCCCCAGTCTTGCAACTAATTTGTTCCAATCTGGGTCTGATCTCTCAGGCCTCAGACTGACCCCACCTCCCAAGACTATACTTCCCCAAACCCAGGAATGAGCCCCTGAACCCCAGGTTGGACTTGGATGGGAGACAGATCAGGAACCAACTGTACTGACCTCACCGATATCTGCTTCTGGACCACAGTGAATTTTTCTTGTTTTCTGGGTAAAGCCTGCTCAGAACTGAAACTAGTCATATATCAGCCCCTCCCCCCACACACACAAAAATAATTTGCTTCCCCCACTCTTGGCCCAGTGTCAAGTCCCTCCTGGATTCACCCTTAAAGAAAGGTAGACAATGGGAAGGAAAGAGGCAGAGGGTTGGAGATACCAGTGTGGGTAGAGAAAAGAAATGGGCTGTAGAGATGGGAAGGCATTGGGTCAAGGGCCCCCAGTTTCAAATATCCTTAGGGCGCCCCTGCAAGCCTCACCTCGAAAGGTGAGCTTCACTTGTCGGTCGTGGGTGCCGGTCAGCCCTGTTAGTCGTTGCACGCGTTACCGTCAGAGCCATGGTCCCAGTGGCACTGGCACTTCCTCTGCCCGTCTGCCCTTCTGCCCACCAGCCCGCCCACCTGAATCGCCTCTGACTCACTGGACTCACCCAGCAGGTTTAGCAATCCCTACCCTTTAGTCAAACACACAGGGAGCAGGCCTGGGGGTCATGGGTGGGGAGGGAGGAGAGGACCGAGGGATAGGGGTAAGGTCCTGGAGGTCAATTCAGCCCTCCCTGCCTCCACCAGCTGCAAGCTGGCAGGACTGCCTCAGCCTCCATCCTGCATCCTCAGGGAGTGAGAGCTGTGATAGGGTGGGAGGGAGGCAAGGGGAGTGAACAGGACCCCAGTCTGCTCCCTGCCAGCCGATGAGGCCTCAAGGACATGGACCTCATGCCTTTTCGTTTCTTTTTTCTTTGTTTTTTTGTTTTTTGTTTTTTGGTTTTTTTTGAGATGGGGTCTTGCTCTGTCATCCAGGCTGGAGTGCAATGGCACGATCTCAGCTCACTGCAACCTCTGCCTCCTGGGTTCAAGCAGTTCTCCTGTCTCAGCCTCCCGGGTAGCTGGAATTACAGGTGTCCACCACCACAGCTGGCTAATTGTTTGTATTTTTAGTACGGACAGGGTTTCGCCATGTTGGCCAGGCTGGTCTCAAACTCCTGATCTCAGGTGATCTGCCCACCTCAGCCCCCCAAAGTGCTGGGATTATGGGCATGAGTCATTGTGCCCGGCCTCTCCTCTTTTCTATCTCTCTCTCGCTCTCTTTTATTTTTATTTTTTTTACTTTCTTCCTTCTTTCTTTCTTTTCTTTTTTTTTTTTTTTTTTTTCCTGAGATGAAGTCTCACTCTGTCGCCCAGGCTGGAGTGCAGTGGTGTGATCTTGGTTCACTGCAACCTCTGCCTCCCGGATTCAAGCAATAGTCCTGCCTCAGCCTCCCACACAGCTGAGATTATAGGTGCCCGCCACCATGCCCGGCTAATTTTTTTTTTTTTTTAGATGGAGTCTCCTTCTGTCGCCCAGGCAAGAGTGCAATGGTGTGATCTTGGCTCATGGCCACCTCTGCATCCCGGGTTCAAGCGATTCTCCTGCCTCAGCCTCCCAAGTAGCTGGGATTACAGGCATATGCCACCACGCCTGGCTACTTTTTGTATTTTTTTAGTTGAGACGGGGTTTCACCATATTGGCCAGGCTAGTCTCAAACTCCTGACCTTGTGATCCGCCTGCCTTGGCCTTCCAAAGTCCTGGGATTACAGGCATGACTCATTGCGCCCTGGCTAATTTTTGCATTTTTAAGTAGAGACGGGGTGTCACCATGTTGGCCAGGCTGGTCTCAAATTCCTGACCTTCAGTGATCTGCCCATCTCAGCCTCCCAAAGTGCTGGGATTACAGGAGTGAGCCACCACGCCCAGCCCCTTCCTTTCTTTCTTTTTCCTTTTTTTAAGGCAGGGTCTCACTCAGTTACCTAGGCTGAAGTTCAGTGGTGCAATCAAGGCTCACTGCAGCCTCAATCTCCCAGGCTCAGCCTCCCAAGTAGCTGGAACTACAGGCATGTGCCAGTGGGCCTGGCTAATTTTTGTATTTTTTGTAGTGATGGGGTTTTGCCATGTTGCTCAAACTGGTCTCAAATTGCTGGCCTCAAGTGGTCCTCCCACCTCGGACTCTCAAAGTGCTGGGATTACAGACGTGAGCCACTACACCTGGCCTCATGTTGTTTCTTGTTCATCTTCCTGTTCTCAGTGCCCAGATCAGGGTTTGGCACATGGTAGACCCTTAAAACACTGAACAAATGGATGAACTAATAAATGAATCCCTTAGCCCTCAGAAGTAGTGCTGTAGGCATTCAACACATTTATTGAATTAAAAAGTGATTAAATGTGTGTTCCTAGCTTGCAACATAGTAAGCATTCAGCTGGAAGCCAGGTGTCCTTAACTTGGGGTCCTAGGATCCTAGTGGGACCATAGAATGGCTCCATGGAGGCTGCAAATCTTTGAAATTTTCTGCAAAATATTGGGCATGTGTACACTTTTGTGGACTAAGAGCTCATCACTTAGGTTAATAACCCTAAAACAGATGTACAATACTTTTGCTGAGTGAAGTCATGAATGTATCTTGAAATCTGAACCCATAATATGTGAAAGTATGTATTCACTGGAGTTCACAGCCAGGCCCTTTAATTATATACATATATAAAATTTTTTTTTTTTCAGAAAGGGTCTTGCTCTGTCACCCAGGCTGGAGTGCAGTGGCACAATTACAGCTCACTACAGCCTCAATTTCCCAGGCTTAAGTGATATTCCTGACTCAGCCTCCCTAGTAGCTGGGTCTACAGGCTCATGCAATCACACCAGCTAGTTTTTTTAAGAGGTGGGGTCTCACTATGTTGCCCAGGCCGGTCTCCTGGGCTCTAGCAATCCTCCTTCCTTGGCCTCCCAAAGTGCTGGGATTACAGGCATGATCTACCATGTCCTGCACCTTCTATTTGCAGGGCTTGTGCTATGGCACCCTGCAGGGTGTGCAGCCAGAGAGAGGGGAATCACATGTGTCTGTCTTCCAGTAACTTCATGACTCCAATAACTAACACAGCCTAGAAAGACTGGAATTACCCTGAGAGCAGAAAGGGTCAGGGCCCAGGAGCTCAGAGGAGGGAGACTAGAGGCGCTTCCCCAAAAAAGGAATGTTTAAAATGGGTTTAGGCTCCCGGGAGGCGGAGCTTGCAGTGAGCCGAGATTGTGCCACTGCACTCCAACCTGAGTGACAGAGCGAGACACTGTCTCAAAAAATAAAAATAAAAATAAAAATAAAAAATGGGTTTAGGCTCAGCACAGTGGCTCATGTCTGTTGGGAGCCCAAGACAGGAGGATTGCTTGAGCCCAGGAGGTCGAGGCTGCAGTAAACTGTAATCATGCCACTCCACTCCAGCCTAGGCTATTAATAAAGCAAAACACTGTCTCAAAAAAAAAAAATTTTTTTTTAAAAGAAAAGAAAGCGGCCGGGCATGATGGCTCACTGCTGTAATCCCAGCACTTTGGGAGGCCAAGGCAGGTGGATCACAAGGCCAAGAGTTCAAGACATCCTGGCCAACATGGTGAAACCCCGTCTCTACTAAAAACAGAAAAATTAGCCGGGCATGGTGGTGTGCACCTGTAATCTCAGCTACTCAGAAGGCTGGGGCAGGAGAATCACTTGAACCCGGGAGGCAGAAGTTGCAGTGAAGCAAGATCAGGCCATTGCATTCCAGCCTGGGCCAACAGAGCGAGACTCCACCTCAAAAGAAAAGAAAATTGGCTTAGAGCAGTAGTCCCCAACCTTTTTGGACACCAGTGACCAGGGACCGGTTTCGTGGAAGACAATTTTTCCATGGACAGGGTCGGGGGCAGGGGCGGCGGGTGGAGAGGATGGTTTGGAGATGAAACTGTTCCACTTCAGATCATTAGGCATTAGATTCTCATAAGGAGCACACAACCTAGATCCCTCACATGCATGGTTACCAATAGGGCTCGCGCTCCTGTGAGAATCTAATGCTGCTGCTGATCTGACAGGAGGCGGAGCTCAGGTGGTGATGCTCCCTTACCCACTGCTCACCTCCTGCTGTGCATCCTGGTTCCTAACAGGCCATGGACTGATACCAGTCCATGGCCTGGGGGTTGGGAACCCCTGGCTCAAAGGACAGGAGCTAGGAGCAAAGACAGAAACCCAGGCAGTGGGAAGAAATGCTGAACGTGTTCTGGGCCATGTAATGTGTACAGTTTGGCCTGAACACAAGGAATGTACTGGGCGGCGGCAGCAGCAGCAGCAGATAAGATTAGACAGTCAGAGGAGCTGGGTCTTGCTGTGTGACCTTGAGCCAGTCATGGTCCCTTCTTGTGCTTCAGCTTTTCCATCTCAGTACTGGGTTGGAAAGCCCTGTTCTGCCTATTTCTCCATTGTTGTTGTTTTGAGATGGAGTCTCACTCTGTCACCCAGGTTGGAGTGCAGTGGTGTGATCTTGGCTCACTGCAACCTCCACCTCCCGGGTTCAAGCGATTATCCTGCCTCAGCCTCCTGAGTAGCTGGGATTAATAGATGTGCACCACCATACCTGGCTAATGTTTTTATTTTTAGTAGAGATGGGGTTTCACCATGTTGGCCAGGCTGGTCTTGAACTCCTGACCTCAGCTGATCAGCCCTTCTAGGCCTCCCAAAGTGCTGGGATTACAGAAGTGAGCCACTGCACCTGGCCAGTTGTTATGTATTCAAATGAGTTTGAGGGTCTAAACCACATCAGACAAGAGGGACAGGCTGTTCTGTTTTTTAAAAAGGCCCAGATTAGACCTGAAACCCTCAGATGCTGGAGGAAGGCTTCACCTCCCCACAGTCTTTTTTTTTTTTTTAAGACAGTGTCAGCCAGGCACAGTGGCTCATGCCTGTAATCCCAGCACTTTGGGAGGCTGAGGAAGGCGGGTCAAGAGGTCAGGAGATCGAGACCATCCTGGCTAACATGGTGAAACCCCATCTCTACTGAAAATACAAAAAATTAGCTGGGCTTGGTGGTGGGCACCTGTAGTCCTAGCTACTCGGGAGGCTGAGGCAGGAGAATGGTGTGAACCTGGGAGGCGGAGCTTGCAGTGAGCCAACATCGTGCCACTGCACTCCAGCCTGGGTGACAGAGCAAGACTCTGTCTCAAAAAAAAAAAAAAAAGACTGTCTTACTCTGTTGCCCAGGCTGGAGTACAGTGGTGCGATCTCAGCTCACTGCAACTTCCGCTTCCTAGGTTCAACCAATTCCCTAACTCACCCTCCCCAGTAGTTGGGATGACAGGTGTGCACCACCACGCCTGGCTAATTTTTGTATTTTTAGTACAGAGACGGGGTTTCACCATGTTGGTCAGGCTGGTCTATGAACTCCTGATCTTGTGAGCCCGCCTCAGCCTCCCAAAGTGCTAGGATTACAGGCGTGAGCCACTGTGCCCGGCTCACCTCTATTAAAAGGACCCAAAGGAGTTAACGGACAGAAAACGTGGCAGAGGCAGAGATGGGGTGGTATGGACCAGAATTTGTAGTTTGCAGTGATTTCGCCTTCCTCTCCCTTCTTCCGTGTGGGCCCTGTGGCACCTAATGAAGCAAGGTATTGAGATCATCCCTCTGGAGCCTGGCATGGGCATCTCCCCTCTGGGCTAGAACATAGCTTAACAGATTGTCCGTGTGCCTCAACCCCTCAAAAACTGCCACTTCCAGTTCCTAACATTCTTGTTTTGTTTTGAGACGAAGTCTTGCTCTGTCACCCAGGCTGGAGTGCAGTGGTGCGATCCCAGCTCACTATGACCTCCGCCTCCCAGGTTCAAGCGATTCTTCTGCCTCAGCCTCCCAAGTAGTTGGAACTACAGGCACACGCCACCACACCCAGCTAATTTTTGTATTTTTAGTAGACATGGAGTTTCACCATATTGGCCAGGTTGGTCTTGAACTCTTGACCTCAAGTGATCCACTGCCTGGGTCTCACACAGTGCTGGGAGTACAGGCGTGAGCCGTCATGCCCGGCCCCAGCTCCTCACATTCTAAGGAAGTTGTGAGATGGCAGTTAAGAGGACTGCACTCGAGGGCAGGATTTGGGAATTCTAATGTGATGCAGTGTTATTCCTCTACCTGGACCTGTTTGCCTAGCTGTGCAACTTGTGCATGACATACTGCATTGTCTTTCAAAATGTGGTTGTTGTTTTTCTTTTTTCTTTTTTTTTTTTTTGAGACAGAGTCTCACTCTGTGGCTCAGGCTGGAGTGCAGTGGCACAATCTTGGCTCACCGCAACCTCTGCCTTCTGGGATCAAGTGATTCTCCCGCCTCAGCCTCCCAAGTAGCTGGGACTACAGGCACGGGCCACCACGCCCGGCTAATTTTTGTATTTTTAGTAGAGATGGGGTTTCACCATGTTGGCCAGGCTGGTCTCAAACTCCTCACATCAGGTGATTCGCCCACCTCAACCTCTCAAAGTGCTGGGATTGCAGGCGTGAGCCACCAAGCCTGGCCCCAAAATGTGGTCTTTAACCAGGATCACAAATGTGGTTGTTAAAAATGCACACTCCAGCCGGGCACAGTGGCTCATACCTGTAATCCCAGCACTTTGGGAGGCCGAGGTGGGCGAATCACCTGAGGTCCCGAGTTCGAGACCACCCTAGCCAACATAGTGCAATCCCGTCTCTACTAAAAATACAAAAAAAAAAAAAGTTAGCCAGGTGTGGTGGCACATGCCTGTAATCCCAGCTATTTTGGAGGCTGAGGCGGGATAATTGCTTGAACCCAGGAGGCAGAGGTTGCAGTGAGCCGAGATCGTACCATTGTATTCCAGCCTGGCCACAGAGCAAGACTCTGCCTAAAAAATAAACAAAAACAAAACAAAAGCACATTCCTGGGCCAACTCAGAAATTCTGCAGTATCTGCAGTAGAATCACAAGGTGTGCCTGGGAAGCTGAATTTCTATAAGCTGCACTGATATTCTGTTACATAGCAAGAGTTTGGGGACCTCTAGTCTTCTGGCTGTGACCATCTGATTCCTCATTCTTTCCTCCATGGCTCAGGTGTGCAGCCTGAGTGTGGGTATGACGATTGGTGGGTGCTGAATTCTCAACCCACAGACCCCTGGGAAAAATGGGTCTGGAGGAGGGACCCACAGATCCTGAATGAGCTCTCTGACCTGATGTCTAGGATGAGAGGAGGGGGCTGAAGGGCTTGCAGAGCAAAGGGGACTAAGTATTTAGAAGTGCCCTGAGTGATGCCCTGCTCCTTCTTAACATTCATTATTTGCAAATATTTGAGCACCTACTACATGCTAGGCTTATCTAGGTGCTGGAGGATACAGTAGTGAATGAAAATCTGTGCCCTGATTAAGTTTATGTTCTAGTGGGCATGGCAGGCAATAAGGAAATAAATAAATGGGCCAGGCATGGTGGCTCACATCTGTAATCCCAGCACTTTGGGAGGCAGAAGTGGGTGGATCACTCAAGCTCAGGAGTTGAAGACCAGCCTGGGCAACATAGCGAGACCCCATCTCTACAAAAAATACAAAAATTAGCTGGGTGTGGTGGCGCAAGCCTGTAGTCCCAGCTACTCGGGAGGCTGAGGCGGGAGGATTGCTTGAGGCCGGGAGATGGAGGTTGCAGTGAGCTGAGATCATGCCACTGCACTCCAGCCTGGGCAACAGAGCGAGACTCCATCTCAAAGAAAGAGAGAAATGAAATATATAGCATGTTAGTGACACGTGCTGAGGAGAAAAACAAAACAGGGAAGGGGGATAGAAACTGGTATTTGCTAAGTGCAATTTTAGATGGGGTTTTCTAGGAAGTGCTGTGACGTCATCACTTGCTTTAAAAGAGGCCAGGCGCAGTAGCTGACTCCTGTAATCCCAGCACTTTGGGAGCCCCAGGCAGGCGGATAACCTGAGGTCAGGAGTTCACGACCAGCCTGGCCAACATGGTAAAACCCCGTCTCTACAAAAATACAAAAATTAGCCAGGCATGATGGCGGGTGTCTGTAATCCCAACTACTCGGGAGGCTGAGGCAGGAGAATCGCTTGAACCCGGGAGGCGGAGGTTGCACTGAGCCGAGATTGCACTACTGCCCTCCAGCCTGGGCGACACAGCAGGACTCTGTCTCAAAAAATAAAAATAAAATAAAAATAAAAATGCTGGGCGCAGTGGCTCATGCCTGTAATCCCAGCACTTTAGGAGGCCGGGGCGGGTGGATCACCTGAGATCGGGAGTTCAAGACCAGCCTGACTAACATGGAGAAACCCCGTCTCTACTAAAAATACAAAATTAGCCAGGCATGGTGGTGCATGTCTGTAATCCCAGCCACTCAGGAGGCTGAGGCGGGAGAATCGCTTGAACCCGGGAGGCGGAGGTTGCAGTGGACCAAGATCGCGCCATTGCACTCCAGCCTGGGCAACAGAATGAGACTCCATCTCAAAAAAAAAAAAAAAAGAAAGAAAGAAAGAAAGAAAGAAAGAAAGAAAGAAAGAAAGAAAGAAAGAAAGAAAGAAAGAAAAAAACTGTTATAGACTGAGTGCCATTTTAGATGGGGTTTTCTGGGAAGTGCTGTGACATCATCGCTTGCTGTAAAAGAGGCCGGGCGCGGTGGCTGACGCCTGTACTCCCAGCGCTTTGGGAGGCCGAGGCGGGAGGATCGCTTGAGCCTAGGAGTTCGAAGTTACAATGAGCTATGATCAGGCCACTGCACTCCAGCCTGGGCAATGAGAAAGACCCTGTCTCTTAAACAACAACAAAGTCAGAAGGAGAGGCTGCCATGGCTACGGCTCCAGGTGACGTCACGGCCAGCTCCGTGACGCGCGGCCAGGGCAGCCCGCGGAGACCGAGGCTCCTCTGTGACGTCAGCAGCCGGCCGGGACACAGCGGGAGGGCAGGTGCGGCCGCGGGGCCTGCCGACTTCACGCAGGGTCCGTGGGGTCCCCGCGGCGCGCAGCGGCTGAAGGAGGCCCCAGGGCCTTGGCGACCGCAGCGGCGGCTTTAGCGTCAGTGACTAGGCAGCAGGGGGTCAGGATGCGGCGAAGCTCCCGCCCGGGCTCGGCCTCGTCCTCGCGCAAGCACACGCCCAACTTTTTCAGCGAGAACAGCTCAATGAGCATCACCTCGGAGGACAGCAAAGGGCTCCGGTCAGCGGAGCCCGGGCCTGGGGAGCCCGAGGGCAGAAGAGCCCGGGGCCCGAGCTGCGGTGAGCCCGCCTTGAGCGCGGGAGTGCCCGGAGGAACCACATGGGCAGGAAGCTCTCAGCAGAAGCCAGCGCCTCGGAGCCACAACTGGCAGACAGCCTGTGGCGCGGCAACCGTGAGGGGCGGGGCCTCGGGTGCGGGCGGGGTCGACCCCGGGTGAGCCAGTGGAGGGGGCGGGGCCTAAAGGGCGGTGCTGGGCGGGGACGGGGCTAAGATGATATCTGGGCACCTCCTACAAGGTGGGTCCTGTAGGGTAAAGGGATGGTGCTAAATGAGATCCCTTAAGGGGCGGAGCCTCGGTGTCCTGGACGGTTATGGGAAGGGGCGGGGAAAATCTTGTGGTTGGGTGCCACTGAGGGGGCGCGGCCTCAATGTTAGCGTGAGTGGCTCCCAGGACAATTGGGTTCCACCAAGATCTAAGGCTGGGGGCGGGTCATCCGTTTGGGGGAGGGACCAACTCTTTTTTTTTTTTTTTTGCAACGGAGTTTCGCTCCTGTTGCCCATGCCATGCAATGGCATGATCTCGGCTCACCGCAACCTCCGCCTCCCGGGTTCAAACGATTCTCCCGCCTCAGCCTCCCGAGTAGCTGGGATTACAGGCGTGCGCCACCATGCCCGGCCAATTTTTGTGTTTTTAGTAGAGACGGGGTTTCTCCGTGTTAATCAGGCTGGCCTCGAACTCCCGACCTCAGGTGATCCGCCCGCCTCGGCCTCCCAAATCGCTGGGATTACAGGCGTGAGCCACCGCGCCCGGCCAGGAGACCAACTCTTGACGGAGCCTCCCTGAGGGGCGGGGCTTCAGAGGGCGGAGCTGGAGCCGGGATAGGGCTGCGGTGGGACCAAAGCCTGTGAGAGACTTCCCAGCTGTCTGGCTTGTGGACTGAGCAATCTGCGGCCCGGTCTCGAGGGGAAAATAGGTCTGTGGTCCGCAAGGCCCCAGTGGAGCCCTTGGGTTCCCGCAGAACCGACTGGGTCTCCAGTAGTCTCTGAGGAGCCGCTCGACCTTCTCCCGACCCTGGATCTGAGGCAGGAGATGCCTCCCCCGCGGGTGTTCAAGAGCTTTCTGAGTACGGGCCAGGCCAGCTGCGATCCCCTCTGACCCTCGGGTTCCCCTCTCCGAACTCCAGTTCTCTCTGAGCCCCCGGCCCCCGTTTGAGTATCGAGCCCCTCTCCGAGCCTCAACTCATTCCTAGCCCCCATCCAATTATCCTAGCCGACCCTCTCTTCCTGAGCCCCAGGCCCACCCCCGGCCCCTCCCAAGCCCCTTCTGAACCCGGACACCACGCAGGCTGAGCCCCGCCTCTCCCTGCCGTGGGCCCCTCTCTGACCCTCTGTCCTGGCCTCAGGCCTGCTCTTCCAGGGGCTGAGCGTGTTGTTATCCCTGGCAGGAGACGTGCTGGTCAGCATGTACAGGTCAGAGGAAGGGACGCTGGCGCCCCAGGAACAGCTCTTTGGAGGGGGTGGGGAGCAGGGCCGGAACCTTGCTGGCGCTTGAGCCGATTCAGATCTGATTGAGTCATGTTGGCAAGAGCTGGGTCTAGGACCCTGGGGTGGGGACTGGAGGGTTGAGCAGGTCGGGGCCTCAGCCTCCCTCCGGTTCCCCAGGGAGGTCTGTTCCATCCGCTTCCTGTTCACGGCTGTGTCGCTGCTGAGCCTCTTTCTGTCAGGTGAGGGGCAGTGAATTCCCTGGAGCCCCTGCCCTGGGTGCTTTGGAGGCAAACCCAGCACATTTTCTCCTACATCCTCGGTCCTGCAGCTCCTGGCATTCCCCTGCAGAACCCCCTAATTCCCCCTCAGACTCCCACGGTCCTCCCCAGGCTTAACCCCCTCAAGCCTCTTTCCACTGTCCCCCTATGCCGGGGAAACCCATTCTCTTCCTTTTCCTTCTGAGACCCCTCCCTCTCTTTCTCCAGCATTCTGGCTGGGGCTTCTGTACCTGGTCTCTCCTTTGGAGAATGTGAGTTGGGGAGACTGTCTTGGGGTAGGGGGTTGGCAGGTTGTGAACCCGGAGATTGTGGGGGTCCCCTGGACTGTCGGTCTGCTGGGGTGGGGGTAGTGCCAGAGGCTACAATCCTTAAGAAAGGGCTGGATATAAACAGACTTATGAGGGATTGTGCTTGAGGGTCTCTTGGGGGCTCTGATACTGGGAGGTCAAGGAGGAGTCGAGGAAAGGGGACACAGTCTTCAAAAAGGAAGCCCTGGCCGTTTCCAGGCTGAGGTAGGAGCAAGGACGACGGGAGCTGAGCGGCTCTGTGTTTTGTCCCTTCATCCAACAGGAACCTAAGGAGATGCTGACTCTAAGGTGAAAGAGGGCACCTAGGGTGGGAAATTGGGGGGCTCAAAGTTGCTTCTTTGAGAACCTTGAAGGCGTGGGGGCCTTTGGGAGGTGTCCAGGGGGACAGGGAGCCAACCCCACGGCGCCCACCTCCCACCTCCAGTGAGTACCACGAGCGCGTGCGCTCCCAGGGGCAGCAGCTGCAGCAGCTCCAGGCCGAGCTGGATAAACTCCACAAGGAGGTGTCCACTGTTCGGGCAGCCAACAGCGAGGTGAGCCCCGGCCCACCTTGGAAACCCCTGATGGATCCCTGCTCCCAGGGTCCTGAGACTTAAGCTCCGCCCAGAGCCCTGCGGGATTTCTCCCGGTGCCCACGAAGTCCATCCCAAAGCAACCAGCTCCCAGAGGTCCCGTCCACCTGTAAAAGCAGCCCGCAAGCCTCGCCCCTCCAGGCCTCGCCCTCCCTCCTTGCAGAGAGTGGCCAAGCTCGTGTTCCAGAGGCTGAATGAGGATTTTGTGCGGAAGCCCGACTATGCTTTGAGCTCTGTGGGTAAGACCCGGAGACACTGGAAGACAGAGACGCAGACAGGAAAGAGGCCAAGACACTGACACAGACAGACCCATGCACCTGACCGGCCGAAGACAGAGCCTCGGACAGCCCCCACCCGCCCCCAGCCCCCGCGCCCCCGCGCCCCGACTCCCGGCAAGGCCTGGGAGCCTCTGAGGGTTACTTCTCACTGTTCCAGGAGCCTCCATCGACCTGCAGAAGACATCCCACGATTACGCAGACAGGAACACTGCCTACTTCTGGAATCGCTTCAGCTTCTGGAACTACGCACGGCCGCCCACGGTTATCCTGGAGGTGAGTCTGGAAACATCCCGGGATGGGACCCCGGGCGGGACGCTGGGAAAAGCACCAAAACCCCGCCCTACAGGCGGAGCTTGGCTGAGCCGAGGGCGTGGAGGATGGCGTTTAACTCAAGGAGAGACCTGGCATTGCTGGGGACTGGGGCGGGCTGGAGGTGGAGCTCTGGGCGGGTCGATGGATGGGGTCGAGCTGAGGCCCGGGCTGGGGAGCGGCAGCAGTCGCTCTGTCCGACGGTTCCGATGGTCCCTCCGCCCGCCTGCAGCCCCACGTGTTCCCTGGGAATTGCTGGGCTTTTGAAGGCGACCAAGGCCAGGTGGTGATCCAACTGCCGGGCCGAGTGCAGCTGAGCGACATCACTCTGCAGCATCCACCGCCCAGCGTGGAGCACACCGGAGGAGCCAACAGCGCCCCCCGCGATTTCGCGGTCTTTGTGAGTGCGGACGAGGTCAGGAGGTGGGGGATTTTGCCTAGAGAGCCCAAGCAGTCTTGAGAACTGGTGCCGTTATCTGAGTCTTCGCTTGCTCATCTATAAAATGAAGATACTACTATTTGCCTCTCAGAGCTGCTGTAGGTTATAGTCATAACCATATCCAGATATTAGTTATTGCTTGCAAAGCACTTACTCCGTGCCAAGCAGTTTACAGGCATTCTTATTTTGCTGTTGTTTTTGAGACAGTCTCGCTCTTGTCACCCAGGCTGCTGGAGTGCAGTGGTGCCATCTCAGCTCACCTGCAACCTCAGCCTCTAGGATTCAAGCGATTCTTGTGCCTCATCCTCCCGAGTAGCTGGAATTACAGGCGTGCGCCACCATGCTCGGCTAATTTTTGTATTTTTAGTAGAGATGGGGTTTCACCATGTTGGCCAGGATGGTCTCAAACTCCTGACCTCAAGTGATCCGCCTTCCTCGGCCTTCTGAAATGCTAGGATTACAGGCATGAGCCACCGTGCCTGCTTTGCACCCACATAACAACCTATGATGTACTGTTATCTCCCCCTTTAAAGATGAAGAAAGTAATGCTCAGAGAGGGGAAGTTATTTTTCCAAGGTAATACAACTAACAGTTGGCAGGATTAAATTTAAAACCTGGTTTCTTCCCGGGAGGTGGAGCTTGCAGTGAGCCAAGATCTCACCACTGCACTCCAGCCTGGGTGACAGAGCAACACTCCGTCTCAAAATAAATAAATAAATAAAACCTGGTTTCTTAGAGCCCACATTCTGAATTACAGTGTACGACCATCAAAAAATACATGAGAACATGCATATAGCTATTGAATACACAGAAGATCCTCAGCAAAGTTTTCTTCTCCCCGCCCCCCCCGCCCCACCTGTCCCCCTCATAGTTCCTCCTTTCATTCTTCACCCACCAGGGCCTCCAGGTTTATGATGAAACTGAAGTTTCCTTGGGGAAATTCACCTTCGATGTTGAGAAATCGGAGATTCAGACTTTCCACCTGCAGGTGTGTTTGTCTCTAGGGTGAAGGTGCCAAGGGAGTGGGGCAGTGAGGGATGAATGATCCAGGAGGAGGGCAGCCCTTGGCATGATCCATTTGTCTCCCCAGAATGACCCCCCAGCTGCCTTTCCCAAGGTGAAGATCCAGATTCTAAGCAACTGGGGCCACCCCCGTTTCACGTGCTTGTATCGAGTCCGTGCCCACGGTGTGCGAACCTCAGAGGGGGCAGAGGGCAGTGCACAGGGGCCCCATTAAACATGCTGATTTTTGGAGTAGAATTGAGTTCTGCTGAAGGATACTGGATCAGTGCTTTCGGGGGCTCTGTTGGGAGAGCTCTGGCTGCCGTTGCATCTAAGTATGGAGGGGCTGACTTCCCAATGCACCCTCTTTTCTTGGAGAAGTCTTGATCAAGATCGTAATAGCAGCTCCTGTTTATGGAGTGCCTACCACGTACAAGAAACAGTGCTGTGGACATTACACACATTACCTAACTTCATTCTCACAACCAGAAAGGGAAGCTGCTCAGGTCAGGAAACTTGTTCAATGTCACACAGCTAGTGAAAGGCAGTGACAGAGCAGTACCCAGGCCCACCTTCCTCCAGAGCCAGTCCTCTAACTGCAGAGCTGCAGGCAGCCTGAACCCACCTTTGTGCTCAATTCCCAGCCCCAGTGGGAAAGTCCCCAACTCCTGCTAGGTACCGGTGGAGGGGTAGCTACCCACCTTCTGCAGGCACACACTCAAAAGCTAAGGAGACTTGATAACCTCTAGGAAGCTTCTGAGTCACAGAGCTGATGCAGGCCTGGTAGCCCCTACATAGGTTGTCTTACTGAGACCTGAGTTCCCAACTCTGTGTGAGGCACAGCATAGATGATTTAGTGTTCACCAGTCCCTGCCCTCAAGGAGCCTGACAGGGGAAAGAAGAGACTCCAGGAAACAGGACAATGCATTTACAGATCCAAGAATTCTTCACTCTAAGGGTCGAAAGTGGAATTGCAGGGAAAAAAGATGGAGGAGAAGGCAACAAAGGATTAATGAGTTCTACCTAGGGGTAGGAAAGGAGGACCAGCATGAGCAAAGCAACACGCACAACATGCACCATCTTGGAGGGCAATGTGCAGTATCTGGTAAAATTTTAAATATACCCTTTGATCTAGCACTTCCACTTTTAGGAACAAATTCTTCAGAAACATTCCTGTTAAGTGCACAAAGATACATGTACAAAGATGTTCATTATAGCATTGTTTGAAAAAAACTGGGATTCAAATCTCCATGAATAAGAGACGGGTACGCTCCTACAAAAAAATAAGATGTAGGCATTAACACCTTCCCAATGTGCTCATGCTTTAGAAGAATATACAGACTATTAATAGTGTTTATACTTTTAAGAAGTGAAATTCGGCCTGGTATGGTGTCTCATGCCTGTAGTCCCAGCACTTTGGGAGGCTGAGGAGGGTGGATCATGAGGTCAGGAGATCAAGACCATCCTGGCCAACATGGATACAAAAATTAGCTGGGCGTTGTGGCATGTGCCTGTAGTCCCAGTTACTTGGGAGACTGAGGCAGGAAATCACTTGAATCGGGAGGCAGAGGTTGCAGTGGGCCAAGATCGTGCCACTGCACTCCAGTCTGGCGACAGAGTGAGACTCCATCTCAAATAAAATAAATAAATAAATAAATAATCTGGGGGATTTTTTTATAATTTGAAGATGAAAAAGACCCCACTGAGTGCTCTCAAGGCCTATTTTTATTTATCAAAGCCTAAGTTTAGAATTATGAACTAATGCAGCTTTTCTGGAGGGCAGTTTCACAACAGGAACCAAAAGCCTTACAACTTTTTGTACTCTTTACTCACAGCAATTCCATTTCTAAGAATGTATCCATAGAATACATAGATGTATTCAAAGGTAATATTTATAAGGAAATTTAACAGTGTTGTTTATAAATTGGAAACTTAGTAACCAAGTAGATAAACTGTTATAAAAAATAAGCAGCCAATAGAAATGGTAATATAAGAGAATGTCTGAAGCCACTGAAAGTAATGATATATAGGCCAGGCATGGTGGCTCACGCCTGTAATCCCAGCACTTTGGGAGGCCGAGGTGGGCGGATCACCTGAGGTTGAGAGTTTGAGACCAGTCTGGCCAACATTGTGAAACCCCATCTCTACTAAAAAAATACAAAAAAATTAGCCGGGCGTGGTGGCAGGCACCTGTAGTCCCAGCTACTCAGGAGGCTGAGGCAGGAGAATTGCTTGAACCCGGGAGGTGGAGCTTGCAGTGAGCCCAGATCGCGCCACTGCACTCCAGCCTGGGCGACAGAGCTAGACTCCATCTCAAAAAACAAAACAAAACAAAACAAAACAAAAATTAGCTGGGCATACTGGTGCGCGCCTGTAATCCCAGCTACTAGGGAGGCTGAGGCAGGAGAATCGCTTGAACCTGGGAGGCAGAGGTTGCAGTGAGCTGAGATCGCACCACTGCACTCTAGCCTGGGCAACAGAGCAAGACTCTATCTAAATGGTAATAATAATAAATGATATATGGATAACTTTTTAAAAAGCAAGTTAAACTGGCATAAATAATATGTCCATATTAAAAGAATTCTATATGCCAAAGGACACTATAAATAAAAAGACAACCTGGGAAGAAATATTTTCAACATGTATGAGATGAAGGGGCTAATAACCTTAACAAAATAAAAGCTATAACACATACATGCAGACTATGAATAGGCTATTGAGAAGAACTATAATTTACAAATAACCATATAAGATACCGATCCTTCATATTTAAATAAATTCGAGCTGGGTGTGGTGGCTCACGCCTGTAATTCCAGCACTTTGGGAGGCCGAGGTGAGCAGATCACGAGGTCAGGAGTTTGAGACCAGCCTGACCAATATGGTGAAACCCCGTCTCTACTAAAAATACAAAAATCAGCCGGGCGTGCTGGCGCATGCCTGCAATCCCAGCTACTCAGGAGGCTGAGGCAGGAGAATCACTTGAACCTGGGAGGCGGAGGTTGCAGTGAGCTGAGATGGTGCCACTGCACTCCAGCCTGGGCAACAGAGTGAGACTCCATCAAAAAAATAAAAATAAAATAAAAAATAAAATAAATTCAAACTAAAAATGATTTTTTGCTTCTTTTTTTACCTGTCAGATTAACAAAAGGTGTAACTTTGACCATAATTTTTGTTATGAAGAATAATTTGCAATATCTATTAAAATTTAAAATATAACCTTTGATATAGCATTTCCACTTTTAGGAATAAATGTTTCTTCAGAACAAATGTTTCTTCAGAAACATTCCAGTTAAGTGCACAGACATATATGTACAAGGATGTTCATTACAGCATTGAAAGAAACTAAGACTCAAATCTCCATAAATAAGAGATGAGCTAAATAAGGTACACTCCTACAAAAAAAAAAAAAAAAATGATGGCCAGGTGCAGTGGCTTATGCCTGTAATCCCAGCACTTTGGGAGGCCAAGGTGGGCAGATCACCTGAGGTCTCGAGTTCAAGACCAGCCAACATGGTGAAACCCCATCTCTACTAAAAATACAAAAATTAGCCAGGCATGGTGGTGCGTGCCTGTAGTCCCAGTTACTTGGGAGGTGAAGCAGGAGAATCGCTTGAACCCAGAAGGCAGAAGTTGCAGTGAGCTGAGATCACGCCATTGCACTCCAGCCTGGGCAATACAGAGCGACTACGTCTCAAAAAAAAAAAAAAAAAAAAAAAGGAATGAAGCAATAGGTTCTGATAGGTAAGACACCAAAATGTATTAAATAAAAAGGTCCAAGTAGTACGTATAAATAGCCCATTGATAAAAATCTATTTTTCAGATCTAGGAAAAACAGGGGCCCTTACCTGCTCCACTATTTGTACAATGTGTTTTTGTTTTTTTTTTTTGAGAGGGAGTCTCGCTTTGTCACCCAGGCAGGAGTGCAGTGGCGCCATCTCAGCTCACTGAAAGCTCCGCCTCCTGGGTTCCCGCCATTCTCCTGCCTCAGCCTCCCCAGTAGCTGGGACCACAGGCGCCCGCCACCACGCCTGGCTAATTTTTTACATTTTTTAGTAGAGACGGGGTTTCACCCTGTTAGCCAGGATGGTCTCAATCTCCTGACCTTGTGATCCGCCTGCCTCGGCCTCCCAAAGTGCTGGGATTACAGGTGTGAGCCACTGCACCTGGCCTATTTGTACAATATTTATATTTGAAATAACTTCATACTAACAAGCACGTATTTTAAAATTAGAAAAAACAAATTTTAACACATGCTAAAACAGTATGTGTAGACAAAAAGTTATGTGCCCAATATGTTTTATCAGGACATGGGAGTTTGAGTGATATTTTTTCTGCACTTAAAATTTTTTTCTTTTCTGAGACAGAGTCTCGCTCTGTAGCTCAGGCTGGGGTGCAGTGGTGCAATACCAGCTCTCTGCATCCTCCGCTTCCTGGGTTCAAGCGATTCTCCTGCCTCAGCCTCCTGAGTAGTTGGAATCATAGGCACCCACCACCACACCAAGCTAATTTCTGTATTTTTAGTAGAGATGGGGTTTCATCATGTTGGCCAGGCTGGTCTTGAACTCCTGACCTCAAATGATCTGCCCTCTTCAGCCTCCCAAAGTGCTGGGATTACAGGCATGAGCCACCACGCCCAGCCAGAATTTTTCTACAATGAATACATGTATTCTCTATTAAGAAAAAATTAGCTGTTAAAAAAATTCAGGATTTTCACTTGTCTTTAGGACCAAAATTACCACTACTCCCTCCCCTCCAGGAAGTCTAACATAGCCTTTGCTCCACCTTAAAACTCATCCATCCTTCTCCTTTTGCTGCTTTTTATGAAGTCTGACACTTTCCATCTTTGTATTCCCAGCCCAGCTCTGCCCTGAGGGAGGGAAGGCGAAGGCTGGGTGTTTAGCTTACTTTCAAACTTTGTATTTCCTTTTCTTGTGTGTGTAATGGGGTCTTGCTATGTTGCCCAGACCTGCTCTGGAACTCCTGAGCTCAAGCAGTCCTCCCACCTCAGCCTCCCAAGCTGAGGACTACAGGTACATGATACCCACCCCTGGCTGTATTTTCAAAAACAGTGAGTCAGTGTCTCTAGAATGAATAGATATCTGCCCAGAAATACTCAACTTTGAGTGGGGCTTTACACCAGAGACATCCTTCACGTAACAACCCCTAAGTAAACAAACTAAGGTGTGGAGAGGGGATGTAAACATTGCTCATAGCAGCCTCCTACCTAAAAACACACAAGAGAGTGGTGGCAAAGCATTGGTCTTCACTGGTCTTTATTGAATGAGGGTTGTCAGGAGCAAAGGTGGGATCAAGAGCAGCAAAAGCAGAAACAAGTATAAAAGTATCAAAAAATACAAAGTGCTAGCACTGAGGAGAGTGAGAAGGGTTGGGTTGTGGCCCAGAGGGACCTCTGGGACACAGGATTGAGGACTTGCCACAGCCTCCAAGGGAACCTAGGCCTGGGGGGCCTGTGCAGGATCCTTGGCTGAGGGTGGAAGTGGCTTGAGCGGGGCCCAACCCTGGGCCCTGAAGTATGAGACCAGTTGTGTGGGCACTTCTGCGAGCACGGTCTGTGCCAATGCCTCCCGAGGGGCCTGCCAAGAAAAGGGAAAAGTCAGTGGTGGCCCAGAACAGCTGCCCAAAGTCTGTATTTCATGCTCAAGAACCCAACCATATCCCAGGCTTAGAGGAAAAGGTGAGCATCCCTTGGGCCTCAACCCTACTCACATCAGGGAAAGGTGAAAGGGTAAACTCCCAGATCAAATTTGCACCTACTCACATTCTGGAACCGGCGGTAGGGTACAAACTGCACAATGTCGCGGGCAGCAGCCTGCCCAGAACGTGTATGCAGGGGTCCACCATCAGCGTCCAGCTGCTCCATGGCCTCAAAGTCAGCACCACCCACACCCACAATGATCACTGACATGGGCAGGTTCGAGGCACGCACCACAGCCTCACGTGTGGCTTCCACATCCGTCACAGCACCATCAGTCAGCAGCAACAGCATGAAGTATTGCTGGGGACAAGCCCATTCATGTCCTGAAGCAGATCCTCCTCCTAAACCCCTGCAAACACCCCAGCCACACATCCCCACACTCATAAGAAGTCCCTTGTTACAGGCCGGGTGCGATGGCTCACACCTGTAATCCCAGCACTTTGGGAGGCTAAGGCAGGCGGATCACTTGAGGTCAGGAGTTTGTGACCACCCCAGCCAACATGGTGAAAGCCCGTCTCTACTAAAAATATAAAAATTAGCTGGGCATGGTGGCACACGCCTGTAATCCAAGCTACTAGGAAGGCTGAGGCAGGAGAATCACTTGAACCCAGGAGGTGCAGGTTGCAGTGAGCTGAGATCGCGTCACTGCACTCCAGCCTGGGTGACAGAGCAAGAGTCCATCTCAAAAAAAAAAAAAAAAAAAAAAGTCCTTTGTTCCATAACCCTCAAGGAAGCCCTTGATTGCCACCACTGCCACTGCCACCCACGACTCTCACCGAGGCAGTCCCCTGATGTGCAGCCTGGGCTGCAAACCTGGCCACATGGTTGATGATGGGTGCAAAGTTGGTAGGGCCATAGAGGCGAACTTGGGGCAGGGCTTGGCGGTAGGCATCCACAATGCCCTGGATGCCTGCAGAGGAGAGCAAGAAATACCGTAAAATCCTGGACCTCTCAGGACTACACCAGTCCTGAAATCACCCCATCCCAGCCCAGGAGATCTCGGAACCTGGGTGCATTTCATTCATTCACCCTTGTAAACCAGGGTACTTAACTGTCTCCTACACATGAGGAAACTAAGGTTCAAAGAGAGGAGGGGACTTGCCCTAAATCACAGCTTGAATTAGCACCCAGATGAGAGGGATTCTCCTGGACAAATCCAGGAGAGTTTGAGCATCAGATTATAACCTATTTAATAATGATCCATTTGATACAATAAGGATCCGTACTATGGATTAATTACTGAGGGAGAAGGGAAAGCTCCTAATAAATGTAAAAGGAAGAATTACACAATCATTTGACAATCACAGAAATGACTGATTCAGGCAAGGATCATCAATGGATGTTAAAACTAGAGAGTATAGCCAGGCACAGTGGCATGTGCCTGTAGTCCCAGCTACTCACGAGGCTGAGGTGGGAGGACTGCTTGAGCCCAGGGGTTCAAGGCCAGCTTAGGCAACATAGTGAGACCCCCGTCACTTAAAAAATAAAAAAACTAAGGCCGGGCGCAGTGGCTCAGGCCTGTAATCCCAGCACTTTGGGAGGCTGAGGCGGGCGGATCACAAGGTCAGGAGATTGAGACCATCCCAGCTAACACAGTGAAACCCCGTCTCTACTAAAAATACAAAAAAAAAACTAGCCGGGCGTGGTGGTGGGCGCCTGTAGTCCCAGCTACTCGGGAGGCTGAGGCAGGAGAATGGCGTGAACCCAGGAGGTGGAGCTTGCAGTGAGCCAAGATCGCGCCACCGCATTCCAGCCTGGGTGACAGAGCAAGACTCCATCTCAAAAAATAAAAAATAAAAAATAAATTAAAAAAAAAAAAACTAGAGGGGAATGTTGATGTGTGTGTGATGAGTATTTGTATAGTCTCTTCCCAGAATATACTTACTAAATAGAAAGGAGAAAATAGTACTTGTATAGTGGAGAAACCTGGTAGATCTTACCTTAACTAAGTGACCAAAGTCAACATGACTGGTAATAGGACAAATCAACATCATGTTCCTCTGAATATGATGCACTGAGAATATACAGCATCACTTTGGTGGTATTCCTGCCAAAAATGTACAACCTGAATCTAATCCTGAGGATTTATCAGGTAAACCCAAACTGAGGGACATTCTAGAAAATATCTGGCCTATACTGTTTATATCATGAAATGTGAATGTCATGAAAGGCAAGAAGTCTTCCATATAAAAAGATATGTGCTAACTGAACGCAATGTGTGATCTGAGATTTTCTTTTGCTGTAAAAGACATTAGGACAATTGGCAACATCTGAATAAATGCTATAGGCTGGATAATAGCATAGATGTTCATTTCCTGATTTTGAGGATTGGTCTGTGATAATGTAAGAAAGAGTCTTTGATTTTAGGAGATACTGAAGTACTCAGAGGTAAAAAGCCAGGTGGATAATGATGGGTACAAAGCTGGTAGGGCCATAGAAGCAAACCTGAGGCAGGGCTATTCACTACAGCATTCTCCAACACACGTATACATGTGTGTACATACATAAACACATATTTTTAATCTTTTTTCCCTTGAAATGTGTGAATGTGTGTGTATATGTATACATGTGTACACACACACACACATATACACACACATACACACTGTATACATGTATGAGAAAAGAGAAAACAAATGTGGTAAAATGTTATGTTAGGGTAATTGGGATAAAGGTGAAGAGCCCCTGTGAACTCAGGCCCTGACCCCTGAGTTCCAAGGGACTGAGCTCCTATGACTATTCTTGCAACTTTTCTCTAAGTCTGAACTTATGTTGAAATACAAAATTAAAATTTTAAAACCCAGATCAGATCAGGTCAGGTCAGATTTTCCACTTCAGCTTGTGCCCCCTTGGGGGTACTGGGGAGTCAAAAGGTTTGGCCCTAAACAAAAGGGCTTGGTGGACTCTGGCAAAATGCACCCTGCAAGGAGGCAAACAAGGCTTCCACTGATGCTCAAGTAAGTACCTGTTAGCTTCTAGGCAAAGATAATAACGATAATATAACAGATACCATTTTTCGGAGAACACTTAGTAAGTACCAGGCTTACTGCTTTACTTGTATCCTCTCCTTGAGTACTCAATTTCCTATGTTTAGTCTTATGAAACCAAAGCACACAGAGATTAAGCAACCTGCCCCAAGTCATGTGGCATCATTTTTTTTTTTTTTTGAGATAGGTTCTCACTCTATCACCCAGGCTGGAGTATAGTGGCATGATCATGATCATGGCTCACCACAACCTCAACCTCCTGGGCTCAGGTGATCCTCCCACCTCAGCCTCCTGAGTAGCTAGAACTACAGGCGCCTGCCATCATGCTCGGCTAATTTTTGTAATTTTAGTAGAGATGGGGTTTTGCCATGTTTCCCAAGCTAGTCTCAAATTCCTGGGCTCAAGCGATCCACCCACCTTGGCCTCGCAACTGAGTGCTAGGATTACGGGCGTGAGCCACCACTCCTGGCCTGGCATGACGATTTGATTCCAGAGGCCTAGCTCTAAAATCCACCCTCTGGGTCAGGCGCTGTGGCTCAATACCTGTAATCCCAGCACTTTGGGAGGCCAAGGCAGGTCAATCACCTGAGGTCAGGAATTCGAGACCACCCTGGCCAACATGGCAAAACCCCGTCTCTACTAAACATACAAAAATTAGCCAGGCACGGTGGCAAGCGACTGTAGTCCCAGCTACTTGGGAGGCTGAGGCAGAAGAATTGCTCGAACCCAGTAGGCAGAGGTTGCAAGTGAGCTAAGATTGCGCCACCGCACTCCAGCCTGGGTGACAGAGCAAGACTCTTTCTCAAAAAATAAATTAAACTAAAATTAAATAAAATCCACCCTCTGGACAATGAAGGCAGGTATCTGCCCCCACTCTCCCTTTTACTCATGCAGGCTTGCCCCTCTTTGTGTGGACAGACCTGCCTCAGGGTGGATGGGGAAACTTACCTGCACAGTAGGGGTTACTGGGGTTGAAATTCAAGGCAAATTCATGCGAGACCTGGAGACAAGAATGAAAATGAGGTTCTTTCCCCATGACCTCTGCTAAGAATGAAAAAGGACACTGGCGTGTGCCAAGATTCCTATAGGAGCTATGGAGTCCTGAGCACTTGCTGTCTACGTGCCTGCAGGAATCCAACCCTGCATCTCCTCTTAAAGCTGAGTGCCAAGTAGCAAGTAAATTTACCACATCCCCCAAAATCAGGACCCTGAAACTGAAAACAGGAGTGGCAGAAAGAGAGGGAGCTCACCTGCCAGTCAGGGGGAACCTGGGCCCCAAATCCAAATGCAGGGAACAGCTTGTCTCTGTGGGAGGACAGTGTATTGGGCAAAAGGCAGTGAGGGGACTGTAAGCTCAGAGGCTGAAGCATCTGCAGGGAGCGGGTATAGCCCAGAGAAGCAGGTACTCACGAGTCATAGTCCTGAACCACGCTGCCCACACTCCACAGTGCCATCAGGTACTCATTGACCCCTGTTGGACTCAGGTAGTGTAGGGAGTCAGGTGAGGAGGGGTCTCCATTGGAGCCAGTGAAGTCCACGCCCACCTGGGAGGAGGTGAGGAAGGCAGCTAAAGGCCACCCTGAGCCCCAGACCTGTTCTCTTGCCCTTGGTAAAGTAACTTACAGTGAAGTTGATCTGACAGCCTCCCATCACATAGTCCAGAAAGGAGTACTCTGTTTCTACCTGCAAATGAAACCAGGGTCATGCCTGGGGTGATAGCAGTTGGTGTCATGGAGCTCAGGAATCAGAGCCTTGGTTACATGGGCTTTTGTCTCACCCGACAAATCTTGACACGGATAGTTCCAGAGTTCTTGTAGCTTTTCTTTTTCTGCTGCTTCTCAGGGTGGATGCATTCAAACTCAGCCTGGTGAGGACAGAAAAATTAGGGTAGGAAATTCTCAGAGCATCAGTCAAGGACTCGAGCTGCCTTCTCCTTCCTCTCTCCCACAAGCTTCAGCTATCTAGGCCCATTTCCACACCCCTGGCAAGACCAGCACTCACCGGGACTGCCTGCAGCTGGGCCAAGCTGGTGTGGAAGGTACCGATGAGATCATGTGACCCGTCACTGTCATAATCGGAGCATTGCACCTGAGGGAAAGGTGTGTGTGGACATAAACAAGCCAGGTGGCAGATGAGAATAAGTCCCTCCCCAGGTTCTCTTCTCCAGCGCAGTCCACTTAGGGGGCAAGCTCCTCACCTGGATGGGTGTGCTGGGGTTCCCACCACAGAAATGCTGAACGGGGACTGAGAAACGCTTCCATGTAGGGTTCAGGTTGTTCTTGATGACCTGAAGGTGGAGGCCAAGGCCTCCAGTGAGCTCTGGCATGGCCCCCTGAGGAGCTGCCACACTTCTCTACCCACCTGCAGTCTCTTTCTGAGTTCCAAACCTTGCTAGTCACAGGCCCCAGGAGATTATCTCCTACCCCAGCCCACCCAATCCCAGGGGTCTCATACCTCAGATCTGTACACCAGGTGCCATTTCCCATCACCCTGGCGGAAGAACTCCAGAAATGGATCTGATTTTCCCAGGAAGTCCTGCCAATGCGAGACCCCAGTTACAAGACTCAGGAACAAACAACCATTATGCCATCCCTCTGTCCACACCCCCATCCCCCATACACCATCCTTGGCCCCTTAACTCTTGGATTACCAGGGCCTACTTCCAGACACACCTTCTTATCTAGGTTTCTGGCCTCTACCTCCATGGTTACTACACGATTGTCCTTTAATTCCTGAGCTGAGACCTAGGTAGGGGAGACTACATCACCTCATGAATTCATTGATGTTAAGTCCCTCCTCAACCCTTGCTGGGTTCCTTACCGTGATGGTCCCCCGCCCAGCAGGTTTTCCAGGCTTCAGCATCAAGGGGAGAGTCAGTACCTGGCTGGACACAATCTGGGGAAAAGCAGGGAAGGGAGTTTCAGGATAACAGGCAGGGTTAGGTCCTGCTTGCCCCCTACCTCCAGGCAGGCTAGGTTGTCTCACAGACCTGCATCTGAAGGATCCTAATCCCCAGCCCTACATACCTGTCCTAGGGAACACTCAGCACCCCCTAGGAAGTCATCATCCCTCAGCTCTGGCGTCTTGTTGTCTATGTCATAGATTCCAAAGCGTAGCTTCTGGACTGTCTCAAAGCGGTACTCAAGCTGTAGAGTCTTGGAGAACTCAGGGCTTGAGCAGTTCCGCACCCGTTCAGTCCGGCCAAGCTGTGGGCAGAGGCCAGTAAGCATCACAGTCACAGCCTCCACCCCAAAACACAATCCTAGCCTCCCTCCACAACCTTAACCTCCATAATCCGCCTCACCTCAGCCCAGCTGCCCCCTCCCACATCCTGTAAAAGGACGCAGAGTGGGTCAGACTTGGAGCCGATGTCCTTGTCAATGAGATGGTCACAGGAAATGGACAGCTGAACCAAGGTCACGCAGTGGGCCATCTGAGGGAAAAGGAGCTGGGTCAAGCACCAGGGAGCCTTCTCTCCCCTTCCCCGACTACAGGTCCCAGCTTGGGAAGGCCAGCAGGCATCACCCAGGCAGGGCTGAGCATACGTCCACCCCCGTGACACCCAAGGAAGAGAAGGCCTCATAGCCTCCAAACCCCTCCACCCCTAGGTGAGCTCACTGGCACAGAAGATGGCAGATACAACCAACCCTGGTCTGAAGATATTGAAAAGGGGTACTAGCCTCCATCTACAACTGTGACCCCAAACTATCCTCACCCTAAAATTTGTCTTAATCCCAATAGGGCTGTCCAAACCCAGACTCTAATCTTGGTCTTTGCAAAGACCAATAAATCTTTCTGACCCCCTTACTGGCCCCAGGCCAGACCCTAATCCAAGTTCTGATCCTAACATAACCCCAAATATAACTATGATCCAGATAATATCCTCCACAAATTATCTTCTTCCAATAATTTCTCACTAACCCTGGGGATCTAACTCTTGTGGTGGAGTTATGATCCCCCTACTAATTCTCCTCACCTCTACTGCTAATGTTCAACTCCTCACTATTTCCACTGCTGCTGCCCAATCTAAGCCATCACTGTTTGTCACCTGGCTTACAGCATTAGCCTCTTCAACTGGTCTCCCTTATTCTATGCTGTCTCCACCTCCGTTCCCCCATGTCCACCCCAACAGGCTATTCTAAATACAGCAATCAGGGCGATCCTATTAAAACATAAGTGAGGCCGGACACAGTGGCTCATGCCTGTAATCCTGGCACTTTGGGAGGCCAAGGTGGGCAGATCACTTGAGGTCAGGAGTTTGAGACCAGCCTGGCCAACATGGTGAAACCCCGTCTCTACTAAAAAAAAAAATACAAAAATTAGCCAGGCATGTTGGCGTGTGCCTATAATCCTGGCTACTCAGGAGGCTGAGGCAGGAGAATTGCTTGAACCCAGGAGGTGGAGGTTGCAGTGAGCCGAGACTGTGCCACTGTACTCCAGCCTGGGCAACAAGAGCAAGATTCCGTCTCAAAAAAAAAAAAAAAAAAAAGGCCGGGGACGGTGGCTCAAGCCTGTAATCCCAGCACCTTGGGAGGCCAAGGTGGGTGGATCACGAGGTCAGGAGATCGAGACCATCCTGGCTAACATGGTGAGACCCTGTCTCTACTAAAAATACAAAAAATTAGCCAGGTGTGGTGGCGGGCGCCTGTAGTCCCAGCTACTCGGGAGGCTGAGGCAGGAGAATGGCGTGAATCCGGGAGGCAGAGCTTGCAGTGAGCCGAGATGGCGCCACTGCACTCCAGCCTGGGGGACCGAGGTTGACTCTGTCACAAAAAAAAAAAAAAAAAAGTGAGGTCATATCACGCCTCTGCCTGAACCCTCTAGTACTTCCCATTTCCTACTGAGCTTAGAAAAACTCCAAACTTGGCCAGATATGGTGGCTCACTTGAGGTCAGGAGTTCGAGACCAGCCTGACCAACATGGTGAAACCCTGTCTCTACTAAAAATAAAAAAAATTAGCTGGTATGGTGGTGGGCGCCTGTAATCCTAGCACTTTGGGAGGCTGAGGCAGGAGAATCGCTTGAACCTGGCGGGTGGAGGTTGAAGTAAGCCGAGATCGCGCCACCGTACTCCAGCCTGGGCAACAAAGCTAGACTCCATTTCCAAAAAGAAAAGAAAAGAAAAAAAGTCCAAACTATACCATGGCCTATAAGGTCCTGGAAGGTCCAGATTTCTTTAACCTGATCTCGGAGTGTCTCTCTTGCTCACTCCATTTCAGCCACTTTGTCACTCCTCAAATAAGCCAAGTTTGTTTGTTCCTTCTTTCGTGAGACAGAGTCTCACTGTCACCCAGGCTGAAGTGCAGTGGTGAGATCTCAGCTCACCACAACCTCTGCCCCTTGGGTTCAAGCGATCCCTCCCACCTCAGCCTCCCAAGTAGCTGGGACTACAGGTGTGCATCACCACACCCAGCTATTTTTTTTTTTTTTTTTTTGTAGAGACAGGGTCTCACTATGTTGCCCAGGCTGCTGGGCAACTCCTCGGATCAAGCAATCCACCCACCTCAGCCTCCCAAAGTCCTGGCATGATAGTGTGTGCCACCACACCCAGCCAGCCAAGTTTGTTTCTACCCCAAACACTTTGCAGTACCTGGAATGTGTTCTTTCTCTGCATTATATCCACATGGCTCACTGCTCCCTTTCCCCACAAGTCTTTACTCAAAATAATCTTCCCTGTTTTATATATACATATATATATAAAGGCTCTCCCTTTTAGCCCCTCTAAAATTTCAACCCCACTGCCCCTGGCATTGCATACCCCTTTTTTGCTTTTTCTCAATGTCTAACATTATATACATGTATATACTGTTTCCCCCACTAGAATATAAATTCTGTGAGAAAGGAATATTTAGCTGTTCTGTTTATTGCTCTATCCCAAGCACCTAGACAATACATATTTGCAGAATGAAATCTGAAAGTTCATCTCCAGCCCCAGCTCCCTGCCCAGCCAGCTCCAAACTAACTGATGTCTCGCCCTTGTAATCAGGCAGCACCAAGCTTCTCTGATTCACCCCTTCCCTCTGCTGGGAACATTATTTTCTTGCATGGTTCACCACGACAACACCTGGGTAATTCCGTCCTCCTGCAGCCACCATAACAATCACCCTCAGACCTCTTGTTATCCCTGTGTCCCCCTTGGCCCATATACCTGAAGACCACTCCACCAGCAGTGCACACGAGGTCAGATCTTTCACTGAGCTTCACTCAGCATTCCATGTTTCCCAAAGCTATACCCTGAGATGCCTCCAGCGTCAGCCCTCCCCTATACTGATCCTCAGTCAATCGCTCCTCCCTCGCAGCCCACAGCACCTCATCTTGGTCCCTCATAGTTTCCATCTGGAATGCTGTTATCAAAGTTGGAATGCTTCAGAGTTCAACTTGCTTCACATACTGCCCCTCCACAGCACCCTGGCCCCTGCATGAACAGTCCCAGTGATAGAAAACCCAGTCTTACAATCCAATCATCAGAAAGTCTAGGTCCATACAAATCCTACCCAAACTGACCTAACTCTGTGGAATTCTTACTTCTACCTGGTAGTTCTTCCCCAGCCTAGGGCTCCATGGGAAGGCCTTACCCTATCTCCCTATGAGAACTCATCTGATACCTGGAAGCTGTGAACAGTCCCAGCTGAAATCTGGAGAAACAGCCGCAGTTCTTTTGGCTGTTGCCCCTAGAATGTGGCCTGCAGACTTCTGACCATCCTGATCACTCCCTTGGGGGTTCCCCAAGGACAGACCCAGAGCAGAATACATGCTCCCTCAAGGGATCAGGATCACAGCTTCCCCCAAGTCACAATCTGAACTCCATGCATGTCACCTCACATGCTCTCCCAGGCAGTGTTTACACAGTACAGAGACAAATAAAAAAGAATGCTCATTTCACTAATGCTGGGAATAGTGAAAAATCTAAGGCAGCTTAAAGGTCTATCAACTAAATATGATACATCTGAACAACGGAATGCTGAATAGTGGCTAAAAAACAAGCCAGAACTATATTATATTGGTATCCTATGAAAAAATCAAAAATAGGCCGGGCGCAGTGGCTCACTGTTGTAATCCCAGCGTTTTGGGACGCCGAGGCAGGCGGATCACTTGAGGTCAGTTCAAGACCAGCGTGGCCAACGTGGTGAAACCCAGTCTCTACCAAAAATACAAATATCAGCTGGGTGTGGTGGTGCACACCTGTAGTCCCAGCTACTCGGGAGCCAGGAGAATCACTTGAACCTGGGAGTTGGAGGTTGCAGTGAGCCGAGATCATGGCACTGTACACAAGACTCCATCTCAAATAATAATAATAATAATAGGAAGAGTATGACCATTTTTTACTTCAATTGTAAACTTCCATTTTAAACTTCAATTGTAGGTGTATCTTTATAACAGATTTGAATACAAACATAAATAAATACACACACAGAAAAATAGAAGATGCATCAAATGTTTTAGGTAGCTCAAAGGAGTGGAAGATAAGAATTTTGTGAACTCCATAATTCTGTATTGTTTCAATATTTTATACTGTTTTGTATTTTTTAAAAGGCCTTATATGAAATAAAAAACAAAAACAAAACAAGCAAAATAAATAAAAAGGCCTCATCAGCTTTCCCCCCAAATCCACACCTCAAATCTTCTTGACTGTTCATTCTAAGCCCAAAGCCTCCACTTCCAGTTCAACAACCCCTACCTAACTTCAGGCCTTATTAGTCTCTTGCGTCCTGCTTGGTTTCTGTCCTAGCACTGCTCCACCTGGTCATCCCAGATGCCAGCTTCCAGTCTCTATTCCAAGTAAAAGCCCCGTATAGCTGCCTTTAGGTTCGGAGCCAAACTCCCTAGCAAAGCTACCTTGCTGCACAACTCCAAAGGACATACCTACATAGAATTTGGTAGTTTTGCAATCTGGTAACCCTGCATCCCTAGATCAACCTTCAAAGCTCTTCCCAGTTTGCCATCAGCTCTACCTCCTGCCGCTCACTCACCCACCCACCGAACTAGTCATCCAAAGTTATTTCTGGTTCATCTAACACACATGCCTGACTTTCCTGCCTAGCAAATGTCCTGTCATCCATGGTTCTAATATGACATTATTCCTTTATGAACCCTTGCCTGTTTTCCCCAAGGATTTTCTTGTCTCTGCTCTGGATGACTGCGATGTTTCCTCATTAGTGTTTCTGCGACCATACACACACATTTCTGGGTTTATTAGCCAAACAGAAACCTGATCATGTCATTTTTCCACTGAAAACTCTGGAATGCCTTTCCAAAACACTTAAGATAAAACCCAAAGTTCTTACCATGGTCTTCAAGGCCCTGCAAGACCTTACCCTTGCCTAACTAATCATCTAGCCACGCAACTATCCTCCAGCCAGGTTGGCCTTTCTGATCCACATATACCTAACACCAACCTTATTTACCACCTCAGGGCTTTTGCACTCTGTCTCCCTCCTTATACACTACAGAAAATAAGCTATACTAGAGTAGGAACTCTGGCTAGCTCCAGGACCCACAGCAGTATCTATCTATCCTACAGTAGATACTCATCAGTAAGTATTTAGTGACTGACTTAACATTGAAGCCACACCATAATTTTTACTTTTGTCTGTCTACCCTGTAAACTATGGGGTCCTTGAACTAGGGCTGGATATTATCTCTGTATCACTAGTATTAGTACTTAGTATATAGCTGGTACTAATAACCATTTGCTGAACAAATGGTGAATGTGCTTTTGCTCAAGTCACACTTCAGGCCTTGAACTGATGTGTAACAATAAATCTCCCCTATCCTGATCTTGTATAGTTCAACTTTGAAATTTAAATGCAGGACTCCTACAACTCAATATTAAATGATAGTCAATTAAAATGGGCAAAAGATTTGATCAGGCACTTCATAAAGGAAAATATGTGAATCAGAAATAAGCAAAGTGATCCACAGCGTTAATTATCAGGGAAATGAAAAATAAAACCACAATGAGATACTGTTACATACCCACCACAATGGCTAAAAGTATAATTAAAAAGACCACCACCACCAAATGCTGGCAAGGATATGGAACTCTCATATATTGTTAGTGAAAGCATTAAATGTACCACTTTGGAAAACAGTCTGGCAGCTTATCAAAAAACCTAACAAACACCTAGCCCAAGAGCGATTCCACTCCTACATTTTTAGCCAAAAGAAATGGAAACATTATGTCCACAAAGATTTGTATAAGAATGTTCACAGCAGCTTTATTCACAATAGCCAAAAACTTGAAACAGCCCAGGTATTCATCAATATGAGAACCAATTGTGATGTTTATAGAAAACTATTCAGCAACAAAAAAATCTATTAGTATCTGTAACATGAATAAAAATGAAGAATAAAGTAAACAGATTCCATTTATGAAGTTTCAGAACAGGCAAAACGAATCTGTGATGTAAATATTCAGAACACTGGTTGTCCTCCCTTCTCCCCCAGGGGAAGGGAAGGTATTAACTGAGCAGAGGCAGAGAGCTCCCAGTGGAAAGGGAAACGTTCTTAGCATTCTAAGAATATGGGTCACAGGAGTGTGTGCATTTGCCACTTCCATCTAAAGGAACACTGAGTGTACACATCTGATTGTAAAATTTTACAAAAAAAAAAAACAAAACCCAACAACCCATAAACAAATGTTGCACTAAAGTTAAGGCATGTTGAAATGTTTACAAGTGTACCGATGACTGAAACTTTTTTGAAATCCACCAAAAAATAAAAGGAGTTGTTGAAGAAATGTGATAAAACAAGATTTTAAGTTGTAGGATCTGAAATGGCGGATATATGGGTATAATTTTTTTCAACTTTGCTACATGTTGAAAATTTTCATAATAAAATGTTGGGGAAACTATTATTTTTTTTTTAGACAGAGTCTCACTCTGTTGCCCAGGCTGGAGTGCAATGGCACCATCTCGGCTCATAGTAACCTCCGCCTCCTGGGTTCCAGCGATTCTCCCACTACAGCCTCCAGAGTAGCTGGGATTACAGGCACCTGCCATCATGCCCGGCTAATTTTCATATTTTTGTAGAGACAGGGTTTCACCATGTTGGCTAGGCTGGTATTGAACTCCTGACCTGAGGTGATCCGCCCGCCTTGGCCTCCCAAAGTGCTGGGATTACAGGCATGAGCCACCGCACCCAGCTAGGGAAATTTTTAATTGGAGAACTACAGGTCCTCCCCCTGGTAAGAGGTTGTTGTGAATGACAAAAGCATTAGCAGTGATTATTTGGGGTGGTAAGATTACAGGCCACAACTGGAGCTGCTGTCTTCTCACTCCACGACTTCTCAAATGTCCCCAAAAGAGATGCCCTTGGTCTGGGCCAAACACGTGTAGTGGGCTACTATTATCATCTTCCTGTGTAGGCCTCAATTTCTGGTGGACTATTCCTTCCTAATCATTACCATTACACCACTTTTCCTGGACTAAATCCTTTTTCAGTTTTTTGAACCCAGAATCAAACCCCAGCCATACTGTTGTGGGCTCATGTGTGCCTCAGTAGGATAAGGGGCTGAACTCTCACTGATGTGAGCCCCTAAGGTGGCCTGGCTTCCATTCTGAGGTCAGAGCTTCCTGTGCAAGCAGTTTTGTTCACAGATTTGTCTCCTTTTCTTTCTCATTGGAATCAACTCTTTATAAACAAATCTTTTCCATCTGTAGTTTTCTATCCTTTGAGCAACATTTCCTTTAAATGATCTATAAACCACGGGATTATTAATCTCTTCCAAAACATGTTTAATCTCCTTTGAAATCTACCTCTAAGCCTATCTCTGCTTAGAAATCTGTGATTAAAACTGTTCATGTCACTCTTCTGTCCTACATCTCTTGAACAACTACCTACTTTAAACCAGACTCATGTATTTTTCATATACTGCCATTATAATTAACGCCATGGACTTTCAACCTCCTTTTTAGGACCAAAATCTTCCAGAACCATATTAAATATCACATTTGAGTCAATAAAAAAAATTTGTCATTTATTTTTGTGATATTTGTGCACTCTTTCATCACCGAGCACATCTTGGCTCGATGTCTCTAACAGTCTAACTGGTTTTACCATTTCCACTCTCAGTCCCCTCCTATCTGTTATGTTGAAGTCACAGACATTCCCTGACTCTAATCCAACAAAACCCCAATTCTTATAATCCTATCAAAATGTGTAACTTGCTTATTATGTATTTCTCCTCTTGGACTGTAACTTCAACAAGCAGAGGGACCAGATTAGTCTTGCTTCTGTGCCAACGCCTGGAACACAGCAGGTGCTCTACTGATATCTGTTAAATTTATGAATGCTAGGAAAGGAGTGATACTCAAGGATCCTCAGAAATGACCCAAATCTAGCTCTGACCTGCTACTGAGACACTGAGAGAAGTAGGCTTTCTAGGAACACCCAACACCAAACACCAATTTATCTTCTCTGTTAGGTCCCCACCCCCTGACCCTTCCATTTGGGACTAGTCGGGTGTTGCGAATGGAACAGCTGAGTCTATAGCTCCAACATTTTTCTGCCTCTGCTTTCTACCACTTAGGAGTTACCCTTTATAGTTTGTTTTCTTCTGTTTACTCCCTCTGCCAACCTCAATGTGCCCTAGCAGGGCACATTCTCTCAGTGTCCCTTAAGAAAGGCATACTCATTCCCATTTTTATAACTTAAAATTCACAAAATGTCAGAAATAAAAAAGAACTGAGTGGCCATCTAATTCAAGTCCCTCAATCCAAGGCATAGAGGGAAGATGTGGTTTGGCTAAGGCCACATATATGGTTAAGTGAAATGAAGACTAGAACTCAAATATTCTGATTCCTACCTAATCTCAAACCTTGGACTGTTGTTAGACTTTTTTCCTCTCTTTGAAAAGCCCCCCTTTTTATATTGTTGCAATCTGATGCAGTGGGCAAGAGTGTGGGTTCTGCAGTGAAGTGACCAGGCTCCAAATACTGGCCTTATTCCTTCCTAGCCACAATAATGACATACTACAACACTAAATTGATGTCATATCTATATAACTTGGGCAAATACTTAATCTCACTAAACTTCAGGTTCCTCAGGTGTAAACTGGGGGATAGTATCTATTTCTGAAGATTAATATAAATAATGTATGCATGATGCTTAGTACAGAGGCTGGAACTGCTATGACCACGTGTTAGCTATTATCGTTATCCTTCAAGCCTAGCTTATATATGCTCCCCTTTTCATGATCTTTCCAGCACTCAACTTCTCACTCTGGACCACTATATTCAATTCATGCCACACGACTGTATTCTGTCGATGTTTCTCCAGCTTCTTGCCTGTCAATTAAATGACAAAGCTCTTCAGAATAAACACTGTTTCAGCATCTCCTGCCACACAGCATATACCTGAGCACATAATGGGAATTCAAATACTTGAGGCAAGTCTGCAGCAGTGTGCTGGCGCAAGCTTGTATGGCTTGCAAGAGCCAACTGTTACATATCAGGAAATCGTTGAAGCAGGTGGCCTTGGTAAGTTTAAAACTGTAGAAATTGGGCAACTGCAAAAAGTCATGGCTTCCTTCACCCTGCCAGCCAGTTTACCAGCATACTACTGTCGATAGGGAATCCCATTCTCTGCTACAAGGGAGTAACTTGCCCTTCATTTTCTATGGCCACCCTTCCCTTGCCTTGGGAGGTTCTAATTTTCCTATTCATAACCAAGAACAGATTTCTCCTGGGTCCAGTGGGATCTAATTCAGTGCCAAATGAGCTGAAATTCATTTGTCAGTCCTTA
The DNA here is from genome assembly GCF_000001405.40 of Homo sapiens. Classification (NCBI taxonomy): domain Eukaryota; kingdom Metazoa; phylum Chordata; class Mammalia; order Primates; family Hominidae; genus Homo; species Homo sapiens. The sequence goes on from NC_000020.11 coordinate 35,642,234, forward strand.
ACACTTCCCTCTTCCACTTCCAAAGTCCTAACCCAGAAAGGCACCAGCCTGCAATTCCCAATTCCTTATCCACCCCAGGTAATGACCAGAAGTTGTACAGAGGCTGCAAGAAGGTGGCATAGAGGGCTGAAGGTCTGGGTGGCAGGGCCACTCCTTTAATAAACCAATGTCATGCTCACACTCCTATTGCCTACCTTGGCATGCTGGATCAGCTCACAGATGCAGGATCAAGTCTTGAAAGCCAATCAGAAAATCCTCCATAGGCTTACAAAGGACCACCCATGGAACATTGTTTCCCGTAAGACTGAAAAGACAAACTACACCAACCACCACCACTCTTCTTTTTCCTTTTTGGCCCCATCAAAGGACATGGAGAAGGTAGACAAGTTTTCTTATCCCTACTTTTCTAACTCGAGGATTCTCCAAATTTACATCAGCAGCTCTAAGGATATTCCTCACAGGTCACAAACTGAACCAAAAATGAAAATCCTTTCTATAAAACTACACATTCCTTATTCATACATATGACTAAGGGCTACTGAATGGTACTCATAAACTGAAATTTTCAATAAATTTGGTTTAGATCCATATACTACTAAGGAGTCAGGCTGACACAAAGTATTTGGCAACACTACAAAGCTTAACATGTGCACACAAAAACTAAAAGGTGGGAAAATATGAAAAAGAAGATGGCCACAAGGTTTTCCACTTTACTGTACTGGGTGAAGGTCAAAAACAAAAAACCAAAGCCACTAATCTAACCCCAACATCCCCAAAGGCTTATCCAAAAGTTGAACAAATCTGACCACTGTACAACTAACTCTTCAAAAAGAACCTAACTTGACGACAAAACTGGATATGGAGAAGGAAAGAAGCAAACTGAGGAGGACTACATGGTCTTCAAAAGCAGGATAGGGCCATCTGGCTGTGACATCTGTCACCCCATTGATCACCAGGGTTGATTTGGCTGATCTGGCTGACTAGGTGGGTGTCCCCTTCCTCCCTCACCGCTCCACATGCATCTGTCCCGAAGCTGCATGCTCGATTGAAGACGACCATCCCTGAGAGAGGAGGACTGGTCTTTGGTCAAGGATATACGAGTGCTCCCCTGCTAGAACCTGCAAACAGGCTCTCAAAAGCAGGATAGGACTGTAGCGGAGTGGGTGTTTTTCTCTGCCCAGAGACTCTGAACACACCAACACAAAGTCTTCACGTGAGTACTTCAAAATAAGTTCAGGCAGGGTGCAGTGGCTCACACCTGTAATCCCAGCACTTTGGGAGGCTGGATCACCTGAGGTCAGGAGTTCGAGACCAGCCTGGCCAACATGGTGAAACCCTGTCTCTACTAAAAATACAAAAATTAGCCAGGTGTGGTGGTGCACACCTGTAATCCCAGCTACTTGGCAGGCTGAGGCAGGAGAATTGCTTGAACCCAGGAGGCGGAGCTGAGATCACGCCACTGCACTGCAGCCTAAGCAACAGAGTGAGACTCTGTTGCGAAAACAAAAAAACAACAAAGTAAGTTCAGGTCCCCCTCTGCAATCATAAGCTTGACCGTGGAGGCCAAGAAGCCCTACCAATAGGTAAGGGCCCTCCACACTATAGTTGGAGTTGGCAAACTGAAAAGGCTCCTTCCCCAGCAGCTCAGAATCCATGACAGAAGACTGCTGCCAGTGGCCTCCCACTTTCCCTAAAAGTCAGGGAGGGGCTGGGGATAGTTGAGGGAGGGTTTCTACCTGAGGAGTCATACAAGCATCCATGATTAAAACATCTTTGTTTTCCCCTTACTATTAATTATTTTTCTCTGCCTGGATTACCCCACCTGTAAAGTAGGGATGATAATGTTAACTTTACAGTGTTATTTGTGAGGATTACATGAGGACAGTCATAGAAAGTATCCCCTGCCCGGCACAGAGTAAGTACCCAGTGTCAACTGTCCCTGTAGGTGCTCACAAACAGGGAAGTGCACCTTTGGGTCCTTCTGCAGTATCATTAACTCCTTCTTGGTTAATTGGACCAAGGAGGAGTGGATCCAGGAGGAATGCCTCTGGTCTACCTGCTCCAGGATATAACTAGCAGGACAGGGACAGCCCCCAAAAGGAGAGATGAAGACTCTTCCCCTTTGAATTTCTCAAGCTGCAGTGTAGAATCACTACCACACTAGGGAAACCAGGAGAGCAGTACCCAGATCAAAATTTGGAGCTCCATTCCTGGTCACTTTAGTTTAAGGTCCAAACTCAGTACAGATTTCCAGAAACCGAATGGCTAGGTTCATACAATCACAGAAGCTTAAAACTGGACACAAGCTTATCTAATTTAATCCCATACTGTAAAAGAAACACTGAGGCCAGAGGGAAATAATCTGTCCTAAGTCACATAACTGATGGAACCACGAACCGATTCTGAGAATGTTATTTCTATATCCAACCATTTTAGCAACAGTTCACATTTTGTAATTCACCCCAATCTGAAATCTACCCTGCCACTACAACAGCAGTGAGACTCACATGGTCTCCCCTCATGATCTATGCTAATGTTAGCCTTGCACAAACATGGAATATAATTCTCCCTATTTGTCTGACTGCTGGGGAAGGAAGGTAGGAAATCCTGGACTCCACATTTACAGGAGTTGATCAAAGGAATAAATTTTAAGTAGCAAGCATGCATAGTGCAAATAAGGTAGAACTCACCTCTAAAAAATGTGATCTGTATCAAAATTTTCAAAGGACATCTATAGGGTAGTCAATTCTGCCCCCATCCCTCCCGGCTGAAATCTACATTCTTTTAATGTCTATCACCTGTGGGGTGTCTGAGACAACAGTACTATACCGCCTTCCTGATGATCTCCAGGACTGAGGCATCACCAAATACCTGTGCATCTACAGTGTGCACAAAAGGAGTGTATATCTCCTACAGCACAAAATGAGATGAGTAAATGAACAAAAGCAGACCAGAGCTCTTGGAAAAGAAACCTACCTATTGTTCATAATGCAAGCCCCTTACCCTTCACTGGAATAAATTCATTTGGGACACTGGGGAGAGTTTAAGATGGGTCTTCAGAATTTACATGTTAGGGAAGCCGAGAAAGCAAAGGAATATTTCAACAACAGGAAACTACACTATGACAAAGACTAGTTTACACTTGTTCCTGTCTAACCATAACTTAGCAAATGGCCAGGAAAGCCACTACCTGGTTCCCGTGGTATAGGAATGTACCTAGTATAAGCACAACCAAGCACTTAGTTGTGACTTAAAACCCTCAACTGTTGAAGAACAGGAACCTTATTTTGCTTTTCCACCAAAGTATAAGTGCTGGGTGCACACCACTGCAAAAATCTGTTAGTATGAGATACAGCTATGGCTAAGCTGTACATTCATGTGAAGTTGTCTTAAAAGCTTGAAGGTGACAGGTGCTTCCAATTCCAATCTGTCAATTCAATGGTCATAGAAGTAAAGCAGCTCATCTACATCAGTAATTAGTAGTTGCATTAATGTCCATCACTTCAGTCAGAGTTACAGCACAGGGACCCTACTGGTCCCACAGGCCAAACCACAGAAGGGAGTTATGTATAAAGGCTGGGCCACTCTCCAGCCCCCACTGCAATCTAATGTGTGGAGTATAGTGGAGTGTGGCATTAACAAACTTCCAAGTGGGATCACAGAAAAATCAAGGCAATCAGAGGCACTGGTACCAGTTGGTGTGATTTAAAACCTTTTAAGAAACTGAGGCCAGGCATAGTGGCTCACACCTGTAATCCCAGCACTTTGAGAGGCCAAGGCGGGAGCATCACTTGAGCCCCGGAGTTCAAGACCGGCCTGAGCCACATAGTGAAACTACCCCTCCACTCCACCATCACCCCTACCCCAGCAATTACCTCATCTCTACAAAAAAATTAAAAAAAAAAAAAAATAGCTACTTAGGAGGCTGAAGCAGGATTGCTTGAGCCCAGGACATCGAGGTTACAGTGAGCTGACTGTACCACTGCACTCCAGCCTGGGCAGCAGAGCAAGACCATCTCAAAAAAAAAAAAAAAAAAAAAAAAAAGAAACAAAAAAACTATTTAACCCTCTTAAATCCTTCCCACTGTGTGACTTGTGGTGTAGCACAATGTGGTTGTTATCATTTGATATGAAGCACAAACTCTAAGTGACAAGGCTTTTTTTTTTTTTTTTTGAGACAGGGTCTTGCTATGTTACTCACGCTAGTCTCAATTCCTGGGCTCAAGCGATCCTCCCACCTCGGCCTCCCAAAGTGCTGGGATTACAGGTGTGACCCACCACACCCAGCCTGACAAGTCTTATCCACCAATCAAAAGCTATGAATGAACTACTCCCACCCATTAGGAGGCTGAGGCTAGAGACAGCAGTGAAGGGGCTTCAGTCTAAGAGTTTTAAGTCCTGGTTACGAGCAGGTTTACTATATAAGCAAGCAAAGGGAGGAAATGAACAGCAGCAGAATGGAGGTAATGAACCATCAAGTAGCCCATTTGAATACAGTACAGCTCATTCCTAAAATGAGTTAAATACACTCAACACCTTTGACTGTTCATACTGAATTATGTTCTCTTGCTGGGCATTGCCCCACAACGAAATAGTCATCTCCTATCATGAAATGGCAAGCCATTAATTAAGCAAAATGACTTGAAACTAGTAAGTTACTAAGATCAATATCCAGATGTCTGGAACAACTGGGGAGCCAATTCCAATGCTCAGCTGTGCCATTTACCACTTCTCTATATGACGTTTGCTGAGTCTCTATGCCCTAACCTTTAACATTTTAATTAAAAAAAAATAGGGCCGGGCATGGTGGCTCATGCCTGTAATCCCAGCACTTTGGGAGGCTGAGGTGGGTGGATCACCTGAGGTCAGGAGTTCGAGACCAGCCTGGCCAACATGGTGAAACCCCATCTCTACTAAAAATACAAAAAAAATTAGCTGGGCATGGTGGCAGATGCCCATAATCCCAGCTACTCGGGAGGCTGAGGCAGGAGAATCGCTTGAACCCGGGAGGCGGAGGTTGCAGTGAGCTGAGATCACGCCATCGCACTCCAGCCTGGGGGACAAGCGTGAGACTTTGTCTCAAAAAAAAAAAAAAAAAAAAAAGAGCGCTTCACAAATTGCGTGTCATCCTTGTAGAGGGGCCATGCTAATCTTCTCTGTTTAATTCGTTTTTAATATGTGCTGCTGAAGCAAGCACATCTTAAACATTTTCACTGGAAGGAGGTCCGTGGGGCTATTGACAGAATTCAAGGGATTTGGTTGTGATTTTTCCCAGCACTCTTTCCTGCCCTTAGACTTTCAGAGTGCTGTCCTTCTGTCCCTGGGTCTGAAATGTTTATGTCAGGTGGCTTTTTCCTCCTTCTGGACTCCAGTGATAGAGCAGTATGTAGAGTAGCAAGCCACCGTGGCTACTCACTGCTAGTTAACGTTGATCCAGAAAAGGAGTCATACTCTAGGATGCTTTTGAGACTCTAACACAAAGCAGCCAAAGCACCAAGAATAAACCCAAGAACAGCATGGTAAAGAATTACCATTTACCAGCTGGGCACGGTGGCTCACGCCTGTAATCCCAGCACTTTGGGAGGCCGAGGTGGGCGGATCATGAGATCAGGAGGTGGGGACTATGCTGGCCAACATGGCAAAACCCCGTCTCTACTAAAAATGAAAAAAAAAAAAAAAAAAATTAGCTGGGCTTGGCGGCACGCACCTATAGTCTCAGCTACTGAGAGGCTGAGGCAGGAGAATCGCTTGAACCCAGGAGGTGGAGGTTGCAGTGAGCCGAGATCGCACCACTGCACTCCAGCCTGGGCAACAGATACAGACTCCATCTCAAAAAAAAAAAAAAATTACCATTTACCTGAGCAGGAGATGAACTTGCTTATGTTGTTGAATAGACAGGGGTTTTCCCAGAAAAGTCACTGTAACATCAGAGAATTGTGCTACTACCAGAGTACACTCTTTCCAGAACATTTCACAAGTCAAAATGATCAGATTCTATACTAAAAAGATAAGACTGAAATAAAGCCATTTTTAATAAAAAAGGAAAGCCATAAGTTTGATTCTACCATACCCTGTAAAAGCTCTACTTTTGGGAGATTAGTGATGATGCACATAGTTGATAAACTATTTCTTGCTGTAAAACACTGGAAAGCAGGTAACAATGAATTACATAACTGATCTCTCCTGAACAAGAAAAGGAGACATATTATCACACAGTCCACCCCTTTCAGATGGTAAAAGCCATTTTGGATATCTGTAGGCAGCTGATTTCACTCAGTGATTTGTCCATTGCTTAGTCAAATCCCGATTATTTAATAATGGCTCAGCTACTACCTGGAATTATATGTCTAGCCCCCTCTAAAACACACTGGGTATCCAAATTCTAATACAAGCTAAACTCTTTCAAGATAAAAAGTTTTCAACATTTAAGGGCTTTGTTTGCCAACACATCATACACATAAAATTCTGAAAAGGTGGATACTATGGACTTGAATCAAGTTTCCTCCCTGCTGTTCCAAGTATCCTCTTCTCTTGACACTTCAGCATTAGCAGGCAAGGATAAGCAACAATTTTTACCTCTCCAAGATTACCAAATCTACCTCTCCAAAGGCACAAAATATTTTCAGGTTTAAAAACAAAACAAAACAAAAACCCTGACAAGATAATATTATAGCTCAGTAAAGTACTTTTGTGCAGTTAAAGCATTAAAAGCATCAGCCTGTTTTATTTTTTGACAAGTTTATTGAACAGTATTCAAGACTTCATCTTTATAAACAAAAACCTCTGCTGAGTGATGCCAAGGCAGTATTTGCTGGCAATGTTGTGGCCATATTGGCAACAAGCCATTTTGTTGTGTTTGGTTTCTAAAGTCTGGACTACTATAGAACTGCCAGTAAAACAATTTAAATGTGGCAATTTTGCAAGGGTGGAAAATAATTTTTAAAGTGACCACTTCCAGAAATTCTTTCCAAAAGATTTGACTAGCAGCAATTTTACATTTTCTTTACTCATTTCCCGAGTGTTCTTAAAATTGATGAGATTTTACACTTGGCCCATACCTGTACACAACCACAGACTCCAGTAAAAGGGAGCTGGAATTTAAGGCTTTCACGCATCCTTGTTTTTATGCAAGGCTGACTATTTCCACCTAAAAATGTAATGTTTGCTTACTTCCATACAGTCCTAGATTTTCATCCAGTGGGTTAAGACTGGCCTTAACTACACTGAATATTACTACCTGAAATTTTAAATAAAGTTTCCTAATCGAATTTTCATTGTTGATGCTTTGACAACTTGGAGTACAAAGCTAGGAACTACATTTCACTTAACACTGTTTCATTTTTTAAAAAGCCACTAATAATAATTGTACATCCAAACTACTGTGTAAACACAGAACACACCTCCAAATTATGCTTGTGAACTAAATGTTTCACTAAAGTTCAGAAAAGTTTACAAATTTGCTTATTTATGACATACATTTGTAGATTTCTCTAATCCTTTAAATCAAAAGAAAAATGAACACCAATAAAAAAAAAATCAGAAGGGAGAGGAAAAAAAATTAAATCTAATGGAAAATATTCTCTTCCATTAATGTCAGAGTCACCAAAAACAGACAATAAAATTTACACATAAAATTGAAAATATCATGATAGTGTTTACAAATGCACACAACTTTGAGCAAAGCTTTACAAATCCTTCATACCATACAAAGCAAATGAGAAAATAATGTCAATTCATTTCTACCCCAAACCTAGTTCTTAGGAGAAAATTCGCAGGAAGAGAGGTATGAGTAGTTTCACAGAATACATTTTCAAGAATTTTTTAAAAACTGAAACTCCAATGCCCAGAACAAGATAAACAGTATCCTTAGCAGTTAGCACTGTTAATAAATCTCAGATACACAAAAATCAAGTTCCAGAGGGCAAAGCATTTAATTACAGTCCACAACGAGCACTGTTGTGATTCATATAAAACATAGTTCTCTCCAATTTCTACACAAACCGCTCTTTTAATTTATTTAATTAGATGAACAATGAAATCGTTTTCCTTTTCAGCATTTATCTAAGATGTAGAAATAACAAAGTAGTTGCAATAAAGTGTATGAAATATTTAATAAGAATGTACGAACATATAACCAAAATAAATTGTGAAAAAAGATAAAAGACTTTCATCTTCAAACAACCCATTTTTCTAAAATGAAAATAGCTTTCCAATGGAGAAAATATCTGTGGCTGAAATACAACTCTCAAGCAGTGCTGAAGTTTTTTGCATTGTCTTTGGAATGAGAAATGATTACTTAACATTAACTTAAATTAAACAGCATATACAAACGTTATATTGCTTTTGAAATTGAGGAGGCAGTATCTAGTGATCGGTCAAAGCAAATCTGTATTCATGAATTATCAAAAGACCCACAACATAGTCACCTCTTGAGTCTAAACAATCCTTCTCTTAAACAAAAATCCTGTACTGTCAATCCTCTAAGATTGTAGTGATAAAAAGCCTTTTCAAATCTTATCAAATGAAACTGTTGCCACTCTTAAATTACACAACCGCTGTATTTCAGTGTTCCACTGACTCACAACACCAAAAAGGCACTGTATATATATATAGTTTAATAGGAAATACTTATTTTAAAAGACTGACCCCTTTGTAACTACGCTGATTTGTAGGAAATGTTGGGGATGTTTCAAACGAAGACAAAGGGGCCATGTAAAAGATAAAATTTGGTTTTCATGATCTCTCATCTATCTCTCCTTCTGTATTGTTTATAATGTGACACATTTTCAGAGCATTGACTAGGGAAAGTAACCATAACTAGAGCCCTGTAAGGCCAAGTTTTTCATCACAAGGAAAGTAACCATAATTAGAGCCTTTTATGACAGTGAGAAAATTTGTTTTTCATATCATCTCACCTATCTCCCCTTCCGTATTGTTTATAATATAATGTGACACATCTTCAGAGCACTGACTAGGGAAATCATAATTAGAGCCTTGTAAGGCAAGTGTTTTCATGACAAGGACACTTACCAACCAGAACTCATGTGGTCCTCCTGCCTTAGTGTCCTGAATACCAAAGAAAAGAGTATGAAAGGGTCAAGAATCTCAATTTTCTCCTCTGGCGGCTGCACTTGTACTCTGTATGAAGACTTTTAGTAAACAGGCTCCTGATCGAACAACTATGCCAAAAAGCCTCCAAATAACAGGACTAACACGTATCAATCTACGAACCAGCATACGGATCTTTTATTCTATACTACTACTGCTAACAAAGATAATTTCAACTTCAGTTTTAAAAACCTAGATATAACACTTTCTTATGAATGGGCCCCTCTTTGTTTAAAGGCCAAAATTTCACATAATCGGGACAGGAGGAAATTGATACTACAATTAGTCCATATGAAAAGGACTTCAAATCAAGTATCTTAAACACATTATTAAAAGTGGTTTCTGGTTTTCGATACCATCCAAACAACATGAACAATTTTTAAACTGACTAACCTAAATCGTGGCGGTCAAACCAAAAAGGCTCTGGTAGATAAAGGACTCCATAGTTTATTTTTATGGCAAAAGTCTTATTCCACACAGTTTTAAGTGTGACATTAGAAATCAAAGTTTGAGGTTATAGCACAAACGAAGTGTGGACTTTTATATTTAGGGAAAAAAACCAACAAAACAGTTCTGCTCATTTACAAATGAGTCAATTAGACAAACAAAGCAGCAACTTCTGAAGCAGGACTGTCTATACAGCAAGGACCCTTAAGAAGCAATAAAGGTACATACAATGAATCTGTATACAGAAATTTTATTCAATTTTAAAAGAAAATGAGGACTTTAGACAAAGCTTTACCCTATAACAAAGCAAATCTGTCCAGCTTTAAACCAAATTCTGAGAGTAGCCAACTTCTATTTTCAGCAGCTGGCAAGAGCACCCTCAATGAGTTCTACTGACATTTCTATTTTCTTCATCCCATATGGTATAAAACAAAACCAATCTAGACTCCTTGATAAGCTTTATGTGGTCATTTGAGTTTTACAAATGGTTTCTCTAATGGTATGCCAAAATCATTTATGTGTTCTCTCCAGATAGCTTTACTGTAACATACAGCAATGTTTATCCTGGTGAGTGAGTCTTCTGTAAACAGTCAACCAATGCTCTATGTTATGGAAACCAAGCTATATGCAATTGAAACAATCCACAGGTTCTAACCTGGAAATACTAGGAAAACAATCTGGATGCATTAATCACAGCAATATGAAGATCTACCCTATAAAAAATGATGTGAATGGCTACCCTAATACAAGTTTTACTTTTCTTGAACCTATAGGCCTGTCATTTAAGTCAATGACAGCAGCTGTGGCTTCATCCCGAGACTCAAAGGCCACCATGGCTTCACCTGTGGGCATACCTTTTTCATTGTATTTTAAACACACTGAGCCTGGGATTACTTGATAGCCATAAAAGAAATCTAAAATCTCATCAATAGACACAGTAAAGGGCATGTTTTGCACTTTAATTACTGTCGGTCCTGGTTTTCCAGAACTAGATGCAAAGCCAGGGGGACCACCAATATGGATTGGGCCAGGGCCGGGGCCGGGGCCGGGGCCAGGCCCAAAAGCTGGTGGCCCACCCAAATGCCCAGGGGCACTTCCAAGACCAGGAGGGCCACTTCCAAACCCCGGGGGACCGCCTAAGCTACCAGGGCCATTTCCAAAATTCTGAGGGCCCCCTCCAAATCCCGATGGCCCACTTAAATTGTTTGGTCCACCTCCAAAACCCGGAACATCCAGTCCTAGACCAGGCAAACCACTGTTTCCAACTGAAGGCATACCAGGCCTAGCATCACCAAAGGCCCCGCCTCCTAATCCTGGAGGAGGGATTGGTGGCCCAAAGGCATTTGATCCACCAAAATTACCAGGAAAGTTAAATGGAGGCCCATTATTGGCTTCCTTTGATCCTACAGTCAGGAAGGCATGCTCTTCACCTCCTGCACTAGGTATTCCTGCACTGGGCATTCCCGCACCAGGCAGTCCTGCACTGGTTATTGCTGAACCAGGCAGTCCTGTGCTGGGCAGGCCTGCACCGGGAAGTCCTGCACTGGGCAGTCCCACACCGGGCAGTCCCGCATTGGGCATTCCTGGAACTGCAGGATTACCTGGCACAGGCATCTTTAATCCCTTTTTTCCTTGGGCAGGGGGATTTTTCTCAATCTCTCTCATATCTTCTAGGGTAACTACATGAACAAAAGCTTCTCTCCCATTAAGTTTTTTACGGTGTAAGCGTTCAGACTTACGTGCATCATCTTCATTTTTAAACTGAACCAATGCCTGTCCTAGACCTTGCCCATTGTTATCAACAAGAACATGTACAGCATTTTCATCCACTGGGATTCCTTCTAGGAACTGAAGAACATCCATCTTTGTAATGCTGAATGGAATATTTGTTATGTGGGCACAGACTTTGGCAGAGTTGACATCCCCCTCTGGATTTAGTATCATTTCCCTCTGGTCATAGCTGAAGTTCTGCAGTCTTTTTCGAATCATATCTATCTTTTCTAGCATACCTTTCTTAGTAATTGGATGAACTTGAATAAAGCGATTGCCCATGTACTGTTTATGACGACACAGAGCAGCCTTATAGTCAGCCTCATTTCTGAACTCTACAAAGCCTTCGCCAGTTGCTTTCCCATTGGGTCCATAAGCTATATAAATACTATCTTCCACAATATCCAGCTTTTTAAAAAAATCAATGACATGTTTGTTTTCTGCTTCAAATGGTAGCCCTTTCAAGTAAACACAAAAACCAGCCTCATGTGGTGATCTTGACCTTGATCTTTTCTGCCCACTGGGCGATTTTGACCTGGGAAGTGTCTGAGGAGGGGGATGAGTTTGTCCAGAAGGTCCCATATTTTGCTTAAAAGTGATATGGCCTCCAGCAGCTACCCACTGTCTTTCTGTGGCAGGGCTAACTTCCACATAGCGTTGAATCATCAGCATTCTGTTTCGTTTCAAAGCTTCAAATGTATCTTGAGGGGAGAGAAACTTAACCAATCCATTCCCATTATTTCGACCTACATGATCTTTCAACAAATGCACTGCATCAACACGGAGCCCATGAAAAAAATCTCTGACATCATTTTCCATTGCAGAAAAGGGCATTCCATGCACACTGACATACAGATCATCAGGGTTGATGGGGAGTGGCTTCACACTGCTCTGAGAGTTCATCTGGATAGGGTTAACAGGATTCAACGGACCAAGAAACATAGGATTCAGATTATTGTTCAAATTCATAGGTGCTCCAGAGCCATTCATTCCAGCAGGTAGAGGTGCCACAGGTGGCGGATTCAAGGGCGGCATGCCCGACATGGGTGGCAGTGGGGTCATGGGTGGCACAGAAGGAACTGGGGGAATCGGGGGCACAGGAGGCACAGGAGGCAATGTAGGTACTGGAGGAGGAACTGGAATTGGGGGAATGGATGGCATTGGTGGCAGAGATGGCATCGCTGGAATTGGAGGAATTGGTGGCGGCGGGACTGTGTTCATTGGAGAGGCTGTGCTTGGAACAGTTGAGCTAAACGTTGGGCTCCCAAAGGAAGCCCCCATATTTGGAGGAGCTGTTCCTACGCTGGCTGTGGAAAATGTCTGTATGTTTTTGTTGCTTTCATGAACAGAAGTGGTGGCAGTAACTACACTGGGTGATGGATTATTAAAGTTGGATACTGTTGTGGGCAAGTTTACCCTGCTACTCATTCCTGAGCTAGGTGGTGGTCCTGATCTACTGGCATTTGCTGGTGGTATATCTAAGTTGGCAGTTTCAAAACGCCTACGACTCAGTTCAATCATATTCTGCATTTCCGTCTTACTACTCAACAATAGTGTTACTTTTGACCCTTTAATTGTACCACCTGTGCGCATCATACCAAGCCTTGCATCTTCATCAGTGGCAAAAACGATGAAAGCCTCACCCAGTTCACCCCCTACAATATGCACGCCCCCATCAGGAATGGTCAATCCAGAGAAGAAGTGGCGAATGTCCATGGTCCCCGCCACAATTGGGAGACCTTGCAAACGGATGACCACAGCCATGCTGCGCTGAAACCACACACACCTGCAGATGAGAAAAGGCAACGGCCAGGTCAGACTCCTGTTTATCACACCAAGTTTTTAGCTACAAGAATGACCAGCTACCATATTAGGCCCTCAAATATTCCCTCAAGCTATCACAGGCAATGTCTTTAATTTAGATATTCTAAAAACTGAACATTACGTGCCATTTACAATGTAAAACGTAGACAATTTCAACTTCCAGAAGGCATTAATTTTGGAAACAGTTCAGTCCCAAGACTCAAAAAGTTCAAGAAAAAACAACTGTAGGACAGTAAAATACATATACATCATTCAGACCACTAATCATTCAGTAAGATTTAAAAGAAATGTCTAAGTCAAATCAGGAAACAAAGTTTAACAATCTATAGGGAAAAAACATGCAAAGAATATATAGAAGTTAGTATTTAAAACTGGCTTAGCATCTTCCCTATATACTTGATAATTTCATAGAATTATCAAGAGTGTGATTTTATAGAGCTCAGTCTCAAAATCCATCCAACAGAAGCAAAAAACTAGAATACTAATGAATTGTAAATAATACTTAAGACTAAAAGTAGATTCAAGTCTTAAATGAGAACTGGTTCCATTATTTTATTCATCCTAAAACTTTTCAATCTGCCTTGTACATTACAAAAAACTACATATGGAATTATTTATTATAAACAAGGTTAAGACATACTAAGAAGCCAAAAGAACTACTGAATAGGACAGCTAAAATCTGAGTTACCTTGATTCATTACCCCCAAAAGTAGAACCTGGTTATAGTCCCATTCACTGTGACTATTTTAATTAAAACTCAGGTCCAATGACTCATAACCAAATCCTCTATTTAATAAAATTTTTTAAAGTATTATTTTCCCCTAGGAGAGGGCTGACAATAAAAATATTTTTTGTTTTTGTTTTAGAACCAGAGTGTGAATTACTCAGTGGTTGTTACAGTCTTGGACCTACACAACTCCTACAGGATCTCTGTGATCTCCTTAGATCATGCCTGTTTTGACATAATCAAAAAAGAAATGTTCCCCTCAAATTTCAGTATTTCAGTTCCAAAGGCTTCTAAGAGCAAATTCAAGGGCAGCCCTTTGGAAAGTGACACAAACCGAATTATTGGGCCTGGGAAACATACTACTTTGAAATTAAGGTGGTCAATAACATAGGGTGTTTTCCAACCCATCTGAAAAGTCAACTTTTATTTATTTATTTATTTTGAGACAGAGTTTCACTCTTGTAGCCCAGGCTGCAGTGCAACGGCACGATCTCGGTTCACGGCAACCTCCACCTCCCAGGTTCAAGTAATTCTCCTGCCTCAGCCTCCCAAGTAGCTGGGATTACAGGCATGCGCCACCATGCCTGGCTAAGTGTTTGTATTTAGGAGAGATGGGATTTCACCTGACCTCAGGTGATCCACCCTCCTCAGTCTTCCAAAGTGCTGGGATTACAGGCGTGAGCCACTGCGCCCCACCTGAAAAGTCAACTTTTAAATATAAGCCCATAAAATCAGCTCATGACCCTCAGAAAGGTTATAAATTAATGAAGAGATTTGGTTTTATCACTTCTCAAGAATATTAGAAGGGGCAAGATTTTCTACTATAAGCTCTAAGAATTCTGTAACTTCATTGTCAAATATTATATAAATACTAATGCAACAAAATCTGTAATTATATCTCAATATTACAACTGCCGTATACAAACAAGAAACAAACTGCTTGGCTTTGACAGTTTTCTCACAGACACATACACAAAAATAAAAAGCCACCTTCAAATTTAATCCAGAAAAATGGACTAGCAAACAGAAAATGCTTTTTGTGAGGCCATTATAAAGCACTAGAAATTTGGGAAGTGTGGGGAAGCTTTTCATTTACAAACTTCAAGAGTCAACAAGAAAAATTAACGCTAAAAAACATCACACCAACAGTCTCTTTTCTCATTTACTATTTAGCAGCCTATAAGGAGGTTCATCAAGCAGTTTCCAAGTCATTAAATCAAATTCACATTCCTTGCTCAATCTAGAATATGTGGCTGTATGCAAAATGTGATAGCATTTCCTGTTCAACTTCAAAAAACGGTTAATCACTTTGTATAGGGGAAACATCATGGGCAATCCAGGTACTCAAAACAACTTGAGAGAGAGAGAGAGACTAGTTTGCACTGGGACAATCAAACAGAAACTTGATATAGTCCCAAGAACACAAAAATTAAACACAGGGCTAAAGTGACATACACAGTTAAGTCTTCAAGCCATTTTCTGTTAAGAGCAGGGATTTACTGAAAGTTTGTACAAGGTACACATGAGAATATGCTATTGAAAATCTGCCTCAGATTACCAGCTGGAAAGGGCTGAATATTAAACCAAAGTGGAATACAAGATTTATTCATAAAGCCATCTGATGAGAAAAATTGTTTCTAGCTTCCAAAAAATATGAAATAATATCCGCAGCCAGGTGCGGTGGCTCACACCTGTAACCCCAGCACTTTGGGAGGATGAGGTGGGTGGATCACCCGAGGTCAGGAGTTCAAGACCAGCCTGGCCAACAAGGTGAAACCCCGTCTCTACTAAAAACACAAAAAATTAGCTGGGCATGGTGGCAGGTGCCTGTAATCCCAGCTACTAGGGAGGCTGAGGCAGAAGAATCACTTGAACCCGGGAGGCAGAGATCACGCCACTGCACTCCAGCCTGGGCAACAAGAGCGAAACTCTGTCTCAAAAAGAAATAAATAAATAAAACAAATAAAAATTTAAAAAAAAATTTAAAAAAGTATCTGCTTTTCTGTTACTAAGTAACTGTTTGACAGCTAAGTCATTTCAACCTAACTTGGGCCTATCTTAGTTACTTAAACAAGAGGGTTAGATTCCACTTGCTAAGGTTCCATTTAAAGTCTAAAATTTGTACTCTAAAACATGTGACCCATTATCTATACTTAAACTCTTAGGAAATATAAATAAACATATCAATAACAAGCATCTGTATTTGTAATTAGTCTAAAATGCTACTAAGGAATAAAACTTACTGCCTATCAGGAAAATCACAAGATAAATAGATCCATATAAATGAAATTGACCCCCAAAGGAACAACTGTTCAAAGCACCCATCTACCCCACCCCTATCCCTCAGATAAACTTGTAAAAAACCACACCGGCCTGGGTGGCGGCTCATGCCTGTAATCCCAGCACTTTGGGAGGCTAAGGCAGGTGGATCACAAGGTCAGGAGTTCAAGACCAGCCTGGCCAAGAGGATAAAACCCCATCTCTACTAAAAATACAAAAAAATTAGCCGGGTATGGTGGCAGGCGCCTGTAATCCCAGCTATTCGGGAGGCTGAGGCAGAGAAGTGCTTGAACCCGGGAGGCGGAGGTTGCAGTGAGCCGAGATGGCACCACTGCACTCCAGCCTGGGCAACAGAGTCTAGCCTGGGCAACTGAGCAAGACTCCGTCTCAAAACAAAAAACAAGCAAACAAAAACACACACACACACACACACACACACACACACACACAATATAGTTGCTACATATATTTTCATATTTCTTAATAAGCTATCTCATTTTATTTTGTATAAAAACGAACTCTCTATTCAAAATCTCTTACCTGATAAAACAAGAGATGAATTTCCTTAACAAGAAGTAGAGGCCAAGTCAATCCTGTGGGCAACCAATTAAAACCAACTTTTAGACTGCAATAGAGAATAAACGGAGGCAAAAATCAATGCAGGAAACACAAAACAACACGCACAGGCCACACTGTACATTACGAAGGCGAGTCTGAAACCACCAGAGTACTTCATTAGAATGCATATCAAAAAAAAAAAAAAAAAGAAAGACACCGTAACAAAATCCCACACATGCTTTTTAGTTGGTATTGCTTTCAAATTTGAGTATCTCAAAATAATTATATATTTACAAGAGTGTCATTAACTTAGCCCAATAACGAATCCACTGAAAATTAAAACAGTCATAAAGCTCAGCTTCACAGCTAATTGCTTTGATCACTTTATAATTAAACCAGTCCAGAAAACTCCGTAACACAAGTCTATTTCCCCAGGTTCTCACCAAATTTGTGATGAAAAGGCACAAGTTCGCACAATAACAATTCTTGGACAACTTAAGATAGCAATTCAAGGGTACTCATGGAAATTACTGCAATTATTCTTTCAATATATTTTATTTTGCACAAAATAGCATCCAACATCACAAAACAAATGAAGTATGAGTTCTTGCTATAAGGACTAATTCCACTGGAGCTCAAAATATTAACAAAATATTAAGGGAAAGTGTTTTTTCCTCTGACATCACAACAGTTCTCAAAAACTTGTAAAATTTAAATAAATAAAATAAAATAAAATTTAAAAACACCCTAAAAATGCCTGACATATTAAGAGTATATCCCAAAATAAAAACAGGTCACTCATCTTTCACTGTCATTTCTTCCAAACTGGTGAGGTTATTAACAAGTCACAAGCATATATGACCAAATGTCTAGACAACTATATTCAAAGGTCATTTTTTGCTTTTTATTTTTTTTCAAAGGTCATGTTTTAATTCGGAGAGAGAAGAAATTTGCCACTGTTCAGTATTAAGATTACCTACGACTACTTTTCCAAATGATGCTCATCTTAAATTAGTATCTTCCAAGACCAAAATACAACTAATGACCTTAATATTCATCGCCAAAAAGTAAAACATATTTCAAAAATCTGTGTGATTTTCTAAAGGACAAACTATTCATCGTCTAGTCAACTACTCAAGTTGCTAAAGAATAGTGAGATGGTTTTACCACAAAAAGCTATGCAAATATGTAATCAACACAATCAAAAGTCTAGAGCATTGTATTAATCTTTTACATGTTGTAGAAATCTAGCCTCTTTTTTTTTTCTTTTTTTGAGACAGGGTATCGCTCTGTCGCCCAGGCTAGAGTGCAGTGGCGCGATCTAGGCTCATTAGGCTCATTGCAACCTCCGCCTCCCTGGGTTCAAGCTATTCTCATGCCTCAGCCTCTGGAGTAGCTGGGACTGACTACAGGCTTGCGCCACCACCCGCAGCTTATTTTTGTATTTTTAGTAGAGACAGGGGTTTCATTATGTTACCCAGGCTGGTCTCTTAACTCCTCACCTCAAGTGATCCACCCGCCTCAGCCTCCCAAAGTGCTGAGATTACAGGTGTGAGCCACCACGCCTGGCCTAGCCTAACTAAGTCTAAGGAGTTTAAAAATTCTTCATTTGAAAGCCATATCTAGTAGTTTAACAGGTCACAAAGGAAAATGTGAAACAGAAAAAAACCTGCTTCAAGTAAAGCAATGAGCAAGAGCATGAAGTACTGTAATATTTATGTACAGGTTTGACTCCAGCAGCCACATAACAGGGTAACTTTCTAGTTTCTAGAACTTGTAATAAACATCTGATCCCTACTGGAGATTCCAATTCAAAAGGTCAGGTATGGGGCCAGGGCATATGCCTGAATATAAGGTAAGAAGGTTCCTCTCAGCCTCTTCCCTTGCAAACTCAAAAGATACCGTATGTCTATCTTGAGAAGGACATATCTGGGGTCAGCCAGTTAAGCTCAAAGGGAACTCACCAGGTCTACTCTCAAAAATTTCTAAAAGGTTACCAGAAATTACCTTTAAAAGGAAGATATTTCTCATTCCACAAGGCAAGGCTGAAAGGCCCAGCTGAATTTGACAAATGCCTAGTTCAAGTTTTATGTGTACAACTTAAAGCACAAAATCAATCCAGATAGAAATTTATGATTCTCTTCTATTTCAGCAAAGAGGAATACCCACCCCACCCCATACCAAGGAAAACCATGCAGAAAGTTGATGCTACAAGTCAGAACTTCACAACCCTTGGTATTATACCTCTTCAAAAGGGAAAGGTAAATGGAAATAGAACTGAAATACTTCTGTGTTGACACCTCACTTTGTAAAAACCACAAGAATTTAACATAAGTGTCACTGTTTTCCAGGAAACTACTATTCCTGTATTCTAAATGTCAGCTAGCGACTGAATGCAGGATTTCAAAAATCCACGCCATTTACCTAAAGCTTTGCTGAACTTTAGAAGGATAAGACTAAAATAATAACTAAACAATAAAACATCTAAAATACATATTCTATCTATACATACAGCATAATGATAGGAAAGGAGAAAATGGGCCTGATTTGTCATTAAAGCCACTGATATACTTCAGAAGATCTAAAACAAGAAGCTGGCTTTAGTATGTTTTCCATTCATATTATCAGGAATTAGTCCTAACATAAAGGCTTGCTTCAACTTGACAAAATACCGGATGCATGCACAAATCACAAGTATCTGCTACAAAAATTTAACATATTATGGCAAGACAGACTTTCGTATTTACTAGCCATTCTAATCACTTGGAATTTCAGAAAAAAATGTCTGACAACAAATCTCTTCATCAAGAAGTCAAGGCACAAACTAAAACGACTATTTTCACTCTTCATCTGGTAGTAAACATCCAAAAGTGAACTTTAACTTTGTTCAGTTATCACTCTTTAATCAACAAGAACCAGGGTACAGCAGAGCTAGGTTCTTCAGATCCAAAAGAAACAAACTCTCAAATGTTCACCTCAGAGATTAGCAACAGAGAACCAATCACAACGGGCACAATGCTAAAAACAGTATAATCACATTATAATAAACATTATGAAACAACCACAGTTTCAGCCACTTGATTTTGTTCCCCATTCCCAAATGGACCATATATCAAAGTCTGGGATCACTCTTAATGAAAAAATTATTCTGACACTGATGGAGATGTGTACTTTTTATAACGCATTACTCAATTTTTCCATTAACCTCCATTCCGTACTCAAAGGCAGCAAATCAGAAGACATTTCTAAATAAGATATTCCTCCTGTCAAAAATATTAAGTTATGTTTCAATCCCCCCAAATGCCAACAAAAATGTTGCTACCTTCATTTTCACTTCAGAGCAAAATTATACTTCTAACCTAAACAACCACATTCACTCTGTTTTTGAGTCTTAAAAGCTGGCTTTAAACTTAATTAAATTTTGTGCAAACCAAAAGGTATATGGGTGTGGTAGTAAAATCTGATAAAACTGTAGTTTAGATAAAATTATCTTTTCTGTTTAGTTGAAAACATTTAACAATATTCCTTTACTCCATGAACATTTACTATTAAGCACTTGTGGGCCAGACAAAAGATATAAAAGTGGACATCATCAGTCTCTGCATTTTAGGGAGGGACATCTAAAAGCATCTTTTGTGCAACCAACTACTGACACTTGGTTCTTCCTACAACATCTACAGAAGAAAACATACATTCATACAATGACAGAATGGCTCTCTGCAAAATGGAGTAAAAACTATCAACACTGTCACTGGATTCCAGCACCTGGAACACACTGGCCCACAACATCAAGTTTCACACCTAAAGACTGTACTAACAACTCCCAAACTCTCAATACTCAATCATCAAAACATTTGACGTGTCAAAGAAGGTGAAAGAAGCCCAAAGAGTACTGGTATTAGCATGTAACAATACGTTGCAAGTAACCACACAATTATTTCTAAAGCTTCACATTTTTCATCTAACAGATTTGAACATAAAGAAAATGAAAATTATACATTACAATCCATAAGCAAAGTAATCACATTTAATCGAGCATATATAAAAATGTATTCCCTGTTTCATTAAAAATCTGTCCAATAATATATACTAAGCACATCTTCATTGTTTTGTATAAACACGCCAAACATTTCACTTTCTTCATAAATTACCATAACGTTATTTGAACCACCTGTAACAGTTCTTCCCAACTTTTTATACTCTTTGAAAATGTCTGCACACTTTCCACTAAATCCAGAAATCCTCCATTCTTATCAAAACTGCCAAATTTCAAAAACAAGTACAACCAGTCTTGTATTGTAGTTCTATAATTTAAAAAACAAGATTTCCCTATGTGTCCAGACTTGAGGGATTTTTCTCGACTGCAAATGCTCTGAGATGCATTAACAATATACACTAGTTAACAAGGTCCCAGACAATTCTTGTTGCTAAGACTGCATTTTGCAAAAATTACACCATTTCAAACCATTCAAGCAAGAAGCTCTAAAATACTGCAGTCACAAGCCTAGCCTCTCCCTTCAACAAACCTTCAGTTGCCATCACACTTTTTTCCAGTGGGTTATACTGACTCTATTATTGAATAATATAAAACGGTCCCTACCAACTTCTTCAATTTATATTAGGTTATCTCTGAGAATCCTGGAGCCAAGGAGGGTTTTAGGGCCCAGAAATCTCTTAAAGTCTGCAATTCTCAGCATGACACCACGCAGATGAGTAAATGTTTAGCACTTAATACTGAGTAACCCTCACAAGAGCCCCTCAGATTTGTCACTATAAAGCACACGTTGGAGGCACACAAAAAGCCCGTACGTTTACAACCTAGCAGCTAAGCCTGCTGCACTGGCGTCCAACCCCGTCACTAACCTGTAGATCCTCAAAGTCCCTCCCACCACCCAATTCACGTGGCTGCAAACTAATGCAGCCAAGCTTCAGAGAAACTCAATTAACTCTCCATCAAAAGCACCCACCCTCCGCAGCCCACTGGATCTCGTCCTCCTGAAATGCCACAGGATCCTCTCCCGAGGGAGCCGTAAATGTGCTGCTCACAGCAGCCCCTTCCCTACTGGGGGACCAAAGGCCTGGCATCTTACTACAATTCTCAGAGCCTCAGGAGGCGTACTCACCCCACCCCCTCACCTCCTAGCTTCAGACGCCGGCTTCTCAAAACTGCTACACCCTCGAGTAAAGCCCCTCCCCAGCAATGGACCTCGGAGGCATTTCACTGCAAACCCCTCCACCTTCAGGCCACGAAGGCGGCCGGTTGTGACACTTCCTTTCTGAACTCACAGGAGTGTACCGACTACAGCTTCCTCCCCACAGGTGTGACCTGGGTCCCCTTTTGCTGGTAGGCCACAAAGGCCTCCTTTCCATTTCGGGTTGAAGGAGTGTCCTCACTACGATTATCTCCCCACCTCCAGGCACAGAGATGTAGTTATAACCTCTGCTTCACTGGGGGAGACAAGAAATCCTCCGTACTCGGGATGTAGGCGTGTTTTTACTGCAGTCCCCGTTAGCTCGCAGGCCGCTGAGCCAGCCAGCTCTGGCCTGCCCCCTCTCAGACCACGGGGGAGTCCTCGCTATGGCCTCGTCCCCACTTCGGTACGCAGGCTCATCCTCTTGCGTCCTCCTTGCATCCTCTCAGATCTCAGAGGCCTAAGTGGCATCCCACTCCCCCTGCAGCCCTGCCTCGACCCTTTGTGTGGGGCGCTAGTTGCCGCGGGCTCGAAGGCCTCCGAAGGCCCCGCCCCGGGCCACCAAGGGGCACCACGAGCCCCGCACAGCCCCACCCGTTCAGGGGCTGCGGGAGTCTTACCGGGGAAAGCTGCGCGGCACCAGAACCCAGACCCCGAATTACCCCCCGCGCGAGTGCCTCCGCCCCGCGGCCGACAGCCCCAGCCCGAACGGCTTCCCGGAGCCCAACGCAGCCACCACCTCCTTCGCCGCTTCACAAAATGGCCGTCGGCCCGCTCAGCGGCTCCGCGTTCCAGAAGGGGGAGGAACGGCGTGGTTGACGTCAAGGGGCCGCGCAAGCGCGCTGACGGTCTCGGGCGATCTCCCGGAAGTTACTGGGTTTTGTGCTAAGAGGGGGATATTCAGTCCCTGCTTGCGACTGTTGGCGCACAGGACCGACCTTGGGCTAGTGGCCCTGGCGGGTGGGCTGGGTATGAGTGTCTAGCTTGGCCCTTCACTGCAAGACTGTGCAAATTGCTTCACGTCTTCCAGTTTCCGCGGAAGGAGCGAATTGTGCTTACCTCTAAGTTTTTTGAGGATTAAATGGACCACAACGTGGTGGCTAGTTATTATATCCTGACAAAACAGCCAAAACCTGATTCTTTTTTCCCATTTAAGAGTTTATACAGGCCGGGGGCCGGGCGCGGTGGCTCACGCCTGTAATCCCAGCACTTTGGGAGGCCGAGGCGGGCGGATCACGAGGTCGGGAGATCGAGACCATCCTGGCTAACACGGTGAAACCCCGTCTCTTCTAAAAAATACAAAAAATTAGCCGGGCGTGGTGGCGGGCACCTGTAGTCCCAGCTACTCGGGAGGCTGAGGCAGGAGAATAGCGTGAACCTGGGAGGCGGAGCTTGCAGTGAGCCGAGATTGCGCCACTGCACTCCGGCCTGGGCGAAAGAGCAAGACTCCATCTCAAAAAAAAAAAAAAAAAAAAAAAAAGTTTATACAGGCCGAGCGCGGTGGCTCACGCCTATAATCCCAGCACTTTGGGAGTCCGAGAAGGGCGGATCATGAGGTCAGGAGTTCGAGACCGGTCTGGCCAACAAGGCAAAACCCAGCCTCTACTAAAAATACAAAAACTAGCTGGGTGTGGTGGCGGTGCTTGTGGTCCCAGCTACTTGGGAGGCTGAGGCAGGAGAATCGCTTGAACCCGGGAGGTGGAGGTTGCAGTGAGCCCAGATGGCGCCATTGCACTCCACCCTGGATGACAAAAGCGAAACTTCGTCTCAGAAAAAAAAACAAAAAAAGAGTTTTAATCTAGGGCAGGGCGCAGTGGCTCACGCCTGTAATCCCAGCATTTTGGGAAGCCGAGGCGGGCGGATTACCTGAGGTCAGGGGTTCAAGACCAGCATGGCCAACATGGCGAAACCTCGTCTCTACTAAAAATACAAACATTAGCTGGGCGTGCTGGCTGGCGCCTGTGGTCCCAGCTACCAGGGTGGCTGAGGCAGGAGAATCGCCTGAATCCGGGAGGTGGCGGTTACAGTGAGCCAAGATAACGCCATAGCACTCCAGCCTAGGCGACAGAGCAAGATTCCGTCTCAAAAAAAAAAAAAAAATTAAATCCATCGTGACCCCTCCACGGCTTCACTATAGTATTATTTTATTATAGAAAAAGCTATTCTCTGGCTGGGCGTGGTGGCTTACGCCTGTAATCCCAGCACTTTGGGAAGCCGAGGTGGGAGGATCACGAGGTCAGGGGATGGAGACCATCAGGAGAGCGAGACTACATCTCAAAAAAAAAAAAAAAGAAAGCTGTTCTCAAGCCGCTTTGGGCCTAGCCCCCCGAACTTCATGCCCCTGCTAATTAAAAGCTGGATGTGGTGGCTTAAGTCTGTAGTCCTAGCTACTCGGGAGTTAGAGGCAGGAGGATCCCTTGAGCCCAGGAGTCCGAGGCTGCAGTGAGCTATGATTGCATCACTGCACTTTAGCTCAGGTAACAAGAGCAAGACCCTATCACTTAAAAAAAAGAAAAAAAAGGTTGAAATTATCACAATTCCAACAACCTTTCGGGATTTCTATGGCAGACTGGACTGGTGCTAGCCCAGTATGCCAAAAACAGCAAGTTGGAAAACCAGGCCACACTGTTAAACTAAACCTATGCTTTATAGGTTTTTATAGGTTTGCTCTGTGTAGGTAAAACATAGTCCATTAAAAACAAAACCTACTAAATGCAATGTAGCATCCAGGGTTGGATCCTGGAACAGAAAAAAGACAGGAAAACTGGTGAAAGCTGAATAAAATCTGAAGTTTAGGCCGGGCATAGTGCCTCACACCTGTAATCCCAGCATTTTGGGAGGCCAAGAGGCAAGAGGATTGCTTCAAGACCAGCCTGAGCAACACAGGCCCAGTCTCTATAAAAAAATCTTTAATAATTTTAGAAAATCACGTTTCATTAATACTAATATACCAATGTTAACCTCTAAGTTTTGACAAATGTACCATAGTTTTCTTTTGTTGTTTTTTTTTTTTTTTTTTGAGACAGAGTCTCACTCTGTCATCTAGGCTGGAGTGCAGTGGCACAATCTCAGCTAACTGCAACCTCCACCTCCAGGTTCAAGCAATTCTCCTGCCTCAGCCTCCCAAGTAGCTGGGACTACAGGTGCGTGACACCACGCCCGGCTAATTTTTTGTATTTTTAGTAGAGACGGGGGTTTCACCGTGTTAGCCAGGATGGTTTCCATCTCCTGACCTCGTGATCCACCTCCCTCCGCCTCCCAAAGTGCTGGGATTACAGGCATGAGCCACCGCGCCTGGCCTTGTTTTTTGAGACGGAGTCTTGCTCTGTTGCTTAGGCTGGAGTGTGGTGGCACCATCCCGGCTCACTGCCACCTCGGCTCACTGCTACTTCTGCCTCCAGGGTTCAAGCTATTCTTGTGCCTCAGCCTCCCAAGTGGCTGGGATTACAGGCACCCACCACCATGCCCAGCTAATTTTTGTATTTTTAGTAGAGACAGGGTTTCGCCATGTTGGCCAGGCTGGTCTCAAACTCCTGACCTCACGTGATCTGCCTACCTCAGCCTCCCAAAGTTCTGGGATTACAGGCATGAGCCACAGCACCCAGCCTATTGTTGTTTTTGAGACAGGGTCTCACTCTGTCGCTCAGGCTTGAATACAGTGGTGCGATCAAGGCTCACTGCAACCTTGATCTCACGGGCTGAAGCGATCCTCCCACCTCAGCCTCCCAAATAGCTTGGACTACAGGTGGGCACCACCACGCCTAGATAATTTTTGTATTTTTTTGTAGAGTAAAGGTTTTGCCATGTTGCCCAGGCTAGTCTTGAATTCCTGAGCTCAAGCAATCCATCCACCTTCGCCTCCCAAAGTACTGGGATTACAGGTGTGACCCACCACACCCAGCCAAATTAGCATAGTTTTATGTAAGACTTTTTAATTAGAGGAAAACTGGTAATAGATCTACAACTCTACTATCTTTGCAACTTTTCAGTAAATCTAAAATTATTCTAAGTAAAAAAGATATTTTTCAACAAGAAAAATTCTATAATTTCATCTCCTCCTTCCACTGTCCATCTACATTTACCAAACTTTAGCCCAGTGGCTTTCAAACTTTCCTGTCCCCCTGCTACTGGCAAGTATGAAAAGCAATTAAACTTTTTTGACCATTATCCACAATAAGAAATACATTTATAACCTGGTATACAAATTCAAATATATCATCAAAATATATTCTTAAAATATGCATAAATGTACTCTAACATACTATCTCCTTTTTTAAGTACTGGTAACTACCCACCTATGGGTTCAGACCCACAAATGAAAAGCTCTAGTTACAATGGCCTTCTCTTGGTTTCTAAAGTATAATACTTTGTGCTTTATCACACTTCAGGCCCTTAGCTCTTGCCATTCCTTCTCACCTCTCATTTCTAGATTAGCGAGCTCTTCATATTTATAAGCACTACCTCCTCAGAAAAACTTTCCTCAAACACCCAGCATGGTAGGTTTTCCCTGCTATGTCCTCTTACCACTTAATTCTTTCATAGCACTTATCACAATCTATAACATTGTTTATTTGTTTAATTATTTTCCATCTCTCCACTAAAATTTAAAACTCAGTGAGGGCAGGGTCTTTTTTGGTCCTGTTAACCAGTGTATTCCTAATACCCAGAACAAATCTGGCTCCTGGCAGGCATTCAAATAATTCTTAAATGAAGAGATACAAAAGCCCACTGAGTCATTTATGCAAATCAGATGGAGTGGCGGTCTTCTCCACAATTCCCAAGTACAGCTTCCACTTTTCCCTCAACCTCTCATAAAGTCACAGAGTAAATAGAAGGTGAGTTTATTTCTCCAGTCTTGAAATTAACAATTTTCAAGAAAACAAATTATTAGAATAACTGGTGGAGTCACAGACATATTTCTAGCTCCATTAGGTCAAAGGAAAGGAAAGAGGACAAGGGTAGAAAGGAGACAAGCCCTCTAAGAAACTGTCCATTCAGTCTGTCTGCAGTCAATATGAAGAGATAGCCTTTGGAGCTACAGAAAATATTACATTGAAGTGGATTATGCTTGCTGTTAAAGAAGCTGGTCCAGCCGAGCAGCAGCAGAAGACGAAGACTCAAATGTCCATGTAGAGCATCATGGTCCCTGACCAAAGAGACTTCTTCTGGTTCCTCTTGCTCTCCTCACCAAGAGCACAGATGTGCCCAGCAGCAATATGACAGCAAATGTCTCTATGGCTTCGGGATGAAAATGTCCACACACTTTAAGACCCGAGAAGAAATGGGGAGTGCTCCACACCCAAGGAACTGAAGCTAGGGAAAGACAGTTTTCTTGTGTTTCTGTCATAGAGGTGGACTGATGCTGAAGTCAACTGGTCTATACCAATCTAGAGCATCCACTAGGTGTAACAAGGTGTCTGGTTGTGCACGGGTTGGTGAGGCAGGAGGGGCCAGACCAGCACAAAGTCAGGGCCCTATTCTTCTAGTGTTGGGTCCACTTGATGCTCTTGAGGTCAATGCCATCCTGAACCATCTCCCAGAGAGGGCTGCCAAAGAGAAGAGGCATTAAATGAGTGAGGGCTTAGATAGGAAGTCGACAACATTGGCCCCAAGGCTCTGAGCAATGGCTTGCCTCCTTCTGTCCCTGTCTGTCCTCTGCCTCTTGCCCTGGTAGACCCTAACACAGGTGGTTAAGGTATCCTGAGCTCTCCAGCTCCCTGTAAGTCCTTGTCAGCTCTCCTGAGAGCTCTCCCCAACTGCTAACAGGAATAACTAGGTTCCTCAGGCTCAATTGCAGTGGGGCCCTGAGCCAATGGACACCAAACATGGTCATATTCTTGAAGCTTTCATCCCACTGGTAAGAGGCTATGGCCATGGTTTCCCTTGGAGGAACCAAGACCCTTGAGACTTGTATAAACATCTAGTTTAAGCCTCTCTTCATATGACATGTATAAGCAGCTCGTTTCAGCCCACCACATATTACCCGCTTTTCAGCATTTGTTTCTTGGTTTTGTTCTAGTTCCCAGTTAGGGGTGGAACTTAACCCTACATCATCTTGGTATGCTGTACCCTTACCCAGTTCTTGCCCGTTTCATCTCCCCAGAGTTGGCCTGTGCTTCCAATATCCCTGGGTCTAATCCAAAAGAATTCCTTGGATCTTAGACCTGAGCATCCCATCTCACACAAGAGCTGCTGCTAAGAAATCTCTGCTAAGCTCTGATCGATCCCCAAGCAGAAGCTTGGATATCTTGGATAATGTTCCCAGACCAGATATTACTTCAGTGTGCTATGAATATGGGATTTTACAGTTTAGATTTCACCAGGTAATTTTATCAAATTTCATTATATTCTTGACTTGTCCCTCTTCTATATACTAAACATTCCCAGAATGCCTTTCTATTCATGAGATTTTCCATGGCCCTTAAAGTTAGCCATCTCCTTCCTGTCCTTCCTCTTTAGGGAAGACCACTTATTATTATAGGCTCACAAAATAAGACTCTGAGAGCTAATAGGACCAGGCTGCATTCAGTTTGTAAAGGGTCAGAAGGAATAGGGTGCAGATGCCGAAGCCACATAGATAGGAAACAAAAGGCTTTGCTGGCCACGTGGTCAGTAGAAATGCCTTGTGAGTATACCACAGAATACCAGAAAGTGAGGACAAAGGAAGGGTCCTGCAGTTGAGCAAGCTATAGACACTTAAGCAATACAGCTAGACCCTACAAAGAAAAATCCAGAACACAGAAAGGCCTGGGAGAGCTCATAAAGGGAAGCAGAGTATATACCTGAAATTCCTCTCTCTACCAACTAGATCAAGAGAATCCTGAAAGTCAAGGTTAACCAAGACAGAGCCAGGCTCTGAAAAAATCTAGAGGCCTCAAGGTTCCAGGAGGAAGATGAGCTCTGTGGCTACTAGGGGAAGCCCTGGTGCCAGCTGACTGGCCAAGGATCTCATTACCTTTATAAACACATTGATTGATTGATTGAGACAGAGTCTTGCTCTGTCGCCCAGGCTGGAGAGCAGTGGTGCGATCTCAGCTCACTGCAAGCTCTGCCTCCTGGGTTCACGCCATTCTCCTGCCTCAGCCTCCCAAGTAACTGGGACTACAGGTGCCCACCATGCCAGGCTAATTTTTTTGTATTCTTAGTAGAGACGGGGTTTCATTGTGTTAGCCAGGATGGTCTTGATCTCCTGACCTCATGATCCGCTCACCTCGGCCTCCCGAAGTGCTGGGATTACAGGCGTGAGCCACCGTGCCCAGCCACAGAAAATATATTTTTAAAATTAGCTAGGTGTGGGGGCACACAGCTGTAGTCCTAGCTACTTGGGAGTCTGAAGCAGGAGGATAACTTGAGCCCAAGAGTCCAAAGTTACAGTGAACTACAACTGTGCCACTGCACTCCAGCCTGGGTGACAGAATGAGACACTTTCTCTAAAGATAATAATAATCATAATGAACAATACTACCTGGGCCAGGTGCGGTGGCTTGTGCCTGTAATCCCAGCACTTTGGGAGGCCAAGACAGGAGGACTGCTTGAGCCCGGGAGTTTGAGACCAGCCTGGGCAACATAGCAAAACTCCGTCTCTACAAAAAATACAAAAACTAACCAGGCATAGTGGCACATGCCTGTAGTACCAGCTACTTGGGAGGCTGAGGTGGGAGGATCACTTGAGCTTGGGAGGCACAAGTTGCAGTGAGGTGTGATTGTGCCACTGCACTCCAGCCTGAATAACAGAGCAAGAACTTGTCTCCAAAAAAAAAAAAAAAACTACTACCTGCATTACCTGCATTCATCTAGTTCTTTAGTTTGTTGTTTTTGTTTTTGTTTTTGTTTTCTTGAGACGGAGTCTCACTCTGTCACCCAGGCTGGAGTGCAGTGGTGTGATCTCGGCTCACTGCAAGCTCCACCTCCCAGGTTCACGCCATTCTCCTGCCTCACCTCCCGAGTAGCTGGGACTACAGGTGCCCGCCACCACGCCCAGCTAATTTTTTTGTATTTTTAGGAGAGACGGGGTTTCAACGTGTTAGCCAGGATGGTCTCGATCTCCTGACCTTGTGATCCACCCACCTCAGCCTCCCAGAGTGCTGGGATTACAGGTGTGAGCCACTGTGCCCGGCTTTTTTTTTTGGGACGGAGTTTGGCTCTTGTTGCTCAGGCTGCAATGCAATGGTACAATCTTGGCTCAACGCAACCTCCCCCTCCCAGGTTGAAGTGATTCTCCTGCCTCAGTCTCCCAAGTAGCTGGGATTATAGGGATGCGCCACCACTCCCGGCTAATTTTTTTGTATTTTAGTAGAGACGGGGTTTCTCCATGTTGGTCAGGCTGGTCTCGAACTTCTGACCTCAGGTGATCTGTCCGCCTCGGCTTCCCAAAGTGCTAGGATTACAGGCATGGGCCACCCTGCCCGGCCTAGTTCTTTAGTTTTTAAAAACACTTTCTCATTGTGAAGACAAGTAGCCAAGAAGATCTACTTTCTTGCTTTGTGGAATCTCTAAATCCTAAGATCCAAGTACGCTTGAACTTTGGTTTTGGCAGTGTAAACACATAGCCTAAGGACAAGAGGGGAGACAGTGCTAGAGTTTCTTCCAAAGCGTCTCTGATACAATATGTATACCTCATTTCTCGAAGACGCTTCACATGCTGAATGCATTTCTCCACTGTGTAGTCCACTTCCTCCTCTGTAGTGAAGCGGCCAATTCCAAACCTGAAAAAAGGCACAGGAGAATGGCTCCCCATCAGAGCTCTGGCACTGGGATAAATTCATTCCGCAAATACTCACTAAGGATCTACGACACAAAAGATATGGAGAGAAGAACATGGTCCTTCCCCTTTAGGCAGAGTTTCTC
Source organism: Homo sapiens (assembly GCF_000001405.40). Lineage (NCBI taxonomy): Eukaryota > Metazoa > Chordata > Mammalia > Primates > Hominidae > Homo > Homo sapiens. The sequence continues at coordinate 35,672,987 of NC_000020.11, forward strand.
AGAACATGGTATATGGATCGGCCGGGCATGGTGGCTCACGCCTGTAATTCCAACAGTTTGGGAGGCCAAGGTGGACAGATCACATGAGGTTGGGAGTTCGAGACCAGCCTGGCCAACATGGTGAAACCCCGTCTCTACTAAAAATATAAAAATTAGCTGGGCCTGGTGGCACATGTCTGTAATCCCAGCTACTCAGGAGGCTGAGGCAGGAGAATTGCTTGAACCTGCAAGTCAGAGGCTTCAGTGAGCTGAGATCATGCCACTGCACTCCAGCCTGGGCGACAGAGTAAGACTCTGTCTCAGAAAAAAAAAAAAGAACATGATCTACGGACCACCAACATTAAAATCACCTGAGATGTTTTCTACTCCTCCTCCGGACCTAGTGAATCAGAATATCTGAATGTGGGACTCAGATATCATATTTCACAAACTTCCCAGGTGATACTCAATGAAGTCTGAGAACCACTGCTCTAGAAACTTTCACAAGGTTATGAGAAGAGATAAGGAGAACTCGACTGAGAAAAACTTCAGGGTGGAAAAAGAAAAAAACTGTAACAGGAGATGAAAAATATAAGAGGATGCCTTTCATAAATGTTGCAGCTCAACTCACTGACCTGATAGAAGAGTGCGCTAAATCCTCATCAGTGCCAATTGCTCTAAGCACATAAGAGGGCTCCAGGGATGCAGAGGTGCAGGCACTGAGGAGAGAGACACGAACCTTGTTCAGTTCATCATCAACGTCTACTTTTAGTCACAAACCCTCAGTCTTGTTCCCATCCCCCAGGGCCCTGGAGTCATACCCTGGAGAAAACAAGAGACCTTCTAATCTGGCAGAACTAAAGGACCTGATGCTCCCCTGCACATCCTAGGATGTGTGAACCTAGCTCCTCTGGCCCCCATGGTGGATGACTTCCTTAAGCAAGGACGCTGGCAAAGTGTGACAGAGCATGATACCACATGGGTTTGACAAGAAGACGCAGCAGAGGACCATGTGCTCACTTCCCCAGGACGTAATGCACCATCTGCACCAGCCTGAAGGGCAGCCAAACACTTAGTGGCCTTTGGAGCATCTTCAATTCTAGAGGCCTGTAACAGAACTGCTAGTGTAACCCACAACAGACACATACATCCCCTGGGACGATAAAAGGCACAAAATTCTACCCCAGGAAGTCTTCCTAGGGTGGTAAACTTCAGTCTGTACCCAGCTACCCAGCCAACCAAAAAAAGAGAGGCACTTACAAAATGACCTTTACCCTTAATCAAGAGGTCTTGTGCCTATCATCTCCACACTGGGAAGTTTAATAGCCTGTATGACTCTTCTAAGTGGCCCTGCCGCAGGCCCTGTCTATGCCGTCCAGCTCACCTCCCTGAGGATAAGGCAACGTCCTTCAGTGCCATCAGCAGACTTTCCCCTTCCACATATGCAAAGGAGAGGTTGATACAGCCTGGAGGAAAGAAATACTGTGAGAGAGGTCTCAGAGTCTCAGCCTCTACCAGAATGAGGATAGAAAGAGCAAGTCCATACCGGGATAATGGTGCTTAGGGTCCCCATTCATCACCACATCTGGAAGGCTCTTCATTATATTCTGTATCAGCCGCTCTGACAACTTTGAGATTCGCTTGTGGTCATACTAAGGAGCAGGCAAGGAAGGATTAGGCAGTAACCATTAACCAGCTCAGAAAGACAGTTTGAGAAGCCCTTCTCCTATAACTGGAAGTGACTATGTATCAGCCCCACCTATCATCCTATGTACTCATGGGGACCACTGTATCTCCAGTACTGAGCATAGTGCCTGGTATGCAAAAGGCGCTTGATAACTGGACACAGGGTTCATTTACTTATCCAGAAATAAATGAGCTGATAACTACTAAAAGGCCATGGGTTTTGAAGCCCATAATGTCTCCCTCAGAACAAGGTGCCAGCAGCACCAGGACAAGGAAGAGTTTTCTTAAGCCCTCTCTCCCTGCAGAGATCTGCCTCAGTCATGCTGAGAAGCCTCTAAATAGGAGACCCAGCACAGGGGAAGAAGTTGTGGGAGGGAACTGCTCTCCCCATACCTCCATCTCTTGCTGTGCCACCTCACACGCAGCCCCCAGCCCCACCACTAAGGGTGTGGGCACTGTCCCAGACCGCATACCCCGCTCCTGCCCCCCTCCACTCTGCAGGGCCTCCACACGCACACGGGGCCGGCGACGGATGTAGATGGCACCAACCCCTGGGAAACAAAATTTGTTACAAAAAACAGAAAGAGAGAAAAGTAGATAAAACAAAATATTTCTTTCCAAAGGGATCAAAATATTACTTCAACTTTTCTGTAAGCATGAAATTTTTCTAAATAAAAAACGTTAAGGAAAAGAAGAAACAGCAGTAAAAGCATAGTATTTAGTAAAATATTTAACATCTGGAAGATAAATGCCAGAAGGAGTAATGATCAAAATGGTTTAAAGTAGCTCCCTATGCTATATGAAATGCCATCATACATTACAGTATTATTCATAATAGCAAAAATACTGGGAACAACTTAGATGTCCATCATCAGGGTAATGGTCAAATAGATTATGGCATGTCCATACAATGAAATACCAAGCAGGTGTATAAAAGAATGAGGGGGCCGGGTGTGGTGGTTCACGCCTATAATCCCAACTGTGGGAGGTCAAGGCGGGCGGATCACCTGAGATCAGAAGTTAGAAACCAGCCTGGTCAACATGGTGAAACCCTCTCTCTACTAAAAATACAAAGATTAGCCAAGCGTGGTAGCAGGCACATGTAATCCCAGCTACTCAGGAGGCTGAGACATGAGATGAACCCAGGTGGTAGAGGTTGCAGTGAGCTGAGATCAAGCCACTGCACTCCAGCCTGAGTGATGGAGCAAGACTCTGTCTCCCAAAAAAAAAAAAAAAAAAAAGAAGAAGCTTGTTCTGAACTGACACCATAAAATCTCCAAGATACATTGTTACAAAACTGGTGAAATCCAAAAAAAAGTCTGTACTTTAGCTTGAAAAAACAAAGATGTATTGGCCGGGCGCAGTGGCTCACGCCTGTAATACCAGCACTTTGGGAGGCTGAGGTGGGTGGATCACCTGAGTTCGGGAGTTTGAGACCAGCCTGACCAACATGGAGAAACCCCTTCTCCACTAAAAATACAAAATTAGCCAGGCATGGTGGCACATGCCTGTAATCCCAGCTACTAGGGAGGCTGAGGCAGAAGAATTGCTTGAACTCGGGAAGCAGAGGTTGCAGTGAGCTGAGATGGCACCATTGCACTCCAGCCTGGGCAACAAGAGCAAAACTCCGTCTAAAAAAAAAAAATGTATTATGGGCTGGACACGGTGGCTCACACCTGTAATCCCAGTGCTTTGGGCAGCCGAGGCGGACAGATCATGAAATCAGGAGTTCGAGACCAGCCTGACCAACATGGTGAAACCCCGTAATTATTAAAAATACAAAAATTAGCTGGGCGTGGTGGCACGCACCTGTAATCCCAGCTACTCAGGAGGCTGAGGCAGGAGAATCGCCTGAACTTGGGAGCCACAGGTTGCAGTGAGCCAAGATTGTGCCACTGCACTCCAGCCTAGTGACAGAGCAAGACTCTGTCTAAAAAAAAAAAGATGTACCATTAGGTGAAAAATGAAAGATTGAAACAGTGAGTACAGTATGCTATCATCTGGATAAAAAAGAAAGCTGGAGGAGAAGTATATATTTGTTTGTAAACACATAGGATAATTGTAGAAAAACCCAAGAAATTGCCTCCCAATAACCAGAGAAAATCAGAAAAAAAAAAAAAAAAAAAAAAAAAAACCAAGAAAGAAATTACCTCCCCAGAAGGGAACTGCATAGCTGGAGGTCAGAGGTGAGAGGCAGACTTTTGTCTGTGCCTTTTTTTTCCCTTTTTTTTTGAGACAAGAGTCTTGCTCTGTTGCCCAGACTGGAGTGCAATGGCACGGTCTCAGCTCACCGCAACCTCCACCTTCCCGGTTAAAGTGATTCACCTGCCTCAGCCTCCTGATTAGCTGGGATTACAGGCACCCGCCACCACGCATGGCTAATTTTTGTATTTTTAGTACAGACGGGGTTTCACCATGTTGGACAGGCTGGTCTCAAATTCCTGGCCTCATGATCTGCCCGCCTCGGCCTCCCAAAGTGCTGCAATTACAGGCGTGTGCCACTGCACCTGGCTGTCTGTGCACTTTTTTGTAGCTTTTGAATTTTGAATCACATGAATATTACTTTTTCAAAATAAAATTTAAATTTAAAAACAATTTGGTGGAGCACGGTGGCTCATGACTACAATCCCAGCATTCTGGGAGGCCAAGGAAGGAGAATCACTTGAGACCAGAAGTTTGGGACCAGCCTGAGAAACACAGTGAGACCCCGTGTCTACAAAAAAAAAAATTAAAACTTAGCTGGGCATGGTGGCATGCACTTATAGTCCCAGCTACTCTGGAGGCTAAGGCAGGAGGATCACTTGAGCCTAGGAGGTCGAGGCTGCAGTGAGCTATGATCGTGCCACTCACTCCACTCCAGGCTGGGCAACAGACTGAGACCTTGACTCAAAAAAACAAAAAACTTAAAAATGCGTATAACCTGTGACTAAACAAGCCGAATTACAGAAATTTTGTGCCAAAATATGAGCATGAGCATGCAAAGTTATTCACCAAGTAATCAGGGCTTCTGAATAGAATTGGCACTTGACAGTTCTCCCACACAGAAAAACTGTTTATGCTGAGAATGGAGGTACTATAAAAATTAAGGCAGTGGTTTCCAAATCGATTATGAAGGACACCAGATTTTAAATAATAAGCTGGGTGCAGTGGGTCATGCCTGTAATCCCAGCACTTTGGGAGACTGAGGCGGGAGGGTTGCTTGAGGTCAGGAATTCAAGCCTGAGTAACATAGTGAAACCTCTATCTCTACAAAAACTGTTTTAAAAATTAGCCAGGCATTGGGCCGGGCACGGGATTACGCCTGTAATTCCGGCACTTTGGGAGGCCAAGGGTGGGTGGATCACCTGAGGTCAGGAGTTCGAGACCAGCCTGGCCAACATAGTGAAACCCTGTCTCTACTAAAAATACAAAAATTAGGCCGGGTGTGGTGGCTCACACCTGTATTCCCAGCACCTTGGGAGGCCGAGGCGGGCAGATCATGAGGTCAGGAGATCAAAACCATCCTGGCTAACACAGTGAAACCCCGTCTCTACAAAAATACAAAAAAAAAAAAATTAGCCGGGCGTGGTGGCAAGCGCCTGTAGTCCCAGCTGCTTGGGACGCTGAGGCAGGAGAATGTCGTGAACCCTGGAGGCGGAGCTTGCAGTGAGCCAAGATCACGCCACTGTACTCCAGGCTGGGTGACAGAGCGAGACTCCGTCTCAAAAAATAAAATAAAATACAAAAATTAGCCAGGCGTGGTGGCAGGCACCTGTAATCCCAGCTACTTGGGAGGCTGAGGCAGGAGAATCGCTTGAACCCGGGAGGCGGAGGTTGCAGTGAGCCGAGATCTCACCATTGCACTCCAGCCTGGGGGACAAGAGCGAGACTTTGTCTCAAAAAAAAAAAAAAAAAAAATTAGCCAGGCATGGCCGGGCACAGTGGGCCTATAATCCCAGCTACTCAGGAGGATGAGAGAGGAGAATCCCTTCAACCTGGGAGGCAGAGGTTGCAGCGAGCCGAGATCACACCACTGCACTCCAGCCTGGGCGTCAGAGTAAGACTTTGTCTCAAAAAAAAAAATTAGGCGTGTTGGTGCACACCTGTAGTGCTAGTTACTGGTGAGGCTGGGGTAGGAGGGTTGCTTGAGCCCAGGAGATTGAAGCTGTGGCAAGGTAGGATAGCACCACTGCACTCCAGCCTGAGCAACAGAGTGAGACCTTGTCCCTATAAAACAAATGAATAAAATAATGTATTAAACTGTATTTATTAAGAATTATTTCATTTCTCCATTTAAAAAAATTCAAGAATCTTATACTATCTGAGTCTAAACAGTTCCCAAATTCAAACAGCAAGTGCTCAAATACCATGTCTGAACAGTGAAGAATGCCACATTATCTAAATCTATTTAGATTCTGGACTTGGAAAGCAGGAGGTTGGATAATGAGGGACACCTGTACACATGTAAGTGTTGATCAGAGCTTCTGATCAATGAGTTCATTGGTTTTTTGTTTTTAAAATTTTTGTGAGTACACAGGAGGTATATATATTATGGAGTTCATGAGATTTTTTTTGTTTTTGAGAGGGAGTCTCGCCTGTCGCCCAGGCAGTGGTGTGATCTCGGCTCACTGCAACCTCTGGCTCCTGGGTTCAAACGATTCTCCTGCCTCAGTCTCCTGAGTAGCTGGGATTAAAGGCACATGCCACCACACCCGGCTAATTTTTTTATTTTTAGTAGAGACGGGGGTTCACCATGTTGATCAGGCTGGTCTTGAACTCCTGACCTCGTGATCCGCCCGCCTTGGCTTCCCAAAGTGCTGGGATTACAGGTGTAAGCCACCGTGCCCAGCCCATGAGATGTTTTAATACAGGCATATAATGTGAAATAGGCACATGATGAAGAATGGGGTATCCAGCCTGAGTTCATTGGTTTTTATCAAAAAGACTTATCTACAATAAAAGCCAATAAAAGCAACATTTTATTAAAAGACAGAACGCTTACTGGGCTTTTTGAAATAATAACTCACAAAAAACACTCTACAACCTCTGGGAACCCTTAGAAGACGCCATCTTCCATAATTCCAGAAGCTATTACACCTACTTCCACAAGGTATACACCCAGATAACACACCCTGCAGACATAAAAAGGGTACCAGCACAGACATCAACCCAAAAAAGGCCCTCACTTGAGAAAGAGGAGTTATATTTTATATTTATATTTTATGGTTACCTTCACAAAACAGAGGACAACAGTCTATTCCCAAGGGTTAAGGGAAAGAGGCATAACTCAAGCTTGAACACATTCCAATAGGACCATAGGGAACAAACATGTATCCTTGAGAGACTAACAGGATAACAGACTATGAAGTCTTCTAAGAATAAACACAAAGATAGCTGGGCTTGGTGGCTCACATCTATAATCCCAGCACTTTGGGAGGCCGAGACGGGCGGATCACGAGGTCAGGAGATCAAGACCATCCTGGCTAACATGGTGAAACCCCGTCTCTACTAAAAATACAAAAAAATTAGCCGGGCGTAGTGGCAGGCGCCTGTAGTCCCAGCTACTCGGCAGGCTGAGGCAGAAGAATGGCGTGAACCAGGGAGGTGGAGCTTGCAGTGAACCGAGATGGCGCCACTGCACTCCAGCCTGGGCGACTGAGCGAGACTCCGTCTCAAGAAAAAAAAAAAGAACACAAAGAGATGTCAAATCCCATGCAATCTTCCCCTGAGCTATAGCAAGACACTGGGAATGAGGGACTCAAATAGTTGCTCTGCACATCATAGTGGGGAAAACAAGATAGCTGGGCCTATCTAGATAAATTTGATTTGACAAAACCCATTTTTCCTCAACCAAATTAAGATCTACATGCTTGCTAAGGATTTGTTAAAGAGAGCAAGAAAGAATGGCCTGATGTATAGTAACTGCTAAGGTCTACAAACAAGCAAGTGTTTCTGGCTATTGCTAAATGACATTTGCATTCTACAAGGGACTCTGAATGTACAACTTCCTCTGAGAGCAACAGTAGTCCCAAATGACTGTGACAAACATCTATCAAAGGTCTTGCTGGAAGGTACAGAGAGAAGGAACTCTAGAAGGGGCTGGTACCTTTGGGACCGTAGATTTTGTGACCACTAATGCTCATGAGATCAATTTTCATGTCATTGACATCAAGTGGGATTTTTCCAACAGCCTGGGCTGCATCAGTATGGAAATATACCTTTCTGGAACTGCAAATCCGCCCTGAGGAAACAGAGGGGAAGACCCACAGCACAATGTTGGAAAGTCATCTGTCAGAGTCCCACAGTGCACTGTGAATTATCTCCAATAGTAAATGACCTGTAAATATTAAACTCCTCCCCTCCCTCCTTCTACCCCTTCTCCTTCCTCTTTTCCTTCCCTCCTCCCCCTTCCCCCTTCCTCCCTCTCTGTGTCTCAGTAGCTTCCCTTCTTTAGAATAAAAAAGATGAAGGGCAAAGCACCAGATCGAAACACTCGTGATATTCTTATGCATACAATTCTCACCACCTCATTAACACCAGCCTTTCAAAATGTCAGATTACTTTCTAGATCCCTTTTGATTAAAAAACAAACAAAACAAAATAAAAAAAAAAAAACAAGATTAACAGATCTTTGTGCTAATGTGCCTAAAGAAATTACAGGGCGATCTCTATGTGGGGAGAATAGAGATGTTCTAAAAGGAAAAAGAGTAGCAGGCTTTTTTGTTTTGTGGTTGGTTTTGGCAGCAACTGCAATAAAATTAAAAACCATAAAAGGTGCTAGACCTGGCCGGGAGCAGTGGCTCACGCCTGTAATCCCAGCACTTTGGGAGGCCAAGGCAGACGGATCACCTGAGGTTAGGAGTTCAAGACCAGCCTGGCCAACATGGCAAAACCTCATCTCTACTAAAAATACAAAAATTAGCCAGGCATAGTGGTACACACCTGTAGTCCCAGCTACTCAAGAGGCTGAGGCGGTAGGATCATTTGAACCCAGAGTGAGGAGGTTGCAGGGAGCTGAGATCACACCACTGCACTCCAGCCTAGGTGACAGAGTGATACTCTGTCTCAATGAAAAAAAAAATGGTAATAGACCTGGATTCAAATACTGCCTATGACACTTCCAATGTCCTTGAACAAAGTACTTAGGCTTTCCCTTGATTTCCTAACTACACTCCATAGAGTATTACAGCTCTCAGTATACTACCTCATACAGAGCCCCATGGTGGGCAGGGATCAGGGATAAGCCATGATACTCACCTATTTCTGCAATAGGCTGCTTCACTCCAATCTCATTGTTCACAGTCATGACTGACACCAGGCTAGTATCTGGCTGGATAGCAGCCTCTAGTTCCTAGGGATATGCAGGAGTAAGGTGACTAGATAGTACAAACAAAGTCCTCCTAAATCAGAATATAGGCAAACTTAGTCATGAAAAGGAGTCTTATACTACATACCTATCTGAATAGTTAACTAAAAACAGTGACAACACAAAATGTTGGTGAGGATGCACAGACTCTGAATGGTTCATACATTGTTAGTGGGAATGTAAATATCACAGCCACTTTGGAAAACAGTTTGACAGTTTCTGTTTCTCATCAAACTAAACATGAAATTACCATAGAACCCAGTAACTGTACACTTGGGCATTTATCCCAGAGAAATGAAAATTAAATTCACAAAACATCTTACACAAATGTTCACAATAACTTTATTCGTAATACCAAAAACCTAGAAACTACCCAGATTCCTTCAACAGACGATTTTCGTACATCCATAACATGGACTACTACTTATCAATCAAAAGGAACAAACTACTGGCACACGCAGCAGTGAATGAATTCCCAAAGACTTATGATTAGTGAAAAAAGCCAATAAAGGCCGGGCGCAATGGCTCACGCCTGTAATCCCAGCACTTTGGGAGGCTGAGGTTGGTGGGTGTCCTGAGATCGGAAGTTCGAGACCAGCCTGGCGAACAAGGAGAAACCCTGTCTCTACTAAAAATACAAAAATTAGCTGGGCCTGGTGGCACACACCTGTAGCCCCAGCCACTTCGGAGGTTGAGGCAGGAGAAATGCTTAAATCCAGGTTGCAGTAAGCTGAGATTGCACCACTGCAATCCAGCCTGGGTGACAGAGTGAGACTCTGCCTCAAAAAAAAAAAAAGAAAGGCCAGGTATGGTGGCTCACGCCTGTAATCCCAGCACTTTGGGAGGCTGAGGCAGGCGGATCGCAAGGTCAGGAGATCAAGACCATCCTGGCTAACACAGTGAAACCCTGTCTCTACTAAAAATACAAAAAATTAGCTGGGTGTGGTGGCAGGCACCGGTAGTCCCAGCTACTTGGGAGACTGAGGCAGGGGAATGGCGTGAACCTGGGAGGCGGAGCTTGCAGTGAGCGGAGATCACACCACTGCACTCCAGCCTGGGCAACAGAACAAGATTCCATCTCAAAAAACAAAACAAAACAAAACAAAAAAACAAAAACAAAAATAAAAAAGCCAATCCCAGAAGGTTACATACTGTATGATTCCATCCACATGACAGTATGAAATGACAAAATTAAAGAAACTGCCAGCCGGGTGTGGTGGCTCACGAATGTAATCCCAGGACTTTGGGAGGCGGAGGCGGGTGGATCAGAAGGTCAGAAGTTCAAGACCAGCCTGGCCAAGATGGTGAAACCCCGTCTCTACTAAAAATACAAAAATTAGCCGGGCGCAGTGGCAGGCACCTGTAATCCCAGCTACTTGAGAGGCTGAGGCAGGAGAATCGCTTGAACCCGGGGGGCAGAGGTTGCAGTGAGCTGAGATCAAGCCACTGCACTCCAGCCTGGGCAACAGAGTGAGACTCCGTCTCAAAAAAATTTAAAAAAAGGCCAGGCACGGTGGCTCACACCTGTAATCCAAGCACTTTGGGAGGCTGAGGCGGGCGTATCACAAAGTCAAGAGATCGAGACCATCCTGGCTAACATGGTGAAACCTTGTCTCTACTAAAAATACAAAACATTAGCCAGGCATGGTGGCACGCGCCCTGTAGTCCCAAGCTACTAGGGAGGCTGAGGCAGGAGAATCGCTTGAACCTGGGAGGCAGAGGTTGCAGTGAGCCGAGATTGCACCACTGCACTCCATGCACTCCAGCCTGGGCAACAGAGTGAGACTCCATCTCAAAAAAAAAAAAAAAAAAAAAAGAAAGAAAGAAATTGCTGGGTATGGTGGCTCACACCTGGGTATGGTGGCTCACGCCTGTAATCCCAGCACTTCGGCAGATCACCTGAGGTCAGGAGTTCGAGACCAGCCTGGCCAACATGGTGAAAGCACTGCTCTACTAAAAATACAAAAATACCTGGGCATGGCGGCAGGTGCCTGTAATCCCAGCTACTCGGGAGGCTGAGGTAGGAGAATTGCTTGACCTCGGGAGGCAGAGGTTGCAGTGAGCCAACACTGTGCCATTGCACTCCAGCTGGGGCGACCAGAGCAAAACTCTGTCTCAAAAATAAAATAGGCTGTGTGTGGTGACTCACGCCTGTAATCCCAGCACTTTGGGAGGCCGAGGCGGGCGGATCACAAGGTCAGGAGAGCGAGACCATACTGCCTAACACAGTGAAACCCCATCTCTAAAAATACAAAAAATTAGCCAGGCGTGGTGGCGGGCGCCTATAGTTCCAGCTACTTGGGGAAGGGGCTGAGGCAGGAGAATGGCGTGAACCTGGGAGGCGGAGGTTGCAGTGAGCAGAGATCGCGCCACTGCACTCCAGCCTGGGAGACAGAGCAAGACTCCATCTCAAATAAATAAAATAAAATAAAATAAAATAAAATAAAATAAAATAAAATAAAATAAAATAAGGGCCGGGCATGGTGGCTCACGCCTGGAATCCCAGCACTTTGGAAGGCTGAAATAGGTGGATCATTTGAGGTCAGGAGTTTGGACCAGCCCAGCCAACATGGTGAAACCCTGTCTCTACTAAAAATACAAAAATCAGTGGAGCATGGTGGCAGACACCTGTAATCCAAGCTACTTAGGAGGCTGAGGCAGGAGAATCATTTGAACCCAGGTGGCAGAGGTTGCAATGAGCCAAGTTCACACCACTGCACTCCAGCCTGTGTGACAGAGCAAGACTCCCATCTCAATAAAAAATAAATAAAAAATAAATAAATATAGCTGGGGATGGTGGCTCATACCTACAATCCTAGCACTTTGGGAGGCTGAGGTCAGAGGACAGCTTGAGCCAAGGAGTTTGAGACCAGCCTTGCAACATAGGGAGACCCTGTCTCTTTTTTCTTCAGATGGAGTCTTGCTCTGTTTCCCAAGGTGGAGTGCAGTGGCGGGGTCTCACTCACTGCAACCTCCGCCTCCCAGGTTCAAGTGGTTCTCCTACCTCAGCCTCCTGAGTAGCCGAGATTATGGGCAGACACCACCACACCCGGCTAATTTTTGTATTTTTAGTAGAGACGGGGTTTTACCATGTTGGCCAGGCTAGTCTCGAACTCCTGACTTCAGGTGATCCACCCACCTTGGCCCCCAAAGTGCTGGGATTATAGGCATGAGCCACAGCACCTGGCCAAGGGAGACCCTGTCTCTACAAAAAGAAAAAAGAAAAAAATTAGCTGGGCATCATAGCCTGCGCCTATAGTTCCAGCTACTCAGGAAGGAGGCTGAGGTGGGAGGATCATTTGAGCCTAGGAGGTCAAGGCTGCTGTAAGCCTTGGTGGTTCCAGAGCAAGTTCCTCTCTCATTCATAAATAAATATATAGCCAGGTGTGGTGGCACACATCTCTAGTTCTAGCTGCTTAGGATGCATAGGCACAAGAATCGCTTGAACTTAGAAGGCGGAGACTGCAGTGAGCCGAGGTCATGTCACTGCACTCCAGCCTGGGCAACAGAGCAAGACCATGTCTCATAAAAAAAAATTATATATTATATATATAAAATATTTTATATATATATATATAGCAGCCGGGCGCAGTGGCTCACGCCTGTAATCCCAGCATTTTGAGAGGCCGAGACAGGCGGATCACCTGAGGTCAGGCACTTGAGACCAGCCTGACCAACATGGTGAAACCCCATCTCTACTAAAAATACAAAATTAGCCAGGTGTGGTAGCGCATGCCTATAATCCCAGCTACTGAGGAGGCTAAGTCAGGAGAATTGCTTGAACCCGGGAGGCGGAGGTTGCGATGAGCTGAGATCGCGCCACTGCACTCCAGCCTGGGCAACAAGAGCGAAATTCAGTACCCCCCCGCAAAAAAAAAAAAAAAAGAAACACAGGGGTAAAACTCCATGACCTTGGATTTCAAAATGAATTCTTTCTTTATTTTTTTTTTGAGATGGAGTCTTGCTTTTGTCACCCAGGCTAGAGTGCAATGGCACGATCTCGGCTCACTGCAACCTCCGCCTCCTGGGTTCAAGCAATTCTGCTGCCTCACCCTCCCAAGTAGCTGGGATTACAGGCGCCCTCAACCACACCCGGCTAATTTTTGTATTTTTTAGTAGAGACGGGGTTTCACCATGTTGGCCAGGCTGGTCTTGAACTTCTGACCTCAGATGAACTGGTCACCTCGGCCTCCAACTCCCGACCTCAGGTGATCCGCCTCCCAAAGTGCTGGGATTACAGCTACTCAGAAGGCTGAGGCAGGAAAATCGCTTGAACCCGGGAGGCGGAGGTTGTGGTGAGCAGAGAGCATGCCATTGCACTCCAGCCTGGGCAATAAGAGCGAAACTCCATCTCAAAAAAAAAAAAAAAAAAAAGTGCAAATGACAAAAGAAAAATACATAGCTTTCTTTTATGAAGTGATGAAAATGTCCTGGAATATGACAGTGATGATTGTTGGAAACTGTGAATACATTAAAAGCCAGTGAATTGTATAATTTCAAAAGATGAATGTTATGGTATGTGAATTACATCAGAAATTTCTAAGTGCTTAAAAAGGCACCATGTAAAGAACTCTGAATATCAGGCAAAATGAAGTTATAATTCATGTCAAAGGAAATGGGAAATCTCTCAAGATTTTTGAGTAAAGTGAGAAAAGGCCAAATAAGTACTTTAGAAATAAAGTCTGATGAGGATGTGCAGGACACACTGGAAGGTTGTTGCTAAAGGTGTGGGCAGCAAGCCACCCAGGTGCCGAGGCAAGAGACCAAGGGCACGAGCTGTTCCAGTATAATAAAATATATAAAATAAGAATAGTTATACTAGATATAGATCTTAGATATGATTATATATGAATATCATTAATCATTAGTTTGTAGTGATTACTCTTTATTCTAATATTATAATAATCCTCGCTCTACAATCATAACCTAGGAAAAACCAGGCCATACAGAGATAGGAGCTGAGGGGACATAGTGAGAAGTGACCAGAAGACAAGAGGCGAGCCTTCTGTTATGCGTGGACAGGGCCACCAGAGGGCTCCTTGGTCTAGCGGTAACGCCAGCATCTGGGAAGACGCCCTTTGCCAAGCAGACCATGGTCTAGCGGTAGCGTCAGTGTCAAGGAAAAACACCCACTACTTAGCAGACCAGGAAAGGGAATCCCCCTTTCCCCGGGGGAGTTTAGAGAAGACTCTACTCCTCCACCTCTTGTGGAGGGCCTGACATCAGGCCTGCCCGCAGTTATCTGGAGGCCTAACCGTCTCCCTGTGATGCTGTGCTTCAGTGGTCACACTCCTAGTCTGTCTTCATGTTCCATCCTGTACACCTGGCTCTGCCTTTTCGTTAGCAGTAGCAAATTAGTGAAAGTACTAAAAGTCTCTGATAAGCAGAAATAATGGCGTAAGCTGTCTCTCTCTCTCTCCTCTCTCTCTCTCTCTCTCTCTCTGCCTTGGCTGCCAGGCAGGGAAGGGCCCCCTGTCCAATGGACACGTGACCCACGTGACCTTACCTATCATTAGAGATGGCTCACACTCCTTACCCTGCCCCTTTGTCTTGTATCCAATAAATATCAGCGCAGGCTGGCATTCGGGGCCACTACCAGTCTCCGTGCCTTGGTGGTAGTGGTCCCCTGGGCCCAGCTGTCTTTTCTTTTATCTCTGTCTTGTGTCTTTATTTCTACGCTCTCTCGTCTCTGCACATGGGGAGAAAACCCACCGACCCTGTGGGGCTGGACCCTACAAAAGGACTAGTTCAGGCAACAGAGATTAAAGTCCAGAGGCAGCTAAGATGCAGGATACAATCCAAACAAAGAAATGAGAGGAGGCCGAGAAAGGTGGCTCACATCTGTAATCCCAGTGCTTTGGGAGGCCAAGGTAGGAGGATCACTTGAGTCCAGGAGTTCACCACCAGCCTGGAGAATGTACTGAGATGTTGCCTCTATAAAAAATGTTTAAAAATTTAGCAGGCTGGCCAGGCACAGTGGCTCACGTCTATAATCTCAGCACTTTGGGAGGCCAGGGTGGGCAGATCACCATAAGTAAGGAGTTAGAGACTAGCCTGGCCAACATGGTGAAACCCTGACTCTACTAATAATACAAAAAAATTAGCTGGGCGTGGTGGTGGCACATGCCTGTAATCTCGGCTACTTGAGAGGCTGAGGCAGGAGAATCACTTGAACCCGGGAGGCAGAGGTTGCAACGAGCCAAGATCGTGCCATTGCACTCCAGCCTGGGTGACAAGAGTGAAACTCCATCTCAAGAAAAAAAAAAAATTTAGCCAGGCCAGCTGCAGTGGCTCTTGCCTATAATCCCAGCACTTTGGGGGGCCAAGACGGGTGGATCATTTGAGGTCAGGAGTTTGAGACCAGCCTGGCCAAGATGATAAAACCCTTTCTCTACTAAAAATACAAAAAAATTATCTGGGTGTGGTGGTGTATGCCTGTAGTCCTTGCTGCTCGGTAGGCTAAGGTGGGAGAATCGTTTGAACCCAGGAAGCAGTGGTTTCAGTGAGCCAAGATCGTGCCACTGCATTCCAGCCTGGGAGACAAGGCAATATTCCATCTCAAAAAACAAAACAAAAATAAAAATTTAGCCAGGTGAGGTGAGCCCAGGAGTCTGAGGCCGCAGTGAGCTATGAGCCCAGAAGTCTGAGGCCACAGTGAGCTATGACCATACCACTGCACTCCAGCCTGGACAACTCAGCAAGACCCTGTCTCCAAAAAAAGAAAGACAGAGGGAGAGAGAGAGAGAGGGAGGGAGGAAAAGAGGGAGGGAGGGAAAAGAGGGAGAAAGGAAGGAAGGGAGGCAGGGAGGGAAGAAGGGAAGGTGGGAGTGAGGGAGGGAAAAGTATAATTCCAGAGACATTATAAGGAAATGGCCATAGATATAAATGTTACTGATTGATGACTGAATGTAAATAAGATGAAAAAGAGAGGAAATAATGAATGATGAGAACACTTTGGAGTTTGGATTGAGGGGTCCATCTACAAACAGCATGTTAGGATTTGTCTAGGAATGCTGATATCCAAAATCTGGTGGATAAGATTCAAGAAAATGACACTACTTCTTTAGCAGGATGAGAAGCATCAGTGCAGGGAAGGAGGAGGCCAGAGCTTTGCCATGGTGAATGTGAGTCCCTGGCATCCTGCACATGTGGCCAGTGGCTCCCATACAAACCAGAAAACACCAACAAATGCAAGAAACATGTCCTCCAGGCCAGGTACAGTGGCTCATGCCTGTAATCCCAGCACTCTGGGAGTCCGAGATGGGTGGATCACCTGAGGTCAAAAGGTCAAGACCAGCCTGACCAACATGGTGAAACTCTGTCTCTACTAAAAATACAAAAATTAGAGCCAGGCATGGCGGCTCATGCCTGTAATCCCAGCACTTTGGGAGGCCGAGGCAGGTGGATCACGAGGTCAGGAGTTCGAGACCAGCCTGGCCAATATGGTGAAACCCCATCTCTACTAAAAATATAAAAAATTAGCCAAGTGTGGCCGGGCACGGTGGCTCACGCCTGTAATCCCAGCACTTTGGGAGGCCGAAGTGGGTGGATCACGAGGTCAGGAGATAGAGACCATCCTGGCTAACATGGTGAAACCCCGTCTCTACTAAAATACAAAAAAACACTAGCAAGGCGTGGTGGTGCATGCCTGTAATCCCAGCTACTTGGGAGGCCGAGGCAGGGGAGTCGCTTGAACCCGGGAGGCAGAGGTTGCAGTGAGCCAAGATCGCGCCACTGCACTCCAGCCTGGCAATACAGCGAGACTCTGTTTTAAAAAAAAAAAAAAAAAAAATTAGCCAGGTGTGGTGGCACGTGCCTGTAGTCCCAGCTACTCAGGAGGCTGAGGCAGGAGAATCACTTGAACCCGGGAGGTGGAGGTTGCAGTGGAGTGCCACTGCACTCCTGCCTAGGTGACAGAATGAGACTCTGCCTCAAAAAAAAAAAAAAAAAAAATTAACTGGGCCTGGTGGCATGCGTCTGTAATCCCAGCTACTCGGGAGGGTGAGGCAGGAGAATCATTAGAACCCAGGAGGCGGAGGTTGCAGTGAGCCGAGATCGCGCCACTGCATTCCAGCCTGAGTTATAAGAGCCAAACTCTGTCTCAAAATAAAAAAAAGAAGTAACAAGTCCTCCAGAGGTTGCAGAGAGCTGAGATCAAGCCACTGCACTCTAGCCTGGGCAAAAGAGTGAGACTCCATCTCAAAAAAAAGAAAAAGAAACAAGTCCTCCAGAGAAAAGGAGGACAGTACACACTCAAGGGGAACATGATCTCGTTCTCTGCCAGGCTTATTTCTCTAAACTTCATCCTAACTGTTAGATCTATTCCTTCAAGCTCCAGCTAGGGCCCAAGAGAGAAATTTACAAGCTGAAGCCAGGCTCCTCCATTTTTGCTCCTCCTGCCAATAGCCACTCCTACCTTTAGGTCAATGATCCCACTCTTCTGCACTGGGAGGTAGGTGACCTGAAAGCCCTCAGCTTCCAGTGAACGGCAGGAGTCCAAGACACATTTGTGTTCTGTCTGGGTGGTGATCAAGTGCTTTTTCCGTGACCTGTAGAATCGGGCCACCCCCTAGAAATTGGTGGTGACAGATGGAAGGAGAACATACTCAGAGAGACAGCAATGACTTCAATCTCATTTGTAAAGGAAAAGTGGGCAAGAACAGTATGCTCCAACACCAGTTCTCTCATACCAACTGAGTATCCTATAATTCAATTCTGAGGCTAACTCTCCAGACTTAGTGAAAACCCCATGGGTTAAGGGCTCAATCGTACAAGACTGCCCCTAGTTCAGATACCAGACATAAGTCCCAGGGGTCTCAAGCTACCCATACTTCTGCCCAGTCAAATACAAATTCAGGGCTTCCCGAAGCCCGGTCAAGTTCAATAATTCACTAGAATAAATCACATTTGTCCAAACCCATAGAATGTACAACACCAGTGAATCCTAATATAAGCTATGGACTTTGGGTGATAATGATGTATCAATATCAGGTCATCAATTGCAACAAATGTACCACTTGATGGAGGATGCTAATAATGGCAGAAGGCTGTGCATACCTGGGGGCAGGGCATATATAGGAAATTTCTATACCTTCCTTTCAATTTTGCTGTGAACCTAAAACTGCTATAAAAAATAAAATCTATTAAAATAATAATAGTATACAGATTAATGTAGGTATTTAAAAATCTGGAGAAATATACAGCAAATTAGCAGTGAAAATGTGTTTAGAGTTCTACTCTATATTATTGGAATTTATGATTCATTCATTTAACCAATATTTAGCACCTCCAGTATCCCAAGTAATTTTCTAGGTGCCAGTGATATAACAGTAAACAAGTCATGAGTAGGTATTACTGTTAATATCACAAGAAACAATAAAGGTACATTTAAAAATTCCTGGAATTTCAACTATTACAAGAAACTAAAAAAAACATTTATCTCATTGAAGAAAAAAAAAAAGCGGCCAGGTGCAGTGCCTCACGACTGTAATCCGAGCACTTTGGGAGGCCGAGGCAGGTGGATCATCTAAGGTCAGGAGTTTGAGACCA
The DNA here is from genome assembly GCF_000001405.40 of Homo sapiens. NCBI lineage: Eukaryota > Metazoa > Chordata > Mammalia > Primates > Hominidae > Homo > Homo sapiens. The sequence goes on from NC_000020.11 coordinate 35,691,546, forward strand.
GCCTGGCCAACATGGGGAAACCCCATCTCTACTAAAAATTAAAAAATAAGCCAGGCCCGGTGGCACGCACCTGTAATCCCAACTACTCAGGAGGCTGAGGGAGGGGAATCACTTGAAATCAGGAGGCAGAGGTTGCAGTGAGCCAAGAGTGCTATTGCACTCCAGCCTGGGCAACAGAGCGAGACTGCATCTCAAAAAAAAAAAAAAAAAAAAAAAAAAAGAACGCCAGGTGCAGTGGCTCATGCCTGTAATCCCTCCACTTTGGGAGGCTCAGGCAGGTGGATCACGAGGTCAGGAGTTTGAGACCAGCCTGACGAACATGGTGGAACCCCATCTCTACTAAAAATACAAAAATGGCCAGGCGCGGTGGCTCACACCTGTAATTCCAACACTTTGGGAGGCCGAGAAGGGAGGGTCACCTAAGGTCGGGAGTTCAAGACCAGCCTGACCAACATGGAAAAACTCCGTCTCTACTAAAAAAAATACAAAAATTAGCCAGGCGTGGTAGTACATGCCTGTAATCCCAGATACTCTGGAGGCTGAGGCAGGAGAATCGCTTGAACCCAGGAGTTGGAGGCTGCAGTGAGCCGAGGTCACGCCATTGCACTTCAGCCTGGGCAACAAGAGCAAAACTCTGTCTCAAAAAATAAATAAATAAATAAAAATAAAAATACAAAAATTAGCGAGGTGTGGTGGCACGCACCTGTAATCCCGGCTACTCAGGAGGATGAGGCAGGAGAATCGCTTGAACCTGGGAGGCAGAGGTTGCAGTGAGCCGAGATCATGCCCCTACACTCTAGCCTGGGCGACAGGGTGAGACTCCATCTCAAAATAAATAAATAAATTAATTAATTAAAAAAAAAAAAGGGGGCTGGATGTGGTGGTGGCTAATGCCTATAATCCCACCACTTTGGGAGACTAAGGCAGGAGGATCGCTTGAGCTCAGGAGTTCAAGACCAGCCTGAGCAACATCATCTATACTAAAAAAAAAAAAAAAAAAAAAAAAAAAAAAATTAGCCTGGCGTGGTGGTACACATCTGTAGTCCCAGCTACTCAGGAGGATCACCTGAGCCAAGGAGGTCAAGGCTGCAGTGAGCTGAGATCTGGCTACTGCACTCCAGCCTAGGTGAGATCAAGACTCTGTCTCAAAAAACAGAAAAAAGAAAAAAAAATGGGCCAGGAGCAGTGGTTCACACCTGTAATCCCAGCACTTTGGGAGACTGAGGCAGGTGGATCACCTGAGGTCAGAAGTTTGAGACCAGCCTAGTCAACATGGCGAAACCCCGTCTCTACTAAAAATACAAAAATTAGCTGGGTGTGGTAGCAGGCTCCTGTAATCCCAGCTACTCAGGAAGATGAGGCAGGAGAATCGCTTGAACCCTGGAGGCAGAAGTTGTAGTAAGCCAAGATTACGGCACTGCACTCCAGCCTGGGTGACACAGCAAGACTCCCCCTTGGGAAAAAAAAAAAGAATTAACAGTATCAACTTTGCAGAACAGGATCAGGGACTGGGGTCCTTGGGGAAGGAGAGGAAGATTTACACTTCATTTTATTTTATTTTTGTTTATTTATTTTTTGAGACGGTCTCATTCTGTCACCCAGGCTGGAGTGCAGTGGTGTGGTCTCGGCCCACTGCAACCTCTGCCTCCCGAGTTCAAGCAATTCTCTTGTCTCAGCCTCCCGAGTAGCTGGGACTACAGCCACCACACCCAGCTAATTTTTTGTATTTTTTAGTAGAGATGGTGTTTCACCATTTTGCCCAGGATGGTCTCGAACTCCTGAGCTCAGACAACCTGCCTGCCTCGGCCTCCCAATGTGCTAAGATCACAGGCTTGACCCACTGCACCCGGCCTACACTTCATTTTAAATCTTTCCATTGGTTTTAAAAAAACACACCATATGTGACAGAATTATTTTTCAAAAATTAAAAACTTGGAAAGAAAATGTGCATCTCTCCCCAGAGCTTATAAAAGACTATTACCTTTAACAGCAGAATAAAAAGCCAGGTGCAGTGGCTCAAGCCAGTAATCCCAGAACTTTGGGAGGCAAAGGCAGGAGGATCACATGAGCCCAGGAGTTCAAGACCAGCCTGGGCAACATAATGAGAGCCGCATCTCTACAAAAATTAAAATAACAGGCCGGGCGCGGTGGTTCACACCTGTAAAACCAGCACTTCGGTTGGCCAAGGCAGGCGGATCACAAGGTCAGGAGATCGAGACCATCTTGGCTAACATGGTGAAACCCCATCTCTACTAAAAATAGAAAAATTAGCCAGGCGTGGTGGTGGGAGCCTGTAGTCCTACCTACTCAGGAGGCTGAGGCAGGAGAATGGCGTGAACCCAGGAGGCAGAGCTTGCAGTGAGCTGAGATCACGCCACTGCACTCCAGCCTGGGCGACAGAGCCAGGCTCCATCTCAAAAAAAAATAAATAAATAAATTAAAATAACAAAATTAGACAGGCGTGCTAGTACACGCCTGTAAGCCTAGCTACTTGGGAGGCTAAGATGAGAGGATTGCTTGAGTCCAGGAGTTCAAGGCTCCAGTGAGCTGTGATTGTGCAACTGCACCCCAGCCTAGGTGACAGAATGAGACCATGTCTTTTTTTTTTTTTTTTTTGAGACAGAGTTTCGCCCTTGTTGCTACAGTGCAATGGCGCAATCTCGGCCCACTGCAACTGCAACCTCTGCCTCCTGGGTTCAACTGATTCTCCTGCCTCAGCCTTCCAAGTAGCTAGGACTACAGGGGTGTGCCACCACACCCAGGTAGTTTTTGCATTTTTAGTAGAGACGGGGTTTTACCATGTTGGTCAGGCTGGTCTCGAACTCCTGATCTCAGATGATCTGCCGGTCTCAGCCTCCCAAAGTGCTGGGATTACAGGTGTAAGCCACTGGGCCCGGCTGAGACCCTGTCTTATAAAAAATAAACACATAAATAAAATAAAAGCAGAATATTAAACCATATAGGACAAAATTATAACTATGTAAAAATGGTCTGTTCATGAGGACAAAGAACATAAATGAGAAACATTTATAATTGATTTATACTCTATTTTATCCTAAAAAGTATTTACATCAGTAAGTAAAAATGGTTGTGGGGCACTTTGGGAGGCCGAGGAGGGCGGATCACGAGGTCAGGAGATCGAGACCATTCTGGCTAACACAGTGAAACCCTGTCTCTACTAAAAATACAAAAAATTAGCCGGGTGTGGTGGAGGGCGCCTGTAGTCCCAGCTACTCAGGAGGCTGAGGCAGGAGAATGGCGTGAACCCAGGAGGCGGAGCTTGCAGTGAGTCAAGATCGTGCCACTGCACTCCAGCCTGGATGACAGAGTGAGACTCAGTCTAAAAAAAAAAAAAGAAAAAATGGTTGTGGGATGGTGATGATAGTTCAAAATGTTACAGTTGTTTATAAAAATTTCATTTAAATGACATTTCACCACCCACCCACCTTATTTTATCTCAGTTACCCATGATGTAGATTTCTTTAACAATTTATAGATTATTTTACTCTACCAATCATGGAGATTAAAAGAAACATCATCACAGGTACTCTTAGCGATCCTTGACCTGTTGGTTTGGAATCTGTGGAGACTTCCAAAGAAAATATTTTCGAAGTTTTGAAAATGCTCTCCATTTCAGAAACCATCTCCACCTTTGGAGGAACCTTCACCCCGACTCTCTGGTCTCTGCAGTCCCAAGGAAGGATGCCTTCCTGTTAACATGATCAGGCAGAGTGCTGATGACCCTGAAGCCCGTCCTAGGCCTCCTATATTCAGGCCAAGGTCAAAGAAACCAACACTGGCAGCACAGTTCAAAGACAAAGATGAGAGCAAGTGGAGCCAGAGTTCAAAGTACAGCAAGCCACAATTTCTCAGAGCCTTGGCATTTACTCACATAATCCTGGCAACCAGGCCCAGTGAAATCTGACTATGTTCTATGAAACACCAACGTGACTACTAAAAGTACCTTTTCCTTGCATTAGCACCAAAGATCTTCTATGTACCCAGGACAAAATGACTGATCCCAGAATGGGTGACCATGTGAATGCCTGCAGAGGGCACCACAAAGACAAGCACTTCAAAATGGAGATATCTAAAGAAACAGGAGGAACTTGTTGCAAATAGATCTGATCAGAAAGAAAAAGGAAGGCTGAGAGGAGGACAGCCCTGAAATCACATATATAACTTGTTGTTACTAGATAAAAAGAATGGAGAAAGGCCGGGTACGGTGGCTCACACCTGTAATCCCAGCACTTTGGGAGGTCGAGATGGGAGGATCATCAGGTCAAGAGATTGAGATCATCCTGGCCAATATGGTGAAACCCCATCTCTACTAAAAATATAAAAATTAGTTGGGCATGGTGGCGGGCACCTGTACTCCCAGCTACTCTGGAGGCTGAGGCAGGAGAATCACTTGAACCTGGGAGGTGGAGTTTGCAGTGAGCTGAGATTGCGCCACTGCACTCCAGCCTGGCGACAGAGTGAGACTATGTATCAAAAAAAAAAAGAAGAATGGAGAAAAGGTTCAATCACCATTATCCACTCTCTGAAGTAACTGCCAGACAAAAAAAAAACAAGTGGTTAATGGCCTGAGGGCCACCTCCTTTGCTATCCAACTGCCTCACTCAACTCAGACCAACAGCAGCAAAGACTTAAGAAAGAGTAGACTGCAAAGGGTTAAAGGAAGCAACAAATCAGAAAGACTGCAAGCCTTCTCTTCACAATGGGGTGGGGATGGATGGCTGCGAAATACATATACGAGTCCAAATGATGGAGGGACACTATCTCCTAGGTCAGGAAAGCCCACATACACCCTCTGGTTCCCTTCTCTTACCTTAATTGCTATGTTGTTGGATTCAGTAGCACCACTAGTAAAAATGATCTCACGAGGATCAGCTCCAATCAGAGATGCTACTTGCTGCAAGCCAAGAAACAGAGATATATAACATCAGTTCCCCAGGCAGAAATAGAGCTGCAGACACAGGTGGGACAGCCCTGGAGCAAGAAGAGCTCCACTGCATTCCACCAAATTGCCCTGGATGAAGGTCTGCACCTACAAGAATCAGATTCTAGTTATATCCCAGATCCCAGGCTCTTTTCCAGCCCAATGCAAAATAATAACTTTTTTTTTTTAATGAACTATTGGCCAGGTGTGGTGGGTCACTCCTGTAACCCCAGCACTTTGGGAGGCCGAGGTGGAAAGATCACCTGAGGTCAGGAGTTCGAGACCAACCTGGCCAACATGGTGAAACTCCATTTCTACTAAGAATACAAAAATATTAGGCCGGGCATGGTGGCTCAAGCCTGTAATCCCAGCACTTTGGGAGGCTGAGGCAGGTGGATCACCTGAGGTCGGGAATTCAAGACCAGCCTGACCAACATGGAGAAACCCCGTCTCTACTAAAAATACAAATTTACCCGGGTGTGGTGGCGCATGCCTGTAATCCCAGCTACTTGGGAGGCTGAGGTAGGAGAACTGCTTGAACCCGGGAGGCAGAGGTTGCAGTGAGCCGAGATCGTGCCACTGCACTGCAGCCTGGGTAACAAGAGCAAAACTCTGTCTCAAATAATAGTAAATAAATAAATAAATAAAAATACAAAAATATTAGCTAGGCATGGTGGCGTGTGCCTGTAATCCCAATTACTTGGGAGGCTGAGGCAGCAGAATCACTTGAACCCGGGAGGCAGAGGTTGCAGTGAGCCAAGATCGTGCGCCACTGCACTCCAGTCTGGGCAACAAATGTGAAAACTCCATCTCATAAAAAAAAAAAAAAAGAACTATTGAGCTCTTACTATTTATAGTACTTCTTACTTACAGATGTTGTGGTAATAAACACTTTATCAGCATTGTCTTATTTAATCCACCCAGTAACCCTACAGAGTAGAAACTACCACAATCTCTGTTTTAAATGAGGAAAATAAGGCTCAAAGAAATTAGATAACTTGCCCAAGTCATTTAGCCAGGAAATATGGGAACCAATCAAATGCCTGCAGTCAAACTCCAAGGCTGCTCTTTGAATCTCTTCCAGAAAGAATCCAAAACCATTTCTACCTCCATGCACACCTACCAAGAAAGAAATGCCTCCCACAGGCCACTGCCCCTCTTTGACCTTAGAACCTCCTAGACTCCTGTGTACTAACCTGACGAGCACGTTCCATGGCTGCCTCACTCTCCCAGCCATAAGCATGTGTCCGGGAGTGTGGGTTCCCATAGTAGTTGATTAGGTAAGGGAGCATGGCATCAAGCACCCGGGGGTCCTGAACACAACAGAACAGATCATTTTCCTTGAGCGCATCGTCAATTCAGGTCCCACTCCACCCCTCAGACCTGGCCACCCTGCCTTAAGACACTCTCAACCCCTCAGGCACTGCCTAGAGGAGGCCTCAAACATTCTTTTGTTCCCACAAAACTACCCACCAAATATCAACCTAATACACTCCCACTCACAACCCATCCCAACTCGGATTGTTCTGCCTCCCCTCAGGTAGTCTACAAACACTGCCTTGTTCCGACATCTGTTTCTGCTGGTGTTTCCATTCCTGCCAGGTAATGTGATCTATAAGGGGCTGGGACAGGACAGGGCCTAGGCAAACACCCCTGGTCACACATTGGTGAAAACTTGCATTAGTCTTTTAACCCGTTTAATACTTGTCCAAGTTCACACAGTTACTAAGTGGCCGTTCTGCTCATTCCAGAGCCCATGCTTTTAACTAATACTATAGAGCCTGCGCTGAAGTGATCTGACCAAGGTCAATTGCTAGTGAGTAGTAAAGCCAATGCCAGTGGCCTCGAATTTAAGCCTCCCGACTCCTCGCTCAGTGCTTTTTCCAGCACACCTTCACGGCTCTCACTTCTCCAGGGATTCAGCCATTTCTTTGCGTGATCACGCCCATCATTTACTTCCTATAAGCAGCCTTGGGAAAAGCTTCATCCTTACCAGAGGAGTTGTAGCTTGCACATCCATATAGAGAGGTCGCAGCACTGGCCCCACCTCCGGGGCAGCGGCTGTATCTGCGGGAACCGCAGACTGAGGAGCACGGTCTCCAACTGATAAAAAATGGAACGGAGTAGCCAAGTAAGACCGAAGGCAACTATGAACGCATGGCATCCAAAGGGCAGAAGGAAAAATCTGGCTGGAGGTGAGATAAGTGTAAGGGATGCTAGGGTCGAATCTCAATGGAAAGAAAACAACACCAGATACCTGACACGCTGTAAAAGGAGGTAAGGGAGAGGGAGAGAGGGTTCCTGGAGGGGGTGTTGAGTTGATATTCAAATGGTATCGTAGGAAGGAAGGCTCTAAAGGGCAAAGACGTTTAGAAGGAACGTGGAGCCAGAGTAGGTGCAGTCCCTTCTGACCGAAGGTAACGGTCTGCACGGGAGCCCGGAGCAGCATCTGTAACTTGGCCAGGAGCGGTCTGAAGGACGCGCCTCCACGGCTCTGGGGGCCTGTCGCGCAGGGTGCGAGGGGTGGTGCGCCGGGGTCAACCGTTCGGGGACCCGCCTAAGAAAGTTTGAGGGATGTGTCATTTGAGAGAAGGGTCAGAGGGTCTGGGCAGCAGGGTGGACAGGAAGGCTCCGGAATATTCAGTTGCGTCGCCGCGCGGAGGGGACAGGTCCGCGCCTCCCGGAGAGCGGGACCCGAGCGTACCGCGCAGGCGCAGCCCCCGAGTGGGCGCCGCGGGCTTCGGCCCTGGAGCCGCTGTCACCGCCACTGCCGCCCGCCTCCAAGCGGCTCGGAGCAGCATGGTCCCGCTGGCAGAGCCCACCTTCCGAAGCCGCTGCAGTCCTGGGCCCCAGGCTCCCGGAAGTGCTGCCCGGCGCTCCGGAAGCGATTCATCGGGCCGCGAGCGCCCTCCCCGTCGTTTTCCGTGAGAGACGTAGAGCTGAGCGACCCAGCCCGCGAGCGAGGTGAGGTAGGCGCCGGGCGACGCGGGGCCGGAACGCGAAGAGGGTGGTGGAGTCGGGCTACCCACTGATTTTCCTTCCCTTACTTCCCCTGAGCCCTTGGGCCCACTTCCCAGCCTACCGCTTCCGTCCCCGCCCGACTCTTGGGCCAGCGCCTGGGCCCACACTTTCCTATCCCCCGCAGATGCCGGTGGCCGTGGGTCCCTACGGACAGTCCCAGCCAAGCTGCTTCGACCGTGTCAAAATGGGCTTCGTGATGGGTTGCGCCGTGGGCATGGCGGCCGGGGCGCTCTTCGGCACCTTTTCCTGTCTCAGGTGAGGGGCGCGGGCGGTGATCTCTGGGCAGGACAACCAGACCTTCCGGCCCTGCCCCATTCGGCCTGGAGCCTGAACACAGCCTCCTTCTTTCGACTTCCCTCTCTGTCCCCTCGCGAGCCAGACTCATTCCAAACCACCTTCAATCTGTAAAGTCAGGTTGGAAGCGTCAGTGCTTAAGAATTTGAGCTTTAGAGTCAAAATGCTTTCTGGCCCTTTTCTTACTGGTTCGGTGACTTTAGGCAAGTTGGAGACTGGGTTTCCTTAAGTGTAGAATGAAGACAGTAGCATCTAACTTATAGAGTTGTAAAAATTCGATCAGCACACTTTGCACAGCATCTGGCACATATTAAGTGCTCAGTAACTAGTTACTACTGTTGCTTTTATTTTTTTTTCCAATTGCGCATAAGGAAAGAAACTCGTTCAGCGGTTTTACTATTCTGGATACAGGATACAGAGATAAAGCAGTTAAACTTTACACTCTAAAGGTCATTTTCACATTTAGAGGCTGTTATTGCCATATCCCTAGATTGTAAATTATCATTTACAGAGCACTTACTCTATGTTAAGCACTGTGCTAAATACTGTAGTTTTCAAAATCCTGTAAATAATGTTGAGATGCCCATTTTACACTTGACACTATGTGTAAATTGTAGAGCTGACTCTTGAACCCCCACCTTACTCCAAAATCATTAACACCAAGAAACTAAAAGACAGATGTCTTTATTGGGTCTTAAACTGCAGGCAACACCAGTCAAAAAAGCTGGTTTCTCTATGTATTTTACACTGCATCTGCTGCCTCCCACAAACTGAAGGCAGTTAATACGACATCCACCAGAAAAATACCCTGGAGACCCAGATGGATCTTTTTCCTTCTCATTACCCACCCCAGGTAGTAAGATATAATATCCAGTAAGTGGAAAATCAGATGTAGGGGTTGCTAGACTAGTGTTAGCAAAAAATTGGAAAGGAGCAGTTAATACTCTTTCTGATATTTTTGTTACCAAATAGCTCCATCTTGGTTTCCTCCTCAGGATCGGAATGCGGGGTCGAGAGCTGATGGGCGGCATTGGGAAAACCATGATGCAGAGTGGCGGCACCTTTGGCACATTCATGGCCATTGGGATGGGCATCCGATGCTAACCATGGTTGCCAACTACATCTGTCCCTTCCCATCAATCCCAGCCCATGTACTAATAAAAGAAAGTCTTTGAGTAGTCAGTGTCCCTCTCTTAAAGGAATATTCTTCTCTCAGCCTATTATCCAGCTTTGCCAAGGATCTTCTGCACTAAAGAGATGGACTAACGTAATGACTAGGGTTAGTATCTCTTTCACAAGGCCTGCCTCTCTTAATCCAAAATTGGAAAACTTGGGAGTGTCTAGTATTTTCCATAGATACTATTCAACTAATTACTCAGTACAACTCTGTGCTTGTTACTACGGTCACCATTTTAAAGGAGAAAAACTACTTCAAAAAATGGATTTATAAGCCGAAATTTCCTCAAGGTCACACATTGCATTATTTCCAAAGCAATGTTCATCCTGAGGTTGGTTGTTTCCTTGGTCGCCCAGGTTGGAGTGCAGTGGCACGATCTCGGCTTACCGCAACTTCTGCCTCCTGTGTTCAAGCGTTTCTCCTGCCTCAGCCTCCCGAGTAGCTGTGATAACAGGCACGTGCCACCATGCCTAGCTAAATTTTGTATTGTTAGGCTGGGCGCGGTGGCTTATGCCTGTAATCCCAGCACTTTGGGAGGCAAAGGCTGGTGGATCACAAGGTCAGGAGATGGAGACCATCTTGGGTAACACGGTGACACCCCGTCTCTACTAAAAATACAAAAACTTAAGCCGGGTGTGTTGACACGCGCCTGTATTCCCAGCTACTCGGGAGGCTGAGGCAGGAGAATCGCTTGAACCCAGAAGGTGGAGGTTGCAGTGAGCTGAGATCGAGCCATTGCACTCCAGCCTGGGCGACAGAGCGAGACTCTGTCTCAAAACAAAAAAAATTTGTATTCTTAGTAGAGACGGGGTTTCACTGTGTTGGCCAGGCTGGTCTCAAACTCTTGACCTCATGATCCACCCGCCTCCGCCTCCCAGTGTTCACATATACAGGCATAAGGCACCACGTCCAGCCCGAGGTTGTTATTTAGATATACCTAGTGGCTTTATCAGAAAAAGCAAAACAGTTCATCCACTGTAAAAAAAAATAGAAACTTCTGTAGCTTCTCAACTGGCTAAATTCCAGATGATTTTCTAACCACTCATCAACAATCTATATAGCTTGCCCTCCACAAAACTTACTAGTTTGATGATAAAAAGCTTCTGTAATGAGGCAGTTGTCCATCTCACCTGCCCAGGCCACGCAGACCCTGGAGTTACTAACCCGCATTGCCCATTAAGCATTTCTTAAACAGAACTTTCAAAGATGGTAGTAATTATTATAAAGATAAAAGAAAACTAGATGAACACTTTGGAACACTGACAGGCAGGAGGAAATTAAGGACATTACCAGATTAGTTACAGATTTTCGAACCAGTGGGATGCTGACTCAGGAACTGATTGGACATAAACAGTTTCACTCAGAATGAGCTGTTTTCTATGCACGACACTATTCAAGTTACTACACTCCAACCACATTTCCTCTGAACATTATTTACACACCAAATTTCACTCTGGTAGCAACTAAATTTTGGCACAGATGAGATTAACCACTAAAGGCCACATTTGCTGGTCCAGTTCCCTAGAAAGCAATGACACAACAAATTTGTTAGGAAGACTTGGTTCAAGGGGAAAAACTGATAGCAGGAGATACTTTGGAAAAAGAGCACACTGACAGAGTGTCTCTGCCCCAAAGAACTCTGCAGTCTGGTATTGAAAAGTAAATTTTCAATGAGGCTGGGCGCGGTGGCTCATGCCTGTAATCCCGGCACTTTGGGAGGCCAAGGCGGACAGATCACTTGAGGTCAGTGTGAGACCAGCCGGGCTAACACCGTCTCTGCTAAAAATACAAAAATTAGCTGGGCACGGTGGTGCGCACCTGTCCCAGCTCTTCAGGAGACTGAGGTGGGAGAATTGCTTGAACCTGGGAGATGGAGCTGAGATCACATCACTGCACTCCAGCCTGGGCCAAAGAGCAAGACTCCATCTCAAAAAGAAAAAGAAATTGAACCTTGGGAGTTTCCATACAAATTAAATCACTAGAACAATTATTGGGATAAATGTCAAACAAAACGACTGATATGAAATTCTGAATAAGCCTGTAAAACTTGTGCTTCAATGCTAACAAAAAAAAAAGTTGAACAAATGAGGTAAGGAACTCAGTATTTGAAGATAAGCTAGGAGCAGCATTTCCTACTCAAAAGATTTACCAAGAGATAAACAGTTGAAGAGAATTGAGTATAAATGGTGACAGCTTGCTTCCCAACTAGTATGAAAGCTCAAAACCCCTTAATACAGTAATATATGCACCTTATTTAATATATTAATATATAAATCAATTTTGGAAACCAGTTTGAAGTTAAGCCATTTTGTTAAGTATGTATTGTAAATGGTGAAAATTTCTTCATAAATATGCCCAGACAATGCAGGAGACCAAGAATGCCCAGGTTTTAAGGCCAGGCTGTTTCCTTTTCTTTTTGGTAAACCCCTCAGTTTTGATACATTCTTCTAAAATACACAGGGCTAGACTCTAATAGAATAAAGGAATTCATGGGGGACAACGTGAGGGCAAGTTTCCGCAGACTCGGAACATTTTCCCAAGAGGCAAGTACTGAATTGAGACTAAAAGAAGCTAATTCTGTTCTCAAATTTCTGTAACTTTAAAACATTTGAAAAATGAAGATCTCCTGTGGCCTTTTTAAGAGACTTTTATTTGAGTGGTTCTTACAAAGATTGTTGCAATATGAAAGTCATTTGTTTGATAGAAATATCAAGCTGTCTTGTCAAACACACTGAAGTAACCCAAAAATATATTTCAGAGCTCACAGAGCTTAAAAAGAGCAAAGATTATATGCAACCAGACAAAACCTATTTCTGCATTTCCTATTTCTTTCTCAGACTGCTTTGCCTACCAGACTCTCACGTTTAAACATCTTCAGGAAATGCAGGGATCATTTTGTTTGGAATTTTAAGACACACCAGAACACATAGTATTTACAAAGAAACTTTTACAGATACATTAATTGAAAAGATACCATCAAGAAATATAATTTTGAAATCTCCCTTTCTTGCCAATTGATCAGAATGCAAGATGAGATGCTAACCAAACAGCCCTTTAGCTGTCTTGTATTTCCATACACTAAATGTGTATTTCAGAAACTGCTCAACCATCAGCCAAATATCAACATTAGTGAAATGTGAAATGTAACCACTGTGTAAAAAGTTAGGCTTCTGAAACATTAAAAACATTACATCCCTGGTCTGCCTTTTTACAGAAAGCACATTTGTTCTCCTAGAGCTATTCCTATAGTTCATTAATTTTCTACATGAACATTTTAAAAGGCAGAACAAGAGAACAGTTTTGTATACAGTGGGATTTACTATTTAGGGAGAATGAGCACACTGCATTCCTGTTAACATTTTTATTTTTTCAAGGTAACAGGAAATTGCATACAAATGACAGTAGATCCTTGCCTCTTTATTTTTATCTAAATAAAAGATAACTCAAGATGAATTCTCAAGAAAGAAAAAAAGCTATATACATAAGGGACTATATCTTCCTTCATCGTCTACTTGGAACCAGTAGCTGTGTTGCTGTCATAGAATCAGGAAACAGGTTGTGGTAAGTTGGAAGAGGTACATATGCTGCTGTTATCATTTTACCTATTAAAAGAAACAGACATGTTGGGTTTAGCATCTTCATTATAGAGCCTTAATAACAATCAGTCAAAAAATAAATTCAAACTCACCAGCAAACCACCTGCCATGCAATGCATTGACAGCAGCAATAGCTGCAGCAATTGATGGGCACTTCACATACACATTGCCCTACAGAAAAAATGAAAAAAAAGGTAAAGATGTTGCTGTATGCAAAATGGACCCAAGTTATGTTTATTCAAGTTGCCTGTAGAAACTTAGTGCTCTATAACCACAAACTGGTTTACCATAATGGTTCCACTGGCTAATAGGTATACTAGAATTTTATTAAAAAATGACTTCTACTCTCAAATTTGCCGTTTTATCTTTTCTCTACGATTTGTATGCAGCCTAAGAATGAATCAAGATGCCAAGATTTCATGGCAAGCTTTGAGCATTACTAGAAATCCTCTCATACCCTGATCAAATTGTTACTGATTTTCTTTTATTTTGGAGGGTTTATTTAGCCACTATATTAAAGCTACTTTCAGGCACACACACACAAAAACTATAATGGAAGACGGTTAACCATAACATGCACCACATAATGTGCGAAGATTAAGGTAGAGACGAACAACCTAACATCATTTATAAAAAAAGATGAAAATACCTGAGCTGAATTTTTGTCAACATAAATATGAATAACTCCTCCATGTTTATTACATTCTTCAATCACATCATCCTTAATCTCGGTATCCCATCCAACTTCTTCTTCTCTGTAAGAAAGTATTAAGGACTCTTAAATACTATTGAAACTAACAAACTATATATTTACAAATGTATCAAAAAATTTAAATATTCTATGAATTAAAAAAAATACTTTGGAAAAAAAGCACATTGACAGAACGTCTCTGCCCCAAAGAACACTGCAGTCTGGTATTGAAAAATAAATTTTCAATGAGGCCGGGCGCGGTGACTCATGCCTGTAATCCCAGCACTTTGGGAGGCCGAAGTGGGCAGATCACCAGAGATCAGGAGTTTGAGACCAGCCTGGCCATGATGGAGAAATCCGGTCTCTACTGAAAATCCAAAATTTAGCCACGAGTGGTGGCAGATGCCTGAAATCCCAGCTATTCAAGAGGCTGAAGCAGGAGAATCGCTTGAGCCTAGGAGGCTGAGGTTGCAGTGAGCCAGTATCAAATCCCTGCATGCCAGCCTAGGTAACTCCGTCTCAAAAAAAAAAAAAAGTTAAAAGATACAGATAGGGCTCTGGGGAAAATCAAAGCAAAATAAGATAGAAAATATTGATCCCATCCTACTTTATGACTCTGCATAACTTGAAAGTGACTTTTAAATAGTTAAATGGGCCAGGCGCAGCAGCTCATGCCTGTAATTTCAGCACTTTGGGAAGCTGAGGCGGGCACATCACTTGAGGTCAGGAGTTCAAGACCAGCCTGGCCAACATGGCGAAACCCCAGCTCTACTATAAAAATACAAAAATCAGCCAGGCATCATGGCACACGCCTGTAATCCCAGCACTTTCGGATGCTGAAGCGAGCAGATCACTTAAGGTCAGGAGTTCGAGACCAGCCTGGCCAACACGGCAAAACCCTGTCTCTACTAAAAACACAAAAGTAGTTGGGCGTGGTGGTGTGCACTTGTAATCCCAGCTACTCGAAAGGCATGAGAACTGCTTGAACCTGGGAGATGGAGGTTGCAGTGAGCTAAGATAGAGCCGGTGGCGCCACTATACTCCAACCTAGACTGAGACTCTGGCTCCAACAAAAAAAGTTAAATACTTCAATGCTATCAAATGATACTTACAACGAAAGTTTATCACCATTTCATAGATAAAACTAAAGTAAATTTGGTACTGGGAAAACAAAAGAATTCAAGACTCTTTGGATGAAACAGTCATACAATTGTCATTATATGAAATGTAACTTATTGAAATCGAAACAAAAATCTACATTTTGATTGGATGTACTATATTATAAATATGATTTATAAAACCAATGAGAAGAGTTAAAAAATAGCATTCTAATCACTAGCTAGGCATAGTTACTAGCATTCTAATGCTAATAGTTATTAGCATCCTAATCACTAGCTAGGCATAGTTTCCGCACCTGGCCGAAAAATTATTTTAAAAGGATCAAAACTATGCAGTTTCAAATGAAATACGGAAATACCAGGCCGGGCCCGGTGGCTCATGCCTGTAATCCCAGCACTTTGGTAGGCTAAGGTGGGCGGATCACCTCAGGTCGGGAGTTTGAGACCAGCCTGACCAACATGGTGAAACCCCATCTCTACTAAAACTACAAAATTAGCCAGGTGTGGTGGCGCATGCCTGTAATCCCAGCCACTCGGAAGGCTGAGGCAGGAGAATCGCTTGAACCCAGGAGGCGGAGGTTGCAGTAAGCCAAGATCGCGCCATTGCACTCCAGCCTAGACAACAAGAGCGAAACTCCATCTTAAAAAAAAAAAAAAAAAAAAAAAAGAGAAATATATAAAACAACTCTATTGACGCCTTGATAGGAAATATCAAGAATAAAGTCCATTACTTACGTTTGAGGGTTAAACATGTTAGAGAGTTGGAAACATTGTGTTGCAAGTGGCTGAACAGAGGCAGCTGCAGCTAAAGCTGAAGCTAAAAAAAGAAAGAGAAAAATTAGTTTCATGGAAAATGCATGAAAGTATCCCTCATAAATACTTTAAAACGAAACCAAAAACCCACCCCAAGCATGTAACTAGGATGTCACTGGAGTTATTTTACCTTATTTAATATTGCTACTAATGTATGTTATCAGTAGCTTTTAGGTGCCAGAAAACTGAGGTAACCTAATACTTGAAACAGACATTCAGAAATTTGGGAGTCCTATTTTAACAGGGAAATTAAACTTTATGTGTTATCAAAATCAGTTCAATTAGACAAAATCTCAATACACATCAATCCAAACAGATGAAGGATAAAATAGATTTGAGTTTATACCCAAATAAGAGGGGATAATAAAACAAAATCCTTTGAAATGCCAAATAAATCTATATCCTTTCCTATTTCTTCGCTTTCTGCCCACGAAGTTTTTTAAATCTACAAATTATTAAAGAATTAAGACATATAAAATCATCCAAGTGTTTAAAGACAATGTCCTAGAAAAATAAATCCTATTAACAATCCTATTAAAAATAAATCCTATTAATAAATCAAATGTTTTAAAAATGTTTTCGCACAATAAAAGAACACTGAAAAGAGCAGCATATATGTGTAATATCCACTACTACCAAAACATACTGGGGTTTGAAGTTTAAAGAGCATTTTCCAAGACAGTTGCTCCAATGCTTTCACGTGATTTACAAAAATATTACCAGTAGCTGTTACAGAACTCACCGTAATCATATTATCTGACCAAATTTCATTCCAAAACATAATAACAAACAAAGCTAAGGATAAAACAGTGCATTAGAAATTATGGTAATTAAAATAAACGATCACTTAAAGTATCAGAAATATTACACCGAGAAATTAGGGCTGTGCATGAAATATATCATAAATGATAACTTTCTGGTAGCATTACAGGTGCTTTAGCTTCTCTGTAACATATAAGTTTTTTCTTTCATAAAGTTTTATTTTAAATAAAACAAAATTTTAATATAACATGTCAAATTCTGCTGGAAAAAAGTTAAAGATTCGAGAGTGTATTATAACTGTGCAAAAATGAAGCTCACTGTGTAGCTTACAGAAGATATGGAAGTATCCTTAAAAAAAACTAGAAAGTCTAAACAGAACTGAGGAAGACTTGATTCTTCCAGTTTCTCAAGTTTAGTATGATTATATACTATGAATACTAAAAAATATTAAGAAAACGTACTATACAAACATTCACGTTCAAGCTAGATCAATGCAGAACACAGTAAATCTAGGAAAATCTTTTAAAAATCTCTTAACAAAACAGCACTGATTAGAAGCATCTTGTTTGTGAAAAAATTTAATTCTTGACTGTGATGGAACATGACATATCTTTCTCATAATCATTTCCCTAAACATTAAGCATACTCCTACAAAAGATATAGAACTTACATTAACAGCAAAATGCTCATGTCAAGCAACAGAGATTTAGTGATAACTAAAAACAAGAAATCATAGCCTACTTAATGAATGGTTTCTCTGAAATGTGCATGTAATTTAAGTATGTATAAACCTCTTATTGCTTGGTACTGGCTTAAATAAATCACTGAGTACTATGTCTTAAGCAAAAAAAGGTGAGTTTTATAGCATGATTCACAACTTTATACTAAGACAACTTCCAGATTCCAGGTTCTAAAATACTTGCCTACTCGTTAATAAGAGAATACTTCATTTCCTGACTTCTATATGCAACTTATCAACACTTAGAACACACAGGTAGGCATAAAACAAAAACAAGGTTGAAAATTTTAAGCAAACTAAAGCAAAAAAAAAAATTGTTATTTTGATTTTTTTTAAGTCCATTAATTTGGGTTAGGTCTTCTGAAATACAGACAGATTACTATGAATATACCACTATGTGTCACTGTGTCAAAATTTGGTCCAAATTACTGGTATAAAAATATGACAATAAATATAGAAAACTGTCTTACTACATTTAATTCTATTTCAAAGACAAAAATAAAAAATATGAACACTTCAACTCACCTTCAGTCTGCTGGGAAAGTCTTGTTTGCAAATCTATAACAAAAGAGAATTCTACAGCTCAGTGCAGGAACAATGAAGAGCCTCAACTAACAGGGTAAATGTCAGGAAAGCATTAATAAAAGAGGACTACAATAGCAGGGTTCATTCAAATGCACTTAGTAAAACCTGGCAGCAAAACCTCCTTCCCCATTCCTCATTGAGAAGGCTTTGGGGCCTTTTTTCCCCCTCTTATCCTGGGAAACTTACTTTTCCCTCTCTCTTCCTAGACTAGACTACTCTTCCACATCTCAAGTGATTTTCACTACACTACTATACAGCTGGGAATAATGGGAAATGGGGAAAGGGAAGCACACCGGTCAGAAAATGAGTGAAAAACCCTGATCTTGAGAATTCAATTCCAAGTACTTGGGAAATGCAAGTATTTATATTTTTAGTGGCCATAGTACTTAACACTTTAAAAGGATATTATAAAATTGTAAATACTGCACATCAAAAAGCTGTAACAGTTTCCATGATTTCCCAATTTAGGAAGAACATCACCATTGGGAAATACACCATTCCAACAGTATGCATATATTATTTTTTTAAGGACTTTTCAAAGATTTAACTTGTCAAATCTAGCCCATAATGGGGCAACTTGATTATTGATTTCCTGGCCTAGTGTAAAAATTTAGCAAGGCAGAAATAAAAATCTCTGGAGTTTTCTTAAAAGCTATGAAGTTTAGGAAAATGAAAACATCTAATCAGTATTAAAAATAAGAGGGATGTGACCAATATATTTTCTCATATAATCGTTAGATTTCTACAGTGGACGCCATCTGAAAGCTGCTACAGAGTGAAACAGTAGCAAGTCTGAACAGTAAGTCTGCCACAGTGCTATAATGCTCTCTTGAAGTTCTTTTTATAGAAATATATGACATCAAAATTTTGATTCAGTAACCTGATTTTCATTAAAATTTGATTCAACTGCAACACTTTATTACCACATATATGGGTTTCTTGCAACATGGGCAAAAATGTACAGGGATCTGCAGCCCAAGTTATATTGGGATAAAATACCTGGGTCCTAGGTGCTCAAAATTGGCATCTCAGGGAGCTGAAGAAATGTAACTGGTGTATACTGAAGGAACTTGAAGATAGGACCATGTGAACAGTGTCAATAAACTTTAAATAATAACAGAATTTGTCTTTTTTTTCCTAAAATGGGAAAAAATGTATAGATATCAGAAATCCATGCTATTTTGTCTACCAACCCAATCATAATTTCAAAAATGATTTGTCATATCATTTGTGACAAAGTGAAAAATAAAGCATGGTTTTCATAAAGATAAGGACTCTAACCTATTTTAGAAAGGGCCTATCAAACTGGCAGAATAAAATAATGTGGATATAGTGATGACCCATCCCTAGTTTCACCCAATAGCTTTAAAAGACTTAGGGGACAAGCACCTCAAACACAGTAAACACTCAACAATTTTATTTCAGCAAGTTATATGTAATATTTTAATGACCACCATCTGGAGAAAAATATCCAGTTACACAGATATTCACCTAAAACATGAGTGTTATTAATGCAGAAGAAATTTATAGCAAGGCTAATAAAACAGAATGATCTTTAAAATCATCTCTACCACCACCAGCACTAAAAAAGGGAATGTAACTAGATACATAGATAAAGGGTAGGGACACTATTGTCAGGAATCCATATGGAGCTTTAGGATTTTAGCTGGCTACATTCAAACAATCTTAATATATACTACACGATGAGAAAGAACCCAAGAGGTACATTCATCCATAATAAAAGAAATAAAGGCTAACGGTAGAACTGATATTTAACAGTGGATAATCTTCAGTTAACTGAAGACATTAAGAGCAAATCAACGTATCTGATACAGCATCCAGGGTGTAAGAAAATTGTCTATAAATGACCCCTTTGTCACTGTATCAATTCCCTGAAGGCAGGAAGAAATCTTTCACCACCCTTTAGTGGAATACCTAGAACATGAACTAAAAATTTTCTTAGTTGTCAAAGAACATTATGAACAATGAGAAGCAATACAGGTAAACAGTTTTCTGGTTAAAAAAAAACCTTTCAAACTGTAATAATAAACTCTAGGTAATGAGTTTACTATCAATTAGAGCAAGTAGCAATCGACAATTACTCACTGTAAAGGATCGAATAGCTAACACTATAAGCTCAAAATAAATTATGTGTTAATCCAATGGAATAAAGATAACTTGAGGAGGGATCAAATGACTGTTAAATACACAAATGCCTTACTGGTTCTGATTCTTGTAAGTATAAACTGGCTTCGCTGTCAGAAATTCTAGGGAGTAACTGCTTGTCAAATTTCAAAATAAGTCATACAATTTATAGAAAGGAAATGAAACCAAATGCAGGTTTTCTAAAGGTACTCACACACTTAAGAACAACCACTAAGAAGGCAAAACAGTGAAAAAATAAATGTAAAAACAAAAGTCGTCTTCTACTTTAATTGAATATTGAGCTTTCAATTTAGAAGAAAATCATGAAGCAACCACAGGACCTCTTCGTACTTTCAGATGTGGTACTACCAGGGTCTAAAATCTATCTTCTCAGTTACAGTCTCACTTCGTATATATATATAAGGTCAAAGGACCAGCCAGGTGAGGGGGCTCATGCCTGTAACCCAGGATTTTGGGAGGTCAAGGCAGGCAGGTCTCTACTAAAAATACAAAAATTAGCTGGGTGTGGTGGGAAATGTCTGTGATCCCAGCTATGTGGGAGGCTGAGGCACCAGAATTCCTTGAACCCAGGAGGAAGAGGTTGAGCCACAGAGTGAGACTCCATCCCCCACCAACAAAATAACAAAAGGTTCTTCTTATGATGTTCTAAAAGCACGTCTTTGACATTTCAAAATTAGATCCTATCCTATCTCCCAGATTTGGGTCAATGTAAAAGTTACAGGTAATTAAGAAATGAGGGCCGAACGCAGTGGCTCACATCTGTAAGCCCAGCACTTTGAGAGGCCAAGGTGGGCAGATCACTTGAGGTAAGGTGTTTAAGACTAGCCTGGCCAACATGGTGAAACCCCATCTCTACTAAAAATATCCCTGCTACTTGGGAGGCTGAGGCACGAGAACTGCTTGAACCCAGGAGGCACAGGTTGCAGTGAGCCGAGACTGCACCACTGCACTCCAGCCTGGGCAACAGAGCAAGTCTACTGTTATCCAAAAAAAAAAAAAAAAAAAAAAAAGGGGGCGGGGGGTTGGGGGGCACAGGGGAATGAGTGTTTTATGAACTAAATCCCTTTATACATAATTGTAAAAACGTCAATTCACCCTTCTTTTCCTGTTGCCTCCAAAAGCTCCACCTCCCAATTCATGATCTTAAATTTTTATGTACTATAAAGAAAAATAACTGTCTCAACACTCTTACTACTACAATAGTTTTAAGTAAAGCTTTTTTAAGTGCCTCTGATATTTTCTAAATTCTAATATTATAAATATTTTTTCGATCAAACAATATACACCTTGTAGTATTCAATAAAACTGATATATTTGAAAATAAACTTATGTCAATGAATTTCGACTAAAAACTGGGGTGCAGGGTTTAAAACTGTCCTGACAACTCATTTTGATGCATGGTTAATTCTACCCTATGTCTCCACTTCCTTAAATAGAAGACTACAAACTAACAGGCTATAAGTACTTGATGAATTGAATTCTCAGTAAGTCCTTTTAAATGTAAAAATTTGGAAAATTTTCGAATTAGATGAAAAAACGATTTAAAATTAGAAAAGATTCAATTCCTACCTGCCACAGCACCAAATGCCAAAGAGCCACTCATCTGTAGAGCTTGCTGTGCTGCTGGCGGAATCTGCAAACCTGTACCTGTAAAAGAATAGTCTTAAAGTTCCTACTATGTTGAGAGCAGAGAAACGAAGTTTCCTGGGTCATTAATATCATGATCACTTCACTAAAATAAATTGCAAGGAGGGCCGAGTGTGGTGGTTGACGCCTGTAACTTAGCTAGCACTCTGGGAGGCCAAGGGAGGTGGTTC
Source organism: Homo sapiens (assembly GCF_000001405.40). Taxonomy (NCBI): domain Eukaryota; kingdom Metazoa; phylum Chordata; class Mammalia; order Primates; family Hominidae; genus Homo; species Homo sapiens. The sequence continues at coordinate 35,713,267 of NC_000020.11, forward strand.
ACTTAAATCCCAGAGATCGAGACCAACCTGGGCAACAATTGTGAAACTCTCTTTTTTTTTTGAGATGGAGTATCGCTCTTGTTGCACAGGCTCTTGTTGCACAGGCTGGAGTGCAATGGCGCAATCTCGGCTCACTGCAACCTCCCCCTCCCAAGTTCAAGTGATTCTCCTGCCTCAGCCTCCTGAGTAGCTGGGATTACAGGTATGCGCCACCATGACCGGCTAATTTTTTATTTTTAGCAGAGATAGGGTTTCTCCGTGCTGGTCAGGCTGGTCTCGAACTCCTGAACTTAGGTGATCCACCCGCCACAGCCTCCCAAACTGCTGGGATTACAGTTGTAAGCTACCGCACCCGGCAGAAACCCCATCTCTTAAAAACAACCAACCAACCAACCAACACAAAAAAAAAAAAAAAAAAAAAAAAAAAAAAACCACCACAGAAATTAGCCAGGCGTGGTGGTGGTTGTTTGCAACTGTTAGTCCCAGCTATTTAGAGATTAGGGTGGGAGGATGGCTTCAGCCAAAGAGGCAGAGGTTGCGGTGAGCCAGGATCGCACAACTGCACTCCAAATTGGGCAACAGAGCCAGACCCTGCATCAAAAAATAAGAAATTACAAAAAGAAAAACTTGTAACATTATAATAGCTGCAACTAAATTTATTCCTAAGTATGACATATAAACACTACATAAAGGAAAAGAAATCTTGCAACTTATACTGTGGCATTCAAAACACATAATATAGATTTCCATACATTAATACAAGGCACATCATCTATAAAATAATATGCAGTGTGACCAAGGATAACGCCAACTACAAAATAAGATAAAATCTTTTTCCCTTTCTTAGTTTACATGGCTACCTTTCTTTTCCACTACAATACCCACAGTAAATCATTCGTAATAGCAAGAAACACTTACCCTCTGCAAGTCTTGCCATTAACTGAAGACGACCAGTTGTTCCCAAATCAATTCCAGTCCTTTCCAGTTCATCACTGTCCAAAAATGAACTAGCACTCGAAGCATCAGTACGTTCAGTAACATGACCAACTTTCATTGGTCTTCCTGCTAGTTCAAATCCATTAAGTTGTTCCAAAGCCTTTTTGGCACATTCTGAGTCAGAAAACTACATGATAGGGGAGGCAAGGACAGGAGACAGTGCTTTAATTTTTAAAATACAAACTATACTTAAAAATATATTTATATTTTTAGCATATTCAATAATTACTTCTGAATACTAAGGTAGAAACTGCAAGCTGTAAGTAGCAAACACAACATACATGATGACGACGCTAGCTAACGCAAATTAGGCTTGTTGATGTGGTAGTTTAAATAAAAGATATTACAAGTAATGACAGCTTTATATTTGAGAACATGGGGATTGTGGTTAGAAAATGTGAAAACTGGCTGGGTGCAGTGGCTCACACCTGTAATCTCAACACTTGGAGAGGCCGAGGCAGGCAGACCACCTGAGGTAGAATTTAGTACTTTTCTAACAAAAATGTGCCCAGGGACAAAATAGTCAATATAATCCTCATATATAAAACATAAATACTTCATACACAAGCAAATAAATACATAACTTGATATAAATTACATATATATAAAATTTTGGTTTACACATATACCCACAATGGCTTATCTGGAGAAAAAGAAAAGGTGGAAAATATCCACACTAAAGTTACTAGAATAAAAAAATAAAATTGGTGAGCTATGTTTCATAAATTTTCTCCTTTCACCAGTTCATTGACGTACGTAACAGCCTAATGACCAGTAAGTTAAACAGATTTGCTATCAACATAGCAACAGGCTTACATTTTATTGAAATGTAGATATAAGCTAACAATTTTAATTTCCTGATAGAGATATACAGTGTACTTTTAAAAATACTATGTTTCCAGGACCTTAAAAGGTTACAGAGCTCACACATCTGAAAAAAGTTCCACCATGGATGAGTTTCATATACATGAGTGGCACCATCTCGGCTCATTGCAACCTCTGCCTCCTAGGTTTAGGCAATTCTTCCTCATCCTCCCTAGATGCTAGGATTATAGGCGCCCGCCACCACGCCCGGTTAATTTTTTATATTTTTAGTAGAGACAAGGTTGCACCATGTTGGCCAGGATGGTCTTGATCTCCTGACCTCAGGTGATCTACCGCTCTCAGCCTCCCAAAGTGCTGGCATCACAGGCGTGAGCCACCACACACAGCCCAAAAACACTTTTGACAAGACAATTCTGGTCTTGGTTGTGAGGTATGTACATTAAAAAAAGGATCTTTAGTAAAAAAGAATCGTTAACAGACCTTCATTTATTTAACTGTTAAGAATGTGTCAAAAGGTTATCAGAGATGAACGTATAAAACATTCAATTATATGAATAGCTGGCTGACCCCTATATGTATATATAGCACATAGTAAAGGAAAATAGGAACACAGTAATATAATTTGGATCCTTGTCCCCTCTAAACCTCAGGTTGAAATGTGATCCCCACTGTGGAAAGTGTGACTTGGCAAGAGGTATGACAAGGCAGATCCCTCATGAATGGCTTGGTGCACTCCCCCTGCTAATAGGCGAGGGTCCTTGCTCTGTTACTTCACAGGATGTCTTCCTCTCTCTTCCTCTCCCTCTCTCCAAGTGACACACCTGCTCCTCCAAGCAATAACAAGTAAAGGCTTTGCGAAGCACAAGTAACAGCTTCCTGAGGCCACCACAGACTCTGAGCAGCTGTTAGTGTCATGTTTGCATGGCCTGCAGAACCTAATAAACCTATTTTCTTAAATTATTTTATATTTATTTATTTATAGTTTTATTTTTTTTCAAGGCAGAGTCTTACTCTGTTGCCCAGGCTGGAGCACTGCAGCGCAATAGCACAATCTTGGCTCACTGCAATCTCCATATCCTGGGTTCAAGCAATTCTCCTGCCTCAGCCTCACAAGTAGGTGGGATTACAGTTGAGCACCACCATGCTTGGCTAATTTTTGTATTTTTACTAGAGACGGGGTTTCGCCATGTTGGCCAGGCTGGTCTCAAACTCCTAATCTCAGGTGATCCACCCGCCTCGGCCTCCCAAAGTGCTGGGATTACAGGCATAAGCCACCGCGCCCGGCCACAAAAACTAATTTAAAGCACTTGAAAATATTAAACATGCCACCTTCCCCACCATTATTAACTATTATTGTACTTCTACTATGCAACTTGGATCAAAAAATTTTAGGAGTACCTAAGTGTGATGATTTGGTTTTCACATTCATGTGTGAGCTGTGCCTGCCTTTTGTTACAAGGGCATATTACCCTTTGTTGTGAAAAAAACTTTTTTGATCGGACACAGAGGCTCAGTCCTGTAATCCCAGCAGTTTGGAAGGCTAAGGTGGGACATCATTTAAGGCCAGGAGCTAGAGACTAATCTGAGCAACACAGCAAATGTAGTTTAAAAAAAAAAAAACCCTAAGTAATATAATTATGGTAATTACTTACTGTAATAAATCCATATCCCTTGGATCGACCAGTTTCACTGTCCATCATCAGCTGGATACTTTCAATCTATAATTGAAAAGCATAATTACTATAACTTAAAAGCAGAGTACAAAACTACTTTCTTCCCTGAGACATGGTTTTAAAAATCTACCAGTCTCCTCATCCTCCAAAATAGAAGACTTATCACAAAACCTCATCACCAAGAAGTCTTTTTTAAGTCTAGAAACTATAATTTTATATGTAAAATGAAAAAAATTAGGCTGGGCGTGGTGGTCGGCGCCTGTAATCCCAGCATTTTGGGAGGTTGAGGGAGGCGGATCACCTGAGGTCAGGAGTTTGGGACCAGCCTGGCCAACATGACGAAATCAGGTCTCCACCAAAAATACAAAAATTGTCTGGGCTTGGTGGCGCATGCCTGTACGCCCAGCTACTTGGAATGCTGAAGCAGAAGAATTGCTTGAACCCGGGAGGCAGAGGTTGCAATGACCCCAGAGCACGCCACTGTACTCCAGCCTGGACAACAGAGCGAGACTTGGTCTCAAAAAACAAAACAAAAACAAAAAAAAAAAACAAACTCTAGAAACTTCCCAAGCGAGAAATTATGCACTGGGGAGCAGAGGGGAGAAAAAAAAACTATGATTGTAACCTAAGATTAATTTTTATATCAATACTAAACCACTGAAAACCAGAAATCCTTCGTAAATTACCAATAGAAGGTAGAAACAAAATCAACGTTTCCTTCCCATTGTGCTAAAAACACCAAGCAGTAATTTCCAATTATACCAGACAGAATCGTAAAAATGGAATGAATTTGGCAATATACAATGAATTTGGCAATAACTGCACAATTCTGTGAATTGTACTAACTAAAAACCATTGAGTTTACGTTCAATCAGTGAACTGTAACACAATCTCCTGATTTAGCTGTCCATTTAAAAAAAGGTATGAAAAATTAAAACAGAGCATCCAGCCAGGTGGGTTGGCTCAGGTCTGTAATCCGAGCACTTTGGGAGGCAGGAGGATCGCATGTTAAGGAGGTGGACGCTACACAGTGAGCTTGCATCATGCTGTTGCACTCCAGCCTCAGTCACAGAGGGAGACTCTGTCTCAAACAAGAAAGGAACTTTTTTTTTTTTTGAGACGGAGTCTCGCTCTGTGGCGCAGGCTGGAGTGCAGTGGTGTGATCTTGGCTCACTGCGAGCTCTGCCTCCCGGGTTCACACCATTCTCCTGCCTCAGCCTCCCAAGTAGCTGGGACTACAGGCACCCACCACCACGCCCAGCTAAATTTTTTGTATTTTTAGTATAGACGGGGTTTCACCGAGTTTGCCAGGATGGTCTTGATCTCCTGACCTCGTGATCCACCCGCCTCGGCCTCCCAAAGTGCTGGGATTACAGGCATGAGCCACTGCGCCCAGCCCAAGGAACGAACTTTTAATGTTAAGTATATTTTACCAAAATTTTAAAAAAGAAACAAAGTTTATTTGCTAGTATTTGCTAAGCCACAGAAAGTCTATGGAAGGATATAAAAAACAAAACAAAACAAAAAAAAAACGGGTAAGGGCTGCCTCTAGAAAAGGAGTAGTCGTGGATGAAGTGGGACTATGATAGGGATAAGATATTCTAGGAGCATTAGCTAGCAAAAAGTAAACAATATAAACATTTAGGCTGGGCTCGGTGGCTCCCACCTGTAGGTGTGAGCTGACATGGGCAGACTATCTGAGCTCAGGAGTTCGAGACCAGCCTGGGCACCACGGTGAAACCCTGTCTCTACTAAAACACAAAAAAGTAGGTTGGGCTCCGTGACTCATGCCTGTAATCCCACCACTTTGGGAGGCCGAGGAGGGCGAATCACCAGAGGTCAGGAGTTTGAGACCAGCCTGACCAACATGGAGAAAAACCCTGTCTCTACTAAAAATACAAAATTAGCAGGGTGTGGTGCCGCATGCCTGTAATCCCAGCTACTTGGGAGGCTGAGGCAGGAGAATCGCTTGAACCTGGGAGATGGGGGTTATGGTGAGCTGAGATCATGCCATTGCACTCCAGCCTGGGCAACAAGAGCAATACTCCATCTCAAAAAAAAAAAAAAAAAAAAAAAGCCAGGCATGGCGGCATGCACCTATAATCCCAGCTGCTAGGGAAGCTGTAGAAGAATTGCTTGAACCTGGGAGGCAGAGGTTGCAGTGAGCTATCGCACTCCAGCCTGGGTGACAGCGCAGGACTCAGACTCCAAAAAAAATAATAAAATAAACCTTTAAAAAGGGCTTCTTATTAAAGCTGCTACATTATGTTTACTGGAGTTGGGCACTTAATGCATACTAATTGTTCTGGGGCAAAGGTAAGCAAACTACATATACCCCATGAACCAACTCCAGCTTGACTTGTTTTATAAATCTTTCTCCTGTCTGAGCCTCCAGAGTAAGCTGGAACTACAGGCATATGCCACCCAAGACCGGCTAATTTTTATATTTTTAGTAGAGAAGAGGTTTCACCATGCTGGCCAGACTGGTCTCGAACTCCTCACCTCAAGTGATCCACCCGACTCGGCCCCCAAAAGTGCAGGGATCACAGGCATGAGCCACTGTGCCTGGCCCATACTCAATTTCTTAATAGCTTACAGCTGTTTGGAAGAGAGTTGAGTACTTGCAACAAGACCATATGGCACTGAAAACCTAAAATGGGTCTGGGCGCAGTGGCTCACGCCTGTAATGACAACACTTTGGGACACCGAGGCGGGTAGATCACCTGAGGTCAAGAGTTCGAGACCAACCTGACCAACACACCAAAAATTAGCTGGGCGTTGTGGTCAGAGCCTGTAATCCCAGCTACTCAGGAGGCTGAGGCAGGAGAATCAATTGAACCTGGGAGGCGGAGGTTGCAGTGAGCCGAGACTGCACCACTGCACTCCAGCCTAGGCGCAAGGAGTGAAACTCCCATCTCAAAATTTAAGAAATAGTTTGACAAATCAGACTCTAGAGTAATAAAAATAATTTAAATATCAACTGTTTCCTGATGTTAATTTTTATATGGTACACAGATTTCTCAAATATCCATGATTATTCTTTTTCTTTTCTTTCGGAGACACTCTGGCTCTGTTATCCAGGCGTGATCTCGGCTCACTGCAATCTCTGCCACCCGGGTTCAAGTGACTCTCCTGCCTCAGCCTCTTAAGTAGCTGGGATTAGAGGGATGCGCCACCACACCCACCTAATTTTTCTATTTTTAGTAGAGACAAGGTTTTACCACGTTGGCCAAGCTGGTCTCAAACTCCTGACCTCAAGCGATCCACTTGCCTCGGCCTCCCAAACAAAGAGATGGGATTACAGGTGTGAGCCACTGCACCTGGCCAGTGAATATATTTTTAAAAGTTAAATTTTATTTGTTCTATCTAGCTCCTTTTAAATTTATGCCTTTTGCTAAAATTATTGAGTGGAAAAGGTTCATTCCTCACAGTGACAGGACAGTCTTGGCAACTTTCTCTCCTCAACACAGAACTAGTTGGACACTCTTGGTTTAGGTAGATAGCACAAAGTCCTCTAGAACAAAAGCCAAGCTGCTCTGAATTGAGCTCAAGACCACAATGCCAGACACAAGGCCTCGTGGCGCCTGTGAAGCAGATCAAGTTGGTTCCTCACTTTGCCATGTAACAGCTCATGTGGCCCCAACTGCTCTGAACTTCATTTCTCCATATAGCACATAATGGCATGTCAACCTCCACCTAAGATCCATGTTACTGATAGAAAAGTCAATGGAGGCCAGGTCCAGTGGCTCACACCTGTAATCCCAGCACTTTAGGAGGCCGAAGCAGATCACCTGAGGTCAGGAGTATGAGACCAACTTGGCCAACATGGTAAAGCCCTGTCTCTAAAAAAAAAAAAAAAAATTAGTCGAGCATGATGGCAGGCACCTGTAAACCCAACTACTCGGAAGGCTAAAGCAAGAGAATCGCTTGAACACAGAGAGGAGGAGTTTGCAGCGAGGCGAGATTGTGCCACTGCACTCCAGCCTGGGCAGCAGAATAAGACTCTGTCTCAAAAAGTCAATGGAGAAAGTACCAGAGTGGATCAGAAGTGGGTCACATACTGTTAGGCAGAACAGCCTTGCCAGAGGGGCATTCACCCACTGAAGATTTCAACAGACAGAAAAAGGGCAAATCTAATCAGGCTACCAAGGCCTGGAACTGAGCACATAACCAGGGAGACAGAGTAATGTCTTTTTAAAGGTAAGGGTCTCGCCAGGCCAGGCTGGAGTGCAGTGGTGCCATCCCAGCTCACTGCAACCTCTGCCTCCTATATTCAAGGGAGAAATTCTGCTGCCTCGGCCTCCCGAGTAGCTGGGAACACAGAGACGCACCAACACGCCCAGCTAATTTTTGTATTTTTAACAGAGACGTGGTTTTACCATGTTGGCCAGGATGGTCTTGATCTCATAATCTGCCCACCTCGGCCTCCCTCCCAAAATGCTGGGGTTACAGGTGTGAGCCACCGCACCCGGCCAACAGAAAAGAATCTTAAGATATTCAACTTTCTTTTAAAAACAATCTTTTAAAAAAAATCCTACTAAAAAATAATAGTCTTCGTATGATTTAACAATTTTCCTTCTTTTGACACAGGATCACACTGTTACCCAAGGTGGAGTGAAGTGGCATAATCATGGCTCACTGCAACCTTGAAATCCTGGGCTAATGTCATCCTCCTGCCTCAGCACCCCAAGTAGCTGGGATTACAGGCATGAGCCACCATGCCCAGCCAATGTGGACTTTTTATTAACTCTAATACCCATTATGCATTTCACATGGCATTATGAATAACAGTAACATTCTTTTAAGAATCTATCAAGTGACCTATTTTAATCTATGTTGTCACAGAAATTTTTATAAAACCAGCCCTTATCCTCTTAATATTAACTCACAGAAAGATAACAAAGCAAGACATACAGAAATTATGTAGTTATACTCAGATCAACAACCTACTGAAGATTCATTGAAGAACCTGGACTTACTCTTCCAAAAGGCTCAAAGATCCCACGAAGCATATCTTCAGTTATGTTGAAGTGTAATGAGCCCACATAAAGCCTCATAGGTCCAGCACTTCCCTTTTGTAAATTGTTTGCCATTGCTGCAGCTCTGTTTTTTTCTGCCTAGAAGACAAAATACACGTCACACAGAGATAACACACAGCAGTTTAAAGACATACACCTTCCATTTGCATAACAACTAATGTTAAAGTTTAGAGTGATAAAAATACTACCCTACGTAAGTCAGATACTACATATCAACTTAATAGGAGGCATCTAGAATATGCAAAATTCAGAAAGAGGAGGTAGATAACATTTTACCAAGGGCCTGCAGGAAATTAGGGAGTTACAGCTTCAAGAGTACAGTTTTTGGCTGGGCACGATGGCTCACACCTGTAATCCCAGCACTTTAGTAGGCTAAAGCAGCCAGATCACGACATCAAGAGATCAAGACCATACTGGCTAACACAGTGAAACACCATCTCTACCAAATATAGAAAAAATTAGCCGGGTGCGGTGGTGGGCACCTGTAGTCCCAGCTACTCAGGAGGCTGAGGCAGGAGAATGGCATGAACCCAGGAGGCAGAGCTTGCAGTGAGACGAGATCACACCACTGCACTCCAGCCTGGGTGACAGAGTGAGACTCAGTCTCAAAAAAAATAAAAATAAAAAAAAAAATAAAAATAAAAAGTTTATTTAGAGGCTTTTTTTTTTTTTTTTTTGAGACAGTCTCACACTATGTTGCCCAAGCTGGTCTTGAACTCCTAAACTTAAGTGATCATCCTTCCTTCTCATCCACTAGAGACTGCCAGGGACTACAGCACACCCCACATCATACCCTGCTTATTTTAGAATGTTTTCAGAGCACATGCCAGTCACATATAAAGTAAGCAGGCTGGCCGGGTGCAGTGTCTCACGCCTGTAATCCTAGCACTTTGGGAGGCCGAGGCGGACGGATCACGAGGTCAGGAGATCAAGACCATCCTGGTTAACACAGTGAAACCCCGTCTCTACTAAAAATACAAAAAAATTAGCCGGGCGTGGTGGCAGGCACCTGTAGTCTCAGCTACTTGAGAGACTCAGGCAGGAGAATGGCGTGAACCCAGGAGACGGAGCTTGCAGTGAGCCAAGATCGCCCCACTGCACTACAGCCTGGGCGACAGAGCGAGACTCCGTCTCAAGAGAAAAAAAAAAAAAAAAGTAAGCAGGCTACATTTCACACCTAAAATGAATCATGAACCTACATTCTTGACAACAATCTTAAGATGCATTCTGATACCACAAATACTAAATACAGAGAAAAATGCTTCCTGGAATTGTTAGACACAACCAACATTCACTAAAATACTCTTGAGATTGGTATAACCGAACGTAGTTGTTTGTGATAAAATAAGGTGTATATGCCATAACATAAAACTGTATCACCAAGCAAACATTTTGAGTCAGCTGTCATCCCTCCATAACCAAGATCGCCTCAAAAAAAAAAAAAAAGAAAAGTTGTCCATTTGCATTCTAACACAGGCTTCTCTTGTAACAAACTAGAGTACATTGGATAGTACTGCTCTACAACAGGTTGCTGCATGAATTTAAAACCTCACTTAATATGCTACTTCTCAGCCCTGGGTCCCGCCAATGCACACCCAGCCACTAAGTTTGTCTTCCAACATAGGAAATAATTTGAGTAACTCTTTTTTCTTTTTGAGACACAGTCTTGGTTCTTGTCGCCCAGGCTGCAGTGCAATGGCGTGATCTTGCCTCACTGCAACCTCTGCCTCCTGGGTTTAAGCAATTCTCCTGCCTCGGCCTCCTGAGTAGCTGGGATTACAAGTGCCTGACACCATGCCCAGCTAATTTTTGCATTTTAGTAGAGACAAGGTTTCACCATGTTGGCCAGGCTGGTCTCGAACTCCTGACCTCAGGTGATCCGCCCGCCTCAACCTCCCAAAGTGCTGGGATTACAGGCATGAGCCATCGCGCCCAGCCAAAATACTAAAATATTAAATGCTGTCAAAGCGCTGTGCGGCTCAAGTGATCCTAACACTTCAGGAGGCCCAGGCCAGAGGATCACTTGAGCATGACAGTTTGAAACCAGCCTGAGCAACATGGCAAGACCCTGTTTCTTAAAAAAATTTAAAAATTAGCTGGGAGTGGTGGCACGCACCTGTAGACCTAGCTACTCAGGAGACTGGGGAGAAAAGACTGCTTGAGCCCAGCAGGTCAAGGCTACAGTGAGCTGTGATTATCTCACTGCACTCCAGCCCTGGCAACAGAAGTGAGACCCTATCTCAAAAACAAGGCCAGGTGTGGTGGCTCACAACTGTAATCTCAGCACTTTGGAAGGCTGGGGCAGGTGGATCACCTGAGGTCAGGAGTTCAATACTAGCCTGGCCAACATGATGAAACCCCATCTCTACTAAAAACACAAAAAGTAGCCGAACGTGGTGGCAGGCTCCTGTAATCCCAGCTACTCAGGAGGCTGAGGCAGGAGAATCGCTTGAACCCAGGAGGTGGAGGTTGCAGTGAGCAGCGATCATGCCATTGCACTCCAGCCTGGTGAGAGAGACTCCATCTCAAAAACAAAACAAAAAAAAGGCAAAATCATTACATTTCAAACACAAGGAGAAACGACAGGACGACAGTCTTGAGAAAACTGTATCAATGTTAATAAACGCAAAGTTAAAAAAAAAAAAAAAGTCCTGAAAACATCCGACTCAACGTAATGAGCAGCAGTCACAGAACACAACAGCACTATACCATGCAACAGGAGGCTTTCAACACCACCAATAATCAAACTCTTAACCAACAAAAAAATTACCTGTGATGCCTGTACTATGATTGGCACGCCTAAAACTCGTTGGCCAGTTAATCCTATTGCTAGAGGCACTGAGCTAACATCGACGAACTCCACATAAGCAATTCCTTTGGAACGTCTTGAATTTCTGTCAGAAATCATCCTCACATCTCGAACCTAGAAAGAAAACACAGTTGTTTGTGCAAACATCCATTGTAACACATGTAGAATTATTTCAAGAGACACTGTTGAAGGATGAAGGTATTTTTAAAAATTTAATTAAAAAAGTAAATCTGTAGGACAATTCCTATATCCTATCTTTATCTTTGAACAAATTTGTAGTAACATTTATCAACTCCAATACTACAAGAGGCAAAATGGAAACATTACCACAAACAAATACTGCTACTAAATCAAATGAAGTATTTGATGTTTACATGTTTTCTCTTGCAATTTCTACCTACTTGACCTCCCTAAACAGGTTAAGATTACCTTTCCTACTGTAGAGAAAAACTCTTCCAAATCCCTTGGTCGAATTCTTGCCGCCAGCTGCATACAGAAGACTGTCCTTGCATCTCTTTCCTCAGGAGTTAAATTATCAATAGGTTCTCTAATAGGAGTAAAACATATAAAATTAATTTCATAACAGATTTTAAAATAATTTTTATCTTTTTTATTTCTTCATATAGTTCAACAGGTTTTCAGGTACAGGTGGGTTTTGGTTACATAGATGAGTTCTTTAATGGTGAATTCTGAGATTTTAGTGTACCTGTCACCTGAGCAGTATATACTGTACCCTCACTCCTTTCCCAACTCCACAACAATATTTCCATCTTTAGAAACCAGGTCTTGCTATGCTGCACAAGTTGGTCTTGAACTACTGATCTCAAGCAATCCTTTTGCCCTAAACTCCCCCATAGCTACGGCATTTCACCATGTTAACTAGGCTGGTCTCGAACTCCTGACCTCAGATGATCCGCCTGCCTTGGCCTCCCAAAGTGGTGGGATAACAGGTGTGAGCCACTACGCCTGGCCTAAAATAATTCTCAAACATGTTCAGTAAACAGAGTAAGCTGTGAAACTGGTTTGTCATAATTCCCAAACCCATTTTCTTTTTTTTTTTTTTTTTTTTCCAGAGGAAGTCTTGTTCTTGTCCCCCAGGCTTGGAGTGCAACGGCGCCATCTTGGCTCACCACAACCTCCGCCTCCCTGAGTTCAAGCAATTCTGCTGCCTCAGCCTCCTGAGTAGCTGGGACTACAGGCGCCTGCCACCACACCCAGCTAATTTTTGTATTTTAAGTAGAGATGTGGTTTCACCATGTTGGCCAGGCTGGTCTCCAACTTTTGATCTCAGGTGATGTGCCCGCCTCGGCCTCCCAAAGTGCTGGGATTACAGGCATGAGGCACCGCACCCGGCCAACCCAAGCCCATTTTCAGTAAGATCTATTGACAAAAAATGCGCATAAAACTATTCAATGTAACTCAATTCCTTCTAAAAACTAAGGTTTACTGTTTCTTGTAATCACATCTTACATGGCATTAGCACAGAAGTCTACTGGCCTTACCATCTCAAAAAAAGTAATTTTTCTTTTCTTTTTTTGTTTTTGAGATGGAGTCTCACTGTCACTCAGGCTGGAGTGCAGTGGCGCAATCTCGGCTCACTGCAACCTCCGCCTCCAGGGTTCAAGCAATTCTTCTGCCTCAGCCTCCCGAGTAGCTGGGACTACAGGTGTGTGCCACCATGCCTGGCTAATTTTCTGTATTTTTAGTAGACATGGGATTCCACTGTGTTAGCCAGGATGGTCTTGATCTCCTGATCTCGTGATCCACCCGCCTCGGCCTCCAAAAGTACTCGGATTGTAGGCGTCAGCCACCACGCCTGGCCCAAAAAGGGTAATTTTTCTAAAACAAGGGTCAACCAGAAGCCTGACAGTTTAATCATAGTCATAAAACATATCACCAGACCAATCACAAATGCCAGACTGATCCAAAATCAGTGTAATGGATGATTCTTTACAACAAAACCATGTAATTGTAAAGTCAAATTAAGTTTGACAATCACAAATGGCAAACTTGAAGTGAAACCCCAAATGATTCTACAAATTCTACTTTACAAATTTAGATACAGTGTCTATTAACATCATCTCTGTTACAAAATATCAATTAAGGTTGTAAGTCATCCTTTAAGATGTAAGCCTAAACACGATCTTTTCCATTTTTTGGACACTCTCAGGATGTACGGGGGTTGGGGTGGTCGCTCCACCTGTAAGATTTGTCACAAAAGCTTTTTTTTCTTTTTGGAAACGCAGTCTAGCTGTCACCCAGGCTGGAGTGCAGTGGTGTGATCTTGGCTCATCACAACCTCCATCTCACGGGTTCAAGCAATTCTCCTGCCTCTCTTCCCGAGTAACTGGGATTACACGCACGCGCCACTACATCCGGCTAATTTTTGTACTTTATTAGTAGAGATGGGGTTTCACCATGTTGGTCAGGCTGGTCTCGATATCCTGACCTTATTGTTACAGGCATGAGCCACCACGCCAGGCACAAAAGCTTTTAAGGCCGGGAGTAGCGTGCAGATTGCTTGGCCCTGGATTTTCAGACCAACTGAGCAACATGGCAAAACCTTGTCTCTACAAAAAAAAAATAGAAAAATTAGCAGGGCATGGTGGCTGCACCTATAGTCCCAGCTACTCGGGAGGCTAACCTGGGTGGGATTGCTTATGACCGGCCATTAGAAACTGCAGTGAGACATGATTGCGTCACTGCACTATAGCCTGGGTGACAAAGAGAAACCCTACCTCAAAAAATAAAAAATAAAAATAAAAAAGCAAATGCTTTCTAGCCGGGGGTCTCAAAAAAAAAAAAAAACACCCACAATGCTACCACCTGACAAAATATTCCTTGAACCGAAATCGTAGACTGAACAAATACAGTTCCCTTTTTTTTTGTAGACAGTCTTGCTCTGTCACCAGGCTGGAGAGCAGTGGCGCAATCTCAGCTTACTGCAACCCTTGCCTCCTGGGTTCAAGTGATTCTCTTGCCTCAGCATCCCAAGTAGCTGGGACTACAGGTGCACACCACCATGCCCAGCTAATTTTTGTATTTTTTTTTTTTTTTTGAGACAGAGTTTCGCTCTTGTTGCCCAGGCTGGAGTGCAATGGCGCGATCTCGGCTCACTGCAACCTCCGCCTCTTGGGTTCAAGCGATTCTCCTGCCTCAGCCTCCCGAGTAGCTGGGATGACAGGTGCACACCACCACGCCCAGCTAATTTTTTGTATTTTTTAGTACAGACAGGGTTTCACCATGGCCAGGCTGGTCTTGAACTTCTGACCTCAGGTGATCCGCCTGCCTCGGCCTTCCAGAGTGCTGGGATTACAGGCGTGAGCCACCACCACGCCTGGCCTAATTTTTGTAGTTTTAGTAGAGGCAGGGTTTCACCATGTTAGCCAGGCTGGTCTCGATCTCTTGACCTTGTGGATCCACCCACCTCAGTCTCCCAAAGTGCTGGGATTACCCGCGTGAGCCACCGGGCCTGGCCTACAATTCTTATTTTTAAGAGTAAAATAATCCATGGAAACTTCATTGAAGAACCTAGGAGTAACAATTCAAATCACTAAGACTTCTGAGATGAAATAGTTTTCCTCAGGACAGCCAAATAGTAAAACTTACTGTTACAACTACTTCTCCACGAGGCTATTTCAAATAACTCATTATTTATTAATTCCAAAGTTAAGTGTAAAGTTTGATATAACTGCTACGTTGCCAACACAAAGAAACATTTAACACGAATAAGCTAATTACCCGATTTGATCATTACACTGTATACATGTATCAAAACGTAACTGTATTACCCATATACATAATCATTACATGTCCATTAAAAATAATAAATGCAAAAAGTTTATTTTAATTAAAATAGGAAAATAAGATTACATTAAAATAACTTTAGACTGGGAGTGGTGGCTCCTGCCTGTAATCCCAGCACTTTGGGAGGCTGAGGAGGGCAGATCATGAGCTCAGGAGTTCAAGACCAGCCTGACCAACATGGTGAAACCCCGTCTCTACTTAAAATACAAAAATTTGCCGGGCATTGTGGCACATGCCTGTACTCCCAGCTACTCGGGAGGCTGAGGCAGGAGAATCACTTGAACCCAGGAGGCAGAGGTTGCAGTGAGCCGAGATCCCACCACTGCACTCCAGCCTGGGTGACAGAGCGAGACTCCATCTCATAAATAAATAACTTTTGTGGCCGGGTGTGTTGGCTCACACCTGCAATCCTACCACTTTGAGAGGCCAAGGTGGGTGGACCATCTGAGGTCCGGAGCTCAACACTAGGCTAGCCAACATGGTGAAATCCCATCGCTACTAAAATAAAAAAATAGCGAGGCATGGTGGTGCATGCCTGTAATCCCAGCTACTTGGAGGGCTGAGGTAGAAGAACTGCTTGAACCCAGGAGGCGGAGGTTGCAGTAAGCCAAGACTGCACTACTGCACTCCATCCTGGGTGACTGAGTGAGACTCCGTCTCAAAATAAATAAATAAATAAATAAATAAATATATAACTGTTGCTTTAATTATATGAAATTAAAGTGAAAACTACTGAAAACTCAGTAGAAATTCACTTGACCTTAAAGTACTGGAAGTGCAAAAGAAAGCAAAAGCAAGATTTAATATGGTCCAAATTACTAAATATCATCAAATTTAACAGTACCATAAGCTGCAAAAGCTTTTTAAGAGCTAAAGGCTTTAAAGAAGTAAACTACCTCACAGGGCTCTTGTCTTTTCTGAATGGACTTTTGCTTCGGGAACGTCGTCTGCTGCAAAGTTAAAAAGTTTCAGAAGTTATCCAAACAAGTACAGCATGTTAGTTCCTTGAAAAACAATTTAAACAATTCAGAAGTATGTTTAAAAACCTTAATTTGATGCTATGAGGCAACCCAATCTTTCCTCGGATGGCACTGTTAAATTTTGGTCCGGAGCTAAAAAGGAAACACAAAATTACACTAGTTACAGGTTTAGGGTCTTGCTAAGATCGCATTCATGCGCTCTCCAGCAAGACTAACATTGTTTAGGCTACTGCTTTTCCACCTCAGTTATGAAGAGGAAACAAAAATACTTGTCTCTTAACTTTATTCCCAGGCAAGCTGCCCTTGTATTTATCCATCCTGGACCACTGAGAGGTGCCAAGACCAAAGGTTACAGCCTCAAAATTTTTAGATTCTGAAAATGCACACACCCATTTTCAGACTTTAGATATCTTTGTAAGCTACATATATATATACAGTCTTGAGAATTAAAAAAAAAAAAACACACACACACATATATAAAAAATAAATCCCTCTGAACTTCCCTCACACCAGCAGTAACTATGGTTAACAATTTGGTGTGTATCTTTGCAGATCCTCTCTTGGGAATCTATGTGTGTACATGTACATATACAATTTTCATATACATCTTCTTTTTGAAAGACTTCTTTTAAAAACTAAAGTGAATTCTTTAGTCATGCAACTTAGGTATTTCCCCATTCACCAGTAACTCTTAAGACAGCATGACACCACTTAACACACTACATACTTCAGTTGTTTGTTGCAAAAATATTCCATCGTGAACATGTGAAGGTAATTTACCAATTCTCTAGAAAAATTTTGTGAGGACTTGTCAGGACTAACAGAGTGTTTTCACAAAGATCATAAAGGTAATTATTCTGTAGTAACAGTTTTTGTGACTTTTTAAAGACCAGGCTAACTTAAAGGGACTAGCCAGTTGTCCATTAGTGCTCATCCTGCTAACTTATTCCAGAAGAACAGCGAAATAAATAAATACATAGTGGCCTGTGATCCACACATTTGAATTAGTTTTCATGAACACCATGCCTACCTACAACATGCAAGTATTTCCAAATAAAACACTTTATATTAACTTGACCCTTTGCAATTCAGACTAATGCTGATGACTGAGAATCATTTACTGGATGTATTACAGTTCTCAAGTAATTAGTTATAAGCTATTTTCTTTCCCCTTTAATTATAAAATATTCTGAGTTACAGCCTCAAACCCAACATTAAGAACTAAGTAATTTTTTATTAAAGTTAAGCCATGATCCCAGCAAACAAAGTATCCATCACTCAAAGGAATTAAGCTAATTCCTTTCCCCTTATTTAGTTCATCCTGGTAAAAAGATTTAACATAATCCCATTTTAAAAATGCTCAGAATCTTGATAAATGGGACAAAAGCAGAGAAGTTCCTAATGTTGTACAGCATTCGAAATTAAAATAGCATTGTGGTCCCATTTTCAGCTATTAAAAAGTTAATGAAATAAGCAGCTTGGAGGAAACCAGCATCACGGAGTTTAATTCTTTTTATTTTAAAGATAAAAGAGCCAGAATCGGAATTCATGTAATGCCAAAACATTTCATGAATCCATTAAGTCCTCTGAGCACTTTACATTTTCTTCTCATTCATTACTCATTAATAGCTTATCTGAAACTTATTATCTCCTTAAAAGGTTAGAAAACAAATGCTTAGCTTAGGGGATTAAGTATCTTGCCCAAGTGATTCGGGTCTGTTTGTCTTTGAATTCCATCCTTAACCATTCAAATCTTAGAAGTTAGAAGGGTTATTTTTAATATATCCCAGAGTTTACAGCACTGTGTTTATTAAGAGGAATTAACCTCATAAAGCATTAAAGATTGCTAGATGCAATCCTTAGAATTGTAGGTGGTTAATATAGTTATTTAATAACCATAATATATTTGTTTCCAACTTTAAATATCCACATCCAAATTTCTAGTGATCTAATCTTCAAAACACTTTTAGTTTGGAATACCTTTTATTATTATTAACAAACCTTAAATACAGATGAGCCCAAAAAAGGATCTTTATCAATGAGCATACACAACAAATTCACAACTGGCCTGACATTTCAGCTGAAAACAGCCACGGTGACAGACTTTTTATTTACTGTTAACTAATTATACATGTGTAACTTAGTATTCATCAGAACTTTACAATTTTAAGTAAATATGTATTTAGCAAATACTGTAACAGCCCAGACACTTGTTAAGCTTTCTTAGGTATTTGGGCACTACAATGTCATCTTTTTCAAGCACTCTAGTGCTTTCATCCAGTTTGCGTTGACTGGCATACAATTTAGAAACTCTGATAGTTTAACAGAAAATAGTCAGTATGCCTAGTAAAAGCAAATTTTTACTTATTTGTCTATGCACTGTATTTTCACTTTACTAGTATTCAATGCCAATATCCTTAATTCAATACTTTTTAACCAATCATTAAAAAAATAAAAATTCACAATTCAAATCACTCAAGTTAAACTGCCATCTGAATACCCAGAGAATAACCCTCAAACCAAAATCATAACTATAGTTACATACTAAGGACTTCTGTAGCGGCCTCTAAATCTTCGATCTCGACTTCTTGAGCGGCTCCGTCGCCTCTCTTTGCTTCTACTTCGCTTTCTTTCACGGCTTTTGCTCTTTTTCCTTTCTCTGTCTCTACTTCGCTTCCGTTCCTTACTTTTGCTTCTCTTTCGTTCATGACTACGACTTCTGCTCTTGCTTTTTTTCCTCCTGAGAAGAAAAAAACTCGCCATTATCATGCTGGCTTAAGAACCCACCAAAATATACTACCTTTTATGGCCAGAATCATTTTTTCATCCTTTCATAAATTTCTTTGGCTAGTTTTACTATGATACAATGGTACATAATCATACTTAAAAAAAAAAAAAAATCCTGTAATCTCAGCACTTTGGTAGGCCGAGGCAGGCAGATCACAAGGTCAGGAGTTCAAGACCAGTCTGGCCAATGTAGTGAAACCCCGTCCCTAATAAAAATACAAAAATTAGCCGGGCATAGTACCGTGCGCCTGTAGTCCCAGCTACTCGGGAGGCTAAGGCAGGAGAATTGCTCAAACCCGGGAAGCGGAGGTTGCAGTGAGCCAAGATCCCGCCACTGGTACTCCAGCCTGGGCGACAGAGTAAGACTCTGTCTAAAAAAATTGCTACGTATAGTAAACAATATCCCTTTTGCCTTATATTAACATTACTGAAAATCAGCAGACAAGACATTATTTGAAAGACACCATCCTCTAAGAGTAGAACTGCAATTATCTCCTGAGAGTTAGCTATAGCTTTAACAAGCAAAAGGGCTTGTTGGCAAATACAAATCAAAATGTGAACCTTTAAATAGTTTGTCATACAACAGGCCAACAAAAGCATTACTGTAATCCACAAAATAAATTAATAAAACAAACTTACAATAGAATATTTTCACATTCAAGTACTAGTACTGGTTCATTTATAAAAATTTTCATCAAATATAGTAATTTACCATTAAGTCAATTTTGCCCCCATTTACATATGGAAATATTTAACACGTTCAAAGGGTCACATAGACATCAACATTTTGGTTTTCATGGGCAAAACCGTAATGACAAAGGACAATAAGAACTAATGCAGGCCAGTGCAGTGGCTCACGCCTGTAATCCCAACCCTTTGGGAGGCCGAGGCAGGCAGATCACTTGAGGTCAGGAGTTTGAGACCAGCCCGGCCAACACGGTGAAATCCCCTCTCTACCAAAAATACAAAAATTAGCCAGGCCTGATGGTGCATGCCGGTAATCACAGCTACTTGGGAGGCTGAAGCAAGAGAATTGCTTGAACCCGGGAGGTGGAGGTTGCAGCAAGCTGAGACCATGCCATTGCACTCCAGCCTGGGCAAAAAGAGCAAAACACCATCTCAAAAAAAAAAAAAAAAACCCAACTCCAAGTGCGGTGGCTCACACCTGTAATCTCAGCACTTTGGGAGGCTGAGGAAGGCAGGTCACCTGAGGTCAGGAGTTCAAGACCAGCCTAGTCGACACGGTGAAAACCCATCTCTACTAAAAAATGCAAGAAGTAGTGGGTCGTGGTGGCACAGGCCTGTAGTTCCAGCTACTGTGGAGGCTGAGGCAGGAGAATCGCTTGAACCTGGGAGGCAGAGGTTGGAGTGAGCCGAAATCATGCCACTGTACTCCAGCCTGAGCAACAGAGCAAGACTGTCTCCAAAAAAAAAGAAAAAGAAAAAGAACTAACGCATTAAAATACAATTTGACATTCCTAGACTTTAATGTGACCATTTCAAATACTTCCTAAAGTTACAATGAATACACCAGAAAATGGAGTATGCCATTTTTAAGCCAGTTTATAGAAACCTGTGGGATGCAATCAAAACCAATGATCAACTTGACCTTCACAGACCTTTTTAAAATCTCTAACTAAAAACCAAAAAAGCCAAACATATCTTTCTGCTCACTTCCGTAGTCTTCACAGTATACCACCCATTCATAATTAAATCTTATAATCTATACCTCTGTGTCATCACCCAAATTTTAGAGGTGCCTTCAGATATTTCAATATAAATTGAAAGACATTTCAAAATCAGTTTATTCCACGAAAATGTCTATTTGTAGTGGCTTAATGATTAAACATTTTGACAATTCTGTATCATTATCTGGATATGTAATTGTTTATTCCTTATCAAAGCAAAGTTACATATCACAAGAGCAACTGAGGTCTGCCTCAGAGAACCTGTAAGCAGGTCATCTTTAGAGTGCATTGAAAATAGAAAATGAAGACACCCACCTTCTGGAATCTTGAAACCCACACTCCAATCACAAGGAGATGTAGAGCTTTCCAAGGAGGCAGAAAGTTTGTCTAAAATTTCAAGATAATCCACCTGACTGTCAGAAATGTATATGCTAGGTAGCACATGACAGAAAATTAGGCTACACTCATTATTTATATAGAACTCATCAAAGCCATGCCCAGATGGGCAATAGGTAACACTCCAATTTTGTTGCCTAAGAAACCTAACACTATCTCTGTGACACTATTCCAACTATAGAACTCTGAGATTTCTAAAACCAAAAGTCCTAAATATATTCAATTAGGGAACAAGGTAAAAAGTAACTCCATCCCCCTCAAAAACAAAGTTTTTGTTCTGCTCTAGATGGGCTATAGCAAGAGAGGCAACCAACCTATTTACCTCTCATAGGACCCAAAACTTATTCTGCCAAAAGAAAACACTTGAAAATTGGAGAGCTAATTTTAACTTAAGGTCTTCTAGGACTTTTTGTAAACAAGTCCTCACCCACATCTGAAGGCAACCCCAGGCAGGTAAAAAGACAGCAACATACTAAGACATTCAGAAAATACAATCTTTTGCATAAAAGCCCAGAGAAAACTACAAGGGTGCAAGAAACCAGTATATTTCCAGCTTCAAAGAGCATTTATTACATTAACTAAAGAAGGGTTATCGAAATCCACACTAATAGTCAAATCCTGTTACAACTTAAAAGGGACTTTCCAAAGTCTTTAATGGCAGTGAAATTTTGTACTGAACATCACTGAAGTAAATGGTCCACTGGGCTGGGCCTTTGGACTTTTTGGTTATATGGCCTCTGCAGTAAAGGTGTTTTGCTATAACTGGATTTGACCTCTTCCATGTAAGAAGATCTAAATTTTTAATGCAAAGTATTCTGGAAAATAAGAAAAAAAATAGAAAAGTCATTTATTCCAAAATTTATAGATAATCCACACCACAGTAGCCAATATATTTCAACTGTGTCATTTTAATGTTATCTTTTATTGAGTAATTCTCTAAAGAGCTTAACGGAATGGACGCTGATTTAGACTTTGCAAAACTGGTTACTTTAACAAATAATATTCCCATGAGGGCAAGCTCAAGCACTTAGGATGCATACCTTGACATATGCAAAAACTCAGGTTTACAGCTCTTCAGAAAATAGGTTGACAACCAGTCTGTGTCACAATAACTTTGTTCCTTTTACTATTCTAGGATACTATGAAGTGTATGTTAAGAATCAGAATTATACAATTAAAAAAATTTATACTCAGTCAACTGTTTCTCAGAACATGCCATTTTTCTACTACCTAACAAACTATAGCTCAATGTGGCTTTTAAGACAATGAAGTTTTAGAATGAAAAATGCAACACGGCACTTTCCTTTGGTTAAGAAATTTAATTTAGTACTAAAGGTTTAAAGCAGAGTGTTCTGTATGTTTTATATCTATTCCTAAATACAAAAATTTTCTTCCAGGTAACTTTAAAATTAATTTGAAACATAAAGTTCCTTCAGAAAATCAAGAGTCCTGATTGAACAAGGGAATCATTTATTTATCACCTATAATTGACGAGAAGTCTGACTGGAAAGTATTTTAAGATTACCAAAGTGTTTTGAAAGGATCTTCCCTTAGACAATCTCATGGTTAAAGAAAATTGTCCATTCTCCTATTTAGTCCTGTGGTTCTCTACATTAGACAAAGGCCACCGAATATCACACATGGAGAACTTGATGCTCAGCTTCCTTGTAAAAGCTTGTAGCCTTAATCAGCTTATACACAGGATAAAAACAAGTAGACACCGGAGATGACCTTAGTGGCAAAAAGCGACATGAGACAATGGTACAGTAACGAAGGTCTGTACCCAAAAGTGTACGTTCTTATCCTTCTGGCACTTGAAGCGAAATCTTTAGCCACTCGGCCTGACACCTAAATTGGATAATTTATGTCAATTTATATGGATACACCTTCCTGGGTTTTCTTTTGATTAGAGAATTGCAAAACAAAAACATTAGGAAACCATTACTGTGGCAGAAAGTCTAAAACCAGATGACATAAACCATACCTCTGGTTGGTTGCATCAGATCCCACATCAAGACTAAACCCAACCTGATCCCCACAATTTCTTGTGATTGGTGAGGAACTATAAATGACTCCCATCCAAGCTTATACCAGAAAAAAGGAGCACATTTTCTACAAATTATATCATTTTTAATCCATTACCACATTATTTTAGGGGAACTACAAAAAAAAAAAATAGTGGCTTAACAAGCCCTGAATAACATTATATATTTTCTCATCTGTTTTATGAAATTTTATCAACCTACCTAACACAGTTGTAGTGAGAAAGACTGACATACTTACTATGAAGCATTTAGGGATCTTAGGAGGAAAAGAGCCAAAAAGAAATCAAATAAATGGCTATTTTTCTCTCGTTTTTCATTAACATAAGGTCGTAAGTATGACAGATTTTTATGTTTGTTTGAGACGGAGTCTCGCTCTGTCTCCAGGCTGGAGTACAATGGCATAATCTCAGCTCATTACAACCTCTGCCTCCCAGGTTCAAGCGATTCTCCTGCCTCAGCCTCCCGAGAGTAGCTGGGACTACAGGCGTGCACCACCACGCCCAGCTAATTTTTGTATTTTTAGTAGAGACGGGGTTTCACCATGTTGGCCAGGATGGTCTCGATCTCCTGACCTTGTGATCCACCCGCCTGAGCCTCCCAAAGTGCTGGGATTACAGGTGTGAGCCACCACGCCAAGCCCAGACTTTTTTTTTAAGACGGAGTCTCAGTTGGGTCCATGTCTCACGCCTGTAATCCCAGCACTTTGGGAAGCCAAGGCGGGCGGATCATGAGGTCAAGAGATGGAGACCATCCTGGCCAACATCGTGAAACCCTGTCTCTACTAAAAACACAAAAATTGGCTGGGCATGATGGCTCACGCCTGTAATCCCAGCACTTTGGGAGGCCAAGGCAGGTGGATCACGAGGTCAGGAGTTGAAGACCAGCCTGGCCAGGATGGTGAATCCCCATCTCTACCAAAAGTACAAAAATTAGCCAGGTGCGGTGGCAGGCACCTGTAATCCCAGCTGCTCGGGAGGCTGAGGCGGAAGAATCGCTTAAGCCCGGGTGGCAGAGGTTGCAGTGAGCCAAGACTGCGCCACTGCACTCCAGCCTGGGCAACAGACTGAAACTCCATCTCAAAAAAAAAAAAAAAAAAAAATTAGCCAGGCGTGGTGGCAGGAACCTGTAATCCCAGCTACTCGGGAGGCTGAGGCAGGAGAACTGCCTGAACCCAGGAGGCAGAGGTTGCTGTGAGCTGAGATCGTGTCATGGCGCTCCAGCCTGGGTGACAAAAACGAAACTCTGTCTCAAAGAAAAAATAAAGACAGAGGCTGGGCACGGTGGCTCACACCTGTAATCCCAGCACTTTTGGAGGCCAAGGCAGGCGGATCACAAGGTCAATTCTGGCTAACACAATGAAACCCTGTCTCTACTAAAATTACAAAAAATTAGCCAGGCATGGTGGCAGGCGCCTGTAGTCCCTGCTACCTGGGAGGCTGAGGCAGGAGAATAGCATGAACCCAGGAGGCGGAGCTTGCAGTGAGCAGAGATCACACCACTGCACTCCAGCCTGGGCAACAGAGCAAGACTCCGTGTCAAAAAAAAAAAAAAAAAAAAAAAGGCCAGGCGCGGTGGCTCACACCTGTAATCCCAACACTTTGGGAGGCCACAGCAGGAGGATCATGAGAGGTCAGGAGATGGAGACCATTCTGGCTAACACGGTGAAACTCCCTCTCTACTAAAAATAAAAAAAAAATTAGCCAGGCGTGATGGCGCGCGCCTGTAGTCCCAGCTAATCGGAGGCTGAGGCAGGGGAATCACTTGAATCTGGGAGGCAGTGGTTGCAGTGAGCCGTGATAGAACCACTGCACCCCAGCCTGGGCGACACTGCCAGACTCCATGTCAAAGAAAAAAAAAAAAATCAAAGAATCACTTGAACCCAGGAGGCGGAGGTTGCAGTGAGCCCAGACTGCGCCACTGCGCTCCAGCCTGGGCTACAGAGCAAGACTCCGACTCACAAGAAAAGAAAAAAAAAAAGTGGATCTCATCATATCTGTTACCTAAGACTTTTCGTACACTGTTTTCTGTACTAGTCTATAGCAGAGTTCTATTGAGTCACTCATCTTACCCAAATAAAGTGTACAGATATATTCATAATTTCCAAAATCCCCACCCTGTTAAGTCTAGAGTTTAAAAGGCCTAAGATAATGAAAGCCACCTTTAGAAGTACTTAAGTACCTGTTCCATCACTTCCAAAAGGGCCTCTGAGCAGCAAGTTGCAGAAATAATTCACAGCTTTGACTCCTTCGGCACTTTAGGGCAAACAATACTTTCCATGGCCTAGTTATCACCTAATTTAACTCTTTCTACCTTTTAAGATCAATGGATATATAACAGTTTTATCAGTAAGATAACCAAATATCAAACCAAAGTTAACAAATTTAAAACAAGACAACCTCTAATACAGAACTTGTCACCAGATTGTCATGATGGACTTGGAGGGGAAGGTATCTGAAACTATATTCTGAAATCTAAGCAAAAAAATCCACAGTTCCTCCAAGAGTTTGTCTCAAAAGGCAAAGAACCAATTTTCTAAAAGCAGCAAAGAAAAGCTTCAGAAGAGAATTTTGTATACTTTAGCCACAGGAACACAACTTAAGGTCTAAAACCACAAAAAAGCTCACCACCCTCCCCCAAGCCCCTTCTTAAAACTCACTTTTTGCTACGTTCTTCATGGCCGTTGGCACTGCTCAACTTGTTCTCATCCTAAGCAGGGTTGATAGAAGAACATCATGAGGACGAAGTGGTAACATTTCAAGTTGTCAAAGGGTAAAGGGAACAGGAATAAGAAAATACAAAACAATTTTAAAACTAATTATTTACTTATAGTTTAACATGGAAGGCTATAAAAAAATTTAGATGGGTATGTGTTTAACCACTTTGTTGCTTACATTTAAGTCATCAAGATACAAAAATAAAAAAATTTTCCATATTAACATGTTAAATTTTACTTTCTTATATAGTTTAGATATTAAAAGTTATCCAGATTTACAATGTTGAAGTGGTTAAATATAATTTCCATAAAACATGAAGTCCTGTTTTGAGTTTTATTCCATGTGCTATGGTCCCTTTGGTCAGTACCATGGCTCTATTTCTGCCTAAGCCCCAAGTGGCCATGCTAGCAGCCAGCCACTATCGATTTCCTGTGACCGATGCCATTCCTGAGATCTTCGCCCATTTCCGTTGGAGGGTTGGGACTGTAAGAGCTTGATGCCACCTCTGTCACACATCTCGCCCTGAAGCAAACAGGGATTCACACTGCTTTAGTAATGTTGACTCCCAAGAACCCAAGAAAGTCAATTAATAATCCACCAAGTCCAGCCTAAACATTTCCTACTTCCATACCTGTTTACATGGAATTACATCCATGTTAAAAAAAACTAAGACACAAGAATCTTAACATTAAAACAGAAAGTAGCTCTTCAAGAGTCTAAGCATTACAAAATTACATACACTATTTAAATCTATCAAGAATTCATCCAAATTGGTACCACATGGTCGTGCTATACAATCCAAAACAAATGTATTATTTTTAAAAGGTTTAGTGAAATGTTTATTTTAAAGTTTGATTACATCAGCTATAGGAGTAAAGTGCTAACTTACAAAGCTTACAGTTTGTGACACCAGTGATAATGCATGCATACTGCTATTTTCACCACCAACTGGTGAAACAATGAAAAGACAGTTTACTTTTACTGAGATACCGAAATGAGTCAAAGACTATATTAGCCAATATAATTCCTTTGTTTTTAGTGTGAAATACTATGGTAGGGCCTAATTAAAAATAAAAACAATATGGAGAACAGTAAAACAGTCATCAAGTGACTCTAAGCTTGTATTTACTCTAAGCTTGTATTAAGCTTGTATTGACTCTACTGCCTCTTGTATTTTTTTTTTTTAATTTCTATTCAGGGATCCAAGAATTTTAGTAATTATTAACTGAGCAGCAGATTGCCACTGGACTGTTTTAAGATTTACTATCACCAGTCTTACATAGATACATAAATTTTAAAATCTCACCCATTTCTTCTTATAAGACTGTTAGAAGATTTAACTTGCCACAGACTGGTCATGCTTTGTTATTCTTGGACCCCTGCTTTTTCCCAAACCACTACATTCACCTTTTTGCTATACCAAACTGGAGGTGGTAATTCTTAGTTGAGTCATTTTACCTAGGGGACCACGGTACAGCGATAAGTCACTCAATTACTACCTTATGATTGACAGTTCACACTGGAATCAAAGGTGAATTCATGGGAGTAGAGGTGAGATATCGTTAGGCAAGTCTACAAAGAGAGATAGATGGGCATTTATTCATCACGCTGAAGTGAAACTACTGCACAATATTATTACATCAATAGCATATATTTACTTTTGTAAGTTACACGTAATGCATCTCTGATAAGATAAATCAAGAGGGCTCCGGGGAGGTTAGTTTACATTTCAGCAGTAGTTTCGTGAATAATGCTAAATTAAGAAATATATAAACCTCACCGACATGTTTTTTCTCACCTTCTTGTAAGGAGCCTCAAGCATTGCTTCAATATCAATATCGTCTGCCATTTTCTCTAAACGCCTAGGAAGAGAACAAGACAATTTCTTGAGTAAACATTTCTCTTACAATGTGAAACAAGTTTCACTCTTGTTGCCTATATCGTCTAACATTTTCTCTAAACGCCTAGGAAAAGAACAAGACGATTCCGTGAGTAAACATTTTTCTTTTTTTTTTTTTTTTTTTTTGAGACGGAGTTTCGCTCTAGTTGCCCAGGCTGAAGTGCAGTAGCGCGATCTCGGCTCACTGCAAGCTCCGCCTCCCAGGTTCCAGCGATCCTACCACCTCACCTCCCGAATAGCTGGGATCACAGGCGCCTGCCACCACGCCCGGCTAATTTTTGTATTTTTGGTAGAGACGGGGTTTCACCATGTTGATGAGGTTGGTCTCGAACTCCTAACCTCAAGTGATCCGCCTGCCTCTGCCTCCCAAACTGCTGGGATTACAGGCGTGAGCCACCGCGCCCGGCCTGGTAAACGTTTTTCAAATCGACTGAATTTTTCTTCTCAGCCGACACACTCGAAAACTTAAGAAAAACCTCCAAAAGCCCTACAATTAATGACTAAAGTGACATGCACTTTAACCAGGTTTGGCTTACGTAAGTAAATCCAAAACGCCTCTTACACGAAACACACGAAAATGAAGACTTCAATATCCAATATTTAAAACTCTGCTGTCAACTCCAAAAACAGAAACTGGGAGACCCGAACGAGAGCGCCTCTTTCCGGGCAAAAACCCGCGCTGCCATTTTAGGGGCAAAGAGAAACTCCCTCCATTGGGAGGGGTTATGAGCCAAGGCAGCGTTCAACTGGCGCCATGTTGGGAGGTCGCGGCCGGCCCAGGCCTCGAAGGAGACAGGTCACCATTCTACCGCGGCCTCTCGGGGGTCCCTACCGCCCCAAGAATCCAGACTATACCCGACTGGAAAATAAGGGCGCGGTCACTGAAACAGGGCCGATTTCTCGAAAACCACCCCCCACCCCGGTCGCTAAAGACCTCCAAAAGCGCCCCTCAGCCCAAAATGGAGCCAAACCTCGAGAAAGCTGAGATAATACGCGGGTCCGCAACGCCCCGTACCTGTTCCGGCCTTCGGGCGCCTGTGGTGCTCGTGTTCGGGAAGAGATTGCTGCTGCTGCTGCTGCTGCTGCCGCCGCCGCCGCTTCTGTTGCTACTGTTAAGCCCCTAGGCCCAGGCCGCGGAACCGCCCAGCCCGAATATCGGGTTCCAAGGACGGCTAGGCCCGAGAGAATCTAAAAAAAACAATGGAATTAGAGAAGCCCACGCGGGAGAGCAGGACGGCGGCTTCGGCAGCTCAGGATCCACCCCTGCGACAGCGTCGACAAGCTCCCTGAAATGGCGGCCGCTGCTTCCCTGTACTCACATTCACCAGCACACATACACACACACAAACACACGGGGCCTCACAGAGCCCTCAGCACGGGCTCTCGCGAGAAGCTGCCCCAAGCTCCAAATTTGAGCGGCCGAAGTATCGCGAGACCTAAGTATGGCTCCGGCGACCGTAGCCCAATCTCGCGCAATGATTGCGCCACAGATATTCCCATCCCCCATTCAGTGAGGCGCCTTTCACTCCCCCTCCGCGTAAGCACCCAAATCTCGCGAGACAGAGCGGGTCTCTAGGGCAAAGACAGTTGGTAGGCTGCCTGTCAATCTTTCAGAGAGCTCTTCGCTGAGTGGAGCTCAGCGGTCACCTCCCCCTCGTGGCGCCTCCTCACGGCCATCTGAAGATTCCTCCGGCACAGCCGATCGCCCCCGCTCCGGCCTCCCACACAGATGGCTGTCAAGGTCGCCATAAGGCAACCTAGTCCTTATGGCGATAGGATAAAACGGCCATATTCAGATTATCCGCTGAGGGTGGAGAGGAAGTGGAAAAGTGTATCAGAAGGCCAGAAGAAGAGATCTTTAGGGGTAGGGGGAGAGGGGGAGATAATAAAAATAGATTTCCCTGTCATTTGGAGCCAATGGCGCGGCCTCCACTGTCGAGCTTTGAAACAACCTTGGAAATAGTGGAGAAAAGCAAAAAAAAGGTGGAAAAAATAAACTCTTGCTTCCCTTGGCATGGGATCAGTTTTGTGCCCCGAATTTAATCAGCTCTTGTGTCAGGGTTGCTACCGTTCCTTCAAAAATGTTCCCCTTCCTGAATATTACTGGACGATTTGGTGAAAAAATAAGACACCCCCCCAACAAAAAAAAAAAGGCCCCCTTCCCCCTGGGACCTGGCTCCTCTCCCCTGAAGTCTTCTAGATGCCAGGTAATTAGAGTATGAATTAGCCATTTGTTCTTTGGTCAGTACTGTGTGAGGTTTCCTCCTAGATGCTGGGAAAAAAAACTGGAAAGAAGTCTTCAAAGCAAAAATCTTACCCTCTAATCTTAACAGTCTAATGATTGAGGGCAGAAAAGATTGGAAATGAGACGCCTTGATTAGTGTAACTAGCTGCTGCAACACTGTGTGACCTTGGACAAGCAAATTAACCTCTCAGAGGGGATCTTTCATTTCCTGATTTAAAAGAGGACGTACTTAGTAGCTAGTCTAAGCTACTTGAGACTGAGGAAGGCAGGTAATGCTCAGTACTGAATTTTTAGAGGTTAGCAGGGCATGTCTGCCCAAGTGGACCCTCAGTAAATTAATGAATGAAGGCTCAGAAGGGCTATAGTGAAGATTAAATGATATAATGTCTGTAAAACGCCTGGTAAATATTTGATCTTCAAAACAGCTAACTTCTGTTTCTGCTAAACAAAATTATTTAGAGCAAATATAGATGTTAAGTGGTTTTGCCTCTCAGGTTAACTTTACACACAGGTTAGGATTTATCTTAGAGGATTATTAATAACAGTTATTTTGTAGTTAGAATACTCCCTTAATCCTTTTTCTGAAAATTCAGATCCTCTTTTTATTTTATTTCTGAGACAGTCTCGCTCTGGAGGCTGGGCGCAGTGGCTCATGCATCTAATCCCAGCACTTTGGGAGGCCGACGCGGGTGGACCGCCTGAGGTCAGGAGTTCAAGACCTGACCAACATGGCGAAACCCTGTCTCTACTAAAAATAAAAAAAAAACTAGGTGGCAGGCGCCTGCAATTCCCAGCTACTCGGGAGGCTGAGGCAGGAGAATCACTTGAACCTGGGAGGCAGAGGTTGCAGTGAGCTGAGATCATGCCATTGCACTCCAGCCTGGGTGACAGAGATCGAGACTCCATCTCAAAAAAAAAAGAAAGAAAAAGAAAGAAAAGAAAACTGTCACAGGAAATTGAAGCATAATATGTCAGAAATAAAGCAAGCTAACCTTTGCTATCTCTTCCTGCCCCTCGGTAATTCCAGTATTATGACTAGTGCAAAATGAAAGCATGAAGATGGCACTTGGTTTTTCTTGTTTGTTTAGGAACATGACATGACAGAATTTGACCTTAACCGCTAGACTTCTTGTTTGGGAAGAGGAAGGATTTAAGCTCTAAGTCGCTTGATGATTTAAGGTCCCTTAAATAGTTTTCTGCTCAAGGACCATCAGAGGCAATATGGCAACTTAGCAGATCATCAAGAAAAGCCGTTTGGAAAAATCAAGTTTCTGAAACAAGTATTTTTTATGTTTAAAAGAAAATATCCCCAGGCATGGCGGCTCATGGCCTGTTATCCCAGCACTTTGAGAGGCCAAGGCAGGAGGATTGCTTGAGTCCAGGAGTTTGAGACCAGCCTGGACAATATAGCAAGACCCTGTCTCTACAAAAAATTTAAAATTAGCCAGACGTGGTGATGCATGTCTGTAGTTCCAACTACTCAGGAGGCTGAGATGGGAGGATAGCTTGGGCCCAGGACTTCAAGACTGCAGTCAGCTAGAATCACGTGCCACTTCACCCCAGCCTGGGCTGCAGAGCAAGACCCTGTCTCTTAACACAAAAGAAAATATCACGAACATAAGATGCTTCTCATTCACTTTACAAAACTTCACTAACT
This sequence comes from Homo sapiens, assembly GCF_000001405.40. Classification (NCBI taxonomy): domain Eukaryota; kingdom Metazoa; phylum Chordata; class Mammalia; order Primates; family Hominidae; genus Homo; species Homo sapiens. The sequence continues at coordinate 35,744,828 of NC_000020.11, forward strand.
CTGGTTCATGAACTTTCTATGTAAATTAATTCCCCTTTCATCATTTTGCTTTCAAAAGATGGAGGAATAGAGCTTGAAATAGAGCCAAAAAGGTAATGAATATACTTAGAGAATTTGGCTGAAAACTAAATGTATTTTACCAATGTGGATTTTTAATTTTTTAATTATTAAGGGTACATTTTAAATGTATATGTTTATCAGATACATGTGGTTTGGTTTTGTTTTGTTTTTTGTCCCCAACAATCTACAGCAAGTAGAATTGTTTCGTTTTTTAATTGAGACAGGGTCTCACACTGTCCCACAGGCTGAAGTGCAGTGGCAACATCATAGATTACTGTAACCTTGCATTCCTGGGCTCAAGCAATCCTCCCAGCTCAGCCTCCCAATTAGCTAGAAAAACAAGTGCACATCACCATGCCCAGCTTAATTTTTTAAAAATTTTTTGGGCTGGGTGTGATGACTTACTCCTATAATCCCAGCACTTTGGGAGGCCGAGATAGGTGGATCACCTGAGATTGAGGGTTTGCAACCAGGCTGACCAACATAAAGAAACCCCGTCTCTACTAAAAATACAAAATTAGCCAGGCGTGGTGGCGCATGCCTGTAATCCCATCTATTTGGGAGGCTGGGGCAGGAGAATCACTTGAACCTGAGAGGCGGAGGTTGCAGTGAGCCGAGATCACGCCATTGCACTCCAGCCTGGGCAACAAGAGCGAAACTCTTTCTCAAAAAAAAAATTTTTTTTTGTAGAGATTTGGGCTTCAAATGTGATGTTTTGATAAAGGCATATTATGTGTAATAATCAAATCAGAGTAATTGGGGTAATCCATCACCTCAAGCATTTAACATTTCTTTTCTTTTTTTTTTTTTTTGAGACAGAGTTTCACTCTTGTTGCCCAGGCTGGAGTGCAATGGCGCGTTCTTGGCTCACGCTCTCTCTCTCTCTCTATATATATATATGTGTGTGTGTGTGTGTGTGCATGTGTGTATATATATGTATATATATATATTTTTTTTTTTTTCGAGATGGAGTCTCGCTCTGTCGCCCAAGTTGGAGTGCAATGGCACAATCTCAGCTCACTGCAACCTCCGCCTCCCAGGTTCAAGCAATTCTCCTGCGTCAGCCTCCCAAGTAGCTGGGATTACAGGAGCATGCCACCACACCCGGCTAATTTTTTGTATTTTTGGTAGAGATGGGGTTTCATCATGTTACCCAGGCTGGTCTCGAACTCCTGACCTCAAGGGAATTGCCTGCCTCGGCCTCCCAAAGTGCTGGGATTATAGGCGTGAGCCACCTCGCCCGGCCTTTTTCTTTCTTGAAACAGTGTCACTTTGTCACCCATGCTAGAGTACAGCGGCAAAATCACAGCTTACTGCAGCCTTGACCTCCTGAGCTCAAGAGATCCTCCCATCTCAGCCTCCCAAGTAGCTGGGACTACAAGCACATGCCACCAGGCCCAGGTAATTTTAGTATTTTTTGTAGAGTTGGGTTTTTGCCATGTTGTCCAGGCTGGTCCCCAACTCCTGGCTCAAGGGATCCTCTCCTCTATGCCTCCTTAAGTGCTGGGATTACAGGCGTGAGCCAGCATGCCTGACCCTTTTTTTTTCCCCATATCACTAGGACAATGGGAAACTTAAGCCCATTTCATATAGATGTAATTAATTTTAACACTCATGTGACCTTTGCCTGATTTAGGCAGATGAAATTGTATCTCCCCACCCAGGTTCCTTCTGCACTTGATTATCTCATCAATCTACTGACTGATTGAATTGTTTTAAATACTTGCCTGTCTATTGGCACAATGTCAAGGGTATTCTAGTGACATATCCAAAGGTTTTAACTTAAATTTGTGAATCATGTTTTTTGAGACAGTCTTGCACCATCTCCCAGGCTGCTTGGAGTGCAGAGACTTAGTTATGGTTTACATGGTTTACTGCAGGCTCAAACTCTTGGCTTAGCTTCCCGAAGTGAATCATTAGGTTTTTTTTTTTTTTTTTTGAGATGGAGTCTCGCTCTGTTGCCCAGGCTGGAGTGCTGTAGCGCAACCTTGGCTCACTGCAACCTCCGCCTCCTGGGTTCAAGCGATTCTCCTGCCTCAGCCTCCTAAGTAGCTGGGATTACGGGCACCTGCCACCATGCCTGGCTAATTTTTTTGTAGAGATGGGGTTTCACCATGTTGGCCAGGCTGTTTTTGAATTCCTGATCTCAGGTGATCCACCCACCTTGGCCTCCGAAAGTGCTGGGATTACAGGCATGAGCCAACATGCCCGGCCTGTTGCTTGTTTTTTTTGAGACGGATACTCACTCAATCCACCCAAGCTGGAGTGGAGTGCAGTGGCTTGATCTCAGCTTACTTCAGTCTCCTTCTCCCAGGTTCAAGTGATTCTCCTGCCTTAGCCTCCCAAAGCAGCGGGACCATAGGTATGCGCCACCACTCCCGGCTAATATTTGTATTTTTAGTAGAGACGGGGTTTCACCATGTTGACCAGGCTGATCTTGAACTCCTGACCTCAGGTGATCCGCCCACTTTGGCCTCCCAAAGTGCTGGTATTACAGGCGTGAGCCACCACACCCAGCTTGGTTTTTTGTTTTTTTGAAATAGTCTCACTCTGTTGCCCACGCTGCAGTGCAGTGGCAAGATCTCAGCTCACAGCAACCTCCACCTCCTGGATTCAAGCAATTCTCATGTCTCAGCCTCCTGAGTAGCTGGGATTTCGACCAAGTGGGCCCAGGTAATTTTTGTATTGTTAGTGCATATGGGGTTTTGCCATGTCGACCCAGCTGGTCTCAAACTCCTGGCCTCAAGTGATCAGCCCTCCTTGGCCTCCTAAAGTGCTGGGATTACAGGTGTGAGTCGCCGTGCCTGGCAGAATGATTAGTTTTTAAGAAGAAATCTAGGCCGGGCGTGGTGGCTCAAACCTGTAATCCCAGCACTTTGGGAGGCCAAGGTGGGCAGATCACCTGAGGTCAGGAGTTTGAGACCAGCCTGACCAACATGATGAAATCCCGTCTCTACTAAAAATACAAAAAATTAGCAGGGTGTGGTGGCGGGCGCCTGTCATCCCAGCTTCTCGGGAGGCTGAGGCAGGAGAATCACTTGAACCCGGGAGTTGGAGGTTGCAGTGAGCCGAGATTGCGCCATTGCACTCCAGCTCGGGCGACAGTGGGAGACTGTCTCAAAAAAAAAAGAAGAAATCTTTCAAGGGTACATCCCTGGCCACTTACTTGAGGTTGATACCACATTAACTTTGCTTGGGATCACTGTCAAAAATCCTGTCCTCAAACTCAAGATAATTTCGTTAGATCCGATGTGAACTAGATAGGGAAATAACTGATGCTTTCTGTCAGAGTTTCATCTTTGGTCAAAAAAGTAAAATGTTTTGAACTCATCATAGTTACGGCAATGAAAAAAATTAAGGGGCACTCATAATAGCCCATGTGTCCATTCCATGGCCAAAAGGATTGCCCAAAATGCTACTTTAGATTAAAAATAAAAGCAAAAAGATTCAATACACGGTAACATAAAATGTAATTTACGGCCGGGCGCGGTGGCTCACGCCTGTAATCCCAGCACTTTGGGAGGCCGAGATGGGCGGATAACAAGGTCAGGAGATCGAGACCATCCTGGCTAACACAGTGAAACCTTGTCTCTACCAAAAATTCAAAAAAATTAGCCAGGCATGGTGGCGAGTGCCTGTAGTCCCAGCTACTTGGGAGGCTGAGACAGGAGAATGGCGTGAACCCGGGACGTGGAGCTTGCAATGAGCCGAGGTCATGCCACTGCACTCCAGCCTGGGTGACAGAGCAAGACCCTGTCTCAAAAAAAAAAAAAATGTAATTTACAACACTCATTTAGAGCTTATCAGTGAAATATACTGTTTACTGATTCATTCAGTGTTTATTTAGTACATTAGGTAGGTGAAATACTCATTAAGACAATTTGTGGCCAGGTGCCGTGGCTGATGCCTGCATTCCCAGGACTTTGGAAGGCTGAGGCAGGTGGATCATGAGGTCAGGCGTTGGAGACTAGCCTGGCCAACATAGTGAAAACCTATCTCTACTAAAAATACAAAAAATTACCTGGGCGTGCTGGCGGGCACCTGTAATCCCAGCTATTTAGGAGGCTGAATCCCTTGAACCTGGGAGGCAGAGGTTGCAGTGAGCCGAGATCGCATCACTGCACTCCAGTCCAGGCGATGGTGCGAGACTCCAATTCAAAAAAACAAAAGAAAAAAAAAAGAAAATTTGCGAGCCCACAGCTAATCAAAAGGATAATCCTTTTTCCTTCAAGGGTTTCCAGTTTATTGAGAACACCTGAAGGAATGTAAAACCATATTCAAGATACTGTTTTGCATTGTACTAATAAGATTTTGCATAAACTCAATGCTTTAAACATCAAAAGTCAGGGTCTCGGCCAGGCACGGTGGCTCACACCTATAATGCCACCACTTTGGGAGGCCAAGGCAGAGGATCACTTGAACCCAGGAGTTTGAGACCACCCTGGTCATCATAGCAAGACCCTGTCTGAGAAAAAAGATGGAGTCTGGCAGTGTCGCCCAGCAGGCATTGTTTGGTGGCATGATCATAGTTCATTGCAGCCTCAAACACCTGGGCTCAAGAGATCATCCCACCTCAACCTACCAAGTAGCTAGGACTACAGGCACACGCCACTACACCTGGCTATTTTTTTTCTTTCATAGAGACAGGATCTCTCTGTGTTGCCCAGCCTGGTCTTGAATTCCTGGTCTGAAGCAATCATCCCACCTCAGCCTCCCAAAATGCCGGGATTATAGGTGTGAGCCACCTAACCTGGCTAATAGTATTAATAATAGCATATTTACATAACACTTCACACATTATAAACCTTTTTCTATATAAAAATCCCATTTATTCCTCTATATCAGTTTATTTCCTTTTTTTTTTTTTTTTTTTTTTTGAGCCAGAGTTTTGCTCTTTTGCCCAGGCTGGAGGGCAGTGGTGCGATCTTCACTCACTGCAACCTCCTGGGTTCAAGGGATTCTCCTGCCTCAGCCTCCCAAATAGCTGGGATTACAGGTGCATGCCACCATGCCTGGCTAATTTTTGTATTTTTAGTAGAGACGGGGTTTCACCATGTTGGCCAGGCTGGTCTCGAACTCCTGGCCTCAGGTGATCCGCCTGCCTCGGCCTCTCAAAGTGCTGGGATTACAGGCGTGAGCCACCGCTCCCAGCCTTGTTTATTTCCTTGAATGAAATACATTGAAATGATCAGACTATAATGGAAGTGATCACAGAATCTGCTTCTGAAAGTAGCTGATTTATGTATTTTATCAGAGCAGTTAGGGAGATTTTTTTCCAACATTTTATTATGAATATTCTCAAACAGAGGTTGAGAGAATAGTACAGATGCCCACCATCTATTTTACGTTTAACATTTTTCAATGTTTGCTATATCACATATTCATCTATCCCTTTGTCCATCCATTCATCCAACCTAATTTCTGTGTGCTTTTCAAAGCAAATTGCAGACATCAGTATACTTTATTTCTAAACACTTCAGCATTGCATAATCTTAACTAGAGTTTTTTTTTTAATCTTAACTAGAGTTTAATAGTGTTCACAATATTTTTAAATGACATAATATTTACATATGGCAAAACACACAAATCTTAAATGTACCAATAGATTAGTTCTGACAAATGCTTACAAATCGGGTAATGTTCTGTTAACTTTATTAAGTAAAGAAATAGCAGACACAGGCACAGAGGGTCAGAGAAAGCAGTATATTTTGTCCCAAAATATCCTGATTTGACAACCGGAGAAATGGATAAACCATTGCAAATTAGGAGGCAGAGTATTGTTTAAAAACATCTGCTAACAGAAGCAAAAATAATGCAGTCGGGCACAGCATTGCAAAAGATTTAGGAATTAAGCAAATCTAGCAATAGAGAGGAAGATTCTGCTGACAAGGCATCACATGATGGAGATATACCTTGAAAATGAAGGATGGCAAACAAAAGAAGCATCAACTCAATAGTGGTTTTGAATGAAAGGCATGTGATTTCATGATATGAATGAATGACCTTGTACAATGAATAGCCCAGAAAGACACAGCATCTCTGAAAGGATGTAGCTAATAAACTCATTCTTTTGGGGTCTGAAAAAAATAGGTTCTTAACAGTCATTTTCTGTAAGAGGTCTACAGACATACATCTTGCCCAAACATCTCTAAATAACCAGCTCCCTAGCCTACCTAGGTGGCAGGAACCTGTAATCTCAGCTACTCAGGAGGCTGAGGTGGGAGGACTTCTTGAGCCCCGGAATTCATGTACAGCCTGGGAAACACAGTGAGACTCCATCTCTAAAATAAGTGAAATAAATAACCAGATGCCATCTCAATATATAAATGAAACATCAGAGTTGGAATATGTGCATCATAGACATGAATTGTATGCTATTGTTGTAAAGGAGCAAGGGATGCCGGGCGCAGTGGCTCAAGCCTGTAATCCCAACACTTTGAGAGGCTGAGGTGGGGGGATCACGAGGTCAGGAGTTCAAGACCAGCCTGACCAACATGGTGAAACCCCATCTCTACTAAAAATACAAAAATTAGCCAGGCGAGGTTGTGTGCACCTGTAATCCCAGCTACTCGGGAGGCTGAGGCAGGAGAACTGCTTGAACCCAGGAGGAGGAGGTTGCAGTGGGTGGAGATTGCGCCACTGCACTCTAGTCTGGGCAACAGAGTGAGACTCCATCTCAAAACAAACAAACAAACACAAAAAACCAACATGGGATTTTGGTAAGAATGTGGAGAAATTGGAACCCTTATAGTTTATTGGTATCAATGTTTACATATTAATGATATAGCTGCTATAGAGAACAGTTTGGCAGTTACTCAAAAAGTTAAACATGGAGTTACTCTATGACCCAGCAAATACATTCCTAGGCATAACAAAATAATTTAGAACAGACATTTGGCTGGGCACAGTGGTTCATACCTGTAATCCCAGCACTTTGGGAGGCTAAGGCGGGCAGATCACTTGAAAGGAGTTCGAGACCAGCCTGATCAACAAGGTGAAACCCTGTCTCTACCAAAAATACAAAAATTAGCCAGGCATGGTAGCGTCTATAATCCCAGCTACTTCGGAGGCTGAGGTGGGAGGATCACTTGAACCTAGGAGGTGGAGGTTGCAGTGAGCCAAGATCACACCACTGCACTCCAGCCTGGGAGACAGAGCAAGACTCCATCTCAAAACAAAAAAACAGACAGTCAAATAATTACTCATACACAAGTGTTCATAGCCGCACTGCTCACCATAGCCAAAAAATGAAAACAACCCAAATGCCTACCAACTGATGAATGGATAAACAAAATGTAGTATATTCAGACAATGGAATATTATTCCGCCATAAAAACGAAATACTGATACATGCTATAATGTAGATGAACCTTGAAAACACTATGCTAAGTGAAAGAAGCCAGACACAAAAGGTCACGTATTGCTTGAAACCATTTATATGAAACATCCAGAGTAGATAAATCCATAGAGTCAGAAATCAGATTGGTAGGCCGGGTGCAGTGGCTCACTCCTGTAATCCCAGCACTCTGGGGGGCTGAGGTGGGCAGATCAGGAGGTCAGGAGATCAAGACCATCCTGGTTAACACGGTGAAACCCCATCTCTACTAAAAATACAAAAAATTAGTCGGGCGTGGTGGCAGGTGCCTATAATCCTAGCTACTCAGGAGGCTGAGGTAGGAGAATCTCTTGAACCCGGGAGGCAGAGGTTGCAGTGAGCCGACATAGCACCACTGCACTCCAGCCTGGGTGACAGAGAGAGACTCCGTCTCAAAAAAAAAAAAAAGAAACCAGATTGGTCTTTGCCAGGAGCTGGAGGGAAGGAGGAATGTGGGGTGACTACTTAATGGCTATAAGGTTTCCTGTTGGGGTAATAAGAATTTACCAGAACTAGATCCACCTAGTTAAGAGTTCCAGGTAGTGGTAGCGATAGATGCTCTGGATCGAGTTGTAAAGCCCAAAATGAAAAGAGTCAAGAGATTCCTTGAGAAGAGAGAACCAAAACTCAATGAAAATATTAAAAATGCAATGCTGATTAAAGGGGGAAATGCAAACGCAACAGTGACACAAGTACTTAAAGATGTGTGTGCACTGAAAAAACCATACGGTGTACTGTATAAAAAGAAAAATGTTACAAGACCTTTTGAGGATCAGACATCACTGGAATTACTTTCAAAGAAGTCAGATTGTTCTTTATTCATGTTTGGCTCCTATAATAAGAAGCGGCCAAATAATCTAGTAATAGGTCATATGTATGACTACCATGTGCTGGATATGATTGAATTAGGTATTGAGAATTTTGTCTCTCTAAAAGACATTAAGAACAGTAAATGTCCTGAGGGAACAAAACCCATGCTAATATTTGCTGGTGATGATTTCAATGTAACAGAAGATTACAGAAGACTAAAAAGTCTTCTTACTGATTTCTTCAGAGGCCCCACAGTATCAAATATCTGCCTGGCTGGATTAGAATATGTTCTGCACTTCACTGCACTGAATGGGAAGATTTACTTTCGAAGATATAAGTTGCTGTTGAAGAAATCTGGTTGCAGAACACCACGGATTGAATTGGAAGAGATAGGACCCTCATTGAATCTGGTTCTGAGGAGGACACACCTGGCATCCGATGACCTTTATACATTATCTATGAAAATGCCAAAAGCTCTCAAGCCAAAGAAGAAGAAAAATATCTCCAATGATACTTTTGGTACAACTTATGGAAGGATTCATATGTAGAACGAAGATAAGCAAACTACAAACCAGGAAAATGAAGGGGTTGAAGAAGTGACCTGCAGAAAGGATAACAGAAGACCAGGAGAAAAAGTCAAAAAGAATTTAAAAGAAATTATGGAAAAAAAAAAAAAGAATTTACCAGAACTAGACATTGGAGAAGGTTGCACAACATTGTGGATGTAAATGCCAAGAATTGAACACTTTAATATGATTAATGGTTAATTTTATTTTATGTGAATCTTATCTCAATAAAAAGAGAATAGACTGGGTGCAGTGGTTCATGCCTGTAATCCCAATACTTTGGGAGGCCAAGGGGGAGGATGGCTTGAAATTAGGAGTTCTCAAGGCCAGCCTGAGCAACAGAGAGGAACCCTATCTTTTTTTACTTGTTGTTGTTGTTGTGGTTTTGAGACAAGGGTCTTGCTCTGTCACCCAGGCTAGATTGCAGTGGCCTGGTATGATTGATCTCACTGCAACTCTGCCTCCTGGGTATAAGCAATCCTCCCAGGTGTGGCTGGGATGACAGGTGTATGCCACCATGCCCAGCTAATCTTCATGTCTTTTTTGGTAGAGATAGGGTTTTTCTGTGTTGCCAAGGCTGGTTTCAAACTCTTGGGCTCAAACAATCTGCCTACCTTGGCTGCCTAAAGTGCTAGGATTACAGGGGTAAGCTACCTCTCCTGGCCTTGACCCTATCTTAAAACAAAAACAAAAACAAAAACAAAAAAACCTAGCAGGGCATGGTGACATGCACCTGTAGTCCCAGCTACATGGGAGGACGAAGTGGGAGGATTGCTGGAACCCAAAAGTTTGAGGTGGCAGTCAGCTATGATGGCACTGCTGCATTTCACCCTGGGCAGCAGATTAAGACCCTGTCTCCTAAGGAAAAAAAAAAAAGAAAGATATTTTAAAAAAAGGAAAGAAACAAGGGACCTTCTCAGAACCTCTAGAATCAAGAGCGAGATGCTGGATGATCAATGAAATGAAAACCCTCAGCCAGGCGCAATAGCTCACGCCTGTCATCCAAACACTTTGGGAGGCAGAGGTGGGCAGATCATGAGGTCAGGAGTTTGAGACCAGCCTGGCCAGTATGGTGAAACCCCGTCTCTACTAAAAATACAAAAATTAGGTGTGGTGGCGCGTGCCTGTAGTCCCAGCTACTCGGGAGGCTGAGACAGGAGAATCCCTTGAACCCTGGAGGCAGAGGTTGCAGTGAGCCAAGATCGTGCCACTGTACTCCAGCCTGAGTGACAGAGCAAGACTGCATCTCAAAGAAAAAAAAAAAAACCCACACACAAAAAAACCAAAAGAGACTCAAATCCCTGCTTTCTTCTTCTTCTTCTTTTTTTTTTTTTTTGAGACAGAGTCTTGCTCTGTCGCCCAGGCTGGAGTACAGTGGCGCGATCTCGGCTCACTGCAACCCCCGCCTCCTGGGCTCAAGCCGTTCTTCTGCCTCAGCAGCCCGAGTAGCTAGGATTACAGGCACGAGTCACCACGTCCAGCTAATTGTTTTCTATTTTTAGTAGAGACGGGTTTCACCATGTTGGCCAGGCTGGTCTTGAACTCCTGACCTCAAGTGATCCGCCCACCTCAGCCTCCCAAAGTGCTGGGATTACAGGCATGAGCCACTGTGCCCACCCAAATCCCTGCTTTCAAATACCCACCTCTTCTCATGTCATGGCTACATTCTGCACTTGCAGAATATTGAAGTAATTCCATATATATATATATATATATATATATATATATATATATACACACACATATATATGTATATACATATACATGAATATACATATACATGAATATATGTATATACATATACATGAATATACATATACATGAATATATGTATATTTACGCATATATATTATATATATTTACTACATATGTATTTTATATATATACATATATATATATTTTTTAATTGAGACGGAGTCTCAATCTGTCGCCCAGGCTGGAGTGCAGTGGTGCAATCTGGGCTCACTGCAACCTCTGCCTCCTGGGTTCAAGCAATTCTCTGCTTCAGCCTCCTGAGTAGCTGAGATTACAAGCCCCCACCACCACGCCCAGCTAATTTTTTTGTATTTTTAGTAGAAATGGGTTTCACCATCTTGGCCAGGCTGGTCTTCAACGCCTGACCTTGTGATCCACCCGCCTTGGCCTCCCAAAGTGCTGGGATTACAGGCATGAGCCCCCATGCCCAGCCATATATTCTATATGTATATGTGTGGCAGTCTACTATGTGCCAGTCACTAAACTAGGCACTGGTAAAACAAACAATGGAGTGCAAAAAACAGTCATGGCCCCTGCCCTCCTGGAGCTAACAAACCTTCTTGGAAGAGGCAGGCATTGATCAAAAGACTATATGAATAGGGCTAAGCACAGTGGCTCAGGCCTGTAATCCCAACACTTTGGAAGGATGAGCCAGGTGGATCACCTGAGGTCAGGAGTTCAAGACCAGCCTGGCCAACATGGCAAAACCCTGTCTCCACTAAAAATACAAAAAAATTAGCTGAGCATGGTGACACATATCTATATTCCCAGCTACTCAGGAAGCTGAGGAAGGAGAATCCCTTGAATCCAGGTGGTGGAGGTTGCAGTGAGCTGAGATCATGCCACTGCACTCCAGCCTCGTAGACAGAGCGAGACTCAAAAAAAAAAGAAAAAAAAAGACTATATAAATAAATGAAGATGCACAACTGTGACAATTGCTATAAGAGACATTTATGGTGCTATAAGAGCAAATAAGAGGAAGATTTGGGCCAAGCTCGGTGGCTCACACCGGTAATCCCAGCACCTTGGGAGGCTGAGATGGGCTGATCTCAAAAAAAAAAAAAAAAAAACAAAAAAAAAAAAGTAAGATTTGAGGAGCAGCGTATAACAGGTAAAGAATATTCCTGGCAAATAATAGACTGTGCAATAGCCTTGCAGCAGAATGAAGCATGGTGTCTTTAAGGACTACAGGAAGACCATGTGGCTATAGCAAAGATGCTTAGGAAGAGCCCAACCATGTAATACCTTCTAAGCCAGGGAAGGTGAGTCTGGTTTGTTGTTGTTGTGGTTGTTTAGATGGAGTCTTGCTCTGTCACCCTGGCTGGAGTGCAGTGGTTAGATCTCGACTCACTGCAACCTTTGCCCCCCGGGTTCAAGCGATTCTTTTGCCTCAGCCCCTCCAGTAGCTGGGATTACAGGTACACACCACCACACCCGGCTAATTTTTGTATTTTTAGTAGAAACGGGTTTTTACTATGTTGGTCAGGCTGGTCTCGAACTCCTGACCTCGTGATCCCCCCGCCTCAGCCTCCCAAAGTGTTGGGATTACAGGCGTAAGCCACACGCCTGGCCTAATTTTTATTTTTATAGACATGGGGCCTCACTTTGTTGCCCAGCCTGATCTTGAACTCGTGGGCACAAGCAATCCTCCCACCTTGGCCTCCCAAAGTGCTGATTACAGATATGAACCTCCATGCCCAGCAGTTTTTTCAACACTTACAGAACTAGTCTCATTGCCTCTTCTTCAGAGATACCAGCACCTGGCTGCCCAATGCCCCATACTCACAAGTCTGGTTTCTACCCCTTGGGGTTCTTCCTCTGAGTTCAGAGACACGAGCACCTGTCAATCAATACCTCCTCCTCAGAGGTCTGAGTGTCGGCTGTGTTTGGCCACTCCCCCTCTAAATTTCTATGTTTTAATAACTCCAACCTCTTCCTTTTGTTCCCTCAGCCCTAGGGGTGGTAGCTGTTCCTACAGTTACTACCACCATGAAACTTTAGGTTTCGCCTTTTACTTCTTCAGTTACTTAGTTAACAATCCACTAAGTTACACTGTCTCTGTCCAAATGCCATGTGATTTCTACCTCCTTACAGGACCTTGACTAATATATAAGGATTGTTATTTATCCTTCAAGGTCCAGTTCAAGTGCTGCCTTCTAATGTGTCTTTTCCATTATCCTCAGTTAAAATTATCCATCCAGTTAATTCATAATGTCTTTCTTGAAAAGCCAATAGGCGTTTGTTTTTATAATTATATGCCCAGTCACACTCATATGCCTACTCACATCTCTTTGTTGTCCTACAGTTATACTGAAACTTCTTTACTCAAATTAACTCTGATCCAAAAAAATTGCCTACCAATTATAATAGAGAAGAGTAGGTATAGAGCAAGAAGGAACAAACATGGGTTCTAATCCATTCAATTACATAATGTAATTCTGCACAGTTTACTTAAACTCTCAGTTAAATTTGTTTCTCTAGCCTCACAGACGGCTCTGAGGATTAAGTAGAATAAATGTGGAAAGGATTAAGTAAGATAATATGTGTGAAGCATTTACCACAGTGCCTGTCTAATGCCCCAAGTATTCAATAAATATAAACTATTGGCCGGGCGCGGTGGCTCATGCCTGTAATCCCAGCATTTTGGGAGGCCAAGGCGGGTGGATCACAAAGTCAGGCATTCCAGAACAGCCTGGCCAACATGGTGAAACCCGTCTCTACTAAAAATACAAAAATTAGCCGGGCATGGAAGCAGGCACCTGTAATCTCAGCTACTCGGGAGGCTGAGGCAGGAGAATTGCTTGAACTTGGGAGGAGGAAGTTGCAGTGAGCCAAGATCGTTGCCACTGCACTCCAGCCTGGGCGACAGAGCAAGACTCCATCTCAAAACAAAACAAAACAAAACAAAAAGAGTTATGCTGAGTCTTCTCTGCCTATGTTCTATAAATGGAACAATAAAGCCTGGATGACAGCACATCTGTTTACAACATAGTTTATTGAATATTTCAAGCCCACTGTTGAGACGTACTACTCAGAAAAAAAAAAAAAAAAAAAGATTCCTTTCAAACTATTACTGCTCATTGACAATGCACCTGGTCACCCAAAAGCTCTCAGGGAGATATACAAGGAGATATACAAGATATACATGCCTGCTAAAACAACATTCATTCTGCAGTCCATGAATGAAGGAATAATTTGGACTTCCATGTCTTTATCTTTATTTTTAAAAAATGTTTATTTTTATTTCTATTTATTTATTTATTTATTTATTTATTTTTGAGACAGAATCTCACACTGTCGCCCAGGCTAGAGTTCAGTGGCTCGATCTCGCTCACTGCAACCTCCGCCTCCTGGGTTCAAGCGATTCTCCTGTCTTGGCCTCCTGAGTAGCTGGGATTACAGGCGCTCACCACTACGCCCAGCTGATTTTTGTATTTCTTTAGTAGAGATGGAAATTCACTGTGTTGGTCAGGCTGATCTCGAACTCCTGTCTTCAAGTGATCTGCCTACCTCAGCCTCAATAAAGTGCTGGGATTACAGGCGTGAGTCACTATACCTGGCCTTTATTTTTTATTCCTCAGCGATTTTTATATAGAGATCAGGTCCCACTATGTTGTTTAGGCTGGTCTGGAACACCTGGGCTCAAGCAATTCTCCTGCTTTAGCCTCCCAAAATGTAAGCCACCATGCCAAGCCTGACTTTCAAATCTTATTGTTTAAGAAATACCTGGCCGGGATACCTGGCCGGGGCCAGACCTGGTGGATCACGCCTGTAATCCCAGCACTTTGGGAGGCAGAGGCAGGTGAATCACCTGAGATCAGGAGTTCAAGACCAGGCTGGCCAACATGGTAAAACAACGTCTCTACTAAAAATACAAAAATTAGCTGGGCATGGTGGTGGGCACCTGTAATCCTAGCTACTCAGTAGGCTGAGGCAGAAGAATTGTTTGCACTTGGGAGAAGGAGGTTGCAGTGAGCCAAGATCGTGCCATTGCACTCCAGCCTGGGCGACAAGAGCAAAATTCCGTCAAAAAAAAAAAAAAAAGAAGGAAGGAAGAAAGATAGATAGATAGATCTGGCTGGGTGTGGTGCCTCACACCTGTAATCCCAGCACTTTGAGAGGCTGAGGTGGGTGGATCACCTGAGGTCAGGAGTTTGAGATCAACCTGGCCAATATGGTGAAACCTCGTCTCTACTAAAAACAGAAAAATAGGGGCTGGGCGGGGTGGCTCACGCTTGTAATCCCAGCGCTTTGGAAGGCCAAGGCAGGCAGATCACAAGTTCAGGAGTCCGAGACCAGCCTGTGCAACATGGTGAAACCCCTTCTCTACTAAGAATAATTTAAAAAAAAATAGCCAGGCGTGGTGGCGCATGCCTGTAATCCCAGCTACTCAGGAGACTGAGGCAGGAGAATCACTTGAACCCAGGGGGCGGAGGTTGCAGTGAGCCGAGGTCACACCACTGCACTCCAGCCTGGGCAACAAGAGTGAAACTCTGTCTCAAAACAACAACAACAAAAAGACACTCTACATTTTCTTATATTTATTTAGTTCCTTACTTAGTTATTTTGAGACAGTCTGGCTCTGTCACCCAGTGGAATGCAGTGGCACAATCATGGCTCACTGTAACCTCAAACTCCTGGACTCAAGCAATTCTCTCACCTCAGCTTCCCAAGTAGTTGGGACTACAGGCACTTGCCATCACACCTGGCTACTTCATAAAGTTTTTTTGTTTGTTTTTTGAGGCAGAGTCTTGTTCTGTTGCTCAAGCTGGAGTGTACTGGCATGATCTTGGCTCACTGCAAACTCTGGATCCTGGGTTCAAGTGATTCTCCTGCTTTAGCCTCCCGAGTAGCTGGGATTACAGGTGTGCGCCACCATGCCCAGCTGATTTTTTTTGTATTCTTTTAGTAGAGATGGGGTTTCACCATGTTGGCCAGGCTGGTCTCGAACCCCTGACCACCTGCCTTAGCCTCCCAAAGTGCTGGAATTACAGGCATGAAACACTGTGCCCAGCCCAACAATATATTTTATACAATGGAATAAATATAAGGTCCTTATTATTTTGTTTTATGTTACTGCTGCATAGTATTCCTTGTGTGGACATATTATAATTTGCTTAATCAGTCCCCTATTGATGGCCATGTGGGTGACTTCCAATTTTCTGCCTATAAGCTCAGCACTTTGGGAAGCCAAGGCTAGAGGATCACTTGAGCCCAGGAATTCAAGACCAGCCTGTGCAACATGGTGAGACCCTGTCTCTACAAAAAAATTTAAAAGGCCAGGTGTGGTGGCTCATGCCTATAATCCCAGCACTTTGGGAGGCTGAGGCAGACAGATCACTAGAGCCCAGCAGTTCAAGACCAGCCTGGGCAACATGGTGAAACTCTCTGTCTACAAAAATAATACAAAACTTAGCCGGATGAGGTGGCTCACACCTGTAGTCCCAGCTACTTGGGAGGCTTAGATGGGAGGATCTCTTGAACCCAGGAGATGGAGGTTGCAGTGAGCCAATATCACACCACAGCACTCCAGTCTGAGCAACAAAGCAAGGCTCCATCTCAAAAAATACATCAATAAATAAAATTTTTAAATAATAAAAATAATTTAAAAATTAAAGTTAGCCAGGCATAATGGCATGCATCTGTAGTTCCAGCCACTTGGGAGGCTGAGGTGGGAGGATCACTTGGTCAGGAAAGGTCGAGGCTGCAGTGAGTTATGATCGTGCCACTGCACTCCAGCCAGGGCTAAAAAGCCAGACTTTGTCTCTTAAATAAATATATAAAATAAAAAGAGAAGTTTTGGAAATTATCGTGATGATCTTGTGTGGGAAATATTCTGAACACACAAAAAGGACAAGACATTAAAGAAAATATTATAAATTCAAGTACATAAAATATTTATATTTTATTCATGGATATACATATACACATGGGTAGTCTCAGAAGCGTTAGGGAATTGAGACAGAATGGAAGCTAAAGAAGAGTAACAGGTCAGGTGTGGTGGCTCACACCTGTAATTCCAGCATGTTGGGGGGCCAAGGCCAGCGAATCAGGAGGTCAGGAGATCTAGACCATCCTGGGCTAACGCAGTGAAACCCCATCTCTACTAAAAATACAAAAAATTAGGCCGGGCGCAGTGGCTCACGCCTGTAATCCCAGCACTTTGGGAGGCCGAGGCAGGCAGATCATGAGGTCAAGAGATCTAGACCATCCTGGCCGATATGGTGAAACCCTGTGCCTATACAAAAATTAGCTGTGCATTGTGGCGCTTGCCTGTAGTCCCAGCTACTCAGGAGGCTGAGACAGAAGGGAGGCGGAGGTTGCAGTGAGCCAAGATTACGCCACTGCACTCCAGCCTGGTGAAAGAGCGAGACTCCGTTTAAAAAAAAAAAAAAATTTAGCCAGGCGTGGTGGCACGTGCCTGTATTCCCAGCTACCGGGGAGGCTGAGGCAGGACGCCAGTGCACTCCAGCCTGGGCAACAGAGCAAGACTCTGTCTCAAAGAAAAAAAGAAAAAAGAAGAAGAATAACAAAGAGGAGCCATTCATTTACTTTGTTTTCAATGTTTATATGTTTATAAACAATGTTGCAATAAATAATTTCCCTACTGATAGTCAATCACAACTTTTCCATTGTTATAAACCATGCTTCAATAAACATCCTTTTATATTCAAAAAACAAGACAAAAACCAAAAAGAAAGGAAAAAGTGGGGCTGTGTCTGGCTTAGTGGGAATTGGGTGCCAAGAAACAAAAGCATGATTGAGTGTTATCTGTGTAATTATGTGCATTTGAGGTTAAAAAAAAGGAGGACAGTAGAAATGTTGATAATTGCTGGGCGCGATGTAATCCCAGCACTTTGGGAGGCCAAGGCGGGTGGATCACCAGAGGTCCGGAGTTTGAGACCAGCTTGGCCAACATGGAGAAGCCCTGTCTCTAGTAAAAATATAAAATTAGCTGGGCATGGTGGCGCATACCTATAATCCCAGCTATTTGGGATTCTCTTGGGATTAAGGAGAATCGCTCAAACTCGGGAGTTGGAGGTTGCGGTGAGCTGAGATCACGCCACTGCACTCCAGCCTAGGCAACAAGAGCAAAACTCTATCTCCAAAAAAAAAAAAAAAGAAGGAAAAGAAATGTTGATAATTAATGCTCTGCCACCCGGACCTCTGCGAATCCCTTCTTGTCTGCTTACTGACTCACCAAGACCCTAAGGCTCTCTCTCCCTTCACTGTCACCCTACACTTACAGATTTGAAATCTTGCTTCCTTCATTTCACCCTCCCCAGCCTAGTGCATACTTCCCTTGGGCCTAAAAAGGTATCTGAAGTCCAATCTGAATTCCAAATTCCACACTCTAAATAGCACCACTAAAGAAAGTCACTGGAGGAACAATTATGGAAAAACAGGCACTGACAGGTACTCTCACGCCTTGTTCCATTTTCCCTGCTTTCCTTGACTATGTCATTGTCCTATCCCCTCGCCCCAACCCACGACTACTTCACAAGCACCAAACTCTTTTCAGCCTTTATTCTTTTTTTTTTTTTTTTTTTTTTTGGGGACAGAGTCTTGCCCTGTCGCTCAGGCTGGAGTGCAATGGCGACATCTCAGCTCACTGCAACCTCCGCCTCCCGGGTTCAAGCAGAGGCTCCTGCCTTAGCCTCCCGAGTAGCTGGGATTACAGGCGCGCACCACCACCACCACACCCGGCTAATTTTTTGTAACTTTAGTAGAGATGCGGTTTCACCATGTTGGCCAAGCTGGTCTGGAACTCCTGTCCTTGTGATCCACCTGCCTTCGCCTCCCAAAGTGCTGGGATTAGAGCCATGAGCCACTGCGTCCAGCCTTCACCCTTTATTATTTTCAGAGTTATTTATCCTACAAGCTACATCATTGCCCCTCCTCCTCTTCCCTATCTCCTTTCATTTTCAGGGGAGCCTATTTATTAGAGGAAGTAAACTGAAGGCAGAAATCTTCAAATACCTGGCTAAAATAAAAATTATTTTTTTTAGCCGGGTGCGGTGGCTCACACCTGTAATCCCAGCACTTTGGGATGCTGAGGCAGGCAGATCACCTGAGGTCAGGAGTCCAGACTAGCCTGGCCAACATGGTGAAACCCCACCTCTACTAAAAATACAAAAATTAGCCAGGTGTGGTAGTGCATGCTTGTAATCCCAGTTACTCCGGAGGCTGAGGCAGGAGAATCGCATGAGCCCAGGAGACGGAGGTTGCAGTGAGCCAAGACTGCACCATTGCACTCCAGCCTGGGCAACAGAGTAAGAATCCGTCTCAAAAATAAATAAATTAATTAATTAAAAAAAATAAAATTGTATTTAAAAAACTCCAAAACCCTTCTTTTTTTTTTTTTTTTTTTTTTTTTTTTTTTTTTTTTTTTTGGGATGGAGTCTCTCACTCTGTCGCCAGGCTGGAGTGCAGTGGCATGATCTCAGCTCACTGCAACCTCCACCTCCTGGGTTCAAGCGTTTCTCCTGCCTCAGCCTCCCGAGAGTAGCTGAGACTACAGTCACACACCACCACGCCCAGCTAATTTTTGTATTTTTAGTAGAGACGGGGTTTCACCATGTTGGCCAGGATGGTCTTGATCTCTTGACATTGTGATCCGCCCGCCTCGGCCTCCCAAAGTGCTGGGATTACAGGCGTGAGCCACCATGCCCAGCCAACATTTCTTAAAAAAAATAAAAGCCACAATCTGGGTGCAGTGGCTCATGCCTGTAATTCCAGCACTTTGGGAGGCCGAGGCAGTTGGATCACCTGAGGTCAGGAGTTCAAGACCAGCCTGACCAGCGTAGAAAAACCCTATCTCTACTAAAAATACAAAACCAGCCTGGCATGGTGGCACATGCCTGTAATCCCAGCTACTCTGGAGGCTGAGGCAGGGGAATCGCCTTGGGAGGTGGAAGTTGTGGTGAGCCAAGGTCATACCATTGCACTCCAGCCTGGGCAACAAGAGAGAAACTATGTCTCAAAAAAATAAAATAAAATAAAATAAAATAATTAAAAAATTAGCCAGGTGTTGTAGCGGGTGCCTATAATCCCAGCTACTTTGGAGGCTGAGGCAGGAGAATCACTTGAACCAGGGACGCGCAGTTTGCAGTGAGCTGAGGTCATGCCGTTGCACTCCAGTTTGGGCAAAAAGAGCAAAATTTAATCTCAAAAAAAAATATCCTTTCATCATGTCCTTTCACAGATTAGCTCTTATCTGCCCTTTTTTTTTTTTTTTTTTTTTTTTTGAGACAGAGTCTCACTCTGTCGCCCAGGCTGGGGTGCAGTGACATGATCTCCGCTCACTGCCTCAGTTCCTGCCTCAGCCTCCTGAGTACCTGGGATTACAGGCATGCACCACCACACCAGGCTAATATTTGTACTTTTAGTAGACACACGGTTTCACCATGTTAGCCAGGCTGGTCTCAAACTCCTGACATCATGATTCGTCTACCTCAGTCTCCCAAAATGCTGGGATTACAGGCGTGAGCCACTATGCCTGGCCACGCCCAGCTAATTTTTGTATTTTAGTAGATATATGGTTTCACCATGTTGGCCCAGCTGGTCTCAAGCTCCTGACCTCAATGATCCACCCACCTTGGCCTCCCAAAGTGCTGGGATTACAGGTGTCAGCCACCCTGCCAGCCTCTTATCTGCCATTCTAATGGAATCTGCTCAACTCTCTACCCCACCCATGCAACTCACTTTCATACAGAATTCCTGTATGCATGAAAACATGCCCAGCCAGGCACGGTGGCTCATTGCTGTAATTCCAGCTCTTTGTTAGGCTGAGGCCGACAGATGGCTTGAAACCAGCCTGGCCAACATGGTGAAACCCTGACTCTACTAAAAATATGAAAATTAGCCAGGTGTGGTGGTGCATACCTGTAATCCCAGCTACTCAAGAGGCTGAGGCATGAGAATTGCTTGAACCCTGGAGGCAGAGGTTGTGGCAAGCCGAGATGTCACCACTGTACTCCAGCCTGGGTGACAGAGTGAGACAATGTCTTAAAAAAATAAAAAAATTAGGGCTGGGTGCAGTGGCTCATGCTTTAAATCCCAGTGCTTTGGGAGGCTGAGGCCGGCAGATCATGAGGTCAGGAGTTTGAGACTAGTCTGGCCAACATGATGAAACGCCATCTCTACTAAAAATACAAAAAAAATTAGCTGGGCATGGTGGCAGGCACCTGCAATCCCAGTTACTCAGGACGCTGAGGAAAAAGAATTGCTTGAACCTGGGAGGCAGAGGTTGCTGTGAGCTGATACCTCGCCACTGCACTCCAGCCTGGGCAACAGAGTGAGACTCTGTCTCAAGAATAAAATAAAATAAAATAAAATAAAATAAAATAAAATAAAATAAATAAATAAAAAAACAAAATGCTTGGCTGGATGTGGTGGTTCACACCTGTAATCCCAGCACTTTGGGAGGCCAAGGCAGGAGAATTGCTTGAGCCCAGGAGTCTGAGATCAGTCTGGGCCACATAGCGAGACCCCGTCTCTATGTTAAAAAAAAAAAATAGGAAAAAAGAAAAAAAAGCATGCCCCTGTCTATATTTTATTTTCACCGAGTAATGTGCTCTATTTCTGGAAATACTTTCATCCTTCCTTCCTCTGGCTCTCCACTGATGCATCTCCAAAGCAACTCCAATCAATTCAACAAATAGTTGTTAAACAACCAGCACATTCTAGGCAGGATGCTAGGAGCTGGGGGGATCGAGATAAACAAGAAGCAGTCCTGTTCCCAGAGAAGTTCACAATCTGATGGTAAAAGCAAATACAATTATGTAAGAAAATAAATCAAATTAGGCCAGGTGTAATGGCTCACGCCTGTAATCCCAGCGCTTTGGGAGGCTGAGGTGGGCAGATCATGAGGTCAGGAGATCGAGATCATCCTGGCTAAAATACAAAATACTAAAAATACAAAAATTAGCCCGGCATAGTGGTGGACACCTGTAATCCCAGTTACTTGGGAGGCTGCGCAGGAGGATAACGAGGTCAGGAGATCAAGACCATCTTGGCTACGTAGGAGAATCGATAGAACCTGGAAGGCAGAGGTTGCAGTGAACTGAGATTGCTCCACTGCACTCCAGCCTGGGTGAGAAGAACAAAACTCCATCTCAAAAAAAAAAAGAAAAAAAAATTTCGGCTGGGCGCAGTGGCTCATGTCTGTAATTCCAGCACTTTGGGAGGCTGAGGCAGGAGGATCATGAGGTCAGGAGATCGAGACCATCTTGGCTAACATGGTGAAACCCCGTCTCTACTAAAAATACAAAAATTAGCTGGGCATGGTGGTGGGCGCCTGTACTCCCAGCTACTTGGGAGGCTGAGGCAGGAGAATGGCGTGAACCTGGGAGGCGGAGCTTGCAGTGAGCCAAGATCACCCCACTGCACTCCAGCCTGGGCGACAGAGTGAGACTCTGTCTCTAAAAAAAACAAGTTTTGTTTAATGAAAAAAGTAAGGTGAACAACAACATGAATAAATGTTCCTTTTGTGTTAAAGGATCAATATAAGAACTGTATCAAAGTTTGCTTATATATATGTAAAGAAATACTGATGGTGTGCACCTGTAGTCCCAGCTACTTGGGAGGCTGAGGTGGGAGGACTGCTTGAGCCCAGGAGTTTGAAGCTGCAGTAAGCTGTGATCGTGGCGCTGCACTCCAGCCTGGGCAACAGAGCAAGATCCTGACACAAACGATTCATTAAAAAAGTAAGTGTCATGTTTACCAATTGGAACTGGACCAATGAGGGACAAGAATTTCAGGGAGACTTTGTATTGTACAACGTTTATGTAATTTCCAGTATTTGAACCATGTGACAACATTAACTGTTTAAAATTAAATTACAAGAAGTTTGGAGACTGAAGTGGATTACCTGGATATTCCAAGACTGTTTGTTTAATTTACCTCTTTATAACCTCCATTCTCTTAGTCCCTGAGGCGAAAATCCTCCCCGTTTCCCTTTATCTCTAGGCTCGTAAGAATTTTAACCCACAAGAAATATTTATTAGGTATGTTTAAATTACAGGTAACAGTGACTGGAGTGCAATGGTGTGATCCCAGCTCACTGCAACTTCTGCCTTCTGGGTTCAAGCGATTCTGCCGCCTCAGCCTCCCGAGTCGCTGGGATTACAGGATGCGCCACGACGCCTGGCAAATTTTTGTATTTTAGTAGAGATGGGGTTTCACCGTGTTGGCCAGGCTGGTCTCCAACTCCTGCCCTCAGGTGATGTGCCGGCCTTGGCCGCCCAAAGTGCTGAGATTACAGGAGTGAGCCACCAAGCCTGGCCCCCCCTCCTTTTTTTTTTTTTTTTGAGACAGAGTCTGGCTCTGTCGCCCAGGCTAGAGTGCAGTGGCATGATGATCTTGGTTCACTGCAACCTCTGCCTCCCGGGTTCAAGCAATTCTCCTGCCTCAGCCTCCCCAGTAGCTGGGATTACAGGCATGTACCACCACGCCCAGCTAATTTTTGTATTTTAGTAGAGATGGGGTTTCACCATTTTGGCCAGGCTGGTCTCGAACTCCTGACTTCAAGTGATTCGCCTGCCTTGGCCTCTCAGAGTGTTAGGATTACAGGCGTGAGCTTCTGTGCCTGGCCTTATCAGCCTTTTTAGTGACTAGGACAAGAATACAAAATGCTTTCCTTTCCTTCCGACTGCTCCCTCCCTCCTTGTAATCATGCAAAATGCAGGAAGTAATTTGGAATTCCTAGTTAATTCTCCTCCCCCTCACTTGGAGAGCAGTGAAGGCCTGGGGAGTTCGGGAACTTTCCGTGGAGCCCAGACTGGAGAGACGTCCGGCCAGGGCCAAGACAACCTGCTTCCCTTGGGCCTCTGGTGCCTTGTTGAGGTCTTGGACCTTTCAGATGCTACTGTGACTGTGGTTTCCGGCTTCCTGAGTTCTCACACTCAGCTTGGTGCTGCAGAGATCACACCCCAGTTCCTGCTTTTGGGGACTGACATGCTCAAGTTTGGTGATACTCAGTACATGGGGTCTGTGAGATCTAGAGGGCTTACTTTTCTGTTTTAGTTTCCCTCTTTTCCCTTAACAGACTCACTGTAAGTGCTTTAGGGTTGCATAAGGATAGAGTATAGAGGTTTGCTGGGTAGACATTGAGAAAGATCAGTTTCCTAATTGAATATTTTATCTCATGTTGGATCTTTAATTCTGCTTCTCTTTAGCTAGGAATATTTTGAATATGCTGAATCTAGTAAAAAAGAAATTAGAAATGAAGTTGTATAGAACTTTGTAGTTCAGTACATTTTCTCACATATTATTGAACTTAAACGTGACAATTCTGCGTTGGTAGATATATATTATCCCATTGAGTAAAAAAAGTGAATATTGAAGAAAAGCAATGCCTACAGAGAGTGACAACTCTTCCATGCAGGTAGATGCTTTTTGTGCTATCCTATACTTTGTATGGATGCACACAGGGTTTCATTGTGGAGCTCTCAGCTTATGGGCTGGGACTACAGTTTTGAAATACAGTATTAGTAAGATGCTGGGGAGGATCTTAAGGCAGAAGGTAGATGTTACTTCTGGTCTAAAGTCAGTGGACTTTAGACCAAAATCTTGTAAACTGGAGCTCTCTGGCTAGCATTCCATTAATATTCAGTTCAGAAGAAGCTGGTAAGTCAAATTTCTGCAAGTTTTTACATCAGAAAGAGCTTAGCTCACAAGGTACTTTTTTCTCATCTGTATTCAGTTATTTTTCCCTGATCAGTGTCAGTCTCCTTCCAACCCTCACTTCCCATCTTGGGGAGTACCCTTAGGGGCAGGTCATTCCTCTCTTCTTTCCCTGGCAGGCTGGACTCATCCATGTGACCTGAGATTGGCCAATCGACAGTGGCTGCTGGCCAAGACCTTGCCTCTTGAGTGAGTGACTCAAAGACAAAGGGATACTAAGATTGAATCACAGCAGTGGTGCGCAGTGTTGCTGGGGGCAGCAGCTGTTGTTGCTCTTTCTTGGTGGAGCTGTCCTTGTGCCTGTTTGTTTTCCAAGCCTGCACTCCTGTTGTAGCTCAGGGGCCCTTGTAACATATTTCTCTTTTGCTTGCCATGATTACTTCACCAGTCTGTGAGCTCCTCGAGAGCAGGGCCTAAGTCTCATTGTGCTCTGAGTGTTTGGTGCCCATCTTGAATTTGACTCTCGGTAAATGCAGGTTGAATAAGTAAAGAAACATGCTATATTTATACGGGGCTACAGAGTCTGGAGTTCTTGGCATTATTGTGGTTGGGGGGCAAAAAGTTCTTTGTGTGCTACCATAGCCACTGACATCTGAGCAATTTCATATTAATAAACATAAACCCAGAGGATCTTGGGAAGGCCCTTCCTATATGTGAGCACTTACTTGACTGAGTGGCACTGATTCTCAAATTGCTGATTTTTTAAAAAGTATGAAATGTATCATGAATTTGCATGCTTATCCTTATGCAGGGGTCATGTGAATCTTTTCTGTATTGTTACAATTTTATTTTATTTTATTATTATTTTTTGAGATGGAATCTTGCTCTATCACCCAGGCTAGAGTGCAGTGGTGCTATCTCGGCTCACTGCAACCTCTGCCTCCAGGGTTCAAGTCATTCTCCTGCCTCAGCCTCTCAAGTAGCTGGGACTACAGGCATGCACCACCACACCTGGCTAATTTTTGCATTTTTAGTAGAGAGAGGGTTTCACCATGTTGGCCAGGCTGGTCTCGAACTCCTCACCTCAGGTAATCTGCCCGTCTTGGCCTCCCAAAGTGCTGGGATTACATGCGTGAGCCACCGCGCCCAGCCATGTTACAATTTTAATAGAATACATGTACTGCCCAAGCAAGTGTAGCTGAAGCTTTTGTCCCTGGTTCCACAGTGTCTCTACCTAAGGGCTGCTCTTTGCCCTGACTACCTCAACTGAGGCAATACCCTCCTTAGTTTCCAGCCCTGGTTTAAAAAGCACCCCTCAGGCTGGATTTGCTGGCTGAGGCCTGTAATTCCAGCATTTCTGGAGGCTGAGGCAGGAGGATCACTTGAGCCAAGGAGTTTGAGACCAGCCTGGTCAACAAAGTGAGACCCTGTCTCTAAAAAAAAAAAAAAAAAAACTCGGCCGGGCACGGTGGCTCACGCTTGTAATCGCAGTATTTTAGGAGGCCGAGGCGCGCGGATCATGAGGTCAGGAGTTCAAGACCAGCCTGGCCAAGATGGTGAAAACCCGTCTCTACTAAAAAAAATATAAAAAATTAGCTGGGCGTGGCGGCGTGCGCCTGTAATCCCAGCTACTTGGGAGGCTGAGGCAAAGAATTGCTTGAACCCGGGAGGCAGAGGTTGCAGTGAGCCAAGATCGCACCACTGCACTCCCGTCTGGGCTACAGAGCGAGACTCTATCTCAAAAAAAAAAAAAAAAAGTGGCCAAGTACGGTGTTAATTCCAGCACTCTGGGAGGCTGAGGTGGGTGGACTGCTTGAGCCCAGGAATTCAAGACCAGCCTGGGCAACATCGTGAAACTGCGTCTCTACAAAAAAATGCAAAAATTAGCCAGGTGCACACCTGTGGTTCCAGCTATCTGGGAGACTGAGGTGGGAGAATTGCTTGGGCCTAGGAGGTGGAGGTTATGAGGAGCCGAGACTGCGCCACTGCACTCCAGCCTGGGTGACACAGTGAGACCGTGTCTCAAAAAAAAAAAAAAATTAGCTAGGCATGGTGGCATGGGCCTGCAGTCCCAGCTACTCAGAAGGTTGAGCTGGGACCACAGGTGCGCACGTTCACGCCTGGCTAATTGTTGTATTTCTTGGAGAGACGGGGGTCTAGCTATGTTGCCCAGGCTGGTCTCGAACTCCTGAGCTCAAGTGATCTACCCACCTCAGCCTCTCATAGTGTTGGGATTACAGGCGTGAGCCACTGCTCCTGGTCTCATATTCTTTTGGGGTGGCTTCAACTCCGACCTTCGTCCCCAGAGAAAATACAGCTCCTTATCCTTAGCAGCAATTGGAAACCTTTCTAGGAGTTAATGATAAAGTGGGGGAGAAATGAGTGCAAAGGCTCTGAGATGAGAAGAACCTGGATTGTTAGCGGAGTTGAAGGACACTGAGAATGTGGGGGAGCTGGATTCGTGAGGATAAGAAAGCAGCAGGTCAGGTCCAGACTT
The DNA here is from genome assembly GCF_000001405.40 of Homo sapiens. Taxonomy (NCBI): domain Eukaryota; kingdom Metazoa; phylum Chordata; class Mammalia; order Primates; family Hominidae; genus Homo; species Homo sapiens. Next base: position 35,771,517 of record NC_000020.11, read on the forward strand.
TGAAGAGCCTGGTAGATAGTCTAGGTGAAGAGTTAGATCTTAATCCGGAGTAGGGAGGGAAACGAGCTTTGAGCAGGGGATGGCGTTTTGAAAAGACCTCTCTGCCGGTGTACGAAGAATGGATTAGAACGGCGAAGAGTAATAGGGTGGAAACCATCTTCATCTTGGAGAGAGATGGTGGTCGCTTCGATGGAGAAATGGGAAGCTTTGAGACGCATTTAGGTGGCAAAATTAACGGGTGATGGATAGCGTCCATTCCCCGGCTTCGGTGATCTCAGTGATTACGAGTGAGTGGGGACTTCGTGTTCCTGCTAGGGCGCGGGCCTGTTTCCCGCGCGTCAGGGTAGTGGGCGTGGCCTGCGCAGGCCGTTGCCACAGTGATCGGGCAGACGGGGCAGGGGGCGGGGCAGCTGGGACCTTACGTCACTCGGTGGTGGCGATGATGCGTGTGTGTGGGGGGCGGGGCATACGCTGGGCGCGTCCCGGGGGTCACGTGGTGCAGAGCACGCAGAGTCCTTCTGTCGGTTGGTCCTGGAGCGGCGCAGCCGGAGTGGGGCCGTGAGGTGAGCTCGCGGCCAGGCGAAGCCGGCCGGCCGGGCCGGGTTGGGCCGGGCCCGCGCTGCGCGCGCGCCGTGCGGGCGGGGACGGCGACGGACGCCACCGCTGCTTCGGTCCCCTGCCCGGCCCCGCTCCCCGCCTGGCCCCGCTCGCCCAGCCTGGAGGGAGGCCCTGGGACTGCTGCTGAGAGCGTGGCGGGCGTGCGAGCGGTGCCCAATCCCCGGGGCTACCCGCAAGAGTGGCGGCGGCTGCCGCCAATCAGCGCCGCCCGAGGGGGCTGGGCCGTGGGGTGCGGGCCCGGGGCGCGGAGCGGGCCGTGTTGGGGGTGCGGGTAAGCCCTAGGGCCCGAGCCTGAGCTGTGTGGGCACCTAGAGCCTCATCAGCAGCCTCTGCTATTGCCTTGCGCTTTGGGAATATGTTTTTTAAAATTGGCTTTTTTTATCCTATTCTGGGGAGCACATTCCTTTCTCAAGACCCCAAATATGGGAGTGTCCCTTTTCTCTATAGTTTTGAAAACTGGGCGGCACACCCCCTTTCTTAAGCTCTAGCTCTGGAATTTTATCTAAATTTCTAAAAGCCCTCCCCCCCCCAAATTTAGGGCGTACCCTCTTCCGTCAGCCCCCAAAGTGGGAGCACATTCCTTTTTTCGGGCCTCCAATTTGATTCTGCATTTCCGTTCCAATTTAGAGGTTCACCCTGTTATCGGGTCCTCAGATCTGGGGTCCATTAGCTAAAGTTTTGGGATACTTTCTTGTATCCCCTCTACTCCAAGGAAGAATTCCCCTTTTCCAGGTCCCAAATCTGACAGCATGCCTTCTGGAATTTCTTACATTTAGGGGCCACTTCCTTTCCTCAGCCCTTCAAACCTGAGGTTGGGCCGAAAACAATGTCCAAATTTTGAAGTTTATGGGTACTTATTTCCAGTTTCACAAATAAGGGAATTCACTGCCTTCTCCCGAGACTGTATTATTGGGGTTACACACTTTTCACGTGTTCCCCAAATCAAACTACCTTATTTCCTGAAGGAGACTCATTTTCATATCTGGGAGTATATTTGTTTCTTGTGCCCCCCAAATGTACGAGGTGAACCCCTTTTAGTTATACAACTCTCAGAGTGCAGCCACTTTCCAGATGCTTCTTAAATTTGGGGGGCACACCTTTTTGTGAGTCCTCTCATTTCCAGGTGGCGAGTGGTCTGTGGTTTTGAGCATGCCTTCCTACCCTGTTTAGCTTTTCTGTCATCCAAGACATTTTCATTCCTCAGTTTCCTTCCCTTTTTGGAGCCACACTCCCCTTGAGGTGCTTTCCCCAGTCTGGTCAGTGCACCCATTTCCTCTTCCTCTGGCGAGTGCGTATCTTTGTTCAGCACGGCACTTTTCTCTGTGCTTCTGCGGGCTTTTCTTCTGAGCACACTTCCCAGAGTCACACCTCCTGAATTCTCCTCTCCTCCCAGGGAAGGATTCCTCTCCTAAAGGGCTACCAGCACATTGTTTTTGATAGGCCTATCTTTTATCTTTCCGCTAGCAGGATCTCTTCTCTCTTGGCTTGCCCAATCCCCAAACATTTTTCTGGTTTCTGTCTTTCTTTGGAATTGTTCTGTTTACCTAGTGGCTATAAAGATTTTCCTTGTGCTGGAGGTGGCCTCAAGTCTAGGACTGCCTGGGCCCCCAGCGCTGGATTCAAAGTGGAAACCATTTCTTTGGTTAATCACAGGACTCTGAATCCTCCTGGTGGTTTACTTCTAGAAGACCTAAGATTCTGTTTAGGTGCATACTGTTTTCTCCTTTGCTTTATCTCCTTGTGCTGGAAAACAAAAACAAACAAAACTCTCAGATTTTTCCAGCACTGCTTCTAGCCCATAAACTTCTTCCCTATATTGGCTTTCTTACTATCTTTTATGAAGAAAAGATGTCGTTTGGAGGAATCCCTTGGATACTCTTTTTGTTCTTGTCCCTGGGGTGTCGGTGGGGAAATGGATATTTTTCTCTCCCAATCATCCTCTTGTCAATCTTCTTTTTTTTTTTTTGAGACAGAGTCTCGCTCTGTCGCCCAGGCTGGAGTGCAGTGGCGCGATCTCGGCTCAGTGCAAGCTCCGCCTCCCGGGTTCACGACATTCTCCTGCCTCAGCCTCCCGAGCAGCTGGGACTACAGGCACCCACCACACCGCGCCCGTCTAATTTTTTTGTTTTTAGTAGAGACGGGGTTTCACTGTGGTCTCGATCTCCTGACCTCGTGATCCACCCGCCTCCGCCTCCCAAAGTGCTGGGATTACAGGCGTGAGCCACCAAGCCCGGCCAACCTCTTGTCAATCTTTACCCCCAATCCTCACATTAAAATCTGCAAATATCTGGGACCTCCTATCTCTTAAGAGCCTCAATAGTTCTTTCTTTTGTGTTTCCTTCTGCCTTTACAGATCTTATTCAGGGCTTCTCAGCCTGAACCCCCAACCAGATTAATTTCTCCACAGCTGGAATTCCAAGTGCTTGGGGATAATGATACCTCTGACCTTTCTTCCTTTTGGGAAGTACTTGAGTGTGCAGCTGCATGAGGCCTCAGCAGGAGAGAGATTTTAGGTCCAAGAAGCTATACCAGTAGGACAAGGCAGGAAAATACTACACTTTCAGGATCAAGCCCCTCTGACTCTCATTTGGAAACTGGATGTTTGCTAAGCACCTGCTTCTTAAGGATGCCGAGGGATTTAATGATACTCCCAGAAACCTGGAGAGATTAATGGGGCCTATGGAGAAGTGCTCTGAACTCAGTGTTGGGACTTGAATAAAATTAACCATTGTCATGTTTTCAGAACAACTAAGCTGTTTTATATTTCATGTGCATGAAAGCCCTAGAACTAAGTTGTGTTATTTCCAGAAATGAAATAGATCCCACAGTTAGATGATGTGGCCATTAGGAAGTACCAAATTTATAAAAATCACTGGAGGTCTGTCTGAGCAGTACCTAATAAAATATAGTATACTGAAAGTGAACAGATACTTTGTCTCTTTCTTTGGCTGCTTGATACTTTATCTGTGTACTGCCGTACAGTGCACCCTTAAAGTATTCTACACCAGTGCTTCTCAAACTTGAATGTGCATGTAAGTCACCCAGGGGTCTTGTTGAAATGCTGATTCTGATTTGGTAGATCTAGGATGGGACCTGAATGCATTTCTGATTTGCAGGTGATGCTGATGTTACTGAACTACACTTTTAGTAGTGAGGTTTCATACACGAAGACAAAGTTTCTCTGTGAAAATAGGAAGGTGGTGGTTAGCCTTATATTTTTTTATTTTATCTTTATCCAGACACACATCCCTTAAAAGTTTGTACAAGGCCATAGTCCCCTTTATTAGTTATACTCAATTAGTTATTCTAGCACATAGCTTTTTAAATATTGGCCAAAACTGGCTGGGCACGGTGGCTCATGCTTGTAATCCCAGCACTTTGGGAGCTGAGGCGGGCAGATCACGAGGTCAGGAGTTCGAGACCAGTCTGGCTAACACAGTGAAACCCTGTCTCTACTAAAAATAGAAAAATTACCTGGGTGTGGTGGCAGGCACCTGTAATCCCAGCTACATGGGAGGCTGAGGCAGAATACTTGCTTGAACCCGGGAGGCGGAGGTTGCAGTGAGCCAAAATTGCACCACTGCACTCCAGCCTGGGCCACAGAGTGAGACTCTGTCTCCAAAAAAAAAAAAAAAAAAAAGGCCAAAACTTCTCCAGGAGTTTGGTTTCTGTGTGTATATATATATATTTTGGGTGGGGACAGGGTCTCATTCTGTCACCCAAGCTGGAGTGCAGTGGTGTGATCACGGCTTACTGCAGCCTCAACCTTCTGGGCTCAAGCGATCCTCCCCTCAGCCTCTTGAGTTTCAGGGACCACTGGCACGTGCCACCACACCTGGCTAATTTTAAATTTTTTGTAGAGATGAGATCTTGCCATTTTGCCCAGGTTGGTCTTGAACTTCTGGGCTCAAGCAGTCCTCCACCTTAGCTTCCCAAAGTGTTGGGATTATAGGTGTGAGCTGCCATGCCTGGCTATTGCCAAATTTAAATGGTTACATATTTCTTACTTGAATGTGAACATAATTATTGATATAGAATCATTCTAATAAATACTGCATAGCCAGCTTGTCTGTCTGGTTCCTCATCCTACCATGAGTAGGGAGTCTGTGATACCCCAAATCAGTGGGTCACAGGTGTTGGAATTTCCAAAGAGTCCTTCTTGGTTTTCTGGGTTCTGGAAATGGGCCAGGAAAAGCCAGGATAAAGCTATGTTCCCCGACCTCGAATGGAAGCTTCTGGCTTTCTCTAAATGGGTGCTCCAGAAAGACAAATGCTGGGGAGAAGATGATATTCTTTGATGGTGATCATGCTTTATGATGATCTTTCTCCTTTTGTACCCACATGTCTAATCTATTCTAAGTCTCAAGTGGGTTTTTCCTTTTTTCAAAAAATTTTTTTGGAGACAAAGACTACCTCTGAAAGTGTTTTTCCTTTCTAAGTGTGTTGGATCATCTGTACCTATTTCCCTGGCTGTCACCTGTCTGGCCCTCTTCCACGTGATCCTGTTGCCAGCCCTAATCAGGACAAACCTGAATGACTAGACTATTTTGTGTCCCTGTCCTCCTCCAACCCCTATTCCTCACATGAGTGTCAGATCCTATTCAGTAACGGATTTGATCTGGATTTGGCTCTAGTCCTAGCTCTTCCATTTACTGTGAGACCTCAGGCAAGTCACTTAATGCTATGGGCCTGCTTCTCCCCATTTGTAAAATGAGGGGCTGATGATCTGCAATGTCCACCCTGGCTGAATCTTGGTCGCTACCTTGCTTAGAAACCCCATTGCCTGTGGTAGCTTGTTGCAGCAGATCTGATTTCTTTCATGTGCTCCCTTGGGCAGCCTGCCAGTTATTCCCTTGTCCAAGTCACTTCTGCCATTATCTTTTTTTCTAGCTGAGGCAGCCAGCTTGTTCTCAACCCAACTTCAGCGTTCTTCTTGCTTCCATGTCTTCTTCCAGTTCCATGCTGTATTTCATTCAGAACTACCTGAAATCCTCAAAGAAGTCTTCCTGAGTTCTCCATTCAATGTTTGTGACTTCTCTGCCTTACCAAGAAGGAGTCTGTACCTTATATACCCCGTATTTACTTGTCAGTTCTCTTATCTAATGTATACTTAAAAAGGGACTTCATTTCCTCCATACCACAGCTTTGTTTTTTGGTTTGAATTAGCAGGGCAGGTGGCATGAAATTTAAAGAGGAAGCAAGCAGGTTGTTTGCCTTTGGCTGGGATTTGGGGAAAGTATGAGATGTAATGTTTTTAGTCCCCTTCCCCAAGATCTCCTGTATCTGTGGGAATCAGTTGCCTGGTATGTCTTCCTGGATTGTAAAGGTGCTTAAACTTCCTTTCTGAAGTTTGAAAGTGTATCCTAAGTGCAAATACCATTTGACAATTACTCGTGGTTGGGTGGGTGCAGTGGCTTACGCCTGTAATCCCAACACTTTGGGAGGCCAGAGTGGGAGGATTGCTTGAAGCCAGGAGTTCAAGACCAGCCTGGGCAACAAAGTGAGATTCCTGTCTCTACTCCCCCACCAAAAACAAAAAAGTAGTCAGGCATGGTGGTGCGTGCTTGTAGTCCCAGCTCCTTGGGAGGCTGACGAGGGAGTTCAGAGTCTGCAGTGAGCTAGGATTGTACCACTGCACTACAGCTGGGTGACAGCACGAGACCCCATTGCTTCCAAGTGCTCTTCTAGGAACACACAGCCACAAAACCCAGAACAAGGAATTGTTAAGGATAATGATAAGAAATCTGTATTTCAAATAACTTAACAAATGAATAAAACCAACAGTTCTTTGAGAGCACCTGATTATTGTCAAAGACAGTTGCTGAGGGGGCTTGGAAGTCAGGACTTAAAGGTATATTTAACCTCTGGAGTTTTCTTCTTTCATCATCTTCCTAAGAAATAATAGGGAGGATGTTTACATTTTTCTTGATAAAGTCTTTTTATTAATTTTATTTATTTATTTATTTTGAGAAAGGGTCTTGCTCTGTTGCCTAGGCTGGAGTGTAGTGGCGCAGTCTTGGCTTACTGCAACCTGTGCATCCTGAATTCAAGCGATTCTTGTGCCTCAGCCTCCTGAGTAGCTGGGATTATAGGTGCGCACCACCATGCCCAACTAATTTTTTGTAGTTTTAGTAGAGACAAGGTTTCACTATGTTGGTTAAGCTGGGACATTTTTCTTGATAAACATTCTTTAAACCAAAATGTATGCTTAGTCAAGATCCTTGATTGGATTATGAGCCTAGAGAAAAGGAGGGTGATGTCTTTGTCTAATCCATCTTTGCCAGTGACTGCCCCTTACAGGCTATTGACTATAGGGTAACCTAATGAAAATTGAGACAGGCACTGTGGCTCACGCCTGTAATCCCAGCACTTTGGGAGGCCAAGTCGGATGGATCACCTGAAGTCAGGAGTTCAAGACCAGCCTGGCTAACACACAGTGAAACTCCGTCTCTACTAAAAATACAAAAAATTAGTCAGGCGTGGTGGCAGGTGCCTGTCATCCCAGCTACTAGGGAGGCTGAGGCAGGAGAATGGCTTGAACCCGAGAGGCAGAGGTTGCAGTGAGCCGAGATTACACCACTGCGCTTCAGCCTGGGCAACAAGAGTGAAACTGTGTCTCAAAAAAAAAAAAAAAAAATTGAACCCTTAATTTGTAATAATGCTTTGACAACTTTGCTAGATCTTGGGCTAGGTCCTACCTGGACCTTCCTCTCTTTTGCCAAATAATGGAACTAATGAGCTGGCAGAAATCCTGTACAATTTTAGAAGCCTAATATGAGTGACTAAATGTAAATAGGACAGTTTTAGGAAAGAGTGGTGGAGCCTGAATCAGTGAACTTTGGGGAAGGAGCAAGAGGAGGGGCTTGGGATTTAAACAAAGGGTTTTTTTTTGTTTTGTTTTGTTTTTTGTTTTTTTTTTGAGGTGGAGTCTCACTTCGTTGCCCAGGCTAGAGTACAATGGTGCAATCTCGGCTCACTGCAACCTCTGCCTCCCGGATTCAAGTGATTCTCCTGCTTCAGCCTCCCAAGTAGCTGGTACTACAGGTGTGTGCCACCTCACCCTGCTAATCTTTTATATTTTTGGTAGAGACTGGCTTTCATCATATTGGCCAGGCTGGTCTCGAACTCCTGACCTCATGATCCGCCTGCCAGGGCCTCCCAAAGTGCTAGGTTTACAGGTGTGAGCCACTGCGCCTGGCCTAAACCAAGGTTTTTATTCAGTGATAGTTTATTCCATGTCAGGAACATAATTCTCAGATTTTAAAGGCTGACTTCCAGGTATCTTAGAAGGATATTTGGGGGTCTCTGTCCTAGTAGAGACCTGATTTTCAAGAGGTCTCTTTCTCATATGGAAAAAGTCCATAGCTGGTGGATTGACATTCCTTTCTTTCTTTTTTTTTTTTTGTTGAGGCGGAGTCTCACTCTGTCGCCCAGAAGTGCAGTGGTGCAACCTCGGCACACTGCAACCTCTGTCTCCTGGGTTCAAGCAATTCTCCTGCCTCAGCCTCCTGAGTAGCTGGGATTACAGGTGCCCGCCACCATGCCTGGGTAATTTTTTGTATTTTTAGTAGAGATGGAGTTTCACCATGTTCGCCAGGCTAGTCTTGAACTCCTGACCTCAAGTGATCCACCCGCCTCGGCCTCCCAAACTGCTGGGATTACAGGCGTGAGCCACTGTGCCCGGCCAATGCCTTTCTTGCTTCTACAGGTGCACAGGTGTTGGGATTTCGAGGTTGTGGAAACTTGGTCTGGAAATGTGGGCATTTTACAATAATGATAACTATAGCTAGCATTTTTGGAGCACTGTCTTAAATGTCATTGAATCCTTACATCTGACCTATTATCCTGTCCTAACAGAGGAGGAAACTGAGATGAGTAATTTGTCCAAGGTCATTTGGCTAATAAGCAGGGCCTCGATTGGAGTCCAGGTTTCTTTGCCTCCTGTCCCAGTGCTCTTACATCCCTCTCTCTCTAGCTAACGTGCTTTTTCCCCTAGAAATTTGAGTAAGTCATTTTAACTACAAATCAAACAGGTGGCAGCCTGGAAACCAGCACTGAGGCACTTTGCCACCCTCACCCCAGATTTCTTTTTTTTTTTTTTTTTTTTTTGGGACGGAGTCTCACATTGTTGCCCAGGCTGGAGTGCAGTGGCACAATCTCAGCTCACTGCAAGCTCCGCCTCCCGGGTTTACGCCATTCTCCTGCCTCAGCCTCCTGAGTAGCTGGGACTACAGATGCCCTCCACGATGCCCGGCTAATTTTTTGTATTTTTAGTAGAGACAGGGGTTTCGCCATGTTAGCCAGGATGGTCTCGATCTGCTGACCTCATAATCCATCCGCCTCGGCCTCCCAAAGTGCTAGGATTACAGGCATGAGCCACCATGCCTGGCTCATTCTTTTTTCTTTTTTTTCTTTTCTTTTTTTTTTTTTGAGACAGAGTCTGACTCTGTCTCCCAGGCTGGAAGGCAGTGGCATGATCTTGGCTCACTGCAGCCTCCGCCTCCCGGGTTCAAGTGATTCTCCTGCCTCAGCCTCCTGAGTACCTGGGATTACAGGCGAACACCACCACACCCGGCTAATCTTTTATATTTTTAGTAGAGACGGGGTTTCACCATGTTGCCCAGGCTGGTCTTGAACTCCTGATCTCAGATGATCCACCAGCCTTGGCCTCCCAAAGTGCTGGGATTACAGACATGAGCCACTGGTGCCTGGCCCTTTTTTTTTTTTTTTTTTTTTTGAGATGGAGTTTCACCTTGTAGCCCAGGCTGGAGTGCAATGGCACGATCTTGGCTCACTGCAACCTCCGCCTCCCGAGTTCAAGTGATTCTCTTACCTCAGCCTCCCAAGTAGCTGGGATTACAGGCATGTGCCAACACGCCTGGCTAATTTTCTGTTGTTAGTAGAGATGGAGTTTTACCATGTTGGTCAGTCTGGTCTCGAACCCCTGACCTCAGGTGCTCCACCCACCTCGGCCTAAAGTGCTGGGATTACAGGCGTGAGCAAGATTTTATTCTTTTTTTTTTTTCTGAGATGGATTCTTGCTCTGTCACCCAGGCTGAAGTGCAGTGACACGATCTTGGCTCACTGCAACCTCCTTCTCTGGGGTTCAAGTGATTCTCATGCCTCAGCCTCCTGAGTAGCTGGGATTATAGGCCTGCACCACCACATCCGGCTAATTTTCATATTTTTGATAGAGACGGGTTTCACCGTATTAGCCAGGTTGGTCTCCGCCCGCCTCAGCCTCCCAAAGTGCTGGGATTACAGGCGTGAGCCACTGTGCCTGGCCTTCATTCTTGACCATGCAAAACATCCTTTAATTGTAGAAGCCCAGTTCTCCCAACTCAAGCTGCCTTTCTACATTTTTCTTTCTTCTTCAATTTTTGTTGTTGTTGTTGTCGTGGTCAGATACACATAATATAAAATTTGCCATTTTAACCATTTTTAAGTTATATAGCTTACTGGTATTAAATAATGTTGTGCAACCATCACCACTCTCCATCTCCGTAACTCCTCAAAATTGAAACTCTGGGCCGGGTCCAGTGGCTCATGCCTGTAATCCCAGCACTTCGGGAGGCTGAGGCAGGTAGATCACTTGAGGTCAGGAGTTCGAGGCCAGCCTGGCCATCATGGCAAAACCCCATCTCTACTAAAAATACAAAAATTAGCTGGGCGTGGTAGCACATGCCTGTGATCCCAGCCACTAGGGAGCCTGAAGCAGGAGAACTGTTTGAACGCGGGGGCGGGTGGAGGTTGCACTGAGCCAGGATTGCTGCACTGCACTCCAGCCTAGGTGACAGAGCGAGACTCCATCTCAAAAAAAAAAAAAATTATAACTCTGTACCCATTAAACACTGACTCCCTCTTTCATGAACCTCCTCCCAGCCCCAGCAGCTACCATTCTACTTTCTGTCTCCATGTTTTTGAATACTTTTCTGCCTTTTTTGAGGCTCCTGGGCATGACTGGTTTGGGTTGCTTGACTGTCCCTTGGTTCCATGGAGTATTGAATTCTGTGTAATGTGCTTTGATGAGTAGGAAATTGGTCGTGCTGTGACCTATATGATAATTAGACATGTGCAACTTGTAAAGGCAAGGTAATTAAAGAGGCCACTTTTCTTTTTCTTGTTTTGTTTTTTTTTTCTTTTTTTCTTTTTTTTTTCTTCTCTTTTTGAGACATTCTCACTCTGTTCTCCAGGCTGGAATGCAGTGACATCATCTCAGAGCTGACTGCAACCTCTGCCTCCTGGATTCAAGCAATTCTCCTGCCTCAGCCTCCCGAGTAGCTAGGATTACAGGCGGATGCCACCATGCCCGGCTAATTTTTGTATTTTTGGAAGAGATGGGTTTTCACCATATTCGCCAAGCTAGTCTTGAACTCCTGACCTCAAGTGATCCACTCTCCTCGGCCTCCCAAAGTGCTAGGATTACAGGCCACTGTGCCTGGCCAAGAGGTCACTTTTCATGTCCAGGCTGCATGGTATGTGGTGGTGAGGATGTAGGATTTGGAGGTGGAATGCCTGAGTTTGAGTGCCTGTATTTGCCACTCTCTTGGGGCCAAATGTAATTTGGGCATATGGCTTAAACCTCTTGAACCTTTCATTGTGTTATGCACATTGGAGGCAGAACTTTCCAGCCTAGCAAGTTACTTAACCTATATGAGCCTGTTTCCTCACCCAAGTATTATCATAACTGTCTGACATCAGTCATTGGAAATATCAGTAAATGTTACCCTTTCCCTCCATTTCCTAATCTGTAAAGGAAATTAAAGAAACCTGGTTTGGCTGGGCACAGTGGCTCATGCCTGTAATCCCAGCACTCTGGGAGGCCAAGGCAGGAGGACTGCTTGAAGCCAGGAGTTTGAGACCAGTCCTGGCCACAGAGTGAAACCTCATCTCTATAACACAGAAAAAAAAAAAATTAGTTTGGCATGGTGGTGCACGCCTTGTAGTCCCAGCTCCTTGGGAAGCTGAGGTGGAAGGATTGCTTGAACCCAGGAGTTCAAGGCTGCAGTGAGCTATGATCCTGCCACTGTACTCCAGTGTGGGTGACAGTGAGAGCCTGTGTTTAAAAATAAAAAAAAGAAAAGAAAAAGAAAACATAGTTTATAGAGTTTTCCTGGCTTGAAGATTTATGAGGAGTTGAGTATATGTTACCATTATTACTTTTGTTTTATTCCTCTCAGAAAATGTGTGTAAAATTCCTCCATGGGCCCTTCAGTGGGCCTTGTTAGTTTGTATTTCATCCATAACTTTATCAGTAGTGTATGCCAAAGAAAAAGACTCTTACTTTTTTTTTTTCTTTATGATGGACTCTCACTCTGTTGCTCAGGTTGGAGTGCAGTGGCACAATCACAGCTGTCTTGCAGCTTCAACCTCCTGGGTTCAAGGGATCCTCCTGCCTCATCCTCGTGAGTAGTTGGGACTACAGGTGTATGCCACCGCGCTTGGCTAATTTTTTTTTTTTTTTTATTATTTATAGAGACGAGGTCTTGCTATGTTGCCTAGGCTGATCTCAAACTCTTGGGCTCAAGTGATTCTCCTGCCTCGGCCTTCCAAAGTACTGGGATTGGCCGGGCATGGTGCCTCACTCCTGTAATCCCAGCATTTTGGGAGGCCGAGGTGGGCGGATCACCTGAGGTCAGGAGTTCGAGACCAGCTTGACCAACATGGAGAAACCCCATCTCTACTAAAAATACAAAAAATTAGCCGGGCATGGTGGCACATGCCTGTAATCTCAGCTACTCTTGGGAGGCTGAGGCAGGAGAATCGCTTGAACCCAGGAGGCGGAGGTTGTGGTGAGCCGAGATCGTGCCATTGCACTCTAGCCTGGGCAACAAGAGTGAAACTCCGTCTTAAAACAAAACCAAACCAAAGTACTGGGATTATAGGCATGAGCCACTGTCCCGCCCTTACGTTTGTTTGTGTGTTTTTTTTTTTTTTGAGACAGTGTATCGCTCTGTCCCCCAGGCTGGAGTGCAGTGGCACAATCTCGGTTCACTGCAACCTCCACCTCCAGGGTTCAAGCGATTCTCCTGCCTTAACCTCCCGACTAGCTGTGACTACAGGTGCCTGCCACCACGCCCGGCTAATTTTTGTATTTTTAGTAGAGATGGGGTTTCACCATATTAGCCAGGCTGGTCTTGAACTCCTGACCTTGTGATCTGCCTGCCTCGGCCTCCCAAAATGCTGGGATTACAGGCGTGAGCCACTGCACCCGGCCACATTTTTTTTCCCCTCATTTTCACACACACAAAACTAACAGTAATCCCTTAATATTTTTAATGTTGAAATATCCCAAAGACTTTTTTTTTTTTTTTTTTTTTGAGATGGAGTCTCACTGTGTCTCCCAGGCTGGAGTGTGGTGGCATGATCTCTGCTTACTGCAACCTCTGCCTTCCGGGCTCAAGAGATTCTCCTGCCTCAGCCTGCCAAGTAGCTGGGAATACAGGCGTGTGCCACTATGCCCAGCTAATTTTTATGTTGTTAACAGAGATGGAGTTTCACCATGTTGGCCAGGCTGGTCTTGAACTCCTGACCTCAGGTGATCTGCCCACCTCAGCATCCCAAAGTATTGGGATTACAGGCATGAGCCACTGCACTCAGTCCCTTGTTTTTAAAAGCAATAAAGGTTAGTGGGGGCCGGGTGCGGTGGCTCACACCTGTAATTCCAGCACTTTGGGAAGCTTAGGTGGGCAGATCACTTGAGCTGAGGAGTTCGAGACTAGCCTCGGCAATGTGGCAAAACCCCGCCTCTATAAAAAATACAAAAATGAGGAAGGGGTGGTGGCACGTGCCTGTAGTCCCAGCACTGGGGGAGCTGAGGTGGGGAGGATGGTTTGAGCCTGGGAGGCAAAGGTTGCAGTGAGCCAGGATCATGCCGCTTCACTCCAACCTGGGCCACAGAAACAGACCCTGTCTTAAAAAAAAAAAAAGAGGGTAGTGGGTTTTGGAGGAAGGAGGTCTTGCTTCTGAAGTCCCAGCTCTTCTATCTAGCCAGGTGACTTTGGGCAAGTTGTTTATTGTTTATACTCCTTCGTAAAATACTGCTGACTTCTCTGCATTGTTGGGAATGAGATGTTTGTCAAGGATTTAGCATGTGGTGATAAATCAGTAAATGTTGAATATTTCCTGGTATTAATAATAAAGGCTAGGAATAAAAATTCATACTTAAAGGAAAATGGACTTTTATTTATTTATTTATTTTTGAGACAGAGTTTTGCTCTTGTCACCCAGGCTGGAGTGCAGTGGCACAATCTTGGCTCACTGCAACCTCTGCCTCCTGGGTTCAAGCGATTCTCCTGCCTTAGCCTCCCGAGTAGGTGGTGCTACGGGCTCCTACCACCATGCCGGGCTAATTTTTATATTTTTAGTAGAGATGGGGTTTCACCACGTTGGCCAGGCTGGTCTCGAACTCCTGACCTCAGGTGATCCTCCCGCCTCAGCCTCCCAATGTGCTGGGATTACTGGTGTGAGCCACCACACCCTGCCAAGATAAGGGAATTAATGAATTGTCTCATAAATATCTTAGGTATTTAAAACTCCATAGGCATGAAAATGTCTCTCAAGGCCCTGTTGAGTAATGATTTCATCTCCAAATTGTTTTCCTTTGTAATATGGTGATATTTCAATTAAGAAATTCTGTAAGAATAGGCCGGGTGTGGTGGCTCACGCTTGTAATCCCAGCACTTTGGGAGGCTGAGACCAGCCTGGCCAACACAGTGAAATCCCGTCTCTACTAAAAATACAAAAAATTAGCTGGGCATGGTTGCAGGTGCCTGTCATCTCAGCTACTTGGGAGGCTGAGGCAGGAGAATCGCTTGAACCCGGGAGGCGGAGGTTGCAGTGAGCTGAGATTGCACCACTGCACCCCAGCCTGGGCGACAGAGCGCAACTCCATCTCAAAAAAAAAAAAAACAAAAAAAAAAACAAATCTTGTAAGGATAGCTGGTCAGGTGTGTTTAAAAAAAGACTTCCCAGCTGGGCGTGGTGGCTCACGCCTGTAATCCCAGCACTTTGGGAGGCCGAGGCAGGTGGATCACGAGGTCAGGAGATCGAGACCATCCTGGTCAACATGGTAAAACCCCGTCTCTACTAAAAATACAAAAAAAAATTAGTTGGGTGTGGTGGCGTGTGCCTGTAATCGCAGCTACTCAGGAGGCTGAGGCAGGAGAATCGCTTGAACTAGAGAGTTGGAGGTTCCAGTGAGCCGAGATCGCGCCACTGCATTCCAGCCTGGTGACACAGCGCGACTCCGTCTCAATAAATAAATAAATAAATAAGACTTCCCCTAGGCTGTGAGCAGTGGCTCATGCCTGTCATCCCAGCAGTTTGGGAGGCCGAGGCGGGTGGATCACAAGGCCAGGAGATCGAGACTATGCTGGCCAACATGGTGAAACCCTGTCTCTACTAAAATACAAAAAATTAGCCCAGTTTGGTGGTGCACGCCTGTAGTTTCAACTACTTGGGAGGCTGAGGCAGGAGAATCACTTGAACCAAGGAGGTGGAGGTTGCAGTGAGCCGAGATTGAGCCACTGCACTCTAGCTTGGCGACAGAGCTTGACTCCGTCTCAAAACTCACTCCAGAGCTATAGACTATATCACTCAGAGAGTGTAGAGTATTGATAGATTGGAGCCCCCAGTGCCTGAAGAAATGGATACAGCTTTTCTTAAGCCCCAGGGATAAAACTGTGATCAGTCTTCAGTTGCTTCATTCCGCATGCTTTGCCTTCCTCTGCACGCAAGGAGTAATAATAGTTCCCACGTTTACCTGTGGATAACACTCTTCAAAGAACCTCCATGTGATTATCTTCTTGAATCTATATACCCATTGAGGTGGATGATATTGATCTCTTTCCTGTTTTTTTTTTTTTTTTTTGGAGACAGGGTCTCTTGCTCTGTTGCCCAAGCTGGAGTACGGTGGTGCAATCATAGTTCACTGCAGCCTTGAACCCCTGGGCTCAAGTGATTCTCCAGCCTCAGCCTCCTGAGTAGCTAGGACGACAGGTGTGTGTCACTGTGCCTGGCTAATTATTTATTTATTTATTTATTTATTTATTTATTTATTTCAGACAGAGTTTCACTCTTGTTGCCCAGGCTGCAGTGCAATGATGTGATCTCGGCTCACTGCAACCTCTGCCTCCCAGGTTCAAGCGATTCTCCTGCCTCAGCCTCTTGAGTAGCTGGGATTACAGGGATGCACCACCATGCCCAGTTAATTTTGTATTTTTAGTCTAGACGAGGTTTCACCATGTTGGTCAGGCTGGTCTCTAACTCCCGATCTCAGGTGATCTGCCCGCCTCCACCTCTCAAAGTGCTGGGATTACAGGCGTGAGCCACCGCGCCCAGCCTATTTTTTTATTTTTATTTTTACTTTTTGAGACAGAGTTTCGCTCTGTCTCCCTGGCTGGAGTGCAGTGGCACAATCTCTGCTCACTGCAATCTCCGCCTCCTGGGTTCAAGCGATTCTCCTGCCTCAGCCTCCCAAGTAGCTGGGATTACAGGGAAGCACCACCATGCCAGTTAATTTTGTATTTTTAGTCTAGACGAGGTTTCACCATGTTGGTCAGGCTGGTCTCGCTCTGTGCCCACCTCTGCCTCTCAAAGTGCTGGGATTACAGGCATGAGCCACCGCGCCCAGCCTATTTTTTTATTTTTATTTTTACTTTTTGAGACAGAGTTTCGCTCTGTCTCCCTGGCTGGAATGCAGTGGCGCAATCTTTGCTCACTGCAACCTCCGCCTGGGTTCAAGTGATTCTCCTGCCTCAGCCTCCCTGGTAGCTGGGATTACAGGCCCTTGGCACCACACCCGGCTAATTTCTGTGTTTTTAGTAGAGTCAGGGTTTCACCATTTTGGCCAGGCTGGTCTTGAACTCCTGGCCTTAAGTGATCCACCTGCCTTGGCCTCCCAAAGTGCTGGGATTACAGGTGTGAGCTACCTAGCGCAGCTCTATATTTTTATTTATTTGTTTATTTATTTATTTTTTGAGACGGAGTCTTGCTCTGTTGCCCAGGCTGGAGTGCAGTGGCGCGATCTCGGCTCACTGCAAGCTCCGCCTCCCAGGTTCATGCCATTCTCCTGCCTCAGCCTCCTGAGTAGCTGGGACTACAGGCGCCCGCCACCACGCCCGGCTAATTTTTTGTGTTTTTAGTAGAGACAGGGTTTCCTCATGTTAGCCAGGATGGTCTCGATCTCCTAACCTCGTGATCCACCCTCCTCGGCCTCCCAAAGTGCTGGGATTACAGGTGTGAGCCACTGTGCCTGGCCTATTTTTTTTATTTTTTGTAGAGTTGAGATCTCACTATGTTGCCCAGGCTGGCTTCAAACTCCTGGCCTCACTCAAGTGATCCTCTCACCTTGGCCTTCCAAAGTACTGGGATTACAGGTGTGAGCAATTGCACCTGGCCTCTTTTCTGTTTTTATTTCCATTTTGCCAGTGAGAAGGCTGAGGTTACCTCTTTTTTTTTGAGACGTAGTCTCGCTCTGTTGCCCAGGCTGGAGTGCAATGGCATGATCTCTGCTCACTGCAACCTCCACCTCCCATGTTCAAGCGTTTCTCCTGCCTCAGCCTCCTGAGTAGCTGGGATTACCGGTGTACACCACCACGCCTGGCTAATTTTTGTATTTTTACTAGAGATGGGGTTTTGCCATTTTAGCCAGGGTGTTCTTGAACTGACGTCAGGCGATCCACCCACCTTGGCCTCCCAAAGTGCTGGGATTACTGGCGTGAGCCACCACGCCTGGCCAGGTTATATCATTTAACAAACATTTGACCACCATGTTAAGGGCACTGCTTGTTAGATGCTGGGGATGCCTATGAGGAGTTAATTGCCTCTTGGGAGAGATCTGCTTAGATAGGCAGTTTCAGCATAGAGTGATGAATGCTGTGGCCCAGAGGGTAGGTTAGGTTGCCATGGGAGAATGCAGGTGTGAAGGAAGTCCTTCAGGGAGGTTCCAATGGCTAATCCTGGTCATGAAGGACCAGGAAGAGAAAGCAGCTTGTTTGGCCAGGTGCAGTGGCTTATGCCTTTAACCCCAGCACTTTGGGAGGCTTAGTGAGGGAGGGGGCAGATCACCTGGTCAGGAGTTCGAGACCACCCTGGCCAACATGGTGAAACTAGAGACTAGCCCGTCTCTAGTAAAAATACAAAAATTAGCCTGGCATGGTGGCTTGCTCCTGTAATTCCAGCTACTTGGGAGGCTGAGGCAGGAGAGTCGCTTGAATCTGGGAGACAGAGGTTGCAGTGAGCCAAGATTGTGCCATTGCACTCCAGCCTGGGTGACAGTGCAAGACTCCATCAAAAAAAAAAAAAAAACAAAAGCAGCTTGTTTATACAAAGGCCCTGGAGGTCGGAACTGCAGGGTGTTTGGATGTGGCAGGAGTATGGGTGGTAAGAACAGTAATAACCCTTTTTTCTTTTTCTTTTTCTTTTTTTGTGACGCAGTCTTGCTCTGTCTTCCAGGCTGGAGTGCAGTGGCGGGATCTCGGCTCACTGTAACCTCCACCTGCCGGGTTCAAGCAATTCTCCTGCCTTAGCCTCCTGAGTAGCTAGGACTACAGGCGTGCACCACCATGCCTGGCTAATTTTTTATATTTTTAGTGGAGACAGGGTTTCACCATGTCGGCTAGGCTGGTCTCGAACTCCTGACCTCATGATCCGCCTGCCTGTGCCCCACAAAGTGGTGGGATTGCAGGCGTGAGCCATGGCGCCCAGCCCCCGCCCCCCCCCCCCCCTTTTTTTTTATACACAGTTTT
This sequence comes from Homo sapiens, assembly GCF_000001405.40. Classification (NCBI taxonomy): domain Eukaryota; kingdom Metazoa; phylum Chordata; class Mammalia; order Primates; family Hominidae; genus Homo; species Homo sapiens. The sequence goes on from NC_000020.11 coordinate 35,789,885, forward strand.
ACTCTTGTTCCCCAGTCCGGAGTGCAGTGGCTCGATCTCAGCTCACTGCAACCTCCGCCTCCCGGGTTCAGGCAATTCTCCTGCCTCAGCCTCCTGAGTAGCTGGGATTACAGGCGTCTGCCACCATCCCCAGCTGATTTTTTTTTGTGTTTAGTAGAGATGGGTTTTCACCACATTGGCCAGGCTGGTCTTGAATTTCTGATCTCAGGTGATCCGCCCGCCTCTGCCTCCTAAAATGCTAGAATTACATGCATGAGCCACCATGCCCAGCAAGAACAGTAGTAACCCTGCAAGCTTATTGTGTGCCAGGCTCTGCTAAATAACTTTTTTTTTTTTGACGGAGTCTCGCTCTGTCATCCCGGCTGGAGTGCAATGGTGTGATCCCGGCTCACTGCAACCTCTGCCTTTTGGGTTCAAGCGATTCTCCTTCCTCAGCCTCCCCTGTAGGTGGGATTACAGGCGCATGCCACCACGCCTGGCTAATTCTTGTGTTTTTAGTAGAGGCGGGATTTCACCATGTTGACAAGGCTGGTCTCAAACTCCTGACCTCAGGTGATCCGCCTGCCTCAGCCTCCCAAAGTGCTGGGATTACAGGTGTGAGCCACCGGGCCTGACCTGTGCTAATAACTTTTATCTTCACAACACCTATATGATGGTTTGAAGTAGGTGCTGGTGATATCCTCATTTTACAGATGGGGAGCCTGAAGCTCAGAGAGGAAATGACTTGTGCAAGTTTATCTGGAAAGTGGTGGGGCTGAGGTCCAAACTCAGGCACTCTTATTCCAGAGTTCTGGCTCATAACCGCTGTGTCCCACAGCCCCTCTGCTAAAGCTTGCCTGCTTCTCTCCTTTTAAGCTCCAAAAGAGAGTTTCTTTTGGCTTGGTTATAATGGCTAACTCACTAATGGCCCAAATGCTGCGCTGAGTACCTTGAATATGGTTCTGTAGGGGAGCCGCTGAACTGTTTTTTTTGTTTGTTTGTTTTTGTTTTTTGAGACAGAGCCTTGCTCTGTTGCCCAGGCTGGACTGCAGTGGCGCGATCTTGGCTCACTGCAACCTCCACCTCCTGGGTTCGAGCGATTCTCCTGTCTCAGCCTCCTGAGTAGCTGGAATTACAGGCGTGTGCCACCATGCCCGGCTAATTTTTGTATTTTTAGTAGAGGCGAGGTTTCACCATGTTGGCCAGGCTGGTCTTGAACTCCTGACCTTGTGATCCACCTGCCTCAGCCTCCCAAAGTGTTGGGATTACAGGCGTGAGCCACCGCGTCCGGCCTGAACTGTTTTAAAATAGAAGTCTTATGATCATACTTACATTTTAGAAATATCACTGTAGCAGCAGTGATGAAGATTGGCAACAGTGTAATTAACTGGAGTCAGCCTTACCTCGGTTCAATTCCTTGTCCCAATACCTGACTAGCCTTGGTATTTGGGAAACTTACTTTGTGAACCTCAGTTTTCACATCCATAAAATGGGAATAATCCTCATTACAAACCTAAGAGGTAGACACTAAATGGGCTGATATAGTTTTTATATATATGTATATATATACCAGAATAGTATCTATCTATCTATCTATCTATCTATCTATCTATCTATCTATCTATCTATCTATCTATCTTAGAATAGTATATACATATATATCTTAGAATAGTGTATATATATATATATATATATATATCTTAGAATTGTGTGTATATATGTATCTTAGAATAGTATTTGTCATAAAATAACCACTGAGAAGATGTCATCTCATGAGACAGTATTGATTTGGATCTGGGGAAGGTATAGCTGGAGGATTGGAGCTCTGTCAAGAGCTGCTGGAGTAATCAAGATTAGAACTGATGCAGGGCTGAACTGGGCATCCACTTGGCAATGGCTGAGACTTAGAAGCAGGTCCTACAAAATGTTGTCCGAGTGTGGGAGGTGAGGGAAGGAGAAGGAGGTAAGGGAAGTGCCCATGTTTCTAGTTTGGCACACTTGCCAATCTTGAGGGCTTATTTGATGGGGACAAAAGGAGAAGGAACTTGTAAGGGTAAGATGATTAGCTCAGTGAAATTGAGTAATATGCGAAAGGTCATACAGCAGATACATTTTAGGGCCAACCCTGGCACAGGCCCTTTCCACTGCTTCTGGGAAAATCCACTGATTTAATCGACTCATTCTCAGTAGTTTGGAATGAGTAAACTCAACTCATGTTTGCTGTCTCTTTGCATTTTAATTATGGAAGGCAAAGCTTGACTCTTGCAGAAAGCATTTCAAGTATCTGGGAAGAAAGTGGGTGAAGTTTTGAGGCCTATTTCTTTCTTCACTCTTCTTTTTTTTACGACAGAGTCTTGCTCTGTCGCCAGGCTGGAGTGCAGTGGCTCGATCTTGGCTCATTGCAACCTCCACCTTCTGGGCTCAAGCAATTCTCCTGCCTCAGCCTCTTGAGTAACTGGGATTACAGGCACCTGCCACCACGCCCGGCTAATTTTTTGTATTTTTAGTAGAGACGGGGTTTCACCATGTTGGCCAGGCTGGTCTCAAACTACTGAACTCTGGTGATCCGCCCTCCTCGACCTCCCAAAGTGTTGGGATTACAGGCGTGAGCCACCGTGCCTGGCTTCTTCCCTCTTTTCATTCTTGCCTGCCCTTCCTTCCTTCCTTTCTTTTTCTTCCTCCTTACCTCTTCTGCCTTTCCTCCCTCCTTCCCTACCTTGTCAAGTAAAAGGGACTAATTCCCTTTCTTCTAGTGTGACCTGGGAAGAGGTCCTACTTGAACCAATTTGTCACTTCCCTACGACTAAAGATACGCTCTTTATGCACTTTAGTATATTGGATACTGTTTGTTAATTTTTAATAATATTGACTATAATTCTTTGTGTCTGATGTCCTTTTTGCTAGTATACCACCATTGCCATCACCAGTACCATTTAGAGTTTGCTATGCTAAGCACTTGACATCCATTAGCTCACTTATTCTTCACAACAACCCTAGGAAATTGGGGCTGTTGATCCCATCTTATAGCTGGGCAAACAGGCTCAGTGATTTTTCTTGTCGTCGCTCAGCCAACAATGCCTGGAGCCAGAATTGGTTAGAATCTGAGTCTAAAACCTGTCTGTGCACCCATCCCTAGGCATTCCCTGGCCTTCCTCCACGGCAGAACTTTGGCAAAAGGTCCTCTTGGAGGCTTCTTCCTGGGAGACCCAGGTATCACTGGACCGGCTAAAATTGTTTATGCTTTCTTGGGACAGCAGCATGGGCTGTGGGAAGTCTCAACCTTCTAGGTTCAAGCTGTGTGTGGGGAAAGCTCCTTTCTGCCGGAGATTCTTTGCCTGTAGTAGTTGCCTTTGCTTAGAAGTCACTTCCTTTAGATCTCCTTCTTGTCACCTAGTTCTCTGCTTAGACCTCAGTTCCTCAGAGAGTCCTTTCTTTTTCTTTTTTTTTTTTTTTGAGACAAGAGTCTCGCTCTGTCACCCAGGCTGGAGTGCAGTGGCATGATCTTGGCTCACTGCAACCTCCACCTCCTGGGTTCAAGCAATTCTCCTGCCTCAGCCTCCCAAGTAGGTGGGACTACAGGTGCCCACCACTAAGCCTGGCTAATTTTTGTATTTTTAGTAGAGACGGGGTTTCACCATATTGGCCAGGCTGGTCTCGAACTCCTGACCTCAGGTGATCCACCTGCCTCGGCCTCCCAAAGTGCTGGGATTACAGGCGTGAGCCATTGTGCCTGTCTTGAGAGTCCTTTCTAACAGCCGTATCTAAAATAGTCCTTTCCATGTCGCTGGTTCACATTATTTTGTTGTTTTTCCCACAATTACTTATCTCTGTCAGAAATGATCTTTATATGCTCGCATGGCGCAGTGGCTCATGCCTGTAATCGCAGCACTTTGGGAGGCTGAGGTTGGTGGATCACTGGAGGTCAGGAGTTCGAGACCAGCCTGGCCAACATGGCGAAACACTGTCTCTACTAAAAATACAAAAATTAGCCAGGCATGGTGGTGCACGCCTGTAATCCCAGCTACTGGGGAGGGTGAGGCAGGAGATGCTTGAACCTGGGAGGCGGAGGTTGCAGAGAGCCGAGATTGCACCTTGCACGCTGGGCTGGGCGACAAGAGCGGGACTCTGTCTCAAAAAAAAAAAAAAAAAAAAAAGGCCAGGCGCGGTGGCTCACACCTGTAATCCCCAGCACTTTGGGAGGCTGAGGTGGGTGGATCGCCTGAGGTCAGGAGTTCGAGACCAGCCTGACCAATATGGAGAAACCCCTTCTCTGCTAAAAATACAAAAATTAGCCAGGCGTGGTGGCACATACCTGTAATCCTAGCTACCAGGAGGCTGAAGCAGGAGAATCTCTTGAACCTGGGAGATGGAGGTTGCAGTGAGCCGAGATCGTGCCACTGCACTCCAGCCTGGGCAACAAGAGCAAAACTCTGTCTCAAAAAAAAAAAAAAAAGAAAAAAGAAATGACCCTTATGTATGTGCTTATCTTGTTTCTTAGCTGCCTTCCCCACTAGAGAACAGGGTCCGGGTGCCTTGTCCTCCCATTGTCTATTTCCAGTACCTGGCACACAGCAGGCTCTCAATGAATATTTCTTGAATGAGGGGGGCATAAAGATTTAAGCTGGTCTTTCACCTGAAGTGTCCCTCAATTTAAAGTGGTTGTATTGAGTTAAAAGGCACTGTCACCCTTTAATGGAGGTTGAATCCCAGCCTTGTGGTGAGCACCATTAGATTATCCCAAAGCCTGTTCTGTAGTTTCTGGTGGTTGGCATTTTATTCCTTGAGAGTCCCAGAGACTTTTTTCCTCGAAAGTTCCAGAGTTTATTTCCCTCTACTCCTGTCCCAGAGCTGATTCACTGAAAGGTCTTGTTCCATACCCATCTATCACTTTTAATTCTTTGTTGTCCCTCTTTTCCCTGAGCACAAAGGGATTGCTGAGGGCAAGACTTCCAGTTACCATAGCGACAGTACTCTTTTGCCTCTCCCAAAATAAAACCCAGAGTCTTTGTCAGTACATTAACTGTAAATGTGATATGAATTCAGAAAATATGGGCGTGGTGGCTCACACCTGTAATCTCAGCACTTTGGGAGGCTGAGGTGGGCAAATCACCTGAGGTCATGAGTTTGAGACCAGCCTGGCCAACATGGCAATACCCTGTCTCTACTAAAAATACAAAAATTAGCTGGGTGTGGTGGTGTGCTCCTGTAATCCCAGCTACTTGGGAGGCTGAGGCAGGAGAATCGCTTGAACCCGGGAGGAGGAGGTTGCAGTGAGCTGAGATTGCACCATTGCACTGTAGCCTGGGGACAGAGCGAGACTCTGTCTTAAAAAAAAAAAAAAAAGGAAGAAAAATCTGCTATCATTTATTGAGTACCTACTTGTTTTTTTTTGAGACGAATCTCACTCTGATGCCTGGGCTAGAGTGCAGTGGTGCCATCTTGGCTTACTGCAACCTTCATCCCCTGGTTCAAGCAATTCTTCTGCCTCACCCTCCTGAGTAGCTGGGATTATAGGTGTGTGCCATGATGCCTGGCTAATTTCTGTATTTTTTTAGTAGAGACAGGGTTTCACCACATTGGCCAGGCTGGTCTCGAACTCCTGACCTCAAGTGATCTGCCCACTTTGCCCTCCCAAAGTGTTGGGATTATAGGTGTGAGCCACTGCGCCCAGCTGACTACCTACTTTGTGTTAGATATTTTAATAGGGGTTTTGCAGACCTTTCTCATTTAATTCTCATAGCACCCACGATAGGGGCCATTATCCCCATATCATAAGTGAAGAAACAGAGCTCAACAATGTAGCTTGTAAATAAACTTGGGGTAAGAATCTGAACTCAGGAGCTACTGGACTGAGGTTCGATTGCTGGCTCAGCTCCTTACTATGTGAGTGTCCTTAACTTTCTTTTTCCTCATCTTTATAATGGGGATTAATATAGTACTTCTGTGATTTTTGTAAGGATTAAATTGGTTAATATATGTAAGTTTAATTATTATAAATTTTTTTTTTGAGACAGTCTCACTCTGTCGCCCAGGCTGGAGTGCAGTCGTGTGATCTCAGCTCACTGCAACCTCCACCTGCAGGGTTGAAGTGATTGTTCTGCCTCAGCCTCCTGAGTAGCTGGGACTACAGGTGCGCACCACCATGCCCAGCTAATTTTTGTATTTTTTAGTGGAGACGGGGTTTCACTATGTTTACCTGGGTGGTCTTGATCTCTTGACCTCATGATCCGCCCGCCTTGGCCTCCCAAAGTGCTGGGATTGCAGGCGTGAGCCACCGCACCCAGACTATACATTTTTTTTTTATGCGGGTTTTGTTAGTTTGGATAAGGTTATTTTACATCTACTCTCTGTAAAGTTAGTTTATATCTTTATCATAGTAGTAGCTTAATAGCATTCTTTATTTAATTTATTACATATTTGTTGAGTTTATAATGTAGTCCTACTGTAATGAATTTTGATTAAATATTCTCTTGTTTTTTAATGGATGAACTACATCCAGTTTGCCCAGAATCTTATGTAAAGAGCTATTGGTTTTTCTCATTTTCACAAATGATTTATTTTTATCCTGGACTGTATTCTTCAGCTTGAAATGGCTGAGTCCAAGAGTATAAGCAGTTCCACAGGTTGTTCTTTGCTTCTAGATTAAGGTATAAAAAGATGGCCATGGTCAGGACCCCAGGAGGTGTTCTAGTGTACCTGTTTCCCCACAGCTGGACCAGTGTTAGGTTTTGTCTTTTCTAAAAAATTAGGTATTTCTGCTTGTTATATAATGGTGTGATAATTTTGACACAACATTTGAAAAGCATCCAGTTGCTTTATCTTCCTGTATTCAAGTTATGTTTATATCTAAAGATATGAATATAAGCATAGCAACGACTTTGGTCAGAGAAAGAGGAAGGACCTTTGAGAAGTACTTTGTCTACTTCTGCGTACATCCTGTTACTTTTGATAAGAGGGATTTCTCCTGCCTCAGAGGACCTTGAAATTGGCTAGCACCTCTGCATGTCAGTTTCCTCCCTGTAACTTAATTTTACTTGTATACCATGGTAACATTACATTAGTCCTAATTATATAATCTGGCAGTTGTGAAGATCCAGTAAATAGTAAAATAGTGTAAGAATTAAATTCTTGCATTTAAAAAATTTGCAGGTTTTTTTTTGGATTTTTTGTAGAGATGACATTTCACCAAGTTGCCCAGGCTGGTCTTGAACTCTTAGATTCAAGCTACCTGCCCCTTGGCCTCCCAAAATGCTGGGATTACAGGCATGGGCCTATACTCAGCCTCCCAAAGTGCTGGGATTATAGGCATGAGCCAGTGTACCTGGCCAAAAATTTGCATATTTAAATAACCTTAAAAGAAAAAAATGGGCCGGGCGTGGTGGCTCATGCCTGTAATCCCAGCACTTTGGGAGGCCAAGGTGGGTGCATCATTTGAGGTCAGGAATTCAAGACCAGCCTGGCCAACATGGTGAAACTCTGTCTCTACTAAAAATGCAAAAATTAGCTGGGCAGTAGTGGCATATGCCTGTAATCACAGCTACTCAGGAGACTGAGGTGGGAGAATTGCTTGAGCCTAGGAGGCGGAGGTTACAGTGAGCTGAGATCGTGCCACTGCACTCCAGTCTGGGCGACAGAGTGAGACCCTGTCTCAAAAAAAAAAAAAAGAAAAAAATATGAAGAAACATAAAGAAGCAACCCCACCACCAGAATAAAATAAAATTTTATCATCTAGATAATTCCTGCTGACAATTACTTCTTTGGTGGTTTTTTTTGTTTGTTTTTGTTTTTTGGCTTTTTTTTTTTTTTGAGATGGAATCTTGCTCTGTCACCCAGACTGGTTTGCAGTGGCACGATGTCAACTCACTGCAACCTCCGCCTCCTGGGTTCAAGTGATTCTCCTGCCTCAGCCTCCTGAGTAGCTGGGATTACAGGTTCCCACCACCATGCCCGGCTAATTTTTGTATTTTTAGTAGAGACGGGGTTTCACCATGTTGGCTAGGATTGTCTCGATCTCTTGACCTTGTGATCCTCCCACCTCGACCTCCCAAAGTGCTGGGACTACAGGCATGAGCCACTGCGCCTAGCCTGGAATGGGTTGTTTAATAGATAGCTTATTGTCCTTCACATGTATAATCCTTTACATTATACACTTGTGAAAAATTTTCATTGTGAAAAACTAAAATTTAGGAAAGTATTTAAGAAGAAAGGAACAATCACCAATAACCTATAACTTATTTTTTTCTTCCTGTCTTTACAAAAGAATCAGTGGCTGGGTACCATGGCTCATGCCTCTAATTCCAGCACTTTGGGAGGCTGAGTCAGGAGGATCACTTGAACCTGGGAGTTTGAGACCAGCCCAGACAAACACATAGCAAGACCCTGTCTCTACCAGATAACAAATTAGCTGGGTGTGGTGGCTTGCACCTGTAGTCCCAGGTGCTTGGGAGGCTGAGTAAGGAGGATCACATGAGCCCAGGAAGTCGAGGCTACAGTGATCCAGGTTTGAGCCACTGTAGACCAGCCTGAGTGACAGAGTGAGCAAGACCTTGTCTCCAAAAAAATAAATTCATATGAGTTTTTTTCTTTTCTTTTCTTTTCTTTTTTTTTTGAGACAGAATTTCACTCTTGTTGCCCAGGCTAGAATGTAATGGTGCGATCTTGGCTCACTGGAACCTCCACCTCCTGGGTTCAAGTGATTCTCCTGCCTCAGCCTCCCAGGTAGCTGGAATTACAGGCATGTGCCACCATGCCTGGCTAATTTTGTATTTTTAGTAGAGACGGGGTTTCTGCATGTTGGTTAGGCTGGTCTCAAACTCCTGACCTCAGGTGATCCGGCAGCCTCGGCCTCCCAAAGTTCTGGGATTATAGGCATGAGCCACCATGCCTGGCCTTTTTTTTTTGTTTTTGTTTTTTAAAGAGACAGGTTCTTGCTCTGTCACTCAGGCTGGAGTACAGTGGCACAATCATAACTCACTGCAGTCTCAACCTCCTGGGCTCAAGCGATCCTCCTGCCTCAGCCTTTTCAGTAGCTGGGATTATAAGCCTGAGCCACCTCATCTGGCTGTGTATGAGTTTTAATGTGAGCTCCATGTGGTACAATTTTGCATCCTGCCTTTTTATGTAATATATTGCAAGCAAATTCTTCATAAAATGTGCTGCTATTAAACATTAGACATGTACTCACTTCTGTGATTTTTTTCCATACTCATTTATTGCAAAGAAAGTGTTCTGGTAGGAGGCAGGCATTGCTCTGGCAGTGCTCTGGCATTGCTTGGGCAGTGTAGGCTGTCAAGAGCCAAAGTATAAGGCTGGATGCAGTGGCTCGTGCTTGTAATCCTGTAATCCCAGCACTTTGGGAGGCCCAGGCGGGAGGATTGCTTGAACCCAGGAGTTTGAGATCAGCCTAGGAACATAGATACTCTCTCTGCAAAAAAAAAAAAAAAAAAAAAAAAAAAAGCTGGGTGTGCTGACGCATGCCTGTGATTCCAGCTACTCGGGAGGCTGAGGCAGGAGTATTGCTTGAGCCCAGGAGTCTGAGGCTGCAGTGAGCTATGATAGCGCCACTGCATTCCAGCCTGGACAACAGAATGAGACCCTGTCTAAAAAAAATTTTAAAAAGTCCAGAGTTTAGTGGGAGGAAAGAGTTAGGCTGGGGTAAGTCTGCTGTAAGGAAGTGGCCTGTTCAAGTGCCCTTAGAGTTCAGAGTGGCTACATGTCCATCAGAACCACCACTAGCTCCTCCGATAGCATTTAGGACCCTGCAGATTAGTAGATTAATTACCTCAGTGATCACAAGAAGTGTTCTTTTTTTTTTTCTTTTTCAAGATGGAGTCTTGCTCTGTCACCCAGGCTGGAGTGCAGTGGCGTGATCTCGGCTCACTGCAACCTCCGCCTCCCAGGTTCAAGCTATTCTTCTGCCTCAGCCTCCCAAGTAGCTGGGATTACAGGCGCCTGCCGCCGCGCCCCACTAATTTTGTATTTTTAGTAGAGATGGGGTTTCACCATGTTGGCCAGGCTGGTCTCAAACTCCTGACCTTGTGATCCGCCTGCCTCGGCTTCCCAAAGTGTTGGGATTACAGGCTTGAGTCACCGCACCCGGCCGGAAGTGTTCTTTTATGGGGGCCACTTTTCTTGTAAATGGCCTAATCCAGTACACCTTTTTTTTCCATCAAAAGGAAATTGGCTTTACTGTTTGGTTCTGATCATAAATATAAATTTTATTCATTGCAGCACGAGTACACGAGACAGGATTGAGAAAGGAGAGATTCAAATTGTGACTTCAGATTCAAAGGCAATTAAAGGAATTAAACGTGAATATTTTTACTGTTTTATTGTTCTATGATTAAAAAAAAATCTGGGTAAAACTTATAGGAAAATACAAATGATCAGAATGGACTCAAGAAGTAGGAAATATAGCTGGGCATGGTGGCAGGTGCCTGCAATCCCAGCTACTTGGGAGGCTGAGGCAGGAGAATCACTTGAACCCGAGAAGCAGAGGTTGCAGTAAGCCGAGATCATGCCATTGCACTCCAGCCTGGGCGACAAGAGCGAGACTCCTCAAAAAACAAACCAACAAACAAAAAAAGAAGTAGGAAATATACATAGATCAAAGAAAGTATAAACAATTCTGGGCGCAGTGGTTCACGCCTGTAATACCAGCACTTTGGGAGGTTGATGTGGGCAGATCACTTGAGGTCAGGTGTTTGATACCAGCCTGGCCAACATGGTGAAACCCAATCTCTACTCAAAATACAAAAATTAGCTGGGTGTGGTGGCATGCGCCTGTAGTCCCAGCTACTCAGGAGGCCTAGGCTCCAGAATTGCTTGAACCTGGGAGGTGGAGGATACGGTGAGCTGAGATGGCACCACTGCACTCAGCCTGGGTAAAAGAGTATGACTCTGTCTCAAAAAATAAATAAATAAACAGACCTCGTACAGCCTTCCAAAAGTAGCACCAAGTATTAATATCTCAACTTTTGTTTGCTTCGTTTTTAATTTTTTTTGTTTTTAAGAGACGAGCGTTTGCTATGTTTCTCAGGCTGGTCTTGAACTCCTGGGCTCAAAGAAACAACTTGGCTCTGCCTTCCAAGTAGCTGGGGCTATAGGCATACATTACTGTGCCTGGCATTTGTTTGCTTCCTTTGTAACTCTTTAAATTTCATTGCAATTACAGTTTGCAGTTATTTATCAGTTTGCTGGCTAAATTTTTGTGTTTCCCCGGTAGACTGAAGGGTTCTTGAGGGCAGGAGCTGTGTCTCTTTTGGTCTTGATTGTTTCCTTAAATAGTCGCTGAGCAAATATTTGTTGAATAATGCATCAGCAGATGACTGAATTTAACTGTGAAAGCAGTTGTTTTTTTGTAGTTCTGAGGGGTGGCCCTTGGCCCTTGTAGGTGAGTGGTAAGCAGTGTTGAGGGAGGGTCTTCTTAGTTCCAGAAACCACAGGAAGCTGCACGATGGAGGAATAGGAACCAGTGGAAGACACACCTGTGTTAGAATGAGGACACCAACAGGGTTTCATGGAGCTTTGTGTTTTGAATAATGCCTGTTTTTTTATGTGTAGTGAATGATGCTACACTCTGGGTGGACTTTGCCTAAGTTTCATAAATATTTAATTGGCTTTTTCAGGAGAATAAAGGCAGCCCCGTTGATGACTGAAAATGACAAAGCATCCACCTAACAGACGAGGAATCAGCTTTGAAGTGGGAGCCCAGTTGGAAGCCCGGGACCGTTTAAAAAACTGGTACTTTTACATTTTTCTGTTAATTAAAGCCCTTCAGTAAAGGATTTTTGCCAGCACTGATAGAGTGGTAGCTTAGGCTTTTTTTGTGGTGTTTTTCTACTTCCTGACTCTTGGAAGATGTGAGGAAATGTCAGTCTTTTCTCTTTGATGCAGGGATCCCAGTGTCAGGGTGACTGTCCTGTAACCCCCTGTATATATTTGTTTCCCCCTTTTGCCTGTTCATCTGAAAGAGTTCTGGGAAAAAGAAGCAGGAATGGCTACAGGGAAGGGAAGAGTTAATAGTGGCAGCTCTCTTGCTCCTGGCTGCCTGTCTGAAAAAAGAGGAAAGATCAGGGATGGAATAGTGAAGAAAAAGGGGTTCGATTGGAGCAGCTCATGTGTTGTGAACACCCCATCCTATTTTCTGGGCATGATCTTGTATGTTGAAATACAGTCATCATGTAAGGGCACACTGTCAGGGTGATTAGGTTCAGAAGCTGAGGGGTTATAGTCCCAGCTGTGTCATTGACTTGTGACCTCTGGCTGGTAATTAGCTGCTTTGTGCATTGGCTTATCTATAAATGTGGGTATTGGTAATATTGACCTCATAGGGTTATTCTGAGAATCAAATGATAGAATATGTAAGGAAAGACCTTATAGACTGTGAAGTGATTGTTGTGGTTGAGGGCATCCTAGAATTTGGTCATTTTTTGGTGCTCAAGGTGAGCGTGGGGTTTTCAGAACTTATACCTCTTTAAGGGTTTTTGTTTTTTTTTTTTAGACAGAGATTCGCTCTGTCACCCAGGCAGATCTTGGCTCACTGCAACCTCTGCCTCCCAGGTTCAAGCAGTTCTCGTGCCTCAGCCTCCTGAGTAGCTGGTATTGCAGATGTGTGCCACCATGCCTGGCTAATTCCTTTTTGAGCTAAAGAAGGAAGAGTTTAACCCTTTTTGAGATTCTTTCAAAATAGATTGATCAGCTCTTCAGGTGTAGGAAGATAAGACAGGAGAAGAGAGGCATAGAAGCAGCTGGTACAGAAAACTGTCTTTGCTATTAGAATTAGGTACACTTGGCTGGGCGCGGTGGCTCACGCCTGTAATCCCAGCACTTTGGGAGGCCGAGGTGGGTGGATCACCTGAGGTCTGGAGTTCGAGACCAGCCTGGCTAAAGTGGCGAAACCCCGTCTCTACTAAAAATACAAAAAATTAGCCGGGCATGGTGGTGCATGCCTGTAATCCCAGCTTCTCGGGAGGCTGAGCCAGGAGAATTGCTTGAACCCGGGAGGTGGAGGTTGCAGTGAGCCGAGATTGCACCACTGCACTCCAGCCTGGGCAACAGAGTGAGACTCGGTCTGAAAAAAAAAAAAAAAAAAGAATTAGGTACACTTGGCCAGTTGTGGTGGCTCACGCCTATAATCCCAGCACTTTGGGAGGCTGAGGTGGGCGGATCACGAGGTCAGGAGTTCAAGACCAGTCTGGCCAACATAATGAAACCCCGTCTTTACTAAAAATATAAAAATTAGCCGGGCATGATGGTGCACGCATGTAGTCCTAGCTACTCAGGAGGCTGAGGCAGGAGAATCACTTGAACCTGGGAGGTGGAGGCTGCATTGAGCCAAGATCGCGCCACTGCACTCCAGCCTGGGTGACTGAGCGAGACTCCGTCCCGGAAAAAAAAAAAAAAGAAAAAAGAAAAAATAATTAGGTAATTAGGTACATTTTCAACACAGTTGTTTTTGGGCTATTTTTTTTTTTTGGAGACAAGAGTCTTGCTCTTTCATTCAGGCTGGAGTGTAGTGGCGTGATCTCGGCTCACTGCAGTCTTTGCCTCCTAGGTTCAAGCAATTCCTCTGCCTCAGCCTTCTGAGTTGCTGAGATTACAGGCATGCACCACGATGCCCGGCCAATTTTTTGTATTTTTAGTAGAGACAGGGTTTCACCATGTTGGCCAGGCTGGTCTCCAACTCCTGACCTCAGATGATCTGCCTGCCTCGGCCTCCCAAAGTGCTGGGATTACAGGCGTGAGCCACCAAGCCTGCCTGTTTTTGGGCTATTTGTATTATCTATAATTAGTTCCTTTTTTGGTTTCAGTATATATATATGTGTGTGTGTGTGTGTGTGTATATATATAATATACTGCGTGTGTGTATATATATTATATATTGTATGTATATATATTATATAAGTAGTATCATACAACTTGTTTTTTTTCTGTGTCTTTGTTTTTTATATTCAATATGTTTTTGTGATTTACCCATACTTAACTCCGCACCCTCCTCGCCCACCCCTGATATAGGGTCTTACTCTATTGCTCAGGCTGGAGTGTAATGGCACAATCATAGTTCACTGTGGCCTCCAACTCCTGGGCTCAAGTGATCCTCCTGCCTTAGCCCTCCATGTATCTGGGACTACATCTTAACTTCTGTATAGAGTTTTATTGTATGAATATACCACATTTTGTTTATCTAGTCCCCTACTAATGGACGTTTGTTTGTTTGTTTATTTATTTATGATGGAGTCTAGCTCTGTCACCCAGGCTGGAGTGTGGTGGCACAATCTTGGCTCATTGCAACATCCGCCTCCTGGGTTCAAGCAGTTCAGCCTCAGCTGGGATTACAGGTGCCCACCTTGCCAAGCTACTGTATGTTTTTTTTTTTTTTTTTTTTTTGAGACGTAGTCTTGCTCAGTCGCCCAGGCTGGAGTGCAGTGGCTCGATCTCTCCTCACTGCAAGCACTGCCTCCTGGGTTCACGCCATTCTCCTGCCTCAGCCTCCCGAGCAGCTGGGACTACAGGCACCCACCACCATGCCCAACTAATTTTTTTGTATTTTTTTAGTAGAGACGGGGTTTCACGGTGTTAGCCAGGATGGTTGCGATCTCCTGACCTCGTGATCCACCCTCCTCGGTCTCCCAAAGTGCTGGGATTACAGGCGTGAGCCACCGCGCCCAGCCTAATTTATGTACTTTTAGTAGAGATGGGGTTTCGCCATTTTGGCCAGGCTGGTCTCAAATTTGTGACCTCAGGTGATCCACCCACCTTGGCCTCCCAAAGTGCTGGGATTACAGGTGTGAGCCACCGCTCCTGGCCCGTTTATTTATTTATTATTTTTTATTGTATTTTTTTTTAAATGGGTGCTTAAATTCCAGTTTTTCACCTGAGACACAGTGCTGTGTGAATGTCTCTTTGTGCACATACACAGACTTTTACTTGGGCAGTGGCTTTTGACCACAACCTACAGTAAGAAATGTATTTTAAATCCAGTGTGGTACTCAACCATATGTACATAAAAATTTATTTTTATTTTGTTTTTATTATTATTTTTTTGAAACGCTGTCGAGACAGCGTCTCACTTTGTTGCCTAGGCTGTAATGCAGGGTCGTGATCTTGGCTCACTGCAATCTCCGCCTCCCAGGTTCAAGCGATTCTCGTGCCTCAGCCTCCTGAGTATGTGGGATTATAGGTGTGTGCCACCATGCCTGGCTATTTTTTTTTTATTTCTAGTAGAGCCGGTGTTTCACCATGTTGGCCAGGCTGGTCTTGAACTCCTGGCCTCAGGCGATCTGCCCAACTCGGCCTCCTGAGTGCTGGGACCACAGGCCAGATCCATGGCACCCGGCCTATTTTTATTTTTCCAGACAAGGTCTCATTCTGTTGCTCAGGTTGGAGTGCAGTGGTGGGAACAGAGCTCATTGCAGCTTTGACCTCCCTTGGCTTAAGCAGTCCTCCTGCTTCAGCTGGGACCACAGGCACATGCCACCACGCCTGATTTTTTATTATTATTATTATTATTATTATTATTATTATTATTATTATTTTGAGATGGAGTCTTGCTCTGTCGCCCAGGCTGGAGTGCAGTGGCGCAATCTCGGCTCACTGCAAGCTCCGCCTCCCGGGTTCACGCCATTCTCCTGCCTTAGCTTCCCGGCTAATTTTTTGTAATTTTAGTAGAGACGGGGTTTCACTGTGTTAGCCAAGATTTACCTCGTGATCTGCCCGCCTTGGCTTCCCAAAGTGCTGGGATTATAGGTGTGAGCCACTATGCCCAGCCACACGCCTGATTAATTTTTAAATTTTTAGTAGAGATGAGGTCTCACTATGTTGCCAAGGCTGATCTCGAATTCCTGGGCTCAGGTGATCCTCCTGCCTTGGCCTCCCAAAATGCTGGGGTTACAGGCATAAGTCACCATACCTGATCTATATAAATTTAACTGAAACACAAATTTTATGAAGTAGTATTTAACCTTAATACATGCATTATACTCTGGTATTTTTTTCAGTTCTTTTTTTTTTCGTTTGGGACAGAGTCTTGCTCTGTCGCCCAGTCTGGAGTGCAGTGGCACAATCTTGGCTCACTGCAACCTCCACCTCCTCCTGGGTTCAAGCGATTCTCCTGCCTCAGCCTCCTGAGTAACTGGGATTACAGGCGCCCGCCACCACACCCAGCTAATTTTTGTATTTTTAGTAGAGACAGGGTTTCACTGTGTTGGCCAGGATGGTCTGGAACTCCTGACCTTGTGATCTGCCCTCCTCAGCTTCCCAAAGTGCTGGGATTACAAGCGTGAGCCACCATGCCTGGCATTTTTTTTTTTTTTTTTTTGATATGTCTCACTCTGTTGCCTAGGCTGGGGTGTAGTGGTGCAGTTACAACTCATTGCAGCCTTGACTTCCAGGCTCAGGTGATCCTCTCACCTCAGCCTTCTGAGCAGATGGGACTACCAGCACATACCATCATGCTAGGCTAATTTTTTGTATTTTTAGTGGAGATGAGGTTTCACTATGTTGGCCAAGCTGGTCTTGAACTCCTGACCTCAAGTGTTTCACCTGCCTCGGCTTCCCAAAGTGCTGGGATTACAAGCGTGAGTCACCATGCCTGGCACATATTTAGGTTTTTAATCCACCTGGAATTCATTTTATGTGTAGTATGAACTTGTATCTAATTATTATTTTTTAATTCAATGAATAACCAGTTGCTCCAATATCATGTTTAGAATAGTCCATTCTTTCCCTATTGACCTGCAATACCACTTGTATGTACTAAGCCTCATATTTACATAGGCCTGTTCTCAGATCTTTAGTCTATTCCATTGATTTATGTTTACTCCTGTGCTTGTAATAACACATTATTTAATTGATATTGCTTTAACATAACTCTTGATATCTGGTAAGACAGGTTTTATTTTATTTGTTGTATTCTTAGACCTTTACTCTTTTTTTTTTTTTTTTTTTTTTGAGACGGAATCTTGCTCAGTCGCCCAGGCTGGAGTGCAGTGGCACGATCTTGGCTCATTGCAAGCTCCGCCTCCCGGGTTCACGCCATTCTCCTGCCTCAGCCTCCCGGGTAGCTGGGACTACAGGTGCCTGCCACCACGCCCGGCTAATTTTTTGTATTTTTAGCAGAGACGGAGTTTCACTGTGTTAGCCAGGATGGTCTCGATCTCCTGACCTTGTGATCTGCCCGCCTTGGCCTCCCAAAGTGCTGGGATTACAGGCATGAGCCACTGCACCCGGTCAACCTTTACTCTTTAATGTGAATTTTTGTAGTATTGTTGAGTGTCTTGAAAAGTGTTTTTGGAGTTTTGAAGTAAATTGTATTTAATTGGTATCTTGATAAAAAGTTTTCATTCATGAAAATACATCTTTATACTTATTCATGTTTTACTTTATGAACTTTAGTGATGTTTTATAACCTCCATAAAGATTTTGCATGTTATCTGTTAGATTTATTCCTAAGTACTGTCTAGTTTTTGTTGCTTCTATGAATGGATCTTTTTTTTTTTTTTTTTTTTGAGATGAAGTCTTGCTCTGTCACCCAGGCTAAAGTGCAGTAGAGCGATTTGGGCTCACTGCAACCTCCGCCTCCCAGGCTCAAGCAGTTCTCCCTGCCTCAGACTCCCGAGTAGCTGGGATTACAGATGCCCGCCACCATGCCTGGAATTTTTGTATGTTTTAGTAGAGGCGGGGTTTTGCCATTTTGGCCAGGCTGGTCTTGAACTCCTGACCTCAGGTGATCTGCTCACCTCGGCTTCCTAAAGTGCTGGGATAACAGGCGTGAGCCACTGCACCTGGCCAGATCTTTATATATATATTTTTTCTCTTTGGTTATTGCTGGCATGAAGGAATATTGTTAACCAAATTCAGTATGTGGATTTTATATAGTTTGAAAACAAAAGCAGACTGCTTAAAAAAGATTTATGACATTTATGAGATTGTTGGAAGTTTGAACATTGATTGGTTATTTGATATTAAAGAATCGTTAACATTTTAGATGTGGAAGTGATATTGTAATTTTGTTTTTTAAGAGTTCTTATTTCTTAGAGATTATATACCTACATTTATGAATAAAATGATACATTGTGATTTGCTTCAAGATAATATGAAGATTCTGTAATTATATGCAGTAGGAAGAAAAAGGAGATAATATGAAGGGGGAAAAGGGTGGGAAGATAGAGGAAGCAAAAGCGGCCATGTGTAATGGGTACATGAGTCTTTATTGCTATTGAGTCTTGTATCTGGTCTTACACAGAAACCTTTCTCCATTTTCATGTTCATCTTAATGGTTCTTTTGGATTTTCTACATAGACCATCATGTATCTGCAAACAACTGTTTTGCCTCTTCCTTTCCAATCCTCTGCTTCTCATTTCTTTTCCTTTCTTCCTTCCTTACTTTTTTTCTTTCCTTCCCGTTTTCCCTTCTGTGTTCATTGACTAGGATCATAGCAGCAAGATGTTAAATGACAGTGATGATAGCAGCCTTCCATAGTTTGTTGTTTGACTTTAACAGGAACGCATCCGAGAGTTCACCATTAAGTATGATGTTTATCATAGGATCATAGTAGATGTGTTTAGTCAGATTAAAGAAGTTCATGCCTATTCCTTGTTTGCTGGAAGTTTTTTTTTTTTCAGCCTGAGTAATGTTGAATTTAATGCTTTTGGGCATCTAATTAACTGGCCATGCGTATTTTCCCCTTTAATCTTCATTTATTTATTTATTTTTATTTTTATTTTTTGAGACGGAGTCTCGCCCTGTCTCCCAGGCTGGAGTGCAGTGGTGCATCTTGGCTCACTGCAAGCTCTGACTCCTGGGTTCGTGCCATTCTCCTGCCTCAGCCTCCCGAGTAGCTGGGACTACAGGCGCCCGCCACCACGCCTGGCTAATTTTTTCTATTTTTAGTAGAGACGGGGCTTCACCATGTTGGCCAGGATGGTCTCGATCTCCTGACCTCGTGATCTGCTCGCCTCGGCCTCCCAACGTGCTGGGATTACAGGCGTGAGCCACCGCACCTGGCCCCAATTTTTTTTTTTCTTAACCGTGTCTTTATGGAAAAGAGGAAAACGTTATGGCCATCTTGTACAAATTTCTAGGAACAAATTTTAAACTTAACATTTGGCCAGATGCAGTGGCTCATGCCCGTAATCCCAGCACTTTGGGAGGCCAAGGCGGGTGGATCATGAAGTCAGGAGTTCAAGACCAGCATGGTGAAACCCCGTCTCTACTAAAAATACAAAATAAATTAGTTGGGTGTGGTGGCACATGCCTATAATCCCAGCTACCCCTGAGTCTGAGGCAAGAGAATTGCTTAAACCTGGGAGGTGGAGGTTGCAGTGAGCCAACATCACGACGCCATTGTACTCCAGCCTGGGCGACAGAGCAAAGCTCTGTCTTGGAAGAAAAAAAAAACAAAGTTTCAACTTAACATTTAAAAGATATTCTGGGCCTGGTGTGGTGGCTCACACCTGGAATCCCAGCATTTTGGGAGGCCAAG
Source organism: Homo sapiens (assembly GCF_000001405.40). Taxonomy (NCBI): domain Eukaryota; kingdom Metazoa; phylum Chordata; class Mammalia; order Primates; family Hominidae; genus Homo; species Homo sapiens. Next base: position 35,809,348 of record NC_000020.11, read on the forward strand.
CCTGGTGGATCACCTGAGGTCAGCAGTTTGAGACCAGCCTGGCCAACATGGTGAAACCCTGTCTCTACTAAAAGTACAAAAATCAGTCAGACATGGTGGTGTGCGCCTGTAGTCCAAGCTACTTGGGAGGCTGAGGCAGGAGAATCGTTTGAACCTGGGAGGCAGAGGTTGCAGTGAGCTGAGATTGTGCCACTACACTTCAGCCTGGGTGACAGAGCAAGACTTTGTCTCAAAAAAAAAAAAAAAGATAATCCAGCTGGGCATGGTGACTCATGCCTGTAATCCCAGCACTTTGGGAGGGTGAGGTGGGAGGATTGATTGAGTCAAGGATTTCAAGACCAGCCTGGACAATATAATGAGACCCTGTCTCAAAAAAAAAAAAAAAATTCTGGGCATGGTGGTACATGCCTGAAGTCCCAGCTACTTGGGAGGCTGAGGCAGGAGGACTGCTTGAGCCTAGGAGTTTGAGGTTGCAGTGAGCTGCAATTGTGCTGATAGCCGCAGGTGGCAGTCAAATGCCTAGGCAGATAGGGACAGTTCCCTGGTGAAACCTGACTGTCAAACCAAGGACAGTTTGTTTGTTTGTTTATTTATTTTTTGAGACGGAGTTTTGCTCTTGTCGCCTAGGCTGGAGTGCAGTGGCGCGATCTCAGCTCACTGCAACCTCCGCCTCCTGAGTTCAAGCGATTCTTCTGCTTCAGCCTCCCAAGTAGCTGGGACTACAGGCAGGTGCCACCACACCCAGCTAATTTTTGTATTTCTAGTAGAGATGGGGTTTCATTATGTTGGCCAGGCTGGTCTCAAACTCGTGACCTCAGGTGATCTGCCCGCCTCCGCCTCCCAAAGTGCTGGGATTATAGGCATGAGCCACTGTGCCTGGCCTCCAAAGACAGTTTAAAGCCTGAAAGCCAAGCTACAAGTCCTGGGTAAATCCACGGACTGGATTGAGAACCTCTCTTCCAGTTCGGCAAGGTTTCCTCTGATTGATCCCCACCCTTCACCTGTTTTACATGTATTTACTCTTCCCTGATTGGTTTTTTACACTGTCATGCCCACCTTTGAGTGACGCCTTTGTTTTAGCCTTTTTGTTATATGCACAAACCAATCAGCATACATTCCCCATTCTGAACCCATAAAAGCCCTGCCACACTGAGAGGGAGACTACCTGTCTTCAAGTGGGAGAGTACCCTCATGTGGGTGCTCTTATGAGCCTCATTTTAGCAGTAAGAAAAAGGAGTCTCAGAGAGATGAAGTTATTTGCCCAAGGTCACACAGTGGTAGGACTAGGGTTTGAATCAAAGTAGACTGAGTTCATAGCATTTTTGTAATAACCAAATTTCTCCAGAGTGTCTGAATGTTCCTGACTCCTAAATCAAAAAACAAAACAAAACAAAACACTGGAAAATGCATTCTGATTATGTTCACCTGATTTCCTAATCTAGAGTACTGGACATTTAATTGTTTGGTAAAATCTTTGACTTTGAATGCTTTGCCAAAAACAATGGAGCGTTTGTTTTATTATCTCTAGACTGAAAGTGGTTATGTTTTCACCCTGGTAAGTGATTTGCTTACATTATAGTAGATAGTATTGCTGCAAGGTACAACCATATTTTTTGTGTGTGTCTGTGTCTCTCTGTGTGTGTATGTGTGTATTTTCAGTCCATTGAAATGAAATGTGTGGGAATTAGGTTCCACTTTTTTTTTATTTTCATTTTTTTGAGACAGAGTCTTGCTCTGTCGCCAGGCTGGAGTGCAGTGGCGTGATCTCGGCTCACTGCAACCTCCGCCTCCAGGGTTCAAGCGATTCTCCTGCCTCAGCCTCCCGAGTAGCTGGGACTACAGGTGTGCGTCACCACGCCCAGCTAATTTTTGTATTTTTAGTAGACATGGGGTTTCACTATGTTGGCCAAGATGATCTTGATCTCTTGACCTCATGATCTGTCCACCTCGGCCTCCCAAAGTGCTCACATTACAGGCGTGAGCCACCACGTTGGGCTAGGGCCCACTTTTTAATTGCTTATGTCCTTGTGACTTCTTGCCTCTGAATCCTTGAATTATTTGTTCTTATTTTTGGGCCCTAAAGAAACTAAGTCCCAGCTTTTTTTTTTTTTTGAGATGGAGTTTTGCTTTTGTTGCCTAGGCTGGAGTGCAATGGCACAATCTCGGCTCACTGCAACCTCTGCCTCCCTGGTACAAGCGATTCTTCTGTCTCAGTCTCCCAAGCAGCTCGGATTACATGCATGCGCCACCACGCTCAGCTAATTTTTTTTGTATTTAGTAGGGACAGGGTTTCACCATGTTAGGCTGGTTGAGAACTCCTGGCCTCAGGTGATCCACCTGCCTTGGCCTCCCAAAGTGCTGGGATTATAGGCATGTGCCACTGTGCCCGGCCCAGTCCCTGCTTTTTATTTATTTATTTATTTTTATTTTTTAATTTTTTTGAGACGGAGTCTCGCTCTGTCTCCCAGGCTGGAGTGCAGTGGCTCGATCTCTGCTCACTGCAAGCTCTGCCTCCCGGGTTCCCACCATTCTCCTGCCTCAGCCTCCCGAGTAGCTGGGACTACAGGCACCCGCCACCACGCCCGGCTAATTTTTTTGTATTTTTTTAATAGAGACGGGGTTTCACCGTGTTAGCCAGGATGGTCTCGATCTCCTGACCTCGTGATCCACCCGCCTCAGCCTCCCAAAGTGCTGGGATTACAGGCATGAGCCACAGCGCCCGGCCCCTGCTTTTTATTAAGAAAATTTTCTAACATAATGAAAAGTTGAGAGGACATTATACCTTCCACCTGTATTCACTAATTGTTAACCCATTTGTTTTATATACTTATTTAATTTAGCAATAATTTTATAATATCTAATATCCAGAGATATTCAGATGTTCTTGTTGTTCCAAAAATGTCCCTTATAGTATTTTTCCAGACAGGATCCACATTACTTTTTTATTTTTATGTCTCTTTAGTTGCTTTGATTCCATGATAATCTTTCTTCTTCCCGGGAGGCAGAGCTTGCAGTGAGCAGAGATCGAGCCACTGCACTCCAGCCTGGGAGACAGAGCGAGACTCCGTCTCAAAAAAATAAAAAAATTTTTCCCCTTCACAACATTATTTGTTTAATTTTTAAGAGTTCCGAACAGTTGTTTTTTAGAATGTCCCACATTCTGGTTTAGTCACATTGTTTTATCATGGTGAGTTTAACTTGTTTCTTGTATTCTCTTCTATTTCCCGTAAACTGGAAATGAGGTCTAGACTTCAGATTAAACATTTTTTTTGCAGAGTGTTTCAGTGGTAATGCCGTGTGTTTCATATTGCATCACATCGGGGGACACATAAAGCTAGGTCGTCCCACTGTTCCGTGTATCACTTGGATAAGGTAATGACTTCCATCTCTCACCATTATAAAGGTGTATTTTTCCTTGTGCAAGTAGTAGATAATCTGTGGGGATACTCTGGTACGTGTCAATATCCTATTATCCCCCCACATCATTTACCTAATGATTTAGCATCCATTGATAATCCCTGCCTGAATCAGTTATTACTCTGGAGATGGAAAAATGGTAATATTCTAGTTTTGTCATTCTGTTATATTAGGTGATGTTCTTCTGTACGAACAGCTTTCATTTTTATTATTATTATTTTTGATACAGAGTCTCCCTCTGTCGCCCAGGCTGGAGCACAGTGGTGCGATCTTGGCTCACTGCAAGCTCTGCCTCTCAGGTTCACGCCATTCTCCTGCCTCGGCCTCCCGAGAGCTGGGACTACAGGCGCCCGCCACCACGCCCGGCTAATTTTTTTTGTATTTTTTAGTAGAGACTGGGTTTCACCCTGTTAGCCAGGATGGTCTCGATCTCCTGGCCTCGTGATCTGCCCATCTCGGCCTCCCAAAGTGCTGGGATTACAGGCGCGGTGAGCCACCGCGCCCGGCCCATTTTTATTCTTTTAAAGTGCACTTAGGAATAAGATTATTGAGTGTGGTGGTGTAGTCAATTCCATTCATTATTATTAATTTTGTGCTAAAATTATCCCAAATTTGTCCAGTGGGATGCTGTTTAAACTAGCTCCTTTGTTCTTTTGACAATTCCTGTTAGTCCCTTAGCATTTTCTTGTTTTCTGGCACTACTAGAAACCCCAAACTTACTTTCTACTTTTCTTATCCCAGACCCTGGACGCAGCTGGTTCTCCAAGGCTTGGTTTCTTTAATTAGGAAAGGGTATTTAGAAATTGACCTCTGAGCTGGGCACGGTGGCTCACGCCTGTAATCCCAGCACTTTGGGAGGCCTAGGCAGGTGGATCAGAAGGTCAGGAGTTCCAGACAAGCCTGGTCAACATAGTGAAACCCTGTCTCTACGAAAAATACAAAAATTAGCCAGGCGTGGTGGCACGCACTTGTAGTCTCAGCTACTCAGGAGGCTGAGGCAGGAGAATTGTTTGAGCCTGGGAGGTGGAGGTTGCAGTGAGCCGAGATAGCGCCATTGCACTCCAGCCTGTGTGTGAGCCAAGATCACACCATTGCACTCCAGCCTGTGTGTGAGCCAAGATCACACCATTGCACTCCAGCCTGGGTGACAGAGTGAGACTCCGTCTCAGAAAAAAAAAAAAAAAAAAAAAAAAGGAAATTGACCTCTGAGGTTGAGGCTGCAGTTAGCTATGATCACACCACTGCTTGGGTGATAAGAATAAGACTCTATCTCTAAATAAAATAAATAAATAAATAAATAAAATAAAACATTGGTTTTTAAAAAAAGAAATTTAGCTCTGGGCACTGGGTGTGTTTATTGCTGCTAGGATGTCATTGTCTTAAACAACTTTTTAGTAGATGGGGGTAAGAAATCTATTTTTTGAAAAAATGTGAGTTCACTTTGATACTTCCAATTTATTTATTTATTTTTTTGAGATAGTCTTGGTCTGTCTCCCAGGCTGGAGTGCAGTGGTACGATCTCGGCTCACTGCAACCTCTGCCTCCCTAGTTCAAGCAATTCTCCTGCCTCAGCCTCCCAAGTAGCTGGGACTACAGGCGCATGCCACCATGCCTGGCTAATTTTGTATTTTTAGTAGAGATGGGGTTTCACCCTCTTGGCCAGGCTGGTCTCGAACTCCTGACCTCAAGTGATCCGCCTGCCTTGGCCTCTCACGGTGCTGGGATTACAGGCGTGAACCGCTGCGCCCGGCCTATAATATTAAATTTAAGTTGGAAATATCAGGCCTGGGTAACAGAGTAAGACACTGTCTCAAAAATAAATAAATAGGCCGGGCGCGGTGGCTCACGCCTGTAATCCCAGCACTTTGGGAGGCCGAGGCAGGTGGATCACGAGGTCAGGAGATCGAGACCATCCCGGCTAAAACGGTGAAACCCCGTCTCTACTAAAAATACAAAAAATTAGCCAGGCGTAGTGGCGGGTGCCTGTAGTCCCAGCTACTTGGGAGGCTGAGGCAGGAGAATGGCGTGAACCCGGGAGGCGGAGCTTGCAATGAGCCGAGATCCCGCCACTGCACTCCAGCCTGGGCGACAGAGCGAGACTCCGTCTCAAAAAAAAAAAAAAAAAATAAAATAAATAAATAAATAAATAGGCCATGCATAGTAGCTCAAGCCTGTATTCCCAGCACTTTGGGAGGCTAAGGTGGGCGGATCACCTGAGGTCAGGAGTTTGAGACCAAACTGGCCAACATGATGAAACCCCGTCTCTACTAAAAATACAAAAATTAGCCGGGTGTGGTGGCAGGTGCCTGTAATTCCAGCTACTCGGGAGGTTGAGGCAGGAAAATTGCTTGAGCCAAAGGAGGCAGAGGTTGCAGTGAGCTGAGATTGCGACACTGGACTCCATCCTGGGTGACAGAGGGAGACTCTGTCCCCCGAAAAATTATAAATAAATAAGTAAATAAATAGATGAAACAAAAAGAACTAACATAGAATATGCATGGTGTAACTATGCTAAATGAAACTCAAAATATGGCCAGACACGGTGACTCATGCTTGTAATCTGGGCACTTTGAGAGGCTGAGGTGGGCAGATCACTTGAGGTCAGGAGTTGGAGACCAGCCTGGCCATTATGACGAATCCATGTCTCTACTTAAAATACAAAAAATTAGCTGGACATTGTGGCATGTGCCTGTAATTCTTTTATTCTTTTTTTTTTGAGGCAGAGTCTTGCTGTGTGTCTCCCAGGCTGGAGTGTAGCGCGAGTGATCTCAGCTCACTGCAACCTCCACCTCCCTGGTTCAGGTGATTCTCCTGCCTCAGTCTCCTGAGTAGCTGGGACTACAGGCGCATGCCACCATGCCTGGCTAATTTTTTGTATTTTTAGTAGAGGCAGGGTTTCACTGTGTTAGCCAGGATGGTCTCGGTCTCCTGACCTCGTGTTCCACCCGCCTCAGCCTCCCAAAGTGCTGGGATTACAGGCGTCAGCCACCGCGCCTGGCATGCCTGTAATTCCAGCTACTTGGGAGGCCTAGGTAAGAGGATCACCTGAGCCCAGAAGGCAGAAGTTGTAGTGAGCCAAGATTGCAGTTGAGACTCTGTCTCAAAAAAACAAACAAACAAGCAAAATCGTTTTGGAAATACATATATATTCCCCCTCCAGCTTTATTGAGATATAATTGACAAAAGGCATTTATATATTTGTTTATTTTTGAGATGGAGACCCGCTCAGTCCCCCAGACTAGACTGCAGGGGCTGGATCTCAGCTCACAGCAACCTCCATCTCCGGGGTTCAAGTGATTCTCCTGCCTCAGTCTCCTGAGTAGCTGGAACTACAGGCACGCGCCACCATGCCCAGCCGATTTTTGTATTTTTAGTGGAGGTGGGGTTTTACCACGTTGGCCAGGATGGTCTCGATCTCTTGACCTCGTGATCCACTTACCTCAGCCTCCCAAAGTTCTGGGATTACAGGCGTGAGCCACTGCACCCGGCCCGAAAATCTTTGTTCCTAATCATACTTTAACCTACTTGCCTTATTCTGTGTTATATGTGAAATAGTTTTAAAGTTACAATATCAATATTACTATTAACAAGTATACTGAGTGAATTTTAAGGATTTTTTGACATTTGAAAAATGTATATCTTACTCAGGACAAATTATATTTGATTTATGTCATAAACTTTTTTTAAGTTTTTTTTTTTTTTGAGACGGAATTTTGCTGTTGTCATCCAGGCTGGAGTGCAATGGCGCAATCTCCGGTCACTGCAACCTCTGCCTCCGGGGTTCAAGCGATTCTCCAGCCTCAGCCTCCCATGTAGCTGGGAATACAGGTGCCTGCCACCACACCCAGCTAATTTTATTTTGTAATTTTAGTAGAGTTCGGGTTTCACTGTGTTGGCCAGACTGGTCTTGAACTCCTGACCTTATGATTCGCCCGCCTCAGCCTCCGAAAGTGCTGGAATTATAGGCGTGAGCCACTGCGCCCGGCCGATTTATGTCATAAACTTAATCCAAAATTAAATGAGTTTTTTTTTTTTCTTCTTCTTTGAGATGGAGTCTTGCTCTGTTGCCCAGGCTCGAGTGCAGTGGTGCAATTTCGGCTTACTGCAACCTCTGCCTCCTGGGTTCTAGCGATTCTCTTGCCTCAGCCTCGTGAGTAGTGGGATTACAGGCGTGCACCACTACGCCTGGCTAATTTTTTGTATTTTTAGTAGAGACATGGTTTCACCATGTTGGTCAGGCTGGTCTCGAACTCCTGATCTCATGATCCACCCTCCTTGTCCTCCCAAAGTGCTGGGATTACAGACGTGAGCCACTGCGCCTGGCCATAAGTGTTGTTGTTGTTTTTTTTTAATCTGTTATGTGAACTAACAGTTCTTTCTTTTTTTTTTAAATACTCCTACAGTCTAATTTTATTTCCGCATTTATTTATTTATTTATTTGAGACAGAGTCTCATTCTGTCACCCAGGCTGGAGTGCAATGGCGTGATCTCAGCTCACTGCAATCTCCGCCTCCTGGGTTCAAGAGATTCTCTTGCCTCAGCCTCCCAAATAGGAGGGATTACGGGCCCCTGCCACGGCGCCCAGCTAATTTTTGTATTTTTAGTAAAGATGGGGTTTCACTAGGTTGGCCAGGCTAGTCTTGATCTCCCGACCTCAGGTGATCCACCTGCCTCGGCCTCCCAAAGTGCTGGGATTACAGGCGTGAGCCACCACGCCAGACCTATTTCTGCATTTAAATTATTTTTGGGGCCAGGCATGGTGTCCCACACCTGCAATCCCAGCACTTTGGGAGGCCAAGGTGGGCATATTGCTTTGAGCTCAGGAGTTCAACGACAGCTGGGGGCAACATGGCAAAAACCTGTTTCTACAAAAAATAAAAAAGTTAGCTGGGTGTTGGTAGCTCCTGGCTGTAGTCCCAGCTACTCAGGAGACAGGCTAGAGAATCCTTTGAGCCCGGGAAGCGGAGGTTGCAGTGAGCCCAGATCGTGCCACTGCATTCCATCCTGGGTGACAGAGTGATACCCTGTCTCAAAAAAATTTAAAAAATAAAATTATTTTTTGGCCAGGTGTTGTGGCTTATGCCTGTGATCCTAGCATGTTTAGAGGCTGAAGTAGGCAGATCACTTGAGCCCAGGAGTTCAAGACAAGCCTGGGCAACATGACAAAACCCCATCTCTACAAAAAAATATAAAAATTATATTTTTATAATTAAAGTATAAATTTAATTATAATTAAATTACAGGCATGGTGGCTCACACCTGTAATCCCAGCACTTTAGGAGGCCTAGGTGGGCAGATTACTTGAGTTCAGGAGTTCGAGACCAGCCTGGCCAACATGGTGAAACTCCGTCTCTACTAAAAGTACAAAAAAAATTAGGCGCATGCCTGTAATCCTAGCTACTCAGGAGGCTGAGGTGGGAGGCTTGCTTGAACCCAGGAGGTGGAGGTTGTAGTGAGCCGAAATTGCGACACTGCACTTCAGCCTGGGTGACAGAGCAAGACTCCGTCTCAAAAAACAAAACAAAACAAAACAAAACAAAAAATTAGCTGAGGTGGAAGGATTGCTTGAGCCTGAGAGGTTGAGGCTGCAGTGAGCCATGATCCTCCTACTTCAGCCTCCTGAGTAGCTGGGACTACAGGCATGTGCCGCCACCCTTGGCTAAGTTTTGTATTTTTTGTAGAGGTGGGGTTTGCCATGTTGCCCAGGCTGGTCTTAAACTTCTGGGCTCAAGCAGTGCACCCACCTCATCCTCCCAAAGTGCTGGGATTACAGGTGCCTGGCCTAGCATTTTTGAGACAGAGTTTTGCTCTGTCACCAAGGCTGGAGTGCAGTGGTGTGATCATAACTGTAGCCTGGTACTCTTGGGCTCAAGTGATCCTCCCACCTCAGCCTCCTGAGTAGGCTGGGACTATAGGTGCATGCCACTGCACCTGGCTCATTTTTGTATTTGTTATAGAGACTGAGTCTCGCTGTGTTGCTTAGGCTGGTCTCAAACTCCAGGGCTCAAGTGATCTTCCTACCTTGGCCTCCCAAAGTGTTGGGATTACAGGCATGAGCCACTGCACCTGGCCTATATTCTAATTTTTAATCTACCACTTTGGGGTGAACTTTCAGCATGTCCATTTTCTTCTCTGTAGAAGGGGTAATCCTGCCTTCCCTGTTTTTGTTTTGTTTTGTTTTGTTTTGAGACAGTCTTGCTCTGCTGCCCAGGCTGGAGAGCAGTGGCCCTATCTCGGTTCACTGCAGCCTCCATCTCCTGGGTTCCAGCGATTCTCCTGCTTCAGCCTCCTGTGTAGCTGGGATTACAGGCATGCACCACCACACCCAGCTAATTTTTGTATTTTTAGTAGAGACATGGTTTCACCATGTTGAACAGCCTGGTCTCGAACTCCTGACCTCAGGTGATCTGCCCGCCTCAGCCTCCCAAAGTGCTGGGATTACAGGCGTGAACCACTGTGCCCAGCCCTGCCTTCCCTATTTGCTTCCTGCGTTTTATAGATGAACTAAAATCTGAGAGGCTGCAGTTTCCTAGTAGTGATACTTGGTGGATAGAATAGAATCTGCTTGCTCTGCTGCCTTCGCCTTCTTCCTGTCATCTGTCAGGAGTGTGCCATCTGTTCCAAGAAGTAGGCTGGCCTTCCCTGTTCTTGCTCCAAACACAACGAAAAAGCTCCTTCTGTTGCTTTCCTGACACTCTGGTACCTTTCCACTACTGTGTTTCTATTTAAGTTGATCATAGTTCGCTTCCATTTCTTGTACAGAAGATTTAAAAATCTGAGTTTCATAATGTCCTTAGATCATTTTTGGTTTCTTTTTCATTAGGGTTATTTGTACTGATCTCATCTGAGTTTCTGGTTCATACCTCTTTACTCCTTACACCATCTGTGTGTGTGTGTGTGTGTGTGTGTGTGTTTTTAAGCAATCTTTTCTGAGCTTTCCACAAACATGTATTGAATGCTGTGAGTCAGGTGGTACACTAGGTGCTATGAAATGAAGGAAAATAAGTACTTCAAGATGTTCAGAGACGAGTCAAGTATTTGGCTTTGGTTTTTAGTATTGATAGCCAAGGGTCGTTAATCATGTATTCTAATGCTTATGTCTTTGCTAGTGACTCACATTTATTGAGTGATTTACTCTGTGCCAGGCACAAATCTAAAGGCTTTATATGTTATACCTCCTTTAATCCTTTAGATGCTATGAAGGGGGTACTTTTATTCTACTTTATATATGAGGAAATAGAAGCAGAAAGCAGTTAAGTTTTCCAGTGCTATGTAGCTGTAAATGGTGAATTTAGGATTTGAGTCTAGCTAGTTGGCTTCTGAGCATGGTCGGGTGTGGCTTTGATCCCCACGCATGTGTTCAGTACCTAGAATAAAGTCCCTGAAATTAAATATATTATGAGGAGATATTTACTCTGTACAAAGTTCATTTACAAAAACCCCTAGGGGAGAATAGTTAATTTCATATGTGGGAATTTCAGAAGGCTTCAGAAAGATGACTTTTGATGCCAAGTCATTCATTCAATGCTAGATGCTGGAGAAATAGTGGTGATTAGGACAGACATAGTCCCTGATCTTTAGAAGCTGACATTCCAGTGGAGGTGGATAGAACAGAAACCAGCAGACTGATATATATAGATAATGTTAGGTGGTGATAAATGCTAGAAAGTGGAATAAGTACTTTTTTTTTTTTTTTTTTTGTGAGATGGAGTCTCACTCTGCCACCCAGGCTGGAGTGCAGTGGCATGATCTTGGCTCACTGCAAGCTCCGCCTCCCAGGTTCACACCATTCTCCTGCCTCAGCCTCCCAAGTAGCTGGGACTACAGGTGCCTGCCACCATGCCCGGCTAATTTTTTGTATTTTTTAGTAGAGATGGGGTTTCACTGTGTTAGCCAGGTTAGTCTCGATCTCCTGACCTCGTGATCTGCCTGCCTCAGCCTCCCAAAGTGTTGGGATTACTGGTGTGAGCCATCACACCTGGCCAGAATAAGTACTTTCAAGTGGGTAGAGTGCCTCTATGTGTGTATGTGTTTTGCTTTTTTTATATAGAGGGTGAACAGAGGAGATCTCTCTGACAGACATTTAAATAGAGTCCTAAAGTAAGTGAGGGAGTGAGTCATGTTAGTATCCAGAGGAGAGAGGGTTGCAGACAGAGGCAGCCAAGGCAGAAGCCCTGGCGTAGGAGCAAGCAGGGCATTCAAGCAATAATAGGTAGGAACATGTGGCTGGGAGGGTAGAGAGTGAGAGGCCAGAGGTAGGAGGTGAGCCCAGAAAGGTCAGCAGGGGCCAGATCGGCCATAATAAGGAGTTTGGACTTTATTCTAAATGTGATAGTAAGTCATTGAAAGGTCTTAAACAGGGAATCAATGTTATCTGATTTCAAGTATTAAAAGTGGCTGTGGGCCAGGTGCAGTGGCTCGCACCTGTAATCCCAGCAGTTTGGGAGGCCGAGGTGGGTGGATCATTTGAGGCCAGGAGTTTGAGACCAGCCTGGCTGACATGTACTAAAAATACAAAAAATTAGCCTGGAGTGTTGGTGGGCGCCTGTAATCCCAGTTACTCAGGAAGCTGAGGCAGGAGAATTGCTTGAACCCGGGAGGTGGAGGATGCAGTGAGCTGAGATTGTGCCACTGCATTCCAGTCTAGGCAACAAGAGCGAAACTCTGTCAAAAAAAAAAAAGGGGCTGTGAGCCTAGGCAATATAGCAAAACGCTGTCTCTACCAAAAATACAAAAAAAAAAAAAAAAGCCAGGCATGGTGGTGTGTACCCGTGGTCCCAGCTACTTGGGAGGTTGAAGTGGGAGAATCACTTGAACCTGAGGGGCAGAGGTTGCAGTGAGCTGAGATGGTGCCACTTCACTCCATCCCAGGTGACAGAGCCAGACCCTGTCTCAAAAAAATAAAGTTGCTGTGGTTATTGTGTGTAGAATATGCTGTAGGCAGCCATGGGCAGAAACAAGAAGAGCAAGGATCTTTTGTATTAGTCCATGTGAAAGATGATAGTTGTTTGAACTAAAAAGCAGTGGGGGAGTTGATGAGAAGTGATCAGCGTCTGTATAATTTTTGAAGGTACAGCTGACAGATTTGCTGACGACATGTAAGAGATAGAGAAGAGTCAAGGATGACTCCAAGGGCTTTTTCTCTCGGTACCAGTAGATGGAATTACCACATGCTGAAATGGGGTAGACTTCAGTAGAACTAGGTTCTAGGGAGATGATAAGCAGTTTGGTTTTGGGCATGTTAAATATATGAGATTCCTTTGAGATGACTAAGTGGAGATGTTGAATGGATAGTTGAATAACAGAGTCAGATGTTCAAGTGTGAGCCCTGGGTTAGAGATAGACATCTGGGAGTTGGGCTGAGTGCGGTGGCTCACGCCTGTAATCCCAGGACTTTGGGAGGCCAAGACGGAAGATCGCTTGAATCCCAAGATCGAGACCAACCTGTGCAACATAGTGAGACTCTGTCTTACAACACATATATACACAAAAACCCCAAGAAACCTAGCTGGGCATGGTGGTGTGAGCTTGTGGTCCCAGCTACTGGGGAGGCTGAGGTAGGAGGATCACTTGAGCTAGGGAGGTCAAGGCTGCAGTGAGCTATGATTGTGCTGCTATACTGTATGATTGTGCTTGGGTAACAGAGCAAGACCCTGTTTCAAAAAAAAAAAGAAAAAAAGTAAAGGAATTTGGGAGTTGGTAATGAGTAAATGGGATTAAAAAAATAGACTATATTTTAGAGCAGTTTTAGGTTCACAGCAAAATTGAGCAGAAAGTACAGAGTTCTGGCTGGGCACAGTGGTTTATGCCTGTAATCCCAGCACTTTGGGAGGCTGAGGTGGAAGGATTGCTTGAGCCCAGGAGTTTGAGACCAGCCTGGACACCATTGCAAGACCCTGTCTCTACAAAAAATAAAACAAATTAGCTGGGGTAGGGGGTGGCTTGCACCTGTAGTCCTAGCTACTTGGGAGGCTGAGGTGGGAGGATCGCATGAGCCCAGGAGTTTGAGGCTACAGTGAGCCATGATTATGCCACTGCATGGCAGCTTGGGTCACAGGGTCACAGAGCAAGACCCTGCTTCTAAAAAAAAAAAAAAAAAAAAAAAAAAAGAATGTATCAAGTTCCCATATTCCTGTGTTCTCCCTCCAGCCTCCCCCACTTTCAACATCCTGCACCAGAGTGGTACATTTATTACAGTTGATGAACCAATATTGACACCTCAGTACCACCCAAGGACCATAGTTTGCATTAAGGTTTGCTGCTGGTGTTGTATTGTTTATGGATTTTGACAAATGTATAATGTATATGTGTATGTTACACATTTATCAAAATCCATATGTGTACATTATACATTTGTCAAAATCCATAAAAGTTACAAAAGTACAAAAAAAGTACAATATTCATAAAAAGACAACTTGATGCTCAAAAAGTTTCGGATTTTGGATGTTTGGATTTGAGATGCTCAACCCATAGTAAAATTCGCTCTTTTTCAGAATACAGTTGAGTTTTGCCAAATTTGACAGTTCACGCAAGCCCCACCACAATCAAGATATGGGCCGGGAATGGTGACTCATGCCTATAATCCCAGCACCTTGGGAGGACAACGTGGGAGGATTGCTTGAGCCCAGGAGTTCAAGACAAGCCTAAGCAACATAATGGGACTTCGTCTCTCAAAAAAAAAAAAAAAAAACCATAATAAAAGTAATAATAATAGCTGGGTGTGGTGGTGTGTGTCTATAGTTTTAGCTACTCAGGAGGCTGGGGTGGGAGGAAGACTGCTTGAGCCCAGGAGGTCAAGGCTGCAGCAAGCTGTGATTGTACCGCTGCACTCCAACTCCAGCCTGTGTGATAGAGCGAGACCCTGTCTCAAAAAAAAAAAAAAAAAAAAAAGGGGTGAAGAAAGAAAAAAAAAGATATAAAGCACTTCTGTTACCCACAGAATTTCCTCATGTCCATTTGTAATCAGCCTCTCCTGGCACCTCCAGCTCCTGTCACCCACTGATCTGTCCTTTGTCTATACAGTTTTGCCTTTTCCATAGTGTGTTATAATGGAATTATTCAGTACATAGCCTTTTGGATTTGGCTTCTTAAACTTAGCGTAATGCATTTGAGACTCACCCGTATTTTTGCATGAGCAAAATAAAGGGTTGTTGCTTTTAGAACCAAGTAGTAAGTATTCCATTGGATGGATATACCACAGCTTATCTGTTTATGTGTTCAAAGACATATGGATTGTTTCCAGTTTTGGGTTAATATGAATAAACATTTATATATAGGTTTTTATGAGAATATAAGTTATCATTTCTCTTGGATAAATACCAGCGAGCTGGATTGCTGGGTCATGTAAGTGTATGTTTAACCAGGTGAGAAACCGCCAAACTTTTTCAGAGTCTCTGTACCATTTTGCATTTCCACCAGGAATGTCAGGAATGTATGAGAATTCCAGTTGCTCTGCATTGTTGTCAGCACTTGGTGGGATTCTTTTTTTTCTCTCCTTTTTTTTTAATTAACTGTTTTAAAAAATTGAGATATAGTTTACATGTTATAAAATTCATCCTTTTAGGCTGGGTGTGGTGGCTCACGCCTGTAATCCAAGCACTTTGGGAGGCTGAGGTGGGCGGATCACAAGGTCAAGAGATCGAGATCATCCTGGCCAACATGGTGAAACCCTGTCTCTACTAAAAATACAAAAATTAGCTGGGTGTGGTGGCATGTGCCTGTAGTCCCAGCTACTCGGGAGGCTGAGGCAGTAGAATCGCTTGAACCCGGGAGGCAGAGGTTTCAGTGAGCCAAGATCACGCCATTGCACTCCAGCCTGGTGACAGAGTGAGACTCTGTCTCAAAAAAAAAAAAAAATTTACCATTTCAAAGCATACAATTCAATAATTCAATGGTTTTCAGTGTATTTACAAAGTTGTACAATTGTCACCACTATCTAATTCCAGAATTCTCATTATCCCAAAAAGAAACCTCATACACATTAGCAGTCAGACCCTATTTCCTCCCTGCCCTTCCCAGCCTAGGCAAACACGAATTTACTTTCCCTCTATATATATGCCTGTTCTGGACATTTCATAGATATGGAGTCATACAGTAGGTGACTAGCTGCTTTCACTTAGCATGCTATTTTCAAGGTTCATCTATGTTGTACGTTACTGCTTTTTGTGGATGAATAATTCCATTATATGAGTATACCATATTTTGTTTTCCCATTCATCAGTTGTTGGGTATTTACAGTGTTTCTTCTTTTTGGGTATTGTGAGTACACATTTGTGTGGACATATGATTTTACATCATATGGGTATATACCTAAGATGGAATTGTCAGATCATATGGTAATTCTGTTTAACCTTTTGAGGAACTGCTAAATTGCTTTTCGTAGTAGCTGCACCATTTTACACTCCCACCAGCAATGGGAATCCTGTTTGTTTTTATTTTGAAGAGATGGGAGTCTTGGTATTGGCCCAGACTGGACTCAAACTCCTGGGCTCAAGTGATTGTCCTGCCTCAGGCCTCCTGGGTAGTTGGGACTGCAGGTGCATACCACCGTGCCCAGCTATTTTTTACATTCAATAAGAAGTAAAATTATCAGCTGAGACTGAGATCAGGACAGGGAGGGCTTAGGTTTGAGGAAAGAAGATAAGGTATGAAATATTTAGGAGTTTGCACTCCCTCCTCAGGCTCCACTTTACTCAGTAGCTAATGACAGGCCTCAAACTCCTGGCCTCAAGTTATCCTCCTGCCTCGGCCTCCCAAAGCACTGGGGTTACAGGTGTAAGCTACCATGCCTGGCTAAAAACTTTTTTGATATTAATTTTCCTGGCTCCTTAAAGGTATAAGACATTGAATTAAGAAGAGTGCAAAATTGCTACTCTATAATTAGGTTAATTATTTTTAGAGAGAGGGTCTTGCTTTGTTGCCCAGGCTGGAGTACAATGGCTATTTACGAGTGCCATGAAATACACTACAGCCTTCAATTCTTTGGCTCAAGCAGCTCTCTTGCCTCAGCCTCCTGTGTAGTTGGGATTATAGGCATGCACTATAGCACCCAGCTCTTACACTTTTATTTTAAAAATACTTTTTGTTGAGTTTTAATTTATAGTAGAGTGTATAAACCCTAAATGTGTAGCTTGATGAACTTTTACATATGTATACACTTCTATAGCCACCACCCAAATCAAGATATGGACCATTATGGGCACTCCGGAAGCTTTTTTGTCCCTCTCCTACCCCCAAAGAGAATTACTGTTTAATACCTGTTTGCAGATATGCATTTTATATATGTATGTATGTGTGTTTGAGACAGTTTCGCTCTTGTCCCCCAGGCTGGATGGCAGTGGCACGTTCTCGGCTTACTGCAACCTCCGCCTCCTGGGTTCAAGTGATCTCCTGCCTCAGCCTCCTGAGTAGCTGGGATTACAGGTGCCCGCCACCACACTCGACTAATTTTTGTATTTTCAGTACAGATGGGGTTTCGCCATGTTGGCCAGGCCGGGCTCGAACTCTTGACCCCAGGTGATCTGCCCGCGTCGGCCTCCCAAAGTGCTGGGATTACAGGTGTGAGCCACTGCACCTGGCCTAGACATGCATTTAAAGTGAGACCCATCAGCATGTTGAGTGTTTTCTCTAGCCACATTTAGCTGTCTGGGTACAGGAATGGAGAATGTGGAGTCTGAAATAACCAGGGTTGGGTGGCAGTTGTGATGAGGAAGAGAGTCGCCAGTAATTTGAGGGCATATGCAAGGAAGTGAAATTAAAGAATGAGAAGATTTCCAGGAAGAGAGTGGCAGGGGGAGAAGGCAGAAGGAATAACATCAGCAAAAATATTCAGGGCTTGAAAGAACTTGGTGTGTTCTGAGAATCCAGGGAGGTAACAGGAGTGGTGGGAGATTGAACTGAAGAGTGAAAATTTAAGCAGGAGAGAGACATGTTTTGATCCTTCTTAGTAACAGAAAATTGGCAGTGTTCATTCTGTCATAAGATATTTGCTGAGTGGCTCTGTATCAGGCATTCTGCTGGGTACTGATAGAAGGGGTTTAGGGGTGATGTGTACATACTGACTGTTCAGTTGTTGCTGGTAAGAAATGATTGAGATAGAGAGGAAAGATAAATTTAAGACCTTTCTTATATCAGATGTTGATTAATGGAAGTGGTGAAGGGGTAGGGAAAGAGTTAAGGCATTCAAAATAGCAGTTTTTCTGCAGTTTAATAGTCAGCCTTTTGTTTTTTACTAAATATATCTTCCATCCCCATCTCCTCTCCAGCAAAGGCTGGTGATGGCTTAGAATGTTCCTTTTGTGCATAGAAGTATTTTGCTTCTGGTATGTGCCCTGAGCCAGGAATAGAGGCAAGCTCTGATTTTTTTTCGCTCTTGTCGCCCAGGCTGGAGTGCAATGGTACGATTTTGGCTCACCGCAACCTCTGCCTCCTGGGTTCAGGTGATTCTCCTGCCTCAGCCTCCCAAGTAGCTGGGATTACAGGCATGCGCCACCACGTCTGGGTAATTTTCTGATTCTTGAAGTAAAATGAGTGCTGTATGTTTGCAGACAAACTGTTTATATAGCAAAGAATCTGGAAGCAGTCTGAATGCTTAACCTCTGGGGGAAAGTTAAGTCAAATTCTGGGCTAGCCACGCAGTTAAGTAGACTATTACATGGCTAAGACAAAAGACACCCATGTGGATGTGGTGACTGCAGGAATGTTTACATGTGGAGTCCAGTTAAGAGCAGAAGGCTCATAGCCGGGTGCGGTGGCTCACGCCTGTAATCCCAGCACTTTGGGAGGCTGAGGTGGGTGGATCATGAGGTCAGGAGATCGAGACCATCCTGGCTAACACGGTGAAACCCTGTCACTATTAAAAATACAAAAAATTGGCTGGGCGTGGTGGCGGGTGCCTGTAGTCCAGCTACTCGGGAGGCTGAGGCAGGAGAATGGTGTGAACCCGGGAGGCGGAGCTTGCAGTGAGCCAAGATGACGCCACTGCGCTCCAGCCTGGGCAACAGAGCGAGACTCCATCTCAGAAAAAAAAAAAAAAAAAAGCAGAAGGCTCTTCACCGGGTTTAGAGTTAGATGTAGATATCGATCTTGATTGTGCCTCTTCCTAGTCATTCTCTTTGAGGCTCCATTTCCATGAATGTAAAAAGGGGGCAGTAATAATAATGACTCCTTAAGTCTTCATGGCATGATCAAGTGAGATACCTTAGATAAAGATAGTTTACAAACCCTAGAGTAAGCTGCACTCATTAGTTTTATTTATTTATTTATTTATTTATTTCTGAGACAGAGTTTCGCTCTTGTTGCCCAGGCTGGAGTGCAATGGCATGATCTCGGCCCACCACAACCTCCGCCTCCTGGGTTCAAGCAATTCTCCTGCCTCAGCCTCCCGAGTAGCTGGGATTACAGGCATGTGCCACCATGCCCAGGCTAATTTTGTATTTTTAGTAGAGACGGAGTTTCTCCATTTTAGTCAGGCTGGTCTCGAACTCCAGGCTTCAGGTGATCCGCCCGCCTTGGCTTCTCAAAGTGCTGGGATTATAGGTGTGAGCCACCGCGCCCAGCCTCATTAATTACTAATAGCCATGTGGGTGAACACTGATGAGTTGTAGTGGGAATTCGGAAGGAAATTGTCATCCTTTCTGTTTTTTTCTCCCCGGCCCCATGATGTTTCTTTAGTTAGTATTTCTGGTATATAGGGGGGAACAAAACAGATTCCTGCCAAGCACTGTCTGGCTGCTCTAGTTTAAGCACGTGCACGGTATGTAGTATTAGGCAGCTTAATTTTACACAGATGCAGCAAGACTCTGAGCGGCAAGCCTTCCTGGGGCTTAAGGTCATATAGGGCAGGCATGTCAACACTGTTTCCCTGAATTAGACCTGTACTGTTCTCTGCCTTCTGGCTGTGCACATGGAGTCATGCCAGCAGTGGCAGTGCTTTACTGTCTTACAGCCCTCTCTCTCCCTTGGTGGAGCCCTAGGACATGTTGGCTTATCTTGTAGCTTAGAGCAGTGTTTCTCAAACCTGAAAACATGAGGACTGGCACCTCTAACCTATAAACTATTGATAGACTCCATTTCTAGATACCAAAGCAGTCTAGCAAAATGCAACTTTGTTAGCTACTTAGTGCTGTGTAACACATTTTCTCAAAATTTAGTGTCCTAAAACAATAAACATTTATTATTCTCTAGGTGTCTATGGGCCAGGAATTCAGGAGCGGCGTAATGGGGGGTTGAGGGGGCTTCTGGCCCAGGATCTCATAAAGGCTGCATCCAAGGGGGCTCACTCACAGGGCTGGCAAGTTGGTGCTGGTTCCTGACAGGTGGCCTCAGTTCCTTGTCATGTGAACCTCTCCATAGACATCTAGAATGTTCTCACGATGTAGCACCTGACTTACCCTAGAACAGGGAATCTGAGAGAGTGCAGGGCAGAAGCAGCAGTGCTTTGTGTATATGCTTGTGGTAAAATACATACAACATAAAATTTAGTATTTTAATCATTTTTAGGTGTGCAGTACAGTTCTGTAGCGTTAAATACATTCACACTGTTCTGCAACCATTACCAGCCTACTTCTCCAAAATATTTTCTTTCTTTCTTTTTTCTTTTTTTCTTGGTGATAGATTCTCACTCTGTTGCCAGGCTGGAGTGCAGTGGTGCGATCTCAGCTCACTGCAGCTTCTGCCTCCCGGTGATTCTCATGCCTCAGCCTCCCGAGTAGCTGGGATTATAGGCTTGTGCCACCACGCCTGGCTAATTTTTGTATTTTTAGTAGAGATGATGTTTCACCATGTTGGCCATGGCTGGTCTGAAACTCCTCACCTTTGGTGATCCACCTGCCTCAGCCTCCCAAAGTGCTGGGATTACAGGCATGAGCCACTGAGCCTGACCTAAAATTTTTCATAGTGAGATAAAATCTCACTATGTTGTTTATGTTGGTCTCAAACTCCTGGCCTTAGCCGTGCGCCATGGCTCATGCCTATAATCCCAGCACTTTGGGAGGCTGAGGCAGGCATATTGCATGAGCCCAGGAGTTTGAGACCAGCCTAGGTAACGTGGAAACCCTGTCTCTCCTGGCCTCAAGCAATCTTCCTGCCTTGGCCTCTCAAAGTATTGGGATTATAGGTGTGAGCCACCACGCCCAGCCCAAGATTTTTTCTTTTTCTTTTTTTTTTTGAGATGGAGTTTCGCTCTGTCACCTAGGCTGGAGTGCAGTGGTGCGATCTCAGCTCACTGCAACGTCTGCCTCCTGGGTTCAAGCAGTTCTGCTGCCTCAGCCTCCCAAGTAGCTGGGGCTACAGGCGCATGCCGCCATGCCTGGCTAATTTTTTGTATTTTAGTAGAGACGGGGTTTCACCATGTTGCCCAGGCTGGTCTCAAACTCCCGAGTTCAGGCAGTCCACCTGCCTCGGCCTCCCAGAGTGCTGGGATTACAGGTGTGAGCCACCGTGCCCGGCCTGATTTTTTCATCTCTCCAAACTGAAACCCTGTATCTATTAATCAGCAACTGCCTCATCCCTTCTCCCCTTAGCTCCTGGTAACCTCTATTCTGCTTTCATTAATCTGGCTACTCTAGATAACTCAGATGAATGGAATCATGCAGTATTTGTCCTTCAAGTGGCTTATTTCACTTAGCATAAGTCCTCAAGGTTCATCTGTGTTGTAGCATGTATTAGAGTTTTATTCCTTTTTAAGGCTGAATAATATTCCATTGTATGGATATACCACATTTTATCTATTCATGTATTAGACACTTGGGTGGCTTTTTGACTACTGGGTTGTCTTTTGACTGTTGTGAGTAATGCTGTGTGAATTCTGGAGTACAGACATCTGTTTGAGTCCTTGTGTTCAGTGTTTTTGGATATATACCCAGAAGTGGAATTGCTGCAGTGCTTTTTTTTCTTTTTCACATCAACTTTATAGTTAGATAATCCATCACTTTATTAATTCAGAAGTTTGCTTTTTTTTTCCCTTCAACTTTTTTTTTTTAAGTTCTGGGGTACATGTGCAAGATTTGCAGGTTTGTTGCATAGGTAAACTTGTACCATGGTAGTTTGCTGCACAGATCATCCCATCACCTAGCTATTAAGCCCAGCATCCATTAGCTCTTCTTCCTGATATTCTCTCTCCCCTGTCCTGCTGCAGTGCTTTTTATAACCCAGCTTTGGAAGTCCCACACCATCACTTTTGCCACATTCTACTTGTTAGAAATGAGGCCATATTCAAGGATAAAACGATTAAAATCTACCTTTTGAAGGAATAAGTGCCAAATCTGCAGACATATAAAGTTGTCCCAGCTACTATGTGGGAGTGATTTTATAATGCCAGGTTAGTTACAAATATACACACTAAAGTTATTTCTTTCTTCCTTCCCTCCCTCCCTCTCTTCCTCCCTCCCTCCCTCCTTTCCTTCTCATTTATTTATTTTGGGTCTCACTCTATCACCCAGGGTGGAGTTCAGTAGTGCGATCATGACTCAACACAGCCTCAACCTTCTGGGCTCCAGTGATCCTCTCACCTCAGCCTCTTGAGTAACTGGGACTACAGGCATGCATCACCACATCTGGCTAATTAAAAAAATTTTTTTTTGTACAGACAGATGGGGTCTCCCTATGTTTCCCATACTGATCTCAAACTCCTGGGCTCAGGGGATCCTCCTTCAGCCACCCAAAGTGCTGGGATTATAGGCATGAGCCATTGTGCTGGGCTGATTAAATTTTTTTAGAAATAGGGTCTCACTTTCTTGCCCAGGCTGGAGTGCAGTGGTGTTGTGATCATAGCTCACTGCAGCCTCAAACTCTTGGGCTCAAGTGATCCCCCAACTCCAACCTCTTAAGTAGCTAGGACTACAGGCCTGGCTAATTTTTAAAACTTTTTGTAGAGACGGAGTCTTCCTATGCTGCCCAGGCTGGTCTTGAACTCCTGGCCTCCTGCCTTGGCCTCTGAAAGCACTGGGATTACAGGTATGGGCCACTGCGCCCAGCCTTACACACTAAAATTTTCTAGTAGTTCTTGATTATATGGTGGTCATCTGGTATCTCAACGTTCTTCATGTCATTGCCCACTTGTAACCCATTTGTGGTACCTCAGCTGGGAAGCTCTGGTAAAGAGGGTCCAGATTACAGAAAAGCACAATATAATATTCTTCATCCCTCATGGAGACCTTGTGGACCAGCAGCTCTGTGTTCACCAACACGCAGTGGTCCGTGGACTGCTCTTGGCAAACATTCATTTAGGGCTCAGCAGCCCATCCATAAGATCCTCCTGGCCCCTCAAACGGAGTTGTTGTTTCCTCTATCCCCTTGAATTTCCTTGTCCTCTTTTTTGCCTGCTTTCCTCTGTACTATGCTGATTTACTCCTATTACATCTTCTCTCAGAAACTCTCCCCAGCTTCACTGCCTCTTTGATCAGCTGGAAAATGCCTACTCATCTTTCAGAATGGAGATCAAGTGTCTCCTCTTCCCCAGGGTTGTCTTGGGCCCTCCTCTCACTCGATCCCCTTCCTCTCCCTCTCCCCTTTTGCACCTCTGTATCTTACTCTACCTTAAGGAGTCCTCTGTTGTTGCACCTGGTATACTTTATTACAATTATTTGTACCTATAGACATACTTAGATACTTTTATTCCCCCAGACTATACTGTAGTAAGTAAGAGACAGATGCCTCTAGCAGTGCCTGTTGTCTCCTGGGGAAGCAGGCCATAAACACAAACAAATGAAATAATGACAGATTAGGGTAAATGCTATGAAGGAAACATATAGGAAACTGACACAGACTGGAAAGAAATGGGGGCTACTTGAGATAGTGTAGTCAGAGATTCTGAGGCTATGGGAGGATAAGGATGTTGCCTGGGAAGAGTGGGCAGGGATTGTTGTTTCAGGTAACGGGAGCATACTCGGTATGGGAAGGTGTGTGGTGTGTTTGAGGAATTGAAAGTCTACTGTGTGTTGTAACGTAGGGCCTGTCATCCTCTGCCAGTTGCTGTGATCATGCATCTTAATAGATTTGGTTCTGGCCAGATGTGGTGGCTCACGCCTGTATTCCCAGCACTTTGGGAGGCCAAGGCAGGTGGATCACGAGGTCAGGAGTTCGAGACCAGCCTGGCCAACATAGTGAAACCCTGTCTCTACTAAAAATACAAAAAATGTTAGCTGGGCGTGGTGGTGGGCACCTGTAGTCCCAGCTACTTGGGAGGTTGAGGCAGGAGAAACACTTGAACCTGGGAGGTGGAGGCTGTAGTGAGCTGAGATCACACCACTGTACTCCAGCCTGGGTGACAGAGTGAGACTCCATCTCAAAAAAAAAAAAAAAAAAAAAGTAGATTTGATTCTGTATTTCTAAACCCTAATATACTTCCTGGCCCAGAGCAGGTACTCAGAAAATGTTTGTGGAATTATGGTTCAATGAATTTTTCTTCTGCTGATTTCTGTTCATTCTCCTTGTCCTTTTCCATTTGACATTGGCTATACTGGTCTTCTGTGGCTTCTTGGTTGGCTTAGTGACCAGTTATCTGACTTGCTTAAATTAAGCTTATTACGGTAACCTTATTTATTATGAATTTTTGCTTATCTGTCCTTTCCAGGTTGAATTTTAGATGAGAGTTTTTGATGCTTTTTGGCCTTTGGAAAACAGTTTTGTGACTAATTTTGTCATGGTGACCACCATGTGCATATATCCCCTCCAAATTAAGAGTTCCCATACTGGGGTATGTTTGTCCTCTTGACATCTACAACATGAATATCACTGGTTTATTTTGATGATTCATCTTGGTTTGTTTATATATTTCTATTGCTGTTTTGTGGCTCCAGATCTTTTTAAAAATTACATCTGGTGAACCTTTATTGAATGTCTAATATATGCAGGATACCCTGGGGGAGATTCAGACTCTTGATCTCTGAAGGTTTGATCCAAAGGCTAAGTCTTCTCTGAACCCTTTCCCAACCCTCTAGTTAGAAAAAATGGGACTCTGATGAAAAAGTTTAATGTGGGCTTTAGAATGAAGGGTTAAAAAAAATAAAAAATAGACCAGGCACAGCGGTTCATGCCTGTAATCCCAGCACTTTGGGAGGCTGAGGCGGGCAGATCACGAAGTCAGGAGTTCAAGACCAGCCTGGCCAACATGGTGAAACCCCGTCTCTACTAAAAATACAAAAATTGGCCAGGCATGGTGGCGCACACCTGTAATCCCAGCTACTCTGGAGGCTGAGGCAGGGGAATTGCTTGAACCCGGGAGACAGAGGTTGCAGTGAGCCGAGATCATGCCACTGTACTCCAGCCTGGGCGACAGAGTGAGATTCCGTCTCAAAAATAAATAAATAAATAAATAAATAAAAAGGCGGGAGGGTTTATTCAAGTGCTTTAGAAGGGGGCAGGGAAGAGCAGCAGAAACCCAGACTGTCCAGCCTGGGCTGGACATGGAGGAGAGATAATGCCTCTCTTCTGTCTAGTCCTGGTTATGGGATATAGGCAGGCTGGTTCATTCTACAGCTATGGTTTTTTTTTTTTTTTTTTTTTTGAGACGGAGTTTCGCTCTTGTTTCCCAGTCTGGAGTGCAGTGGTGCGATCTCGGCTCACCACAACCTCCACCTCCCAGATAAAGCAATTCTCCTGCCTCAGCCTCTCGAGTAGCTGGGATTATAGGCATGCGCCAGCACACCCAGCTAATTTTGTATTTTTAGTAGAGACGGGGTTTCTCCATGTTGGTCAGACTGGTCTCGAACTCCCAACCGTGGGTGATCCGCCCGCCTCAGCCTCCCAAAGTGCTGGGATTACAGGTGTGAGCCACTGCGCCCAGCCAGCTATGCTTCTTTTTCTCTCCTTTCTTCCTGAGATCCAGAGTGTTCCTGATCTTTTTGCTTGTGGAGAGGAGTGGGAAATCTCATGGAGCTCACCAAACTTCTCTTTGGGCTCTTGCCACCCTAGGGGCTCTGATGATTGGTCATCTATTCTGTGTCTCCAGGACCTAGCAGTTTGTTTGTCTCATAATACAAACTCAGGAATGTTTGTTGAATAATGAAGTTCATAGGGCATAGTTCCTGCCCTGTAAAGTGCTTAGCAGCCTTGTGTTTATATTAGCCATTTAAAAATCTTGTTTGTGACTTGAGTTTGAAACATTTTTGTTGACTCTTGAACTCTTTCTTCTGAGGAAAACTATTGATTTTTGAACATTTAAGTTGTACCTGATTATCATTTCAAACTCTCTTATCAGTTTAGGAAAAATTGACTCAAGAAGAGGTAGGAGGCCGGGTGTGGTGGCTCATGCCTGTAATCCCAGCACTTTGGGAGGCTGAGGCGGGCGGATCACGAGGTCAAGAGATTGAGACCATCCTGGCCAACATGCTGAAACCCCGTCTCTATTAAAAATATAAAAATTAGCTGGGTGTGGTGGCGGGCGCCTGTAGTCCTAGCTACTCAGGAGGCTGAGGCAGGAGAATCGCTTAAACCTGGGAGTCAGAGGTTGCAGTGAGCTGAGAACACGCCACTGCACTCCAGTCTGGGCGACAGAGCGAGATGCCATCTCAAAAAAAAAGAAGAGGTAGGAAACTTGATCAGACTAGTAACCATAGAAGTGATGGGAAAGGTAGATAAAGAACTACCTTCTGAGAAGGCCCTCAGAGTAGGTGGTTTCATAGAAAATGAAATAAAGCATTTTAGTTTGTTGTATGAGATTATCATAGCCTAATACTGAAACTGGGCAGGAAGGGCATAATACAAGAACACTTGGACAGATCTCATTTATAAGAGGTACAATTCTTGTCAATAAAATCCTGGAACACCAAGTAGAGACTTATTAAATGAATGATGCATGAAACCAAATATGATTTATTCTAGCAGAGTAATGATAACTTAAATTTAAGAAATCTATCAGTTCATTATATTTACAGAATAAAAGAGTCCGGGCACAGTGGCTCACGCCTATAATCCCAGCACTTTGAGAAGCTGAGGTGGGTAGATCACTTGAGGTCAGGAGTTTGAGACCAGCCTGGCCAACATGATGAAACCCGTCTCTACTAAAAATACAAAAAATTAGCCAGGCGTGGTGGCGTGTACCTGTAGTCCCAGCTACTGGGGAGGCTGAGGTGGGAGAATCACTTGAACCCGGGAGGCAGAGGTTGCAGTGAGCCAAGATCACACCACTGCACTCCAGCCTGGGCAACAGCATGAGACTTCATCTCAAAAAAACAAATAAAATAAGATAAAATAAAAGAGAAAACTTTTATAATCTTCTTGACAAAGGCTGAAAATTCTAAAAATTTATTATTACCTGTTTTTTAGATGGGGGTCTCACTCTGTCCCCAGAGTAGAGTGCAGTGGCACAATTATAGTTCACTGCAGCTTTGAACTCTTTGGCTCAAGTGATCTTCCTGCCTCAGTCTTCTGAGTAGCTGGGACAACAGGCACACACCACTACTCATAGCAAATTTTTTTTTTAACTTTTTTTTTTTAGAGATGGGGTCTTGCTGTCTTGTTCAGGCTGGTCTCAAACTCCTGGCTTCAAAGTGATACTCTCATCTTGGCCTCCCAAAGTGCTGGGATTATAGACATGAGCCACTATGCCCAGCCAATATTCTTATTTTCCTCTTCTATAACACAAAAGGTATCATAAGATATGCACTATTCTGTAGCTTGTTTTTTAAAAACTTAATGTGTCATGGAAGTCTTTCTGTATCAGTTCATAGAGTGTGTCTTCATTCTTTCTTGTGGCTACATAATATGCCATTTTGTGGGTGTGCCATAGCAGCACATAAACATAATATTCATGAAGCTATCGGTTGATATCTTTAAAAAAGTTTTTTAAACTTTTAATTTGCCGGGCGCAGTGGCTCACGCCTGTAATCGCAGCACTTTGGGAGGCCGAGGCGGGCGGATCACGAGGTCAGGAGATCGAGACCATCCTGGCTAACACGGTGAAACCCCATTTCTACTAAAAATACAAAAAATTAGCCGGGCAAGGTGGCAGGTGCCTGTAGTCCCAGCTACTCGGGAGGCTGAGGCGGGAGAATGGCGTGAACCCCCGGCGGGGCAGAGCCTGCAGTGAGCCGAGATCACACCACTGCACTCCAGCCTGGGTGACAGGGAGACTCCGTCTCAAAAAAAAAAAAAAAAACTTTTAATTTAAAAGTATTTATTTTTTGGCTGGGTGCAGTGGCTCACACCTGTAATCCTAGCACTTTCAGAGGCCAAGGCCAGCGATCGCTTGAGCCCAGGAATTTGAGACCAGCCTGAGCAACATGGCAAAACCCCGTTTCTACAAAAAATACCAAAAAAGTATCTTAGCCGAGCATGGTGGCGTGAGCCTGTAGTCCCAGCTACTCAGGAGGCTGAGGTGGATCACCTGAGCCTGGTAGGTTGAGGCTGCAGTGAGTGGAGATTGCACCACTGTACCCCATCCTGGGTGACACAGTAAGACCCTGTCTCAAAAACAAAACAAGAAACAAAAACAAAAACAAAAAAAACACAAAACCCCAAAAAGTACTTATTTTTTACTTATACAAGTAATATTTAACTAAATTTTTAAAAAAATTCACACTAAAGCAAAAATCTCTTGGTTATTCCTAATCCCTATCTCCTCCTAAGAGCTAATTTTTGTTATTAGTTTGATTATCTGCCCCTTTCTGGCCAGTATTCCCGCTGGTTGGAAATGTAACTCCCAGCTGCAATGTTAGTTTGGAAACTAGAGTCTCATCAGTGGCTCTTAGTTACACAGGGAAGCTAGAAATTCTCTCTTCCTTTTCTGCCTGTACAAATTCCATTCACATCTCTTTTGTTAACTCTGTCTCATCATCTTCAGCCTGCTTTATGGTTGTCCATATATTTAGGTTGAACCAGATAAAATTGCTATTTTGGTAGGTAAAAAGCAGTTGATTATCAGCAATTAAATGTGGTTCAACCTAATAGTTTTAAAGCCTAATCCATTTATGTGTCTAGTTCTCCTCAAGGGCAGGGGCCAGAACACATGTTTGTATAATCCCTTCCAAGACTTAGAATTGGCTGGTCAGATCAAAAGCACTTAATAAATTCCTGTTGACTGATGAAGCTAAGCTGTCGCCAAGGCAGGCAGAGTTGTGATCCACTAAATCTTACCAGGTTGATCTCTAAGATGGTTTTTGCAGCCTCCCTCTTCTCTGAAATGTAATTGGGTCCCCACCGCCGTAAGTGACTTGCATCTTTGTCACACTTTAGGGAAGTGGGGAGGACCACTTAATCTTTGGAAAATTTTGCGCCTTGGCTACTATTGAGCCTCTTGGAGGGGTTTGTTTAGGTCTGCAGAGAGTTGGATATGTGTGCCCAATAAAGTTTTTTTTGAATGAGGGAGAAGCTTTACATTAGCTGAGGACGTAAAGACCCTTCAGAGTGAGTGGAGTTGCTGGCCTAGGAGTTCACACTTGATTCTATGAATCCTGACTTCCGACCAGTGCATATCCAAAAGAATTTAAGGTTTTCCCTGAGGTTGCCAACTTTTAATTTTGCCAAATAAGGACATTTAAAATAAGTATGTAATTATGTACTTTTAATAGTTAATATGTGCTCATGGTACAGCATTCAAAATGTCCAAAAGGATATACAGCAAATAAAATGAGTCTCATGCTTCCTCTCCAGTTGCTTAAAACTATCCAGTTCCCCTTCCGGGAGGCAAACCGGGTTACTTGATCCTCCTTCCCGAGGTAGCCCACGCATTTAAAAACAGGTATGACTGTACTGGCTCTCTCCCTTCCCCCACATAAATGGTAGTGCATTCAAATACTGTTTGACATCTTTGAGTTTACCTCCCACATTTCTTAGAAATCTTTTAAAATCAATACATTAAAAAAATAAAGTAAAATCAATACATAGAGCTGCCTTATTCTTTTTGAAGGCTGTGTGATATTAGGAAGGGTATTAAAAACAGTTGTTATCGTTTTAACTTAGAAGGTATATTTAAATACTAAAAGTTAGAAAGAATGCGATTTCAAGCGGGACGTGGTGGTTCATGCCTGTAATCTCAGCACTTTGGGAGGCTGACGCAGGAGGATACTTGAGCCCAGGTGTTCAAGACCAGCCTGGGCAACATAGTGAGACTCCACCTCTACAAAAAAAAAAACCCAATAAATTAGCTGGGCATGGTGGTATGAGCCTGTAGTCCCAGCTACTCTGGTGGCTGACGTGGGAGGATCACTTGAGGTCAGGAGTTCAAAGCTGTAGTGTGCCATGGTGGTGCCACTGCACTCCAGCCTGGGAAACAGAGCGAGACCCTGTCTCAAAAAAAAAAAAAAAAAGTGATTTCCGTGTAAAGAAAATTTCCTGCCTTAGTCCAAGGACCCTGTGTGAGAAAGCTGTTGCTAGAGATAGTAAACCATTAAAGAAAGTGGTTTGAAGCCAGGAGCAGTGGCTCACACCTGTAGTACCAGCACTTTGGGAGGCCGAGGGGGGCGGATCACGAGATCAGGAGATCGAGACCATCCTGGCTAACATGGTGAAACCTCGTGTCTACTAAAAATACAAAAAAATTAGCCGGGCGTGGTGGCGGGCGCCTGTAGTCCCAGCTACTTGGGAGGCTGAGGCAGGAGAATGGCATGAACCCAGGAGGCGGAGCTTGCAGTGAGCTAAGATCGTGCCACTGCACTCCATCCTGGGTGACAGAACGAGATTCCATCTCAAAAAAAAAAAAAAAAAAAAAGAAAGTGGTTTGAATAGGAATGTGTTAAGACAGATTGTGTTATTTTAGAGAGGTTTACTAGCCTCAGGTAGGCTGAATGAATGAGAGGGTAAGAGATATATAATTGCCATATTGATGTCCTTCTCCCCATTTTACAGAGAGGAGTGGATTTAGGGAATCCTCTCTTGTCTCCTACAATTGTACTATTTCATTTGTCAGATCAGACAATTAGCCAGTCTGTTGTCAAGATATCTTGTATTTATAGCAGCTGTCATTTGGATTGGAGTAGGAAGACTAGTTTCAGGGCTGTTTATGTCTTTTGTTAATATTTTTGAGCAAGTAAGGTATGCATAGTAGCAATTAGGAATTATGGAAAACATACCCTTCCAGTCCTCTGTGAGGAATACACACATGAAGTGATGGGGGCCTGAACTTGAGGAGTGAAATTGGAATAGGTTGCTGGAGTCTGAGAATGTTGGAATTTAAAAACTGACAGAATACATGACCTTTGGGAAGAATAAGAGGAGTGGAATTCATTTGCTAAACATTTATTGAGTACCTAGTATGTGCAAAGTACTGCAATAAGTTAATGCCAAGCAAACTGCCTTAGAGGGTGCTAGTGTGGGTTGAAAAGTACACAGTATACAGACACAAGAAAGCAGGCCTGTTCATTTAGGTAGGTAGCATGTGTTTATTAGGACAGCACTGTACTAGGTGCTGGATATAAGAAAGGAAGGAAGTGGTACAAACCAGGTTGCAGGGAGAAAATACAGATAGAATGTAAACTTTTTCAGTCTAGAATAGCTATTTGATTAATACAAGTGTTTTCAGAGAAAAACTGCATACAATATTTTTCTTTATTTTTAACCGTTTATTTTTTGGAATGAGCAATACCTTTATATAGTTGAAATAAAAAGGTATTATAAGGTATACTGCAAAAAGTCTCCCTCCTATTTTTGCCCCTTCCCACCTCTTATCCAGATACCTCTCTTGTGTCAGGAATAAATGCTGGAAACAGAAACCAGCCCGAGTATTTTAACCACAAAAGGATTTAACGTGGGGAATTGGGTACTTTTAAAGTTGTTGGAAGGGCTGGAAGAGTGGGACTCAAGGAGGCTGCCCTTAGGGTATCATCTTGAAAGGCCCACAATCGTAGCTGTGATCTGGTCAGGAAGTCACTACTGGCACTGCCATCTGCACCACTGCTGCTTGACATGCATGAAACTGATGATTAGACATTAGGCTCTGGCTTATTGCAGACCAGCAGCAGCAGCAGCAGCAGCAACATCTGGGAGCTTGTGAGAGCTCTTAGGCCCCAGCTTGGCATACTGAATCAGAATCTTCATTTCAACAGGATACCTTGATGATTTACATGTGTGTGGAAGCTTGATAGGCCTTGTACTGGACCTGGCCACTAACCCAAGGGTCTTTATGACCTTGGCCACCAATTGTAAGGAAGTCAGGGAAATGTAGTTGTTGATTTTCCTAACTCTCAGTCTAGAAAGAAGGTTGAATGGAGGTTGAAAGAAACCATCTACTGAACTGACCACACTTTTCCACAAGTAACCTTTGTTGTTTCTTGGGCATCCTTCCAGATACTTTATGCATATATAAGCATATGTGAATACATATCCTTTTTTCTCCTCTTTAAAAAGTAAGTCAGGTGTGGTAGCTCATGCCTGTAATTCCAGCATTTGGGGAGGCTGAGCCAGGATCTGCTATCCTGGGCAGATAGCTTGAGCCCAGGAGTTTGAGACCAGCCTGGGCAACGTAACAGAACTCCATCTCTACAAAAAATACAAAAATTAGCACTGTATGGTGGTGTGTGCCTGTAGTCTCAACTACTTGGGAGGCTGAGGCTGGAGGGACACGAGCTGGGGAGAGGGAGGTTGCAGTGAGCCGAGATCACGCCACTGTACTTCGGCCTGGGTGACAGAGTGAGACCCTGTCTCAATCAATCAATCAATCAATCAAAATAAAACGAAACAATAGCTTAGCATATACAGTGTTCTGAATCATATAACTGTATATCTTAGAAGAGCTTTCCATATCTTGACAGATAAAATCATCTTGTTCTTTTTAATAACCGCGTAGTATAAGGCTGGGCACGGTGGCTCATGCCTGTAATGCTAGCACTTTGGGAGGCTGAGGTGGGCGGATCATGAGGTCAAGAGATCGAGACCATCCTGGCCAACATGGTGAAATCCCGTTTCTACTAAAAATACAAAAATTAGCTGGGTGTGGTGGCACGTACCTGTAGTCCCAGATACTCAGGAAGCTGAGGCAGGAGAATCACTTGAATCAGGGAGGTGGAGGTTGCAGAGAGCTGAGATCGCGCCACTGCCCTCCAGCATAGCGACAGAGCGAGACCCTGTCTCAAAAAAACAAACAAACAACAACCAAAAAAACTGCACAGTATTCCATTATATTGCTTATAAATGCTTAAAATTGAGACTGTCTGATACAGTCTGGGTTGCATGGTCATTCTGATTTATTGGCACATGTAAAATCTAATCTAGTTGTTAAATCCTTAATGTTTTCTTCCTGCCTCTTGTGTGCTCAAGTCTTCTGTGTATGTCATCTTGTTTAATCCACACTACAACCCAGTGTGCTTCTTCCACTTTACATGAGGGAACTCAGGCTCTGAAAGTTTAATTTAATGGTTCATAAACTGGCCGGGCACAGTGGTTCACCCTTGTAATCTCAGCACTCTGGGAGGTTGAGGCGGGCAGATCACCTAAGGTCGGGAGTTCGAGACCAGCCTGGCCAACATGGCGAAACCCCATCTCTACTAAAAATACAAAAATTAGCTGGGCATGGTGGCGGGCGCTGTAATCCCCGCTACTCGGGAGGCTGAGGCAGGGAGAATTGCTTGAACCCAGGAGGTTGCGGTGAGCCAAGATCACACCACTGCACTCCAGCCTGGGTGACAGAGCGAGACTCTGTCTCAAAAATAAAATAAAATAAAATAGTTCATAAACTAAGGAATATGCAGGTTAGGATTTGGACCTCAAGTCTGTTACCCTCCATAATTTGTGATTTGACCCAACTACACAGAGTCTCTAAACGGTAGGCCTGGTAACCTTCTCCTTTGGGAAGAGGTTTGGAAATGTACCATTATGGATATTTGGATATTTGGGGTGGGTATTAAAGGAATGCCAATTTTTTTTTTTCTGACTCAGGTATCCAGCTCACATAGAAGACATTGACTACGAGGAAGGAAAAGTACTCATCCATTTCAAGCGTTGGAACCATCGTTATGATGAGTGGTTCTGCTGGGACAGTCCTTATTTACGCCCTTTAGAGAAAATACAGCTGAGGAAAGAGGGCTTGCATGAAGAGGATGGATCTTCTGTGAGTAACAAATCTGGGAAGTTCTGTAGTATGCAAGGTCAGCCATTGGGCTGTTTGTGTTTCAATCTTTGATGTTAGTAGCAGCTGGAGACCAGTTCTTATTTAGGCCTATAGTTGTAACCCTGAGATCTCTATGACACCTGGGGCTCTTGAAGAATCCCAATTTTGTTTGTTTGTTTTTTGAGACGGAGTCTCGCTGTGTTGCCCAGGCTGGAGTGCAGTGGTGCAGTCTCTGCTCACTGCAGTCTCCACCTCTCGGGTTCAAGCGATTCTCGTGCCTCAGCCTCCCTAGTAGCTGGGATTACAGGTGCCCACCCTGGCTAATTTTTGTATTTTTAGTAGAGATGGGGTTTTGCCATCTTGGCCAGGCTGGTCTCAAACTCCTGACCAATTTTACGGCATTGTATCCCTAACTTCTAGAACACTGCCTGGCACATTGTAGATCTTCTGATCTTTTGTTAAGCTGTCTGGTCTTTTGTTAAGTGATCATTCTGGCCAGGCGTGGTGGCTCACACCTGTAATCCCAGCACTTTGGGAGGCGGAGACAGGCAAATCACAAGATCGGGAGTTTGAGACCAGCCTGGCCAACATGGTGAAACCCCACCTCTACTAAAAATACAAAAAATTAGCTGGATATAGTGGCGGGCGCCTGTAATACCAGCTACTCGGGAGGCTGAGGCAGGAGAATCGCTTGAACCCAGGAGGCGGAGGTTGCAGTGAGCCAAGATGATCATGCCACTCCACTCCAGCCCGGGTGACAGAGTGATATTCCATCTCAAAAAAAAAAAAAAAAAAAAAAGTGATCATTCCATGTAGAACGTTGTACTAAGTCTCATATGCAAGGTCTTCTTCTTTTGAGACAGGGTCTTGCTCTGTTGCCCAGACGGGAATGCAGTGGTGCAATCATGGCTCACTGCAGCCTCAATCTCCCAGGCTCAAGCGATCTTTCCACTTCAACTTCCCAAGTAGCTGGGACCACGGGCCCACCACACCCGGCTAATTTTTAAATTTTTTTATAGAGACAGTGTCTCGTATTGTTGCCCAGGCTGGTCTTGAACTCCGGGCTCAAGTGATCCTCCCGCCTTGGTCTCCCACAGTGCTAGGATTATAGGTGTAAGCTCGTCCTGCAGAGTCTTTTATAAGCCCTTAAAGAACTTGGAATTGATTGGACTGTATTCCATTTTTCTAAATTTTATCTCTATGCCTGGAGCTTTTACTGACTTCAAAATGCAGTATGAAGTATTAGTTTTAAGGTTTTTTTGTTTTGTTTTGTTTTAAGCAGTGAAAGCACAGATTTATTGAAATGAAAGTACACTCCACAGAGTGGGAGCGGGCTCAAGCAAGTAGCTCAAGAGCCGTTTTTTTGGTTTGTTTTTGAGACGGGGTCTTGCTCTGTTGCTCAGGCTGGAGTGCAGTGGCTCGATCTCACCTCACTGCAACCTCCATCTCCTGGGTTCAAGCGATTCCCCTGCCTTATCCTCCTGAGTAGCTGGGACTACAGGTGCGTGCCACCACACCTGGCTAATTTTTTGTATTTTTAGTACAGATGGGGTTTCACTGTGTTAGCCATGATGGTCTCGATTTCCTGACCTCGTGATCCGCCTGCCTCGGCCTCTCAAAGTCCTGGCATTACAGGTGTGAGCCACCGCGCCCAGCCGGTTTTTTTTTTTTGGTTTTTTTTTTTTTTGATAATGTTGTCCAGCTTTATTTTTGCTTTCTTGCCAAAGATTTGTCAAGCTCCTCACTCTGTCATTATAAAATTCCCACCCTGAGAATCTCCCATTTTTCTTCACCATCACCACACACACACACACACACACACACACACACACACACACACACACACAGGCTGAAACAATAAAATATAAAGTTCATCCTAAGAAGAAGATATCGAGTCCAAAGAGGGTTATCAACTTTAGAAAAGAAGCAAAGAAATCATAAAATAATGATATTTTAAGATTACAGATTAAGCCCTAATTTAGAATATTTTTAGAAATTTTATCATATTAAAACAAGGGTGAAGGCACTATAGACTCTTGTTTTTTAACTAACTTTATTTAAATTAGCTATACCCATTTTAAGTGTATGATTTCATAAGTTTTGTGTAATAAGCTTAAATTTAATAAGCATTTAAATTTGTGATATAAAAATCACCCATTTTAAACTGTATAGTTTAATAAGTTTTGCAAATTTATATTGTCAGATAGCCACTGCCATATGATACACAATATTTTCATTATGACAAAAAGAAGCTCTCCCTCAAATTGCTTTTCATTCAGTCTTCACCAGCCAGTCCTGGACCAGTTCTGGACCCTGGCTTGCCACTGATCTATCTATTTTCTGTTTATAGTCCTATTTTTGTTTGGTTTTTCATTTGAAATAAAATCATACTGTATGTAACATTTCGGGTCTGACTTACTTCAATTAGCATATCTTTTGAAGCTTCATTTATGGTGTTTTTTTTTTCTGTTCCTGTAATAACAGTTTGTTTTATTTTTTTAATTTTATTTATTAATTTTTTTATTATACTTTAAGTTCTAGGGTACATGTGCACAATGTGCAGGTTTGTTACATATGTATACGTGTGCCATGTTGGTGTGCTGCACCCATTAACTCATCTTTTTTTGTTTTTTTTTAAAGAGACGTTTTCTTGCTCTGTCGCCCAGTCTGAAGTGCAGTGGTGCAGTCTTGGCTTAATGTAGCCTTGACCTCTTGGGCTCAAGCAATCCTCCTTCCTCAGCCTCCTGAGTACCTGGGACTATAGGCATGTACCACTGTGCCTGACTAATTAAAAAATTTTTTTTGTAGAGACAAGGTCTTATTATGTTGCCCAGGCTGGTCTTGAACTCCTGGCCTTAAGGGATCTTTCTGCCAAAGAAGGAAGATCCTTCGTACCTCCCAAAGTCCTGGGATTATAGGCGTGTGCCCTTGTGCCTGGCTAGTTTTAAGGTTTTTAAACAGGCATTGAGACATCTATAATGGTCCTGCTGCTTTTGGATCTGACTCAGACTCAGCCCTGCCTTCTATTTTTCTTTCTTTTTTTTTTTTTTTTTGAGGCAGTCTTACTGTATGGCCGAGGCTGGAGTGCAGTGGCATGATCTTGACTCACTGCAACCTGTCTTTCGGGTTCAAGTGATTCTCGAGTCTTAGCTTTCTGAGTAGCTTGGACTACAGACGCATCCAACCACACCTGGCTAATGTTTGTATTTTTAGTAGAGGTGGGAGTTCATCATGTTGGCCAGACTCCTGGCCTCAGGTGATCCACCTTCCCCAGCCTCCCAAAGTGCTGGGATTACAGGCACGAGCCACTGTGTCCGGCTTATTTTCTGTTTTAACCCTATTAGGGAACTTGAACTATTGCTGGCCTTTTTTTTCTTTTTCCCAATTAAGGATTATTCAGTATTGTTCCATTTGACTTTTCAGTGTTCATTCTACAAATTTTTTTTTTTTTTTGAGACAGAGTCTCACTGTATCACCCAGCCTGGAGTGCAATGGCGCAATCTCGGCTCACTGCAACCTCCACCTCCTGGGTTCAAGTGATTCTCCTGCCTCAGCCATCGAGAAGCTGGGATTACAGGTGGCCGCCACCACACAGGCTAATTTTTGTATTTTTAGTAGAGACGGGGTTTCACCATGTTGGCCAGGCTGATCTCAGGTGATCTGCCCACCTTGACCTCCCAGAGTGCTGGGATTACAGGTGTGAGCCACTGCACCTGGCCCATTGTACAAAATTTATCAGTGCAAACTGTGTGCTGGGAAAAGAGTATAAAATATTAAAGGTGAATGGTTGCTTTCCCTGGCAAAAGACCCTTTAGAAGTGTAGATGGCATTAAATGCTGCTTCCCTGAGTATGAAGTAGCCTCATATCTTCTGACTCCTATACTGGATGTGTATTCTAGTAGTCCTGGCCTCTTAGACTCATTTTCAGAATGTATGCTGGTTAGGGTGGAATTATCATCAGTGCTGTTCTGTGCCTGCCCAGACCTCTTGGGCTTATTGAGGTCTTGTGTCCCAGCCCTTTTGTTTTGACTCCTGTCTTAGTCTTTTCTGTGTTGCTATAATAGAATACCTGAGACTAGGTAATTTATAAAGAAAAGAGGTTTGTTTAGCTCACAATTCTGCAGGCTGGGAAGTTCAAGTGCATGGTACTGGCTTCTGGCATCAGCTTTCATGCTGTGTCATACATGGTGGAAGGTCAAAAAGGGAGACAAGTGTGAAGAGAGGGACCAAACAGAAGGAGACTTGCTTTGTAACAACTTGCTTTCTTGGGAATGAATCCATTCCCAGGAGAGCGAGAAGTCACTCCTGTGAGACAGCATTAATCTATTCATGAGGGATCTGCTACCATGACCCAAACACCTCTCATAGGCCCCATTTTCAACACTGCTGCACTGAAAACGTTTACTTTTGGTGAGGACAAATGACACCGAAATTATAGCAACTCCTAGTGTTGAACAACAGAAATATCTTCCTCCATCTCAACAGCTACTTTCCCTTCACACTTTCTTATCAATCCCAGCTTCTTTTATGAGATCTGGTATGTCCTGTATGTCCTGTGAAATTAGGTTGGTAACAGGATCTTTTTTTTTTTTTTATGTTTTTTAGGAATTTCAAATAAATGAGCAGGTCCTTGCTTGCTGGTCTGATTGTCGTTTTTACCCGGCCAAAGTCACTGCTGTTAACAAGGATGGTAAGGCATTTGAGTTGTAGTTGTTTTTACTCATGACTTAGGTGGTGGGGGGGGATGTTTGTAATATCAGAGCTTGATAGTATATTTTCAGTATTTATTTACTGCCTAGGTATCCGCTTTATTCAAGTTAATCACTATGTCAGGAGTTGGGTAGAAATTATAAGTGTAAAGAAAACTGGACAAAAAAGATAGTTTGACTTTTTACCCCCTGAATTTCAGTCATTGTTTTCTAAAACAGTCACAGTTCATCTGTCACTCTGCCTGGAAGTATGCAGGTACTTGCTGTCTAGGAGTTCCTAATATAATTGATGACATAGTCCTGAATATTTGTGAATAGCTTAGAAATTAAATGAACACTAACAAACTTTAAAAAATGTGCTTTCTAGATGCAAGGTGACTGAGGGTGGTCTGTAACATTGGAGTTGCTAGTGGAAACTGGGATGCCGGAATTTAGAGCACTGAGTTGGGTTTCATTTGCCAGAGTTGAACATGTGAAGAGACAGGATGGGGAACTTGACTAATAGAGGCTCAATTTTGCTAGTAAAAGGGCAGACAAAGAGTTATGAGGATAATATGTACGGTCAGGATCCTGGCACCTGGAGAATAGAGTCTGGGTCCCAGTGATACCATTGTAAGCACATTCCACTAGGGTGTGTGTGGTCTCCATGATCTCTGAAGTGAGTGTTTAGGGAAGTCAGGCCTCTTGATGCCACTGTAGGGTTGACTATTAGGCCAGCCTGACTTTTCATTTGATGAAGTTATTCAGATATTTATTAATACTCTGCTAACTGCTGGGCCTCAGGCTGACCAAGTTTTGTCTGAGAATGATTTTTTTTTTCTTGTTCTTTTTTGGGACAGAGTCTTGCTCTGTTGCCCAGGCTGGAGTGCAGTGGTGCCAGCTCAGCTCACTGCAACCTCCATCTCCTGAGTTCAAGCGATTCTCCTGCCTCAGCCTCCCGAGTAGCTGGGATTACCAACGTGCACCACGGTCAGCTAAATTTTGTATTTTTAGTAGAGACGGGGTTTCGCTATGTTGGCCAGGCTGGTCTCATGTGATCCACCCACCTCGGCCTCCCAAAGTTTTGGGATTATAAGCGTGAGCCACCATGCCCAGCCGCAACTTTTTAGAAAAGTATTTTTCAGGCCAAACACGATGGTTCTTGCCTGTAATCCCAGCAGTTTGGGAGGCTCTCGTGGGAGGATCACTTGAGGCCAGGAATTTGAGACCAGCCTGGGCAACATAGTGAGACCTCATCTCACTATGAAAAAAAAATTAGATGAGTGTGGTGACATGTTCCTGTAGTCCTAGCTACTCGCATGGCTGAGGTGGGAAGATCCCTTGAGCCCAGGAGTTTGAGGCTACAGCAAGCTATGATAGTGTCATTGTACTCCAGCCTGGGCAGCAGAACGAGACTCTGTCTCTTAAAAAAAAAAAAAAAAAGTCTTTTCAGTTGTGCTTCCTCCATAAGCTAAAATTATAGGAGGGAGAGTCTCGAGGCTATGATAGTTCCTAAAATGGTCATTTGCAACGCTAATATCTTGTTTCTGAAGCTCCATATTCTGTCCAGTGAAATTTAGTTAATTGAAGGACATGAAAATGAATGGAAATTTCTGCCAAAACCTGTTGTCCTGAGGTTCTTGGGTCTGAAGTCCTGTATTATGCTGACACATTGACTGGTTTTTGGGACTAACTGGAAGAGGGAGGAGAGGATATGGGAGAGGGGCAATCCTGAAACAGAAAGTTAGTGGGGCAGGCTGGGTAGTACTATTGGCCACCCAGATTGTGAAGGAAAGCTAGCCTTTGTAGGAGCTCAGATCTATGTCTGATTCAGAGATGAAGATAATTAATGCCTCTAAGAGGGGTGGGAAGGTGTCTTGGTGGAGGCAATGAAGGCTTAGTAATCTACTGTTTAGATCTAATACCTGCAGAGCCCAGAGCTTGGCATCATGAAGTAAAACAAAAGAAGACCTGCTTCAAAGTAGAATGAAGTAGGTGCTGAAATAGAGCTACCAGGAGGAGGCAGGGCAGGATGGTGCAGGTTAATCATGGTAGGCACCTGTCTCTATAAGGTTTTGTGTTTGTGTGTGGGATGGATCAGAAACTCTTTGAAATAATGATTTCAAAAATGATTAGGTTTGGATTAGAGCTGATGGTCAGTTTGTGCTTCATCACGATTCACTGTGGGATTACTTGTGGGATTGGGAGCGACAATGCTAGTCTCTCTTTTCACTCTTTCCTTGGTATTTTCTGCTGTGCCTCAGGTTCATTCGTAGCAGTGGCCACCAGCTTAATGGCCCTGCGAGGAGAAGCTCTGCCGGCAAGGCGGCCCCTTTATTTCCTGTAAATGTCACTTATGTCTTGTTGGTGCTGCCAGGAGGAGGCAGGGGATATAGTGAAGTCATGCCTTGTAGATTTATCTTTAGAAGGCTTGGTCTGATTTTCTTGCCACTCTTAATCTCCTTGGATGTTTTGCTAAAGCTGAGTGTTGAGCAGGCTGGTGGGTGGGGACTGTAGCCAGAGTGTGGAAGTGGCAGCTGCTGGCACTGAGGAGTCTGGCATGATTGAATCAGAACTAAATAACAACTTTAGTTTCTTAAGGAAGTCTGTTAGCACTCGGAAAATAGGGCATATAATGCCATATTATTTAGCTTTTTTCACCTGGAGTGGTTCTTCAGCAGTGGAGATTAAGCATTATTTAGTACGAAGGCAGCGGCAGTTGGTAGCCTTGTTAGACCCTCAGTCTGTGTTGTTACAAAAGACAGTAAAAGATGGGTTTCTACTTTCAGGGAATCTTTGTTTGGAAGCCATCTCTGGTGAGCTGACCTCACCTCTTTGCTGGGGCTGCTTAGCTTCCCCCTCCGTTTTTTTTTTTTTTTTTTTTTTTTTTTTTGGTGACAGAATCTTGCTCTGTTGTCCAGGCTGGAGTGCAGTGGCACAATCTCTGCTCACTGCAACCTCCACCTCCTGGGTTCAAGCAATTCTCCTGCCTCAGCCTCCTGAGCAGCTGGGACTACAGGCACATGCCACACCACACCTGGCTAATTTATATATATATATATATTTTTAAGGTTTCAAATGTACTTTATTTCTTCATTAATGCCATATCTTAATGGGTACACAGTGCTTTAACTTGGCATCAATTATGAGCTGTTTTTTTTTTTTTTTTTTTTTTTTTTTTTGAGACGGAGTCTCTATGAGCTGTTTTTTAAACAATTCATTATTACATCAGCTGGTATGATTACTGTTCTCTCCATTTTGGGGGGTGACTCTGCCAACAGGGGATGGGTTCCATTCTATTCCAATTTGTGTTGTTATATATGTCCACATAGCAATACAGAAAGTGGGTCCACTAGCTAATACAGTATTACCATATTTGTTATGAAAATCAGGTGTATGTTTCTGGTGGCTCTGCCTTGCCATTGTTTGCTGAATGCTTCGAACTTGGAGATGACTGAGTTTGTTTTTGACCAAGGGAAACATCGTGAAGGTGAAGATAGAACTGCAGCAATGAAGCTGCTGCTTTAATTTTTGCATTTGTAGGAGAGACAGAGTTTCACTGTATTGGCCAGGCTGGTCTGGAACTCCTGACCTCAAATGATCCACCCGCCTCAGCCTCCCGAATCTCCCCTTTTTTTCACACAAGGATTAGCAGAGTCAGTTGTCTGTCAGGGCTTTTTGCCCCCAGTAGTGTACAACTCTGCTCTGTAAGTGATTTTCTTTAAGGAAACTACTGTGTAGGTTAGCATTTATGACAAAATGGGGAATTGGTCCTTTCTGTTGATCTGTGGTTCTTTAACTTGAATGAGCAGGTAAATCAGCTCCTTCTTCCTAAAAAATATGCATATTTTTGGGTCATGTCCCCTACCTACCCTGCCAGTTCAGTCTCTGGGGCAGTGACTGAAGTCTGCATTTATAACAGGAGATGCTATGGAAATGATCTTGTTTCTAGAGTCTCTGGCTGAAGCAGCTCTTATTTTTTGTTTTCTTCATGCTGTAACTGATTCTACATTTGAAATGTGGGGAGGCTGATACTGTGTGAACAGCTTTGTAGAAAGAGAAAAGGAAGATTTAGGCCCACACGTGCAGGTGCTAGCTTGGCTGTTTTCTTCTATTGGGGGAAGAGGGATTGTGCTTCCCCCCCAACCCCCACCCCGCCCCTTTTTTTTTGCCTAGATAGCCTTTAACGATGTCAATGTCTGGCCAGGCGCAGTGGCTTATGCCTGTAATCCCAGCACTTTGAGGGGCCGGGGCAGCGGATTACCTGAGGTCAGGAGTTCAAGACCAGCCTGGCCAGCATGGTGAAACCTAGTATCTACTAAAAATAGAAAAATTAACCTGGCGTGGTAGCATGTGCCTGTAGTCCCAGCTACTCGGGAGGCTGAGACAGAAGAATCGCTTGAACTCAGGAGGCAGAAGTTGCAGTGAGCTGAGATTGCACCATACTGCACTCTAGCCTGGGTGACAGAGCGAGACTCCGTCTCCAAAAAAAAAAAAAAGATGTCAATGTGCTGTGCTTCCCTTTTAGGGTGACTTGGTGGTATTGATCCCTTGGTCTGTGACAGGCCCTGTGCTAGGTTGTTTCCATATCTTATCGTATTTAGTCTTTACACAAACATGGAAAGGTTATTGCCATTAACCCCATTCTTATTTTGCAGATGAGGAACTAAGCTCACAGGGGGAAACTGCTTGAGGTTATAAAGCGCTTGGATGGTAGAGCTGAGATCTGCATGGAGGTCTGTGGTTCTACAGAGTCCCTAAACTGTCGTTCCCACAGTACCAGGCTGCCTCTTTGGAGCAGGGTTTTCCTAAGAGGGCAGGTGTTGTCAATTAGGTCCAGGTGTTCACTGATAGAATGCGAGAGTGGATGTAGTGGTCTGCACTTTCTGGAGCCGGTGTTGTCTTGAGAACCATGGTTGGGAGACAGGGTCTGGTCCCAGCTCCTGCTCAGTGATTATGGGCGGTTCACTGCCTTTGCTCTGGACTCTTTTGAGCAGTTAGAAGTC
This sequence comes from Homo sapiens, assembly GCF_000001405.40. Classification (NCBI taxonomy): domain Eukaryota; kingdom Metazoa; phylum Chordata; class Mammalia; order Primates; family Hominidae; genus Homo; species Homo sapiens. The sequence continues at coordinate 35,852,439 of NC_000020.11, forward strand.
AAAGAGGGAGTGGGAATAGATGAGTGTTGTATTGGCCACAGAACCTAAACCCAAAATGTAAAATTGCTAAGAAGAAAATACTTAGAGGGAGGGGAAGGCATGCCCACAAACATATGCACATCCCCACCCCTCAATCTGTGGAAGCCTAAGGACTTCAAGAAAACTTTTTTTTTTTTTTGAGACGGAGTCTCCCTCTGTTGCCCATGCTGGAGTGCAGTGGCTCGATCTCAGCTCACTGCAACCTCCGCCTCCTGGGTTCAAGTGATTCTCCTGTGTCAGCCTCCCGAGTAGCTGGGATTACAGGTGTGTGCCACCACGCCTGGCTAATATTTGCATTTTTAGTAGAGACGGGGTTTCACCGTGTTGGTTAGGCTGGTCTTGAACTCCTGACCTCATGATCCACCCGCGTCGGTCTCCCAAAGTATTGGAATTACAGGCGTGAGCCACCGTGCCCGACCTGACTAATCTTTTTTTCCTTTTTTTTTTTTTCTAAAAAGGGCCAGTCCAGGCGTGGTGGCTGACGCCTGTAATCCCAGCACTTTTGGAGGTCGAGGCAGGTGGATCACCTGAGGTCAGGAGTTCAAGACCAGCCTGTCCAACATGGTGAAACCCGTCTCTACTAAAAATACAAAAAGTAGCTGGGCTTGGTGGCGCGCACCTGTAATCTCAGCTACTCGGGAGGCTGAGGCAGGAGAATCACTTGAATCCAGGAGGCGGAGGTTGCAGTGAGCCAAGGTCGAGCCACTGCACTCCAGCCTGGGCAACAGAGCAAGACTCGTCTCAAAAAAAAAAAAAAAAGAAAGAAAAAAAAAGAAAAGACTAGTTGAAAGCAGTTGTGAGAAGAAAGGAAAGAGTAGAACAACAAGTTCGATCTGTAACTAACTGTGAACCATCAATTGAGATAACTCACTACTTTCAGACCAGCCTGAGAAAACATGTTTGAAAACCCTCCGTTTTCCATCTGTGGCATTCTGGAATAATCTGACTTCCGAAGAGTGAATGAGATAGAAAAGAAGCCCTGGACGCTGGGCAGGATGGCACACATCTGTAATTCCAGTGCTTTTGGAAGTTGAGGAGGCAGGATTGTTTGAGGCTGGGAGTTTGAGACCAGCCTGGGTAACATAGACCCCAATGCCCCGCTATCTCTACAAAAAACTAAAAAATAAAAAATTGGCTGGACATGTTGGTGCATGCCTGTAGTCCCAGCCACTTGTGAGGCAGAGACAGTAGGATTGCTTGAGCCCAGGAGTTTGAGGCTGCAGTGAGCTAGGTTCGTACCACTACACTCCAGGATGGGTGACGAAGACCCTATTTCTTTCTTTTTTTTTTTTTTTGAGATGGAGTCTTGCTCTGTTGCCCAGGCTGGAGTGCAGTGGCGCGATGTCAGATCACTACAACCTCTGCCTCCCAGGTTCGAGTGATTCTTCTGCCTCAGCCTCCCGAGTAGCTGGGATTACAGGCACTCACCATCATGCCCAGCTAATTTTTGTATTTTTGTAGAGATGGGGTTTCACCACATTGGCCAGACTGGTCTTGAACTCCTGACCTCAAGTGATCCGCCCGCCTCCACCTCCCAAAGTGCTGGGATTACAGGCGTGAGCCACCATGCCCGGCCGATGAAGACCCTGTTTCTAAGAAAAAAAGAGGCCCTGGAATATTGGCTGTGGTAGATTTCATGAGCAACAGAAATCTGTCCAATCCAAAATCACCCATGTATTATCCCTATGTCTTTGGTCCTAGAGAACATGAGCTTGTTATGCATCTCAGTTTTGTTCTTAGAACCCTTTTAGTGTTACTGACTGCTATAAGATTGTCTGCAATGCTGAGTCCTTAACCCTCAGAGGGGCAAGACCAGGAATCTTTGTTTCATCTTAAAGTCTAAGGACAAAAACTCCTTGAGGGAGTCTGAGGCAGGTAGCCCTTCTGTCACGTTAGAGGAGATGGAACAGGATACACTTATTTTGAGTTCCTTCATTTACATGTTGTTTGTTAGGTAGTGTTTGTGGCCACAGGAGAACTCTATTATTAGCTACCTACGGGAGGATTCCATGTGAAGACAATCTTTTAGTAATATACATGAAACCATCTGAGTAAAATGTGGGCCTCTCTGTTGTCCATTATTCTGTCTGATTTATTGAAGCCCAAGTTAGGCTGTGTTTAGCATGAAAGTTTCAAGATGATCCTTTGTAGTCCTTTGGAAGTTAAAAGGATCAAAGACCGAGATATATCTAAGGACGGTCATCCCTTAGCACCTTTGGCCATAGTTTGGGTCATTTCAGCACTCTGAAATGGGTCTGTGGTTTGGAATTAGACTGAGGAGCTTGAGCAATAGGCAGTGCGGGGTGGTGGGAAAAAATTGGTTGGAGGTCAGTAGACAGGCTTGGATTCCAAAGATAGCTGTCTCAGACTTAATCATGGAACTCAGGTTCCTTTTATGTAAGTCCTCCTTCTGGAATCTGCCATCAGGAGTAAGCTTCAAAATTAACTCCAAGTAGCTGAAAATGTTGGACTGTTAGGTAACATTACTCAATATTGACTTTTGGATGTTGGAAATGCCTGTAAAAATGGCAGTTTTCATTTTGATGTAACTGATCCTGAACTAACTTTGTTGATAAAATAGTTGAAAGTAGAGTCTTGGGTGGTTTGTTGGCACACATAATATTTAAGATTTCAAGATAACTGGAGTCTTAAAACTCCCATCCCCCCATCTCCGTCCCCAGACTTGCCAGAGTTGCACCATGGTTGCTTGAGAGGGTTCTGTTTAGAATTCCATAGCATTGTTTATCATAACTGCTTTGCTTGCCAACACCCTGACAATATAGGCAGGTAAAAACAGGAACCCAGACCTTTGTTGTAAGTACTCATAAGTCATTGCTGAGCTGCCTGTGTAGATAATTGTTTATGCTCTTATCCTTTTATGTTCTTATCCTTTTATCATAGCCTGTTCATCTAATTGTTGTTGTCATCTAATTGCTGATGTTTTAACCCAACCAGGCATAACTATGTATCTTTATATCTTGTTTGCTAGCCAGTTTCTTTTTTTTATATTTTTAATTTTTTTAAAAATTTTTAATTTTTGTGGGTACATAAGTGGGTGTATGTATTTATGAGTTACATGAGATATCTTGATACAGGTATGCAATGTGTAATAATCACATCAGGGTAAATGGGGGTATATATCACGCCAAGCATTTATCCTTTGTTACAAACAATCCAATTATGTAGTTATTTTATTTTTATTTTTTATTTTTTTTAGGCAGAGTTTCATTCTGTCACCCAGTCTGGAGTGCAGTGGTGTGATCTTGGCTCACTGCAACCTCCACTTCCTGGGTTCAGGCGATTCTCTTGCCTCAGCCTCCTGAGTAGCTGGGATTGCAGGTGCCCACCACCATACCTGGCTAATGTTTTTTGCATTTTTTCAGTAGAGACAGGGTTTCACCATGTTGGCCAGACAGGTCTTGAACTCCTGACCTCAAGTGATTCACCCGCCTCGGTCTCCCAAAGTGCTGGGATTACAGGCGTGAGCCATCACACCTGGCCAAGTTATTTTAAAATGTACAATTATTTTTGACTATAGTCACCCTGTTGTGCTAGCAAATACTAGATCTTACTCATTCTTTCTAACTTTTTTGTACCCCTTAACCATCGACACGTTCCCCCACCCCTGCCTACTACCCTTCCTAGCCTCTGGTAACCCTCCCTCTACTCTCTATCTCCGTAAGTTCAATTGTTTTAATTTTTAGCTCCTACAAATAGGTGAGAACATCAAAGTTTGTCTATGTCTTGCTAGCTAGTTTCGTCATGTATTGGTGACACCTGTGACAAATAATCACCTTTATTTTGTAATTACCAGGAATAAAGGTCAGTAGGTAATTACTAATTGTCTATGGCAGTGGTTCTTGGACTTTGGTGTACATCAGAATCACCTGGAGGAGTTGTTAAAAATGCACATTCCTGTGCCCTGTTCCCAGTTGCTGTTTCAGTGTATCTGAGGTGGGACTGGTAACTTGCATTTCTAATGAGTTCCCAGGAGTTGCTCATGCTGCTGCTGTGGGACCACACTTTGAGAAGCACTGGTTTACTCTGAGGCAGGTACTGTGTGTGGAAGAAAGTGGTATAAGTTATGGTCTCTGGCCTTGAAGAGCCTGCTTTTGAGTTGTGATCTGTACTTATATGAAGGTAGACCTAAGTTTGAAGCTCTGTAGGCTGGTGCCAAATGAGCCTAAGAAGTTCAGATCGGGGGTAATCATTAGTAGCTGAAAAGCCCGGAAGCTTTTACAGAACTGTTGTGGGTATTTGAGCCAGGCACTTAAAGATCAGTGAGTGGCACATTCCCAGAAGGAAAACACTTTTAATACAGATGTGGAGTTAGAAGTGTCGCTGGCAGTTTCAGTGGGTAGCTTGTCACTTTGAGTTGGTGGGTATTGGATGGTGGTAATGGGAAATAAGGTTTGGAAAATTATTGGGGTCAGATTGTGTTGGAGGTTGAATACTTTTGGACTTCATTTGGTACCCGTGATTAGCCATTGACTAGGCCCTGTTGAGGACTGGCGGTGGAGGGGTGTGGGAAGAGAATGTATCAGAAGGAGAAAACCAGGTCTTAACTTTGTTGTTGCATTCTTCGGCTCCCAGGCCTCAGGGTTTTTTGCAGGGGGTGGGGGAATTGGTTCTAAAAAGAGAAAAACCTGTTTACTAGTGGAAACCATTACGTGATTACCAATGGTTTACTGAATCTTGACAAGATTAATTGTGATTATTTTAAATCCCTGGGGCAAAAATGGGTGGGGCATGAATTGGCTCTAAGATGCAAAATTTGAAAGTGTTGTTTGGGTACAACTAATGAGAACTTCTGTAGTTGGACACCTTATTTGGGAAGATAAGATTATCTGGGTTTCCAGCTTAAGGTTTTTAGCAGGGACGGATCTTTATTGAATAATTTTTTTCTAATGGGAAAAAACTAACAGTGTAGCAGAAAAAAACTAACAATGTAGCAGCAAACATTTTGTGTTTTGACCAAGTCTCTATTTTAGAACATTGTATCATGAACATAATTCAAATGGATTTTGAGTTGTGGAAATAGAACACATCTCTTGAAACACAATACCTTTAGCTGAATGATGTTCCTTTTTTTTTTTTTTTTTTTTTTTTGTTTTTTTTTTGGAGAAGGAGTCTTGCTCTGTTGCCTAGCCTGGAGTGGAGTGCGATGGCAGGATCTTGGCTCACTGCAACCTCCGCCTCCTCAGTTCAAGTGATTCTCCTGCCTCAGCCTCCCGAGTAGCTGGGATTACAGGTGCCTGCCACCAAGCGCGGCTAATTTTTTGTATTTTTAGTAGAGACAGGTTTCACTATGTTGGCCAGGCTGGTCTCGAACTCCTGACCTTGTCATCCGCCTGCCTCGGCCTCCCAAAGTGCTGGGATTACAGGCGTGAGCCATGATGTTCCTTTTAAAACTTGAGAGCTATTACTGCCCCCGATCCCGGAACGTAAAGATTAAATTATAAAAGTGAAAAATTCACCAAGGAATAAATAAGTCTGCATTTTACTCACTTTCTTAATTGTTTTACTGCTCTTTGTTCTTCACTTAAATTCAGTGAAATTTTTTTTATTTTAATGAAGCATCTAAAAACAAGTTTATTTTTTTGATGGATTTCAATTTACGTAGGTAGAAAACTAATCTTAACTAAGAAATGAAGATAAGCATACTGTTATCTTGGACATAAGTAAGACTGAATATGATTCTTAAACAGTTTTAAACTCCTATAAGCTTATTATGTGGTTGGAGATCCCTTGTGTTTATACTTTGAAAAGTTACCACTTTTCATGAAATTGTGAGTTAAAATCATGATATCTTCTTGAATTTTAGGTACTTACACTGTGAAATTTTATGATGGAGTAGTTCAGACTGTCAAACATATTCATGTCAAAGCTTTTTCCAAAGATCAGGTGAGAAATGTGGTTTTGTGCTTTGTGTTATGAATAATGCTAACATTGTAGTTTTGTTTCCTCAAATAAAGACATTACATTTGTTTATGATAGCAAGTGTTTATTTCCTCCATCTGACACAATTTCACCAGAAAATAATACACAAGTTTTCAGAAGTTGTAAATATTTGTCTCTTTGCTGTTTCCTATTTATTTATTTGTTTATTTAGAAACAGAGTCCCGCTCTGTCGCCCAGGCTGGAGTACAATGGTGCGATCTTGGCTCACTGCAACCTCTACCTCCTGGGTTCAAGCAATTCTCCTGTCTCAGCCTCCTGAGTTGCTGGGATTATAGGCGCACGCCACCATGCCTGGCTAATTTTTTTGTATTTTTAGTAGAGACGGGGTTTCACCGTATTGGTCAGGCTGGTCTCGAACTCCTGACCTCAGGTGATCCACCTGCCTTGGCCTCCCAAGGTGCTGGGATTACAGGTGTGAGCCACTGTGTCTGGCCACTGTTTCCTTTTAACAGAGATTTTTTTTCAAAAGTGCCAAATGCTTGGATACCATTGCCTATATTCTGTTCTCCTAATCTTTTTTCAACAATGGTTATTCTTTTCTTCTCTCTGTGCCCTGCGCCCCACAAGAGCTGTTAGCCATACAGGAAACTTGTTGAATTGCTTGAGGAGACCTCCAGTATGTTTTCTGTCCATCTAGCTCTGTCTTTTAGCTTAGGACCATTACTTGGTGGTTTACAGAGCTATCATTTGGCACAGATTTGGCAGCCACTTGTGCTAGATGTGCCTGGTTTGTGATTTTGGTATCCTGTTGTTCCAGTCACCATGCATGTACTTGCCTGAGCATGGGGCCTCAGTTTTGGTACTGGAAATATGGTTTGCATAGATACGGGCCATCTAGAAGTGTTGCCTACTTTCTTCATGATTTTTCCCCTTTTGTCTTTTTCGTGTTTATGTTTTAATAGTTGAGGGGAAAATAGAGATCAAAATTTGGATATTAGTCTTTTTAAAAATCCTGATTATTACTAATTTCAGCTGTTGAGACAGCTAATTTAGCAATTTAGTAAAAGATTTTATCACTGAGGCATCATAACTTGCTACTCATCTGCTTGGATAGTAGTTGATGTGACAATATTTGGTGATGCTATAACCTGTTGTGTCTTTGGTTTTTGGTTTTTTTTTTTTTGGAGACAGAGTCTTGTTCTGTTGCCTGGGCTGGTGTGCAGTGGCGCAATCTTGGCCCACTGCAACTTCCCCGCCTCCCCAGTTCAAGTGATTCTCCTGCCTCAGCCTCCCAAGTAGCTGAGACTAGGCGCGTGCCACCACGCCCGGCTCATTTTTTGTATTTTGGTAGAGACAGGGTTTCACCACGTTGTCCAGGCTGGTCTCAAACTCCTGAGTTCAGGCAATCTGCCCACCTCGGCCTCCCAAAATGCTAGGATTACAGGCATGAGCCATTGCGCCTGGCCCTCTGTTGTGTCTTTGTGATGATGAAATGATTCTACTTATCAGAGATTTTTAATGAATTCTTCTGTATGTATATTTGTAAGTTGTGTTTTTTTTGAGACCGAGTCTCTGTCTGTCACCCAGACTGAAGTGCAGTGGCCCAATCTCTGCTCAGTGCAAACTCCGCCTCCCAAGTTAAAGTGATTCTCGTCTCAGCCTTCTGATTTGCTGGGATTACAGGCATGTGCCACTACGCCTGGCTAATTTTTGTATTTTTAGTAGACGGGGTTTCACCATGTTGGCCAGGGTGGTCCTGAACTCCTGACCTCAAGTGATCCGCCCACCTTGGACTCCTAAAGTGCTGGGATTACAGGTGTGGGCCACCATGTCTGGCCTATTCATAAGTTTCTAAGAAATTTTTTTTTTTTTTTTTTTTTGAGATGGAGTCTCACTCTGTAGCCTAGGCTGGAGTACAGTGATGCAATCTAGGCTCACTGTAAACTCCACCTCCCGGGTTCAAGCAATTCTCCTTCCTCAGCCTCCTGAGTAGCCGGGACTACAGGCATGCACCACTATGCCCAGCTAATTTTTGTATTTTTAATAGAGATGGGGGTTTCACCATGTTGGCCAGGCTGGTCTTGAAGTCCTGACCTCGGGTGATCTGCCTACCTTGGCCTCCCAAAGTGCTGAGATTACAGGGCATGAGCCACCATGCCCAGCCGATTCAAAGGATTTTGATACATGATACCTTTAGTGGTAACCTCAAGAATGTTTTTGCCTTTTGCTGGTTTTCCTTTTCAGAAAATTAACAAAATTATTACATAAAGCTTTGGCCCTGATGATGCTTTTTCTTTGTTCACTTGTCTCTCTGGCATGTAAGGAGCCATACAGTACTCTAAAACATTATTTTGGCCTTAAATTTGGCAATTTTTGTGTTAGGTTTGTAGAACGAGTTAATATAGAGGACAGAATTATAAACTTGTCCAGAATTGGCAGGTTATATCCAGAACCTTCCCAAGTGGAAGTCCAGGGCTCTAGATAACAATTGTTCATCTGTTTACTCTGCGATACTCAGTAAATTGATGGATAGCACTCACAGTGCTTTGGCTTGGAGGTGGGTGCCTTACCCAGTGAGGATTTCTGGGTGCCATGCTTCATTTCTCATTTCCCAATGGCCTCTGAGTGTCTGACCTTAGCCCGGTAGGCCCTTAAGCACAGGCCCAAGGCTCCTGGACTTGGCTTCTTTTCCAAGAGGGTACAGTGGTTTGGCTAGAGTTATCTGTCATGGGCAATTTCAAAGGTTTTTCGTATACTATTGGAATAGATTGAGTTTTTTTTTTTTTTCTGTAGGACTGCACTGCCTTATAAATGTTTTGATAGTCTCTATATTAGTAACACTTATGTTTTTGAAGTTATAATACGTTTACTGTAGAAAAATATATAAGTACAAAGCACAAAGAAAATAAAAACTATAATTCCATCAAACAGATATCATTGTTCTTAACGTTTTGGTGTGTAACTTGACTTAACAATTTGATGTATACATCTTTCTGTGTTTTTTATTAAACGTACGTGTGTGTATTTATTTATTTTCAAAATTGGAGTTGTGGTACATTAATATAGTACTGCTCTTTTAACTAACATTTCCCCATGTTCCTTAATATTCTGAGAATATAATTTTTAACAGCTATGTAGTATTCTGTAATATGTATGTAACTACTTTGTGTAACCAATTCCCAAATGGTCATTAAGGATATTTGTAAATCCAGGTACACAAGTCTGATTATTATTTTAGCTAATTTTATTTCTAGGAATTTATTCTAGTTCAAAGGTATAACCTTTTTAGTTTTGACTCAAATTGCCATCTCCTCCCTGAACTCCCAACAAGAAGGGCAATTTCAGTTTATATTTCTGCTGGCTGTTACCGAGAATGCCTGTTCTCAAACCTGGCTGCTTTCAGAATAGTTTGGGGGACTTGAAAAAATATTTCCTTGTTTATTATTTTTCCCTGTAGAACAAATTAAACTTTTATTTGTTGAGTATTTAGGTACTCCTTCCTGCTTCCAGTGAAAACCTATGTGCCTAGTGTGTGCTAGGTGCTGGGCATCCCATATGAACATAGTATGGTGGTCTCTGCTCTTTTGAGGTCCTAGAAGAGAGATATGTACACAAATAAACTTAATTATAGTTTTGGAATCTCTAGAGCTTTCAGACCTGGCCTTATTATGAAACAGTCACAATAGAGGACCCTCGATTTTTAGTGTGAATTTTAAAGAATGTAATTTAGGGAGAACATAACTAAGAAGCGGTATTTCCTACCAATAGACAAAAACTCCAAGTAGCTCAGGAACATAGTAGGTGGCTTGTTGAACTGAGCACAGCCTTTACCTGATAGAGAAAGCAGAGACCCTGGTTCTGGGTTGGATAATCTTTATAGTTTTCCTGTTAAGCTTCCAGTTATCAGTTTTTGTTTTTCTATAGACAAGACATCAGCATTTGCTGGCAAACTGAACCAGGCCTCTGAAAAGCTCTGGGTCAGTATAGTCATGCTGGGGATAAGGACAGAGCATGAAGGCATTTTCTTCGAACACCTTTGTCAGAAAGATTGCTTTCCAGAATTTTAAGGCCAGGCATGGTGACTCATGCCTACAATCCCAATACTTTAGGAGGCTGAGGCAGGAGGATTGCTTGAGCCCAGGAGTTTGAGACCAGCCTGGGCAACATAGGGAGACCCTATTGCTACAAAAAATAACAATAAAAAACTTAGCTGGGTGTGGTGAAACATGCCTGTGGTCCCAGCTACTCAGAAGGCTGAGATGGGAGGATCGCTTGGGCCTGGGAGGTCGAGGCTGCATGAGCCATGATTGTGCCACTGCATTCCAGCCTGGGCAACAGAGAGAGACTCTGTCTCAGAAACAAAAACAAACAAAAACCCAGAATTTTATTTTCTAGTGACTTATTCGTCATAATAAGGGAGATTGCACTGTCTCCGGAATAATTGAATTGTTTTAAGTTTAAGGATTGGTTCTCAACTCAGTACAGGTGGCTGTTGTCAGTGGTGCTTTGTATATGTGATCTGGCGTATGTCTTGTTTTAATTTCTTTGTTTGTCTTCATAAGTTTGTAAGAAACTCCTAATTTTGTATTTGCAAGTAATCACGAAGTGTTTCATCGCTATTTTGCTCATTTTAGAATATTGTGGGTAATGCTAGGCCTAAAGAAACAGATCACAAAAGTCTTTCATCATCTCCTGATAAACGAGAGAAGTTTAAAGAACAGAGAAAAGCAACAGTGAATGTGAAGAAAGACAAAGAAGATAAACCCTTAAAGACAGAAAAGCGACCCAAGCAGCCTGATAAAGAAGGAAAGTTAATCTGTTCTGAAAAGGGGAAAGTGTCAGAGAAAAGTCTTCCCAAGAACGAGAAGGAAGACAAGGAAAACATTTCCGAAAATGACAGAGAGTATTCTGGAGATGCCCAAGTGGATAAGAAACCTGAAAATGACATTGTGAAGAGTCCACAAGAAAACTTGAGGGAACCCAAAAGAAAACGAGGCAGACCCCCTTCCATAGCTCCTACTGGTGAGTTTTTTAAGTGGGCTCTGCAATGGGCAATGCCAGAGTATTCTTCTGTGGCCCTTTGTGGTTCTTTGTAACTTGTGTACGTCAATCGTTTATTTTTGTGACTGATTTTGAATTGTCTTATGATCTGGAAACAAGTTGTGTTCATGAAGCTGAATTTAAGTGAGGTACATATCCAAGTGAATCTAAGTTGGGAAGCATGTTCATAACTGAGTTTGCTAAAGTAGTGGTTAACTGTTGACTAGATACTTCAGCTTATATGATAAAACCTGATAAACCGAGGCCTTTTGCTTATGCTTTTTCAAATGATCTCAGTTTAAGTCAGCTTAATAGAATCTAGAATCAGGAAATAGAGTTTTAATGAGACAGACATGAAAGAAAAGTAATAGTAAAAAGGTATGGGCTTCTGAAGGAGATGGGGACAAAGGAACATTGAAACTAGAAAAGCATGGGTGCATTTTGAAATTGAGCTCCTTGGAGAGTGATTATTGATTAGAAATTTTCACAGTCTAAATAAAAAGCCGAGATGGCTAATTGGTAAGAGTCAAGGTTAGAGGGTATAGATTTAGGGAAGAATGCAGTTATTAAAAAACTTAAAATTTGGAATTCTTCTAGAATAACCAAGAATGAAACAAGCCCTGATTTCTTCCTAAGCCAAACACTCGTTCTCCAAATCAATTCAATGGCATGAAGAGGCCCCCCCGGTTCTCTGGACTGAGCCTGCCATTGATTAATATGTGCAGTGACCTTCAGACATTCTTGATTGTGCATTCTTTATGTGTTCAGTTGAAAAACTGTGAATCCCCTAGCACGTTTTAAAGCAGTATTTATCTTTTTCTCACAAGTTTAAATAGCTGCAGTGGATACATTTAAAATACAAAACATGAAGGCTGAGTGCGTTGGTGCATGTTTGTTGTCCCAGCTACTCAGGAGGCTGAGGTGGGAGGATTGCTTGAGCCCAAGAATTCCAAACCAGCCTGGACAATGTAGTGACACCCCATCTCAAAACACACACACACACACACACACACACACACACACACACACACACAAATATTTTCATCAAAACTGTGGAACTACAGAGCAAACCTTTTCATTATTCCCTAACGATGTAGAGAATGCAAAGCCAGTCTTCCTTATCAAATCAGACTATCAGACTTAATTTCTGTGGAAAAAAATTTAACTTACTTCACATAAGTGTATTAGTACTCATTGTAAGATAGGAAATTATATAATAGGTTGATTTGTCTCTATATGAAATAAGGGATCTTTCCCTGTAGTGCTTGTAACTGGGTTTTGCCCTCAAGAGCTGAGGGTGCTGCAATTGTCTGTAGGCCTAAATAGGGCCTAGACCTCTGCTGTCTAGTATGGTAGCCACTAGCTGCATGGGGCTATTGACTACTTGAAATGTAGCTAGTCTGAATTGAGATATGCTGTAAGTGTAAGTAAATGCTAGATTTCAAATACTTAGTTCAAAAAAAGAATGTAACACACCTCGATTTTAAAATACTGATTACGGCTGGGCCTGTAATCTCAGTGGTTTGGGAGGTCCAGGCGGGTGGATTACTTGAGGTTAGGAGTTTGAGACCAGCCTGGCCAACATGGTGAAACCCCGTCTCTACTGAAAAAATATAAAGACAAATTAGCCAGGCTTGGTGGTGGGTGCCTGTAATCCCAGCTACTCAGGAGGCTGAGGCAAGAGAATTGCTTGAAACCCAGGAGGCGGAGGTTGCAGTGAGCTGAGATCGGGCCACTGCATTCCAGCTTGGGCGACAAAACAAAAAAAAATTGATTCCATGTTGAAATGTTTTTAGAGGCTGGGTGCAGTGCCTCATCCCTGTAATCATGCCAGCACTTTGGGAGGCTGATGAGGGAGGATCACTTGAGTCCAGAAGTTCGAGACCAGCCTTGGCAACATAGTGAGACCTCATCTCTACAAAAAATGAAAAAATTGGCTGAGAGTGGTGGCACGTGCTTGTAGTCCCAGCGATTCCAGAGTCTGAGGCAGGAAGGTTGCTGAGCCCAGTTTAAAAAAAAAATTTTTTTTAAAGTACTGGATTAAATAAAATAGTATTTAAATTAACTTTTTAAGTTGTGTTTTTTTTTTTTTTTTTTTTTTTTTGACAGGGTCTCACTCTGTTACCTAGGCTGGAGTGCAGTGGCGTGATTGTGGCTCACTCCATTCTCCACCTCCTAGGCTCAAGCGATGCTCCTATCTCAGCCTCCTGAGTAGCTGGGACTACAGGCACATGCCACCATGCCCAGCTAATTTATTTCTTGTAGAGACAGGGTTTCACTATGTTGCCCAGGTTTGTCTCAATCTCTGGGCCTCAAGCAAGCAATCCTGCCTTGGCCTCTGAAAGTGCTGAGATTACAGGCATGAGCCACCATGCCTGGCACTTAAAAACCAAACCCTCTTATGTGATGAGTAAAAAATTCAAAATTGGCCAGGCGTGGTGGCTCAGGAATTTGAGACCAGGCTGGCCAACATGGTGAAATCCCGTCTCCACTAAAAATACAAAAATTGGCCGGGCATGGTGGTTCATGCCTGTAATCCCAGCATTCTGGGAGACCAACATGGGTGGGTCACCTGAGGTCAGGAGTTCGAGACCAGCCTGGCCAACATGGTGAAACCCCCATCTCTACTAACAACACAAAAATTAGATGAGCGTGGTGGCATGCACCTGTAATCCCACCTACTTGGGAGGCTGAGGCAGGAGAATCTCTTGAACCCAGGAGGCAGAGGTTACAGTGAGCCGATATCGCACCACTGCTCTCCAGCTTGGGTGACAGAGCGAGACTCCATCTCAAAAAAACAAAAAATAATAAAATAAAATAAAATTACATGTGGCTTGCACTCTTAGTATATTTCTGTTGGACAGCACTGACTTTATGTTCACTGGCTTTCTCAACTGAGTTTTGGGAGAGAAGCCACAATACCCAAGGCATCCTTGATCTGTGATGGATTGACCTTAGTGCATTGAGAATGGTACTAGCTGTATACCACCCTTAGGAAAACAGAGAAAATATATCTCTGTTCAGATGGGGAACCCCAGTTGAGAAAATCTGGAAGTTTTAAACCTCCAGGCTGAGCACCATGTTAAGATGTGGGATGAGTGAGAGGCAGGCCCTTTTATGTAAAGTGGGAGAAGGGCAGTTAAAGGCAGTTATTATACAAGGAGAGGTGGAAAATGTAAACTGGCAGAAATCTGACATGTCCTTAGGCAGAAATCTGACATGTCCTTAGCTCAGTTTAGGAAAGAGTATGTATGAGAATTGAGTGTTTTGAAACTAATTCTCCTTTAGGTATTCATGCCCTGGCTTATACCCTCCAGAAGGTATGTACAGAAGTAGTTGTACCCCAACAAGCAGACTGCTCCTTTGAAGCCACATGACTCCATTGAGATAAGAACAAGGACATTCAGTTTTTATATTTTTATAAGTGTAGGATTTCATAATGAGTAGGATAAATTTAATATAGAAGGGATGTTTTCTAAGTTTATGGTTAATCCTTGCCCAAGGCATTTGTGAAAACAGATTCCAGCCATGCCTCAGTTCTTTTCCAGTCAGACTGTCTGGATGGGAATCTGGGAATATGAATTGTTAACAAGCTTCCCAGATGACTTATACTGTAAGAAGAGTTTGGGAAACACTCAAGTTCTGTACAGTCAGCTCCTATTTATATACGGTATCAAAGGGAAGAAGACTTGCCAAGTATCCCATATATTGTTCACATCCCCTTAAAACATTACTTGGAATAAGTTCATTGATTTGTAGAGCCTTCCTTGAGCACCCTAGATTGTATAGACTTGATTGGGAACAGGATCTGAGCTATTTAGAGAGGGTTGTTTATATATATTTTAATTTTTATTTTTTTGAGATGGAGTCTTACTCTGTCTCCCAGGCTGGAGTGCAGTGGCATGATCTCGGCTCATTGTAACCACCGCCTCCTGGGTTCAAGTGATTCTTGTGCCTCAGCCTCCCAAGTAGCTGGGACTACAGGCATGTGCCACCATGCCTGGCTAATTTTTTGTATGTTTAGTAGAGACAGGGTTTCACCATGTTGGCTATGCTAGTCTTGAACTCCTGAGCTCAAGTGATCTGCCTGTCTCTGCCTCCCAAAGTGCTGGGATTACAGGCGTGAGCCACCACACCCAGCCTGTTTGTATTTATGTTTAACTTGGAATGTGTGGGATTTCCAAGTTCTGCCAGTTGGAACAAAATAATATTGGCCCATTGGGAAGTTGGAACACAGGAAGAGCCTCAGAGTTCAACAGTCTTCTCTGGTTTGCTTCCTCACACTTCAGGCCGTGTCTTGTTGAGCCATTTGACCGACCTGAAGCTACAGGTCTTAGATGAGTCTTTTCTGTCCCTCTTCCCCTCTTCTCATCTTTCTCCCTTCCCTTCCTCTTTTCCTCCCATTTACTTCTCTTCTTCCCTCTTCCTTTCCTCCTTCCTCTTCTCTCTCCTCCTTTCACCCTTCCTGAGACCCCTTAGCTCTGCCTTCCTGCCCAACTTCCCAGTTTCTTTCTTCTGCCTGCCTTTTCAATTCTCATCTTTTCTGATTTGGGGTAAGCTTCTTAGGTGGTAGGTTTAAAACAAAATAGTAAGGGCTGGGCATGGTGGCTCACGCCTGTAATCTCAGCACTTTGGGAGGTCAAGGCAGGCAGATCACCTGAGGTCAGGAGTTCGAGAACAGCCTGACCAACATGGAGAAACCCTGTCTCTACTAAAGATACAAAATTAGCCAGGTGTGGTGGCGCATGCCTGTAATCCCAGCTACTTGGGAGGCTGAGGCAGGAGAATCACTTGAACCCGGGAGGCAGAGCTTGCGGTGAGCTGAGATCGCACCATTGCAGTCCAGCCTGGGCAACGAGAGCAAAACTCTATCTCAAAAAAAAGTTAATAGTAAATACTATGCTGGGCAGGTGGCTCACACCTGTAATCTCAGCACTTTGGGAGGCTGAGGCGGGCAGATCACTTGATGTCAGGAGTTCAAGACCAGCCTGGCCAACATGGTGAAACCCCATCTCTATTAAAAATACAAAAAAAAAAAAATTTTGCTAGGTATGGCAGGTGCCTGTAATCCCAGCTACAGGGAAGGCTGAGGCAGGACAATCACTTGAACCCAGGAGGCAGAGGTAGCAGTGAGCCGAGATCGTGCCACTGCACTCTAGCCTGGGCAACAGACCCAGACTTCATCTCAAAAAAACAAGCAAGCAAGCAAGCAAGCAAGCAAACAAAATCTAAATAGTAAGTACTCTTCAAAGGCTTAGCGTCTGTACTGCTAAATTATGTCAGAGCTGGGTTTGCTGGGGACCAGCAGCCTTGCCTGAAACATTGACTGTTAACTAGCATAGTCTCCCAAGAATTTTTTTAGGATTTTGTTTAAGAAAATACAAATTCTCGGCTGGGTCTCATGGCTCATGCTTGTAATCCCAGAACTTTGGGAGGACGAGGCAGCTGGATCACTTGAGGTCAGGAATTTGAGACCAGCCTGACCAACATGGGGAAACCGTGACTCTACTAAAATTACAAAAATTAGCCGGGTGTGGTGTCGGGTGCCTGTAATCCCACCTACTCCGGAGGCTGAGGCAGGAGAATCGTTTGCACCTGGGAGGCGGAGGTTGCAGTGAGCAGAGATCGCGGCACTGCACTCCAGCTTGGGTGACAGAGCGAGACTCCATCTCAAAAAAAAAAAATCCACAAATTCTCTTGGACATTTTTCTTGTACCCTCAAAACTAGGCCCAGTGCTAAGATAATTAATGTAGCAAGTAGAGGTTGAAAACTGGAGCTGGATCATAGAAAAGATTCAGGAGGTCAATTGGCAAGGTATCACCATCTCCTGTAAGGAAGTAATTTCTCACTCATTTTACTTTTTTTCTTTTATCTTAAGTAAGAATGCCCTTTTGATGGCCCATTTATAATGCAGTGATTTCTGCATATATATATGTATATATGTTTTATTTATATATAAAAATGACAGACACTAAGAAATTATGTATCTTTTTTTGTGTGGTTTTATAAACATGGTAGCTGTGGATTCAAACTCTCAAACTTTGCAACCAATAACATTGGAACTGAGAAGAAGGAAAATATCAAAAGGATGTGAAGTCCCATTAAAACGTCCTCGGCTTGACAAAAATTCATGTGAGTCTACAGTTTGTTTATGTGTGGCTAGAATTTGACGTTGTTTGGGTCAACTTCCTCTATATTCATCCTGTCCCCCATTCCCTATAGGCTCTAATGTTTGTCTCTGGTCACATGAGGTAATGTGAGTTGGATGCAGTTGGATCAGAAGGAGTTTTTGCTAGAAGAAAAATAAATCCCAAAGCACAAACTGTACTAATGTTGGGTTCTGTGGTATCATCTCCATATCCATAAATCACATTTGATTTGGATGCCACTGGAAATTTAATGGCTTAGGAAGGGATGGGTTTCATATGCAGAGTGAAACTTTAAAAATACTACTTATTGGCCTGGCGCAGTGGCTCATGCCTGTAATCCCAGCAGTTTGGGAGGCTGAGGTGGGTGGATCATCTGAGGTCAGGAGTTTGAGAACAGCCTGGCCAACATGGTGAAACCCTATCTTTACTAAAAATATAAAAATTAGCCGGGTGTGGCCAGGCGCGGTAGCTCACGCCTGTAATCCCAGCACTTTGGGAGGCTGAGGTGGGCAGATCATGAGGACGGGAGATTGAGACCATCTTGGCTAACATGGTGAAACCCCATCTCTACTAAAAATATAAAAAATTAGCCGGGTGTTGTGGCAGGCACCTGTAGTCCCAGCTATTCAGGAGGCTGAGGCAGAAGAATGGCATGAACCCGGGAGGCGGAGCTAGCAGTGAGCCGAGATCGCGCCACTGCACTCCAGCCTGGGCGAGAGAGCGAGACTCCGTCTCAAAAAAAAAAAAAAAAAAAAAAAAAAAATTAGCCGGGTGTGGTGGCGGGTGCCTGTAATCCCAGCTACTTGGGAGGCTGAGGCAGGAGAATTGTTTGAACTTGGGAGGCAGAGGTTGCAGTGAGCCAAGACTGTGCCACTGCCCTCCAGCCTGGGTGATAGAGTGAGACTCTGTCCTATAAAAAATAAAAATACAAAATAAAATACTATTTATTGATTTAAAAAAATACCCTCTGGAGTGAGTTGGCTCAAATGTTTAAATAAATTTAAAATAAAATAGTATCCTGTTGGCTCCAAAAAGGATTTGTGATAGCTCTAAGTAAGGCTCTTATAAACCTTTTTAAGTCGACTTTGCAAGTTAGTACATTTGGGAAGCCCCAAAATAGAACATAGTTGTCAAGATTCGGACATGACCTAGCACATGTTTTCAGACCATGAATCCTTAAAGAAGTGAAATTCTATCCTGGCAGGGACACTTTTCCCTTACTTAAAACTGTAAACTAGTAAAGGGTATTTCCTTTTATCACTACTCTAACATTCCAGTAGTCTCTCTGTAAAGTCCTTTTAGAGACATCCAGCCCTGAAATCTGTAGTAGCACAGTTATTTCTTCTTGTTGGTCTCTTGACTACAACTCTCTTAATGGTTTAATAGCCCAGGAAAAGTCAAAAAACTACTCGGAAAACACTGACAAAGACTTATCGAGGAGACGTTCCTCCAGGCTGTCCACTAATGGGACCCATGAGATCCTAGATCCTGACTTGGTTGTATCAGATTTGGTTGATACGGATCCTTTGCAAGACACGTTGTCTAGTACCAAGGAATCTGAAGAAGGTGAGTCAGTCTGTTCAGGAATTGTCTTGCCAACCTGGTTCCTATTTAGTGAGAATCAATGTAAATCATTATGTTCTGCCTTCCACAAGTATTAAATTGTCTTGAAATCAAACTATTGAATGTGCTGCAGTGTTTTTATAATGTATTGCTCTTCACTGATGATTTATTCAATAGACATACTTTCTGGATGCATTTGTGGTTGGTTTTGCTTATCTACCGTTCAGTGTTGGCCTGGAGGTACACTGTTCGAAGAGCCCTGCTTCTCTCTCTCTGCTGCCATCTCATTCGTGCCTTTGTGTTTATACTTCCAGCTATTTTTCCTTTCACTTTAACCTCTTTCTTTGAGAAGCTCACAAGCCAGCCTGTATGTATGGGAACCTGTGAATGTATGCTTTTATGTTTTAGATTAATTCCTTCCTCTAAAAAGTCCCTGGCTTTCTTAGACTGTTGTAGGACTTTTGATTTCAGAATTACATACATGTATATTTCCCCCAAACTTTCTTTTTTTCTTCTAGGTCAGTTGAAGTCTGCTTTGGAAGCTGGCCAGGTCTCATCTGCACTGACTTGCCACTCCTTTGGGGATGGATCCGGGGCTGCAGGCTTGGAGTTGAACTGCCCATCAATGGGAGAAAACACGATGAAAACAGAACCGACTTCTCCCCTTGTGGAATTACAAGAGATTTCGACTGTGGAAGGTTCATATTTAGAGTTAAATTAATCCTCTTTTTATATACACTTTTGCTTATGCTTTGTGAACTAAAAAAAAAAAAATGACTTTTCTGTTGTTGTTTTTCACCTTTTATTAATATTCCCTTATCATTTTAATGTTATGCTCCTTTCATTTCTGATTTTGATAATTTGTGTTCCCTCTCTTAGTATGACTAGGGCTTTATCTATTTTGTTTTCAAAGAACTAACTTTTTACTTCAATTTTCTCTATTGTTTATTTTTAAAAATATAATTGATTTCTGTTTTGATCTTGCTTTCTTCCTTCAATTTTTTCTAGAACTTTACCTAATTGATTTTAGATCTTTCTTCCTTTTTTTTTTCATTACCTGGTGAAAAGATCTTTCTTCCTAATATGAGTATTTAAAGTTATAAATTTCTGGCTGGGCGCGATGGCTCATGCCTGTAATCCCAGCACTTTGGGAGGCCGAGGTGGGTGGATTGCCTGAGGTGGAGAGTTCGAGACCAGCCTGGCCAGCATGGTGAAACCCCGACTCTACTAAAAATACAAAAATTAGCTGGGCATGGTGGCAGGCACCTGTAGTCCCAGCTACTCGGGAAGCTGAGGCAGGAGAATTGCTTGAACCCAGGAGGCGGAGGTTGCGGTGAGCCAAGATCATGCCATTGCACTCCAGCCTGGGCAGCAGAGCGAGACTCAGTCTAAATAAATAAATAAATAATGAAATTATACATTTCCCACTGAGAACTGCTTTAGCAGCATCCTACACATTTTGATACGTTGTGTTTTTATTTTTGTTCAATTTAATATATCTTGTGATTTATTTGTTGACCATGGGTTACTTAGAAGTATGTTGTTTCAGTTTGAAGTATTTTATGTTTTTGTAGATACCTTATTGCTATTGATTTCTAATATAGTTTTACTGTGGTCAGAGAACATACTCTGTAGGATTTCAATCTTTTTATATTTGTTGCGATTTAATTTATGGTCCAGCATATGATCTGTCCTGGTGAATGTTTCATATGCACTTGAAAAGAATGTGTATTTTACCGTTGTCATGTGTTTGTTCTGTATCTGTCAGTTAGATCAAGGTAGTTGATGGTGTTTCTCTGATAAATTGATTTTTGTGGGGTTTTTTTCCTTTTGGTCTAGTTCTGTCAATTTCTAAGAGAAGGTTGTTAGGTTGTTAAAATCTCTGTTATTGTGGATTTGTTCATTTCTCCCTTTAATTTTGTCATTTTTGCTTTGTGTATTTTGAAGATCTTTTAGATGCATACACATTTATAATTTTTTTTTTTTTTGAGACAGAATCTTGCTTTGTCACACAGGCTGGAGTGCAGTGGTTGATCTCCACTCACTTCAACCTCTGCCTCCTGGGTTCAAGCAACTCTCATGTCTCAGCCTCCCGAGTAGCTGGGATTACAGGAGTGTGCCACCACGCCCAGCTAATTTTTGTATTTTTAGTAGAGACAGGGTCTCTCCGTGTTGACCAGGTTGGCCTCGAACTCCTGACCACAGGTGATCTGCCCACCTCGGCCTCCCAAAGTGCTAGGATTACAGGTGTGAGCCACTATTTCTGGCCTAAATGTAATTGTTGATATGGTTGGTTTTTAGGCTAACATTTGGCTGTGTTTTGTCTGTTTTTTTGTTTTTTTTTTTTTTTTTTTTAAGACAGAGTCTTGCTCTATCGCCCAGGCTGGAGTGCAGTGGTGCGATTTCTGCTCACTGCAACGTCTGCCTCCCGGGTTGAAGCGATTCATCTGCTTCAGCCTCCTGAGTAGCTGGGATTATAGGCACCCACCACCACAATCGGCTAATTTTTGTATTTTTTAGTAGAGACGGGGTTTCACCATGTTGGCCAGGCTGGTTGTCTGTTTATATTATTTGTGTTTTGTTGTTTTGTTTCTTGTTTTTTAGGTTAACTGATTTTTTAAGAATTTCATTTTAATTCATCTGTTAGCTTTTAGCTGTATTTCTAGCATTTTGAAAGAGGTTACTCTATGGATTATGGTATACATCCTTAACTTCTCACAGTTCACTTAGAGTTAATATTTAACCACTTTATGTAAAAATGTTCCATTAACCTCCCCCATGTTGTAGTTGTCACATGAATTATATCTGTATATGCTATAAATTCCTTTTTAAAAAATTTTTTATTTACATATTTTTTTGAGATGGCATTTCACTCTTGTTGCCCAGGTGGAGTGCAATGGCACGATCTTGGCTCACTGCAACCTCCACTTCCCAGATTCAAGTGATTCTCCTGCCTCAGCCTCCCAAGTAGCTGGGATTACAGGCATGTGCCACCACGCCTGGCTAAATTTTTTTTGTATTTTTAGTAGAGATGGGGTTTCACCATGTTGGTCAAGCTGGTCTGGAACTCCTGACGTCAAGTGATCTACCCGCCTTGACTTCCCAAAGTACTGTGATTATAGGCGTGAGCCACCACACCTGGCCTGCTATAAATTTCATAATGTAGTATTATAAGTTTTGCTTTACACAATTATGTATGTTAAAGACGATAAGGCAAAAAGCGACAGTCATATTTACACATGCCTATTTCCAATGTTCTTTATTTCTTCGAAGATTTCTTTTCAGCATGAAGAATTTCCTTCAGATTTTCTTATAGGTTCCTGATGACAAATTCTTCTGGTTTTTGTTAAAACTTGACTTTTTTTTTTTAAAGATAGAGTCTCACTCTGTTTCCCAGGCTGGAGTGCAGTGGCACAATCACAGCTCAGAGCAGCCTGGACCTCCTGGGCTCAAGTGATCCTCCTGTCTCAGTCACTTGAGTAGCTGGGACTACAGGCGTGTGCCACCATGTCCAGCTAATTTTTTTTCTTTTCTCAACTTTTAGTTAAAAAACAAACAAATAAGACTGTGTGTCTATAGAATTGTCTACTTTTTATTTGGATAACTTAAAAAATTTTTTTTTGAATAGTTTTTTTTTTTCTTGGCCAGATGCTATATAGTTAACATAAATGTAGTAGAGCAGCTGTTTGAAAATAGTGAATCTCAGCACTCTGGGAGGTTGAGACTGGAGGGTCACTTGAGGCCAGGAGTTCAAGACTCGCTATATTGAAGGCCTTGCATCAACATAGTGAGACCCTCCCTCTTCAAAAAATAAAAAAATTAGCCTGGCATGATGGTTCATGCCTATAGTCCCAGCTACTTGGGAGGCGGAGGTGGGAGGATCACTTGAACCAGGGAGGTCGAGGCTGCCTTGAGCTGTGATTGTACCACTGCCAGCCTGGGTGACAGAGGAAGACCCTATCTCCTAAAATATTTTAAAAAATTGGCCAGGGGTGGTGGCTCACGCCTGTAATCCCAGCACTCTCGGATGCCTAGGCGGGCAGATCATTTGAGGTCAGGAATTCGAGACCAGCCTGGCCAACATGGTGAAACCCCGTCTCTACTAAAAATACAAAAATTTGCTGGGCTTGGTGGCGCACGCCTGTAGTCCCAGCTACTCTGGAGATTGAGACAGGAGAATTGCTTAAACCCAGAAGGCAGAGGTTGCAGTGAGTTGAGATCGCACCACTGCACTCCAGCCTGGGTGACAGAGTGAGATTCCATCTCAAAAAAGAAAAAAAAAAAATTAAAAGAGTACCGAAGTATTCATTCCTAGCTCATCTCGGCGGCTGTTCTCTTAGTTCTCTGTCTAGCTTCGTCCATAGTGTTGTGCTTCAGCCTCGAGGGCTTGTCGGGGCAAGGGATCTTCCTTTTTTTGCTACTCCTCCTCTTAGTGTCAGGGCTCTTTTCTTCCCAGCCTGCTCTTCTGACATGTGGGGCAAATTACTAAAGTTCATATGTAAATGAGGTGGAAATTTAATCTCGGAATTTAGTTGTCTGTCTTGGCAGGGAGAACTCTAGATGACAGCCACATCCCCTGTGACTCAGCAGACTAAGCTTTTAATTATGTTGTCTTAAGGGTAGTGGTATGTTAGACGTCACTTGAAATTTGTAGTTAATTGTTCCTACACCACTAGGAAACACGCCATGCATATAAGTGAGGAGACTAGATTAGAAGCTAACTCCAGTGCCTTTTGTAAAGTTTACGTATTTTATGGGGTCTTGGGCTATACTTTTTCCCAAAATATACACATACATAATTTCTGTCTTGTGTTAGCTAACCTAATTATGTTTCTGGATTGTGGAGAGGACAGAATCAAGTATAGTAAGGGTGGGACAGGTGAGTCTAGGGGAAAAGGATGATGATGAGATTTCATGTCGTCGTCTGCATCCTTACAAAGGTCTCACAGTAGCCTTTCTAAGGGAATAATTTTGAAACCATTGCAACTGATTGAAGCACTTATCTATTTTCCAAGAGGGTTAATAGTAAGGGTGGAGGTCAAATTACTTTGAGCTTGAGCCAAGAGGAATAAATATAGCATGGAACCCATTACTGTATTTTTTTTTTTGAATGAGGTATTTGCTTTTTGCTTTAGTGACTTAAAAGCCAGAAGAGATGGCCGGGCCTGGTGGCTCATGCCTGTAATCCCAGGACTTTGGGAGGCCGAGGTGGGCAGATCACTTGAGGTCAGGAGTTCGAGACCAGCCTGGCCAACATGGTGAAACCCCATCTCTACCAAAAATACAAAAATTAGCCGGGTATGGTGGCAGGCGCCTGTAATCCTAGCTACTCGGGAGGCTGAGGCAGGAGAGTTGCTTGAACCTGGGAGGTGGAGGTTGCAGTGAGCCGAGATTGCGCCCCTGCACCCAGCTTAGGTGACAGAGCGAGACTCTATCTCAAAAATAAAAAAATTAAAAAGCCAGAGACGAATGCAGTTGTGACTGTTGTAATTGGGCAAGCATTCATTTATGCAGTAAAACAGAAGTTAGTAATTCCCCTAGAAGTTTAGAGGTCTCAGGCTGGGCGTGGTGGCTCACGCCTGTAATTCTAGCACTTTGGGAGGCCAAGACGGGCAGATCACCTGACGTCAGGAGTTAGAGACCAGCCTGGCCAACATGGTGAAACCCCATCTCTACTAAAGATACAAAAATTTGGCCGGGCGCAGTGTCTCATGCCTGTAATCCCAGCACTTTGGGAGGCCGAGGCAGGCGGATCACAAGGTCAGGAGATCAAGACCATCCTGTCTAACACGGTGAAACCCCGTCTCTACTAAAAATACAAAAAAATTGGCCGGGCGTGGTGGCTGGCGCCTGTAGTCCCAGCTACTTGGGAGGCTGAGGCAGGAGAATGGCGTAAACCTGGGAGGCGGAGCTTGCAGTGAGCCTAGATCATGCCACTGCACTCCAGCCTGGGCGACAGAGTGAGACTCTGTCTCAAAAAAAAAAAAAAAAAAAAAAAAGATACAAAAATTTGCTGGGCATGGTGGTGGGCGCCTGTAATCCTGGATACTTGGGAGGCTGAGGCAGGAGAATTGCTTGAACCTGGGAGGAAGAGGTTGCAGTTTGCCGAGATCGTGCCACTGCTCTCCAGCCTGAGAGACTCCATCTCAAAAAAAAAAAAAAAAAAAAAAAAGAGTGAGACTCCATCTCAAAAAAAAAAAAAAAGTTTGGAGGTCATATTATTATCTGAAAATGGGCTGCTGCAAATATTTAGCAAGTGCCTAGTAAGTGCCAATGCCAGACCCTATTCTTTTCTTTCTTTTCTTTTTTTTCTTTTTTTATTTTTATTTTTTATTTTTGAGACAGTCTCACTGTGTTGCCTAGGCTGGAGTGCAGTGGTGTGATTTCGGCTCACTGCAACCTCCGCCTCCCAGGTTCAAGTGATTCTCCTGTCTCAGCCTCCCACTTTCTTTTTTTTTTTTTTGAAGGTGGAGTCTCACTCTTTTGCCCACGCTGTAGTACAGTGGTATGATCTTAGGTCACTGCAGCCTCTAACTCCTGGTCTCAAGTGATCTCCTGCTTCAGCCTCAGACCCTATTCTAAGCTGTCTCATTGGTTGATACTCTACAAGAAGCACAGAATAAACAAGAGAGAAAAACAAATAGAAGTACAGGTCCATTCAGTTAAGTTCTTTTTACTAAATACCTGGTAGAAGTGGGACACTTTGCCACAGGATCCAGATCAGTGATTCTAACCCATGAAATCTTGCTGTGTTTGTTGTTAGTTATAAAACGAATGAATTGTCACTGAAGTATCAAAAATTAACAGATGATTTACTTATAAATTAACTAGTTAAGATTTAGCATGATGACTATAATAGTTTTTGCAAATTATTTACTTTTAAATTAACCAGTTAAGATTTAGTGTAATGCCTATAGTATTTTAGCTTTAATGAATTTGTGTTCTCTATGGTTTCTTGAGCAGGAGAGTCATAGATCTACAGCCATTTTAGTTTGGGAAATTGTGTGTGTCTATGGTTTTTCATATCATCAAGTATGTATTGTGATGGAAACTGATAGAGAATTCATTATTCTGGGGGTTAGAGAGATGAATGCGACATCTGTTCTAGGCCCTTCCAGGTCTTTCTGTCCAGACGAATGGATGAGACTTCAGATACCTATGATACAAGAAAGTAAGATGATGTCATGACAAACTTAGAATGAAACTATGAGAATAGAGAGAAGAATGACAGTGAAAATGTGTGCCTGCTACATAGAAATGGACCTCTTCAGGTTGGCGTGTGCGAGATTTTCTTGCTCTAGGGAGATTGTTTAAGCAATCACTATGTCGACAAACACAGATGTTTCCCTTTCTGAATTCATATGATGAAGATCAGGGATCCAAACTTATTCAAAAAGCTAAAGAGGCACCATTCGTACTTGTTGGAATAGAAGGTTTTGCAGCAATTGTTGCATATGGATTATACAAATTGAAGAGCAGGGGAAATACTAAAATGTCCCTTCATCTGATCCACATGGGTGTGGCAGCCCAAGGCTTTGTTGTAGGAGCAATGACTGTTGTTATATCATGTATCGAGAATTCTGGGCAAAACCTAAGCCTTAGAAGAAGAGACGCTGTCTTGCTCTTGTAGGAGGAGCTTGTTTTAGTTAGACGTCTCATTATTGAAGTTACGTATTATTGTTGAAAATAAACTAATTTGTATGGGTTTAGATGGTAACACGGCATTTTGAATATTGGCTTCCTTTCTTGCAGGCTTGATTTGCCTGTTGACTGAATTACTAGTGACTAGTTTACTAACTAGGTCATTCAAGGAAGTCAAGTTAACTTAAAAGAAACATGTCACCTAAATGCACTTGATGGTGTTGAATGTCCACCTTCTTAAATTGTTAAGATGAACTTAGTTCTAAGGAAGATAACAGGCCAACCCTGAAGTACTCCCAGTTTGCTGCAGAATCTCACATATTTTGGATGTTATAGAAGAGTCCTATTTGCCCTAGTTAATTTAACTTTTTTTTTGCCTGTTTTGTGGACTGGCTGGCTCTTTTAGAACTCTGTCCAAAAAGTGCATGGACTATAACTTGTAAAGCTTCCCACAACTGACAATATATATATGTGCATGTATTTAAACCAAATCTGGAAAACTTACAATACAGCTGCATAATGGTAGTATTTATTAAAGAATCACAATTGTAAACATGAGAATAACTTATGGATTCTAGTTTAGTTCTTTAGTAATTGCAAATTATATTTTTGCTGTTGTTATATTAGAATAATTTTTGAATGTCATCTTGAAATAGAAATATGTATTTTAAGCACTCATGCAAAGGTAAATGAACACTGTTTAAATGTGTGCTTTGCTTATTTTTTCTGTAACAATCGTAAACATTAAACTGAACAAATTACCTACAGTAGTTTTGATTAATGACCTAAGAGCAAGCTGGTTTGGCCAGACAGTGTACCCAAACTTTTATATACCATCGAATGTTATTACACTTGTGAAATTCTCCTGTCTAACCTGAATTTACATTCCATGGTGGTTACATGGTATATGTATTATTATTAAAGTAAGTGAGCCATGTCAAAAAAAAAACAAAAAAACAAATTGACCTCTTCAAGACCAGCCTGGGCAACATGGTGAAACCCCATCTCTCCAAAAAAAAAAAAAAAACCCTCCAAAACAAAACAGAATAAAACCCCAAAAAACCAAATTAGCCGGGTGTGGTGGCATGTGCGTGTAATCCCAGCTACTTGTGAGGCTGAGGTGGGAGAATCGATTGAGCCCAGGAGGTCAAAGCTATAATAAGCCATGATCATGGCAACACTGTGCTCCAGAGCTGTGACAGAGTGAGACCCTGTGAAAGAAGGAAAGAAAGAGAGAAAGAGAAAGGAGAGAGAGAAAGAAATTAATTGACTTCAACTCACTTACTGAGCCTTTACCATATGCCTAGGACTGCTAACTGTTGCGTATGCAAAGATGAGTGGGCACTCTTGGACTTAGTGTTCATTAACTGCTATTTGGATTTGCTATTTGCCTCTTGGGGAGAGGTGATACTTAGGTTGGTGCTTTAGCGGCAGGGATGGAAGAAGGCGGTACTTGCACGGGAACCTGAAGGATGGGCAGCAGTTAGGCATTTGAAAATGGAGGCAAAGCAGCTAGCACAGCATGACCATAGGGCGATTTCTGAGACTGTCAGGTATGTGTTTTGAGGTAATTGCAGACTTCCTGAAGTGGGTTAAGGTGGGGTAAGTTGCTGCCAAACTGAGGTTGGTTGCTTTGAGGAATTTACTGAGAAACTGAAAAATGCTTCATTTTCAGGATAGGGAGATAGCCTGTGTTGGCAGGATTGCTTTCCTTCCATTTAGCTATTTTGTGGCCATAAGGTATTTTTTCTGCATATATTTTAAAGAAGTTTTTATTTTGAAATAATTTGTTATTAAAAATGTTGTTAAAAAATGGTACAAAGAATATACCTTTAACCAAATTCCCCAATTGCTAGCAATTTACCATATTTACTTTATTATTCTACTCTTTAAAGTACTTTTTCTAGATGGGATGCGGTGGCTCATGCCTGTAATTCCAGCACTTTGGGAGGCTGACGCGGGCAGATCACTTGAGGTCAGGAGTTCGAGACCAGCCTGGCCAACATAGTGAAACCCTTTCTCTACAAAAATAAAAAAATTAGTCAGGCGTGATGGCACATGCTTGTAGTCCTAGCTACTCGAGAGGCTGAGGCAGGAGAATCTCTTGAGCTCGGGAGGCGGAGATTGCAGTGAGCCAAGATTGTGCCACTGTACTCCAGCCTAAATGACAGAGCGAGACTCTGTCTCAAAGAAAACAAAAATTAAAAATTTTTTTTTAGAAAGTACTTTTTCTGAATTGTTTAAAAATAAGTTCCAGACCTTTATCTCTAAATACCTTTTTTTTTTTTTTTTTTTTTTCTGAGACGGAGTTTCTCGCTCTTGTCACCCAGGCTGGAGTGTAGTGGTGCGATTTCTGCTCACTGCAACCTTCGCCTCCTGGGTTTAAGAGATTCTCCTGCCTCAGCCTCCTGAGTAGCTTGGATTACAGGCACGTGCTACCATGCCCGACTAATTTTTGTATTTTTAGTAGAGGCTGGGTTTCACCATGTTGGCCAGGCTAGTCTTGAACTCCTGACCTCAGGTGATCCACCCACCTTGGCCTCACAAAGTGCTGGGATTATAGGCGTGAGCCACCGCACCCGGCCTCCCTAAGTACTTTTTAGAAAATCCCATATTTAATTAGCTGGGCATGGTGGTGTGCGCCTGTAATCCCAGCTACTTGGGAGGCTGAGGTGGGCGAATTGCTTGAACCCAGGAGGTGGAGGTTGCAGTGAGCTGAGATAGCACCACTGCACTCCAGCCTGGGCGACAGAGCAAGACTCTGTCTAAAAAAAAAAAAAAAAAGAAAAAGAAAAAAATATTCCATATTTCCTAAAGACAAGGACATTCTTCTACATTACCACAGTATAATTTTCAAAATCAGGACCTTCTTCAGACTTTATCAGTTTTTGCCTTTCACCCCATTTATGGCAGTCATCTTGTTTTTATTCTATATGCTTTTTTTGGGCAATTGAAAAAATATTCATAAATTTGAAAAGAACTCCAGAAATATACAAGGATAATTCAACTAACATTCTTGTCTCCCATAGTCCCATGGCCCACTACTGTTAGTATTTGGTCATGAGGGCCTCAGGGCCATACACTGGCCTGCAGGGCCCAGCTTCTTCTGGCCACCTGTTGCCTCACCTTCCTATTGATTCTGCTGCAGCCACATGGCCTCCTTGCTATCCTGCAGGCATAACTTACGGATTCTAGTTGAGTTCTTTAGTAATTGCAAACTATATTTTTGCTGCTGTTATATTAGAATAATTTTTAAATGTCATCTTGAAATAGAAATATTTATTTTAAGCACTCATGCAAAGGTAAATGAACACTTTTTAAATGTGTTCATTGCTTATTTTTTCCATAAGAATTGTAAACATTAAACTGAACAAATTACCCATAATGGTTTTGATTAATGACTTAAGAGCAAGCTGGTTTGGCCAGACAGTGTACCCAAACTTTTATATACCATAGAATGTTATTACACTTGTGAAATTCTCTTGTCTAACCTGAATTTACATTCCATGGTGGTTACATGGTATATGTATTGTTACACTCCTACCTCTGGGCCTTGTTCAAGCACACTTTTATTGAGTACTTTTTATCCCCAGCCAGAGCAAGTAGATCCATTGGGAACATATCAGTAATGTGATGGGTAATATTTATTTATGTATTCATTCATTTATTTGTTTGAGAAGGGTTTTGCTCTGTCATCCAGGCTGGAGTGTAATGGCATGATCATAGCTCACTGCAGCCTCAACCTCCTGGGCTTAAGCCATCTTTCCACCTCAGCCTGCTGAGTAGCTAGGACTACAGACATGTGGCACCAAGCCTGGCTAATTTTTAAATTTTTTGTGGAGACAGGGTCTAGATATATTGACCATGCTAGTCTTGAACTCTGGGCCTCCGCCTTGGCCTCCCAAAGTGGTGGGATTGGAGGTGTGAGTCACTATGCCCAGCCCTATCTTCTTTCACAATTACATATAATTAGGCCAGGCACAGTGGCTCAAGTCTGTAATCCCAGCACTTTTGGAGGCCAAGGCAGGCAGATCACCTGAGGTCAGGAGTTGGAGACCAGCCTGGACAACATGGCAAAACCCTGTTTCTACTAAAAATACAAAAGTTTAGCCAGGTGCGGTGGTGTGTGCCTGTAGTCCCAGCTACTCAGGAGGCTGAGAGAGGAGAATTGCTTGAGCGTGGGAGGCGGAGGTTGCAGTGAGCCAAGATCACGTTATTGCACTCCAGCCTGGGTGACAGAACGACACTCTGTCTCAAAAAAAAAAAAAAAAGAAAAAAGAAAAAGAATATAATTAGCTAGGCATTGTGGCACACGCCTGTAGTCCCAGCTACTCGGGAGGCTGACATGGGAGGATCTCTCTAAGCCCAGGCATTCGGTGTTGCAGTGAGCTATGATCCTACCACTGCACTCCAGCCTTGACAACAGAGTGAGACCCTGTCTCTGGAAAAACAAAAACAAAAACAATTACGTATAATTTATTTCATTGTATGGATGTTCCATAATTTATTTACCTAGCCCCTGCTGAAAGATATTTAAGTTCTTTCTAACTTTTCCCTATTAATTCTCCCTGTTTTACAGACAAAGAGCCTAATATTTGGCATGAAGGAGTGAGTTAGCTAGAGTGGCACACTTCCTAATGGTCAGTATTGTAGAGGTTGGTAAAATTAAATTAAATTTTTGTTTGAGACAGGGTCTCACTCTGTCATCCAGGCTGGAATGCAGTGGCGCTGTCACGGCTCACTGCAGTGTTGACTTCCAGAGCTTCAGTGATCCTCCCCACTGTTCAGCCTCCTAAATCATTGGGACCACAGGCACTCGCCGTCACTCCTGGCTAATTTTTGTATTTTTTGTAGAGACAGGGTTTTGCCATTTTGCCCAGGCTGGTCTCAAACTCCTGAGCTCAACCGATCCACTTGCCTCGGCTTCCCAAAGTGCTGGAATTACAGGTGTGAGCCAGTGTGTCTGGCCCAGAGTCTGTAACTGTTGTTTTCCTGCTGAGTGCCTAATTCCATCTGATAAGATGCTGGGTGCTATATAAATCAAGTGAAATGAACAGAGTCCCTGCCTTTAGGGGCATTGCACAGTATGTGATGCAAACTTCTGCTCTCGGGGCACTCATTAAAGCAGTGTGTACACTCAGAGTAAGAGGCTTAGTAGGGTGGCTAGATTTGGAGGGTGGTGTGTGGTACAAGTGATGTCAGTACTCCAGGACTGGGTGGTGCCTTTTGAATTCTTTGAGTTGTGGAAAATGTCTTGATCTGGAAACTGAATGGTGTTTCTGGTGTTTCTTTGGAAACATAGGTTTAGTGGTGTGAGTACAGGACGATCCAGAAAGATTGCTGGGGGAAAGGGAGGTTGTTGAGAACTCATTCACCAGGAATGTATTAACGTAAGTAAGCGGAAATAGGGCGGGACCATGACCATCTTCAGAAGCATCCAGCCAGGTCCCTGGAAGCTGGGATGCTGCGTTAGTCACTGTTTAGTGTTGCTTTCCTGAGTCGGTGCCATAGTCTTGCGTTTTTAAACCGAGATGGAGTCACAATCTGAGAAATTGGTGTGAAGGAGGCTCATGGGCAGCAGGAGGAGGAGGAGCTGGGAGGGCAACACATCTAGTCTAGGGCTAGCTGTTCCAACCTAACTCTGGCATTTGGGGCAGCTCTGCCACCTTGTGGAATGAGTGCTCAGTGATTTCTGTGGGGGCTGAGTGCAGAGATCTGCATTCCAGGGGCTAGCCTTGAAATGTTCACCAGGACTATATGTCGGTGTGGTTCCTTTCCTTCCACTTGAGTATTTGTGGCTTCAAAGTATTTTTCCTACGTATGTAGATGCATATTTTTTCCTGAATATATTTTTAGGAAGTTTTTATTTTGAAATAATTTAGACTTATACATCTATGTAGCATGGGTTAAAAGAATGACAAAAAATAATTTCAGATTTATAAAAAAGTTGCAAAAATAGCAAAAAGATTTCCCTTATACCTTTCCCTATGTTGGAAAATATAGATTCCCCAATTGCTAGCAATTTACCATGTTAGCTTTATTATTCTCTCCCAGATTTTATTTTATTTCATTTTTTGAGATGGATTCTCACTCTTTCGCCCAAGCTGGAGTGCAGTGATGAGATCTTGGCTCACTGCAACCTCCACCTCCTGGGTTCAAGCAATTCTCCTGTCTCTGCCTCCCGAGTAGCTGGAATTACAGGCACACGCCACCACGCCTGGCTAATTTTTTTTGTACTTTTAGTAGAGATGGAGTTTCACCATGTTGGTCAAGCTGGTCTCGAACTCCTGACCTCAAGTGATCTACCCACCTTGGCCTCCCAAAGTACTGGGATTACAGGCATGAGCCACCATGCCCAGCCCTCTCCCAGATTTTTTAATGTAGTTTTTGAATTGTTTGAAAATAAATTGCAGACCTTTAGCCCTGAATATTTCAGTGTGTATTTCCTGAAAACAAGGACATCCTCTTTCATTCCCACAATATAATCAAAATCAACACCTTTTAAAAACTTTGCCATTTGTTCTAATAATGTTCTTTGTGGAAAAAATGGGGGTAAATTTTTTTTATTTCTGGTCAAGATCCAATCCAGATACACACGTTGAATTCAGCTGTCATATTTCTTTTGTCTTCTTTAATCTGAAACAGACCTTCAGTCTTCTACTTTTTTTACTGGAGTGGGGGACAGGGGAATAAGCTTTTTTTTTTTTTTTTTTTTTTTTTTTTTTTTTACTTTTTAAAAATGAGATCTTCAGTTTTTGTCTTTTATGACCTTGACATTACATTTCTGAATATGATATCCCTCAATTTGGGTTTTTCTGATGTATCCTCATAATTTGATTTGGGTTATTCACTTTCCACAGAAATACCACGTAAGTGATGTTGTGACCTTTTCAGGTGCATTCTATCAGGAAGCACATGAAAACCTGTTTGTCCCATTTACTGGTGACATTAACTTTTATCACTTACCTAAGGTAGTATCTACCAGCTTTTTCTACTATAAAGCTGTTATTACCCCCTTTATAATGAATACATTTCTTGTGAGAGAAACATTGAGACTATGTAAATATCTTATTTCCTCATCAAACTTTCACCCATTATTTTAGCATCTACTGGTATTTCTTGCCT
The DNA here is from genome assembly GCF_000001405.40 of Homo sapiens. Taxonomy (NCBI): domain Eukaryota; kingdom Metazoa; phylum Chordata; class Mammalia; order Primates; family Hominidae; genus Homo; species Homo sapiens. The sequence continues at coordinate 35,885,898 of NC_000020.11, forward strand.
GAAACAATTTTTACTGTGATGGCTGCCAAATGGTGATATCTAACTTTCATCATTCTTTCAACATGTATTAGTTTATATTCTGCCTTAGGGGGGTTTAATCTCACTTCTTTCCTTCCTTTCCTTGTTTGTTTATCTGCATGGGCTCATGGATTCTTATGTCGTTCTATGGGTTATAATCTGTTTCTATCATTATTTATTTTAATGCCAAAAAATTATAATCTTGAGATTATGTCAGTAAATACTTTTTTTTTTTTTTTTTGAGACAGAGTCTCACTCTGTTGCCCAGGCTGGAGTGCACTGATGAGATCTCAGCTCACTGCAACCTCCGCCTCCTGGGTTCAAGTGATTCTCCTGCCTCAGCCTCCCAAATAGCTGGGATTACAGGTGCCCACCACCATGCCCAGCTTTTTTTTTGTAGCTTTAGTAGAGACTGGTCCAGGCTGGTCTTGAACTCTTGACCTCAAGTGATCCGCCTGCCTCACCCTCCCAAAGTGTTGGGATTACAGGTGTGAGCCACTGTGCCTGGCCTTCGCTAATCTTTGATTGCTTTTTGATGCTTCAAGCTGAAAAAATTATTCCTTCATAGACATGAAAAATATTTTATTCATTATATTATGTGAAATATATATCAAAAAGGTATCAAACTGCTGGGCCACATGGCGTGATTGCCGACAAGAATAGCAACTGTGTTGGGCCTTGGTCCTGAGGGAACACATGACAATGAGAAGTGGCTCTTTTCCCCTGGCTGGAGAAGTGACAAATAACAGGATCCAGGAGCAGATGTTAAGTGCTGATGATGAGGTAGAGCAGATAGTCATTTGTGGCAGGAATTGATGGCATGTGGTCCCTGAGAGCCAGGGCCATCTGGATGTCTTTCTGTTTGTGGAGTGAGCTGGGTCTGGATGGAAGTGAAGACTTGGCTGAGCCAGGGAGGAATGGCAGGAAGAGGGCACAGGCCAAGCAGGGGTGTGAACTGCGAGAGCATGAAGCAGTTGCTGGAGCAGGAGCTGAGGCCTCCTTATGGATGAATGGGAGGTGCGTTTGGAAGCAAGATGCCACTATTGGAGTGACGTGGGCCTTGAATGCCAGACTGAGCATTGCCAGCCAGACGGAATATCACCATCATCATAATCTAATCATAGTCATCCAGTTGTGAGGTCATCTGATACTGGCAATGGGTACACAAAATATTAAATAGGATATTTATTTCTAAGCCAAATTTCAGAAAACAATTTACAAACTTTTTTTAAAGTATAAACATAGTGTATGCTTACTATAAAAGGAAAAGTATAAAACATTACTCAAGTATATATAGAAAATGAGTGGGCTGCTGATCCCCCTCTATATTATCTATTGCTGTGTGACAGTATTACCACAAATACAGTAGCTGAAACAACACATTTGTTTTCTCACAGTTTCTGTGGGTGAGGAGTTCAAGCATAGCTTGGTCCTCTGCAAGCTTACAATCCAAGGGTTGGCTCAGGCTGTATTCTCATCTGAGCACTCTACTGGGGAGGGTTTCAGGCTTACCTGATGGTTGGCGGCATTCAGTCCTTCTAGACTGTCAGACTGAGGGCCTTGGTTTTTGCTGGTGCACTCAGTTCCTTGCTTCATATAGAGTAGCTCACAATGTAGCAGCTTGTTTCACTAAGACAGCAAGGAAGAGTGTTTCCTAGTAAGACAGACACTGTAGTCTTACCTAATACAATCATGAAAGTGACATACTGTCTCCTTCGCCATATTCTGTTAGAGACAGGTTACAGCTTTGCCCAGTGGCAGTATCCTAGCCAATGAGGTTTATCTGAGGCATGATTATTAAAATAATTGAAAATTTTCCCAATACACCAAAGTGACAACTTACAACATAGGTTGGCAATGGCAATTTTTGACATGTCTACAAAGACTGAATTAAAAAAAAAAAAAAAAAAAAGAAGAAGTTACAGGTTCTGCCCACACTCAAGAGGAAGAGATTATATCAGGGCGTGAATACCAGGAGGCAGGGATTATTAGGAAACATTTTAGGGTTTAACTCCACACCCTCCCCCGAAAATAGATAAAGAAAACACTGCTTAGGGTTACCTTTTTTTTTTTTTTTTTTCTGAGACAGAGTTTCGCTCTTGTTGCCCAGGCTGGAGTGCAATGGTGCGATCTCGGCCCACCGCAACCTCCGCCTCCCTGGTTCAAGCAATTCTCCTGCTTCAGCCTCCTGAGTAGCTGGGATTATAGGCTTGCACCACCATGCCCGGCTAATTTTGTATTTTTTAGTAGAAATGGGGTTTCTCCATGTTGGTCAGGCTGGTCTCCAACTCCCGACCTCAGGTGACCCACCCACCTTGACCTCTCAAAGTGTTGGGATTACAGGTGTGAGCCACCACGCCTGGCCTAGGGTAACCATTATTAAAAGCAAAATTTGTGGACCATTTTTCTCTGCACATACCAAAGTATAGTAGTAATTTAGGAACAACAAGAGCAAAGGGTGACTGTTGAGATTTTGAGCCTGGATGCCCAGGAGAGAGCTCTGTGCTTTTTCTTGATTCCTCCTAACAATAATTTGTTAAACAGGAGGGAGAGGACAGAGCAGGTAAATGATAATATCAGTAACTACTTGGAAATAGTGATTTTCATACTGCTTTTAAAAGAGGAATAAACTGGTTTCAGTAGATGACCTTATCCCAAGAGTAATTGAGTTCCCCCTCACTTTTGAACCAGCAACTTTAAGATTTAATTTACAATATTTTCTTCTGGGCATGGTGGCTCATGCCTGTAATCCCAGCACTCTGGGAGGCTGAGGCAGGAAGATCACTTGAGCCAAGGAGTTGGAGATCAGCCTTGGGCAACATAGGGAGACCCTCATCTCTTTTTTTTTTTTTTTTAATTAATAATTTACATGTCTTCTGCCCTCTGTCTCTGAGTAACTGCTCTCATGTTGACAAGAACCATATTAGTATGCTAAGGGTGGATGATGTCACTTAGTGGTGTCACCAGCTGCTGCCATGTATGTTCTAAATGAACTGTCCTCCCATAGGGGAATACATACCTGTGTGTGAGACTGGGATTTATGTAGACTTTGGCCCAGCAGGCCCATTTGACAACCAGTGGCCCTCTTAGTTTCTTTTTTTTTTTTTTTTTTTTTTTTTGAAATGGAGTCTCGCTGTGTCACCTAGGCTGGAGTGCACTGGCACAATCTTGGCTTACTGCACCCTCTGCCTCTGGGCTCAAGCGATTCTCCTGCCTCAGCCTCCTGAGTAGCTGGGATTATAGGTGCACACCACCACGCTCAGCTAACTTTTGTATTTTTAGTAGAGACGGGGTTTTGTCATGTTAGCCAGGCTAGTCTCGAACTCCTGACTTTGTGATTCGCCCACCTTGTCCTCCCAACGTGCTGAGATTATAGGCGTGAGCCACCGTGCCTGGTGCTATACATAATTTTCTATTTTGCTCGTAATATTTTGGGTTTTATTTTTTATTTTTATTTTTATTTTGAGACAGAGTCTCACTCTGTCACCCAGGCTGGAGTGCAGTGGCACAATCTCAGCTCACTGCAACCTCCACCTCCTGGGTTCGAGCAATTTTTGTGCCTCAGCCTCCCGAGTAGCTGGGACAATAGGCACGCACCACCACGCCCGGATAAATTTTTGGATTTTTAGTAGAGATAGAGTTTCACCATGTTGGCCAGGCTGGTCTTCAACTCCTGACCTCAAGTGATCTGCCCATCTCAGCCTCCTAGAGTGCTGAGATTACACGCATGAGCCACTGTGCTTGGCCATATTTTGAGTTTTATTTCGCATAGTTATACCATGCATATTCTGTTTCTTAATTAATTAATTAATTATTTTAAAATTATTTTTGAGACAGGGTCTCACTCTGTTGCTTAGGCTGGAGTCTCAGTGGTGCAATCTCGTCTCACTGCAACCTCTGTCCCCAGGTTCAAGTGATTCTCTCACCTTAGCCTCCCAAGTAGCTGGGACTAGAAGCATGCACCACCATGCCTGGCTAATTTTTGTATTTTTTGGTAGAGACAGGGTTTCCTCATGTTGTCCAGGCTGGTCTTGAACTCCTGACCTCAAGTGATCCACCCAACTTGGCCTCCCAAAGTGCTGGGATTACAGGCATGAGCCACCATCCCTGGCCCTATTTATTTATTTTTGAGACAGTTCTGTCTCACTGTTGCCCAAGCTGGAGTGCAGTGGTAGGATCATGGCTCACTGCAGCATCGACCTCCTGGGTTCAGCCTGTCCTCCTGCCTCAGTCTCCTGAGTAGCCGAGACTATGGGTGCATGCCACCACACCCATCTACTTTTTGTATTTTTTCGTAGAGATGGGGGTCTCACTATGTTGCTCAGGCTGGTCTTAAACTCCTGGGCTCAAGTTATCCACCCACCTTGGCCTCCCAAAGTGCTGGAATTACAGGCACGAGCCACTACACCTGACCTATTTTAAAATGTAGGATATTTTTGCTGAATGCATAATTTTAATGTTCCTATTGTGATTTTATTAATTATCACTAATCCTTCATTGTTTGATTAATAAAGGAGGGCAATTAGATGTTAGAATTTTGCAGATTGTACCAGTGACACATGGTCCCTTGGCTAGAATTATGCATAACTTTGATTGTTTTGAGCAAACAACTGTGAGGTCAGTGACAACAATAATGACAAATAATATTCAAGTAACCTCTTGCTGTTAATACTGGGTTTTGTGGCCAGGCACAGTGCCTCACGCCTTGTAATCCCAACACTTCAGGAAGCCGAAGTGGGCAGATCACCTGAGGTCAGGAGTTCGAGACCAGCCTGGCCAACAGAGTGAAACCCCATCTCTACTAAAAATACAAAATAATTAGCCAGGCATGGTGGCACACATCTCTAATCCTAGCTACTCGGGAGGCTGAGGTAGGAGAATCACTTGAACCCGGAGGTGGAGGTTGCAGTGACCCGAGATCGTTCCACTGCATTTCAGCCTGGGTGAGAGAGTGAGACTCTGTCTCAAAAACAAAACAAACAACAATAAAACAAAACAAAACTAAACAAAACTGGGTTTTGTCTTTAACTGCCTCATGGAAACATATAGGAGAGTTGTGAAATAAGTATTCTTATTCCCATTTAACAATGAGGAAACAGTCTTGGAGAGGCTAGCTCCCATGTTTGATGTGACAGTACACTAACATAAGTAAGAGAAGTAAAGAATGCAGCACATTCCAGGCCGGGTACAGTGGCTCATGCCTGTAATCCCAGCACTTTGGGAGGCCAAGGTGGGTGGATCACTTGCAGTCAGGAGTTTGAGACCAGCCTGTCGTAAATGACGAAACCCGGTCTGTACTAAAAATACAAAAATTAGCTGGGCGTGATGGCAGGCGCCTGTAATCCCAGCTACTTGGGAGGCTGAGGCAGAAGAATCGCTTGAACCCAGGAGGCGGAGGTTGCAGTGAGCTGAGATCATGCCACTGCACTCCAGCCTGGGCGACAGAGAGAGACTCTATGTCAAAAAAAAAAAAAAAAAGGCAGCACATTGGGTATTTCAACATTTTAGAAAAAGGAATAAACAAAACCAACTGTTATACAAATAGAAAGGGAAGGACTACAGGATCCATAAAATACTTACAGGAATTCTTCGAGGCAGGACAGAATCTTTTCTGCTGAGAGACCGGGGTGAAGGCATTGTGCAAGGAGGTGGTATTTGAAGGATGAGCAAGACTTGGTTTGCATGTGGGAACAACATGCCAAATAGAGGGAACCACATGGCCTAGACTGGCTGAACTGGCAGCCTTTATTGTGCATACAGAGGGCTCCTTTTGGCTGTGCAAAAATTAGGATAAGGTTGTGAAGTCTAGAAAATATAATTTTTCATGTCTCTAAATATTTGGGTTCAAAAGTAAAATAGTCCAATTTGCAAAACCTTCACGAGAAAGGGACGATTGCTTAAGTCTTGGTGTTTATGTGTCTTTTTTGTTATTCTATTTTTTATATATTATTTATTTATTTATGTACTTTTTGAGACAGAGTTTGTCACTGTGTTGCCCAGGCTGGAGTGCAGTGGGCAATCTTGGCTCACTGCAACCTCCGCCTACCGGGTTCAAGCGATTCACCTGCCTCAGCCTCCTGAGAAGCTGGGATTACAGGCATCCGCCACCACCCCCAGCTAATTTTTTTTGTTTTTTTTTGTTTTTTTGTTTTTTTTAAGCGGGGGACAGTCTCGTTCTTTCGCCCAGTTTCAAGTACAGTGGCGTGATATTGGTTCACTGCAACCTTTGCCTCCCAGGTTCAAGCGATTCTCCTGCTTCAGCCTCCCGAGTAGATGGGACTACAGGCATGCACCACCACGCCTGGCTGATTTTTTTTTTTTTTTTTTTTTTGTATTTTTAGTAGAGACGGGGTTTCACCATGTTGGTCAGGCTGGTCTTGAACTCCCGACCTCAAATGATCTGCCCACCTTGGCCTCCCAAAGTGCTAGGATTACAGGCGTGAGCCACCGCACCCGGCCAATTTTGTATTTTTAGTAGAGATGGGGTTTCACCATGCTGCTCAGGCAGGTCTCGAACTCCTGACCTCAGGTGCTCCACCTGCCTCAGCCTCCCGAAGTGTTGGGATTACAGGCATGAGCCACCACGTCTGGCCTTTTTTGTTATATTATAATTTAACATATCCTAAACATTTTCTCATCATTAAAAAGTTAACATAAACATTTTATTCATATATAATATTTTTATCTACTTTTTTTTCTTTAGAGCTCTACTTCTGGAAGAATCTACTTTTTGATTTGTGGTTCTGAAATTATAGCAAATTGTGTAATTTATCATATTTTATCACAGGCTAGTATGCATTACTGATTCATACCCTGTTTGCAGCTTTTCTCACTCTGATGCTTGTGTTGATTGTTTTTTCCAGCAGTGCAGGGTAGATTATCAACTGGCTTATAATCAGAAGAGCTTGCTTGTATCACAGTGAGTTATACTTCACTGATTTCACTGGGAAATCTTACTTCCTGAGTTTCCATGGTTAAAGATTTGTAATGCTCAAATCTTCTTTTGATGTTTATTCCATCAGAGAAAACAGAAACTACTTTGTCTTAGTGTTGCCAAATTGAAAAGAGCCTTTGGTTTGGCCAGGATCTTTGTGATAGTGGCACCTGGCAGTGTCTTCCCTCCTGAGGAGCATCCGTGCTCACTTGAGCCTCTCTGATCCTAGTACTGCCTGTCAGAGGCAGCTGGTCCACCTGAGTGCCAAGCTGGCGCTCCTTTGGAGTTTCAGCTGTACTAACTTTTGCTTAGCTGTGAGGAATCAAGGATTTTGCTTTTGCAGGGGGAATTTTTAACCTGTAAACTAAACTCGCTTGCTTTGAAAGGTTTACTAGATTGGCAGATTATTAGTCTGATTATTAGTCCAGTCATATCTATCTTTCAACAGATAGTTTGGCCATGACTTTTTTTTTTTTTTGAGATGGAGTTTCGCTCTTGTCACCCAGGTCAATGGTGTGATCTTGGCTCATTGCAACCTCCGCCACCTGGGTTCAAGCAATTCACCTGCCTCAGCCTCCCAGGTAGCTGGGATTACAGGCACACGCCACCACAGCTAGCTAATTTTTGTATTTTTAGTAGAGACGGGGTTTTGCCATGTTGGCCAGGCTTGTCTTGAACTCCTTACCTCAAGTGATTCACCCACCTCGGTCTCCTAAAGTACTAGGATTACAGGCATGAGCCACCACTCCCAGCCGGCCATGGCTTTTTTCTTTTTTTGTTTTCAGACAGAGTTTGGCTCTTGTTGCCCAGGCTGCAGTGCAATGGTGTGATCGCAGCTCATTTCAACCTCCACCTAGCAGGTTCAAGTGATTCTCCTGCCTCAGCCCCCCGAGTAGCTGGGATTACAGGCACCTGCCACCACGCCCAGCTAATTTTTTGTATTTTTAGTAGAGATGGGGTTTCACCATGTTGGCCAGGCTGGTCTTGAACTCCTGACCTCAGGTGATCTGCCTGCCTTGGCTTCCCAAAATGCTGGGATTACAGGCATGAGCCACTGTGCCCCGCCAACATGTACTGTTATTTATGTTTTAAAAAGATAAAACAATGTTCAGTATTTTGGTGGAACAAGCTTGGTACTATCCTGCATTGTATAGAGTATTACAAAAGAAAATCTTTAGGTGTCATAGTAAAAGATGTCCCAAAAGGTGGAGATAATAATCACACTGAAATGTGAATAGTCATACTAGGAACCTTGTGGTTGGTTTTGAATTTCACACTTTCAGGAGGACGTAGACGAAATGAAGTGCTTTCAGGGTGATATGCGTCCCAGCCAGGGCATATGAAGACTGGTTGAAGAAATGTTTCACACTTGGTTGATAATTATAATAGCTGTCTCCAGCCATGTTCCAGAAATAACATAAGCCTGCTTATGATGTATTTTATATTTGAAATGATAATGGCTTCCATGTGTTGATCACCTACTTTGTGCCAAGTACATACATTATCCATAACCTTTTCTCCAAATCTTTGAAATAGGTGGTATTCTTCCCTTAAGAATCTGGATAATTAGACTAGCTTGCACAGCTAATTTATGCTGCTAATGAAAGGTAGACCTGGGATTAAATGTTGTGCTTTTTGTACTATACCATACTGCCTCTGGCATGAGCATGCAGTGAGGCTGTGGGTGGTGGACACTTCCCCTCTTCTGCTTATGATCAGGTTAATTCCTGAAATTTAAAATGACATTGAATAGTCATAGTAGATAATATTGAGCACTTATGTGCCGTACACCTTTCTAAGCTCTTTGCATGTAATTTATTTAATTCTCACAACTCAGCGAAGTTGTTACCATTATCGTCTCCATCCTGCACATGAGGAAACTGAGGCAAGGGGTGTAGGTGGAAGAACTCGGTTTTGAAATAGGCTGTCCAGCTGCAGAACCCACACTTAGCCCCTGTACTGTTTGATTTATGTAGATGACCATTGTGTATACACAAGAGTGCAAGTTTTTGTTTTTGTTTTTGAGACGGAGTCTCACTCTTGTCACCCAGGCTAGAGTGCAATGGCACAATCTCGGCTCACTGCGATCTCGACCTCCTGGTTCAAGTGATTCTCCTGCCTCGGCCTCCTGAGTAAGCTGGATCTACAGGCGCGCACCATGCCCAGCTAATTTTTCTTCTTCTTTTTTTTTTGAGACAAAGTCTCGCTCTGTCGCCCAGGCTGGGGTACAGTGGCGTGATCTTGACCCACTGCAACCTCTGCCTCCTGGGTTCAAGCAATTCTTCCACCTCAGCTTCCCAAGTAGCTGGGACTACAGGCATGTGCCACCATGCCTGGCTAATTTTTATAATTTTATTTGAGACAAGGTTTTACCATGTTGGCCAGGCTGGTCTCAAACTCTTGACCTCAAGTGATCTGCCCACCTCAGCCTCTCAAAGTGCTGGGATTACAGGTGTGAGCCACCGTGCCCCGCTAATTTTTGTATTTTAGTAGAGATGGGGTTTCGCCATGTTGGCCAGGCTGGTCTTGAACTCCTGACTGCAAGTGATCTGCCCGCCTCAGTTTCCCAAAGTGCTGGAATTATAGTCGTGAGCCACTGCACAGGGTTCCAGCCTTAGTCTTTTTTAGCCTACAAAATGGCAAGTTTATATGATTTAACCTAATATAGATCAAGGGAAGGATATTCCAAAATAAACTATTTTTTGTTTTAGGAAAGAATTGGATGTATTAAAGTTTTGTGTTTTGAACTTCTCCACTGACATACTTTTCCTGTCCAATTATTTGTCTGAGAAGTGTGTATTCTGTTTCACATCGTGTCACTTTTGCTTCTCCTTTTTTTTTTTTTTTTTTTTTTGAGACAGAGTTTCACTCTTATTGCCCAAGCCAGAATGCAATGGCGCGATCTCAGCTACTGCAACCTTCGCCTCCCAGGTTCAAGTGATTCTCCTGCCTCAGCCTCCGGAGTTGCTGGGATTATAGATGCATGCCACCACGCCCAGCTAATTTTTTATATTTTTAGTGGAAATGGGGTTTCACCATGTTAGCCAGGCTGGTCTGGAATTCCCGACGTCATATGATCCGCCTGCCTTGGTCTCCCAAAGTGCTAGGATTACAGGCGTGAGCCATCGCGCCTGGCCAACTTTTTCTTCTCTTACCTGCAACTAATTGATCTGGCATCTTTTATATCTCTTGTTATAGGTAGAAAGTGATTTTAAGGCATTATGCTTTGGGATGTGTGTGTGTGTGTGTGTGTGTGTGTGTGTGTATAGGTTTTTGTTGGTTTAAATTGGCTCTATAACAGCATCCTTCAGACAACCAAACCTAATTTTGAAGTGTAGAGTATAATTTAGATCAAATTTAAGAGTTTTAAAATTACCTCTGATTATGGGATGACACTTGAAAAAGTAATCATAATACTTACCAAAGGTTTAACAGGCTACCTGCTTCCAGTGGAGATTGTGTGATTGTGTTTACGAAAAATCTGATTAACTCAAGAAAGGGCCATTCATTGCATACCGAATTCCTAATTTTTTAAAAAAAGATCCATTTAATATAATATATTCTTGGGTGACCAAATCTGTAGCATAGGAATGACTTAATGTGATTTTTTGTTGGTGGGAAGACATTCTAAAGGGAGTCCTCAATAAACTGCATTTCTAACACACAAGAGGTTCTTGTGGCCTGGGGGCGGTGGCTCACACCTGTAATTCCAGCACTCTGGGAGGCTGAGGCAGGCGGATCACTTGAAGTCAGGAGTTCGAGACCAGGCTGGACCAGTCTCTACTAAAGCTATGAAAAAAAAAAAACTGGACGTGGTGGTGGGCATCTGTAATCCCAGCTACTCAGGAGGCTGAGGCTGGAGAATCGCTTGAACTGGGGAGGTGGAGGTTGCAGTGAGCCGAGATCTCACCATTGCACTCCAGCCTGGACAAAGAGCAAGACTCCGTCTCAAAAAAAAAAAAAAAAAAAAGTCCTTGTGATGGGTTTACTTTTTGTCATTGGTGCCTGACCGACTATTGCCTTCTGCTTATTTGTCTTTTAGGGTCATGCTTTTATTGTCTCTTTGAAATTGATCATTGAGTCCTATGAGTCCTCCTTATGCCTTCCACCTCCATTTAGTTAGCTGGTTTTTCTTGCAGTCTCTGGGTCCTTTTTGTTGTTGTTTGTTTTGCATTTATTATTATTGTTATTCATACATTTTTGAGACAGGGTCTTACTTTGTTGCCCAGGCTGGAGTGCAGTGGTACAGTCATGGCTCACTGCAGCCTCAACCTGCTGGGCTCAAGGGATCCTCCCACCTGAGCTTTCTGGGTAGCTGGGACTATAGGCACATGCCATCATGCCTGGCTAATTAACAAAATTTTTTTTTTTGTAGAGATGGGGTCTTGCTGAGTTGTCTACACTGGTCTTGAGGATCCTGGCCTCAAGTGATCCTCTTGCCTTGGCCTCATTTATTATTATTTTTAATTGACATGTAATAATTTTACATATTCATGTGGTACAGTGATATTTCCTTACATGTATACGATGTATAATGATTAAATCAGGATAATTGGCAAATCTGTCACCTTGAGCATTTATTTCTTTGTGTTCAGAACATTCAAAATCTGCTTTTCTAGCTATTTGAAAATATACAATAAATTGTTATTAATTATAGTTCCCCCATAGTGCTGTAGAATGCTAGAACTTATTCCTCCTATTCTGGATCCCTTTTTTTTTTTTTTTTTTTTTTTCTGAGACGGGGTCTTGCTCTGTCGCCCAGGCTCGAGTGCAGAGGTGCGATCTCGGCTCACTGCAAACTCCGCCTCCTGGGTTCAAGCCATTCTCCTGTTTCAGCCTTCTGGGTAGCTGGGACTACAGGTGCCCGACACCACGCCCGACTAATTTTGTTGTATTTTTAGTAGAGACAGGGTTTCACCATGTTAGCCAGGATGGTCTCAATCTCCTGACCTTGTGATCTGCCTGCCTCGGCCTCCTAAAGTGCTGGGATTACAGGTGTGAGCCACCACGCCCGGTGTTTTTTTTTTGTTTTGTTTTGTTTTTTGAGACAGAGTCTTGCTCTGTCACCCAGGCTGTAGTGCGGTGGTGTGATCTTGGCTCACTGCAACCTCCGCCTCCCAGGTTCAAGCGATTCTTCTGCCTCAACCTCCCGAGTAGCTGGGATTACAGGCATGTGCCACCATGCCCAGCTAATTTTTGTATTTTTAGTAGAGATGGGGTTTCACCATGTTGTCCAGGCTGGTCCGAACTCCTGACCTCAGGTGATCCGCCCACCTCGGCCTCCCAAAGTGCTGAGATTACAGGCGTGAGCCACTGCACCCACCAAATCTGGATCCTTTTGATCAGACAAAGTATATTGTAAAACAAAGTACGTGTTGAAATCTCAAAGACTCAATACTAAAACCTTTGTAACTGTTACACTTTCCTTGCACAAAAACTGACGTAAAATCTCTTAGGTTTCATAGAGAGATACTGAGGAATGTTCCCTATTTCCGTCCACACAGATAGGTACCAGGATGGTAGTAAATGTAAGTCTGATCCAACTCATAAGTGCTAGCTTGAGATCCTTGATTTTATTTATTTTATTTATTTTTTATTTTTTTTGAGACAGAGTCTGGCTCTGTTGACCAGGGTGGAGCACAGTGGCATGATCTCAGCTCACTGCAACTTCTGCCTTCGGGTTCAAGCAATTATCGTGCCTCAGCCTCCCGAATAGCTAGAATTACAGATGTGCTCCACCATGCCTGGCTAATTTTTTTGTTTGTTTGTTTTTTGTTTGAGTCAAAGTCTTGCTCTTGTCTCCCAGGCTGGAGTGCAATGGCATGATCTCGACTTACTGCAACCTCCGCCTCCCGGGTTCAAGCAATTCTCCTGCCTCAGCCTCCCAAGTAGCTGGGATTACAGGCACCTGCCATCATGCCTGGCTAATTTTTGTATTTTTAGTAGAGACAGGGTTTCACCATATTGGCCAGGCTGGTCTCGAACTCCTGACCTCAGGCGATCTGCCTCCCTTGGCCTCCCAAAGTGCTGGGATTACAGGTGTGAACCACCATGCCCAGCCCATTTCTTTTGTATTTTTAATAAAGATGGGGTTTTACCATGTTGGTCAGGCTGGTCATGAACTCCTGATCTCGAGTGATCCACCTGCCTTGGCCTCCCAAAGTACTAGGATTACAAGTGTGAGCTGCTCTGCTTGACCTGAGATCCTTTATTTTTATTTTTATTTTTATCTTTTTAAGGATTTTTCCTTAAAGTATATGAAACCCTGAAAACTTGTACGACTGTTTAAAATAAACATGTTGATTTCTTCTTCCTAAAGATGAATCACAATTGAGTCTTATTTGACCTGAAGTTGTTTTCATTCTCTCTAAACAGTAATTTGAGGAGGTAATGGCAGTCTGATGTCTCAGGCTACATTTGCACGCTAGTCTTTCACCCTCAGTTGTCATGTGTTAATGCATGTTTTGTAATAACTGGGATAAATACAAGGAACCTTTGCTTTTGTTTTTATTTTTTTCAGTAACAAATACTTTTAAGAAAACAGATGATTTTGGGTCATCTAATGCACCAGCTGTCGACCTAGACCATAAGTTTAGATGCAAAGTTGTGGACTGTTTAAAATTTTTCCGCAAAGCCAAACTGTTGCACTATCACATGAAGTATTTCCATGGAATGGAGAAGTCACTGGAGCCAGAAGAGAGCCCGGGAAAGAGGCATGTCCAAACCAGGGGCCCTTCAGCTTCAGACAAGCCCAGCCAGGAGACCCTGACCAGGAAGCGGGTCTCTGCCAGTTCCCCAAGTAAGTATCTTCATTCTTCATTGTGTCATGGATGGCTCAGTTGCTTGGCCACAGTGCTTGTGTTTTCTGACACACAAAGCAGGCATTAGGTTTGTCTGTTCCAGTTGAATCCCACAGGACTGAACATATTAAGTGATCCTCTGGGCTGTGCCACGGAGCTGTGGCCTTCCTACAGGAAGCAGGAACACCTAACTGAGAATTACCTTGAAAAATCGCTTAGCCTCTGAAGGCCTTGCTGCTTCCAGTATGAGTGGGGACAGTCAAGCAAAGGGACCTTATTCAGAAGCCAGCAGGAGAACTCGTGCTCAGAGCAGCATGGGTGCCATCGTCCCACTCTCCCAAACCTGTGCGTTTTCCTTGCCAGCAGCACAAAAGAGCACGATAACCAAAAGGTGATATGTGATTCTACTGCTGGGTCCAAATGTGAATCCTGTTTCATCTTAAGTGCAACTGAAGATATTTATAATAGCACTGTTTGTTTTGCATAGAAACCATAATAGGGGTTACCATAAAATCTCATTTTATAACTTATTACAGAGAACCTTTTAGGAAATATCTTCTAAAGCTTACAGAAATTGAAAAATTACATGTTTCCAGGGGAATTTCAGAAGAATTAATGGATTTCCAATAAATTATATAATCTTCCCAGCTTTTTACTTGCTATTGTAATATCACTACCTACTTCTTGGCTTAGAGGTTTTCTATTAAAATGTGTAGGTCTTAAATGGTATATGGAACTCCTAGGACATCTGGCAGTGTTCCCAGTAGAGTATACAATCAGGTTTCAGGACAGGGGCAGAGCCATGCAGACTAAGGTGAACTCTGACCCTCCGAGGGGTCAACCTTCATTTATGCTGTCAAGACTTTGTATGTGCTGTATTATCCATTAAAAATATAATGTGAGGCCAGGCACAGTGTCTCATGCCTATAATTCCAGTGCTTTGGGAGGCCAAGGCAGGAGGATCACCTGAGGTCAGGAGTTCGAGACCAGCCTTACTTAACATGGTGAAACCCCGTCTCTACTAAATATACAAAAAAATTAGCCGGGCTTGGTGGTGCATGCCTGTAATCCGAGCTACTCTGGAGGTTGAGGCAGGAGAATTGTTTGAACCCAGGAGGCAGAGGTTGCAGTGAACCGAGATCATGCCACTGCACTCCAGCCTGGGCGACTGAGTGAGACTCCATCTCAAAACAACAACCAAATAAGCTAGCATAAACTCATGCAGATTGTATGGTTCTGCTTATATAAAGTTCAAAAATGAGTAAGAAAAATAATCTATGGTATTTGAGGTCAGGACAGTAGTTACCTTTGGGAGGAGGTGGGTAGGACTGGAAACTGGGCAGGAGGGAGTCTTCTAGGGCTCCGAAATGTTCTGTTTCCTGATCTGCATGGTGGTTATACAGGTGTGTTCATTTATGAAAAAGTATTGGTTTATGTGTTTATTTGTGTGTACTTTTCTGTGTATGTTTTATGCCTCAATAAAAAGCATGCTTAGGCGGACATAGTGGCTCACACCTGAAATCCCAGCACTTTGGGAGGTGGATCGCCTGAGGTCAGGAGTTCGAGACCAGCCTGGCCAATATGATGAAACCCCGTCTCTATTAAAAATACAAAAATTAGCCAGGCGTGGTGGCAGGTGCCTGTAATCCCAGCCACTCAGGAGGCTGAGGCAGGAGAATCGCTTGAACCTAGGAAACAGAGGTTGCAGTGAGCCAAGATCGTGACACTGCACTCCAGCTTGGATGACAGAGCAAAACTCTGTCTAAAAAAAAAAAAAAAAAAAGTGTGCTTAAAACATATACTTGGAAATGGTAAAAATGCAGTAAGAATGTAAGAAACTGCAGAGAGATACCAAGATAAAGGATTGGGCTTTTTACTTGAAATAATGAATGTAATTGAGAGGATTTTAATGTTTGTTTGTTTCCTTTTATCTGACTTACCTCCAAATTAATCTCCTTTTCAGTCCCATGGCACTAATCTAGGTTTCTTCTCTTGCCCTGGTTGTTGTGGTCATTTCTTAATCAGTTTTCCTCCCATCATTCTTTACTCACTGTGGTTATCCATCATTTTGCCATCGGATCGATCTTTAAGAGTACAGACCTGATTATATCACTCTCTTGCTAAATAATATGTAAGGACAGAATGATGCTTCTGCAAAGCATAAGTTTTGGAGCTGGGCACATGGGTTGTGAATCCCATCTGTTGCCTCAGTCACTGTTGGACTCTCTTCAGGTCTCCAGACCTCACTGTCTCTGAGTGTAAACCTGAGTTCTTGTGATTAGTTTGTGAGCTAATCTTTTTAATAAGCCTGTGTAAACCTGAGTTCTTGTGATTAGTTTGTGAGCTAATCTTTTTAATAAGCCTGTTTCAAGGCCTGGTGTGGGGAAGTGGATTTCCTTCTTCCCCTTGCTTTCTAGAATTTCATCCTTCTCATCCAGCCATATGTGGCTGAGTTGGGTACATTTGTGTGAGCTCTCTAGCTGGATTCTGAGTGCTGTTGGGGAGGAATTATGTTGAGTCATCTTGAGTCACTACAGTATCCCATGGGCTCTGCAGCACTGTAGAAACAACCAGCACTGAAGGACTGGAGATTATGTTGAGTAAATGGAGGTCATTGAGGTGTCAGGAGCCAGTAGAAATAGCAGGTGCTGGATATCGTAATGGATTGACATCTGGGCAGGATGAGGGTACAACACTGGAAGTAGAGTGCAGCCTACCCCAGACAGCACAAAGCCACCAGAGTTAGGTTGTTCCAAAGGCTAAGGCTTGACAGGCAGGAGGCCATTGAGGGACCCATGGAAGTCCTGCTTGCCTGACCATCGTGGTGTGTGCTCTCTGTGCTAGGACATAGTGCCTCTGCCTCTCCCTGTTCATGGTAATTGTCTGAGGAGGGACTTTGCTCAGTATAATGCACCTGAGCGTGGGGCAGGTATTCCTGGCCAGATGCTGATCTACCACCTGGCTTTGGGATTCTTGGTTAACTGTACTTGCATGACTTGGTTTATGTTGAGTAATATGTGTCAGCTCACCTGAGTTTGAATACAGGCTCTACCGCTTGCTTGCTCCAGGACCTTGGGCAGAGAACTTGCGAAACTTCAATTTTCCCATCTGTGAAATAGAGATAATAGTACTACCTACCTCATAACTTTGTTACACTAAATGACCCAAGGGGAAATGCTTTGTAAAATGTCTGGCCTATAATAAACTCTGAATACACAGTCTCTTTATCTCAGTGAAAGCATTTACCCAGGCAGTCAGAGATCTGAGTTCTGAACTCAGCCAACCACTGATGAGCTACAAAACCAATAGACAAGACATTGCCATTTTGGTATAATTAAGAAGCCTGAGTGACTGATTTTCTTTTCTTTTTTCTTTTTTTTTTTTTTTGAGTGATTTTCGTTTCCTTTCCTTTCCTTTCCTATCCTTTCTTTTTTTTTTTTTTTTTTGAGTAATTGATTTTCTACTTTCATGTCTCCCTCTTGGGTCTCATGCATTATACTGACCTGGGATTTTATTCTCTCTGTTAATACTGAAGGATCCTTTTCAATGGGATTTGGAAATTTCTTGGTGAATTGGAGATTTTTGTTTACCAGTTTTTAAAAATAAGGCCTGCTGTATACTCACTAGACTAGTAGGGTTGGACAATTATAAAATGCTTTAAGGGAAACAAGAGTCTTTTAAATCCCTATGCTTTAACTTGTTGCCAAAAGGTTTTTTAAGTCCTTATGTTTTAATTTGTTTAAAGTGGTCCTTTGTAAAATTGATCAATTTAGCAGCAGAATGTGCCACACAGACCACTCACCCACTGTTTGATCATTTCTGTACCCTCTCAGTGAGGGCACAGTCTGATCATTTCTGTACCCTCTCAGTGAGGGCAGGATTTGTGCAGCCAGGAAGGAATGTACCCCCATCCACATGTCAAGTGGACACAGCCTCCTAGACAACATGGCGATTACCCAAATGTATCTCCCATGCCTCATTGCTGATACGTTTAGCAGTTACCAGACCGAAGGAACTAGACCATCCATCTTGCTGTGATCCAGATGGAAAATTGAAAGCCTGGCCACCAGCCCTGACTGTGCCACTAACCAGCAAGAGCCTCGGTATTATCATATGTGGATGGGGCTCAGTAGACATGTTCAGTGTTTATCACGTAGCTGGCTATCAATGAGAGTGAACATAGTAGTGTATGCTGAAGATTCTGTAGTGTGGCTGCCTTATTCTGCTGCAGCTCTCCAGAAGGCACCCCTGTTCCAGGCATCACCCCTTACCTTTCTCCCATCAAAGCCTTGCCCCAGTTTGTCAGGGTTTTACTGGATACTTGACTAATCTGATAACCAAAAATTTGAAAGAATAGAACCAACTTAATAGTATTGTGGTTTCACCTCAGGCTTCTGAGAATGCTCTTATCAGGGTGGAATTTCAGACAGTGTGGGGAGTTCAGTTGGGGAGACGTTTCACTGGGAGACGTTTCACAGTGGGACTCTGATACCAGGCAGCCTGTGTTTTAGTTTACAGGCAGTGTGAACTTGACATTCTGCTTAAGTGAAAAACAGAATATTATAGGATTTGTGCTGCGTGATAATAGTAACTGTAAAAAAGTACCCCCTTTATGCTGAATGCTCTGATTTTTTTTTTTTTTTTTTTTTTTTTGAGACAGAATCTCACTCTGTTGCCCAGCCTGGAGTGCAGTGGCGTGATCTTGGCTCACTGCAACCTCTGCCTTCGGGGTTCAAGCAATTCTCCTGCCTCAGCCTCCCAAATAGCTGGTATTACAGGCATTCACCACCACACCCAGCTAATTTTTGTATTTTTAGTACAGATGGGGTTTTGCCATGTTGTCCAGGCTGGTCTTGAACTCCTGGCCTCAAGTGGTCCCGAACTTGGGTTCTCATGGATTTCTCTGATGGAGATTCCTGGGGCTTCCAGCAAAACCACTGGGACTCGAAAGTACCCTGCAGAGATTTCTTGGCTTTGGACTCCTCAATATCTGGGTTGGTAAGGTTGGGCAGAAGTAGTAGTTCTGGTCTGAGAGTCCGTAGACTGATCTTAGTAGCAACCTGCCACTGTTCCCTTTGTGATCTCAGGCAGGTCTCTTCACAGATCTGATTTCTTTTCTCCTTCCTTCCTTCCTTCCTTCCTTCCTTCCTTCCTTTCTTTTCTTTCTTTCTCTTTCTTTTTTTTTGTTTGTTTGAGATGAAGTTTCACTCTTGTTGCCCAGGCTGGAGTGCAATAGTGCGATCTTGGCTCACCACAACCTCCGCCTCCCGGATTCAAATGATTCTCCTGCCTCAGCCTCCCGAGTAGCTGGGATTACAGGCGTGCACCACCATGCCTGGCTAATTTTGTATTTTTAGTAGAGACTGGGCTTCTCCGTGTTGGTCAGGCTGGTCTCAAACTCCCGACCTCAGATGATCTGCCTGCCTTGGCCTCCCAAAGTGCTGGGATTACAGAGATGAGCCACCGTGCCTGGCTGATCTCCTCATTTCTAAAGTGATGATGTAGAGCTAGGTATGCATGAGACCAGGCCCTTTCATGTGGGGAGAAAAGCTCATAAACAACGTGAGAAAGCTAAGTTCTGTGTTAGGAACATGTAAAGTGCTGTGGGAACACAGATTCAGATTTTGCCTGTAGGGTAGGAGCTGGACTGTTGAGAGGAGAAGGTGACATTTGAGTTAGGCCTTGCTGTGAATTGAATTGTGTCCTGCCTTCCTCCCTAAAATTCATCTGTTGAAGTCCTAACCCTCAGTGTGATGGTATTTGGCAATAATTAAGTTTAAATGATGTCATGAGGTTGGGGCCTTCATGATGGGATTAGTGGCATTATAGGAAGAGATCAGAGCTCCCCCTATCCCCCCATGTGAGGATGTAGCAAGAAGATGGCCATCTGCAAACTGGGAAGAGGGGCCTCACTGGGAACCAAATAGTCTGGCACCTTGATCTTGTAGTTTCCAACCTCCAGAACTGTGAGAAAGAAATATCTGTTGTTTAAGCCACATATAACATAATGTTTTGTTATAACAGCCTGAGCAGACTAACCCACGCCTTAAGGAGTGAGGCTAGATAGGAATTGGACCAGAAGCCGGGAAGAGGAAAAGCATCCCTGTGCCAGGAATAGGCATAGCAAGGGTTCAGAGGCATCAAGGGGAATAAACCAATCATCTGTCCCTAAGGTGCCCCTTCTGATGCCAGCCTTCTGTAATCCTGTCACTCATATGGTTCTTCTGCTCTCAGCCAAGCCTTTAGTTGCAAAATGAATTTAGAAGGTCAGTTTAGATTTGCTTTTCCAAATGAGGTTTCTCAGTATACCAGAGTCACTTAATAAATTCTCTTCCAGTAGCCAGCTCAGGCTCCCTTGGGTTTCTTTCTACTTAGGTGAGTTCAGTCCTGAATACAGGTTAGGCTCAGAAAGAATTTTCTAGTGTCAAAGAGGGCCTCTCCTGTGCTTATTATTACTTATTGCTACATCTGTTTGAGTCGTGCTCTCACCCTGGGTAAACCTCAGTTTTAGGCCAAAGTGAGCCTTGGGGCACTGGAGTGGGCACCTCTTCATTGCCATCCACACCTTTTCTCATGGGACTACACTGGCCTTATCGCAGGAACATGTCCTCCTCCCCTTAAAACAAAAAGAGCAGTGTGAGCTTAATTAGAATATGGATTATAGTGCCATAACAGAGAGAACAACATAGCTGGCTAAAATCAGAGAAGTTTATTTCCCTCTCAGGATGAACTGCAAGTTACCCATGGTGGCTGTGCTCAGGCTCTGAAGGTCCCCGGGCCTTGCTTTCTCCCCATTGTTCCACCAGGCTCTAAAGGTCCCTGGGCCTTGCTTTCTCCCCGTTTTTCCACCAGGATCTGAAGGTCCCTGGGCCTTGCTTTCTCCCCGTTGTTCCACCAGGCTCTGAAGGTTCCTGGGCCTTGCTTTCTCCCCGTTGTTGCCCCAGGTGCTGCTCTTCTTTGGTGTCCAAAATGGCTCCCTGCCTTGCTTATCTTTCAGCTGCTGGGAAGGGAAGTGAAGGGAAAGTATGCTCCTTTCTTTTAAGGCACAACCCAGAAGTGCCACACATCACTTCTTGTATCCGATAGGCAGAACATCTGCCACCCCTCTCTCAAGGGAACATGGAACATGAACTCTTCCTATGGAAGAAGTGGAGAAATAGTGTTGGGAAGGGCACTGCAGCCTTTACCACATGAGCTAAGAAGAATGCAGGGCTTGAGGAGGGAGGGGTTATTGGAGGGCCATCCTGGGTTGGTATCTGGGTGGGACTCATGGTAGGGGACTGATAGGAGATGAGATTGGGAAGGTAGACATGGTGAAATGACAGTGGCAGACCCTGACTACCACTTCTCTGATAGGCAGAGAGAACCCCTCCAAGCCCATATCTGCTTCTGTCTGCCCTTGAGCTACCACCCCCTTGTGCAGATCAGAACATGCTCTGGTCAGTGCTTGTCCCAGCCTCGTGGCTGAGCTCTGTGGTGTACAAGCAGTTACCCCATAGGTGGTGGTGATGCTATTCTTTTCCCTCCTGGAAGCGGCGGTCTGATGACAGTTGTCCCTCTGCTCTCATAAATCAGTGACTGGATGGAATACTCAAGAGTCAGCTGTATGGAGGAGCAAGAGGGCCTCTGGTATTTCTCCTGATGGACACCTGCAGCTTGGGGAGAGGACAAGTGGCCATCCTGGAGGAAAGCCTCACCCTGCTTAGGTGACAAGCTGCTCTCTGATCCAGAGCCTGGCAGGAAGTCACTCTTTGTCCAACCTAGTCAGGGCAGCCGGGAGGAAGCTCCACAGCCAGTACATGCTCTGTGGGTCATGGAACAATTGGTAAAGCTGTCCAGAGAGAGAGTTGACAGCAGACCAGCGACCAGCACTGCTTTCCAGGGAAAGAATATTGCAAGCAAGATAATAACAGCTGACATTTGAGTACTTCATGTGCTGGGCGCTGTTCCAAGTTCGTTACTTGTATTGTCTTATTTAGTTATCAGAACAAACCCTCTGAGGTGGGTGCTGTTATGCCTAATTTATGCAGTTATTCCACTGTGGTCTCAGAGTGTGGTTGATATGATTTCAATGATTTGAATTCACTGATACTTGGTTTATGGCCAAGCATGTGGTCAATTTTAGATTATTTGCCATTTGCAGATGGGTGGAATGTATAGTTTGTCATTGCTGGATTTAAGTCCAGTATTTCTTTGTTTTTTGCCTCGATGATCTTTCTAATGCTGTGTCAGAGGGGTGTTGAAGTCCCCCACTAAAATTATGTGACTAAGTCTTTCTTTAGGTCTGGAAGTACTTGTTTTAAGAATTTGGATGCTCTAATGTTGGCATATTAGGCATCTATAATGCCTAATTTATAGATTAGAAACTAAGGTGCAGATGAGATGGATTAATTTGAACCAATATTTACAGCTCTAGCAGGTGGTGGAGCCATGATTTGAATCTGTTGTGAAGCCCATACTCTCACTTTGAGGCTCTGCTGTCTTTTATGATTCCAGGGAAGAGTGCCTGTCCCAGGCCCTGGAGTGGGAGATAGGAGTGCCTCCCTGCAGGAGACTTCCTGTGCACCTGGCAGTCTGGGGATTTCTGCCTGTTGTCACCTTGTCTACTCCTGTTCCTCAGGGACTCACCTGCCTTAGCTCAGTCCTTGCTGGGCAATTCTCTGTGTCTTTTCTAGGGCCTGCAAGTTCTGCCACTGGAGTTTACAAATGACCACTATCTTTAGCCAGATAACCAGGTATGCCCTAGCATTGGGCAGTTTTCCTCTACATCTTGCCCTCTCTGTCTCAAGGATTTAGGACCTAGATTATGTTGCTGCTTCAGGCAGTTCTGCTGCTGACAAGATAAATTCTGTTAGCATTTCACTAAGCTGATGGGTATAATTACTTTAGTTGGAGGTCACTAAAACCTGAATTTACAAATAAAAACTGGATCAGGGAGCAGTCTGTGTGTGTGTTGTGGAGGAGTGTGGGTGAAGGTACAACAGATAATATCCCTCCTTTGCTGAGATCCTTCCAGTGGCTCCCTAAATCACTCATAGTAAAAGCCAACTTCCTCACAGGGCCCTTCATCATGTTCTGCTGCTAGCCTCCATCTGCTTCTTTCCCTTACTCAACCTAATTCTAATTTCAGTTCCATTGGAGCCATACAGATCTCCTTGCTATTTCTTTATTTCAAATTCCAGTTATTCATTGCTGGCATATAGAAAAGCAATAGATTGTTGTATATTAACTTTGTGTCTTGTAACCTTGCTGTAAGTGCTGTTCTGGCAGTCTTTGTTTTGATCAATTCTTTGGGATATTCTACATAGACAGATCATCTGCAAACAAAGATAGTGTTATTTCTTCCATTTCAATCTGTAGAGCTTTTATTTCCTTTTCTGGCTTATTCCACTCGCTAAGATTTCCAGTAAAATGTTGAATAGGAGTAGAGAGAGAGGCACCTTGCTTTGTTCCTGATCTTAAGGGGAAAGCATCCAATTTCTTACCATTAAGTATGAAGTTGGCTGCAAAGAAGTTCTTTATCCAGTTGAGGAAATTCCCTCCTATTCATAGTTTGCTGCCCCATCAGCTTTTTAGGTTGGTGCAAAAGTAATTGTGGTTTTTGCTGTGACTTTCAGTGGCAAAAACAGCAATTCTTTTGCACCAACTGAATAGAATGTAGCTCTGTGAGGGACAGGGGGTGTTATCTGTCTTTGTTCATTGCAATATCCCTCCTCCCTAGAATGTGCCTGGAACATAGTATATGCATGGTATCTGTTGCCTAAATGAATTGAAACCATGGCTAATAATACGGTGGTAGTCAAACTGTGTAAAAATGAGTTTTGTTTTTATGTTTGGGGAAGACCCTGTTCTCAGGATCAATGAAAAGTAAAAATGACTGATAGCTTTTTTGAAATTCAGAAGGCATCTGACCATGTTTTGCCAGTCTGCTGTCTTTGGGCCTTGGGTTTTTGGTTTTAAAAATGAGTGCTTTTACAAATTGGTCTAAGTTCTCTCCAGCTTTCATGTTTGTTGACTTTCTTTCTAGTTGCAGGGTATTTTAAAAGTTAAGGAGCTCAAATACCCTTAAGTCCTATGTTCTCTAGCCAGTAGATCAACTCTGCCTATAGATTCCAGGCTTGCCAGCCAGTAGGCACAGCCCACTCTTCCTTTCTGATGGTTACCAAGTGCTAATTTGGGAGAGGGGCCTGGGTTGCAGAGGAGACATGGTGCTGGAGAGTCAGACCAATTTGCTTTTAAATACCTATGTGATGTCAGGTGGGTGATTTCACCTCTCTGAGCTTCAGTTTCCCGGCCTGTAAAATGGGAATGATATACACACAAGTTGTTGTAAGGATTAAATGAGATATTTGTGGTTTCCTTGCACACAAGTGCTTAGTTAAAATGGAATCTGATTGTCTACCCTGCCTCACACCTGCTTTGTGGATATCTTGATTCCATATCAGAATCACTTGGAAAGTTTTAAAAATCCTGATATCCTTGAAAACATCATGCTAAATGAAAGAAACCAGACACAAAAGGTCACATATTGTATGGTTCCATATTTATGAGATATCCAGAGTAGATAAGCCCATGGAGTCAGATGCAGGTTGGTGGGGCTGAGGGGAAGGGCTTAGGGGAGGGGAAATGCTGCTTAATGGTAAAGGGTTTTACTTTGGAGTGATGGAAATGTTCTTAGAACTATATCAAAGTGGTCGTACAACATTGTGAATGTACTAAATGCAACTGAATTGGTTGTTTTTCTTTACAGCTGTATCGAGACTTAATTGTACAATGAACTACACATATTTAAATGGTATAATTGGTGAGATTTGACATATGTTTATACCCAACTATCACCACAATCAAGATAGTAAACATATTCCATTCCCTCCCAAACTTTCCTCATGCCCCTTTTTAGTTCCTCCTTCCCACCTCTCCCCTCCCCCTGAGCTCCAGGCAACCACTATTCTGCTTACTGTTACTTGTGGTGTGTTTTCTCTCTTTTTTCTTCCCCCCCGAGATGGAGTCGCTGTGTTGCCCAGGCTGGAGTGAAGTGGCACGATCTCAACTCACTACAACCTCTGCCTCCTGGGCTCAAGCGATTCTCCTGCCTCAGCCTCCCAAGTAGCTGGGATTACAGGCATGAGCCACCACACCCAGCTAATTTTTGTATTTTTAGTACAGATGGGGTTTTATCGTATTGGTCATGCTGGTCTTGAACTCCTGACCCCAGCTGATCTGCCTACCTTGGCCTCCCAAAGTGCTGGGAGTGAGCCAGCATGCCCAGATGGTTTGTTTTCATTTTGCAGACTATTGTAGAAATGGAATCCTGCAGTGCGCACTTGTTTTGTCTGGCTCCTTTCACCCAGCATACTTTGAGATTCACTTATGTTGCTGTTCGTACCTTTTTTTCTATTTTTATTTTTTGAGACGGAGTCTTGCACTGTCGCCCAGGCTGGAGTGCAGTGGCCAGACCTCAGCTCACTGCAAGCTCCGCCTCCTGGGTTCACGCCATTCTCCTGCCTCAGCCTCCCCAGTAGCTGGGACTACAGGCGCCCGCTACCACGCCCGGCTAATTTTTTCTGTATTTTTAGTAGAGACAGGGTTTTACCATGTTAGCCAGGATGGTCTCAATCTCCTGACCTCGTGATCCGCCCGCCTTGGCCTCCCAAAGTGCTGGGATTACCGGCATGAGCCACTGCGCCCGGCCTGCTGTTCCTACCTTTATTGCTGAAAAGTCTTCCATTGTGTGGATACATCATGAATTATTTGTACATTCACTTGATGGACATTTGGGCAGTTTTCAGTTTGGGGCGATTACAACTAAAACTGCTATGAGTCTTCATGTATAAGTCTCTATGTGGACGTAAGTGATGCTTTCTCTTGAATGAATATGTTGTAGTGGATGGCAAGGTCATAGGATATATGTACGTATAAACTCTTGTTGATATCTAAAAAGTAAGGCATGGTGAATTACTTGAAATCCTATAAATATATTTGGTAAGAGAAGAAGAAACGACTGGATTTTTTTGTTTGTTTGTTTTGGAGACAGATTCCCACTCTGTCACCCAGGCTGGAGTGCAATGGTGCGATCTGGGCTCACTGCAACCTCCGCCTCCCCGATTCGAGCAATTCTTCTGCCTCAGCCTCCCAAGTAGCTGGGATTACAGGCATCTGCCACCACGCCTGACTAATTTTTATATTTTTAGTAGAGACGGGGTTTTGCCATGTGGGCCAGGCTGATCTCAAGCTCCTGACCTCAGGTGATTCACCTGCCTTGGCCTCCCAAAGTGCTGGGATTACAGGCATGAGCCACCGTGCCCGGCTACGACTGAATTTTTCTTTCTTTCTTTTTTTTTTTTTTCTTTGAGATGGAGTCTCGCTCTGTCGCCAGGCTGGAGTGCAATGACATGATCTCGGCTCACTGCAGCCTCCGCCTCCCGTGTTCAAGCGATTCTCCTGCCTCAGCCTCCTGAGTAGCTGGGATTACAGGCACACACCACCAGACCCAGCTAATTTTTGTATTTTTAGAGAGACGGGGTTTCACCATGTTGGTCAGGCTGGTCTTGAACTCCTGACCTTGTGATCTGCCCGCCTGGGCCTCCCAAAGTGCTGGGATTACAGGCGTGAGCCACCGCACCCAGCAATGACTGGATTTTTCAATGGTGAAGCTATTAATTTTGAAAACTGATCTCAGTAGAGTGGTAGGTGGGAAGCTTTTTAGAATGTAATTAGGAAAAACTGTGAAGGGAGAAGTTTGGACAGGGAGGATTGACATCTTAAGGAGTTTTGTTGTAGAGTAGAGAGGATAAAGTTTTGGTATTTAGAAGGCATGAACTGTTCATTTAAAAATAATTTTATGTTATATGAATGGTACCTCAATTTTTAGAAAAAGAATGAAACAAGCAACAGAATCCTGGCTGGATGCGGTGGCTCACACCTATAATCCCAGCACTTTGGGAAGCTGAGGCGGCTGGATCACCTGAGGTCAGGAGTTCAAGACCAGCCTGGCCGAAATAGTGAAACCCCATCTCTACTAAAAATACAAAATTTAGCCAGGTGTGGTGGCGTGTGTCTGTAGTCCCAGCTACTCTGGAGGCTGAGGCAGGAGAATCGCTTGAACCCGGGAGGCGGAGGTTGCAGTGAGCTGAGATCGCGCCACTGCACTCCAGCCTGGGTGACATGGCGATGAAAACAACAAAAATCAGATCCCCAGGTGATTCCAGTATGTAGCCAGGGTTGAGGAGCAGTGATCTAAGTAGAGTTT
The DNA here is from genome assembly GCF_000001405.40 of Homo sapiens. NCBI lineage: Eukaryota > Metazoa > Chordata > Mammalia > Primates > Hominidae > Homo > Homo sapiens. The sequence goes on from NC_000020.11 coordinate 35,912,899, forward strand.
TGCAAACTTGTCTGTAAAGGGCCAGATAATAAATACTTTTCAACCTTGGGGTTGAAAGGTCTCTGTCCTCACTTTTCAGCTCTGCTGTTGAAGTGTGAAAGACACGTAACCAATGAACATGGCATGTTTCACTAAAATCCATTTACAATGACGGGCCATGGGCCAGAGTGTGCTGAGCTGGACTGAAAGGCTAAGTGATGGAGGCGTGGCTCTGCCTCCAGACTGGAGCAATCTGCTCCAGACTTCCCAGGCAGAGCCAGACCCATCGGACATGCTTGCTTAGGAGAAGAATAAGCACCCCAGCATTGAAAACAAAATGTTAAAATGCCAACATTTGTGTTTAATTCTAGCTACAAAAGACAAGGAAAAGAATAAAGAGAAGAAATTCAAGGAGTTTGTGAGAGTGAAGCCAAAGAAGAAAAAGAAAAAGAAAAAGAAAACCAAACCTGGTAATTTTTTTTCCTGAGGGTTTCACTTAGGTTTCCTTACTATGAATGGGGAGGGGTTGCTTTCTCCCATTATGGCCTCTGGGCCTGCGCTGAGCAGAGGAAGGACCAATAGTCTCTTACCAGGGCTTGTGGGCTCAACCTAGTATGGGCCCTGGAAGGGGAGGCATCCACTCACCCAGGTGTTACAAAGTCCTGCTGGCATTGAAAAGCCTTCTCACTTGCTGCCTTGGCCAGTGTGCCCTGCTGCAGGATGGTACAGATGAAGGCATCGAAGTGTAAGCAGATGTGCAGGTGAATGATGGTATTTGTTCACACACACGACTCTTAAAACACATCTTTGAGCCCTCTTGAGAAAGGATTCCCTTCTTAAAAACTGTGTCTAGCCCTCACAAAAATGTTTAGAAAAATCTATATATTCTGACTTGGGACTTAAAGGATGCCACGTTTTATTCTTGGTGTATCTTCTAGCTTAGAAAAACAATCTTATCAGAAAAAGAGGAGAGGGTCAATACTTAAGAGGAGGTGTTTGGGCCCCTTCATCTGCTCTCCACACCTCTTTTTGGTTGAATTGTCCCTGAGCCTTTGTGCTGCTTGAAAAGGAGGCTTGTTGGTTGGATGAGATTGATTCTAGAATGCACCAGTGTTAACTAGGGTTATTCATTCCTTCCTGATCCTGTTCTTCCAGAATGCCCCTGCAGTGAGGAGATCAGTGACACCTCCCAGGAACCTTCTCCACCCAAGGCATTTGCTGTTACCAGGTGTGGGTCCTCACACAAGCCAGGGGTCCATATGAGCCCGCAGCTTCATGGCCCAGAATCTGGACACCACAAAGGGAAAGTGAAAGCATTGGGTAAGGAGGCTCTTCTGTCCTGATCATTTGCTGATCATTTATTGGAAAATACAAGCATACCTGGGAGATATTATGGGTTTGGTTCTAGGCCACTACAATAAAACAAATAAAGCTAGTCAGACATAATTTTTATTTTCCCAGTGTTTACAAAACTTATGTTTATACTATATTGTAGTCTCTTAAGTGTTCAGTAGCATATGTCTAAAACAATGCATATACCTTAATTGGAAAATATTGTTGTGTTGAGAAATGTCAAGTTTTTTGGAGTAAGTCCTCAAAAGCATAGACAATAAATAAAGAAATGGACAAGTGGGATTGCATCAAGCTGAAAAGCTTATGCACAGCAAACTAAACGATTAATAGAATGAACCGAAAACCTACTGAATGAAAGAAAATATTTGTAAACTATTCATCAACAAGAGATTAGTAGCTGGAATATATAAGAACTCAACTCAATAGAAAAATTATTCAATGTAAAAATTGGTGGCCAGGCGCGGTGGCTCACACTTGTAATCCCTACACTTTGTGAGGTGAGGCAGGTGGGTCACTTGAGCCCAGAAGTTTGAGACCAGCCTGGCCAACATGGTGAAACCCATCTCTGCAAAAATACAAAAACTTAGCCAGGCGTGGTGGTGTCTGCCTTGTAATCCCAGCTACTCGGGAGGTTGAGGCAGGAGAATCGTTTGAATCTGGGAGGCAGAGGTTGCAGCGAGCCAAGATCATGCCACTTCACTCCAGCCTGGGTGACAAAGCCAGACTCCGTCTCAAAAAAAAAAAAAAAACAGTAAAATATGTTATATATATACATATACATATATATATGTATATATGTAAAAAAAAAGGTAAAATGTTTTATATATATATATATAGATATACACACACTTACACACATATATATATGTGCTCAACCTAATATGGGCCCTGGAAGGGAGGCACCCACTCACCCAGGTGTTACAAAGTCCTGCTGGCATTGAAAAGCCTTCTCACTTGCTGCATTGGCCAGTGTGTCCTGCTACAGGATGGTACATATGAAGGCATTGAAGTGTAAGTGGATGTGCAGGTGAATGATGGTATTTGTTCACACACACGACTCTTAAAACATATCTTTGAGCCCTCTTGAGAAAGGGTTTATATATATAATTTATATTTTAAAATATATATATATATTTTGTTTTGTTTTGTTTTGTTTTGCTTTGTTTTTGTTTTTGAGACAGAGTCTCACTCTGTTGCCCAGGCTGGAGTGCAGTGGCGCGATCTTGGCTCACTGCAACCTCTGCCTCCTGGATTCAAGCAATTCTCCTGTCTCAACCTCCCAAGTTGCTGGGATTACAGGTGTACGCCACCACGCCTGGCTAATTTTTGTATTTTTAGTATACACAGGGTTTCACCATGTTGGTCAGGCTGGTCTTGAACTCCTGACCTTGTGATCCACCCACTTCGACCTCCCAAAGTGCTGGGATTACAGGCATGAGCCACCGTGCCTGGACTGTTACATTTCTTAAAACTTTCTTTGAAATAAAATTAGTTTAGTTATTCCATATGTCCTGAAAAATGTGACATATGTGTTCATTAGATCAATCTTGTTTTGATGTAATGTTCAAAAATTTGAACTAGCAATACATTTCATTATGTTAACTGACAATTTAAAAAATGAAAGCTGGGTGCAATGTCCCACACCTGTAATCCCAACACTCTGGGAGGCTGAGGCGGGTGGATTGCTTGACCCCAGAAGTTCAAGACCAGCCTGGGCAACATGGCAAACCTTGCCTCTACAAAAAATACAAAAAAAGTTAGCCGGTTGTTGTGGCATGCACCTGTAATCTCAGCTACTTAGGAGGCTCAGGTGGGAGGAACACCTCAGCCCAGGAGGTCAAGGCTGCAGTGAGCTGTGATCATGCCACTGCACTCTGGGAGAAAGAATGAGACCCTGTCTCAAAAATAAGTAAATAAAATAAAAATAATAAAAAGTAAAACAATATTTTATTGCTTAAAAATGCTGACAGACACAAAGTATTTGCTTTTGCAATAATGGTGTCAGTAGACTTTCAGGGTTGCTGCCACACACCTTCAATTTGTAAAATAATATACAATATCTGTGAAGTGCAATAAAATATTAATAGTTATGCCTGACTTAGAACAGTATCTGCTTCAGAACAAGCGCTTAGTAAAAGTTAGCTGTGATTATAACTAATCAGGCATCAAGTGATTCTGCCTCTGATTATCCCTGGAATCTTCCTCTTCCTCATTCCTCACTGTCTATAGAGTTTTTGTTTTTGATTTTTGTTTTTGAGACGGAGTCTCACTCTGTCACCCAGGCTGGAGTGCAGTGGCGTGATCTTGGCTCACTGCAACCTCTGCCTCCTGGGTTCAAGTGATTCTCCTGCCTCAGCCTCCCCATAGCTGGGATTACAGGCGCACACCACCACACCTAGCTAATTTTTTTGTATTTTTAGTAGAGACAGGGTTTCACCACGTTGGCCAGGCTGGTCTCAAATCCTAGGCTCAAGTGATCGGCCCACCTTGGCCTCCTAAAGTGCTGGGATTACAGGCGTGAGCCACTGTGCCCAGCCTGTTTGTCTTTTGAGACAAAGTCTCACGCTGTCACCCAGGATGGAGTGCAGTGGTGTGATCATAGCTCACTGCAGCCTCAAACTCGCAGGCTCAAGGGATCCTCCTGCCTCAGCCTCCTCAGTAGCTGGGACTGTAGACGTGCATCACCGTGCCCAGCTAATTTTTTTTTTCTTTTAGTGGAGATGGGGTTTTGCCATGTTGCCCAGGCTTGACTTGAACTCTTGAGTGCAAGCAATCCTCCTCCTTCGGCCTCCCAAAATGCTGGTATTAGAGGCATGAACCACCATGCTCAGCCTTTGTTTACAGAGTTTTAAAGGTAGCTCTGGATACAGACAGACTGTAAGCCAGGTCCTGACTGGATGGAGTGAGGCTGAAGAACATGTTAGAGTTGTCAGGGATGGTGGCCTGTGTGGTTCATGGGGAGTTGTAGCTCCTCTGCCACTGAGTTCTATGATCTTGAGTAGCCACTGCCGTTGGGCTTCATTCTCTCAGTGAAATGAGGAAGTGGAGTTGAGTTCACTGCCAGGCAGCATGCTTCGTTTGGGCTGTTACTAAATGACAGATCCAAGGACAGATTGGCATCCTCGTTTCCTTGCCCTATGAATGTTCTTGTTTGGAGGTATGGGACTATAATGTCATTTTTCATTCTTGACAATCAAAGGTTTTTTAATTTTATAACCTAAAATAGTAACTGTTGTTTTCCCTTTCCTCGTAGAGGAGGATAATTTGAGTGAGTCCTCTTCTGAGAGCTTTCTCTGGAGTGATGATGAGTATGGCCAAGATGTGGATGTGACCACCAACCCAGATGAGGAACTTGATGGGGATGACCGCTATGACTTCGAGGTGGTCCGCTGCATCTGTGAGGTCCAGGAGGAAAATGACTTCATGATTCAGGTAGGCAGAGCTTCCAGGAAACAGGTCTAGAGAAGCACAAACTGGTCCTTGGAGGGAATTTTGAGGCCAGCAACAATGGCAAGTCATAGCAGAGCCCCAGAAACACAGCACGAACGGCAGCAGACTGAGCTTCTCTTTTTCGTTTGGCTTCCTCAGAGTTCCAGGCTGCCATACATAGTCCATTGATGGAGTAAGAGAGGACTTTAGGGATCACTGAGTCTAAACCTCTCATGCTCTGCTTGAGGCAGCTGGGACCCGCAAATGGGAAGGGCCTTGCCTGTGGTCACAAAGTGAGGAGTTGAACAGCAGGGACTGAAATCTTTGGAGTGGCAGTTTAATCTTCCCATGGACTCTTATCTTCTCTTTGAGGTAAATTTTCTTTAAGATCCAAAGTCATGCAGGCTGGCTTTATAACTTCTATGTTTCTTTTTCTTTATTTTCCTGACATTTGAGTCTGTCATCTTCATCTCTGAGATGTGCCTGTGGTGGGTGGGACCTCCTTACCTGCTTGGGGAAACCATGCCTGGCCAGCACCTGCCTGCCCTGTCCCTTGTCTGTAAATTGCAGTTCTGGGAGAGGTGGCGCTGGCTGGCTGGCTCCTAAGGGTGTCACAAGTTCCCTGGGTGTCTTGACAGCTGCCCAACTGGCTTGGGAAGCTGAGTTTTTAAAAGTCATGGTTATATTGGTTAGGATTTTTTTTTAGGGGCAAGTACAAATATTGTTGGGAAAATAGACTGGGTCCTAGGGCTCAGAGGCAGGGCTGCTTTCAGGCTCAGAACCTGGAATTCCATCTTGAGGGCCTTGGTCTGCCTTGTTTCCTGCTTCTCTGGAGTCCTTTTGGTTCTTTTTTATTTTATTCCTTGCTTATTTTCTTGGAAAATGCAAAATGGCCACCTTTGGCCTCGCCCCAATTTTACATTTTTGTGTTCAAGAGGCTAGGTAGACCAAGGTCAGAATCTTAGTCCCAGTTCTAAATTTCTGAGTAAGTAATTCCAGCCAAATTTAGATCAGATATTAGTTTTTGGAACAGTCACCTGTGGCCAGAGGGGAAAGAGGTTTGTTATGGATCAAATGCTCTCCCCTGGTCTAGTTGTCTGATCTGGTGGTAGTAGAGCTTACAGATTATCGACAGGGGCAAAAAGACTGCCTGGGGCCCACCTGTGTTATATTATAGCGTTAATGGGGGTTCAGGGATTGTTCCCAGTAAAGGGGGTGGCTGCCCATTGTCCAATAAGAATCTGTATAGCCTATTGAGATTATGAGAAACAGGCCCAGCCCCTTTGGCTTGCTTTCTGTGATAGAATATTATTTCCTTGCCCTTTCAGTACTGTAGGTTGGCATGGCATGGGTTTGGTTTTTTTTTTCTTTTTGAGACGGAGTTTTGCACTTGTTTCCCAGGCTGGAGTGCAATGGCGCGATTTCGGCTCACCACCACCCTCTGCCTCCCAGGTTCAAGCGATTCGCCTGCCTCCACTGCCCGAGTAGCTGGGATTACAGGCATGTGCTACCACGCCCGGCTAATTTTTGTATTTTCAGTAGAGAAGCGGTTTCTCCATGTTGGTCAGGCTTGTCTGGAACTCCCGACCTCAGGTGATCCACCTGCCTTGGCCTCCCAAAGTATTGGGATTACAGGCGTGAGCCACCGCGCCTGGCAAAATATTTTTGTTATGGTAATTTTTTTTTTTTTTTTTTTTTGAGACGGAGTCTCCCTCTGTCACCCAGGCTGGAGTGCAATGGCGCAATCTCGGCTCACTGCAACCTCTGCCTCCCGGGTTCAAGCGATTCTCCTGCCTCAGCCCCCTGAGTAGCTGGGACTATAGGCGCCTGCCACCATGCCCGGCTAATTTTTGTATTTTTAGTAGAGACGGTGTTTCACCATATTGGCTAGGCTGGTCTTGAACTCTTGACCTTGTGATCTGCATGGCATGGATTTTTGAAATTCACTTTTGGATCTTGACTTAATATACAGTTACATTTTTTCCTCTCATCTTTGAATTTGTTGTCTTTATACTCAACAATCCCCTTTCCTTTTATTTCTTGAAACATTGGGACTTTTCCGTAGCTCTTTAAACTTTCAGAACAACTAGAGATGAGTAGATGTATTTGCTTTTTTGCCTTTTATTTTCCCAGGGCTTTTAGAAAACACTTTTATTTTGAAATAATTATAGATTCACAGGAGATTGTAAAGAGGTGTACAGGAGAGTCCCATGAATTCCTCTGCTGGTCTTCCTCCCATGGCAAAAGCCCATAAACCCACAGTAGGATATCAAAACTACAAAACCATTTGACATTGGCATAATCACTAGAGCTTATTCAGATTTTATCAGTGATATACACATACTCATTTGTGTGTGCATATAGCTCTGTGTGCTTTCATTACAAGTACAGCCTTGTGTAATCACTCCCGCAATCAAGGTACTGAGGTATACTAAGACCATGAGATTCCCTCCTGGTACCCATACTTTGTAGCCATACTTATCCCTAACCCTGGAAACACTAAACTGTTTCAACTGTCTATAATTATGTAATTTATGATTCTTGGTTAATGGAATCACGTGGTATGTATCTTTTTGAGAGAGGCCTTTTTTACTCTGTATAATATCCTTGAGATTCATCCATGTTGTTGTGTGTTTCAGTAGTCATTTATTCTTATTGTCCGGTAGTATTCCATGCTATGGATGTACCACAGTCGTGCTCTTTTTGTTAATAGAACTAAAGCAACTCTATGGAGCTAAGGTAACTGGGTACAGCTGAGTAGTGATTTAAAGTTTCTGGAGTGTTTTCAGAAATACCATCTCACCTCTAACAAGGCGATCTCAAGTCACTTATTTGGGAAAACAAAATTACGAAGATATGATTTCTTTCATTGTTGTAGAACCATTAAATAAGTCATCAGATTATGATTTGAACCCAGGGCACCCAGTCAAGTGCTCTTTCCCTATGCGGCCTTAGCTACGGGGATTTACATTTACAGTTGAGAAGTGAAACAAGAAAAATTTGTTTTTGAAACATAATAGTACCATCTAGCCTGGCTGACCAACCCTTCCCCAGCACCACCAGTGGACATGCGCATGTACATACACACATACATACCCACACTTTAGGCTGAGGGAGAGTCTTGTCTTTTTGAATAGCCTTCATAGTAACCTCTGGGATTCAAGGGTACCTGATATTTAAGACCTTTATTAAACCTTGGTTCAGTGGTTTTCAAACATTTTTGAATATCAGAACCCCTTTTCCTAATGGACTGTTTCATAGAACCCCAAAATGTGTAACAGGTAACAGCAATAGTTTTGAAAGTTCAAAATGGATAATCTTTACTTGTGAGGTCGGACATGTGAATGGTGGGCATATTCCCATGATTCTAATATGCTGTCAGAATTATGAGTGACAGACAGTTGCTGACTTGGAGCACTTCAGTGGCTCATTTGTTTTTCTCTATTTGGTTATACAACAGTGAGACAAGCGTGATGCACATGGCCATTGTCAGGGTGACTTTTCCTGAACAGCATGCTGTGTAGTTACTTTGATTAATCAGAGATGGGAGGACAAGCTCCGTTTTGAGGTCAACATAATACTGAGCTATCCTAGCAATACAAAATTATGTGTGGTGGCGGGCTTCATTGTCTTAACATATGGCTTGGAACATGTTTGAGTGTGCATCTTTTTTTTTTTAATTGTCCTACCTTAAAAACACACACATTTTGCAGACTCTCTGAAGCCCTGTGGACTACTATTAGATAATTGTTGGTTGGGCATGCTGTAATCCCAGAATTTTGGGAGGCAGAGGCGGGAGGATTGCTTGAGCCCAGGAGTTCGAGACCAGCCCTGGAAACATAGCAAGATCCTACCTCTACAAAAAAATTAAAAAATTAGCTGGGCATGGTGATGCATGCCAGCAGACCCAACTACTCCAGAGACTGAAGTAGGATGATCACTTGAGCCTGGGAGTTCAAGGCTGCAGCGAGCCCTGGTTATTCTGTTGCACTCCAGCCTGGGTGACAGAATGAGACCCTGTCCCCACCCTCCCCCCCAAAAAAAAGAAAAGAAAAAAAATGTTATATAACATGAAGACTATCATTTTTTAGTAGATTTTTTTTAAGTTTGTTTTTAAAAGGATGTTGAAGATCTTTAGTTTCTACTCTGTCATCCTTGAGCATATGCTCAGTTCCAGGCCTTGTTAGTCTGACAGATTTGCCCTTTATCTGCCTGTTAAAATCTTCAGTGGGTGAGTAATGAATGTCCCTCCTGGCAGGGCTATTCTGTCTAACAGTATGTAACCCATTTCTGATCCACTCTGGTACTTTCTCTATTGACTTTTCTATAAGTAGCAAGGATCTTGGTGTGTTTGAGGGTAGAGGTTAATATGCCATTATGTGCTATATGAAGAAACTAATTTCGGGGCAATTGGGGCCACCATGAGCATGGCAGAGTCAGGAGCCAACTTGATCTCCTGCTTCCCAGGCTCCACAAGACCTTGTGTCTCAAGCTCACTTCAGAGCTTCTTGGCTTTTGTTCCAGAGGACTTTTCTGTGCTGTCCACCTGAACCAAGAGTGCCCACCTGGCTTTGTGTTAAGGAGGGACGGTTTCTGACTGTCCTGTCACTGTGAGCAACGTACCTTTTCTACTCAATAACTTTATCAAAAGGCATAAGTTTAGAGGGAGCTAGCTAGAACAAATACAGTTTAAACTTTTAAAATGTATTCACCATCTAATTAGGAAGACAGGAATAAATTTTTCTTAAATCTTTACCTTAAATTGATATTTTGAATAACCCTAGAATACATTTAGAGTGTGTTTTCTAGAAGTGCATGTATTACTATAGAGAAATAACTTTTTGGATCATTGTCATTATATGAGTAGTATCAACATTGTTCATGTATATCACTATTTTATCTTATTTACCAGTGCTAATTTAAATCACTGGAAGGTTAAAATCCTACTTAATAAATACGGTATTTGAGAAATCTGGCTACCACATAAAAATGAACAGGAAATACATTTGATATTTAAATTATTTTAATCGCTGTAGAGCATGTTTTGTTAAGCTTTTTCTTAAATGGCTAGATAATAAATTTTTAGGTTTTGAGGGCCATATGGCCTTGTTGCACCTACTGGATTCTTCTTTGAGCAGCTGTAGGCAATATGTAAAACAAATTTTCACCTGTATGGTTGGCTGCAGTGGCTCACATCTGTAATACTAGCACTTTGGGAGGCTGAGGTGGGCAGATCACTTTAGGCCAGGAGTTCAAGACCAGCCTGGGCAACGTGGCAAACCCTGTCTCTACAAAAAATACAAAAATTAGTTAATTGTGATGGTGCACACTTGTAGTCCCAGCTTCTCAGGAGGCTGAGGTGGGTGGATCACTTAAGCCTGGGCAGTCAAGGCTGCAGGGAGATGAGATTGTACCACTGCACTACAACCTGTTCAATAGAGTGAGACCCTGTCTCAAAAAACAAACAAACAAAAACCCCTAAACAAATGCGTATGGCTGTGTTCACATAATACTTTATTTACAAAACAAGTCAAGCTGGCATTGGCACATGGGCTGTAGTTTGCTGACCTTTGCCCTACAACAACAAGTATTAATATGTATTAAGTGTCCAACTCCAGTAAAGATTTTATAGCAGTTTTAAAAAGAAGCCCATTTTAATGGCCTAGCACTGTGGCTCACACCCGTAATCCTAGCACTTTGGAAGGCTGAAGCGGAAGGATCACTTGAGTCCAGGAGTTCAAAACCAGCTTGGGCAACATAGAGAGACCCCGTTTCTACAAGAAATTAAATAAAAATTAAGTAAATAAAAATTTAAACAAAGAAGCCCATTTGAAAGTTTTGGTTATTTTAAAATTCATATTATTTGTTGGTACCTAATGCACTGACATAATTCAAAGTCCAGAAAGCACACAGAGAAATACCTTATCCCCACCTTATCCCCAACTACCCATTCCGTAGAGTCAGCCCTTATCAGTTTCTTGTATATCCTTCCAGAAACATTCTATGGCTAAACAAACAATAGCAAATGTATTGTTTCCTTTTAAAAATTTTTTGGTAAAATACACATAACATTAAAAGTTACCCTTTTTATTTTTATATTTTCCTATTTTGAGACAGGATCTTGCTTTGTCACCCAGGATGGAGTACAGAGGCACAATCACAGCTCATGGCAGCCTCCAGCTCCTGGGCTCAAGTGATTGTTCCACCTCAGCCTTCTAAGTAGCTGAGACTACATGCACACAACATCACACCTTGCTAATTTCTTTAATTTTTTTTTGTAGAGATGGAATCTTGCTATGTTTTTCAGGCTGGTCTCAAACTCCTGGCCTCAAATGACCCTTCCTCCTCAGCCTCCCAAAGTGCTAGGATTACAGGTGTGAGCCACCCTGCCCTGCCTAAAAGTTACCATTATAACCATTTTTAAGTATGCAAGTCAGTGATGTTAAGTACATTCACATTGCTTTGCAACCATCTCTTTGTCTAAATGCAAATGTTTGCATTTTATGTATAGTATTTTCTTTTCTTTTCTTTTCTTTTTTTTTTTTTTTTGCGATGGAGTTTTGCTCTTGTCGCCCAGGCTGGGGTAGTGCAATGGTGTGATCTCGGCTCACTACAACCTCCACCTCCCAGGTTCAAGTGATTCTCCTGCCTCAGCCTCCCGAGTAGCTGGGATTACAGGCATGCACCACCACGCTTGGCTAATTTTGTATTTTTAGTAGAGGCAGGGTTTCTCCATGTTGGTCAGGCTGGTCTTGAATTCCCGACCTCAGGTGATCCGCCCACCTCGGCCTCCCAAAGTTCTGGAATTACAGGCATAAACCACTGTGCCTGGCCGCATGTATAGTATTTTTAACATCTTTTTTCATTTAGCAATATGTAAATTAAAAACCATTTTATTTTCTGCATAATGGTTGGATCACATTTTATTTTACTTTATTTTATTTTATTTTTTTGACGGAGATTCGCTCTGTCACCCAGGCTGGAGTGCAGTGGCATGATCTTGGTTCACTGCAACCTTCCTCTCCTGGGTTCAAGTGATCCTCCTGCCTCAGCCTCCTGAGTAGCTGGGACTACAGGTGTGTACCACCACACCTGGCTAATTTTTTGTATTGTTAGTAGAGATGAGGTCTCACCATGTTGGCCAGGCTGACCTCAGGTGACCAACTCCTGACTTCAGGATATCCTCCCGCCTCGGCCTCCCAAAGTGCGGGGATTATAGACAAGAGCCACTGCGCCTGGCCCATTTTTCTTTTTTTTAAGCTATATAAATATTTGATCCACCTGAAATTTTGCCAGGTATATAGTGAGAACTATGGCTCCCCATTGTACTAATACCATACCTCACTGTTTGAAATGCCACCTTTATTTACTTCATTTCTAAATGCATTTGAATCCTTTTCTGGTTCTCTCTTTCAGCGATTCATCTGTCTGTATATTTGCTCGTACAATTCTATTTTAATTATTGTACCTTTATAATATTTTTAAAATATCTGGTATGGCTAGTGTCTCCATATTGCTCTTTCTTTTTCACACATTTCCCAGCTGTTAATTTTAGAATTTTTTCTAGTTCTGAAGCTATTAATTTATTATTTTATTGAGACTTTTTTTTTTTTTTTCTGATATGGAATCTCGCTCTGTTGCCCAGGCTGGAGTGTAGTAGCGTGATCTTGGCTCACTGCAACCTCCGCCTCCTAGGTTCAAGCAATTTTGAACCTGCTTCAGCCTCCCAAGTAGCTGAGATTACAGGCGCCTGCCACCATGCCTCCCTAATTTTTGTATTTTTAGTGGAGATGGGGTTTCAAACATGTTGGCCAGGCTGATCTTGAACTTCTGACCTTAAGTGATCCCCCCGCCTCGGCCTCCCAAAGTGCTGGCTGGGATTACAGGCATGAGCCACTGTGCTTGGCCGGGACTACATTCTTTTTATAAATTAACCCAAGGATAATTGATATCCATATGTTAACTCTTGCTGTCCAGGAACAGGGTGCACTGTACATTGACTTAAGTCTCTGTGTGTGTTCTTCAAATAGTATTTACATTTTTTTTTTTTTTAGAGAGGCAATACATGCTTATGGTTATTCTTAGGTATTTTATCTTTTAGTTTGTTTATTATTCTCATTCATTTCTTAATTTAAAGGAATAATGTGTTTTAGCTACACGCACATGGAAAAAGTTATCATTGGCCAGGCGCGGTGGCTCATGCCTATAATCCCAGCACTTTGGGAGGCCGAGGCAGGCGGATCATGAGGTTATGAGATCGAGACCATTCTGGCTAACACGGTAAAACCCCATCTCTACTAAAAATACAAAAAATTAGCTGGGCATGGTGGCATGTGCCTATAGTCCCAGCTACTCAGGAGGCTGAGGCAGGAGAATGGCTTGAACCTGGGAGGCAGAGGTTGCAGTGAGCCGAGATTGTCCCACTGCACTCCAGCCTGGGTGACAGAGTGAGACTCCATCTCAAAAAAAAAAAAAAAAAAAAGTTACCATTTTGAAACTGAACTGTATTTGATTCATTTTTGGTGAATCCTGGTTTTCAAAACATGAAGTCATTGGTGAGACAGACTTTCATTTTTTTTTTTTTTTTTTTTTTTTTGAGACGGAGTCTCGCTCTGTGGCCCAGGTGGGAGTGCAGTGGCGCAATCTCGGCTCACTGCAAGCTCCGCCTCCCAGGTTCACGCCATTCTCCTGCCTCAGCCTCCCGAGTAGCTGGGACTACAGGCGCCCGCCACCACGCCCGGCTAATTTTTTTTGTATTTTTAGTAGAGACGGGGTTTCACTGTGTTAGCCAGGATGGTCTCGATCTCCTGACCTCGTGATCCGCCCGCCTCGGCCTCCCAAAGTGCTGGGATTACAAGCGTGAGCCACCGCGCCCGGCCGACAGACTTTCATTTTTAATTGTTAGTCTGTTTTCTGCTACTGACCGCCTTTTTGTCACTTTACATATCTTCTCTGAGCCTTAGTTTCCTCATCTGTAAATTGAAGAATCTAAAACAGATATCTAAAGCCTGTCTTCCCGCTCTGCCCACATTGATTCTGATGTGATTAACTTCCTAGAGGCCTTATATCTGCTCAGGGAAGCCCTCTTGATGCCAGGACCTATGTGACTCCCAGTGGTTGAGGACCATCTGAGCTCTGGATTTCTAGTCCCTTGTGGCCAGGCTGGTGGGCCACCATCAAGGTCATGTCAGGAAGCTCACTGTCCACCTTCTAGGGCTAATTTGTTTGGTTGGGTAGTTAAAGGTTTAGGGTCCTGGTTTGGAATTGCTTGAAGTGCCCTAGTATCTCCTCGGGAGTTCGCCTTTCCTTTTCATTCCCTCCTCTGGACCCTTAGCTCTCAGACCTACTATCCTCAGGCTGTCCACATGTCTCCCAGTGCAACCCTCATTGTCAACTCCCTCCTTTCCCTCTCTGCCTTCTGGCCCTCTCCCCCTGTCCCCTCAATACTCAGGGAAGGAAGTGGAGCCTTGGGTTGAAAGAACTGGTTTAGCAACGAGTCAGGTTATGTTCTTATCCACCTTTGCCTTTCAATAGCTATGTGATCTTTGGTAAGGTTTAGAGAGAATAAATGCAAAGTACTAACCCATGATTACTCCAGCAGGGGTCTTAGTGAATTGGTTTGCTCATTAGTGGTTAATAGTATTAATAGTAGCTTATTACATAAAGCTATGTGCTGGGCTCTGTAATAGGAGCTTTTACATATGACCCATTGAATCTTCACAAACAGCCCCAGGAGGAGGGTAGGAATTGTGTATCCCATTTTGCAGATGGGGAAAATAAAGCCCAGGAGAACTAACCTGTGCAAAGTCACACAGCTAATGAGTGTCTGAGCCATAATTCAAACTCAGCTTTAAGATGTCACTCGTGGGACTGAGGAACTGAATTTTTAGCTTACCTTGTTAATTTCAATGTAGAGCCACATGTGGCTAGTGGCTACCATACTGGACAGTGCAGTTCCAGATGTGTGGCAGCAGCTCAGTTCCACGTTAGTCAGGAGGGAGTGCTCCTTCCTCCCCTCTCCTTCTATCCTCCCATGCCCCTCCCCTCAGCAGGTGGGTCTTACTTTTGGATGGAGAACACCTTCTGAGTTTAATTTTTGTTGCTTCTTTAATTCTAACAGTGTGAAGAGTGCCAGTGCTGGCAGCATGGGGTCTGCATGGGATTACTGGAAGAAAATGTGCCCGAGAAATACACCTGTTATGTTTGCCAAGACCCTCCAGGTAGAGATTTCTGGAGTCAGGGATATAACAGTATGTAGCCTTTTCCTTGGCACAGCTGGCTGTGACACATTCTAAATGTCTGCGGTCTTGAGACTCATTTCTTCAGCATCGGCTAGACTCCAGCTCCTCCTCGCCTCTGTTGCTATCCTGCCTTGTGGCCAGCTATCCTGAACGTAGCAATAAGAGCACACGTGTGAAGGGGCCCACCTAGTGGAAGGCCTGGCCTTGAGCTAGAACTTTTCCTTTTCTTTAATTATGGTTTAAAAAAAATGCATGAGGCCGGGCGCAGTGGCTCACGCCTGTAATCCCAGCACTTTGGGAGGCCAAGGCGGGTGAATCAACTGAGATCAGGAGTTCGAGACCAGCCTGGCCAATGTGGTGAAACTCCATCTCTACTAAAAATACAAAAATTAGCTGGGCATGGTGACAGGCGCCTGTAACCCCAGCTACTTGGGAGGCTGAGGCAGGAGAATCACTTGAACCCAGGTGGCGGAGGTTGCAGTGAGCCGAGATCATGCCAGTGCACTCCAGCCAGGGCAACAAGAGCGAAACTTCGTCTCAAAAAAAAAAAAAAAAAAAAAAAAGCATGAGATCTACCCTCAACAATACAGTATTGTTGTTAATAACTATAAGCACAATGTCGTACAGCAGATCTCCAGAACTTTCATCCTGCCTGATTGAAGCTGTGTAGAAAAATGTAGAAACTTCACAAGTTTGAGTGTCATCCTTGTGTAGGGGCCATGCTAATCTTCTCTGTATTGTTCCTGTTTTAGTGTATGTGCTGCCGAAGTGGCACCTTTTCCTTTTCTTGAGGACTCATGAGGATGGGCGTGTGGGCTCTGTCTTTGGCTTTTGGGGGCTATTGGAGGGTTAGAAACTTGCCTTTGCCCCCTGTGGCAACATCTGCCCTTCATCACATCACTGCCATCCTGAAGGGAGAAATGCCCTTGAGGGGAAGGAGGAAGGCATGGTTGGGTAGAGCCTGTTGCCACCCTGAGCAGTGACTTAATTCCTTAGCAGGATCAGTTAGTTCCATGGCTATAGGGGTCACCTGTGGCTCTTGATTGCTCCTTTCTAGAAGGGGTGGATTGTAAATATGCAGTTCATTGTCTTGGTTTCCATGGGATGGTGACATTGTCTCCCATTACCACTTGTAAGGTTCTCCCTCAGCTCTAGTCCCCTGATTCCTTTAGAGCTAGACAGTGCTTGAGAGCCTCTGCTTCCGTTACTCCTTTCTGTCCGATAAGGTGGGCCTGGTTCTCCTACTCCCAGTTTTGCTTATGAGGAAGAAATTGATCCTTGAGGATACAGTTGACTTTCCTCATAAAGCAAATTGGAATTAGAACTGGTTTGCAGAGCCAGATCTCTTGATTTTGTTGGTTGTCTAGGGAGGGACTGGCCACCAGTTCATTTAACAGCATGCAGGTCCCCTCTGGGCCTGAAGGCCTCTGTTGTGACACTGTCTCCTTGTACTAGAAGCATCTGCCTCCACTTGTCCCTTTATCCCAAGGAAAGAATAGTCAGAAGATTTGACAGGTGAACAAACACAAGTCCAGAAGGGACATGACTGGCCCAAGATCACGCCACCAGCTAATGCCAGACAGGCGATGAGAACCAGTTGTCTCATACCTTTGCCTTGTAAAACAGGTAGTGCAGCTCTGAATCCTGCTGCTCTAGGCACTGCCTGCAGCAGCTGCCTCTGGGGTTCCCCCATATATTCCTGAAGGCTCCTTAGCATACCTTTTAAAAATCTTTTTTTCCCTACTGTGTCTTTCTCTCTACTTTTCCTTCTTTAGAAGTCACACACACCATCTTCATCAAATCCTGTGCACTTACTGAACTTCTACGACTTTAATCGCCAATACTGTGAATAGACTCTTCCTTGAACTGAGCACAGCATGTCTGCCACAGGGTCTACCTTTATAGACTGACTCTGCAGAGGGCTGGACCAAAAGTTTAACAGATTCGTTTTTTAAAGGCTACTTAAAAATAGTTTTAACAGAATCAAGGTGTATCCCCACCATGTGTATTAGTAAAGCCAGAAGTAGCTCAAAGACCTTAATAGGAATCACCTGGGTGTTTCAAGGTTTTTATAGATATTGACAGTCGAACAACAGTCTGGTAGAAAGCTTTTCCCTGGGACTTTGGAGCAGGTCATGTTGATAAGTCACATGTGCTTTTGTTTTCAGTCCTTCCTAAGGAGCCCTGTAACAAATAGGATGGCTGAAGCCATCCAGTTCCTATGTTGTTCTAATGAATGGATAACAGGTACAGAGAAGGGAAGGGGCCTGATCATCTGTTGAGTTAGGTGGTAGAAGGTACATTTGCAGGGGGACTTGAGGCATCTTTCCATTCATTTGATAAGTCCATTCAAGATGCCTTTTGCCAGGCACTGGGGATACAACCATGAACAAGATAGTTCCTACTCTTTCGGCTCTTAATTGGGTTGGGAGCCAGAAACAGAAGTTAAAACAAGTTAAGTAAACAAGACTGTGTAAGGTAGTGATGAATGCCGTGACGGGAAAATTGATAAGACGACTTGAGGCACTGATGATGCTCTCAACTTTGGGAAGTAGCAGAAGGCCCCACTCCTGGGCAACATGGCAAAACCCCATCAAAAAAAAATGAAAGAAAGAAAGAAAAATTAGCCAGGCATGGTGGTGCACACCTGTAGTCCCAGATACTCGGGAGGCTGAGGTGGGAGGATCACCTGAGCCCAGGGAGGCTGAGGCTGCAGTGAGCCATGATCATGCCACTGCACTGTAGCCTGGGCAACAGAGTGAGACCCTGCCAACAAAGCAGGAAAAAAATAAAAGCCTTTCTGAGGAGGTGGTAAGGAGCCAACCCTGCAAAGGCTTAGGGAATAGTGCTGCAGACAGAAGGGATGCGCAAGTGAAGGTCTTGAGGCTGGAAAGAGTTTGATGTGTTTCAGAAACTGAAATGAGGCCAGTGTAAAGGTATGGAGGGGAAGACAGGAAGGAACTGGGTCCTGTGGGCCTCAGTAAGCCAGAGTTAGAGAGTTGGGGCTTTGGGTATTCTCCTTTGAGCAGTAGGAGGCAGTGGAAGGTTTTAAGTAGGGGAGAGAATATTATGATATAAATTTGGAGATAATCTAGGTGCCCAGCTCACCTCTGGCCAGTTCCAGGAAATGAGGAAGTACATGCCTTATTCACTACCTTATCCCCACTACCTAATAGAGAGCCCAGCATATGGTAGGTGCCAAGAAAATGTACACTGGATGAATAAATGAACAAAATGAGTATACTAATCTGTTCTTCCAGTAGTTGGTATGATAATTGTGTGAGAGTGATGAAATGGCCTGGGTTTCCTTCAGGCCTTGTTTTAACCCTCTTGTTGTCACTGCTGTAGGTCAGAGGCCTGGCTTCAAGTACTGGTATGACAAGGAGTGGCTGAGCAGGGGACATATGCATGGCCTGGCATTTCTAGAAGAGAACTACTCCCATCAGAATGCCAAGAAGATCGTGGCCACCCACCAGCTTCTTGGTGATGTGCAGAGAGTGATTGAGGTTCTGCATGGCCTGCAGCTCAAGATGAGCATCTTGCAGTAAGTGTGGCACCTGCAGTGCTGGGAGCAGTCTGTTTGGCATGGTCTGGGGGCTGAGTAAATCTGAGAAATTGGAAAGCTACCAAAGCAATCAAATCATAAAACTGAGTTTGAGACCTTTACTAAAAATTATCAGTTTCAGGATAAACATTCTTTAAAAAAAAAAAAACTTTATTGAGTAATATCTTACATATAATTAGGTTCATCCACTTTAAGAGTTCATTGAGGCCGGGCATGGTGGCTCATGCCTGTAATCCCAGCACTTTGGGAGGCCGAGGTAGGCGGATCATGAGGTAAGGAGTTCGAGACCAGCCTGACCAACATGGTGAAACCCTGTCTCTACTGAAATTACAAAAATTAGCTAGGCGTGCTGGTGTGCGCCTGTAATCTCAGCTACTTGGGAGGCTGAGGCGGGAGCATCGCTTGAACCCGGGAGGCGGAGGTTGTGGTGAGCTGAGATCGTGCCATTGCACTCCAGCCTGGGCAATAAGAGCGAAACTCCGTCTCAAAAAAAAAAAGAGTTCATTGAATTTTGACATTGTATGCAGCCGTGAAGCCACCACCAGAATCAATACATGGTGTGTGTATTTTGGTTTGTTTTTTGTTTTGGCATACAGTTCTGAGTGTTTTTTTTTTTTTTTGAGATGGAGTCTCACTCTGTCACCCAGGCTGGAGTGCAGTGGTGAGATCATGGCTCACTGCAGCCTCCACCTCCTGGGTTCAAGCGATTCTCCCACTTCAGCCTCCCAAGTAGTTGGGACTACAGGCGCATGCCACCATGCCTGGCTAATTTTTTGTGTTTTCTGTAGATATAGGGTTTTACCATGTTGGCCAGGCTGGTCTTGAACTCCTGACCTCAAGTGATCCACCCACCTCGGGCTCCCAAAGTGCTGGGATTACAGGCACGAGCCACTGTACCTGGCTGAGTTATTTGTTTTTAATTGCTGTAAGATATACATAATATAAAATTTACCATCTTAACCATTTTTTTTTTTTTTTTTTTTGAGACAGAGTCTCGCTCTGTCGCCCAGGCTGGAGTGCAGTGGTGTGATCTCGGCTCACTGCAACTTCTGCCTCCCAGATTCAAGTGATTCTCCTGCCTCAGCCTCCTGAGTAGCTGGGAATACAGGCGCACGCCACCACACCCGGCTAATTTTTGTATTTTTAGTAGAGACAGGGTTTCACCATGTTGGCCAGGCTGGCCTTAAACTCCTGACCTCAGGTGATCCACCCACCTCGGCCTCCGAAATTTCTGGGATTACAGGTGTGAGCCACTGCACCCGGCCCCATCTTAACCATTTTTAAGTGTACAGCTCTGCACAGTTGTCATTCATGTTGTTTTACAACCAGTCTCTAAAACCCTTGTGAAACTGAAGTTCTATACCCTTTACCAACAGCTCTCCATTTCCCTTTCCCCAAAGCCCCTGACAACCAGTATTCTACTTTCTGCCTCTCTGAATTTGACTTCTCTAGAGACCTCATGTAAGTGGAGTCATATAGTGTTTGTCTTTTTGTGACTGGCTTATTTCACTTAGCATAGTGTCCTCAAAGTTCATCCGTGTTATAGCATATGTAAGAATTTCCTCCCTTTTTAAGGCTGAGTAATAACTTGTTTTATGTGTATGCCACATTTTGTTTATCCCTTTCATGCTAAATATTCCTTTTTTTTTTTTTTAACAAGAGATGGAGTCTTGCTTTATTTCCCAGGCTGAAGTGCAGTGGCTACTCACAGGTGCGATCATCAAGCACTGCAGCCTCAAGCTCCTGGGCTCAAGCAACTCAGCTCATTCTTTTTTTTTTTTTTCTGAGACAGAGCCTCGCTCTGTCACCCAGGCTGGAGTGCAGTGGCGTGATCTTGGCTCACTGCTACCTCCACCTCCTGGGTTCAAGCGATTCTCCTGCCTTAAACTCCTGAGTTGCTAGGATTACAGGCACATGCCACCACACCTGGATAATTTTTTTTTTTTTTTGAGACCGAGTCTCGCTCTGTCACCCAGGCTGGAGTCCAGTGGCATGATCTTGGCTTACTGCAAGCTCTGCCTCCTGGGTTCACGCCATTCTCCTGCCTCAGCCTCCCGAGTAGCTGGGACTACAGGCGCCTGCCACCACGCCCGGCTAATTTTTTTGTATTTTTAGTAGATACAGTGTTTCACCGTGTTAGCCAGGATGGTCTCGATCTACTGACCTTGCGATCCACCTGCCTCAGCCTCCCAAAGTGCTGAGATTACAGGCATGAGCCACTGCGCCTGGCCTAATTTTTGTATTTTTAGTAGAGATGGGGTTTCACCATGTTGGCCAGGCTGGTCTCGAGCTCCTGGCCTCAACTGATCTGCCCATCTCGGCCTCCCAAAGTGCTGTGATAACAGGCGTGGGCCACTGTGCCCGGTCGGTCTCTTGGCTGTTATAACCTACCCTACTTTACCAAATACAGCAACAGGGCCTTGAGTGGGGTAGGCCTCTTCCATGGTTTCCATGGGTGGAGCCTGGACTAGAATCCAAATCCTGGCTCTGTCAGGTACTTTTCGAACTGTCTCTCTATGTGATACTGCATGACCTTGTGAGCTTTCTTTTGGTTTTAGTATAGTCTGTGTCAGGGACTGCTTTTATTTAAGTTGTAAACAGTGGCAGACTAGTGCGATGAGTGAGTTAAGACTTGATAGGCTGCTCCTGGATAGGATTTCCTTTGTGCTGATCAGGCCTAGAGGAGGCCTGGTGTCAGGCAGAGTGGAGTATCAGGACCCTGAGATGGTGAGATGGGAATCTGCTTCCTCTTGTGCTCTCTGGCACACAGAGGCCTGGCTTCAAGATCTGCGTGACAAAGGTGGTGGAGGAGGGAACATTGGGTCTGCGTTGGTTTGGGTAAAAGCTGAGGTGCTATAACAAGGACCCCCCACATAGAGGCTCAAACAAAACAGAAGTTTCTTTCTCATATAAATGAATGGTTCAAGGCTAGGCAGGGATCTAGGCTAGGTAGGAGACCTTTCTCCAGGATTCCATCCGTTGGGTTGGGAACTTTGTTTCCTTCTGTCTTACGGCTCCAGCATTCTCTTAGGGTTCCCCTTATCTGCATGGTCTTAGGTTCCTTTTGTCTTATTGCTCTGGCATTCTCTTGGGATACCCCCCATTTGCATGGTTGAAGCAGTTTCACCTGCATTTCAGCTCTACCCCAGTCCCCAGGAGGGGGAAAAGAGAGAAAGAAGAGGGAGGGCAAATAGTTTCATGGACAGGCCTAATGGCAGGGCAGGCTGGGCAGGTGGCCACAGGCCCTGCTTATACTTAGAAGTAGGGGTGGGGGTGGGGATAAAAGGAGGAGAGGTTGGATGCTGGGGCAATTAGCAGTTGCTGTGGCAGAATCTGTTGAGGTGAACTGAACCAAATGACGGCCCTGGATAGGATGTCAGAGACTAGCTATTTCCTCACATTTCATAAAACAGGAAAACGTAACCCCATGTAAACCAAATGAATTTGTTTTTAATGAGATGGCAGCAATTAAATGAAGTAGGTGGATGGTGGTCCACGTGAGTGCCTGGGAAACCTCAGGGGCTGCTCCTGATTGTAAACTTAGCTATATTTCTTTAAAAAAAAATTTTTTTTTTTTAAGAGATGGAGTCTTTCTGTGTTGCCCAGGCTGGTCAAGTGATCTACCTGCCTTGCCCTCCCAAAGTGCTGGGGTTATAGGTGTAAGCCACTGTGTCTGGCTCATATTTCTTTTATTTTTATTATTTTCTTCTCGACAGTCTTAATAGGGCTGAACTTTTTAAAAATAATAATTGTTATCCTCCCACCTCAGCCTCCTGAGTAGCTGGGACTATAGGCGCCTGCATTTCTTTTCATTTGAGGGTTCTGTCAGATGCTGTTCTCTTTTTTCTTACAGAAATGCCAGTGTTCCTGGCCCTGGCCCATATTCTGAAGCCTTGCCCTTTCTTTTTTTATGTTTTTGAGACAAGGGTCTCACTCTGTCACCCAGGCTGGAGTGCAGTGGTATGATCGCGGCTCACTACAACTTCTGCCTCCCGAGTTCAAGCGATTCTTATGCCTCAGCCTCCCCAGTAGCTGGGATTGCAGGCATGTACCACCGCACCTGGCTAGTTTTCATATTTTTAGTAGAGACTGGGTTTTGCCATGTTGCCCAGGGTGGTCTCGAACTCCTGGGCTCAAGTGCTTTGTCTGCCTCGGCCTCCTAAAGTGCTGGGATTACAGGCATGAGCCACTGTGCCTAGCCCCTTGTCCCTTCTGAATCCTCATCTAGATCCTCCATCTTTAGAGAAATTACTTTGTTTGTAGTAGAATTAAATCTGTCTTCTAGCAATTCAGAAGAGGGCATAGGAAGATCTTGGTACTTCTTACAAATGGAGAAAAGATCCTGGGAAAGGGGAAGGTGGCCCCAGTATGTCTCTGTATTCATGGATGGTCTCTGTTGTCATGGGCTCTGGGTCTTTATTCTCAGAAATATTGTTCCCCAGTGACCTGGTGAATTTATTTTCGAAGACAAACAATAAAACTGGGAGTAACTTCAGAGCATCTGTCATCATAAAAAACATGGCCTGGATGGCTGTGCTTACCTTCTTCATGACTGACAGGGCTTACAAGGAAATGGCAGGGTCATGCTTGCGAGAAGTAGCACCTTCAGATCGCAGTTGGAAGGATGAAAATTGTAGGTGGGAGGAAGCAGAGACTTTAATGGTTTTTTTAATAAAGAGCAGGTCTGTACTATGGTTCGTGTGTTCCATGTTAACAGGTAGTGGACCTGAAAGTTAACAATGACTCCCATTTCCCCTGAGCAGTTTTAGTGGTGTGTCTGGGTCCTGGGTAGGCTCCTGGGACAGGCTGATACCCTGTCTGGAGGTATCCCAAACAATTGATGCCAATTGTTTCCCCTCTTCCTTAGTGGCTAGCAGTGGTATGGGATTGCTGGAGTGGGAGAGCTGAGACGGGATAGTTGCAGGCCCTTGGGAGCAGAATTTTAGTTCTGTAACATCGCTCTATGCCTTCATGTATATGACCACTTCCACTTTCACAGGAAGGTACAGGAAGGCATCCACAGCATTTTATGTGCACATACATGGAGGCACAGCTTTCAGTAGATGCTCACAGGAGTCTGGCCCTAAAAAGGATAAGAATCCCTGTTCTTTTCTTTAATAACAAACTTTTTTCTTTGGAATGGTGCGAATAAATTTTCAGAATAATTTTTAGAAGCTTTATCATTAATGACCTATACATAAAGGACAGTTGATTTTATTTTTTTAACCCCTGGGTAATCATTGCATTTTTGTAATCAAATGCCATTACATGCTGGGATCATTGTGACTGTTTATTAATAAGTTAAGGTTATTTTTAGTAAGTCACATTTGAAGAGCACTTTACCACCATTAATTCACTTAATTGTTATGAAACTCAGTGTTTGATGGTGTTGGCAAAAAGAGTCAAATTCTGTAAAATACTTGAAGATATTTATTCTGAGCCAAATATGAGGACCTTGACTTGTGAGACACCCTCAGGAAGTCCTGAGAACATGAGCCCAAGGTGGTCAGGCTACATACAGCTTGGTCTCACACATTTTAGGGAGACATAAGACATCAATACATATAAGAAGTACATTGGCTGGGTCCAGAAAGGCAGACCAACTTGAGGGGTGGGTGGGCTTCCAGGTCATAGGTAGATTCAAAGATTTTCTGATTGGCAATTGGTTGAAAGAGTTAAGTTATTATCTAAAGAGTCAAGTTATTATCTAAAGGCCAGTCGCCAGGCTTGGTGGCTCACGCCTTTGGGCTCCCAGCACTTTGGGAGGTCGAGGTGGGCGGATCACCTGAGGTTGGGAGTTCGAGACCAGCCTGACCAACATGTAGAAACTCCATCTCTACTAAAAATACAAAATTAGCTGGGCATGGTGACGCATGCCTGTAATCCCAGCCACTTGGGAGGCTGAGGAGGGAGAATCGCTTGAACCTGGGAGGTGGAGGTTGTGGTGAGCCGAGATCGCACCATTGCACTCCAGCCTGGGCAACAAGAGCGAAACTCCGTCTCAAAAAAAAAAAAAAGAAAGAAAGAAAGGAGTGTCTGGGTTAAAATAAGGGGTTGTGGAGACCAAGGTTCTTACCATGTAGATGAAGCCTCCAGGTAGCAGGCTTCAGAGAGAATAGATTGTAAATGTTTCTTATCAGACCTAAAAAGGTGCCAGACTCTTCCTTAATTTTCTCCTGGATCAGGAAAGGACCTGGAAAGGAAAGGAGGTTCTCTATAGAATGTAGATTTCCCCACAAGAGACAGCTTCCAGGGCTAGTTCAAAATATGTCAAAGAAATATATTTTGGGGTAAAATACTTTGATTTCTTTCAGTACCTGCTATCTGTTATGTTGGTATCTTAATTGCTACAGTCTGTTTTGTCAGTCTGAGGGTCTCTATTTTAATGTTTTGTTGTTGTTGTTGTTTTGTTTTGTTTTGTTTTTTGAGACGGAGTCTTGCTGTCGCCCAGGCTGGAGTGCAGTGGCGCAATCTTGGCTCACTGCAAGCTCTGCCTCCTGGGTTCACGGCATTCTCCTGCCTCAGCCTCCCAAGTAGCTGGGACAACAGGCACCCGCCACCACGTCCAGCTAATTTTTTTTGTATTTTAGTAGAGGCGGGGTTTCACCGTGTTAGCCAGGATGGTCTCGATCTCCTGACCTCGTGATCCTCCTGCCTCGGCCTCCCAAAGTGCTGGGATTACAGGTGTGAGCCACCGCCCCCGGCCCGTTTTAATGTTAATGCTGGTCAGTTGTGCATGAATTCCAAAGGGAGAAGGGTATAATGTGGCTTGTCTGACTCCCTTCCCATCATGGCCTGAACTAGTGTTTCAGTTTAATGTTGGAATGCTCTTGGCCAAGAGGAGGGGTCCATTCAGGTTGGTTGAGGGGCTTAGAATTTTATTTTTGGTTTACAATAGCAGACAGATCAGACAGATAATTAGCCCAGTTTCACAGAGGAGGAAGTAGGAATGATGCTGGTTGAGTGAGTTGTCCCAGAGTTGAAATCCAGTCAGGTCTTCTGACTGAGAGTCCAGTCCCACTCACTGTGTGTGACCACAGTGGGAGCTCACTAAGGAGTGGTCTCCTAGGAGACCACGGATTCACATTCGCTCTTGTTTAGCAAATGGTAGTGTGTGGTCAGATGGCCCAGGTGGAGCTGCTGTCCCTACTGGGAGAGTATTTAGGAATTGAGAACCCCTGCAATGGTGCCAGTTACTCCAAAGCCCATGTCCTCTTTGTCCTCTCAACAGAAGCCGGGAGCATCCTGATCTGCCGCTGTGGTGCCAGCCTTGGAAACAGCACTCAGGGGAGGGGAGATCTCATTTCAGAAACATCCCTGTCACTGACACCAGGAGCAAGGAGGAAGCTCCAAGCTATAGAACTTTGAACGGGGCAGTGGAGAAGCCCAGGCCCCTGGCCCTGCCCCTGCCGCGTTCTGTGGAGGAATCCTATATCACCAGTGAGCATTGCTACCAGAAGCCCCGCGCCTATTACCCTGCCGTGGAGCAGAAGCTGGTGGTGGAGACGAGGGGCTCTGCCCTCGACGATGCGGTCAACCCCCTCCATGAGAACGGCGATGATTCCCTTTCCCCGCGCCTGGGCTGGCCTCTAGACCAAGACAGGAGCAAGGGGGACAGTGACCCCAAACCCGGCTCCCCAAAGGTATGTGGCTGCCTTGTACTTGTTCTTCATTCATTGCGTGAATGCTTGCAAGTTATCCTCCTAGTTTGAATGCTCTATGGAAGATATTTATTAATAAAACTGTATTTAAATTTGCTTACCATAGATATGTTTTGGTTTGCCAAAATGGGTGCAAAGTCAGGAGAGCCCACTTAAGCCAAAGATCCTTGGTTCCAGGAAGCACCCACAAAATGGCATAGTCAAGTGTGGCACGTGGGGTGGGGGGCGCGGGTGCAGAGGGAGGGAGAGGTGGGAAGTAGCAAGGAGATATGGATTAGCAAAACTCATCTTTTCTTTAAGGCAGTTTGCATTATAATTGCACCTAGATGTTAATTCTTAGCATGAGCAAACAATGAGTCAAATGTTTTGTTAGGCAGAATTTTTTCAATCCAGTTGTATGATAGCTTTATTTTGACTTTTAACTTTGAAGCCCTGTGGTAAAAATGGTACACTTTGTCAAAATATTGCTGGTTTCATCAGTTTTCCCAAGAGCCACTTTTGGTTTTTTGTTATTCAAGTCATTCTCTTCTAGAACCCCCTTGTATCACCTCGTTGCCGGTGTTTTCATCTCTAACTGCTCACTAGGCTCATTGTGCCCTGTCCTCAGTTGTCAGTGAGGCTTTGTATGATTTGAGAGTTTCTCTGTCTCATCATCCTTACTTCCCAGACTTTCTCCTGCAGGTTGGTGTCACCAGTGTTAAATACATTGCTGCATGGTGCCAAGGGGATCCTAGATTACAAGCCCCTCAAGGGAGGGGATTGTATCTCATGCATCCTTGTGCCCTTGACTATGTCTAAACGGTGTTGGGCAAGGTGGTAAGAACACAGTCTTTTGAGACAGACGCAGTTTCAATTCTGAGCTCAGCCCCTTACTGTGTGATTCTGAGCGGGTTACTTCACTTTCCTGATCAGACCTGTTTTCTCGCCTGTAGAATGGGGCCAGTGAAGCCCCCTCAGTTACTGTGGAACATATTTGTGAAAATCCCTCAGTAAAATCCCTCAGTTTTGCACATAGTAAGTACTAAATAAATATTGGCTAGAATCTATTTCATTTCAAATGGATGAATGAAAGGTTGAGTTACCAAATCCTAGAAAAGGTTTGTGGTCCTGTGGATCAGGCAGGTTTCCTAGAGGTATCTGGCACATAAAACAAAGCCAGGAAATACTGGGCCTCAGCAAAGCAACCAGGGCTAACAGTCTTTTCCATTGATGGTAAGCTGACTGTAAGCTGGCCTTGCTTTTATGTGCCTTACCCTATTTCATCCTCATGAACCTTCCAAATAGGTTTTAGTACCCCCATCCTCCCACCGAGAAAGCAGAGGCTCAGAGACATGAAGTAGTCCATCCAGACTCGCACATTCGCAGGAGATGGAGCTGAGACTTGAAACGCGTTGGTGTGACTCCCGTGTACTAACCCTTGTCTGCACTAGCCCTGCTCTAATCACCTCTCAGGGCTCTGGAAGCCATTCTGTGAGGCTTACTTTAGGCTAGGACATTGGCCCAGTCAGTAGGAAGCAGCTGTGGGTCCCCTGAGCTAGAGTGCTACCCTGAGGTAGTTGGAATTGGTACAGTGGGCAAGCTCCTGCCCAGTTCCTAAGTGGGAAATAGGAAAGGGAGGTAGGGATTTGGAGTATTGAAACTGCAGCTAGTATTTCAGGTGGCTGGAAATGCTGGCTGGTTGAAAAATGGGCCAGGGGCTATCTCCATTCAGTAATTTCCATGCCATTGCATCCCCAGGTGAAGGAATATGTCTCCAAAAAGGCCCTACCAGAAGAAGCCCCTGCTCGGAAGCTGCTGGACAGAGGTGGAGAGGGGCTGCTGAGCTCCCAGCACCAGTGGCAGTTTAACCTGCTGACCCATGTGGAATCTCTTCAGGATGAAGTTACGCACAGGATGGACTCCATTGAGAAGGAGTTGGATGGTAGGGCTCCTTCATTGGCCCCCTGTGCATTGGCATGCAGTCGAGCACCCCCAGACGAGCTGCTTTCTGAACCCCCCAGTCTGAGTTTACAGGGACCGCTGTACTCTTTGCTTCTCTTCTTTTCAGCCTCTCCCCACCTCCATTCTCCCCTCAGGATGGATGAGCCTTACTTTTAGTATTTATCAGGTGCAAGATCTGCATGATGTTGGGTCCTGCCTCACTTGTCTGATCCCTTCTGTAAAGTTGAGTATGCAGAGAGAGGGCAACTGGCAGTCCTGCTTGCAGGAAATATGTGATCTAAGCCAATCTTTACAAACAAGTTCTGTGAGAAATTAAAATTTTGACTTGAGTTTTAGGATATCTGAGGATTTAATCTGAAAAACCTCTTATTCCAATCTTTGATAAAATCTAAAATGAAGCTTTCTCCTCGTAAGCCAGTAGAGATTTGAGAATTTGCCTGAGTCATTTGTATAGCCCTGAGTATTCCTTCCAGATATTGGTGGTTACGGACAGGCCTGGAGGATCAAACCGGTGATGATGAACATGATCAAGTTCAGTCTCTCTCCAGGAAGTTGACGGTTTTGGTTGTTGAAATATTCCCTAATTATTTGTTTTCATGTTGAAAATGGAGCCCAGTTAAAAAAGAAATGTTGTTTGAGGATTCTGGGTACAGTCTGGCTATGATTTTTTACTGTAACTGGGAATATAAAACATACATGAAATAACTCAGGAGAAAATGCCATCTGTTATACAAGTGATGCCATGAGGTGTGGCCGGGACACATGTGGCTGATGTCAATGCAGAGGAGGAGAGTGCTAATAGGAGGGCTTCCTAAAACTCCTGAGACTGAAGTTGAGCTTTAAGGAGAGTGATGGTGTTTCCTACTGGAGAGGACTCAGGGTGGATGATCTGGCTAGACTGGAAAAAGAGTTGCCCTGTTGGAGGACAGTGAGAGAGACAGCAAGACCTAGGCTGGGTGTGGTGGCTCACACCTATAATCCCAGTACTTTGGGAGGTCAAGGTGGGAGGATTGCTTGAGGCCAGCCTGGGCATCACAGTCTCTACAAAAAAATAAAAAACTAGCCAAGTGTAGGGGTGTAGTCCCAGCTACTTGGGAGGCTGAGGCGGGAGGACTGCTTGAGCCCAGGAGTTGGAGGCTGCAGTGAGCTGTGATTATGTCACGGTACTCCAGCCTGTGTAACACAGACCCTGTCTCTAAAAAAATAAACTAAAAAAAAGGGATTGTAACTGATGCCACTGTCTGTGAAAAACATATTATTAGAGAGCTGAAGGAGGATATAATGTTAGACAAAAAAGTGTAGCTCTTGAGAGAATGGCAGTAGGAGTGGCTCTGTAGTCCCTGAAAAGAGGATTAGCACCATGGAAACAGGGTGAATGTTCGGTTGTTGCCACAGGGACCTTCCCTGAGGGAGAAGTTAAAGTCTACTCACATCTTACTTCCTTAATCCTCTCTTCAGCCAGGTTTGGCCTCTCTAGCCCTGCCGAATGGGCAGTGTGGCAAGGATGGTAGGCCTGAACCCCCTTCTTTGGCCTCACAGATGACCTCTTGTGTGTCTTGCTAATTCAGAGCCACATATTCTGTACATTTCTAAGACTCTAGGCCCTGAGAGAGATAACAAGAAAGCATTAAAATAAATGATAAAGCTTAAAGATTTTATTTAGGTAAACAGACTTTTGCATAGTATTTAAGATTAATCAAAATCCCTTTTTATGGAATCAACTCTTTATTTAAACACCAAGATAAACTAAGCTTTCTTTCTTTCTTTTTTTTTTGAGATGGAGTCTCGCTCTGTTGCCCGGGCTGGAGTGCAGTGGTGCCATCTCAGCTCACTGCAAGCTCCGCCTCCCGGGTTCACGCCATTCTCCTGCCTCAGCCTCCCGCGTAGCTGGGACTACAGGTGCCCGCCACCAGGCCCGGCTAATTTTTTATATTTTTAGTAGAGACAGGGTTTCACTGTGTTAGCCAGGATGGTCTCGATCTCCTGACCTCATGATCCGCCCACCTTGGCCTCCCAAAGTGCTGGGATTATAGACGTGAGCCACCGTACCCAGCCCTAAACTAAGCTTTCATAACCAAGTTTTAAAATAGGAATTTGGATGTAACATTCCTTTTTTAAAAAGCCGGCCTGCTTAGCTGGGTGTGGTGGTGCACACGTATAATCCTAGCTACTTGGGAGGCTGAAGCAGCAGAATCTAGGAGGCGGAGGTTGCAGTGAGCTGAGATCATATCACTGCACTCCAGACTGGGCAACAGAGTGAGACTCAGTCTGAAAATAAAAAATTTAAAAAAATTTAAAAGCTGACCTGGCGTGGTGGCTCACACTTGTAATCCCAGTGCTTTGGGAGGCCAAGGAGTTCAAGGTTACAGTGAGCTATGATCGTGTCACTGTACTCCAGCCTGGGTGACAGAGCAAGACCCCATTTCTTTAAAAAAAAAAAAAAAAAAGCCTAGTAAGCTATTATATGAAATATATATATATATATGCCATTGTTTTACAATTGGCCATTATTTAATTATTTATGTAGTTATATGAATAGTACTTTATTTATTTATTTATTTATTTATTTTTGAGACGGAGTCTCGGTCTGTTGCCCAGGCTGGAGTGCAGTGGCACGATCTCGGCTCACCACAACCTCCACCTCCTGGCTTCAAGCAATTCTCCTGCTTCAGCCTCCCGAGTAGCTGGGATTATAGGTGCACACCGCCATGCCTGGCTAATTTTTGTATTTTTAATAGAGACGGGGTTTCACTATGTTGGCCAGGCTGGTCTCGATCTCCTGACCTCATGATCTGCCTGCCTCGGGCTCCCAAAGTGCTGGGATTACAGGTGTGAGCCACTGCACCCAGCCTGAACAGTACTTTAAAACTAAAAGACAAAGGATATTTAATGACCATGAAAAGTAAAAAAGTCTTTTGGCATTAGAGAGATTATTTTCTTAAATAAAAAATGTTGCCTTGGTGAGCAGTGGTCTCTATACACATGATCTTAGTGTATTTGAACAGAATTTTTTCCTCTGTAACCTTCTGTCTTGCTAGCAACCACTATGCTAGTTGGAAGCTGTTCTGCATCTTTAAAAGAGACACTTGGGATGGTGCAGCACATGGTATGGAGAGGGTGGCCTGCTGGATGCTGGGGTCCAGAGGAGATGCTGTTGACTTCCCACAGTCCTGGCTTTGTTCTTCAGCCTAACAGACCTAGACAGACAGCTTCCATCTCAGGAACTCCACACACTCCTGTTAACCAAGCTCAGGCACTACTGAGTGGCTTAGACTCTTCCAGTCTGAGCGTTGGTGCGCTTTCACACTGTGCATGCCTCCTGGGCCACCGTAGTATCGGGATGTCTTTGGTGAGCCTGGAACTAGATCCAAGGTAGTTAGGGTGACCTTAAGAGGGGCCTCTCAGCAACTGTAGGATCATCTTGCAAAAGATTGACTGACTCTCTTTGCTGTTGGAGTGACCCATCCAGTCCTGACTGCCTTTTGTCCATTTATTTATTTTTATTTTATTTTATTTTTTTAAGACGGAGTCTTGCTCTTTCTCGCCCAGGCTGGAGTACAGTGGCATGATCTCGGCTTACTGAAGCCTCTGCCTCCCAGGTTTAAGCGACTCTTCCTTCCTCAGCCTCCCAAGTAGCAGGCAGATGCCTGCCACCACACCTGGCTGATTTTGTATTTTTAATAGAGATGGGGTTTCACCATGTTGGCCAGGCTTGTCTTGAATTTCTGACCTCAGGTGATCCACCTCCCTTGACCTCCCAAGGTGTTGGGATTACAGGCGTGCACGTCCGGCCTCTCCATTTATTCTTCTGCCTGTTTGCTGAACAGTCCCCTGTCTCCTTCTAGTTTTTTTTAAAGACTTACTGGTGTTTTGAAACTGGTCACTATCCAGTTTTCTTGCTCAGCAGGCCACTAGTTCCTCTCACATGACTGATCTTTTACTAATGGTTTTCAAGCTTAAGTCTGAGGAGGTGGTCTTATTTTTCTTATTTCCAAGTCCTTGTACTTGCTGGAATTAGGAAGAGAGAGGGTTCCTCCTTCTTGGAACCCCCAAATACCAACAAGAAATATGATGGAGGAGGATAAACTACATAGGGCCCAGAGCAATGGGTAGGGCGCTTTGCTGGACCACACATTCCTTCTCTCGCTGTGTTTGTTGCAGGCTTGCCACATTTCAGACACAGGTGAGTGTTAGGGATATAGTGGCAAGCAAGGCAGACTCAGCCTTTGCCCTCGTGGAACTTGATCTAGTGGGAGAGACATATATTAAACAAATCATCCCATTACCTGTAATGACAAACCATAGTAAATGCTCAAAGGAGAACATGTGATATCATAGCACCTGTAACACAAGGACCAGATTCAGGGTATAGGGTTGGGGAAGGCTTCCCTAAAGAATAGCTCACAAGAAACAGAGGATTTAGAAAGGTGGAGAGGAAGGTAGGGCTGCATCTGAGGACAGGAGAGGATTGCGCAGTAGGTTGCAGGCTGCTTGATGAAGAGGTACTGGGTGGGCCTTTCTTTTGCTGCACTCCAGGGTCCAGAAGGTGCTCAGTACAGGTTGGTGCATGGACTAGAAAGGCTACAGGCAGGCTGGGATAGCACAGGGGCTACCTGCAGGGGGTGGTTCTTGTCAAAGGTGCAGGGTTCCCAGATGGTCTCTCCCCAAATGCCAGAGCTTTAGGGGGTAGCTTAGGGAAGAACAAACATCTTTCTGTAGAGAAATACTTGTTCTCACAAGCAAGACAGCTTTCTAGATATTGAACCAATGATGATAATGTTAATTAATACCTGAAATCTTACATTAAATATTTAAAGGGGTCCTGCATGGTGGTTCATGCCTGTAATCCTAGCACTTTCAAAGTGGCCAAGGCAGGTGGATCACCTGAGGTCAGGAGTTCGAGGCCAGCCTGGCCAACATGATGAAACCCCATCTCTACTAAAAATAACAAAAATTAGCCAGGCGTGGTGGTGTGTGCCTGTAATACCATCTCCTCAG
Organism: Homo sapiens; assembly: GCF_000001405.40. NCBI lineage: Eukaryota > Metazoa > Chordata > Mammalia > Primates > Hominidae > Homo > Homo sapiens. Next base: position 35,946,066 of record NC_000020.11, read on the forward strand.
GAGGCTGAGGCAGGAGAATCGCCTGTACCCGGGAGGCGGAGGTTGCAGTGAGTCGAGATCATTGCCATTGTACTCCAGCCCAGGCAACAAGAGCGAAACTCTGTCTCAAAAGAAAAAAAAAGGCCAGGCCCAGTGGCTCATGCCTGTAATCCTAGCAGTTTGGGAGGCCGAGGTGGGTGGATCACCTGAGGTCAGGAGTTTGAGACCAAAATACAAAAATTCGCCGGGCGTGGTGGCACATGCCTGTAATCCCAGCTACTTTGGAGGCTGAGGCAGGAGAATCGCTTGAACCTAGGAGGCAGAGATTACAGTGAGCTGAGATGGCGCCACTGCACTCCAGCCTGGGCGACACAGTGAGACTCCATCTCAAAAAAATAAATAAATAAGTAAATAAATAAAGGGAGAAAATAATAACAGAGTATTCTGTGCCACTGATGATTGCGTATCAATCAGGAATTAATATGAAGCAAATCAGAGTTTATGATATACAAATAGACCTTTTCAAGACCCTATAGATTTTCATTTTTCTTGACAGGATGCTAAAACACCAGGCTCTCTGATTTTCAACATGGGAAAGCTTTTTATTTTTTATTTTATTTTATTTTATTTTATTTTATTTATTTTATTTTATTTTATTTTATTATTTTATTTATTTTATTTTTTGAGATGGAGTCTCGCTTTGTCGCCAGGCTGGAGTGCAGTGGCACGATCTCGGCTCACTGCGACCTCCGCCTCCCGGGTTCAAGCAATTCTCCTGCCTCAGCTTCCTGAGTAGCTGGGACTACAGACGGGCACCACCATGCCTGGCTAATTTTTGTATTTTTAGTGGAGATGGGGTTTCACCATGTTGGCCAGGATGGTCTTGATCTCTTGACCTTGTGATCTGCCCGCCTCGACCTCCCAAAGTGCTGGGATTATAGGCATGTGCCACCGCGCCCGGCTGGGAAAGCTTTTTAAAGAGTGAGTGGTAACACTCAGAAAGGTGCTTCCTTCCAAGACTTCTAGACTCTGGTAACAGTAGCCTCTGGCAATGTGTGGCTGTTTAACCAAAACTGAATAAAATTTAAAATTCAGTTCCTCAGTTGCATTAGCCATGTTTCCAGCGCTCAATAGCTGCATAAGGCTAGTGGCTACTGTATTGGATGACACAGACTTGGACCATTGATCATCGCAGAAAGTTCTTTTGGACTGTGCTGCTCTAAAGCATTTGTGTTTTGTCCTGGGAGTACCACTTTGTAGAGCAGGTGTTGACACAGTGCTGGCTGAAATGGCCCTTCCTCCCTTGCCCCATGGAGGCTGAAATGGCCCTTCCTCCCTTGCCCCATGTCTGATGGAATAAGGTGCTGAAATGCTTGCTGATGTTCTTGCAAATCAAGTGTTGGGAGTTCACTAGGTCTCATCTCTCTCTTCTGCCGACAGTGTTGGAGAGCTGGCTGGACTACACTGGGGAACTGGAGCCCCCTGAGCCGCTGGCCAGGCTTCCGCAGCTCAAGCATTGTATCAAGCAGCTGCTGATGGACCTGGGCAAGGTGCAGCAGATCGCCCTCTGCTGCTCAACATGAAACTGGGCACCCAAAACTCATGGGGGCACAATCCTGGGGCACCTGCAGGAGGAGCTTCGCATATTTAAATAAATAAACCTAGCATGCTGAATGCACGTGACACCGACTGACTTCAGGGATCTGGGCCAGGAGTGTGGTGGACATTGGACAAAGAGGCCATTTTGGCTGCGGGAGGACACTCTGATCTCGAAGCCTGCCATAAAGGTAGCAAATAGACTCTTGGGATTCCCCTCTTCTGTGCACATCGTTGAATGAAGAGAGTCTTTTTGCACAAACTTCACTTGAAATTGTGCCACTGATGATAAACGGAATGAGAGCCAAAAAAGTTTAGTTGGAGACAGTTGTAAATTCAATTTGGAGTTTATTTAATTGACTTTTCTATCACGTTGGGGCACATGCCAACTCCCTGGTTTCTTCCTGGCATGGTGTTTGGGCAGCAGGCATCATTTTCCTTTTCTAGCTTCATAGGAATATTGTGAGCTCACCATGCTGTGGAGGTTGGGAAAGAGCAGAGTCTTGGCTGCCCTGCTTTCTCCTTAGGACTCTTCACTTTTCTCACCACATCTCTTGCATGACTTCATGGTACTGGGGACAAGTTTGTATGCCTTCACCCCAGAGCTGGCTGGGTTATGGCTTTTGTAGCAGAGCCCATACAGCCTATGGAAGAACTAGAATCTCACTCACAGTAATAAGAATCTAGGAGGAATTCCAAACCGAAGCAGGCAGGGTCTGGAACCCAAAGGACAGCATTTTCTACCCACTTCTTAATATTGACAGCTTCCCCGTTCTATTTAATGTCCAAAAATGTTTCCCAAAATTTCAAACTCTTTCACTGTAAAGATTTGTTACAAAGAATGTGGTTTGGGGAATTACCTTATTTTATATTGTTGTAAACAAACTTCAAATTCTACATGTGCGACTTTTCTCCTTCCTGAAGGGTGTTTAGTAGTCAGCGTTTTCAGAATTGTTTTGTTACTATACTTTAACATTTTACATTTCCTGTTTGTATTATTTTGTGAGAGCAAGGTGATCATGCTGCTTAAGGTCCAGGTACAACCTATTTGTACCTTTTGAGACAATATTTGTGTTACTTTTGCAGGTTACGGTTCCACATGTAATTGCTATATTTTGTTTTGTTTTTCCTTACTAGGCAAAGTTAAAATGTTCCATGCTTTGAGGAGTGACCCATTTCACTACTTTGTTTTCTTATCACTAAAGGCAAAAATCAAAGCACAGTTGTCCATTAACACTTATAAGTTAATTATGGGTTTATGAGTCTGTAATGTTATATGCTGCAAACATTTACTATGTAAACGTGAAGTAGCCAATAATATCTCAATAGTAGTAACAGTATCTTTAGCGACCTTTGGAATAGTTAAGCACAGGTCATTGTGGACATGAATTCAGGCCTCTGTACTAAAATCTATTTCAGGGAATGTTCTGTCTAGTGATTTGCTCACCATTTGATATATAATGAATTATAGGACAAGTATAAGCTGATCTGCTATAGCTGTCCATCAGAGAGAATACACGTGGCTATAACATCTATAACAAAACGACGATTCCTCTACAAGAGGCTGTTTCTCACTGCTAACGTTGGTGTTTCTGGCGTGGGAAGAAATGCACAGGCGTGCATGGCATGCACGTTCAGACAGCTGCATTGTAAGAGTTCTGTCATGCAGTCTGAAAAGGGAAGAAACAGGATGGCTTTCTGTAGCCACACCTGTGAGGCGTGATGATTGTTGTATTATTAGATTACTGATTTTTCTTTTCTGAAAATACATTTGAGTTTTAATCACATCTGTGGAAGCTGTAACTTTTAAGGTAGTCAATTTCATGTCTTGTTCAACGATGTAAGCAGAAACTGAATTGCCCTAATTTTGCCAACTGGCCATTATTGGGATTATTGTTTAAATTTTTGGTAAAGGAAGTAATCTCCTTTCATTCATTGTGACTTTTGTTCTTAGGGAAGCAGAGAAGACTCCCCAAGTTCTTATAACCTCATTGTGCTTCCCTAATTTAAAGCCATGTTGAGGGGCTCCATTCCCAATTCCTGGGTCAAGGTGAATTAACCCTATGTTGGAGCACTGGAAACCGTTATTTGCAAACATTGCTGTTACCATTTAGAAATATGTGCACTATCAGCTGGGTGCAGTGGCTCACGTCTGTAATCCCAGCACTTTGGGAGGCCGAGGCAGGTGGATCACCTGAGGTCAGGAGTTCGAGACCAGCCTGGCCAACAGGGTGAAACCCCGTCTCTACTAAAAGTACAAAAATTAGCTGGGCGTGGTGGCGGACGCCTGTAATCTCAGCTACTTGGGAGGCTGAAGCAGGAGAGGTGCTGGAACCTGGGAGGCGGAGGTTGAAGTGAGCCGAGATTGCGCTATTGCACTCCAGCTCGGGCGACAACTGCAAGACTCCATCTCAAAAAAATAAAAATAAAAGAAAAGAAAGAAATATGTGCACTACCTAAGTTTTGTCTTTAGAAAAACTATCCACCTATAAAAAATTACCTTGACAAAAATAGTTCCGGTTTGACTAATCATTTTGTTTCTTTAAGTGGTAAGTGTATGCAAGGTGGATCCTTGATGAGCCAACATTGCACTGTGGATACATATCTATGTTTACGCGCTATTAGAACAGAAGGCGCTGTATATAGAAATGTTGCTTTGAAGCAATATTTGCAAAACACGCAGACTTCTGTATCTGTATTTGGAAAAAATAAAACAGGTTCTTGTTGCTATGTTTCAGTTACGTATTGTTGAGTTACAGTCATGCATCATATAACGTTTCTGTCAACCATGGACCCCATATACAGGGTGGTCCCATAAGATTATAATGGAGCTGAAAAATTCCCATCACCTAGTGATGTCCTGATGGTCCTACTGCATAGGCCTAGGCTAATGCGTGGATTTGTCTTAGTGTTTAACAAAAATCTAAAAAGTAAAATATATATAAAAAATTTAAACTAGAAAAAAACTCATAGAATAAGGATATAAAGAAAATATATTTGTATAGTTGTACCATGTGTGTAAACACAAAGTGTTATTACAGAAGTCAAAGTTAAAATTTAAAAGCTTACAAAGTATAAAAGTTGGTCAGGCAAGGTGCCTCAGATCTGTAATCCTAGCACTTAGGGAGGCTGAGGATGGAGACCCTGTCTCTAAATAAAAGGCTGGGTGCCGTCGCTCACGCTTGTAACCCCAGCACTTTGGGAGGCCAAGGCGGCCAGATCACCTGGGGTCAGGAGTTCAAGACCAGCCTGGCAAACATGGCAAAACCCCATCTCTACTAAGAATACAAAAATTAGCATGGTGGCGCATGCCTGTAGTCCCAGCTACTTGGGAGGCTGAGGCAGGAGAATTGCTTGAACCCAGGAGGAGGAGGTTGCAGTGAGTCGAGATCGTACCACTGCACTCTAGCCTGGGCAACAGAGTGAAACTGTCTCAACAAAACAAAAAACAAAAACAAAAAGTTATGGTGAACTAAGGCTAATTTATTATTGTAGAAAGAAAATTAAAAAAAATAAGTTTAGTAGTTCGTGACCAGCCTGGGCAACATGGTGAAACCCCATCTCTACAAAAATTAGCCAGGCATGGTGGCATGCACCTGTATTCCTAGCTACTTGGGAGGCTGAGGCAGGAGGATCACCTAGGCCTGGGAGCCAGAAGTTGCAGTGAACCTAGATTGTGCCACTGTACTCCAGCCTGGGCAACAAAGTGAGATCCTCTCTCAAACAAAAAAAAATTAGTCTATGTGTTCAGTGTTTATATAAATTCTGGAGTAGCGTACAGTAACGTCCTACATCTTCACATTCACTCACCACTTACCCAGCCAGAACAATGTCCAGTCCCGCAAACTCTTATTTTTTACTTTTATATATATATATATATATGTGTGTGTGTGTGTATATGTATATATGCATATATATATGTGTATGTGTATATATGCATGTGTGTATATATACATATATAAATATATATAAATGTTTTTTTTTTTTTTTGAGATGGAGCCTCACCGTGTTGCCTAGGCTGGTGTGCAATGGCGCGATCTCAGCTCACTGCAACCTTCGCCTCCCAGGTTCAAACAATTCTCCTCCCTCAGCCTCCTGAGTAGCTAGGATTACAGTTGCCCGCAACCAAGCCCAGATAATTTTTGTATTTTGAGTAGAGATGGGGTTTCACCATGATGGTCAGGCTAGTCTCAAACTCCTGACTTCGTGATCCGCTCACCTCGGCCTCCCAAAGTGCTGGGATTACAGGTGTGAGCCACCGCACCCGGCCTATTCTATATTTTTACTTAACCATTTCTATGTATAGATACACAAATACTTACCATTGTTACTGCCTATAGTATTCAGTACAGTAACATGCTGTACAGGCTTGTAGCCTACGAGCAGTAGGCTCTATCACAAAGCCTAGGTGTGTGTAGGCTATACCATCTAGTTTGCATAAGTGCACTCTATGAGGCTCACACAATAAAACTGCCTAAGGGCTCATTTTCAGAACGCATCCCCATTAAGAGATGCATGACTGTATAAAGTTCTTCACCATTCTTTTTTTTTTGAGACGGAGTTTCGCTCTTGTTGCCCAGGCTGGAGTGCAATGGCGCGATCACTGCTCGCTGCAACCTCCGCCTCCTGGTTTCAAGCGATTCTCCTGCCTCAGCCTCCCGAATAGCTGGGATTACAGGCGTGCGCCACCAAGCCCGGCTAATTTTGTATTTTTAGTAGAAAGACAGTTTCACCATGTTGGTCAGGCTGGTCTCAAACTCCTGACCTTAAGTGATCCGCCCGCCTTGGCTTCCCAAAGTACTGAGATTACAGCCATGTGCCACTACACCCAGATAATTTTCTATTTTTAGTAGAGATGGGGGTTTCACTATGTTGGTCAAGCTGGTCTCGAACTCCTGATCTCAAGTGATCCACCGCCTCTGCCTCCCACAGTGCTGGGATTACAGGCGTGAGCCACTGTGCTTGTCCTTCTTCACCTATTCTAATCTTCTTTAAACATTACCTTTTAAAGAAGGCTGTTCTTACCTTCTAAACAACTATCTTTTTCCAGGGAGGCAGGTGCAAACTCTGCCAAGAAATCCCAAGAATGCAAAAATACTTCTCAATTTGTCTGTCTTTAATATTCAAAAGCAAATTGCCCCTCACCAACTTCCAGCCCAGTCTCACTCATGCTTTGTGGTGTGAACTGCAGGCTGATTTTGATTGTTGAGAGCAGTGCAAGGAAGACAAGTCTGGCCTTCCTTATATTAACAAATGGCACTCACTGCAATAGGACCTATCTGGGACCAATCCAAGCTGTCCATGGACCCTAACTAGCTCCTTCCTGGTTGGGCAGAAGCCTCTGGAAACAGAGTAGGTTTAAGATTTCAGAACAGGTCCTCATTATTTGCCAAATTCTTTCTTCCCTTTGTAAACGATTATGCTAGTTTAAACACCAAAAGGGAGCCAGCCGGAGAGACATTAAAATGAGTAGCTTCAGTAATGTAAATAATCCATTACTTCAACTAGTTCTGCTTTATTCCTACCACAGGCCTAAAATTTGGCAAGGAAGTTGAGCAAGCCTGGCGGCATAAGCCAGAGCTCACAAGAACTAGCCTATCTCTGTGAAGGTGTGCAGTAAACACTTCACATTAAAATGGCCCAGTAACTTGGACATTTTGGGAAGCCTGTACCCAAAGGGCAGGTGCAAGTTGGTGCCCATATTGGTATAGAGGTAGCCAGTTAAGTGAGCATTTAATAGAGCCAGCTATTTTGCGTGTAAGAAACCCAAGTGGGTCCTTGGGAGCCCAGGTGAAAAACTTCCCATGTGTGGTAGAGGGATAACCTAGGTTCAGTCAACATCTAAAGATCCCACTATAGCCAACGAAGGCCTTATTGTTACGGACTCCCAACTTCGTTTCGCCACCAGCCAGAAAGGCGGTAGGAAACAGGCTTGGTAAAATAAACCCAATAAGAACGAATGAAAGAGACACACCAGACCACAGGCGCTGCCAAAACTCATTTTTCATTAACACGGGGTGGGGTCCCAGGCTCAGGCCCCCGGGCCCGATCATGGCCCCAGTCCGCACAGAGCGCCCGGCCCTGGCCGCCCGCAGCTCCACCGCTCAGCCAGTGATGCGCACATCCGTGCGGCGGCGGATCCGCCGGGCCCGAGCCGCCTCGGGCAGGATGGCGAGCAGCTGCTCTTGCACCAGCATCTCCACGATCTGCTCCTTGGTGCGGATGTCAGGCCGCAGCCACTGGCGGGACAGCTCCCGCAGCTGCCGGAAAGCCTCCCGGGGACCCGCCGCATCCTGGTAGCGGAACTGCCGGAAACGCTGGCGGAACGTCTCGGGACCGAGTCTAGAGCCGGCGGGGCCTGGTGTGGAGCGCGCTTCAGCTTCGGCCTGAGGCGCTACGCTCACGGGTGCGGGCCCGAGAGGCAGCTCCAGGGCCGCGGAGGCCGCAGCTCGGGGCGTAGGGATGGCTTCAGGGACCGCGGCGTTGGGACTGGAAGGCTCAGGGGCAGGCGGTGAGGCCTCTGGCAGCGAGGAGCCCACACAGTTACGCTCAGGGGCTGAGCTCGAACCGGCTCCTTCCAGTTTCTCCGGTGGCACCGCCGCGGGACTCCCAGTGGCCGCCAAGATCGGCTCCGTAGCCGCCATAACTCCAGCTCCGGGCGTCACTCTTTGTCCGGTAGCTGTGTGCTCAGCACTGCGTCTGCGCGGGGGTGGGGTGAGCAGGGAGACGTTTCCGGTTAAAGGGCAGAGCTCGCGTCACCCTTGAGGGAGTCGGACTCGGGACCGGCCGAGAGTGTGCGGAGCTTACCTGCACCAGCGAAGCGCCTGCGGCAGCCGGAAGCGAAAGTCTCTGGCTTCTCTGCGTCCAGGTCGGCGCGCGAGCACCCGGAAGCCGCTTGCGGGCTCCCGGAAGCGGCGCCCTCTAGCGTTCTCGAGTCGCATGAGGCGGCTGCTGCCCTCGCGGTGCGGGAGGGCGAGCTGCGCGTGGCCTGGGCTCCTTCCGAATGGTGGCGCCTCTGAGCGCCAGTTCGAGGAGGAGTCGGAGGAGGAGCCTGAATGTTTGGAGATAGACTTCAAGTCCCGGACCTTATCCGTGCGCCGCTTCGGTTTGCAGGTGACCTTTGCGTGCGGGCGCCCCTTCTGATTGACCCTGATGAGCTGTAGCTCTGATGGCCCCTCCTTCGGGAATGATTAGGGTGACGGCTGGCCGGGGCTCGTTCGAGTGGCGCCCGGCCGGTGGTGACCCGAACAGGAGAGCGGGACGGCGACCATTCTCTCGGGAGGGGCCCATCTGGAGAAAGTCCTCTCGCTTGGTCAAACTAGGAGGGCGATAGCACCGGCCTTACTGCGACGATGACAAAGTACAACACACCGTCTGGCGCGAAGGAGATGCTCGAGAACCCTTTGCTGTTGTTATTTTTCGCGTGTCCTCCGAAACCAAGGGAAATGCGGCTCTGTGGGTTCTGTTAACGTCAGCATTTAATAAGTGAACTCTAAATGCATTGCCCCTTATGGTGGCCGCTGGCCTCCTGAGTTGACTCAGCTCTTGCAACGTAGCTAGTTGATAACCCTCGAAATATAGCGAATTGAGATGTGCTATATTGTAAAATACGGGACTTAGTACGAAAAAACTGATGTAAAAATTATCTCAATACTTTTTAATACTGATTACATGTTGGAATATAATGTTTTGCATATATTGGGTCAAATAAAAATGTTATTAATTTCACCTGTGTTTTTACTTTTTAAATGCAGCTTCTAAAAACATTTAAATTGCATGTGCAGTTTACATTATATTTCTGTTGAGCAGCCTTGGGTTAGAGTGTTGGAGTGAGGCTACCTTGGTGGAATCCCCTTTGACGATACCCAGCTCAGAGTTGTTAGGAGGATTAAATAAATTAAGCCGTTGGAGAGAAAGGGCTTTTAAGAAGTTTGCTCTTGTTTTTATTAGGTAAACTGCTTGCTATCTCTGAGCTACTGTTTTCTTATCAGTAAAATGTGGATGTAATAGAACTTACCTCTCAGAGGTAATTGAGAATTCAGTGAGATGATGTAGGTAAAAGCACGTGGCCCTGACAGCCCTCGGCCAGGTGGTTTTCTGTTTGGTAGCTGACTCACAAATAGTTTTGTTTTTGTTTTTGTTTTTGTTTTGAGACTGAGTCCTCCGCCTACCGGGTTCAAGCGATTCTCCTCCCTCCGCCTCCCGAGTAGCTGGGATTACAGGCGCCCACCACCACACCCGGCTAATATTTTATATTTTTGGTACAGATGGAGTTTCACCGTGTTGGCCAGACTGGTCTCGAACTCTTGACCTCAGGTGATCCACTCTCCTCAGCCTCCCAAAGTGCTGGCATTACAGGCGTGAGCCACCGTGCCGGGCCACAAATAGGTTTTATATCCTCATTTTACAGAAGGGGAAACTGAGGCCCTCAAAGGACAGGGGCCTCATATGAAAGGTTTTCTATGACCTTGCAGTCCTTTTGAGCCCGTGCAGGATGGAGGAGCAGGTTTAACAACCATTAACATGCCATTAGCCCTGATATAAAACTTACCCCTACCATAGGATGTTTCCTTTGGATGGGTAGAAGTGGACCCTCATGAAATCATTTCCATAGCCTGAAAACCTTGAAAGTCGTTGCAGTGGGCCTTTAATGTTTTTTAGTTGCTGACATGTAAAAATTGGGAGATTTCACATGCAAATCTGGATTTCTAATTTTTCTTGAAAAAACGGAAGAGCTGGCCACACTGGACCCAAATTCCTGCTGGTCAACAATCAGCTGACACTGAGTAGAGACGACTTCCTTTAGACAAGATACTCTGTCCCATTTGGTCTCAATCTCAACCATTCCCTATGGTTCTCTGAAATAGAATGTTGTTTGCATTTACTGTTGCTCTCAGGTTGTTGCTTTATTTAGAGTTGATATTTTTCTCTCTTTTCTTTTTAGAGGTGAGAAAGCAGGGTCTTAGTGTTTGTTATGCCTACTGGCTTCAAACCTTGACTTCTGTCTGGCCCCTCAGTAGTTGGGTTTGCTGCCCAGAGTGACCAACAGTGCTATTCCCTGTGTGGTAACAGGTACTCAGTTTCTAGGCCTAAGGGAGCACACTAACCCTTCTGTGGAGGCAAGAGGTGATAGAAGTCTTCACTGGGGAGGAGACTTCAAGCTGAGACTCAAGAACAAAATGGGTGGGGCTCAGGGACATTCCAGGTAGAAGGTACTGCCTGTACAAAGGCACATAGTGAGTAGGAGCAAAACTGTGGAAACTGCAGGCTATATGGGAAAGTGGTTGGGATCTGGAGAAGGGGTGAGAGATGAGGTTGGAACACTGGTGGGGGTTAAATCATAAATGTCCTAGAATTCCATGTTTAAAATTTAGTTATTATCTTCTTGTGAAAGGGAATGAACTTTTGTGGCACCTGGAATCATGAGATGTTATGTTAGATCTCTAGTCTATTTCTTCCATCCCTATTGAAATCGTGAATTATTAGAGATAGGAGGAGGGACCTGAGAGATCTATTAGAATCATTGAATGTCAGACTGGAAGGGCCCTTAGAAATGGAATTTAAAAATCCAGCCCTTTGTGGGCCGGTAAGCCTGCTTTAAAGTGATTCAGCAGTAAAAAAATAATGTGGAGGGAATAAATGAAACAAGATTGGCTCAGTAGTTGGCCGGGCGCGGTGGCTCATGCCTGTAATCCCAGCACTTTGGGAGGCATAGGCAGGCGGATCACCTGAGCTCAGGAGTTCAAGACCAGCCTGGGCAACATGATGAAACCCTGTCTCTACTAAAAATACAAAAAATTAGCTGGGCTCGGTGGCTCATGCCTGTAATCTCAGCACTTTAGAAGGCTTGAAAGATTGGCAGTATGTACACTCTACTTTGGTATATGCTTGAAAATGTCCATGATAAAAGTTAAAACATTCAGATTCCCAGAATCTGAAAAAAAACATATAATGCCTCTTCTTCGAAAAGGGATGCAGTTATCTACTTTCATGTAATTTACATATATCCTTGAACCCTCCCAGAAGTCCCAGATTAAGCTTAAAATATACATTTATATTTCATTCTTTTGAATTTTGCAGATTGAGAAACCAAGATGTCAGAAGATGAAGGATTGGTCCAAAATAAGAAAGCTAGTAAGTGGTTTCATGAGGACAGAAATCTTTTGACTTTTAGTCCAAACTCTTATCTTATTAGGCCTCTTTATCCCTAGATTGGGAGTTCACTTGGGAAGGGATCATAACTCATTCATCTCATATCACTTAGCTTCCAACACAAGGCCTGACTCCTAGGTAGCTTCAGTGTTGATTAAAGGAAAGAGGACAAATGTGGATTGCAGACCATCCCTGAGAAGGCAGAGCTCTCATATGAGTCCCAGACTCTTTCAGAGACCTCAGTGCCTTTTGATGGCACTTGGTTGTTGAGGGTTGTGGAAAAGAAGCTTGGATACTTATTTTCTTTTTTATCAGAGCCATCACACTGGAGAATACGTCTTTTAAAAAGCTTTTCATTGGCCAAGCATGGTGGCTCATGCCTGTAATCCCAGCACTTTGGGAGGCCGAGGCAGGCGGATCACGAGTTCAGGAGTTTGAGACCAGCCTGGCCAATATAGTGAAATCCCATATCTACTAAAAATACAAAAAATTAGCTGGGCATGGTGGCAGGTACCTGTAATCCGAGCTACTTGGGAGGCTGAGGCAGAAGAATCACTTGAACCCGGGAGGCAGAGGTTGCAGTGAGCTGAGATCGTGCCACTGCACTCCAGCCTGGGTGACAGTGTGAGACTTCATCTCAAAAAAATAAATAAGTTTTTTATTTGGAAATAATTATAGATTCATAGAAGGTTGCAAAAATAGTTCAGAGAGGTTTCATGTACCCTTCAGTCAGTTTTCCCTAATGGTAACATCTTGCATAACTATAGTACAATATCAAAACCAGGAAATTGACATTGGTACAATCCACAGACTTTATTCACATTTTCCCAGTTTTACATACATGCATTTGTGTGTGTGTGTGTGTGTGTAGGTCTATGCAATTTTATCGTGTGTGGATTAATGCAACTACTACCACAATATCTAGAACTGTCTGATCACCACAGAGATCCCTCGTGCTATCTCTTTATAATTGCATCCATTCATCTTCCCTTCCCCTATCCCTAACCACAGGCAACCACTAATCTATTCTCCATGTCTATAACTGTGTTATTTAAAAAATGTTACATACCTGGAATCATATAGTGTATAATCATTTGGGCTTGGCTCTTTCCACTTGGCACAATTCCCTGGAGATTCACCCAAGTGGTTGCTTGTATCAATAGTTTGTCCTTTTTATTGCTGAGTAGTAATCTATGGTATAGATGTACCATGGTATATTTAACCATCCATTGAAGGACATTTGGGTTGTCTCCACCTTTGAGCTGTTACAAATAGAACTGCTATGAGTTATTTTATGACATGGCTTTGGGTAATCACTTATCTTTCTGAGCCTGGAAATAGTAACTACCACACAGGATGGTTCTGAATAGTCGAGGAGGAGAAATATATATAAGGGAACTGGTGCAGGGTTTGGCACAGAATATATACTTCGTCATTTTTTTAAAACCGATGGTTATGAAGAGATAATACTTCCTTGAATATGTAAGTTCTAGTATGTAGTATTTTTAAAAGTCACAGGCATTGATATTATTATTAGTGTATTAGTCTGTTCTCATGCTGCTAATAAAGACATACCCAAGACTGGGTAATTTATAAAGGAAAGACGTTTAATGAACTCACAGCTCCACGTGGCTAGGGAGGCCTCACAATCGTGGTGGAAGACAAGGAGGAGCAAGTCACATCTTACATGGATGGCAGCAGGCAGACAGAATGAGAAAGTGAAAGGGGTTTCCCCTTATAAAACCATCAGATCTCGTGAGACTTATTCACTACCATGAGAACAGTATGGGGGAACTACCCCCATGATTGAATTATCTTCCACTGAGTCCTTCCCACAACACGTGGGAATTATGAGAGCTACAATTCAAGATGAGATTTGGGTGCGGATACAGCCAAACCATATCATTATTGAACATCTGTGTATGTGTGATACTTTATTTACAGATGAGAAATTAAGGTCTAGAGAGATTAATTAACTTGCCCAGGTTCAGCCAATCCATGGCAAGATTGGGATTCAAACCCACGTTTAACATAGACAGTAGGAACCATGGAAGGACTTAAAGCAGGGGAAGGATGTGATCAGATTTGTGTTTTAGGAGACTCAGTCTGGATGCACTGTAAAGAATATTGCTTTATTGCTGAACACTTAGATTATTTCTGATTTTTCATTAAAATAATGTGATAATCATATATTGCTTAAAGCTTGTTCTGATTTTGAATTATAAGCATCTATTACTATCAAATCTATTTGGTCTCTGAGTTTGAAAAGGAAGCATTCTGATAGCAAGAGCTTGGATGGTAAGGGATACCAGTACTTCCTTAAGCTGTAATCCCAAAAGAGGACTGACTGAAATATTTTGCTACATATTGCCACCTTTCTTTCTATAGACATGTGTTTGATTCATAGAACCTTAGGACAACCCCTTTACTTCACAGATGGGCAAACTAAAGTTCAGAAAGTAGAAGTACTAGCCAGGGTAGAATCCAGGGCCCAGCAATGAATGAGAATTTTAGTTGCTCTACATCCTCATCAGCACTTAGTATTTCATTTGACAGAGTCTGTCATCCAAGCTCAGTGTCATTAGTTATTCAGAAAATTCAGTGCAGTGTTGCAGTCCTAGATCACTGCAGCGTCAAACTCCTGGGTTCAAACTATTCTGCCTCAGCTTTGTGAGTAGCTGGGACCACAGGCGCGTACCGCCATGCCCCACTAATTGTTTTTTTGTTTGTTTGTTTGTTTTATAGAGACAGGGTCTCGCTATGTTGCCCAGGCTGGCCTCAAACTGCTGGGCCCAAACAATCCTCCTGCCTTAGCCACCCAAAGTGCTGGGATTACAGGCGTGAGCCACCGTGCCTGCCCCTACCTCTCACTTTCTCTGTCTCTATACTGCCATACTCCTCTTCTCTTCCCTTCTCTTCCCTTCTCTTCCCTTCTCTTCCCTTCTCTTCCCTTCTCTTCCCTTCTCTTCCCTTCTCTTCCCTTCTCTTCCATTCTCTTCCCTTCTCTTCCCTTCTCTTCCCTTCCCTTCCCTTCCCTTCTCTTCCCTTCTCTTCCCCTCTCTTCCCTTCTCTTCCTTTCCTCTCCTCTCCTCTCCTCTCCCCTCCCCTCCCCTTTTTCTTTCATCTTGCTCTGTCGCCACCCCCCTCCTCCCGCTTTTTCTTTCCTCTCGCTCTGTCACCCAGCTGGAGTGTGGTGGCATGATCTTGGCTCACTGCAACCTCTGCCTCCCAGGTTCAAGCTATTCTCTTGCCTCAGCCTCTCGAGTAGCTGGGATTACAGACGCCTGCCACCACACCCGGTTAATTTTTTGTATTTTTAGTAGAGACAGATTTTCACCATGTTAGCCAGGCTTGTCTCCAACCTCTGACCTCAGGTGACCCACCTGCCTCAGCCTCCCAAAGTGCTGGGATGACAGGCGTGAGCCACCACGCCCGGCCTCTTGGCTCTTTTTAAATCATTCATTCCCAACTCCTTCATTTGCTTTTTGCAGTCCTATCTTCTGTTCTCAGCAAGGCTAGCTTTCTTTTTGATGTTTCTGGAATGACCTTCTCTTCTGAGATGGTTATTTTTAAAATCCCTTCTTTCCTGAGCTCTGCCAGTGTCGTCTCCTCTGGCTGTCTCAGTGTCTTTTCTTTGAACTATTACATCTTTGCTTTGATCTCTTGTTTTAAAATTCATTAAGCCCTTTGACTTCTTTGTTGTTCATGATTATCATCTGTTTCATGTTAGCTTTTTTATTTTTCTTTTTTTGGTGATTGTCTTTCATCTGCCATTTGTTTTTCCTGTTCCCTGCCTCCCTCTCCTGCTTTTTTCAGTAATATATTTGTATAAGTCTTGTGTTATTTCTTTTTTACTATAACTCCCCTTTAGATGAAGTGAGTTCTTCTGGACAAGCTGCTTGTGGGATTGTGTGTGGAGAAAGGACTAGAGTAGAATTCCAGGCTGGCAGGAATTCTCTTGGCTTCATAGTGAAGCTTCTTCTGACAGGGTTTTTTGTGAGTATGTGAATTGGTTTAGCCCTCTCCTCTTCCGATCAGTTGGAGCTTGGCAGCTGTAGGGCTATAAAAATGGAACATCTGTGTGTTTCCCTGGTCACCCCACTCCCCTACTTCTCCTTGGTCCCAGTGGGACCAGAGAGGCTCCCAGAGCCAGCCTGTCCATCACCATCCCAATGTTCTACTGAAGGTGTTGTGAGTTGTGCCCTCAAGGTGTAGCCCGCTTCTTTGGAGAAGTACGAGTTTTGCCAGCTCTCCCTAAGGCCTGCAGCCATAGCGTTCTCTATTGGCATTAACCTTCTGGATCTTCTCAGCACCCCTCATTGCCGCACAGGCTGATGTGATAGCTTGCTACTCTCAGCACCGTCACCCTCTGGCCACTGGAGTGCTTAACCCAGAAAGGCTGGGAAGTTAATGCCTCCAGGAGCAGCTCTCAAGTGGACAATTCTGAGGCATGCTCCCTGCAGTCTTTTTTTTTTTTTTTTTTTGAGACAGAGTCTTGCTCTGTCGCCCAGGCTGGAGTGCAGTGGCACGATCTCGGCTCACTGCAAGCTCCATCTCCTGGGTTCACGCCATTCTCCTGCCTCAGCCTCCCGAGTAGCTGGGACTACAGGCGCCCACCACCACGCCCAGCTAATTTTTTTTGTATTTTTGATAGAGATGGGGTTTCACCGTGTTATCCAGGGTGGTCTCAATCTCCTGACCTTGTGATCCGCCTGTCTTGGACTCCCAAAGTGCTGGGATTACAGGCGTGAGCCACCGCGCCCGGCCCCCTGCAGTCTTACTAAGGTCCCCAGGACATTGGAGCCCCACTGGGCCATAGGGGTGACATGTTCATGCACCTCTGTCAAAAAACAAAAATTTATAGAAGATCCTGTGATTATTCTCCTTAGCTATGTTAACATAATGAATTATGTTTATATAATTAACCATCTTTGCACTCCCAGAATGATATGTTATTTTTACAGGTACTGCTGAATTCTATTTGCTTATATTTTAAGATTTTAAGAACAATATTTATAAATGAGATGAATCTGTAGCTTTCTTTTTTTGTGCAACCTCTATTAGGTTTTAGTGTCAGTGTTCTCAGTTCATTACAATAATTTGGTAGTTTTCCTTCTTTTTAGGCTCTGGAACGGTTGAAGAAACATTGAGGTTGTTTGGAGTTGCCTGTGAAACCTTTAGGACCAGCTGCTTTTTTCTTTTTAGGTGGTGGTAGTGGTGAGAGACCTCTTTTACAGCTTCTCTACTTCTATGACAATTAATCTATTTAGGCTGGGCGTGGTGGCTCACATCTCTAATCCCAGCACTTTAAGAGGCTGAAGTGGGAGGACTGCTTGAGCCCAGGAGTTCAAGACCAGCCTGGGCAACGTAGTGAGACCAGATCTCTACAAATTAAAAAATTAGTCAGTCATGGTGGTGCACACCTGTGGTCCCAACTACTTGGAGGCTGAGGTGAGAGGATCACCTGAGTCTGGGAAGGTAGAGGCTGCAGTGAGCTGTGATCATGCCACTGCACTCTGGCCTAGGGCATAGAGTGAGACCTTGTCTCCAAATTAAAAAAAAAAAAAAGGAAATAAAATCAGAAAATTAGTCTACTTAAATGGTTTCGGCCGGTCACGGTGGCGGATCACTTGAGGTCAGGAGTTCGAGACCAGCCTGGCCAACATGGTGAAACCCTGTCTTTACTAAAAATACAAAAATTAGCCAGGCACGATGGTGGGTGCCTGTAATCCCAGCTACTCAGGAGGCTGACGCAGGAGAATCGCTTGAACCCAGGAGGCAGAGGTTGCAGTAAGCCAGGGTCGTGCCACTGCACTCCAGCCTGGGCAAAAGAGAGACTCTGTCTCAAAAATAAATAAATAAATAAATAAATAGTTTCTATTGGGGTCACTTTGGTAAATTATTTTTTCCTAAAAGATTATTCATAAAAATCTAGTATTTAAGTGTTAAAAGACTCATTCAAATTCCTAAAAATAACCTCTGTTGAAACATGTCAGTAGGCTAGCTATGGGCGGTGAACTGCCATTTTGCAACCACTAAATAGAGAATTTTTGACCTGAAAGAGGCCCTATGGATCCATACTGGGGGTTGCAAACAGGTAACATGCCTGGCAGATGACTTAATTGTGTGAGGTGAAGACTTTGGTGAATTACAGAGCCAATACCTCAACTAAAGACAAGCAAGTTAATTTTGAGCAATATTTAAACCAAAACACTATGCAGGTCAAATAAAACAGTCTGCAAGTTCACTTGGCACATCACGTGCCATAGCTAGTTTATGGCCTCTGCCAGCCCAGCCTCCTTCCTCATAACCACACCTCCTGAGCATCTCACGTTTTAGCTATGTCTCATGCTCCCTGAACAGACCCTGCTCTTTCTTCATATATCTTTTTTTCTTTTTTTTTTTGAGATGGAGTTTTGCTCTTGTTGCCCAGGCTGGAGTGCAGTGGTGTGATCTCGGCTCACCACAACTTCCGCCTCCTGGGTTCAAGCGATTCTCCTGTCTCGGCCTCCCTAATAGCTGGGATTACAGGCCCGCGCCACCATGCCCGGCTAATTTTGTATTTTTAGTAGAGATGGGGTTTCTCCATGTTGGTCAGGTTGGTCTCAAACTCCCAACCACAGAGTCTATCTCTGTCACCCAGGCTGGAATGCAGTGGCTCAATCTTGGCTCACTGCAGCCTCTGCCTCCTGGGTTCAAGTGATTCACCTGCCTCAGCCTCCCGAGTAGCTGGGACTACAGGCGCCTGCCACCACGCCCGGCTATTTTTTTTTTTTGTATTTTTAGTAGAGATGGGGTTTCACCATGTTAGCCAGGATGGTCTCGATCTCCTGACCTCGTGATCCACCCACCTCAGCCTCCCAAAGTGCTGGGATTATAGGCGTGAGCCACTGCACCCAACCACCTCTTCATATATCTTTTTTTTTTAAGAGACGGAGTCTCACTCTGTTGCCAGGCTGGAGTGCAGTGCCATGATCTCGACTCACTGCAACCTCTGCCTCCCAGGTTCAAACAATTCTCCTGCCTCAGCCTCCCAAGTAGCTGGGACTACAGGTTCCCGCTATAAAGCCCAGCTAATTTTTGTATTTTTAGTAGAGACAGGGTTTCATCATGTTGGCCAGGATGATCTCAATCTCTTGACCTCGTGATCTGTCCACCTTGGTCTCCCAAAGTGCTGGGATTACATACGTGAGCCACCATGCCCGGCCTCATATATCTTTCATAGCTTTATTATAGCAAGACTTTCTCTGAGGATTTTACTTCCCCACCATATTGTGAACTCCTGGTAAGCAGGGACCACATCTTATTCACCTTCATATGCTTTGTAAGCATTTGTTGTATAGCTTTTATAATCAGCAAAACAATAAGAATCTTCTCTCTCCCTCTCTCTCTTTTTTTTTTTTTTTTTGAGACGGAGTCTCATTCTGTCACCTAGGCTTGAGTGGTGCAATCTTGGCTCACTGCAACCTGCGCCTCCCAGGCTCAGATGATGCTCCCGCCTCAGCCTCCCGAGTAGCTGGGATTACAGGTGCATGCCACCACACTGGGCTAGTTTTTGTATTTTTAGTAGATACTGGGTTTCACCATGTTGGACGAGCTGGCCTTGAGCTCCTGACCTCAGGTGATCCACCCGCATCAGCCTCCCAAAGTGTTGGGATTGCAGGCATGAGCCACCGCGCTTGGCCGAATCTTCTCATAAATTGTTTGTGGAATTGAATCGAACTCCATTTTATACATTATGAAAATGAGGCCCCAAGTAGTTAAGTGACTTACCTAAGATCACATAGGAATAGGACCAGTGCTCTTTTTGGCATTCTACCCTGTAATAGTTACAGTTATAAAATCAGGAACTGTAAGAGAAATGAAACTTTCTTAGTTTCTAGAACTGACTTAAATGTGTGACTCTGAATCCCCAGCCCACCTCCTTGCAGATAATTGAATTTAGGATGTCTTCAGGTAAATTGAGATCCAATCCAGTAATTTTGAGTGGATATAATTTCAGGCTTATTGATTCATCTTGGGCCCATTCATAGCTCTCCAAACTTCCTGCTTCTTCTTCCCCAAAGCTGATCTAATTCCTAGAGAAATTGTACAACCACAGCTGGCAAGAGGTGAGGTTGGCAGTAAACATTTTTGGGGTCTCATCAGGTCGTACTGGCATCATCTGATGCCCCTTGTGAGCCTGGATACTTTCCTTGTCACTCTTGGATCCTCAGGCAGTTCAGAGGACTGACGGGACACCCTTCCTGCCTATAGCCATCTCCTACCATCTCTCTTGCTTTCTCCAGGCCCAGTTGTTTCTTTCAGAAGCCCCCTACACTTTTGAAGGGGATCCTCTTATATTTCCTTCCTTAAGACTAGGTTTGCAGTGGGGGAGGCAAAAACTCCATACCTCATCTCTCTGTCTCTCTTTCTAAAACTTTCTCTTCTTTCTCTCTCTGAATTCTTTACATCTTTTCTCATGGTATGGGGGAAAAACCAGTTTTGTCCCTTCTCACCTCTGTGTGTGATTACTGTCCCACCCCAAGAGTGGCCTTTGTCTTTCTTCTCAGCTGTCCAGCCATCTTTGCTGAACTCAGTGTCCTTCTGTCTACCTATCAGTTGGAGGAGAGTTAACAGATATACCCCACGGGATAGGAATGGCAGAGCAGGTGATGCTTGAAATCACAGTTTTCTACTGAGGATCCTGGTGCAAGAGCAAATTGAGATACTCAATTGTCATCTTTAATAGAAAAAAGCACTTTAGAGCCTATATTTTTCTATATCTTTAGAAGGACTCCAGAGATTTGAGTTCTAGTCACCAAGTTCCATTCAATATTTGACACTTGATTTGGGTGAGGTCTTCTGTTTTGCTGAGTTTTTTTTTTATTGTCCTGATTTAACCAGACTTATGGGACAGTACTATGCACCCACGTTCCAGGGCCTCCAAGTTCTAAGTCTCAGAGTGGTCCCTGGGCTAAGGTGCTGGATGAACCTACTCCCAGCCTAGAAGCCTCCCGCTGTAACAAAGTACACCCATTTTTCTATGAGATAGAGAATGAGTTATCTTTTTAAATCATCTTTTTCTTCTTTCTCTTTTGTGTTTTTCTTCTGTTCCCCACTTCCTACTTAGCTGATTAGAAATGCAGTTATAACCTTTTGCTTTCCCTTCACCAGACACTCCTAGAGCAAGTGTATCTGTGTGCTTACTTAAAAGCTCCAGAGTAGAAACCTCTCCCACCAGATTGCCTTGAGAGACAATAGTCAATTTACAACCAAAAGTATGCCTGCCAGGAAACTCTGCCCCACCTGGAGAGTATCTCGAGACAAGGCCACTTTACAACCTAGTTCTGCCCAAGATGGTGGCAGCTCGACCAGGCGGTAGATAAGGCACCAAAGTGAGTCATGGAGACTCCCACCTGCTCATTCCCTCCTCTGCATGCCATTTATGCCAATTCCCCCTCCCGCTTTTTTTTTTTTTTTTTTTTTTTTTTTTGAGACAGAGTCTTGCTCTGTCGTTCAGGCTGGAGTGCAGTGGCACAATCTTGGCTGACTGCAACCTCTGCCTCCCGGGTTCAAGTGATCCTCCCACCTCAGCCTCCCGAGTAGCTGGGATTATAGGTGCCCACCACCTCACCCGGCTAATTTTTTTGTATTTTTAGTAGGGATGGGGTTTCACCACATTGGCCAGGCTGGACCAGACCTTGCTTCTGTTAATTGGATGCTACAAATGGAGAGCAAGTGTACCTGACATTTAGCTACACTGCTTTCTTAAAAAAAAAAAAAAAAAAAAGGCCCTGGCCAGGAGTGGTGGTTTATGCCTGTAATCCCGGCACTTTGGGAGGCTGAGGTGGGTGGATCACTTGAGGTCAGGAGCTTGAGACCAGCCTGGGCAACGTGGTGAAAGCCTGTCTT
Organism: Homo sapiens; assembly: GCF_000001405.40. NCBI lineage: Eukaryota > Metazoa > Chordata > Mammalia > Primates > Hominidae > Homo > Homo sapiens. Next base: position 35,967,687 of record NC_000020.11, read on the forward strand.
TACTAAAAATACAAAAATCAGCCGGGCATGGTGGCACACGCCTGTAATCCTAGCTACTTGGGCGGCTGAGGCAGGAGAATCACTTGAATTTGGGAGGCAGAGGTTGCAGTGAGCTGAGATTGGGCCACTGCACTCCATCCTGGGAACAAAGTGAGACAGTGTCTCAAAAAACAAAAAAGCCCTATCTTTGCAGGACAGGTGAGCCCCCAAATTGAGACTTAGCTTAGGAGAGTTCTTGGCTTTGCCCAAGGAAGGAATTCAAGGGTGAGCCAGTGGTGTTAGACAGCAATCTTTTATTGAATAGTGCTTCTCCTTGTGGGGCAGGGCTAACTCATGGGCAATGAATCCGGAGTCGATACCCAGTGTATGAGATGTTGGCAACTGTATTTATGCTCATCTCTAATCCCTTCTCAGCCTTTTGGCTGAGATCAAGTGTAGTATACGCATTCCTACCCACTTTCAATCACATGCAAATTAAGGGGCAGGCTAATGCAAATTAAGGGGCAGGTTAATGCAAATTAAGGAGTGGGTTTTTAGAGTTTTCTAGGAAAGAGGTAGCAACTTCCTGGTCATTGCCAAGACATTTGTACACTGTCATGGCACTGGTAGGAGTGTCTTATGTTAATGAGGGATGGGGACAGCTAGGGGGTCCTAGATCCTGTTTTGGTCAGCAGGGTTGTGCCATTCTCCTGTCTCACCAGGACTCTGGCAGCCATTTAGCTACTTTGAGCCCCAGTCTCCTATGTATGGAGTTGAGTAAAAGTTTGGGTGGTTGTGAGGATTAGCTGAGATAATGCCTGTGAGTATCCCATAAATGTTAGACTCCCACATTCCAATCCCTGTGTCCCCTGCCTCCAGAATCTTTCATTGTGACCTTAGGAGATTCTGAGAATGATTTTTCTCAGAGCAGGGCTTCCAGTAGCTGATGGTATGGTAGGAGGAGTGGAGTGGAGCTCTTGCCTTGTTACTGAGGAAATCTATTTGTTTCTAGTATTACTGGATTTTTGGGGAAAAATTTGTAGTCCTCCCCTTGAAAGGCAAAGGGGCTAGTTGTGCCATTTGCCTGCACAGGAACCATGAGGAGACATATGGTAACTTATGCCTGGCAGCTCCTGAAGAAGGAACTGGTGAGGAGGGGCAAGGGCCCTGGGAGGGAAGAGCAGAAGACTGAACAGACAGGTGTTTTGAGGAAGGTCGATGCAGGTGTAGGAGGGGTCTTGGATGAATGGTGGCCATCCTGTACCTTTTGGAGTCACAGCATGGCACAAAGGAGGGACCCCTGCCCTGTAGCCTACCAGCCCCCCACACTGGGCAAGCCATAAGCCACACTCAGAGCCACTGAGTCCTGTTCTGTACCCACTCTTCCTGCTATTATGAGATCCAGAGAGAACGAGGGAGGATAGAGTCAGGGTAGCAACATTGAGTCATAGGTTAAGCTTGTGAACTCTGGAGCCAGACTACCTAGGTTTAAATCCCTATCACCTATTAGTCATGTGACCCCAGGCAAGTTGCTTGGTTTGCTGTGCCTTTATTTTCTCCTCTGTAAAGTGAGATGATAATACTAGTACCTACTGCATAAATTTACTGATTAAATGATTTACATATCAGAATAGTGCTTTGGATAATGCCTGACAATAGTAAATTGTACTCAGTAAGTATTAATTTTATTCATAAAGTACCTTTCCCCATATTTCCATAGATATCTAATTTTTAAGAAATAGAACATTACAGGTGTAGGGAAAGCTCTTTACCATCCCATGCCCCTTTATTTCTCTTTAATAGTAACCACTTTCCTGAAGTTGGTGTCACCCTTCCTGTTTATATTTTTATATATTATCACATGTGTATGTATCCATAAACAATATATAGTATGTGGCACACTGTTTAAAAATGATACCATAAATAGCATCATAGTTCTTTTTTCCCACTCAAAATCATTTCAGCTTTATCCACATTGACACACACAGACTTAGTGCTGTGTTCAATCCTGTGACTGAACCATAATGTATTGATCCCTTCGATCCCTACTAATGAACATTTGTTTTCAGCCATTCACTGTTACACACAATGTTGCCATGATTACCCTCATGGCTATCCCCTTGTACATGTATGTTTCTCTGAAGAGGACATATAAAGTACATACAATTCTTCCATTGTGAAGTACACACATCCTCAACTTTATATAATGTTGCCAAATTGCTCTTCAACATGGTTGTACCATGTTTCCCAGTTCCCAGTGATAAGTGCAAAATAGTATCATGTTATTACTTTAATTTCCATTTCCATTATTTCTAGCAATGTTAAAAATGGTTTCACAATTTGGCTGGGGCATGAAGGCTCATGCCTGTAATCCCAGCACTTTGGGAGGCTGAGGTGGAAGGATCACTTGAAGCCAGAGTTGGAAACCAGCCTGGGCAACAAAGTGAAACCCCCTCTTTACAAACAATGTAAATATAAATACAAATGAATAAAAACAATATTTTCACAATTTATAGGTAATTTGAACTTTCCCTTTGAATTACCTTTGCTCATTTTGCTATTGGGTTATTTGTATTTTTCTTTTGATTTGTAGGATTACAAAAAATAAATTTTGGATCGTAATCCTTTGTTGATTATATGCATAGTAAGTATATTTTTCCAGTCTGTAGTTCGTTGTCTCACTTTGTTTATGATACACTTTAAAAAGAACATTCTCTTTTTTCCTTTGTTTGTTTTTATTTATTTTTTTGAGACAGAGTCTCACTCTGTTGCCCAGGCTGGAGTGCAGTGGCGCAATTTCAGCTCACTGCAACCTCCACCTCCCAGGTTCAAGTGCTCCTGGTGCCTCAGCCTCCTGAGTAGCTGGGATTACAGGCGCCCACCACCACGCCCGGCTAATTTTTGTTTTTTTTAGTGCAGATGGGATTTCACCATGTTGGCCAGACTAGTCTCAAACTCCTGGTCTCAAGTGATCAGCCCACCTTGGCCTCCCAAAGTGCTAGGATTGCAGGCATGAGCCATTGTGCCAGAGCTGTTTGTTTGTTTGTTTGTTTCATTTTGTTGTTGTTGTTACAGGGTCTTGCTCTGTTACCCAGGTTGGAGTGCAGTGGCACGATCATAGCTCATTGCAACCTTGAACTCCTGGGCTCAAGCAATCCTTCTGCCTCGGCCTCCCGAGTAGCTGGGACTACAGGCGAGTGCCACTGTGCCTAGCTAACGATGTACTTTTCAATAGAAGTTAGTAAACAGAGACTTTTATTTAGTTTTTGCATTTTTTTCTTTTTCTTTTTTTTTTTTTTTGAGACGGAGTCTCGCTCTGTCGCCCAGGCTGGAGTGCAGTGGCGGGATCTCGGCTCACTGCAAGCTCCGCCTCCCGGGTTCACGCCATTCTCCTGCCTCAGCCTCCCAAGTAGCTGGGACTACAGGCGCCCGCCACTACGCCCGGCTAATTTTTTGTATTTTTAGTAGAGACGGGGTTTCACCGTGTTAGCCGGGATGGTCTCGATCTCCTGACCTCGTGATCCGCCCGCCTCGGCCTCCCAAAGTGCTGGGTTTACAGGCATGAGCCACCGGGCCCAGCCTGGCTTTATGTATTTGTATATGTGTTTGCTGAATTGTTTGAAAGTAAGCTGCATACTTTATGACATATCTTTCTTAAAAATAATGACATTACCCACATAACCAAATACCACTATCATACTAAGAAAATCGGCACTGATTTCCTAATATTATCTAATGTACAGTCATATTCAATTTCCTTATTTGTCCCTAGAGTGCCTTTGCTCTGTCACCCAGGCTGTAGTGCAGAGGCGCGATCTCAGCTCACTGCAACCTCTGCCTCCCAGGTTCAAGTGATTCTCCTGCCTCAGCCTCCCGAGTAGCTGGGACTACAGGCAAGCACCACCATGCCAGGCTAATTTTTGTATTTTTAGGAGAGAAGGAGTTTCACTGTGTTGGTCAGGCTGGTCTCAAACTCCTGACCTCAGGTGATTCACCCGCCTTGGCCTCCCAAAGTGCTGGGATTACAGGCGTGAGCCACCGCACCTGGCCTAGGGTGCCTTTTATAGCTTGTTATCATGAACCAGGATCCAATCAAGAAGCATACCATTGGTATGTCTCTTGAATCTTTATTAATCTAGAGCAGCCCCCATGCCTTGTTTTTTTCATCATGAAATTGACTTTTTGAAGAAACTAGGTTCATTGATTTATAGATTCTTCTACATCCTGGATTTTTCCCTATCTTCTGTATTCACTTGTTCTCAGTCTAATTCCAAATTCCTGGGGAAAAGGTAGGGTGGCCCATCTTGGATTAGGTGTTATATAAGTTTTCTATGGCTGCCATAACAAATTACCACAATTTGATGGCTTAAAACAAAGCAAATTTATTATATTACAGTACTGTAGGCAAGAAGTCTGACATGGATGTTCTTGTTCTAAAATCAAGGTGTGAGCATTCCTTTCTCAAGGCTCACGGCCTTTTCTGCTTCTAAAGGCCACCCACATTCCTTGGCTTGTGGGCCCTTCCTTCATCTTGACAGCCAGCAGTGTTGCATTCCTCTTACCATTATTCCCTCAGATCTATCTGATTCTAAAATCCAGGCTCTGTACATCATACCTATACTGCCTGCAATTAGTCGTGCCACTTATTTTGTGGATGGAATTGAAGGATTTGACATTTAGCTGGTTTGCTGGTGCATAACAACTAGCTTCTGGGGAGAGATGTCCTGACTAGTAGCTGCCAATTTCTATGGCATAAGTACTCCTACCATGGCCAGTTTTAAGTTACCAACTTAATTTCAGCAGGCTTGCAAAATTCCTGAAAATGTAACCATCACTCCAGCACACTACAGCACACTACTGCATTTAATCCTGGTAAATTTCACCTTGTTCAGCACCATCCAGCCTGCTGTTGACTGTTGAGAACAGATGGTTTCTATTGATCTTGTTTGCTTTGTTTCCATAGGGACTGTACCAGCTCGCCATGGATATCATCATAATGATCCGAGTGTGTAAAATGTTCCGCCAAGGCCTCAGGGGATTCCGGGAATATCAAATCATTGAGACTGCTCACTGGAAGCACCCTATCTTCTCCTTCTGGGATGTAAGCAGTTGGGCTCAGCAGGATTATGAGGGCTCAAAGAAGCCCAATAAATTGCATCCCACTTCCTGGCCTAAGCTCAGAACTGAGAAAGAAGACAAAAGGAAAAGCAGATGAGAGACCCAATGGTCACTTTTATTAATGGCCATACTTCTGTTGGAGAGGGTGACTTACATCATCAACCAAGAGGTTTACCTAATACTGAACCCCAGATTTAGACAGCCTTACATGCCTAGCCACAGGCAACGCTGGACCAAGGCAGGCTCCACTGCAACAGCAGGCCTGCTGCCAAAACTCATGGCAGGGAAAGGTGGAGCAAAATATGGGCTGAGAGGGAAGGAGACAATCATGCCTAGTTTTTCTCTTTCCAAATTCATCAAAGAGTTTAAGTCACTCCTCAATGTAAAAGGAGAGAGGCCAGTAGTGTTCTACTAATACACCTCCCTCCATGTGGAAAGAAACCTTGGGAGTAGAGAGGTGGTCTCCATTTCAATGGTGATCAAAAGAGCCAGAAGCAATCCAGGAATCACAATAACCAGGGTTTTCTAAATGCCCACACGCTCTCTCTATTCGCGTCTCTACTTTCTTTCCTACACCCCTACTTCGGTGCAGGGGCATTTTCAGGGCTTTGTTCACTGCGGTGACCATGTTTCTTTTATTTTTTTGAGACGGAGTCTTGCTCTGTTGCCCAGGCTGGAGTGCAGTGGCGCGTCTTGGCTCACTGCAAGCTCCACCTCCCGGGTTCACACCATTCTCCTGCCTCAGCCTCCCTAGTAGCTGGGACTACAGGCACCCGCCACCACACCCAGCTAATTTTTTGTATTTTTAGTAGAGACGGGGTTTCACCTTGTTAGCCAGGATGGTCTTGATCTCTTGACCTCGTGATCCACCTGCCTCGGCCTCCCAAAGTGCTGGGATTACAGGCGTGAGCCACCGTGCCTGGCCTGGTGACCAGGTTTCTAGATTTCCTAGAAGGTCCCAATTTAAAATATTTTATCCCAGTGGTAGATCATGTGCCCTTCTTTAGCTCAGAAAAGTTGGTCACCCTTCTGCTAACTTGTTCTAGTTCCCCAGAGGTATCTTCATTGCTACTGGGTGTGTTGCTCAGGGCTTCAAAGTTTCCCCAGCAATCACCTGGACAAATCCTGCCCATTTTTCTGTTGTTTCAGGAATGACTAGAGCCAGTCCCCACTCCTCTGCATCTAGTGATTCACTCCAAGAAATTTCCCTAAAGGGCTTCTGACAGATAGTGGCCAAAGAAAGGGGGATACGGGGCTGGTGATGGGGGAAGGAAAGGCAGCCTTAAACTGGTTTCTGAGGGGCCAGCAGGTAATATAACTAGTGTGTATGTAGCTGAGTTTAAGATACAGCAGGCCAGCTGGAGAGGAAAGATACACCTCATCTAAAGACATTCAGATACAAATATTATATTTTAAGACCCTGTGCTGGCCAAACCAAACAAGGCTGCAGCCCTGTGGTTGGGCTGAGATGAAAAACGAATGGAGTAGAAGAACTGTAACCAAAAGACTCAGGTTAGCTCTCAGGAAGGACCTCCTGACTCTCAGGGTGGCATGTAATGGTGATGCAATGGGCCCTGGAGATCAGAGGGCTTTGGTTACCAGAAGACGTGGCCTGATGCATGGGGCAGTTGGAAGCTAAGATGCAGAGTCACTTGTTGTCAGGGGAATGTGAGGCTAAGCCTAACCACATTGGCCAGCCAGAGTGGCTTGAGCAGAGCAGAAGCCTCTCAAGGGCAGCCTATAAGGGTCATAGGGTTGTCAGGCGGAGCACTGGGCGGCTGGAGTGCAGGATCAGGTGGGGAGCCCTAGACTGCTTCAGTAGATGTGTGAATCTGGATGTTTCTGAGCACTGCCTCTTTCCTTCAGTAGTCTCCCTGAGAAGCACCACATGGCTATGCAAAGGATAAACACGTTGTGGGGGCGAGACGGGTCTGAGTCTAAGGAACAAATGACATGTGGCTTGAGGCCACACTCCAGACACGGAATTGGGTTTGCTGAAAGCCTTGAGTTGGGGTCTCAGCTAGACCACTGACTTGCTGTGTGATCCTTGGGCAAGTTCCTTCACCATCTCAGTCCTACATGGAGCTTAATAAAACCTGCTTTGTCCTGATGACTAAATGGAGTAAGGCAGGGAGGATACACTGTGCTTGGCTCATTAAAGACATTTAACAAAGGTTGGCTTCATTTGTTCCTTTCTTTTTTTTATTTTTTTTATTTTTTTTTATTTTTTTTTTTTGAGACGGAGTCTCGCTCTGTCGCCCAGGCTGGAGTGCAGTGGCGCGATCTCGGCTCACTGCAAGCTCCGCCTCCCGGGTTCACGCCATTCTCCTGCCTCAGCCTCCCGAGTAGCTGGGACTACAGGCGCCCGCTACCACGCCCGGCTAATTTTTTGTATTTTTAGTAGAGACGGGGTTTCACCTTGTTAGCCAGGATGGTCTCGATCTCCTGACCTCGTGATCCGCCCGCCTCGGCCTCCCAAAGTGCTGGGATTACAGGCGTGAGCCACCGCGCCCGGCCTCTTTTTTTTTATTTTTTGAGATGGAGTCTTGCTCTGTTGCCCAGGCTGGAGTGCAGTGGCGCGATCTCGGCTCACTGCAAGCTCCGCCTCCCGGGTTCACGCCATTCTCCTGCCTCAGCCTCCCGAGTAGCTGGGACTACAGGCGCCCGCTACCACGCCCGGCTAATTTTTTGTATTTTTAGTAGAGACGGGGTTTCACCTTGTTAGCCAGGATGGTCTCGATCTCCTGACCTCGTGATCCGCCCACCTTGGCCTCCCAAAGTGCTGGGATTACAGGCGTGAGCCACCGCGCCCAGCCTGTTCCTTTCTTTTTATTCTTCCTTTTCTTCCTCCTCTATGCTTGTTTGTTTGCTGCTTTTCCCCCTTCCTTTTCTCTCTCCTTTCCTGTTTCCTCCTTATCCTCCTTTCCTTCTCCCCACCCCCATATTTCTCTGCCTTCACAATAATATGCTGTAAATGCTGGACCCAAGCCTAGTGCTGAGTTGGGGCCTTCGAGCAGAGGCAGGCCTGAAAGGGCCGGCTGCTATGAGGTTTCCCATGGCTTCCTGCCCACCATGGTGGTCCAGGTAGACAGGAGGGCTCTAGATGCAAAGTTCTAGGGGCAGTCTTGCTGATTCTCCCTCTTCTCCCTGCCCTCTTTCTTTCAGAAAAAGATGCAAAGCCGAGTCACATTTGATACCATGGACTTCATTGCAGAGGAGGTATGCATAGCTCGAAACTTGCTGTGGGGGAATTTTCTTTCTGCACCCTGGCTTGGAAGAAACCCTGGCTGGGTATCAGCAGAGCTGGTTTCAGTCTAGGCTCTGCCACCAACTCAGCTTGTCACCCTGGGTTGGCCACTTCGTTTCCTCATCAATAAAATAGCTGATCTCAGTGATTCCTTCCAGCCCTGGAGCTCCAAGACTGTGAGCATGTAGGAACCAGCTGTCACTGCACAGTTGAGCAGAACCAATGGGAGAGAGTTCCTGGGCTTGGACCCGTGGGAAAACAGCAGGAAAAGATAAAGCAGAGGATGTGAGAGTCCCAGAGAGAGGAAGAATTCAGGTGGTGGGAAAGGGCTGACCTGTGTGAATTCTGGTTCTACCCTGAATTCTCTGAGAGATGCTGGGCACACCTCTCACACCTGGGTGTCAGATACCCTTAAAGAGTCTTATTCAGGTGCAGCGCAGCTGTTGACACTCGGAAGGCTGAGGTGGGAGGATCACTTGAGGCCAGGAGTTCAAGACTGCAGTGAGCTATGGTCGTATCACTGCATTCCAGTCTGGGTGATAGAGCGAGGCCCCCTCTCTAAAAAAGAGTCCTCTCATTTTGATGAGAGAATGCTTTTATATCCATGGGAGCTTTGGACTGTGTGACTTGTTCCCTGAATTTCAATCTCATCATTGTTATCTTCTTGGCTTCTCTCCATGATATCCTGGATATTAAATATTAAAATCCAATTTAAAATTTAAAAGAGTCTACCTATTTATAGGGAACATCTGAAATTCTCACCAATGCAGACCTGACTTGATCCTGGCTTGGAGTAGCCACGTTGTTGTTTTTTTCCTCAGTGGAAGGGGAAAGAAAAGAACTTTATAATGGGTATCAGGGCCACCTGTGCCCATCTCCTGCCCCACCCCTTTCTCTTCTTGGAGCCCAGGTATGGCTTCTGTTGCTTGCCTCTCCTGGGCACAGCCTTATTTTTCGTGCCCCCTCGTGTATGAAGCATACTCAGTTAAGTCATTCAAGCTCTGTGACTCTTCAGCTCTTCAGGCTGGCTAGTGTGTGACACTGAGCACTGAAGCTTAATCAGGCTCTTTCCTTCAGGCAGGAGAAACTAGGGGCCTATCTGAGAGCCACAGAACTCTAGATATGAGGGCAATTCTGTGCACCGCAGTAGAGGGCGGGAAGAGGGCACAAAGGGAAAATTCTTTGTTATGGGCAAGGCCTATAGGTGGTCCTCAAATGAATCATGCCTGACTCTGGTTCCAACACAGGGAAGAGTAGAGAGCCAATTTATCCTCCCGTCTCAGCCTTCTGAGTAGCTGGCATTACAGGTGTGCGCTGCTGAGCCCAGCTGGAGGCTCATTTTAAAAACCAGCCCTTTGGCCAGATGTGCTAGCTCACGCTTGTAATCTCAGCACTTTGGGAGGCCGAGGCAGGAAGATTACCTGAGCTCAGGAGTTTTAGACCAGTCTGAGCAACATGTGAGACCCTGTCTCTACTAAAAATTAAAAAATAAAAATAATTAGCTAGGCACGGTGGCTCACACCTGTGATCCCAGAATTTTGGGAGGCTGAGGTGCGAGGATTGCTGGAGCCTGGGAAATCGAGGTCGCAGTGAGCTATGACTGTGCCACTGCACTGCAGTCTGGGTGACAGAGTGAGACCCTGTCCCCCTGCCCCCAACCCATCCCAAAAAAGCAAGCCCAGCCCTCTGAGTGATGCTAATGAGTATAGGGTTTCTTTGGGGTGATGAAAAGCTTCCAAAACAGTGTGGTGATTGTTGTACAACTCTGTGAATACACTAAAAAACACTGAATTGTACACTTTAAATGGTGATTTCCAGGGCATGTGAATTATATCTAAGTAAAAATGACATATAATATATAGTACACACACATGTATAGTTATATAACCTGCCCCTCAGCACAGCATTTGGATTCTGATGGACAACTAAGCCTCAGTATAGTCCATATTGGGCTTCTAATAACGCTAAACTTCTCACAGACAACCCTTAGTATTAGAGAGGCTTAGAATCATAGACTCAATTATTGCAGCAACTGTCAGACAGTGGAAACAATGGATACATTTACAAAACATTGTTTAGAAAAACACTGAGTGAAGAAAAGCAAATTGTGCAAGTGATGTCTACAGTCTTGACATTTATGTAAATTTTTTATTTTTAGTTTTTGAGACAGAGTCTTGCTGTGTCATCCAGGCTGAAGTGCAGTGATGCAATCACAGCTCACTGCAACCTCAACCTCCTTGGGCTCAAGCGGTCCTCCCATTTTAGTGCCCCCCAGTAGCTAGGACTGCAAGTGTGTGCCACTACGCCTGGCTAATTTTTTTTTTTTTTTTTTGAGACGGAGTCGAGCTCTGTCTCCCAGGCTGGTGTGTAGTGGAGCGATCTGGGCTCACTACAAGCTCTGCCTCCCGGGTTCACGCCATTCTCTTGCCTCAGCCTCCTGAGTAGCTGGAACTAAAGGCGCCTGCCACCACGCCCTGCTAATTTTTTGTATTTTTAGTAGAGACGGGGTTTCACCGTGTTAGCCAGGGTAGTCTTGATCTCCTGACCTCGTGATCCGTCCGCCTTGGCCTCCCAAAGTGCTGGGATTATAGGCAAGAGCCACCGTGCCCGGCCCAATGCCCAGCTAATTCTTAAATTTTTTGTAGAGATGAGGGTCTTGCCATATTGCCCAGGCTGGTTTCGAACTCCTGGGCTCAAGTGATCCTCCTGCCTTGGCCTCCCAAAGCACTGGGATTACAGGCATGAGCCACTATGCCCAGCAGTAAATTTTAAAATACAAAATAGTCTTATATATTCTGTGGGTACATATATATGCATACATAAAAGTGGTAAACTCAGATGGTGGGGAGCAGATCTGGATTGGGGTGGTGTATACATATAAGAGGATTTTAACTATCTGTGTTGTTCTGATTTCTAATGGAAAATATGTGTTATTTCTAAAAATTTTACTTACACCTAAGAAAAATAGAGGAAGTTATTATGCCAGATGTTAATGGCTAATTTTGGGTAGTGGGATTATGGTCAGTCATTCTTTCTTGATCCTTCATGTCCTCTGGAGGAACACAGTAGGGGTGTGGCTGGCCTGCAGTGAGTGAAGGGAAAATGGTGAGAAATGGTGTTTGAGAAGCAGACGGGCCAAGTCTCCTATGCCCTATTTGAAGTGTATTCCCTTTTCCCCATCCCAGACATTTTTTGAGCTCCTAAGGTAGGCCTAGATCTGTGTGTGGTTGTGAGGAATATTAGGCTGTGTAACATCCCCAGCCTGCCATTGAGGAGCTAACTAGGAGTTATGATGAGACTTAACTAGTAAGTTACCCACTTTCATGATAATTACATTAATCCATTCACTAAGGCAGAGCCCTTGTAACCTAATTACCTCTTAAAGGTCTCAGTTTTACAAATTTTTTTGTAGAAACAAGGTCTTGCTATGTTGCCTAGGCTGGTCTCAAACTCCTGGCCTCAAGTGATCCCCCTGCCTTGGCCTCCCAAAGTGTTGGGATTATAGGCATGAGCCACTGTGCCCAGCGTCCACTTCTTAATAGTGTCAGAATGGCAATTATATTTTGACACAAGTTTTGGAGGGGACGTTCACCCTATAGCAAGAGCCTACTGGGGAAGGGGCTACTCTTTCAGCTAAGACGACCCAGTGGGGACTCACTGAGGGTGTGGCAGCATCTGAGCTGAGACCAGAATGATGAGTCAGCCATGTCCACGAGAAAACCCAGGGGACAAATATTCCAGGCAGAAAAAAACAGCCCAGGCAGAGACCTCAAGACAGAGCCGAGCTTAGCACATGCCAGGGACAGGTAGAAAGTTCCAGAGTAGAGAACAAAGGGGAGAGGTAGGAGATGAGGCTGGAGAGAAGCCATTGAGGGTGTTCACAACTCACAGTGTCACTTCTTCAGCAGGTGGGAGTGGTAGGTGAACGTGCTGGTCCATGAGGCCTGGTTCACTGGAGAAGAAAAGCTTTAGCTAATAGTCTCTGGAAGGTTCACTTTGCTTGTTAGTCTCCTGTAGCACACTGAGCTCTAGGCTGAGACAGAGGCAAAGGTCTCCCCTGACTGCTATGTGTATGTGCTGAGCAGACTCTGCAGGACCACTGGAGCCCAGGGAAGCCTGTATTGCCTGGGAAGGTCAATGAACAACACAGGTCGGGGGGATGTCAGCGTTGATATGTGTCAGATCTCCTAATCCTGCCTGAGTTTCTTCATCTGTCAAATGGAATAACAGTTCTTGGGCTGGCAGGATGCAGTGAGATGGGCGTGTAAAATGTTTATCCCAGTGCCTGACACACAGTAAGCACTCATCACGTCAGCCACTGTGGTACAGGGAACGGGAGAGTGTACAAGCAGGACTGTGGGGTGTTGCCCGCTGGCCCATGGGTGAAATTGCTGGGTCCCCTGTATCACTCTGGTCCTCTCTCCCCAGGGTCACTTTCCTCCAAAGGCCATTCAGATCATGCAGAAGAAGCCTTCCTGGAGAACAGAGGATGAGATCCAGGCCGTCTGTAACATCTTGCAGGTTCTGGATAGCTATCGGAACTACGCAGAGCCCCTGCAGCTGCTCCTGGCCAAAGTCATGCGCTTTGAACGGTCAGTGAGGGGCACAGCCCTTGGCCACCAGGCTGAGGCTGGACTGAGCAAAAGAGCCTGGCTGAGAAGGTGTGGCAGGTCCTGCCCACCCCTCTGCATAATGTCAGCCATGAATGAAGTCTTCTGTCCATTCACTTCAGCTCCCACTGCTATGGTCGCAGCACCCTTTATCTCGCTCACTTATTGAGACTCTTAATTAAAGGGCCATTAAATCTGGAGAGGATCTAGTAGAAACCTCAGAGAGGATCTGGTCCAATTCCCTCATTTTTCAGATGAGGAAACTGAGGCTCTGTGGGGGAAAATGGCTCCTCCTAGGTCACCCAGACAAAAAGAAACAGCGCTGAAGCTCTTTTCAGTTACGCCCATCAGAGCTTGGGATGAATTCTTTCTGAAACAGCTTGGCTTTGCTTGAATTACCACTGAGGTCAGTGATGCTCTGATTGAGAGTTGAGAAAGGGTAGTTTCCCAAAGGAGAATCAGGGTGTGATTGGTGGAAAAATATGACCAGATGCTTGACAGCAAAAGCGACAGATGTCTGCTTTTGGAGATTCGGGTTCTAGCTCTGACTTGATTGTGGCTTGCCGTGACTTTCAGCAAGCTGTGGGTTCCTTGGGTCCCCCTTTCCCCTTCCCAAAAATGTTGGTTGAGCTTGATGGTCTCTGAGGGTCTTTCTGGCTCTAGCTCTAGTCATCTTTACTTCAGTGAACAGTGCCTGTGCTCCCTCATCTTCAAAATCTCATTTCCTAGCTGAATATTCCTGCTATCTCCCAGCTAGTCATTATCACCTGGGCCATCTCCTCTTTCTTTATTCTTTTTATTATTATTATTTTTTGAGATGGGTCTCGTCCTGTCAACCAGGCTGGAGTGCAGTGGTGTGATCACAGCTCACTGAAGCCTCTACCTCCTAGGTTCATATGAGCCTTCCACCTCGGCCTCCTTTGTAGCTGGGACAAGGGGTAGGCATCACCATTCCTGGCTAATTTTACTTTTTATTTTTTGTAGAGACATAGTCTCACTATGTTGCTCAGGGTGGTCTTGAACTCCTGAGCTCAAGTGATTCTTCCACCTCAGCCTCCCAAAATGCTGGGATTACAGACGTGTACCACCGTGCCTGGCTTGCCTCTTTCCTACATTGATAAAGATTCCAGGCTGATACTGGTTTGTAGCTCATGAAGCCCACAGCCACAATGGAGGCTGGGCAGTACTGACTCCAGCCTGGTGTGGTCCTCTGTCTGTCCTCTGATCCCTTCCCTCAGGAGTTTGCCACAGAATCACAAGGCCAGTGAGTACTCTCTAAGAGGTCAGAAGAGGAGATGCTGCTGGGGGCTGGGTCAGGGAAGGCTTCCTGGAGGAAGTAGGATCTGAGTTCCTGAAAGGATCTGAATAGTGGAGAAGACAGGGAAGGCCATTGCAGGCAGGGGAGCAACATGGACAAACTGATGGAACAAAGTGGGTATCATCTGCCCTGAGCAGGGTGTTGGTTCCCCTGCTGCTGGTCAAGCCAGCGAGTCAGGAAGGAGCAGAAGGTGGCAGTGTGGAGGGGGAGGAGGAAGAGGAGGAACTGCTGAGGGCAGGGCCATGAGCTCAGAGCTGGGGACAATGGCCCTGCTATCGGGGCACTTCCACAATGGCTGCTCATCAGTCCTGGCAGAGACTAAAGGGCAGACTTTTTTTTACCCATTGTCTCCTGGGTAAAATCCAAACTTAGCTGAGCTTTGGAGGCCCTTTATGGTGGGACCAGTCGAATTTCTCTCCCACCACTCCCCTGACTTGCCTTCTCCCATTTTCCTTTCCCGTGAAGTGCACATTACCTATGAAGTACACGTTATCCCTTGAATGTGCCGTGCTTTGGGCCACCTCTGCACCTTTGGTCATGGTGGTCCCTGTGCCTGGGACCCTCTTCCATCTCTTTGTCCACCTGGATGACTCACTTCAAGCACCATGCTAGAGCCTTGTCTGACCTTCCTAAGCTTGGATAAAGGCCCCTTCTCTGTGCTCCTCAAGTAGCCTGCACTGACATCTCTTAAAGCATTTTTAAACCTTATTTACATCCTGTATGTGACCATAATTTTGAAAACAAAGTCTGTGTTGTTCATTGTGCCCAATTTTTTTTTTTTTGAGACAGAGTCACCCAGGCCAGAGTGCAGTGGTATGATCATGGCTCACCATAGCCCTAAACTCCCAGGCTCAGGTGATCTTCCCACCTCAGCCTTACAGGCAGCTGGGACTACAGGTGTGCACCCCCACATTTGGCTAATCTTTGCATTTTTTGTAGAGATGAGGTTTCACCTTGTTGCCCACCCAGGAGTTCAAGACCAGCCTGGGCAACATAACAAGACTCCGACTCTCCAAATAATAGAACAATTAGCTGGATGTGGCAACTTCAGGTCTCAGCTCAAATATCCCTTCCTTATTGATAGTAATAGTAAGAATAGCTAACATGGGACTGGGCACAGTGGCTTACTCCTGTAATCCCAGCACTTTGCAAGGCCAAGGTGGGAGGATCCTTGAGCCCAGGAGTTCAAGACCAGCCTAGGCAACATAGTGAGACCCTGTCCCTATCTCAAACTCCTAGGCTCAAATGATCCTCCCACCTTGGCCTCCCAAAGTGCTGGGATTAACAGGCGTGTGCCACCACACCTGGCCTCACGGTACCTAACAGACACCACTGATATTTATTTAACTTATTGAATGAATGAAGGAAAAGAATAAATATCGAAAGAATTGAGATTTGGACTTGCATACGAAATACAGAAACTTCCCTCTGAGTTTAAGAACTCCTTGTTCGCTCTGGGCCTGGGCACCTCTACCCCAAGGGTGCCCAGTTGGGTAGTGGGCTGCTGGTAATTATGATAAGACCATTATCTGTGTCTCATTCTAGGCATACTCATCTGCATTTTACAGACAAGAGAAACCAAGGATCAGAGAGGGGATATCCATTGCTCAGTGTCACACAGCTAAGAGCAGAACCAGGATTTGGATCCTGGGCTAACGCTAAAGCCAGTCCTCCTAATCATTTAGTGACTCTACTAACCCATTCATTGCTTTCAGCATGTGTTCACTCATTTATTCCACTATGTTCAATGAACATTCACTGTGCCCAAGCACACGCAGCAGTGACCCAGACTGGCAAAGACTCTGCTCTCAGGAAGCTTCAGTTCAACCGAGGCAGGCAACGGGATAGGTGTTAGTGAAAGGCTCCAGCTTGACTGGCAGGGCTGGGCTGTCCTGAGGGCCCTTCTGGTCCAAGTCTGTGCTCTTATATCCCAAAGCAAAGAGCACAACCAGTCCAGAGCTCCTCTCAGCTTGGACCTGCCCCCATGTCACTACCCAATCAACTAGCAGTGGTCTTTTCCCAGGTTTGGTCGCAGGCGTGTGATCATCAAGAAGGGGCAGAAGGGCAACAGCTTTTATTTCATCTACCTGGGCACAGTTGCAATAACCAAGGACGAGGATGGCAGCAGTGCCTTCCTAGATCCCCACCCGAAATTGCTGCACAAGGGTAGCTGTTTTGGGGTAAGCCCAGGGGAAGGACCCAGTTTCCTGGGGTGGAGTGGGTGGAGGTGACAGGACTTCTGCTAGAACCTCTCAGCCAGGCCCAGTCCTGCCTAGTACTCTGTACAAGTCAGTGTCCCGTGTGGGCCCCTTACCTGTCAAATGCTAATTGAGTTGGACTAAGATCAGCCTCTTCATCTGTGATGTTTAAGAAGTATGTTCCTGATACAGCCCTTTAGAGATGAAGTGACTCCATAGTGAGGCCTCTCCAGCTTCCTCCCCTCTGGCCTGTTCAGGTCTGTTGCCTCTTTTTCCATAAGCAGCAGATTAAGAAGAAGGGGAGTGGGCCCCAGTGGGAGAATGTGCAGGAGAATAGAGGAGGCTAGGGAACACACAGTCTGGTGAGGAGAGAATTCAGGGGGAAGATGGAGGCACGGAAGATGTGTGTAAGGCTGAGGACAGGAAGTGGAGGTGGCCTCACACTTGCCCTTGCCCTGTCCACCCAACAGGAAATGGACGTTCTGCATGCTTCAGTGAGGAGGTCCACCATCGTCTGTATGGAAGAAACGGAGTTCCTGGTTGTTGACCGGGAGGACTTCTTTGCTAATAAGCTGGACCAGGAAGTTCAGAAGGATGCTCAGTATCGGTTTGAATTTTTTAGGTAACTCTGCCTTCATTCAACATTTTTTTCCCCTTGTGTGTTTATTAGCTGCCTGACTTTGTCTGTCCTAGGCCTGGTGGGAAACATACTGGTTGCTGTTCTCTCTGTCTGGGATGCTCTGAAGTCCCACCTCGTACCCACCTTCTCTCTCTGCAGACTCCTACTATCCCTTCGGGTCTCAGCTCAAATATCCCTTCTTTATTGAAAGTAATAGTAAGAATAGCTAACACGGGACTGGGCACAGTGGCTCACTCCTGTAATCCCAGCACTTTAGGAGGCCAAGGTGGGAGGATCCCTGAACCCAGGAGTTCAAGACCAGCCTGGACAACATAGTGAAATCCTGTCCCTACAAAATAAAAAATTAAAAAAAATTAGCTGGGTGTGGTGGCACATACCTATAGTTTCAGCTACTTGGGAGGCTGAGGTGGGAGGATCACTTGGGCCCAGGAGTTCGAGGCTGTGGTGAGTTGTGATCGCATCACTGCACTCCAGCCTGGGCAACAGAGTGTGGTCCTAGTAGCTAGGACTGTAGGTGTGCTG
Organism: Homo sapiens; assembly: GCF_000001405.40. Taxonomy (NCBI): domain Eukaryota; kingdom Metazoa; phylum Chordata; class Mammalia; order Primates; family Hominidae; genus Homo; species Homo sapiens. The sequence goes on from NC_000020.11 coordinate 35,985,319, forward strand.
CCACATCCAGCTAATTGTTCTATTATTTGTAGAGATGGAATCTTGTTATGTTGCCCAGGCTGGTCTTGAACTCCTGGTCTCAAGTGATCCTGCCACTTTGGCCTCCTAAAGTGCTGGGATTACAGACATGAGCCCCCATGCTCAGCCCAAACTATAAAACTATAATTCCTTTTTTTTTTTTTTTTGAGAGAGGGTCTTGCTCTGTTGCCCAGGCTGGAGTGCAGTGGCATGATCTCATCTCACTGCAACCTCCGCCTCCTGGGTTCAAGCAATTCTCCTGCCTCAGCCTCCCACATAGCTGGAATTACAGTCATACACCATCACTCCCAGCTAACTTTTTTGTATTTTTAGTAGAGATGGGGTTTCACTATGTTGGCCAGGGTGGTGTTGAACTCCTGGCCTCAAGTGATCTGACTACCTTGGCCTCCCAAAGTGCTGGGATTACAGGCGTAAGCCACTGCGCCTGGCCCAAACTATAATTCTTGATTGCATGGTAATTTCTTTACAGTTTATATACCCCCTCAGACAGTAAGCAGTATGGTGACAGAGACCAGATAGATCTGTCTTTGTCACTACTATAATCCTTATGTTGTCACACTGCCAGACACATGCAGGTGCTCAACAAATAAATATTGAGTAAGGTGAATAACAGGATATAAATAATTACAATCACATGTGAGTCAGAAAGTAAGCACCGTAACTGGGTATCATATTTAAAAGCAGAACTCATACATAGCAAAAGATTTTTGGTTTTTGAATACTTATGTGCATGAAAGGCCACGTAAGGATATGCAAGTGAAATCTCATTTAATTGCTCTTCAGTTATTTGCCTTTATGTAAAAGGAATAAAAATCCAATGAAGTATCTGCACTGGCCCTGAAAATTTGGGCTGTAGGGCTGCACAGCTACAGAGAAGTGTGATGGCCGAGGGGTCTGGTTCCTGTGGCTGGGGCTGAGAGAGGTAGCTTCATCCCCTGGAAAAGTGGGGATTTAGTCCTAAAGGGAGGAGCTGTTTTTTTTTTCCATACTGTGGAAAAATAGGTCTGGCTCCAATCTCAGCTCTTAGGTTACCAGCGATGTGACCCTAGATAGGTCACGCCATTTCTCTGTGTTTTAGCCTCCTGCTCTGTAAAATGGGGATAAGGATACCCTTCTCCCAAGGTCATGGTGAGGATGGAATGGAATGATCATGGGAAGTGTATGGCCCAGTGCTTGGTGCGTGGTAGGTACTTCTTCTATGGTGGCCCTACTTTTCTTCTGGTGTCTTCAGACCTTCGTCCCTGACATGGCACTGAGCGTGTTCACCTCTGGTGCCCTGACCTTAACTCAGTGCGCGCATTGAGGCCTGAGTCACCTTGAGTTAACCTGATTCAATGAACTCAGTCCACCTGAGTCAGTTAAGTTCTGAGCCCTTAACCTGTTGGAGGTGAGAAAATCTGAGATGATTGTTGGCAGCACTTGGAGCAGCATATGAAGGCAGGCAAGCCTGTGAACGTGGTGTTCAAGGTCAGGGGAAGGGGCAGTCACAGTGGGGTGGGTTCACCCACAGGGAGCAACAGGCAGAAAGAGTGGAGTCCAGACATGTCCCACTCTCCAGACCCAGAGCTGAGGATTTGAAGCCAACAGGCCAGGGGGACACAAGGGTTGGATGAGCTGCCCAAAGCAAAGGTAGGGCCAGAACCGCTAAGTTGGGGGACAGAGCAGCTGTGAGCTGGAGTGGGGACTAGCTTCATGAGCCACGGTGGGGAGGGATGGCAGGGCTGGAGGAGGAGAAGATTCTTGGAAGGAGGAGCAGAGGTGAGAAAAGCACAGAGGCTGGATCACCCAGGGGCATCTGAGCAGCAGTAAAGAGGGGAGCTTGGCTGGAGGGGAGGGCCTTGGGAAAAGGAGGAGGGAGCCAAGGTGATAGCAGGTAGGAGAATGGCTACAGGCAAGGCCAGGTAATTGGGCAGGTAGCAGCGAAATCTTCCACCCAGGCATCCTCCACAGGAGAAGAGTATGTGCCCTCTGCAGATTGCTAAGGTCTGGGCACCTTGTGTGATGGAGTTGATGAATTCTAACAGGCTCTTCCCACAGGAAGATGGAGCTGTTTGCATCATGGTCTGATGAGAAGCTCTGGCAGCTGGTAGCCATGGCGAAGATAGAGAGGTTCTCGTATGGGCAGCTGATCTCAAAAGATTTTGGAGAGTCACCCTTCATCATGTTTATCAGCAAGGTGAAAAGTCTGGGGGTTGGGATGAGGGTGAACCTCTGAGGAGCATGCCTAAGATCATGTCCTGTGACCTGATGGTCAGAGTTTGAGCCCTTTTCTGCAACCTGTGCAATTCACTTCCTTCTCAGAGTTTCCATGTCCCAGCTGTAAGAGGCCTGCCTCTCACAGAGCATGGCTAGAGACATTAGATATATGGCTATTGTGTTAGAAAGAGGACCAAGGGATTCTCCCGCCTTGAGCTCCTAAGCATGCTTATTTACATATAGATGCATATTTAAATTATGCATTTGGCTGTTGAATCTTAGTGATGCCAGATCACTTTTAAATTTATTTATTTATTTATTTATTTATTTTGAGACAAGAGTCTCGCTGTTGTCAGCCCAGGCTGGAGTGCAATGGCACAATCTTGGCTCACTGCAACCTCTGCCTCCTGGGTTTCAGCAATTCTTCTGCCTCACCCTCCTGAGTAGCTGAGATTACAGGTGCCTGCCACCATGCCCGGCTAATTTTTGTACTTTTAGTAGAGACGGGGTTTCACCATGTTGGACAGGCTGGTGTCGATCTCCTGACCTCAGGTGATCTGCCTGCCTCGGCCTCCCAAAGTGCTGGGATTACAGGCATGAGCCACCAGGCCCAGCCTATTTATTTTTGAGACAGAGTCTTGCTCACTCTGTGCCCCAAACTGGAGTGCAGTGACGAGATCTTGGCTCACTGCAACCTCTGCCTCCTGGGTTCAAGTGATTCTCCTGCCTCAGCCTCCAGAGTAGCTAGGACTATAGGTATGTGCCACCATGCCTGGCTAATTTTTTTTTGTATTTTTAGTAGAGATGGGGTTTCGTCATACTGGCCAGGCTGGTTTCAAACTCATGGCCTCAAGTGATCTGCCTGCCTCAGCCTCCCAAAGTGCTGGGATTACAGATGTTAGCCACCACACCCAACCTTAAATTATCTTTAAATTGTAAAAGTGATATGACCACATTAGGAAACTTTCTGGAAAAAGGGAAGAAATCATCCATAAACCCATCATCTCAGAGTAGAGTTTCAAAATGGAATTTCTTGGTATCATGATTTTGTTTTGTAAGGCAGACTTTATTCAAAGGGGCCATAGCCATAGGTATAGGGACCACTGCAATGGAGTCTTGCAGCCAGAGACAGAGATTGGACTCAACTCTCAGTATCGTAATTTTTATGGCTCCTGCAACAAATTGCATTCCAAAAGGAGAGCCCCACCTTATCTAGTGTCCAGGATGTACATTTTTGTTGGTGCCATCACAGCTCTGCCAGCCTTGCATGTCATTTTTTCAAAAGTTTTCTAGTTTAATAGGTCGCAATTGCTGCCATACTGAGGATTTGATATTTTTTCTGATTACTAGTGAGATTTATCATGTTTGTTTATGACCTACATTTTATCTTTTGCAAATTGCTTCACGTCCTTTGCCACCTTCTCTGTTGGTTGATAATGAAAAGAAAATCTCCCATTTCTCAAGTGCTTACTGTATGCCAGGTTCTATGTTTCACATGCTTCATCTCATTTTAGTCTCTATAGCCCGGAGGAGGTTAGTATTGTCATTATTCCCATTTTACAGAGGAGGAAACTGAGGCACAGTAAGGTGAAGTGGTTATCCAAGGTCACACAGCTGATGAAGTGCAGAGGCAGGGTTCAACCCAAGTCTCTCTGACTGCAAAGATATTTTCAAGAACTTGGATTTAGGATTTGGGCTGACCTTTCTGTCTGGTTCTTACAGATTAAGCCACCACAGGCATTTGTTGAGTTTTTGCCAAGGTCATGACACATTGGTCCAGGCTCTGGAGGGATACAAAGATGAAAAAGACTGGTTTTCTCTCTTTATAGATCTCCTCCACCAGATTCCACACATAGACAAAGAAAAGTGTCAATGCCAAGTACCAAGTGATTGGTGCAAACTCTGCAAGTTACAAGATTTCAGGAGAGGGAACTCTCTAAAGGCTGGAGGCTTTAAGAAGGGCTTCCTGGAGGAGGTGAGGTGGGAGATGAGCCCTGACATATTGAACCATTAGGCAAAAGGAGGAAGCAAGATTGGTTGTGTGCTGGCACTGGCTTGTACCTGCCTATGAGAGCTGATTGTTAAATTTTCAGGAATTTTGGTAAACATAGTAATTATTACAAATTAGATGCTATAAACCTACAATTAAATAAGTTATATGGAAAATTAGGAGCTGGGCATGGTGGCTGATGCCCATAGTCTTAACGACTCAGGAGACTCATGCAGGAAGATCATTTGAGCCCAGGAGTTTGAAAGCAGCCTGGGCAACATAGCAAGACCCTATCTCTAAGAAAGAAAGACAGATGAGAGAGGGAGAGAGAGAGAGAGAGAGAGAGAAGAGGGGAGGGGAGGGGAGGGGGAAGAAAGGAAGGAAAGAAGAAAGGAAGGAAGGAGCAAGCAAGAGAGAGAAGGAAAGAAAGAAAACAAGGGTAATACATACTGAAAACTCATCATTTCCTACTGATGTTACTGCATTTTTACTAGTTTTTCTCTTCAGGTTACGTCTATTGTGTCTCTATGGTAGAAATACTATGCAATTGTGAGCATCTCTTCCCCACTCCACATTCAGTGACCTCATGTTGGTAGCTTACAATTAGCCATGGTTGGATAATTTATACAATGGAATCAGCAAACACCCTAAGTCAGGTCTTGGTTTAGGGCTTTGCTGATTGTCTTAGGAAAGTGATAAAAGAAAATGCTTATAATGCAGATTAAATTTAAAAGTGGCTTGGGTCTATAGCTGCTACACTGCAAAGAGAATGAAATCGTCTAACAATATTTAAAAGCTATTATTGCTCCGGGCGCCGTGGCTCACACCTGTAATCCTAGCACTTTGGAAGGCTGAGATGGATGGATCACTTGAGGTCAGGAGTTCGAGACTAGCCTGGCCAACATGGTGAAACCTCATGTCTACTAAAAATATAAAAATTAGCTGGACATGGTGGCGCATGCCTAATCCCAGCTACTTGGAGGCTGAGGCAGGAGAATTGCTTGAACCTAGGAGGTGGAGGTTGCAGTGAGCCAATATCTCACCACTGCACTCCAGCCTGGGCAACAGAATGAGACTCCATCTCAAAAAAATAAAATAAATAAAAACAAATAAAAGCTATTATCTGGCTGGGTACAGTGGCTCACGCCTGTAATCTCAACACTTTGGGAGGCCGAGGCGGGTGGATCACTTGAGGCCAGGGGTTTGAGACCAGCCTGGCCAACATGGTAAAACCCCATCTCTACTAAAAATACAAAAACTAGCCAGGCGTGGTGGTGTGCACCTATAGTCCCAGCTACTCAGGAGGCTGAGGCAGGAGAATCACTTAAACCTGGGAGGTGAAGGTTGCAGTGAGCTGAGATCATGCCACTGCTCTCCAGCCTGGGTGACAGAGTCTCAAAAAAAATTAATTTAAAAAAAAAGCTATTATCTCATTCATCATAGAAGTTATACCATTGAACAAATGAAGTTCTGATGTACATAGTGCTAAAGCTAAAAAACATTTCAGTTTAATATAATTTATGTGAGGGTGAGAAATAGAACAGTATATCACAAGTCAGATTTAATAACATTGAATTTATTGGGAAGAGAATGGATTGGGATGCAACTTCATTTGTCCAATCATGTTTGAGTTGCAACTATAAACTGGCCATGGATACAAGATTCAGCCAAAACCCACAAAAGAATTCTGTGAGAGCTGATTGGCTGTATGGAATTTCCTGTATGGTATATTTTATTATTTATAAATTGTGTGTAACACATTCTGTATAACAGGTTTATATGCAGGCATATGTTTTTTAGGAGAGCTGGTTGTTAAACTTACCAGCACCACCAGGGGCGTGGTGTGTGTGTTGTTATTCTCGGCTCAGTCCCAGAGAACAGAATCAAGTCTAGTTAATATAAGTAGCAAAAGATTTATTGCCAGATATCAATTGGCAGTTCCTTCTCCTCCTTGATATTTGCTTCCTCTGTGCTAAAATTTTGAGGTGATCACCTCTGCCATATCTCTCCAAATTTAACTCTAAGCTCTTTGATACTATATAGCCAGAAAAGATGGGGGGATGTGTGGTGAGGGATAGAAATCCTTTACAATATTTTCTTTAATCAGCATAATGATTACATTCTGACTGGCAGAAAGCGGGGGGTGGTTCTTCATCTGTTTTGCCTCCATTGCTTCACCTGTGAAATGGTACCAATCACCCCATAAAGTCTGGTAAGGATGAGAATCAGTTTAGTACATGCTTACTCAGTGAGCATTCCTCCCGCAATCCAGTGCTTCTCAAAGTGCGGTGGCTGGACCAGCAGCACCAGCAGCACTTGGGAACTCATTTCTTCTTCTTTTATTTTTTTTTTTTGAGATGGAGTTTCATTCCTGTCGCCCAGGCTGGAGTGCAATGGCACGATCTTGGCTCACTGCAACCTCCACCTCCTGGGTTCAAGTGATTCTCCTGCCTCAGCCTCCTGAGTAGCTGGGATTACAGGTGCCCGCCACCAGGCCTGGCTAATTTTTGTATTTTTAGTAGAGATGGGATTTCACCATGTTGGCCAGGCTGGTCTCAAACTCCTGACCTCAGGTGTTCCACCCTCCTCGGCCTCCCAAAGTGCTGGGATTACAGGCATGAACCACCGCGCCTGGCGGGGAACTCATTTCAAAATGCAAATTCTCAGGCCCACCCAAGAGCTACTCAATCCAAAACTCTAGGAGGAAGGGCTCAGTGATCTGTGTTTTAACAAGGCTTCCAGGCGATTCCAATGCACACTGATGTAGGAGAACCCCTGACCTAAGGGAGGAATTTTCAAATTTTGGTAAGCATCCAGACATGTAGGGTGCTTCCTGAGGGAGGAATTCTCAAACTTTGGTAAGCATACAAACACATAGGGTGCTTTTTAAAAAGGCAGATTTGCTGTCTCACCCCAGAGATTGATTCATTAACTCTGGAATCTGCATTTGAGCAAGTGCTGTAGGGGATTCTAATGCAGGGGTGCTGAGCCTTCATTCTGAGAAAAATAATGCGGAAGTCACTAAAGGACAGCAAGGTAGGGAGCTCTTGGCCAGAAGATGAATCTGGTTTGTTCCTTACAGTGTTTTATTAAAATCTGATTTAATCATCAATGTGAAGATTTTATATAAAAATTCTGATTTCTGGCTTTTGAGAATTCAGAGGATCAGGCAACAACAAGCCATATTTTGGTACAGCACCCCCTCCCCCACCCCCCGACCCTGGTTGGAAATGAAAAGCACCAGCCCCCTCTAAAGGACTGCTCTTTTCTCTCTTTTTTTTTCCTGCCTGGCCAGCGTTTTTTGAGTGTTCATCTCTGGGAGGGAGATCAAGCTGTCCCGACTCCTGTAGTTTACTCATATTACCACTAGAGGGCAAAATCAGCTGCGGGTGGCTGGACACCCCTGGGACCTCAGAAAGCTAGAGAAGATTTCCTGATGGCATCGAAAACTTAATGCACACTTTCAACTCATTTCTAACAGTTTATCACTGGGGGACACATAGTGGAACTGTTCTCTCCATAGATGCAATTAAAGACCTACTAAATACTTGAGGAAACCGGGCTCATGTTGTTTCTCTGGCACCTGCAGTTCCCCTATAGCTCAAAAAAAAGAAAAAAAAAAGTATGCAGTAAAGATTTCAAATCTAAACTTTACAGCTTCATAAATTTTTATATATGTATACACCTGAGTGATCATTACCCAAATCAAGATAAAAAACATTTCCACTACTCCAGAAGGCTCTCCTGTGCTCCTTCCTAGACAAAATCCCCCCACAAAGCTTAATACTCTTAAGACTTATGTCACCACAGGTTACTTTTGCATGTTTTTGAACTTCATATAAATGGAATCATACAGTGTGTATTCCTTGTTTCTGACTTCTTTTGCTCAACTGAATATTTGTTATTTTTAATTTTATAAATTATGGTGTGCATAGAATAATATGTGACCATTAAACATGATACTATAGAACCATATTGTTTGGCATGAAAAGAGGTATTTGATATATTATTGAGTTTCTTAAAAAGTTACAAGAGTCTGTTTTATGTAAATGAATTCGTTGATGAAAAATTGTAGATATACATCTTATATGTTCATAGAGAAAAGTTTGAAATAATATTCACTAATATGTTACTACTAGTTATTTCTGAGTGTCAGGATTAATGTAGTTTTTATCTCTATGTTTTTATGTCTGGTTTGAATATTTTTAAACTTTCAATTTTGGAATAATTTTAAATTTATAAAAAAATTATAAGAACAGTACAAAGAACTCCTGTAGCTGGAACTACAGGCATGCACCACCATGCCCAGCTAATTCAGCTAATCTTTTTTTTTTTTTTTTTTTTTTTGGAGACAGAATTTCACTCTTCTTGCCCAGGCTGGAGTGCAATGGCATGATCTTGGCTCATGGCAACCTCCGCCTCCTGGGTTCAAGTGATTCGATTCTCCTGCCTCAGCCTCCTGAGTAGCTGGGATTACAGGCATGCGCCACCATGCCCGGCTAATTTTGTTTTTTTTTGTTTGTTTGTTTTGTTTTGTTTGAGCCAGAGTTTTGCTCTTGTTGCCCAGGCTGCAGTGCAATGATGCGATCTTGGCTCACTGCAACCTCTGCCTCCTGGGTTCAAGCGATTCTCCTGCCTCAGCCTCCCGAATAGCTGGGATTACAGGCATGTGCCACCACACCCGGCTAATTTTGTATTTTTAGTAGGGACGGGGTTTATCCATATTGGTCAGGCTGGTCTCGAACTCCCGACCTCAGGTGATCTGCCTGCCTCAGCCTCCCAAAGTGCTAGGATTACAGGCGTGAGCCACAAGGCCGGCTTAATTTTTGTATTTTTAGTAGAGACAAAATAATTTTGTGTTGCCATGTTGGCCAGGCTGGTCTTGAACTCCTGGGCTCAAGTGATCTTCCCACATCAGCCTCCCAAAGTGCTGGGATTACAGTCCGTGAGCCACCGTGCCTGGCTTATATTTAGTTCTTATGCTTCTTCAGTTACTTGAACTTCGTATGGTGAGTAAATAACATTTTCATTTAAAAAAAAAAAAAGAAAAAAAAAAAGCACCAGGCTGGGCGTGGTGGCTCACACCTGTAATCCCAGCACTTTGGGAGGTCGAGGCAGGCAGATTGCTTGAGGTCAGGAGTTCGAGACCAGCCTGGCCAACATGGTGAAACCCCGTCTCTACTAAAAATACAAAAATTAGCCGGGCATGGTGGCACATGTCTATAATCCCAGCTACTCAGGAGGCTGAGGCAGGAGAATCGCTTGAACTCAGGAGGCAGAGGTTGCAGTGAGCCGAGATTGCCCCATTGCTCTCCAGCGTGGGTGACAAAGTGAGACTCCATCTCAAAAAAAAGAAAAAAGAACCTGAAACCACTTGCATTAAGCAAATAAAACAAAATGGGATAAGATGCAATTAAGAGAGATTTTCTTCAAAGCCTGGCCTACCTGGAGCCTTAGGGGTTAACCCTTTTCCTATGTCCCTTGCTGTGTTCAGGGCAGCTGTGAAGTCCTGCGGCTGTTGGACCTTGGGGCCTCCCCTTCCTACCGTAGATGGATCTGGCAGCACCTGGAGCTGATAGATGGCAGACCTCTGAAGACCCACCTGAGTGGTAAGCTGCCTTGGCCTGTCTGACAGCAGGGGGCGCCTGGGCCTGTCCTGTTTCCAGTTCCCAGCACATAGAGCCTTAGAAATCTAGTCAGCCAGCCTGACAGCGTATATCATCTGCACCCTTCTACCAGCGGTGGAAACCCAGTCTGCAAGGCCCTGCCCTCCTTTCCAGCCTTTTTTTTTTATTGAGCCTTTTCCCTTTTGCTGTTTAGGTTCTCCCACGTGACCATCAACTCCTTGCCTCACATATCCCCCACCCTTTTTTTCACCCAGCTCTCTTCTGCTTTTTAAAATTTATTTATTTATTTGTTCATTCTGTCTCTGGATTTGCCTGTGATGGACTTTTCATATAAATAGCATCATACATTATTTGGCTTTTTGCATCTGACTTCCTTCACTGAGCACCATGTTTTCAAGGTCTATTTATGTTGTAGCAGATATCATTTCTTCATTCTGTTTTATGGCTGAATAATATTCTAATGTATGCATATACCACATTTTTTTTGTCCACTTATCAGTTGGTGAACATTTGGATTGTTTTCACTTTTTGGCTGTTTTGAATAATGTTGCTATGAACATTTGTATGCAAGTTTTTGTGTGAACATATTTTTCAGTTCTCTTGGGTATTACCTATATGCCTAGGAGTGGAATTTCTGGGTCATATGGTATCTTAGTCAGTTTTCTATTTCTATAACTGAATATCTGAGACTGGGTAACTTATAAAGAAAAGAAATTTATTTCTTATAGTTCTGGAGGCTAGGGAATCTGAGGTCGAGGGGCTGCATCTGGTGAAGGACTTCTTGCTGGTGGGGACTCTTCAGAGTCCCGGGGCAGCAAAGGGCATCACATGGAGAGGGAGCACTTCTGTCTTTGAGATCTTAGACTACACATTCTTCCTTGAAGAAGTCTTCCTGGTTTCTCATGCTGGACCAGATCTTCCATCCTCTGCTATATGCCATTCTAGTACCCTTCAAGTACCATTCAAGTACTCTTCTGTGTTATATAACCCCACTGAAATCATACAACTGAGTCTGAAATGCTTATTAAACATCTGTTTCCCTTGCTAGAATATAAGCTCTATGAAGGCTTTGCATTCCCAGGGCTTCGTATTATGCCTGGCATCTAGCAGGTGCTCAGAAGTGAATTACAGAGTTAATGGATAAACATATTTTGGCTGCTGTGTGTGGTTTGGACACATCCTAGGCTGTGAATGTATGCGCACTCTCCACAGCCTTATCCCAACTCAGTAACAAGTATGAATAACAGTGATCATTTATTGAATTCTAATTGTATGTTTATTATATTGGGCTTGACTGTTTATACATATTGCATAATTCTCATAATAGCTCTCTTTTTGTTTTTTTTTTTTTTTTGGAGACAGAGTCTCACTCTGTTGCCCAGGCTGGAGTGCAGTGGTGCAGTCTCAGCTCACTGCAACCTCTGCCTCCCAGGTTCAGGCAATTCTCCTGCCTCAGCATCCCGAGCAGCTGGGATTACGGGCACATGCCACCATGCCCGGCCAATTTTTGTTTTTTTAGTACAGATGGGATTTCACTGTGTTGGCCAGGCTGGTCTCGAACTCCTGACCTTAAGTGATCCGACTGCCTCGGCCTCCCAGAGTGTTGGGATTACAGGCATGAGCCACCGCACCTGGCCTAATAACTCTTTAAGAAGGTACGATTGTACCATCTGACACATGAGGAAACTGGCTCATAGGGCAAATAAGTAGCAATGTAGGACTGTAGAGTTGGGATTCTAACCCAGGCACAACTGGTTCCAAAGCCCAGACTTTCTTCTCTTCATAAATATCTCCAGCCTTCTTCATTCTCCATTTCCTGTTGTTGGACATAGACGTTGTCAAGTAGCAGCCTCTAGAACTGGCCAGGGTGATAACCAGGCTTGCTGATTCTAGGGTAGTATTGTTTCCATTCACAGCTCTGTAATGGCATTTTTATTTATTTTTTTCCCCTTCCATCCTCTGCAGATCTTTTTGTGTCACCCACTTGGGTCAAGGACCCCAGCCCTCAACAGATATTTGCAGTGGCTCAGATGTCTTATCTCTTACCTCCTGCTCAGTACTGGCATGCTTCCCCCCACTTCCCTTGAGATTGTAATCTGTGTATCCTGGGGCCTCCTCCCCAAGGATTGCCTTATAGATATAGCAGTCCTCCTGAGATTAGAACTGAGGCCAACACAGGGTGGCGAGGAGAAGGGCGGAAAAAGGAGAGGTTGGAGCTGAACAGAGCTGGGTTTGAGTCCCATTTATTAGCTGGGTAGCTTTGGTGAGTACTCAAAGTCTCTGGGCCTGGTTTCTTCATATCTACCTTGGGTAGTGTCATGGTTAGCAGCATAGGCTTGGAGTCCACTGCTTCTGTTTGAATACAGGGTCCTTCTCTTATTAGTGATGTGATACTGGGCAAGTGGGCCCTATGTCTAAGTGCACCAGTGCCCTCAGAGTCTGTAAAATGTAAATAATGGTCCGTACCTCGTAGGATTGTAATGACATTAAGCAAATTAATATATAAAAACTCTTAGAACACTACCTGGCTGCATAGGCAGATGGCAGATGTTTGTTATCATTACCACAACAGGCTGCTAGGAAGGCAGAGTGAGATGATGTATGCATGAGGCCTTATAAGTACTCAGTAAATGTTTCTTCTCATGTCAATTCTTGTTTGTCACTTTTCCACTGTCAATCCACCAGAGAAAAAGTTGCATCCCACAAATTTTGATATGTTGTATTTTCAATGTTATTCAGTTCAAAATACCTTTAAATTTCTCTTTTGATTTCTTCTTTGACCCATGGAATATTTAGAAGAGTGTTTAGTTTCCAAGCATTTGGGGGATTATCCACCTATCTTTCTGTTACTGATTTCTTTTTTCTTTTTCTTTTTTTTTTTTTTTTTTTGAGAGGGAGTCTCGCTCTGTCACCCAGGCTGGAGTGCAGTGGTACAATCTCAGCTCACTTCATCCTCCACCCCCCAGGTTCGAGCAATTCTCCTGCCTCAGCCTCCCGAGTAGCTGGGATTACAGGCATGCACCACCAAACCCAGCTAATTTTTGTATTTTAGTAGAGATGGGGTTTCAGCATGTTGGCCAGGCTGGGCTTGAACTCCTGACCTCTGGTGATCTGCCTGCCTCGGCCTCCCAAAGTGCTGGGATTATAGGCGTGAGCCACCACGCCTGGCCTCTGTTATTGAATTCTAAGATAACATACTTTATATGATTTGAATCCTCTGAAATGTATTAAAACTTGTTTTATGGTCCAGAATATAGTCTGTCTTGGTAAATGTTTCATTTGCATTTGAAAAAAACTTGCTGTTTTGGGGTGCAGTGTTCTATGAATGTTAAGTAGGTGAAGTTGGTTGATAGTATTGGTCAAGTCATCTGTACCCTTATAACTTTCTGTCTACTTGCTCTATCAATTGTTAATAGAGGCTGGCGTGGTGGTTCACGCGTGTAATCCCAGCACTTTGGGAGGCCAAGGCGGGCAGATCACCTGAGGTCAGGAGTTCGAGACCAGCCTGGCCAACATATAGTGAAACCCTGTCTCTACCAAAATAATACAAAAATTAGCTGGGCATGGTGGCGCATGCCTGTAGTCCCAGCTACTTGGGAAGCTGAGGCAGGAGAATTGCTTGAACCCGGGAGGCAGAGGTTGCAGTAAGCCAAGATCACGCCACTGCACTCCAGTCCGAGCGACAGAGCAAGACTGTGTCTCTCAAAAAAAAAAAAAAAAAAAAAAAAAATTCTTAATAGAGTTGTTAAAATCTCCAGCCATAATTATAGATATATTTTTCTCCTTGTATTTCTGTCTGTTTTGCCTCATATATTTTGAAGCTCTTTTATTATATGCATAGATGTTTGGGATTGAACTCTTAATTATTATGAAATGAACTTATTTGTCCCTGGTAATATTCTTTGCTCTAAAACCTACTTTTTCTGATGTAAATTCAGCCACTTCTTTTGATTTAGTGTAGCTTCCTCTTGATTAGTATTAGTTTGGTATATCTTTTTCCATCCTTTTGTGTTTAACCTATTTGTGTCTTTATATGTAAAAGTGAATTTCTTAAAGGCAGCATATAATTGGATCTTGCTGAAAGACCCAATTTTTATTGAGATGCCTAATCATTGACATTTAATGTTAATATTGATTATGGTTGGATTTGACTCTACCATCTTGCTATTTTTCTTTCTATTTGTCACATCTATTCCCTTTTTCTTCTGTTTTTCCCTGCCTTTTGGATTATGTATTTTGTATAATTCAATCTTATTTTCTTTGTTGGCTTATTAGCTGTTTGTGGTATTATTTTCACAGTTGCTTTATGATCATTGTATATACTTTTAACTTATCACAGTCTACCTTTAAGTGATATTATACCACTTCATGTATAGAATCAGAATCTTACAATGATATATTTCCATTTTCTCCTCCTAGATATTATGCTATTGTGATATATTATACTTTAATGTATATTAAAAACCTTACCATACATGGTTATTACTTTTGCTTTAAACAAGTATCTTCTTTTTTTTTTTTTTTGAGACGGAGTTTTGCTCCTGTTGCCCAGGCTGGAGTGCAATGGCACGATCTCGGCTCACTGCAACCTCCACCTCCTGGGTTCAAGTGATTCTTCTGCCTCAGCCTCCCTAGTAGCTGGGATTATAGGTGCCTGCCACCATGCCCAGCTAATTTTGTGTATTTTTAGTAGAGACAGGGTTTCACTATGTTGGCCAGGCTGGTCTTGAACTCCTGACCTCAGGAAATCCACCTGCCTCAGCCTCCCAAAGTGCTGGGATTACAGGCATCAGCCACCATACCCAGCTTAAACAAGTATCTTTTTTGTATATTTAAAAAATAATAAGAAAAGACTCTTATGTTAACCTACATAGTTACTATTTCTGATGTTCTTTGTTCCTTTGTATAGATCCAGATTTCTACCTAATAACCACTTCCTTCTGCCTGAAGTACTTCCTTTAACATTTCTTGTATTTCAGCTCTGTTAGTGATGAATTATTTCAGCTTTTCTATGTCTGAAAACTATTTTATCTTCATTTTTGAAAGAAATTTTTGCTGGATATAAAATTCTAAGTTGACAGGTTTTTTCTTTCACTACTTTAAAGATGTTGCATTAAAGTCTTTTTTGACTTGCATTGTTTTCAGCAAATCCGTTCATATTTTTATTTATTGTTTTCAACAAGAAGTCCGTTAACATTTTATTTATTTATTTATTTATATTTTTGAGACAGAGTCTCACTCTGTTACGCAGGCTGGAGTGCAATAGTGTAATCTCGGCTCACTGCAACCTCTACCTCCCTGGTTCAAGCGATTACCCTGCCTCAGCCTCCTGAATAGCCGGGACTACAGGCATATGCTACCATACTTGGCTAATTTTTGTATTTGTTGTTGTTGTTGTTGGTTTCTGAGATGGAGTCTTGCTCTTGTCACCCAGGCTGGAGTGCAATGGCACAACCTCGGCTAGCTGCAACTTCCGCCTCCCAGTTTCAAGTATTCTTGTGCCTCAGCCTCACGAGTAGCTGGGATTATAGGCGTCCACCACCACGCCTGGCTAATTTTTTTTTTTTTCATTTGTGTATGAAATTTTTTTTTTTTTTTTTTTTGATCATTCTTGGGTGTTTCTCGCAGAGGGGGATTTGGCAGGGTCATAGGACAATAGTGGAGGGAAGGTCAGCAGATAAGTGAACAAAGGTCTCTGGTTTTCCTAGGCAGAGGACCCTGCGGCCTTCCGCAGTGTTTGTGTCCCTGGGTATTTGAGATTAGGGAGTGGTGATGACTCTTAACGAGCATGCTGCCTTCAAGCATCTGTTTAACAAAGCACATCTTGCACCGCCCTTAATCCATTTAACCCTGAGTGGACACAGCACATGTTTCAGAGAGCACAGGGTTGGGGGTAAGGTCACAGATCAACAGGATAAGAATTTTTCTTAGTACAGAACAAAATGAAAAGACTCCCATGTCTACCTCTTTCTACACAGACACGGCAACCATCCGATTTCTCAATGTTTTCCCCACCTTTCCCCCCTTTCTATTCCACAAAACCGCCATTGTCATCATGGCCCGTTCTCAATGAGCTGTTGGGTACACCTCCCAGACGGGGTGGTGGCCGGGCAGAGGGGCTCCTCACTTCCCAGTAGGGGCGGCCGGGCAGAGGCGCCCCTCACCTCCTGGGCGGGGCGGCTGGCAGGGTGGGGGGCTGACCCCCCCACCTCCCTCCCGGACAGGGCGGCTGGCCGGGCAGAGGGGCTCCTCACTTCCCAGTAGGGGCGGCCGGGCAGAGGCGCCCCTCACCTCCCAGACGGGGCGGCTGGCCGGGCGGGGGGCTGACCCCCCCACCTCCCTCCCGGACGGGGCGGCCGGCTGGGCGGAGACGCTCCTCACTTCCCAGACGGGGTGGCTGCCGGGCGGAGGGGCTCCTCACTTCTCAGACGGGGCGGCTGCCAGGCGGAGGGGCTCCTCACTTCTCAGATGGGGCGGTTGCCAGGCGGAGGGTCTCCTCACTTCTCAGACGGGGCGGCCGGGCAGAGACGCTCCTCACCTCCCAGACGGGGTCGCGGCCGGGTAGAGGCGCTCCTCACATCCCAGACGGGGTGGCGGGGCAGAGGCGCTCCCCACATCTCAGACGATGGGCGGCCGGGCAGAGACGCTCCTCACTTCGTAGATGGGATGGCGGCCGGGAAGAGGCGCTCCTCACTTCCTAGATGGGATGGCGGCCGGGCAGAGACGCTCCTCACTTCCCAGACTGGGCAGCCAGGCAGAGGGGCTCCTCACGTCCCAGACGATGGGCGGCCAGGCAGAGACGCTCCTCACTTCCCAGACGGGGTGGCGGCCGGGCAGAGGCTGCACTCTCGGCACTTTGGGAGGCCAAGGCAGGCGGCTGGGTGGTGGAGGTTGTAGTGAGCTGAGATCACGCCACTGCACTCCAGCCTGGGCACCATTGAGCACTGAGTGAGCCGGACTCCGTCTGCAATCCCGGCACCTCGGGAGGCCAAGGCTGGCGGATCACTCGCGGTTAGGAGCTGGAGACCAGCCCGGCCAACACAGCGAAACCCCGTCTCCACCAAAAAAATACGAAAACCAGTCAGGCGTGGCGGTGCGCGCCTGCAATCGCAGGCACTTGGCAGGCTGAGGCAGGAGAATCAGGCAGGGAGGTTGCAGTGAGCCGAGATGGCAGCAGTACAGTCCAGCTTCGGCTGGGCAGCAGAGGGAAACCGTGGAAAGAGGGAGAGGGAGAGGGAGACCGTGGGGAGAGGGAGACGGAGAAGGAGAGGGAGAGGGAGAGCCTAATTTTTGTATTTTTAGTAGAGATGGGGTTTCGCCATGTTGGCCAGGCTGGTCTCAAACACCTGACCTCAAGTGATCCACCTGCCTTGGCTTCCCAAAGTGCTGGGATTACAGGCATAAGCCACTGCACCTGGCCAACATTTTTATTTTTGTATAAACTCTTTATATAACCTTGTATATTTTCTGTACACAGTGTACCTTTTTGCTTTGGCTGATTTTGAATTTTTTTATCAATAGTTTTAAGCAATTTGATTATGTTGTGCCTTGGTATAATTTTTGTCATGTTTCTGTGCTTGAGGTTCATTTAGTTTCTGGGATTCCTGGGTTTGTATTTTTAAAATCTGATTTGGAATATTTTGACCATGATTTTTTCAAAAAAATTATTTGTCTCTCCCTCTCCTCCACTTTGAGAACTCCAATTACATGTATATTGGATTGCTTACAATCCAATATATTATTGGATTGCAACATGTATATTGGATTGCTGTGTTTCACAGCTCACTGATGTTCTGTTCATTTTTTTTATTCTTTTTTTTTTCCTCTGTGACATTTTGGATAGTTTCTATTGCTATGTCTTCAAGTTTTCTAATCCTCCTTCTGCATTGTCTAATCTGCTGTTAATCCCACCTAGTGTACTTTTCATTTTAGACATTTTAGTTTTTATATCTCAAAGTTTGATTTGGGTCTTTTTATAATTTCCACAACTCTACTTAATATACACAATATTTTTTCCTTGGAATATAATTATAATAGCTCTTCCAATGCCCTTATGTACTAATTCCATCATATGTGTCATTTCTGAGTCAGTTTCAATCCATTGTTTCCTTTTCATATAGTTTATATTTTCCTACTTCTTTGTATCCTTCATGATTTTTTAATAGGATGCTAGAAAATGTGAATTTTGAGTACTGCATATTTTTTATTCCTGTAAATATTTCTGAACGTTAAGATGTAGTTACTTGGAAGTATTTTGATCTTTTCAAGGCTTGCTTTTAAATTTGTTATGTGGGGTCAGAACAGTGTTTAATCTAGAGCTAGTTTCCCATTCGTGAAGTAAAACCATTTTGTGTATTTCAGAATGCCCCATGACTTGAGAGGTTTTCTATTCTAGTTATTGGGAAAAGGACTATTTCTGGTCCTGTTTGAGCTCTGATGATTTATCCCTCTAATCATTTGGGGTGATTCTTTCCCCAGCCTTGGGTAGTATACTATGTAACAAATTGCCCCAAAACTTAGCAACTTAAAATAACAGACATTTACTTCTCCCAATTTCTGTGAGTCAGAAATTTGGGCACAGCTTAGTTTGGTGCTTCTGACTCAAGACCTCTTATGAACCAGCTACTTGGGAGGCTGAGGCAGGAGGATCATTTGAGTCCAGGAATTCAAGACCAGCTTGGAAAACATAGCTGGACTCCATCTGAAAAAAAAAAAAAAATCTCTTGAGGTTGCCATTGTCAGCCAGGGTTGTGGTCTCATCTGAAGGCTCATCTGGGAGGGACCTGCTTCCAGGCTAACTCACGTGGCTATTGGCCAAGTGTCTGGCCTCATGGGTGTCTCTACAGGGCAGTTTCATGACATGTTTCCCCAAGAATGAGAGAGAGCAACAGAGAACATGCCCAAGATGGAAGCCACAGTTTTTTTATAACCTAATGTCAGAAATAAAATCTCATCACTTCTGCTGTATCCTGTTAGACGTGAGCCCAACCCACACTTAATGGGAGGGTATTACACAAGTGTGTGACTAGTAGGAGGTGGGGTTCACTGGTGGCCATCTCAGAGGCTGCCTACCACTGGTAGTTTCCCAATACACATGTGCTGATTAATACTCAGCTGAGCTTCAGGGGAAACTCTCTGCAGATCTTTGGAGTTCTGTCTCTATGCAGCTCTCTTCTCTCTGGTTCCCTGCTCTGTGGACTCTAGCTGCCTTGCCCTCCCCTGACTATGTCTTCTGTCTCATCAATTCAAGGAGATTGCTGGGCTCCATCTGAGTTCCCCCTCCCTGCACCATGGCCCAGAAAATCTTTAGGCAGCATGCTGGGGCAGTAGTAGGGCTCACCTCATTTGTTTTCTGTCTTGCATCATGGATGATTGTCCTTTATTGCCTGATATTCAATGTCTTTTTTTTTTTTTGAGACAGGGTCTCACTCTGTCACCTAGGCTGGAGTGCAGTGACCTGTTCATAGCTAATTGCAGCCTGGACCTCCTGGGCTCAAGCAGTCCTCTCGCCTCTCCTGAGTAGCTGGGACTATAGGCATGAGCCACCACACCCACCTAATTTTTTATCTTTTTGTAGAGATAGAGTCTCACTATGTTGCTCAGGCTGGTCTTGAACTCCTGGCCTCAAGGGATCTTCCCACCTCAGCCTCCCAAAGTGCTGAGATTACAGGCATGAGCCACCGCATCTATCCTTCAATGTCTTTAAAACAATTTTTTCCATAAATGTTGTCCAATATTTTCAAGTAGAAGAGAAAATTTAGTCCCTGTTATTCCATCTTGGCTGGAAGCAAAAGCAGAAGTCTAGATCTATGTTTTTAATAGTTGAGTTTTATTCTATTATATGCATATATCATAATTAATTTAATTACCTTTTACAGATATTTTGAATTCTTTTTCAAATGTTTACCCTACTGTGGCAGATTTCCTGGTGTGTTTGTCTTTGCATCTGTGTGCAAGGAAACGTATTAGACAAATTCTGAGAATTACTGGATCAAATAGTTCAGCGGTCCCCAAACTTTTTGGCACCAGAGGCTGGTTTCGTGGAAGACAATTTTTTCACAGATGGGGGCAGGTGGTAACGCTTTTGGAATGAAACTGTTCCACCTCTGATCATCAGGCATTAGATGGAGCACACAACCTAGATGCCTCTCATGCACAGTTCTCAATAGGGTTTGTGCTCCTATGAGACTCTAATGCCGCCACTGATCTGACAGGAGGTGGAGCTCAGGTGATAATGCTCATGCACCTGCCACTCATCTCCTGCTGTACAGCCTCATTCCTAACAGGCCACGGACCTGTACCAGTCCATGGCCAGGGGATTGGGGACCCCTGAAATAGTTAATCCAGTGCATACTGACTACATACATTTAAAACATTGGTAGATGTTGTTGAAGTGCCTTTCCGAAAGATCAAACTCAGGGCTTTTTATATGTGTTTTGTTAAGCCAGACCTACTGCTTGTGGAACTTGGATTTATTCCCATTAACATTAATTTGAGGGGCCGGGCATGGTGGCTCACACCTGTAATCCCAGCACTTTGGGAGGCCGAGGTAGACGGATCACGAGGTCAGGAGATCGAGATCATCCTGGCTAACACGGTGAAACGCTGTCTCTAATAAAAATACAGAAAAATTAGCCGGGCATGGTGGCGGGCGCCTGTAGTCCCAGCTACTTGGGAGGCTGAGGCAGGAGAATGGTGTGAACTTGGGAGGTGGAGCTTGCAGTGAGCCGAGATCAAGCCACTACACTCCAGCCTAGGTGACAGAGCAATACTCCATCTCAAAAACAAAAAAACAAAAACAAAACAAAACAAACAAAAGACATTAATTTGAAGAGTTGATTCTCATACTAGAGATTTTTTTTTTCTTTTTTTTTTTGAGATAGAGTCTTGCCCTGTCACCCAGGCTGGAGTGCAGTGGCACGATCTTGGCTCCCTGCAACCTCTGCCTCCCAGGTTCAAGCAATTCTCTTGCCTCAGCCTCTGGAGTAGCTGGGATTACAGGCATGCACCACCATGCCCAGCTAATTTTTTGTATCTTTAGTAGAGATGGGGTTTCACCATGTTGGCCAGGCTGGTCTCGAACTCCTGACCTCTTGATCTGCCCGCCTCGGCCTCCCAAAGTGCTGGGATTATAGGCATGAGCCACCACACCCGGCTGGAGATCTCTTTTTTAATCAATGTTCTTGACGTATAATTTTTATATAATAGAGTGCACATATTTTATGTGTATAGTTAAATGACAAATTAGAAAAAAAATTCTTTTTGAGACAAGGTTTCACTTTGTCACCCAGTCTGGAGTGCAGTGGCATGAACATGGCTCAATACAACCTTGACCTCCCAGACTCAAGTAATCCTACCACTTTAGCCTCCTGAGTAGCTGGGACTACAGTCACATGCCACCACACCCTGCTAATTTTTGTATGTTTTGTAGAGACGGGGGTTTGCCATGTTGCCCAGACTGGTCTCGAACTCCTGAGCTCAAGCGATCCTCCTGCCTTGGCCTTCCAAAGCGTGGGATTACAGTGGCGTGAGCCACTGCGCCTGGCCATAGTTCCATGACAAATTTATACCTCTACAATCAAGTTATAGAACATTTCCATCACCCCACAAAGTTCCCTTGTGCCGCCTCCCAGTCAATCTCTACCCCTCACCCTTGCCCTAGGCAACCACTGATTTGTTTTCTATCATTATAGGTTAGATTTGTCTTCCTATGGTTTCATATAAATGAGATCATACAGGCCAGGCATGGTGGCTCATGCCTGTAATCCTAGCACTCTGGGAGGCCGAGGCAGGTGGCTCATGAGGTCAGGAGATTGAGACAATCCTGACTAACATGGTGAAACCCTGTCTCTACTAAAAATACAGAAAATTAGCTGGGCGTGGTGGTGGGCGCCTGTAGTCCCAGCTACTCAGGAGGCTGAGACAGGAGAATGGCATGAACCTGGGAGGTGGAGCTTGCAGTGAGCAGAGATCGCACCACTGCACTTCAGCCTGGGCGACAGAGTGAGAATCCTCTCAAAAATAAATAAATAAATAAATAAATAAATAAGATCATACAGTATGGACTCTTGTTTCTGGCTTCTTTTACTTAGCATGCTGAGTAGTTTGCTCCTTTTTATTTCTGAATTATATTTCCTTCGAGTTTTTTTAAATTTCATTTTAAGAGATGAGGTCTTTCTATGTTGCCCAGGCTGAAGTTGAGCTCCTAGGCTCAAGCAATCCTCCTACCTCAGCCTCCTGAGTAGCTAGGACTCAGGTGTGCACCACTGCAACTGGCTCTTGGTGATCTTTTTAAATAACTCTCATGGAGGGCCTATTATATGTCGGTGCTGTGCTAGGCATATCACATACTTTATCTGCAATTCTTTTTTTTGAGGCAAAGTCTTACTGTTGCCCAGACTGCACACAGTGTTGTAAACACAGCTCACTACAGCCTCAACTTCCTGGGCTCATGCAATCCTTCCATCTCAGTGTCCCCAGTTGCTAGAGCTACAGGTGTGCACCAGCATGCCTGGCTAATTCTTTAATTTATTGTAGAGATGAGGTCTTGCCATGTTGCCTAGGCTGGTCTTGAACTCCTGGGCTCAAGTGATCCTCTACTTTGATCTCCCAAAGTGCTGGGATTACAAATGTGAACTACCATGCACAGCCTGTAATTCTTACAATAGTTCTATGAGAGGGCTCTGATGCTTATATGACTTGTCCAAAGTTCCATGACCAGTCATCCATTTATCTCTTATTGCTGACTCTGCCCCAATTTGAAAGCCCAGTTTGAAGGCCGGGATAAATATGGTCTGTTAATGGAATGAATCCAAGAGACCTGAGTTCAAATCCAAGCTTTAACCTTTTTCTGGGTGACTTGAGCTCTCTGCTGTTCATCTTATCTCTTAAAGTGTGTTAATCACCCTTCTCCAGATGTAATAGATGTAAAGGCTCTAGCGCAGGGCCTGCCACCCAGGGACATTACATGGAGGCCACAGTGTTTTATCTTTCTTTTTTTTTTAAAAAATTTCCCCATGTGCTAGACCATCCAGGCAGGTTCCTGTGATAAGCTTCAACTACTACCACCATAACCATCATATATGCAAAGATCCATAAGTATCTTTTCCTGTGCTTTCTCTAACAGAATACTCTCCTATGGAAAGATTTAAGGAATTCCAGATCAAATCATATCCTCTGCAAGACTTTAGCTCCTTGAAACTTCCACATCTCAAAAAAGCCTGGGGGCTACAGGGGACAAGCTTCAGCAGGAAGATCAGAACCTCAGGAGACACTCTCCCCAAGATGCTGGGCCCGAAGATCCAGTAAGCTCAGCCCTGGGCAGATAGACGGGTCCAGATTGTGGTTGCAAAGGGAGATAATACTTATATGGCAGAATGTCAGGGATGCGGATAAGGGGCAAAGGTGGAGGACACAGGTCAATCCCAAAGGATTGTGCATGAGGCAACCTAGAGATGTCCTGGGTCTGAGAGCCAGGACCTGCATTCTCCACCTGTAACTCACAAGGCTACGTCAGGCATTCAGCCACTTCTTTTCTCAGGGCCTCAGTAACCCATTTAAGGAAGAAGGGGCTGGACATATCTTCTGGCTCTGACATTCTGTCAGTCTGTGTGTTTCTGGGCCCTTTTGATTCTGAGCTGCTTCAGAAAATTCTGTCCATCTAAGGAAGGCAGTTACAGCATAGTAGATAAGAGCCTGTGTTTGGAATTAAGCCTGGCTTGGCCACTTATTTTAGCTCTTATTTTAGAGGTCAAGGGACTTGACCTCTCTAAGCTGTATTTCTTGGTAGATAATAGCATCTAACTCTTGGGGTTGTTGCAAGCCAGCAATTAAATGAGATAATGATAATTATAGTTAACACTTACAGAGTATTTTTTGTAGCTGGGCATAGTGGCACATACCTGTAATCCTAGCTACTCAGGAGGCTGACACAGGAGGGTCGCTTGAGCCTAGGAAGTTGAGGCTGCATGCAGTGAGCTGTGATCATGTCACTGTACCCCAGCCTGGGCAACAGAGCAAGATCTTGTCTCTCTCTTTTTTTTTTTTTTTGAGATGGAGTCTTGCACTGTTGCCCAGGCTGGAGTGCAGTGGCGCGATCTCTGCTCACTGTAAGCTCCGCCTCCCGGGTTCACGCCATTTTCCTGCCTCAGCCTCCCGAGTAGCTGGGACTACAGGCACCTGCCACTGTGTCTGGCTAATTTTTTTGTATTTTTAGTAGAGACGAGGTTTCACCGTATTAGCCAGGATGGTCTCGGTCTCCTGACCTCGTGATCCGCCCACCTCGGCCTCCCAAAGTGCTGGGATTACAGGCATGAGCCACCACGCCCAACCGACCCTATCTCTTAAAAAAAGAAGAAAAAGAAAAAGAAAAAGGAAACAGGCTGGGCATGGTGGCTTATGCCTGTAATCCCAACACTTTGGGCGGCTGAAGCGGGCGGATTGCCTGAGGTCAGGAGTTCGTGACCAGCCTGGCCAACATGGTGAAACCCCGTCTCTACTAAAAATACAAAAATTAGCTGGGTGTGGTGGCGGATGCCTGTAGTTCCAGCTACTTGGGAGGCTGAGGCACAAGAATCGCTTGAACCCAAGAGGCGGAGGTTGCAGTGAGCTGAGATCACGCCACTGTACTTCAGCCTGTGCAACAGAGCGAGACTGCATCTCAAAAACAAAACAAAACCCCTTTTCTGTGCCCAGTACTGAATTATCTAATTTAATCTCTGTAACAACTCTACGAGTACTATTATAATCATTCCCATTTTTCAGGTGAGAAAACCAAGGTACGGGGAGAGATTGAGTTGTTTGTTCCAGGTTGCGCAGGTAGAAAGTGGCAGAGCCAGGATTCAAACCTGAGCAGCTCAGTGTTGTTATCGGTATGATTGTCACGACTGGTATGAGGCAGATGCACATTGGGGTGCTGTGCTTTTGTTTTTTCTGGAGAGACTGAAGAGCAGAAGAGGAGACTCAGTGGGGACCAGCCTAGAATCAGCTCATTGCTGGGCCCAGAGCAGCACAGCCCCCTCCCCCTGCTACTTTTGAAATTGAAGTGTCATAATGAGACTAACAATGGCACCAGTGTCACAATCCCTGCATTCCTACAAGGGCCACTTCACGTGAGTCCTTTGCCTGTTAACATTTCCAAGCTCCTGGCCTCCATAACGAGCACCCTGTGACTTTTGAGACGTTATGGATAATCCTTCTGAAGAATCTAGGTTGCAGTGAGCCAAGATTGTGCCACTGCACTCCAGCCTGGGCGACAAGAGCAAAACTCTGTCTCAAAAAAAAAAAAAAAAAAGAAAAGAAAAGAAATTCCTTCCTCTTGGCTGGGCGCAGTGGCTTACGCCTATAATCCCAGCACTCTGGGAGGCCAAAGCGGGTGGATCACTTGAGGCCAGGAGTTTGAGACCAGCCTGGGCAACATTGTGAAACCCTGTCTCTGCTAAAAATTAGCTGGGCATGGTGGTGGGTGCCTGTAGTCCCTGCTACTTGGGAGGCTGAGGCATGAGTATCACTTGAACTCCAGAAGTGGAGGTTGCAGTGAGCAGAGATCCCATCAGTGCACTCGAGCCTGGCGACAGAGTGAGACTCCGTCTCAAAGAAAAAAAAGAAAAAAAAAAAGAAAGAAATTCCTTCCTCATGCTGAGCATGAGAGGGCCAGCCTGGACTTCCCACCCATTAGGCCTGGCTTGGCTGCATGGGATCATCAGCCCCTGCCTCCAGGAGAACAGCCCTCAGGTGTTTAAGGGGAGGGCCTGTATCACCTTCCTCTCCCAAGTCTCCTCTTTCGCACCCTCCAATTCCTGACAATGGGAGTCAGGGCTTGATTTTGAGTTTTCTCGCCTTCTGGGAAGTTGTGAATTCCCCAGGGAGGGGAGCCCTCCATGTGCAGAAGAGTGAGGGCTGATTAGCCAGGGCCTCAGGAGCAGACTGTGTTACAGATGAGCTCTCTAACAAGCTGTCACATTTCAGATCCAGGCCTGCTCAGTCGATCAAATGTGCCATGATCAATATCAAGCCTGGTGAGCTCCCCAAGGAGGCTGCAGTGGGGGCCTACGTGAAGGTGCACACTGTGGAGCAGGGAGAAATTTTGGTGAGTGTGCCAAGAGCTCTGTTCACCATGGAGTACGTAACATGAATGGGCTGGAATGTTAAGTAATGACAGTAAAGGTTTAAAAACACTTCCCTCCATATTTGATATTAAGGAATTATGTTGATTTGTAAAGATGTGATAAGAATAGGCCGGGCGCGGTGGCTCACACCTGTAATCCCAGCACTATGAGAGGCCGAGGTGGGCAGATCACAAGGTCAGGAGTTTGAGACCAGCCTGACCAACATGGTGAAACCCTGTCTCTACTAAAAATACAAAAATTAGCTGGGCATGGTGGTGTACGCCTGTAATCCCAGCTGAATCCAGGAACAAGGCAAAGATGTTCCCTCTTACCACTCCTATTCAACATTGTATTGAAAGTCCTAGCTAGTCCATTCAAGAAAAGGAAATAAAAGGTATACAGATTGGGAAGTAAGAAATAAAACTATCTTTGTTTGCAGATAACATTATTGTCTATGTAGATAATTCCAAACAATTTTTTTAAAAAGAAAAACCTCCTGAAACTAATGAGATTATAGCAAGGTCACAGGATACAAAATTAATATAGAGAGTCCATTGCTTTCCTTATACCAGCAATGAACAATTGAAATTTGACATTTAAAAACACAATACCAGCTGGGCACAGTAGCCCCAGCACTTTGGGAGGCTGAAGCGGGCGAATCACTTGAGGTCAGGAGTTCGAGACCAGTCTGGCCAACATGGTGAAATTCCATCTCTGCTAAAAATACAAAAATTAGCTGGGGCCAGGCATGGTGGCTCACGCCTGTAATCCCAGCACTTTGGGAGCCTGAGGCAGGTTGGATCACTTGAGGTCAGGAGTTCAAGACCAGACTGGCCAACATGGTGAAACCCCATCTCTACTAATAATACAAAAATTAGCCAGGCATGGTGGCACACACCTGTAATCCCAGCTACTCGGGAGGCTGAGGCAAGAGAATCACTTGAACCTGGGAGGCGGAGGTTGCAGTGAGCTGAGATAGTGACGTTGCACTAAAGCCTGGGGGACAAGAGTGAAACTCCGTCTCCAAAAAAAAAAACCAAAACCCAAACCAAAAAGCCAGGTATGGTGGCAGGCACCTGAAATCCCAGCTATTTGGGAGGCTGAGGCACAAGAATTGCTTGAACTCAGGAGGCAGAGGTTGAAGTGAGCCGAGATTGTGCCACTGCACTCCTCTTGGGTGACAAGAGCGAAACTCCATCTCAAAAAAAAAAAAATTAATAACAAATACATAAATTACCTAATATTTTTATAGAATCTAATTTCTAAAAAATTCAATTTCTAGGCCAGGCATCGTGGCTCACGCCTGTAATCCCAACACTTTGGGAGGCCACCTGAGGTTGGGAGTTCGAGACCAGCCTGACCAACATGGAGAAACCCTGTCTCTACTAAAAATGCAAAATTAGCCAGGCATGGTGGACACCTGTAATCCCAGCTACTCGGGAGGCTGTGTCAGGAGAATTGCTTGAACCTAGGAGGCGGAGGTTGCAGTGAGCTGAGATCGCGCCATTGCACTCCAGCCTGGGCAACAAGAGTGAAAATCCGTCTCAAAAAAAAAAAAAAAAAAGAATTCAATTTCTAAGAAATCCATTATGAAAAGGCTAAATATTGCATGATTCCAATTCTATGACATTCTGGAAAAGAAAAACACTATAGAGATAGTAAAATTATCAGTGGTTGCAAGAGGTTTGGAGTTCAGGAGATGGGATGAATAGGTGAAGCACAGGGGACTTTTAGGGCAGTAAAATTATTCTCTATGGTACTGTAATGGTGGATACAAAAGCATTTGTCAAAACCTATTTAATTTTACAGCACAAAGAGTGAATCTTAATGTATGCAATTTGTTAAAAAAGAAAAAAAATCAGCCAGGCATAGTGGCTCACGCCTGTAATCCCAGCACTTTGGGAGTACGAGGCAGGTGGATCACGAGATCAGGAGATTGAGACCATCCTGGCTAACATGATGAAACCGCGTCTCTACTAAAAATACAAAAAATTAGCCAGGTGTGGTGGTGGGTGCCTTTAGTTCCAGCTACTCGGGAGGCTGAGGCAGAAGAGTTGCTTGAACCCGGGAGTTGGAGCTTGCAGTGAGCAGAGATCGCGCCACTGCACTCCAGCCTGGGCAACAGAGCGAGACTCCATCTCAAAAAAAGAAAAAAGAAAAAAATCATCTAGGAGGTTAGTGGATCTGAGGAAGGAATACAAACTATGACAAGATAATCTAACCATTATAAATGTATGAAACAATCTCTGTGAAGGAGTTGGGGGGAAAAGATGCTGACTTAAGTAACTTTGGAAATGAGTGGAACTGGTAAGACTAAAGCAAAAGGAACTGTGTCTGAGCACTGTGCCCTAGTGATAAAGCTGTTTGTCATGAAGGTAGGGATTAACAATACTTCTACTACTATACATGTACACAGTGTTAACACTGAAATAAATCAGTTCAGTAAATGGATGGCAGAGGGTGGGAGCCAGGTTTTTCACAATTTAAGCAGGAATATATAGAAAGCAGGGGGAGCCTAGAATACTCCATGTAGTAATGGATTAGAGTTGAAAACATCAGTAGTCACTGAAATTTAACTCAATATATACTTACAGATAATTATGTATAGAAATATGTATAGGTAGGCCAGGTGTGGTGGCTCACGCCTGTAATCCCAGCACTTTGGGAGGCCGAGGAGGGCGGATCACGAGGTCAGGAGATCGAGACCATCCTGGCTAACACAGTGAAACCCCGTCTCTACTAAAAGTACAAAAAAAATTAGCCGGGCGTGGTGGCAGGCACCTGTAATCCCAGCTACTCAGGAGGCTGAGGCAGGAGAATGGCGGGAACCCGGGAGGCAGAGCTTGCAGTGAGCTGAGATTGTGCCACTGCACTCCAGCCTAGGTGACAGAGCAAGACTCCATCTCAAAAAAAAAAAAAGGAAATATGTATAGGTATGGGTGGAAACATACAACTGTTTTGCTCTGTCAGATAATAGGGCCTAAAAGAAATGTTACCCTTCCAGCAATGAGCACACTTAACACTTGGATCTTGGTTGGTTTCTTTTCTTTCTTTCTTTCTTTTTTTTTTTTTTGACAGAGTCTTTCTCTGTCACCCAGGCTGGAGTGCAGTGGCGCCATCTCGGCTCACTGTGACCTCTGCCTCCTGGGTTCAAGTGATTCTCCTGCCTCTGCCTCCTGAGTAGCTGGCATTACAGGCACACGCCGCCATGCCTGACTAACTTTTTGTATTTTTAGTAGAGACGGGGTTTCACCATGTTGGCCAGGCTGGTCTGGAACTCCTGACCTCATGGTCCACCCACCTCGGCCTACCAAAGTGCTGGGATTACAGGCATGAGCCACTGGACCTGGCCTCTTTTATTTTTTTTTTAAGAGACAGGGTCTTGCTCTGTCACTCAGGCTGGAGTGCAGTGGCAAGTGATCATGGGTCACTGCAGCCTTGAACTCCTGGGCCCAACCAATCCTCTCACCTCAGTATTCTGAATAGCTGAGACTACAGGTGTGTGCTGCCATGCCCAACTAATTTTTTTTATTTTTCGTTAGAGACAGGGTCTCACTATGTTGCCCAGGCTGGTCTGGAACTCCTGGCCTCAAGCAATACTCCCACCTTGGCCTCCCAAAGGGCTGGGATTACAGGCGTGAACCATCGTGCCTGGCCTCCATACTGTTTTTCATGATGGCTGTACTAATTTATATTCCCACCAATAGTGTGTGAGGGTTCCCTTTTTTGCAAATCTTTGCCAACATTTGTCATATTTTGTCTTTTTGATAGTAACCATTTTAACAGGTATGACTCAACATCTCATTGGATTTTCAATTTGTATTTCCATGATGATCAATGATGTTGAGCATTTTTTTCATATACCTGTTGGTCATTTGTATGTCTTCCTTTGAGAAATGTCTATTCAGAGTTTTTGCCCACTTCTTAACCAGGCTGTTTGATTTCTTGAGACTGTGTTGTTTAAGTTCATTATACATTTTAGTTATTATCCCCTTATCAGATGTACGGCTTGCAAATATTTTCTACCATTCTTTAGGTTGTCTTTTTACTTTGTTGGTTGTTTCCTTTGCTATGCAGGAGCTTTTTAGTTTGATGCAATCTCATTTGTCTATTTTTGCTTTTGTTGCCTGTGTTTTTGGGGTCATACCCCAAAAAAAACCATTGCCCAGGCCAATGTCAAGAAACCAGATCATGATTTCTAATACAGTTTCCCAATAAAAGGAACAAGGGCTCTTTGGAAGAATGGTTGAATCTAGGACTAGGGCAGGAAATACACAGGATGAGTCTAGAACATATTGTAAATGCCAGAAAGTAAGGAAGAGCTAGGGGAGGGGGCAGGAACTGCTTTAATATGGGAGCATGTCCAAGGGACATATGGGGGCCACCTAAAAGATCTCCCAATGGTCAAAGCTGAAACAATTTGAACAACAAAATAAAGCAGTGTTGGATTATAACCAAAAGTACAAAATAAACATTCATGAGTGCATATTGATATAAATGAATTAATAATGAATTAATAAATGGAGGAGAAGAGACAAATCTCCCTGCAGAATAAATTTCAAGCAATTTATGTAGATACTCTGTCTTAAAGGAGAGAGTGCCTAACTCTCTACTTAAATGTGGGCCATGCATAGGACTTCCTTCCAAAGAGTACAGTATGGCAAGGGGGGAATGAAGTAACTTTACAATGGAAAAAATCTGAAAAACACAGCCAGATCATCAAGGCCAACATCAACAGTAAAACATCATGTTAATAGTATTGTCCCTTGACAGGATGTGATGAAAATGTCATTTAACCTCTGTGGCCATCCTCTCAATATCTTATAACTCCTGTCTAATCATGAGACGTGATTAGAGGAAAATCATGAGACAAATTTTAACTGTGGCATCCCACAAAATACTCAATGAGTACCCTCAAAACTGCCAAGGTCATCAAAAATGGCCTGAGAAAATGCCACAGCCAAGAGGAGCCTAAAGAGCCCTATTATTAAATGTAATGTTGTATCCTGGATAAGATAGTGGAATAGAAAAAGGGCATTAGGTGAAACAGGAAATCTAAGCAACTCATTGACTTTAGCTAACAGTAATGTAGCAGTAGAGGTTCACTAATTGTAACAAAGACATACCAATGTAAGATGTGGGAAACTGGATGTGGGGTATATGGGGACTCTCTGTACTATCTTCTCAATTTTCCTGTAAATCTAAAACTGTTTTAGAAAATAAGACCACCAGGCCGGGCACAGTGGTTCATGCCTGTAATCCCAGCACTTTGGGAGGCTGAGGCAGGTGGATCACCTGAGGTTGGGAGTTTGAGACCAGCCTGGCCAACATGGTGAAACCCTGTCTCTACTAAAAATACAGAATTAGCCAGGTGTGGTGGCACACACCTGTAACCCCAGGTACTCGGGAAGCTGAGGCAGGAGAATCGCTTGAACCCAGGAGGTGGAGGTTGCAGTGAGCCAGGATTGCACCACTGCACTCCAGCCTGTGTGACAGAGTAAGACTCTGTCTCAAAAAAAAAAAAAAAAAGGAATCCAAGGCTGGGCATGGTGGCTCATACCTGCTGAAGCCCAGGAGTTCAAGACCAGCTTGGGCAACAAAGCGAAATCCTGTCTCTACAAAAAATTAAAAAGTTAGCTGGGCATGGTGACATTTGCCTATGATCCCAGCTACTTGGGAGGGTGGGGTGGGAGGATTGCTTGACCCTGTGAAGTCGAGGCTGCAGTGAGCCATGATTGTGTTACTGTACTTCAATCTGAACAATAGAATGAGAGCCTGTCTCAAAAAAAAAAAAAAAAAAATGCAGTTGTGGGAGCGAGGGCAGTATGGATGACCACGCTTGGCTATGAGCTGATCACTATGGAAGCTGGGTGGCAGGTGCCAGAGCTGAATGAGAGGAGGAGGAGCAGTGTGCGGGTGCAGAGGTAGGGCAGGAGAAGGGATTTCAGGAGGAGCAATGGGCCTTCGGCCTCCCTGTGCCTGCAGAGGGCTGTCTCCTGAAGCCTCATGTGTGGTTATTCAGCATCTGGGAAACTGTTCCCTCACCAAGCCCTCTCCTCTGTTCCTCTGTCACTATCTCCAAGGTTGTCCTTATGCCATTCTCCCCCTGTGTTATGGTGGACTGTGCATGCTCCTTCCCTCCACTCACACCAGCCTGTATGTCCTCAGGGCTGGGAAGGTCAGTCCAGTACTGTCTGGGAGGTCCAGTCCCTAGCACAGCCCTCTGTCAATGCTGATTATTTTTTAGCTCTTAGAAATTTCTTCCTTTTGTTTAGTAAAACATTGCCTCCTACAACTTTAAACTAGCTCCTCTCCTCTCCCTGCCCTGTTCCCCAAAACAGAAGAAATCCACTTCCTTAGCATGTGATGCCCTTAGGTATTTAAAGAATGCTGTTTTGTTTTTCATTCAACATTTATGTAGCCAGGCACAGTGCCAGTGTTCCGTTAATTATTTTCATATTCACGCAGAGTGGCCTCCATTCCTTCGGTCATTCTTCAAGGGGCGTAATTTCCAGCCTTCCAGCCTATTGCTCCTCCTGGAAAGCCCTTCTGCCTGCCCCACCTCTGCGCCCACACACCGCTCCTCCTGCCACTCAGCTCTGTCACCTGCCTCCCAGCCTCCATAGTGATCAGCTCACAGCCAAGCGTGGTCACCCACACTCCCCCTGCCCCCACTACTGGATTCATTGTTTTAGTGGTCTTATTTTTTAGAACAGTTTTTAGATTTACAGAAAAATTGAGAAGATAGTACAGAGAGTCCCCATATGCCCCACGCCCAGTTTCCCCTGTTATTAACATCTTACATTTATACGTCTTTGTTAGAGTTAGTGAAGGTGGTGTCTGCTTCACTTCAATTTATTAATGTTTCAGAGTAAGGTGCTCAGAGATGAACACAGGGCACTAAGGGACAGGGAGGCCTGGGCAGGATGGAGGCACGAGGATGGAAAAGGCCTTGCTCAGTTTGGTAGGCAGTGACAGGAGGGGAGGCTGTGTCAGGAACAGGAACAACAGGGTCTGTTTTGTCCAGGCCCTGCAATGCTGGAACAGGGAGTAAGGCCTTGATTTCCTAGAAGTCCTGGAAGGCTTTGGGTGGGGACTTAGCACAAGGACCTGGCTGCTGCTTCCCACATAGGGCCAGCACATAGAAAGCCTTCAACAAATATTTGTTAACATGACCCCTTTGAAGAAAATGTCTGCGGATGCCTTCGTGAGGTGCCTGTGGTAGGACTCTGAGCTCCCTGTGTTGAGGCCCTGGCTTCAGCTGTAGGAGAATGAGAGTGGTAACTGCTTGACTGAACCCGCCCCCTGGAAGGTGGGTCACATCGTCCTCACCCTTGGGAGTAGCAGTGTGGAGCTGGGTCAGCCCTGGGAGCAGCAGAGGGTGGGGCCTAGGGTGGAGGGACCCAGGTTTTGAGCCAGGAGATATAGGAAGTCCAACTTCTCCAAGGAACAGGCAGGCTGAGGCCTCTGAGGTGGTCAAGACTGGGCAGGCCAGAGCCATGGGCAGCGCAGAAGAGAGGTGGCAAGCAGCATTTCTTATTTTCATTCTGCTTCTAATAGTTAGCTGTGTGGCCACGGGCAAATCACTTTCCCTTTCTGAATCTATGTCATGGGAAAATGAGGAGATTCATCTGGGTGAGCTGCCACCTCTAAAGTTGTGTGGCTCCATTTGGGTCACTCATTCAGCAGATATTCCTTGAGCACCTACCATGCTCCAAGCATGGAACAAAGTGCCATTGTGGCTGAGTAGACTGACGTAATTCCTGCCCTTATGGGGCTTATGATCTAGTCAGGACAGACAACAAACAGATAACTAGTAAATACATAGAAAGTTACAAATTGCTGTTAGGAATGGAATGAAAAGCAGGGTGGGTGGGGAGGTTCTTAAATGGGGTAGCTAAGGGAAGTCTGCTGTGAGGAGGTGATGTTTAAGCTGAGACCTGAATGATGAAAATAATAAGCTATGGGACTGGGCACAGTGGCTCACACTTGTAATCCCAGCACTTTGGGAGGCCAAGGAAGGAGGATGGCTGAGGCCAGGATTTCGAGACCAGCCTGGGCAACATGATGAAACCCCGTCTCTACCAAAAACAAAAATTAGCCGGGTGTGGTGGTGCACACCTGTAGTCCCAGCTACTCGGGAGGCTGAGGCAGGAGGATCCCTTGAGCCCAGGAGGCTGAGATTGTAGTGAGCTGAAATCATGCAACTGCACTCCAGCCTAGGGACAGAGTGAGACCTTGTCTCAAAAAAAGAAAAAAAAAAAAAAAAAAAAAAAGAATAAGCTATGGAACGACCTGGCAGAAAAGTGTTCAAGACAGACAAGCAGCAAGTTCAAGGTTCAAGGCAGGAGGGAGGAGGCGTGTTGGGGGGATTGGAAGGGAGGGCAGGGTGGCTGGAACAGACTAAGCAAGGCAGCAGTGACATGAGGCTGAGATGGAGGGCTTGGAAGGGTGAGACAGCCCAGGCCTTAGGCGGCATGAGATTTATTTGATCCCAGGTGCTTTGGGATGCTGTTTGAAGCATCTAGCCAGAGAAGCAACTGACTCCAGCTGTGTGCATGCAGCAAGTGGGTTGGAGGTGGCTGAGAGAGCAAGCAGGACAGCAGTGCTCCTGAGTGGATCCCTGGTTCAAGGTTGGGCTCTGCCACTTTATGTCTCATTACCTTGGGCAAGCTACTTAACCTGTTTGTGCCTCAGTTTCCTCATTGTAGTTGCTGAAAGCACAGACTCTGAAGACAGACCACCTGATTCAAAGCCTAGGTTTATTGCTTTCCTGATGTGTGATGTTAGACAATTTTTCTTTTCTTTTTCTTTTTTTTTTCTTGAGACGGAGTCTCGCTGTGTCGCCCAGGCTGGAGTGCAGTGGCATGATCTTTGCACACTGCAAGCTCCGCCTCCCGAGTTTATGCCATTCTCCTGCCTCAGCCTCCCAAGTAGCTGGGACTACAAGCACCCGCACCACGCCCGGCTAATTTTCTGTATTTTTAATAGAGATGGGGTTTCACCATGTTAGCCAGGATGGTCTCGATCTCCTGACCTCGTGATCTGCCCACCTCGGCCTCCCAAAGTGCTGGGATTACAGGCATGAGCCACTGCGCCCGGCCGATGTTGGACAATTTTCTTAACCTCAGCATCCTCACCTGTAACATGAGAATAAGAATAGGAGTCAGCTCACTGGATTGTGGTGAGGGTTAAATGGGTTATAGATGCAAAAACTACAAAAGGGCCTGGAATTTAGTGAGTGCTCAATAAATGTTTGTTGGTGCTATTATTACCATTTCATCATCATTGCTATTGTAATTATAAGATGATTGACCGTGGATAGGTAAATTTCCTTTCCTGAACCTCATTTTCCACATCTGAGGATAACCCCCACATGCTAGGATGGTTGTAAGGTGTAAATTCATATATATATGTTTCCTCTCCAGAGTAGGAGCTGGCTAAAGAGCAGCCATTCTGGTTTCTATGCAAGTCCTGGCATTGACTAGGAGGGCCTTTGTTCCCACTGTACTCAACATGAGAGACACACGAGGTGCTTCATGTCCCCCAGAGAACTCTCACATGTGCCATCTCGTGTAGACCCTCAGCAGCTTCAGAGGAAAGGTGGCATAGCTCCACCCCAGTCTTGCCAAAGAGAGACAAAGCCAGGGCTCAGAGCACCCAAAAATTTGTACGTGGTCATATTTCAAGGTCTAGAACCCAAATGGTGGAGGTGGGGAGGGTGTTCCAGATCCCACTTCACATCTCCTTTCAAATTCAGAATCCTTCGGAGACATGTCGATAGATATTCTCACCTGCATTTCACAGGCGAGCAATGGCCCAGGAGGTACTGTGTGCCCCAAATCACATAAGTACAATTTTAAAATATGGAATCAATCTAAGTGTCCGTTAACAGATGAATGGATAAGGAAAATGTGGGACATATACACAATGGAATATCATTCAGCCATAAAAAGGAATGAGATCCTGTCATTTGCAGCAGCGTGGATGGCACTGGAGGCTGTTATGTTAAGTGGAATAAGCCAAGCACAGAAAGACAAATATTGTATGTTCTCACTCATATGTGGGACCTAAAAACTGGATCTCATGAAGATAGGGAGTAGATTGGTGGTTACCAGAGGCTGGGATGGGGAGGAAGAGAGGGAACGAAAAGAAAGAATATGCATGTATTTATTTCCAGTGAACTGTATGCTTAAAAATGGTAAAGATGGTAAATTAGATGTGTATATTGTACTTCAACAACAGCAACTTGGATCCAGGATTAGTCCCAACCCCATGTGTCCTCCACAGAGTGGGCCTCTTGGTTTGTGGCCCTTTTTCTTCTTGAGCCCTATACAGCTGGCATTGGTGGCTCTGGGGCCACTAACCGTTCCTGCCCCTGCCCCTCCTTGCCTGAGCCTTGATTAACAGCTGAGAGGCTGAAGACTGAGCACTGGATTGGGAGTTCAGCAACAAGGATTCTAGTCCTGGCTCTGCCTGTCCCAGGTGTCTCCTTAAAAAGCGGATTGCACCCTTCATCACGGAAGCAAGTATGCCTGTGGACTTCCATCTCCCTTCCAGATAGAACAAAGTAGGAATTCAAGCCAAGGAACAGGAGGGCAGCTGGAGAGAGGAGGACCTGTGGCCACCGAAGTCTGTGAGGGATGGAGGAGAAACAGAGGCCTGCAGGAAAGTGTGGGGTGGGTGGCTGCAAAGATAAGGTCCAGAAGAGGACTGGCTGTTTGATTTTTTATTTTACTTTTTTTTTTTTGAGTCACAGTTTCACTCTGTCACCCAGGCTGGAGTGCAGTGGCACAATCTTGGCTCACCACAACCTCTACCTCTCTGATTGAAATGATTCCCCTGCCTCAGCCTCCCAAGTAGCTGGGATTACAGGCACCGGCCACCATCACCATGCCCGGCTAATTCTTTTTTTTTTCTTTTTTTTTTTTTTTTTTTTTTGAGATGGAGTCTCGCTCTGTCGTCAGGCTGGAGTGCAGTGGCGCAATTTTGGCTCATTGCAACCTCTGCCTCCCAGGTTCAAGCAATTCTCCTGCCTTAGCCTCCCAAGTAGCCGGAACTACAGGCACGTGCCACCATGCCTGGCTAATTTTTTGTATTTTTAGTAGAGACGGGTTTTCACCGTGTTCGTCAGGATGGTCTTGATCTCCTGATCTCGTGATCCACCCGCCTCAGCCTCCCAAAGTTCTAGGATTACAGGCATGAGCCACTGCGCCCAGCCCTAATTTTTGTATTATTAGTAGAGGTGGGGTTTCACCATGTTGGCCAGGCTAGTCTCAAACTCCTGACCTCAGGTGATCAGCCTGCCTCAGCCTCCCAAAGTGCTGGGATTACAGGTGTGAGCCACCACACCTGGCCTATTTTACTTTTTTGGGATAGTCTCTCGCTCTGTTGCCCAGGCTGGAGTGCAGTGGCGCGATCTTGGCTCACTGCAACCTCTACCTCCTGGGCTCAAGAAATCCTCCCACCTCAGCCTGGGACTACAGGCATGCACTATCACATCTGGCTAACTTTTATAATTTGTGTAGATATGTGGTTTCACCATGTTGCCCAGGCTGGTCTCAAACTCCTGGGCTCAAGTGATCCACCCGCCTGGGCCTCCCAAAGTGCTGGGATTACAGGTGTGAGCCACTGCACCTGGTGCCTAGCTGTTTGATTTTTGTTGTAAGTCCTAAGGAAGAGAAAAGAGATTTGCTCGACAAAAACAAAAACAAAAACAAAACAAAACAAAAAGCTGTAATTGGACATTGGGGAAAACTTGAGAGCAATAGTGGCAGTGAGATTGCTGGAGTGGGACAGTGGGTAATCTGATTTAGGTGCTCTTCTAATTCCACGGTTAGAGGAATTCCATATGATGTAGCAAAAGGGGCCCAGGATTTCTCCTGCCTGTCATTTGCTCAGTGATCCCAGATAAATTCACCTCCTGTTTGAGGCCTTCTTTTTCCCATCTAGAAAATCTGTGGGTAGGCTGGGCACGGTGGCTCACGCCTGTAATCCCAGCACTTTGGGAGACCGAGGCGGGTAGATCACCTGAGGTCAGGAGTTCGAGACCAGCCTGACCAACATGGAGAAACCCCATCTCTACTCAAAATACAAAAGGTAGCGCATGCCTGTAATCCCAGCTACTCAGGTGGCTGAGGCAGGAGAATCGTTTGAACCTGGGAGGCAGAGGTTGCAGTGAGCTGAGATTTGGGCCATTGCACTCCAGCCTGGGCAACAACAGCGAAACTCCGTCTCAAAAAAAAATAAAAGAAAAAAAAGAATGAAAATCTGCGGGCAGACCTGGCCAGTCTCTGAGGTCTAACTTTCTGTGACTTCTCCCGAGGGTCTTCACCAGGCCTTCCTTCCAGAGGGTGAATGCGACACACGACCCTTGATCCTGATGAGCCTGGGAAATGAGTTGATACGGATAAGGAAGGAAATATTTTATGAACTGATTGACAATGATGACGAGATGATAAAAAAGTTGTTAAAGCTCAATATTGCATTCCCCAGGTCAGTACTGGAAATGTGCGTAAGTCCCATCAGGTGAAATGAACAATTTTTCACCTGTTATTTTAGTAAAAGAAGGAAAAATATAATACCTGTTGCTGACAAGGGTGAAATGAAACTGGGAGTTGTTGGTACACTCTAGATAGGCTCAATCCTTTTGATAATAATTTTAGCATTACATTTCAAGTGCTATAAAACTGTCCCAACACTTTGAGACAGAGATTCATCTGTGAATTTATAGAGCCGAAATATGGAGAAAGCCCTGCATTAAGATGTTCATTGCAGGGTTGGGTGCGATGGCTCACGCCTATAATCCCAGCACTTTGGGAAGCTGAGGCAGGCAGATCACTTGAGGTCAGGAGTTTGAGACCAACCTGGCCAACATAGTAAAACCCCATCTCTACTAAAAACCCAAAATTAGCCAGGCGTGGTGGCACATGCCTGTAATCCCAACTACTCAGGAGGCTGAGGTAGGAGAATCGCTTGAACCCGGGAGACAGAGGTTGCAGTGAGCTGAGATGGCATCACTGCACTCCAGCCTGGGTAACAGAGTGAAACTGTGTGTTAAAAAATAATAAGGCTGAGCGTGGTGGCTCACTCCTGTAATCCCAGCACTTTGGGAGGCCAAGGCAAGTGGATCACCTGAGGTCAGGAGTTTGAGACCAGGCTGGCCAACATGGTGAAACCCTGCCTCTACTAAAAATACAAAAATTAGCCAGGCATGGTAGTGGGCCTCTGTAATCCCAGCTACTCGGGAGGCTGATACAGGAGAATCACTTGAACCTGGGAGGCAGAGTTTGAAGTGAGCCAAAATTACACCATTGCACTCCAGCCTGGGTGGCAGAGCAAGATTCCATCTCAAAATAATAATAATAATAGGCTGGACGTGGTGGCTCATGCCTGTAATCCCAGCACTTTGGGAGGCCGAGGCAGGTGGATTACCTGAGGTCAGGAGTTTAAGACCAGCTGGCCAACATGGTGAAACCCTGTCTCTAGTAAACATAGTCTACTAAACACACCACCGGGTGTGGTGGCGGGCACCTTTACTCCCAGCTACTCAGGAGGCTGAGGCAGGAGAGTCACTTGAACCCAGGAGGTGAAGGTTGCAGTAAGCCAAGGTTGCACCTTTGCACTCCAGCCTGGGCAACAAGGGCGAAATCTGTCTCAAACAAAAATAATAATAATAAAAAATAAATAAGATGTTCATAGCAGCCATATTCATAATAGAAAAACAATGACAACAACATTGATGTGTGCCACACTAAGGGGATAGTTTATAAAATTGTGGTATATTCTCTTGATAGAACATAATTGTTTTATTTAAAAAATGGTAAGCTTAATGGCTCTGTAACAGCAGGGTAAAATGGGTGATATAATGATACTGGAAAAGGGTGGTACAGAATTGTACATGTGCTATGACTATGCCTTTATAAAACACTTACCCGAGAGAAACCTAGAAGGAAATAAGCAAAAATGACAATGCCTATGGTAAGAGTCGTTTTCTCTGGGAGGTGAGACTAAAGGGGACTTTCTGGTTATATATTCCTCTCATGTTTTATTTTATTTTTATTTACTTATTTTTTTGAGGCAGGTTCTCACTCTGTTCCCCAGGCTGGAGTGCAGTGGCACAATCATGGCTCACTGTAGCCTTGACCTTCTGGGCTCAAGGGATCCTCCCACCTCAGTCTCCTGAGTAGCTGGAACTATAAATGTACACTACAATGCTCAGCTAATTGAAAATTTTTTTGTAGAGATGGGGGTCTCATTACGTTGCCCAAGCTGGTCTTGAACCAGTCCTCCTGCCTTGGTCTTCCAAAATGCTGAGATTTACTTTTATAATTATTAAAAATAAATATGTATCTTGAAAGATTAGATAATTTTTTTTTTACTTTTTCATAGTGTCCAAATTTTCTAGAGTGAATGTTAATGCTTTTATAATGGGAACAAATAACTTTTTTAAGTGTAAAAATTAATTTATTGCCCAGACCAGTGGTCTCAAAACTGTTTCCATCTCACACTGCTATTACTAAAAAGTGTTCAAGCATGTACTCCCTGGTATGTATATGTAATATAAATAACATCTGTTAATTTGTTTTTATTATATCCACATATAATATTACTGTACCAATATATATTATAAACATATAAAAATTGATCTTTTAAAAGAAAAAGAGAAAGATAAATATAAATGAAATCCTACTATTCACATACTCTAGTGGATCTTGTACATCTCCCTGGGTGACATGTCTCTCCACCCCGGCTTTGTTTTGTGTGTGTGTGTGAGAGATGGGGTCTCACTCTGTCATCCAGGCTGGCATGCTGTGGCTGAATCTCAACTCACTGCAACCTCTGCCTCCCGGGCTCAAGTGATCCTCCCACCTCAGCCTCCCCAGTAGCTGGGACAACAGGCAGGCGCCACCATGCCTGGCTAATTTTTTTGTATTTTTTGGTAGAGACGGGGTTTTGCCATGTTGCCCAGGCTGGTCTCAAACTCCTGAGCTCAAAGGATCCACCCACCTTGGCCTCCCAAAGTGCTGGGATTGCATGAGCCACCGCGCCTGGCCTCCACCCCCACTTCGGGACCACCAAGCTAGACTCCCGCAAGTCTTATCACGGGTTCCTCCCCTTCAGTCTCCTGCCTGCTGGATTCTTTCTGCACACTGTGTTCTTGTTAAAACCCTAATCTAGTTGTGTTAAACTCCTGCTTGAAACCTTTCAATGGTATCTCACTGCCTATAGGATAAAGTCCAAACTCAATGCTACCTCAATGACCCACCACAGTCTGACACCCCACTCAAGTCCCCTCCAGCATCTCCTGCCACCTCCAACTCACTCCAGCAGCCCAGGCGGGTTGCCTGCTAGATGCTGCACATACCTTGCCTTTGCCAATGCTGGCCCTTTTGCCTGAAATGCTAACCCCAGTCCTGCCTCCACCCTTTGTGATAAATTCCTGCTCATTCTCTAAGATTCATCTTCTGCAGCAAACCTCCTCAGACTAACCCCAGTTTGGGATAAGTACCCCCTTTCTGCACACTCATAATATTCTCTACACAGCTCTGTCATTGACCGTATCGTGTTGTCATACAGTTACCTGTTTGCACAGCTCTTTCCCTTCCACCTGATTAAGTGCTTCAGGAAGGCAAGGCTGTGCTTTATCCGCCTTTGGTCTCTAGCACCTGTACAGTGCCCAGCATGCAGAAGGTGCTTAATAAATGTTGACTAAATGTGATGGGCCATACTCATTGCAGAAGATTGAAAAACACTGAACAGCAAAAAAAGACAAAACCCAAATCATTTGCAGTCTTCCAGCAATCCCAGTTAGCATCTTCTGTATTTCCTTTTAGTGTTTTATTCACTTCGTGAATATGTGCCAAATATGCCTTTATTGTCATACTCTGTTTTCATAATGGAGCTCATACTTCTTACACATTTTCTTTACTTGCGGTGATATTGTGGTCAGATACGGTTTTGGCAGCAGGTGTGGGAAGCGAGTGATTCCAATGGTAGAGAAAGGGGGTATGAAGGCAGACAGAGCTGCAGGTGATTCCAGCCCTGGCCAATAAGCACACAAAAGGCTCTGACGTGAGATCTTCATGACCTTGAGCAGTGTGAGGTCTTCATGACCTTCTCTAGGCTTTTGACTCCAATCAGCAAAACAAGAAAATTAGAGTAGATCAGTATTTTTTAAAGTATGAACATATTCCACAGGAGGGTTACAGGATGATTTTAGGTGGCTCACAGATTGACGTTTTTAGTTTTAACATTTATGTATTTATTTATGTGAATTAGAAAAAGCAGCATGACTAACTTACTAACTGTGTGATCTGACAGATCTTGTTGCTTAAGACAAAGTTAAAGTAAATATTTAAGTAAAAGGAACTGAACAGATTGAAGGAAAATCATTTGTAATTTTTTTTTTTTTTTTTAGACAGAGTCTTGCTTTGTCACCCAGGCTGGAGTGCAGTGGTGTGATCTTGGCTCACTGCAAACTCTGCCTCCTGGCTTCAAGTGATTCTTCTGCCTCAGCCTCCCAAGTAGATGGGATTACAGGCGCCGCCACCACACCTGACTACTTTTAGTAGAGATGGGGTTTCACCATGTTGGCCAGGCTGGTCTCGAACTCCCAACCTGAGGTGATCCGCCCACCTCGGCCTCCCAAAGTGCTGGGATTACAGGTGTGAGCCACCGTGCCCAGCCCGGAAAATCATTAATAAATTTAAAGAGCAGATGATATGTAGATAAGGCCAACACTGGGGCAGTCTTGTGAGAAAAACAAGCTGAAAAATACTGGCGGTTCCTTCTGGTTCAAGGATGCCACACTTCTCTGATTCCTGGGTATTACCAATATAGGAAATGGCCATGTAGACCTGCCACTCAAAAAAGGGTTTAAGGAGCCTTAGCTCCTTGCATATTGCCTGGCACATGATGGGGATCAGTTAATATCTGTTGAATGGAAATTCATAAAAGGTTTACATAGAGTTGAGTGGGGGCAGATGGAACATTCAGCATCCGCCCTGCTCAGTCAGCATTTGCGGCCCTCATCTAGAATGCTGACCCACAGAATTCTGTCTTATTCATTAATCGTTGAACTCATGCCTTTCTAGACTGCTAAAACAGGCAGAAAACATATCCATTATCTAGCTCAAATCCCTCACGTTTTAACCGAAGACTCTGAGATCCTGAAGATCACAGAGCCGGTGGCAGAGGTACCTGTCCTGTGAATAGCGCAGGCTGGTTATCCTGAAAATCACCCCTACAGAGCACAGGGCGGCCCATGTGGGGTAGAATGCATGGCTGCATCCACAAGAAAGTCAGGAAATCCCCAAGGCCAAAGTGAAGAGGATCACCCAAAACAGACAGACAGTATGAACTAATGCTGGGGATTGCCCAGGAGGGCTTAAGGGCGTCACGGGCTGGTTTTTTTTGGGACGGAGTCTCACTCTGTCGCCCAGGCTAGAGTGCAGTCTCGTGATCTCAGGTCACTGCAATGTCCCCCCACTGGGTTCAAGTGATTCTTGTGGCTCAGCCTCCTGAGTAGCTGGGATTACAGGCGTGTGCCACCACACCTGGCTAATTTTTGTATTTTTAGTAGAGACAGGGTTTCACCATCTTGGCCAGGCTAGTCTCAAACTCCTGATCTGAAGTCATCCACCCGCCTGGTCTCCTAAAGTGCTGGGATTACAGGCATGAGCCACCGCACCCAGCCATGGGTTGATTTTTTAAAGCCTGAAAGGACAGATGCAGCTTTCAGTTCAAGTGAGACAGGGGATTGGAACTGAGACCCCTGTGTGAAGCTGAGGCTACCCTGTTCAGTGAAAAAGTAGACTAGAAATCAATGTGACCATCAGCATCAGGAAGTGACATGGAGTCTTGTCTGTCCTAGCTTAGAATCTAGGTTAAAAAAAAATTATCCCCTAAGAATTAGTCATCACATGCTTTCCCCCTCCTAGGTTTTGGTGAATCCCTTAGCCTCACCCCAATTTCTATGTTTCTGAAATGGAGTGGTTGTGAAAATTAAATGAGTTCACAAATGTAAAGTGCTTGACACATGGTAAGTTCTAAGTCTGAGTGAGATGTTGTTGTTATTTATTATGTAAGAAATTGAGAGTTAATGGAACTTTTTAAGTGAGGACTACCCAGTAGTGTGCTCATGGATGTTTAACAACCAGCTCTCCAAGATGCCGGA
The DNA here is from genome assembly GCF_000001405.40 of Homo sapiens. NCBI lineage: Eukaryota > Metazoa > Chordata > Mammalia > Primates > Hominidae > Homo > Homo sapiens. Next base: position 36,029,455 of record NC_000020.11, read on the forward strand.
GGAGGACCCTGGCTTGCAGTGTTTGCTGATTTCCATAGTGTAAATACTCCCACCATGGCCAGTTTCAAACTACCAACCTGCTGCCACAAGCATGGAGTTGAGAAGAGGTGCACACGGTCAGCTTTCATGAGCGGGTGGCAGCTGGCTTTGTCATATTGCTGATGCTACAGGACTAGCTTGTAGCCATGCTGACCTCTGAGTTTTTTCTTAAGCCAATCTCTATGGATCAAAGTTGACTTTATCTTTGTCGATATAATCTGGCTGGAAGAATGAATGTTCTGACTTGTTAATGATGTATTCAGCTTGTCTGCTTAGGTAAGAGAGTACAGGTGAGTTAGTTGAAGCTTTATACCACCTTGCCTTGCTGTGGTCTCAGGAGGCCTCAGTCCTTCTTCCACCTTCCTCAGCCGCACTTACTATGAGGTGAGGGGGAGGGCAGAGCCAGACCACCATGGCCAGTCCAAGGCAGCCACCAGTCTACCTCCTGTCTCTACAGACCTGCCTGTGCTGGACATCTCACGTAAACCGAATCATGTAATATGTATATACCACACTTTATCCATTTATCAATATAAAATGATTAAGGAGCTATTTTACTTTCTAAGTTCTGTGTTCTAAGTCTGTGAAATCTGGTGTGTATTTTACACTCACAGCACATCTCTATTTCAGACTGGCTGCATTTCAGGTACTCAGTAGCTACAGGTGGCCCATTGCTACTACATGAGACAGCACAGGCCTAAGGGAAGAAAACTGTGGAAAGGGAAAGGGTGCAGAAGGAGAGTCTGGGAGGGTCAGAGAAGCAGAATGAAGCGCCACATGCTTAGGGAGGGGAGAGTGGCAGGAGGCAAGGCTGGAGGGGCGGGACTGGCATGAGAACCTCGGCTTCTGTGCCTGCCCTTTAGTGATGAAGATATGTGCCAGAAGTTCCTCCAGCAGAACAGCTGGAATATCTTTCGGAAGGACCTGTTGCAGCTGCTCGTGGAGCCTTGCCAAAGTCAACTGTTCACTCCAAACCGGCCCAAGAAGAGAGAGATCTACAACCCTAAGTCTGTGGTCCTGGATTTGTGCAGCATCAACAAGACGACTAAACCTCGTTATCCTATTTTTATGGCACCCCAGAAATACCTCCCCCCATTGAGGATTGTCCAAGCCATCAAAGCACCTCGGTACAAAATCCGAGAACTCTTGGCTTAGTGTAAGAGCACAGGGGTCCTTATTTAGGACAAATAAAGGATGGTGGATTGGGCGCTGTGCTTTCTGAATGACCACCATGGGAGCTGTGGGACTTGGAGGAAGGGGGCCTGGAGGGCTGAGCTGTGGGTCCACAGAGGTGTTTGGGGGACAGCAATGGGGGCACAGTCTCCCTTGATGCTTGAGGGCTGGGCTGAGTGAATGGATGGTCAGAGGCTGTGTGTGGACGGGTTAATCATTGGGCATAGGTTCAGGGTAGGAGGGTCTTGTCTGATAAGCTGGATGTGGGGGAGGCTCAAATCAAAGTGGTCAAGACTAGGGTTGCAAATGCCTTCCAAGGCCACACAGGTCATCTAAAGGAGGGCAGCAGAAGGGCTGGGAAGGCAACGGGGAATGGTGGAGATGCTGGGGCCCACTGTGTAAGTTCCCCATCCAGATGGGGCAGCTGCCCCTTAGCCCAGTCAGTTGCTGCCCTGTCAGAAAATAATTCGGGCCTCATATCGTCAGTCTGTAGATTCTTCAAGAGAATCAAGAAATTCAATATTTTAGATGATTCCTACCAGTTTTTAAACATGAGCAACTAATTCAGATTGTTTTCAAATAGTGTCAAACAAAACACACATGGGCCTGCAGGTGGTGGGCTGGGTCCCTGTCAGAGAGTGGAAGTGAGGCTGCGACTGATTGGGAGGAGGGTACAGGAGCCAGAGAGACGCTGATGGGACAGCATGACAGGAGCAGGCATCAGGTCCAGGATGAGGAGTGAGTAGCTGTGATAGAGGAGGTGGAGACAAGGAGGCTGCAGAGTCTGAACGAAAGAGGGCTCCTCACTCTCTCTGCTGGGTCTTTAATCTGGAGCTGCCCAACACTGATCTGGGCCTACAACTCAGGGTTCCTGTCTCCAGCAGCCTCAGCACCACAGACCAAGCTCCAGACACCTCTTTCCCTTCGAGAACCCCATAGGTTAGCCTGAGAGCACTGAGGAGCCTGGCGGAGGCCATGGCGGCACAGGAGCCTGCCCGCTTCCAAGTCCCCCACCCTGTCCCTGGCAAGGCATAGACTCTGAGGAATGCCTGGGCGTTGAGCTGGGCACCAGGAGCTCTGGCAGTCCCAGGTGTGCTTGTGTCTCACTGGACCCTCTTGAGCACTTTGATTCCCTTATCTGTACCTCAGTTTCCCCAGTGGTGAAATGAGCAAGTTGGACAAGATCAATGGCTTTCATGAATGGGGGTGATCTAGTTTGAAAAGCATATTCAACATTATAGTTTTGTTTGTTGAATTTATTTTTTATTTTGAGACAGGGTCTTGCTCTGTTGCCCAGGCTGCAGTGCAGTGGCACGATCATAGCTCACTGCAGCCTCGAACTCTTGGGCTCAAGCAATCCTCCTGCCTTAGCCTCCAAAGTAGCTGGGAGTACAGGTATGCACCATCACGTAGGGCTAATTAAAAATTTTTTTTTGTAGGGACAGGGTCTTACTGAATTGCTCAGGCTGGTCTCAAACTCCTGGCCTAAAGTGATCCTCTCACCTTGGCCTCCCAAAGTGCTGAGATTTCAGGTATGAGCCTGATACGATTTGGCTGTGTCCCCACCCAAAATCTTATCTTGAATTGTAATAATCCCCATGTGTGAAGGGCAGGACCGGGTGGAGATAATTGAATCATGGGGGCAGTTTCCCCATACTGTTCTCATGATAGTGAGTGAGTTCTCACGAGATCTGATGGTTTTATAAGGGGCTTTCCCCTTCGCTCAGCTCTCATTCTCTCTCCTGCTGCCATGTGAAGAAGGATTTGTTTGTTTCCCCTTCTGCCACGATTCTAAGTTTCCTGAGGCCTTCCCAGCCATGCGAAACTGTGAGTCAATTAAACCTCTTTTCTTTATAAACTACCCAGTCTCAGGTATGTCTTTATTAGCAATGTGAGGACAAACTCATACAGAGCCACTACACTGGAACTCTGTTGAATTTAAAAGAAAGCCGTTTTCATATTGCATACCAGAAAAGAAGTATGAAATTTTTCTCTCTGAAGGGGGTGTGGACGTAAAGGGTAAAGAAGCAGTGGACTTACAGATCTTCACTTCCCTGATAGCTCCAGAATCAAGGAGTCAGGGATATCTGCAGCAGTCCTGGAAAGGTTGACTGTGACCTACAAGGACAAGGGGTCACTGTTTTGGGACCAAGTAAGTTGGGGTGTCTGACCATATTTAGGTATCCTTTTGCATTTAGGGCTGTGGCTCCAAGATGATGGTGTGGGCTTCTTATTCATCCATTTGAAATTTATTTATTTATTTATTTATTTTTGGAGAGAGTCTTGCTTTGTCGCCCAGGCTGGAGCACAGTGGTGCAATCTCAGCTCACTGCAACCTTCCGGATTCAAGCGATTCTCGTGTCTCAGGCTCTCAAGTAGCTGGGACTACAGGTGTGTGACATCAGGCCTGGCTACAGACCTGGCTAATTTTTTGTATTTTTAGTAGAGATGGGGTTTTGCTGTGTTGCCCAGGCTAGTCTCAAACTCCTGAGCTCAGGCAATCCACCTGTCTTGGTACTTCCAAAGTGCTAGGATTATAGGCGTGAGCCACTGTGCCCAGCCTTGAAATTTATTTATTGAGCACTGCAGAGAGAGTCAAAGGTTGGATAAGATGCATTTTCTGTTGCCTTTTATTTTCTTGGCTAGGGGTCACCAAACTCCTTTTAAATTTTATGTTTTTAAATTTATTTTTGAGACAGGGTCTGTCTCTGTCACCCAGGCTAGAATGCAATGGCATGATCATAGCTCACTACAGCCTCAAACTCCTGGGCTCAAGCGATCATCCTGCTTCAGCCTCTTAAGTAGCTGGGATTACAGGTGTGCACTACCATGCCCGACTAATTTTTTTTTTTTTTTTTTTTTTTTTTGTAGAGGCAGGGCCTTGCTGTTCTGTTCAGATTAGTATCAAACTCCTGGCCTCAAGTGATCCTCCTGCCTCAGCCTCCCAAAATGCCAGGATTACAGGTGTGAACCACTATGCCCAGCCCAAACTCTTTATGTAAGGGGTCACATGTTGAGCACTTATTACGTGACAGTCACCTTGCTGAGCATCTGACTGTGGAGTTCAGTGACCTGCAGGCTCTGCCACTTAATGGCTGTTGAGGATTAAAAGAGGTGGTATGTGTATAACAAGGTGGAAGATTTTTTTCACCAAGATCTCTGGGTCCTGCTTCCTGGGAAATAAGAAAATGCGGCCAGGCACGGTGGCTCACGCCTGTAATCCCAGCACTTTGGGAGGCCGAGGTGGGCGGATCACGAGGTCAGGAGATCAAGACCATCCTGGCTAACATGGTGAAACCCCGCCTCTACTAAAAATACAAAAAATTAGCTGGGCGTGGTGGCGGGCGCCTGTAGTTCCAGCTACTTGGGAGGCTGAGGCAGGAGAATGGCGTGAACCTGGGAGGTGGAGCTTGCACTGATCCGAGATTGCACCACTGCACTCCAGCCTGGGCGATGAGTGAGACTCCGTCTCAAAAAAAAAAAAAAGAAAAAGAAAATGCTTCCAGAATAACAGGCAGAACATGTTTTTTAGGGCAGTAATGGGTGAGAAAATAGCCTGGAAGAGCAACTGAGGATGAGGGTACTGAGAAGGGAGAGAGACTCTGGGCTGGGCTTCAGGAGGTCTTGAGGGGAGCTGAGGAAGAGCAAAGTTCCTGAAGCCACTATGTGACAAAAGAACTTGAGAAGGAGAAATGTCTGAAGAGGACTTCAAGGAGTCCTCTGTGCTTTTCTGTGCATTGAGAATGTGTCCCTCTTTGGCATTTGTTTGAGAAACCAAGTGAACATTTGAATAGAATTATAGAATTAGGCAGTACTGCTGTCTCTTTGAATCCAGTAACCAAGCAGGGAGTGGGCAGCAAGAGATGCTTATTATATTCAGCATATGGTGTAAAGTCCCTGGCATGGTAAGTGCTCAGCACTCGCTAAGTGTCATTCACGTCTTTTAGACCAAGGTCAATTTGATCATCTAGAAACTCTCTTCCCCCTTCAGTGGAATAGGAAACTGAGACTTTGGAAGTCTGAGCCCTCATAATCAGTGATAAAGGCCATCACTGAGTGGATTGGGGTAGGAGGAGCCTGAATGACTTCTCGCCTAACCCCCACACTCTTATCTAGGTGAAGGAGCTCATGGGAACATGAACGGGCAGCCTCTCAGGGGAGAGTGGAGACAGGGCAGCAAACCATACCAAGCACTGTGTGGGGGGGGTACTGTTTGGAAAAAGAATGAGTGGGACAGTGAGGGGAATGTAGGGCAGGGGGAGGTGGGACTTGTGTGTGAGCCTAGCTTCCAGGCTGTGAGCTGCAGAATGAGCGCCGGTTCTCAAGGTTCCCTTTCCCCAGCACACACACACACACATATACATACACACATATATACACACATACACATGCATACACACATATACACATACACATATACACACATACACATATATACACACATATACATAAATACACATATACACACACGACACACATACACATACACACATACACATACACACATACATACATACACATGCAATAACATGGGATCAGATTCAGGCAGGATACTGGGTGTGCTGGCTCACGCCTGTAATCCTAGCACTTTGGGAGGCTGAGGCAGGAGTTCAAGACCAGCCTGGGAAACATAGTGAGACCCTGTCACTACAAAAAATACAAAAATTAGCCATCCATGGTGGTGCATGCCTGTAGTCCAAGCTACTTAAGGGAGCTGAGGTGGGAGGATTACTTGAGCCGAAGAGGTCAAGGCTGCAGTGAGCCATGATCATGCCACTGTACTCCAGCCTGGGTGACAGAGTGAAACTCTCTCTCAAAAAAAAGGGAAAAGAAAGAAAAAAGAATCAGGCAGTGGGCAGTGGAAGACATGACATGAGCATTTACCTGGGAGAGGAGTTCACTCAGAAGGAGTAAATATGATACCCCCTGGCACAAGTGTTTGGAACAAATGACATTTTCAGTGCTGCAGAGGTCCTCACTGCCACCTAGGCACAGATCCAAGGGTCCCGGAAGCCCGGGGTGATCTGCCATGCCTAAGAAGCCAGGGAGAGGGCCCCAGGCTCAGGTATGGAGTACCTGGTGTGTGCCAGGCATTATGTGAGGCACTCTACAGAGGCCATCACTTACTCTGAAACTATTTCCTGGCAGCTAACTGGATGGCAGCATCCATTTGAGAGATGAGGAGCCTGAGGCCCCGAAGGCAAAGCTCACTCAGCTACCAGGTGGTGGTTCCAGAAAATCCAGGAAAACCACAGCCCAGCACCCTCCTAGTTAATCAGCATTGAAGTGTGTGGACAGTTACACCACCGTTACTCATCTATCCCAAATGAGCCACCTATTTTCAAAAAAGGAAGTCTGCACACACAGCCCTGAAACTGTGCTGGGGAGAATATAATTGCCCTCTGGAATTATTTTCCATATGTAAATAAGCATAGTCATACTTAGAGAGGCAAGCCCAAGCTGCTTGAGCCAAAAATATAGCCCCTAGTGCTAAAAGCTTCCACTGTTTGGGGGAAAAATAAAAAAAACCCACTTGAAAAATAAACACAGGACACATTACCAGCGTTTGTTATAGGTAGTGTTTAAGGTCCCAACTTGGGGTTGGAAGAAAGGCATTGTTTAAATCTTCTATTCCGGTGGGGCGCGGTGGCTCATGCCTGTAATCCCAGCACTTTGGGAGGCTGAGGTGGGCGGATCACAAGGTCAGGAGTGCGAGACCAGCCTGGCCAACATGGTGAAACCGCATCTCTATTAAAATATAAAAAAAAATTAGCTGGTGTGGTGGCGGGCACCTGTAACCCCAGCTACTCGGGGGACTGAGGCAGGAGAATCGCTTGAACCCAGGAGGCAGAGGTTGCAGTGAGCCAAGATTGCGCCACTGCACCCCAGCCTGGGCGACAAGAGCAAGACTCCATCTCAAAAAAAAAAAAAAAAAGAAAAGAAAAGAAAAAAAAAAAGAAAAAAGAAAAGTCTTCTATTCCTTTCATATAACTCCTAGGAAAGTCTTACCTTCCAGTTAAGGGGTGAAATGGGTCACTTTGCTCATCTGCAAGGCTACATCATAGGGAAATACTTTCAGGGCAGTACACGTACAGGCCATTTTACCATGATGCCTTTCTACTGCTGGGGGATTTATGGGGCTTAACTGCAAGGGTGCTGAGTTGCTGAATTTGTAATCACTGGTCCAGAGCAAACAATGAGGATGAGTAGCAGTTTCTAGGTGGCTGATAAGCAGGATCAAAGCATAAACAAAGGTTTTTCATGGCTGCTGCCAAACTGTGGGCCTTGGGGACAGACACTGGAGGGCTGGGGCAGTGAGAGGTAGCAGAGTTCAGATGTGTGCTGTGTGACTCTCCGCCAGGCTCCATCCCTTTCCTGAGCTTCATGCCTAGCATCTGTGCAATTCCAGGGGTCCAGCGGGTGTTCTGCACACATAGCCCCCACCCCAGGGGCTGAGCAGGGCCCCACCCGCCTCTCTTGTTTTGTCCTCACCTATCTCGTACTTCCAAAACCACCCACCCCCAACAGAAAGTCAGGATCAAGAAAGTGGATTATTGAGGCTGGGCGCAGTGCTTATGCCTGTAATCCCAGCACTTTGGGAGGCCGAGGTGTGCAGATCACCTGAGGTCGGGAGTTCAAGGCCAGCCTGACCAACATGGAGAAACCCTGTCTCTACTAAAAATACAAAAATTAACCGGGCGTGGTGGCACATGCCTGTAATCCCAGCTACTCGGGAGGCTGAGGCAGGAGAATCACTTGAACCCGGGAGGTGGAGGTTGTGGTGAGTCGAGATTGTGCCATTGCACTACAGCCTGGGCAACAAGAGCCAAACTCCGTCTCAAAAAAAAAAAAAAAGAAAAAGAAAATGGATTATTGAACCCCATGGTGGCATGTGAAAATGAACTGTGGGAGAGATAATAGTATTTATTTATTTATTTGTTATGTTTTCCCAGATAGGGTCTCACTCTGTCTACTCTGGAGTGCAGTGGTGCAATCACGGTTCATTGCAGCCTTGACCTCCTGGGCTTAAGGGATCCTTCCACTTCAGTCTCCTGAGTAGCTGGGACTACAGGTGTGCCACAATGCCTGGCTAATTTATTTTTTTATTATTTGTAGAGACAGGGTTTCACCATGTTGCCCAGGCTGGTCTTGAACTCCTGGGCTCAAGAGATCTGCCTGCTTCAGCCTCCCAAAGTGTTGGAATTACAGGTGTGAGCCACCATATCTGGCCGTAATTGTATTTCTTGCTGTCTGTAATTGTACTGTTACGTAAGAGACTCTCCTTGTACTTAGGAAATATACACTGCAGTACTTGGCAGTTAAGAGAGATAATTTCTTCAATTTACTTTCCAAATTATTTAGAAAATTATAATATGTACATTTAGAGAGAGAATGGCAAAGAAAATATAGTCAAATAACAACTGGCCAGTCTGCGTGAAGTGTACTTAGGAATTGTTTTTAAAAAAAATTTTTTTTTAACAGAGGTGGGGTCTCACTGTTTTGCTCAGGCCTGTCTCAAACTCCTGGGCTCAAGTGATCCTCCTGCCTCAGCCTCTTTTTTTTTTTTTTTTTTTTTTTTTTTGAGACAGAGTTTCACTCTTGTTGCCAAGACTAGAGTGCAGTGGCAGATCTTGGCTCACTGCAGCCTCTGCCTCCTGGGTTCAAGAGCTTCTCCTGCCTCAGCCTCCCGAGTACCTGGAATTACAGGCATATGCCACCACGCCTGGCTAATTTTGTATTTTTAGTAGAGATGGGGTTTCACCATGTTGGTCAGGCTAGTCTTGAACTCCTGACCTCAGGTGATCGAACCACGTTGGCCTCCCAAAGTGCTGGGATTGCAGGTGTGAGCCACCGTGCCCAGCCACTGCCTCAGCCTCTTAAAGTGCTGTAAGCCGTCGCCTGGCCTTAGGAGTTCTTTGAACCATCCTTGAAATTAAAAACATATGTTTAACTGTGGTAAAATACGAATAGCATAACATGTATCATCTTCATCATTTTTAAGTGTATAGTTGAGTGGCATGAAGTATTCTCATTGTTATGTAACTATCACCACCATCCATCTCCAGAACTCTTTTCATCTTGGAAAAATGAAACTCTGTACCCATTAAACAATGACTCCCCATTACTCCTTCCCCCCTAGTCCCTGGCAACTACCTCTCTCCTTTCTGTCTCTATGAATTTGAGTACCCTAGGTACCTAAAGTAGTGGAATCATACAATATTTGTCTTTCTGGGGCTGGTTCATTTACTTAGCATGCTGTCCTCAAGGTTCACCTATGTTGTAGCATGTGTCAGAATTTCGTTCCTTTTTAAGGCTAAACAATATTCCATTTTATGTGTATATACCATATTTTGTTTACCCATTCATCTACCGATGGCCACTTGGGTTGCTTCTACTTTTTGGCTATTGTGAATAATGTTGTTATGAACATTGGTGCAAATGCATCTTTGAGACCACTGCTTTCAGTTCTTTTGGTTATATATCCAAAAGTGGGATTGCTAGATCCTATGGTAATTCCATTTTTAATTTTTTGAGGAACTGCCATATTTTTCATAGTGGCATTATCATTCTTGCAATTTTAAGTGTGAAGTTATCTTAAAATAAAAATTAGAACTGAAAAAAGGAAGAAAGTGAAGGAAGCTAATATGGATATGCATAAATATTGGCTTTAGTTGACTTTATAATTAGATAAAAATTGATTTTTAAGTTTGTTGAGGCCGGGTGTGGTGGCTCACACCTGTAATCCCAGCACTTTGAGAGGCTGAGGCGAGCAGACTGCTTGAGTTCGAAGTTCAAGACCAGCCTGGGCAACATGATGAAACCCTGTCTCTACAAAGAAATACAAAAATTAGCCAGATGTGGTGGTGTGCACCTGTAGTCCCAGCTACTCAAGAGGCTGAGGAGGGAGGATCACTTGAGCCTGGGAGGTGGAGGTTACAGTGAGCTGAGATTGCAGTGAGCCTGGGTGACAGAGCCAGACCCAGTCTCAAATAAAAAAAAAATCATTGATAAGCTCCGTGATATTCAGGATAAAAAGAGAAACATATTATTTATTAGAAATTAGACAATTGGGCCAGGTGCTTTGGCTCACGCCTGTAATCCCAGCACTTTGGGAGGCCAAGGTGGGTGGATCACGAGGTCAGGAGATCGAGACCATCCTGGCTAACACGGTGAAACCCTGTCTCTACTAAAAATACAAAAAATTAGCCGGGTGTGGTGGCGGGTGCCTGTAGTCCCAGGTACTCTGGAGGCTGAGGCAGGAGAATGGCACGAACCCGGGAGGCGGAGCTTGCAGTGAGCAGAGATCGCGCCACTGCACTCCAGCCTGGGTGACAGAGCGAGACTCCATCTCAAAAAACAATAACAACAACAAAAAGAAATTAGACAATTGAGACCAAGAAGAAAATGGAGGAAGTCACTATGGATTTGTATAAGCTCTAGCCATAATTACAAAACCTGGCTTTCACACACCTATTAGAATAGCCAAAATCCAGAACACTGACACCACCAAATGCTGGCAAAGATGTGGACCAAGAACCATCATTCATTGCTGGTGGGAGTACAAAATGGTACAGTTGCTTTGGAAGACAGTTCAGTGGTTTCTTATAAAATTAAACATTCTCCTACCACACAAGGAGTTGAAAGCATATCCATATGAAAACCCGTACATAAATGTTTATGGCAACTTTATTTGTAGTTGCTAAGACTTGGAAGCAACCAAGATGTCTTTCAGTAGGTGAATGGATAAATAAACTGTGGTATGTCCAGACAATGGGATATTATTCAGCACTAAAAAGAAATGAGCTATCAACTCTTGAAAAGACATGGAGCAACCTTAAATGCATATTACTAAGTGAAATAAGCCAATCTGAAAAGGCTACAAACTGGATGTATGTCCAGTTATATGACACTATGGAAAGGCAAAAACTATGGAGTTGTCTTCAAAATTAGTCGTTGCCAAGGGCTGAGGAGAGGGAAGGATGAATGGATATAGCACAGATGATTTTTACAGAAGTGAAACTACACCCTGTAATACTACTACTAATGGTAAACCCATGTCATCATACATTTGTCCAAATCCATAGAATGTAAACTTCCCAGAGTGAACCCTGGTGTAAACTCTGACCCTGGGTGATAACAATGTGTCAGTATTGGTTCCTCAATTGTAACAAATGTACCACTCTGGTCGCGGACATTGATAATCAGGGGGCTGTGCATGTGTCGGGAACAGGGAGTATATGAGAAATCCCTGTACTTTCCACTCAGTTTTGCTATGAACCTAAAACTGCGATAGAAAATAGAGCCTGTTAAAAAAACAAAACAAAACAACTGGCTTTGAGCTCTCTGATGGCTCAACATGGTGAAACCCTGTCTCTACTAAAATACAAAAATTAGCCGGGCATGATGGCAGGTGCCTGTAATCCCAGCTATTCAGGAGGCTGAGACAGGAGAATCGCTTGAACCTGGGAGGTGGAGGTTGCAGTGGGCCGAGATCGTGCCATTGCACTCCAGCCTAGGTGACAGACAGAGGGAGACTCTGTCTCAAAAAACAAACAAACAAAAAACAGTTCTCACCAGCATTCACACATTGCTCCATTATCCACATCCTCATCAGCTTCGATGATCATCAGCTCATGGGGTTTGCCCCCTCTGCGAGAAGCATCCTGGAGCCCATTGGCTGCTACCTGCTCCCCTCCCTCCAAACAGCGCTTGTCTTCTGTCCATCTCAGTCCCCTCACCTTCAGGCTCCTGGGCATCTCCATGAAACAGGGAGGCCTAGGAGAGCTGGCATCACTGAATCTAAAACCTAGAAGAATCCAACCAGCACACATGCCCTAGGGAGAGGAGATGGTCTAGGTTTAGAGAGACAGCACCAAACAAGATGGAACAAAGTCCCTGGCCTCTAGGAGCTTATGTTCTGTATTGATGATGAGCACAGGAAGTGCACAAGAAAAATCAGGGTAGGTAGGGGGTGGAGGCTACTACTTTGTGAAGGGTCATTAGAGAACACTTTATGAAGAATATGACATTGGTGAGTACACCAGTGAGGGAGTGAACCCTGCAGATATCAAGGCCAAGAATGTTCCGGGCAGAGGAATGTTCCATGCTTGGCATGGCTAGGTGACAGCAAGGAGGCCAGTATGTCCAGAATGGAGTCAAAGGAGAAAAAAGTTGCAAGAAGGGGGGTGGAGGCCAGATCATGACCATGTGAAGGGAGCTTTTGGAAGGTTCTTAGCAGAGATCTAGGATCTAGAATCTGGCTAGACTGGGGAAGCACCAGCATGGAAGGCGTCGGGGAGGAAGGCACTGCAGTGATCCAAGTAGGAGATTATGGAGGCTTGGATCAGAGTGGTTGTGGTGGTGTTGAGATGGGACCAATCCTGGCCATATTTTGACGGCAGAACTGAGAGGGCTTGCTGTTGGACTCAATGTGAGGAATGGGAGAGAATCAAGAATTACTCCAGAAATGTTTTTTGAGCAAGTGGAAGCTGCTTCCTGAGATAAGGAAGGCTGTGAGGGAAGCACAGTTGGGGGTGGATCTCAGGAGTGTGGTTTTAAACAGTTTACAGCAAAAGGATTTAAAGATGAAGTGACCTAATATACATTAAAAACTTAGGACAGGACAGGCACGGTGGCTCATGCCTGTAATCCCAGCACTTTGGGAGGCCGAGGCAGGTGGATCATGAGGTCAGGAGTTCGAGACCAGTCTGGCCAACATGGTGAAACCCTGTCTCTACTACAAATACAAAAATTAGCTGGGCTTGGTGGCGGGCACCTTTAATCCCAGTTACTCAGGAGGCTGAGGCAGGAGAGTCACTTGAACCCGGGAGGTGGAGGTTGCAGTGAGCTGAGATCACACCATTGCACTCCAGACTGGACAACAGAGAATAGAGTGAGACTCTGTCAAAACAAACAAACAAACAAACAAACAAAACCTTAGGGACAGTATTTGGTACTTCATAGCACACATGCATGTAAGGTTGACATTTATCTCCATTTTAAAAATAAGATTGAAGTTTCAAGGGTTAAGCAACTTATGTACTGTATCTCTTTGAGACCCTGCTTTCAGTCCTTTTGGATATGCAGTTGAACCTTGAACAACATGAGTTTGAACTGTGTGGCCCCACTTATATGTGGCTTTTTTTTCAGTCAAATGCAGTGGTGGGATGCCAAACTGCAGACAGGGAGAGCCAACTTTTCATATATACAGGTTCTGTAGCAGGACTTGAGTATGTACGGATTTGGGTATACCCAGGGATTCTGGAGCCAATCCCCCAGTATATCAAGGTATGACTTGAAAGTGGCATTGCTGGATCATACGGTAGTTCTATTTTTAATTTTTTGAGGAACTGTCCTACTGTTTTCCATTGCAGTTGCACCATTTTACAATTCCACTAACAGTGCATAGGGGTCCCAGTTTATTCACATCCTTGCCAACACTTGTTTTTATTTTTGTTTTCTTTTTTTCTTTGTTTTTTTTTTTTTTTTTTTTTTTTTGAGACAGGGTCTTGTTCTGTTGCCCAGGCTGGAGTACAGTGGCATGATCTCAGCTCACTGAAACCTCTGCCTCCTGGGTTCAAGCAATTCTTGTGCCTCAGCCTCCCTAGTAGCTGAGATTACAGGCGCCCACCACCACACCTGGCTAATTTTTGTATTTTTAGTAGAGATGGGGTTTCACCATGTTGGCCAGGCTGGTCTTGAACTCCTCACCTCAAATGATTCGCCTGCCTCAGCCTCCCAAAGTGTTGGGATTACAGGTCTGAGCCACTGTGCCCGGCCTGATTTTTGTTTTCTAGAAAGTCTCACTCTATTGCCCAGGATGAAGTAGAGTTTTGACCTCCTCGGTTCAAGTGATCCTCCCACCAAAGCCTCCAGAATAGCTGGGAATACAGGCCATTTCTTTATTTCTATCAGAATTGGACTCATGGCTTCCTGTTTTATTCAGTGTGCTATCATTTGCATTATATGAGTCATTCTACATTTTGATGCTCAAATTGTGACAGATTTGGCCAATGGAAGCCACTTCAAGCTGGCTTCTGTGTCCTTTTGATATGTCCCCGTCATTCTTGGAGCACTGTCTTGATTCCTGCCATAACAGGATATTTCAAGATGATCTTGTACTTTCTTTGCTGCAGCCCTGGAATTAGCCATTTCTCCAAGGCCCATGGTTCCTTTTAGTAAAGAACCATGTTTAGAAGCTTCTGGCCCTGGCTTTACCCCCGATGAAACTCATGGCTTTGAAAGGCCCAGCATCTGATCTGAAGAGGCAGAACAAACCATTCATTTTACTGAGGAGACTGAGGCCTAGATGTGGTCCATTGGCCAAGTCCGCAGCCAGTGACAGAGCTTAGACACGAGCTGAGGCCCCTGACCTCCTGTCCAGTGTTCTCTGCATGGCAATACATATTGCTAGCTAAGCGGTCTGCTCCCAGCAGGGCCTGGCCCTCTCTGGACCTCACTTCCCTCTTGCGGCCACTGAGGGTTATCTTTGCCCTGGGGGTCCAGGACTGCCTGAGAGTTGACCTTAGCTCCTGGCTCTTGATGCGCCTTACCTTCCTGGAGACTTTTATGGGTGAATCCACCTTAAATTACAGAAGAGGTCCTGCTTCAGCTTTTATCTCCAGCTTACAAACCAATCCCATCCTGAAATGACTTGTCGAAGTGCATGGACCTGGGGGGACACGTGGTTTGTTCCCTCCACGCCAGGGATTCAAGGAATATGTGCCTCCCTGAAGCCCATCTTGGTCAGCTAAGACCTGTCTCATAGAGGAGCATCAACAGGAAAGATTGGGTCCAGGCCTGATACCGGGTTGGGAAGGCAATTGGAAAGGCCTCGTCTACCTGCCCTAAGGCTCCCAACCCACCCAGGTTACACCATCAGCATCTGGGGAAACAGAGACACTACCGTCCCACATCCGGAGGCCAGTGTCTCATTAGCCTCACGTCAAAGTTGAGAATAAGAACCCTCTATAGTCATATTCTCTATATGCCATTAGAGAATGTTTGCTGTGCCTGATTTGGGGATAGGTTATGCTGCATCTGACCGATGCCCTCTGGTTTGGTCAGCCACGATAGCAACTTCCAGCCTGGAAATGCTTGATTATTCAATCAGTGCCCTTACTAGTGATGTCACACCAAGCAGCAGTCTGAAAGGCTTTCGTCTGTTGTATTCAACAGACATTTCCAAGCACCTGCTGTGTGTCAGGCATTACGTTGCACCGTTGTTGCAGAAATTATTTAAACCTTAGCTCAATCCAAGTAGGCTTTCAGGTAACAATTACGATGCAAGTGGGCTCCATCCATATACAAGAGGAACAAGGAGGGGCAGCAAAAGAAAGGCCGTATCGGCCGGGGGTGGTGGCTCACGCCTGTAATCCCAGCACTTTGGGAGGCTGAGGCGGGCGGATCACTTGAGGTCAGTTTGAGACTAGCCTGGCCAACATGGTGAAACCCCGTCTCTACTAAAAATACAAAAAATTAGCTGGGCGTGGTGGCGCATGCTTGTAATCCCAGCTACTTGGGAGGCAGAGGTTGCAGTGAGCAAAGATGGCACCACCACACTCCAGCCTGAGTGACATAGTGAGACGCCATCTCAAAAAAAAGGCCGTATCTTCTGACGTTCAGTTCTGGCACTCGGGAGTGTCAGGTTCTTACAGGCAAGACTTTGTGGAGATACTGAATTTAAGTTGGGCTCTGAAGAATGATTTTGCCAAGTGAAACTGTGGAAAGGGCATTACAGGCAGAAGGAATGGCTTGAGCAAACCACAGAACCTGTAAAGTGCAAGGTTATCCTGAACAGCAGAGCACCTGGGTGGCAGTGGCTAACACCCAGGCAATGGAGGGAGGAGTCAAAGATGAGAAATTCCAGATACCTCAGAGCCCAAGCATGAAGGAGCATGAACCTGTGCTTCTGTAGCGTATACTAACTCTATTCTACAAGCAACGAGGGCTTAATACAGGCTTTTAAAATAACCTTTATTTTTTAAAAGTTAGTATGTGCATTATAGGAAATTGAAAAACACAAGCAAAGAACAAAGTCATTCACAATCACAAGCAGTTTATAGTTTGACATATTCTTCTAGATCCTGTGTGTAGGCACAACATCCAATTTTATGGGACTGAGACTGTACAGTATGTATCATGATTTTTCACACATCATGAATATTTACCAATTCAAAATCCCAAAGCTATATGAGTATTCTGATAACCAAGAATACACTACACCAACTCAAACTGCTAAAAAAAAAAAAAAAGATGTAATCCTGCCTTTCTTGGGACAGAAATTTCATATAAGACAAAAATGGCAACACGCCTCTAGATAAAAGCATTGGCAGAGTTCTGATTTAAATGCTGCATTCCCTTAATGCTCAATTTAAAATGAAACACACAGCAACAGAATACAGTATGTTTTTAAGAGAATTCATTAGCAGATCTATACCATTAAAATATTAGCAAAGTGTATTTCCATTGAATTAATGTGTTCTTATAGTACAGCCAAGAGATGCATACATCAATGGCTATCAAAATGTAAATATGGACATATATGGACACATCTGCATACATCTCTACCTGTATAATTCCTTCTGCCCCTCTGCTGCCAACCTAATGAACAAGTCCTGACATACACTGCTCAGAGGTGGCTTAACAATTCCATGTCCAAGATGTATCCTATCAATTATAACAAAGGTATTTACAAATAGGCTAATTCACTAGCTCTAGTTTTTATCATAAGTTGTCACCCCATTCGTAAAGCTTAGATGTTGCAAAATAATAACTTTGTCCACAATGAACACAGGCACTTTACTAAAAACGCTCTTGTAGACCTGTGGTTATCATCTAAAACCATCGTCTAGATATGGAGATACTAGCAAAGAGCCCTTCCCTTCACCCTTCCTCTTCTCCCTCTTCCACCATCCCCGTGACTAAGTACAGGATGTCTAGCTCCAAGGGGTGGACTAATAAAGGTCACTCCCAGAGGACAGGCCTTCCTAAAAACTAACAAAAGGACATTCACAAAGGGACTGATTTACTACATCTATTTTTAACATACTTTGAGCATTAAGACTTATCCTTTAATACACAATATTAACTAAAATGCACATATAGAACAATGGTTAGACCATCTGAACTAATCTCAGGAGCACAGAACCCCTCTCCCTGCATACCTCCTCTGCCCACCCCCCCTTCCCCCACCCCAAACACCCAATGAATAGTCTGCATTCGCTCCTAAGCATCAAGTTTTAACAATTCCATTCCCAAATGCAACCACTCCTAGGAAGTACTGAAAACAAATGCTTAGAGGGGTGTTACTTAAGCCCTCTACTGTTAACCTACATTGTGCACTTTTTTTTTTGAAACGGAGCCTCGCTCTGTCGCCAGGCTGGAGTGCAGTGGTGCGATCTTGGCTCACTGCAACTTCCGCCTCCCAAGTTCAAGCGATTCTCCTGCCTCAGCCTCTCGAGTAACTGGGGCTACAGGTGGGCACCACCACGACCAGCTAATTTTTGTATTTTTAGTAAAGATGGGGTTTCACCATGTTGGCCAAGATGGTCCTGATCTCTTGACCTCGTGATCCGCCTGCCTCGGCCTCCCAAAGTGCTGGGATTACAGGCATGCGCCACTGCGACAGGCCGTTGTACACTTTTAAACACCTAGAAAGACTAGATGTTTCAAACTGGACTTAAGTTTTCCATTATATACACAGTAGCATTGAATAAATGGTATACATACATAACACAGACTGTAATTTGAGTGTCTTCTAAATAGGAACATTCTGGCCTAGAACCCTTCCCTTTCCCACCTCTACCAACCCCGTGGACAGCTATAAGCCATCTGTAATGCTTAGGGGGGGTTTTAACAATTTCACTTGTTTTTAAGAAGTCTTCCCTATGAATTTTAACACAAAGTGTACTCAATGTAGTAGTTTACTAATTCTACTTTTGTCATATACTGGCAACCTTTTTAACATCGACTAGACGTAAATTAGGACTCCTATGTCCGCTTATATACACTATATACACAGCACAGTAAATGAAAATGCAGACATAAGGGACAATGGTCAATGTGCCTCCTCATAAACACACTGGACACTGGTAGAAAGCCCTTTGCACTTTGTGCTCCTCCTTCCCCCTGAACCAGCACAAATATCAAAATGGGTACTGCTCAGAGAATTGATCAATTTCCAAGACAATATTTCATATCAAAAGGATAGCTACAAAATGTGTTATTTACTACCTCTACTTTTAACATACTTTGTGCACTTCTAAACATCTAGAAAGACTAGATGTTTCAAATAAGGACTTAAGTTTGTCCGCTATATACACAGTAGGGTTGAATAAACTACACACATGTAACAATGGTTATATCTGATAGTGTCTTCTAAATACGAACATTCTGGTCTAGAACCCTTCATTCCTTCCAACTCCTCTCCACCACCAACCTGATGGATATAGGCACGTGTCACTTAGAGCTGATGTTATCTCACTTCCAAAAGTCCTTTTCAGAAGACAGCCTTTCTACAAATTTTAACAAAGTGTACAAAATGTGTTAGTTTACTAACTCTACTTCTGTCATACATTGGCAACCTCTTTAATATCTAGAGACTAGATATTATAAAATCGGGACTAATTTGTCCGTTATATATACAATATATACAGTATAGCAAAGTTAAATGAAATGCATGTAACATATACACAATGGATTAAGCTGAAATTTTCTAATAAACAATGGCAAAACACCATTTGCAATTTCTTCCCTCCCACCTCCCAGGTGGTTCAACAATTCCACTTCCAAACAGCATTTCCCATCAGTTTTTAAAAGCTATTTACAAAGTGTTATTCTACTACCACTTTTAAATACATCAAGCACTTCCAAATATCTAGAAAGACTAGATATTTCATATAACTTGTCCACCACATACACAGCACTGTTAAATAAAATTGCACACACATAACAATGGTTATCATCTGAGGTATCTTCTAAATGTGGCCATTTTGGCCTTGAATCATTCCCTCCTCCCTTCCTTCTCTGCCTTCAATCCAGTGGACAAGTACAGGCACGTGTAATGCTTAGAGATGGTCAAACAAATTCCTATGCAAAAGTCTTTACAGAAGACAAGTTTTCCTACGAATTTCAACACAAAGTGTACAAAATATGCTAATTTTACTCCTTTGTCATACACTGGCAACCTCTTTAACATCTAGAGACTAGATGTTGAAAAATTAGGACTATTTGTCCATTATATATACTATATACAGAGCAAAACAAAATGCACAAAACATATAGAAAAATGGTGTCTGAAAATGTCCAAGTATGAACACACTAGTAATATTACCTTTTGCAATTTCTTCCCTCCTACCTCCTCTAAACTATTGAACAAGTATAGACATTACTATACTGTTCACAAAGGTGGCTTCACAATTCAATTTCCAAAAGCATTTCCTATGAATTTTAGCAAAAAGATATTTACAAAGTGGTATTTTACTACCTATACATTTAACATACATCGGGCACTTCTAAACATCTAGATAGACTAGATGTTTCAAGTAAGGAGTTAATTTGTCTACTATGTATACAGCAGTCTTGAATAAACTGCAAACATGTAACAACAGTTATAATTTGAAAGAGTCTTCCAAATGTGAACATTCTGGCCTAGAACCCTTCCCATCTCCATCAACCCAGAAGACATCAAATTTTCAGAAGACAATCTTTCCTAGGACTTGTAAAACAAAATGTACAAAATATATTAGTTTACTAACTCTACTTTTGTCATACACTGGCAACCTCTTTAACATCCAGAAAGACTAGATGTTGTCAATTAGGACTCGTCTGTCCTTTATGTACACTATATACACAGATAAGTAAAACAAAATGCACAGACATAATGATTCATCTTGCCTCGCTGTAAACAGGATGGCATAGAGCTCTCTGCACCTCCCCCTCCTCTCTCCTCCCCTGAACCACTGCACAAACACAATGAGTATTACTCAACAGGTGATTTGGCCATTCCCCCCCAAAAATATTTCCTATGAATTGTAACAAAAAGGTATTTACAAAATGTGATTTTGCTACCTCTAATTTTAACATATCAGGCACTTCAGAACATCTAAAAAGAAGAGACATTTCAAAAAAGCTTAGCATTGTCAACTATATACACAGTAGTGAGGAATAAAATGCACACAAAACAATGGATAGAATATGAAAATGTCTTCTAAATATGACCAGTCTAGCATAGAACCTTCTTCTCTTCCTTCTCAGGTCTTCCAGCTCCATGTCATCTAACCCACTTAACAAACGTGGACGTATCGCTTCCAGAGGCCGTCTTAACAACTCCATTTCCAAAAGTCATCTCCAGAAGACATGTATTTTCTATGATTTCTTTTAAACAAATGAGAATTTACAAGATGTGTAACTTTCTAACTCTATTTTATCATACGTCGGCAACCTCTTTCCATCTAGAAGGGCTAGATGTGACAAATGTTTTCTATTAAAAGGTTGGGGTGGAGTTGAGAGCAGCTTTTTCATATTATATACACAGGCCTTCCATAAACGGCCAGTAAATCTTCCCAGAGGGTGGTGGGCATTTCCAACGGGCCAAACGTGGCCTGTCATTCTACCATTTCTCTCTTCCGACAGCAAAGTCTGGTAGAATGAAGACCAACCGCCCGATGGCCGCTAACCGTTCCACCCGTCGTCGTTCGGGACTTCGCTCACCTTCCAGGCCCCTTAAGGCCTTTGTCCGTTGTCGTCAGGACTAGGTAGGTCTCGCCCAATGGCGACAGAGTGGTCACCCGGGAACCGGATCTGCGCGGCTCCGTGGCCTAAAGAGGCGGCCGAGCCTGCTTGCGTCCCTAGGCCGCCTTCCCGGGCCGTCCACGCCTTAATGGCCTCCGCCGCGCGGCGTTCGAGCTGCCGCCATACTTCCCGGCCCACCACGCCCAGCGCCGCCCAAAGGCGCTGCGTCCCGGCGGCTCTGCGGGGGTTTCGTCGAGGCTTGGGTCGGGAGACCCGGGTGCCGGCGGGGTCCGGGCTGGGAGACGCCACGGCCGCCATTAGTCACCGAGGTGGGGTGGGAAAGAGAGGTTCGCTGCGGCTTCAAGGTCTGGGCACAGCCAGTGGGCGGGCACAGCCAGTGGGCAGCCACAGCAGAGGCCTCCGTTATCTGCAGGGCAGAGGGCTCGGCCTGTCCCGGGGCCCCCCAGTTCACCCGCCGGCCCGGGGCCGGAGGGCCTGGAGGGCCCTGGAGGAGCGGGCTGCGTTCTGCGTCTCTCCGCGATCTCTGCCGGACCGGAACTGACTTGGCAGTTCTCTGCGCTGGCAAGAGAGGAGCGGTACCGGAAGTGCCCTTGCGCTGGGGGCCCGCGAGCCGTGGTTCCGGGTCTGCAATGTTCCGGCGTGGGGGTGGGGAATGGGGAATGGGGTGTGGTCACGTGGGGTTAGGGCCCCCTCCACCCCGCTTGCTCTTCGCAACGGAAATTGCTACTGGCCTCAGAATTCCCTGAGCAAACGTTGCTTCTCTATCTCCTTACTCCTCCGGTGCTGGATAAGAAGACTCCAATATTTCATTTATTGACTCATTTACCACCTGTTTACCGAGCACCTATGTGCCTCTAAGCACGGGGGAGTGCAGCAGTAAAGAAAAAAACACAGGAAAATTTCTGCTCTCCTAAAATTTACATTCTAGTAAGGGAAACAACAATAAACAAGATCCTTAAAATGCATAAAAGGGTAGATAGCGAAAGTGCTTTGGAAACATAAAAAGGAAAGAGGAATATGAAGTGCAGGTGCGGAATGCTTTATAGTACGGCCAGGTGACTCTGGAGCAGAGACCCGAAGGAGGCGAGGGGATGAGCCATGCTTGGAGATGTCTGTAGGGGAACAGCTTATGCACAGGCCACAAAGCCGAAGCATGTGGGCCAGGCCTGTTCCAGGAACAGCAAAGAGGCTGGGGAAGAGAGGAGAGAAATGGGACCATGGGAGGGAGTTGAACTGCAGTGCGGGAGAGCTGAAGTGGAGGCAGGGGCAGAAGCAGGGAGACCTGATAACTGACTGTTGCAATCAAGCAGGTGAGCTATGATAGGGACTTATGCCAGGGCGACGACAGCAAAGGGGGCAAAAAGTGGTTGAATTCAGGGGTTGACATAAGCTCAAGTCTATAAGATTTGCTGACGGACCAGATGTGAAGTGGGAGAGCGAGAACTGAAAGATGACTCCACACTTTTTGGCCTGAGCAAATGAAAAGGCAGCCGCCTTAAGTGAGATGGAAGAAACCATGGGAGGAGCAAGCTTTGGGGAGAACACCAGGAGCTGAGTTTTAGGCATGTTAAGTTTGAGATGTCTGTTTGACATTCAAGTGGAAATGTCAAGCAGACAGATGGATTTATGAGTCTGGCATTCAGGGAAAGGTTTGAACTGGAGATGAATCTTTGGGAGTCGTCAGCATATAGATGTCTTTAAAACCTTGAGGCTGCATGAGAGAACCAAGAGAGGGACAAGGTCTGAGGTCTGATCCCTGGGTAACGTTTACAGGTCAGGGAATGAGAAGGAACCAGCAAAGGAGACTGAGAAGCGACCAGGGTGGTAGGAGAACAACCAGGAGAGTGTGGTGTCCTGGAAGTAAATGAGGAAAGTGTTTCAAGGGGAATTTATCAACAGTGTCAAATGCTGCTGATGTGTCAATTAAGATAAGGTTGGAAATGACACTTCCAGCTTTTAGAATTAATGCTGTGATGAACTTCCTCGTGAATTTTCACATTTTGTGTAGACTTCTGAATTCCTTTGGGTTTTTTTGTTTTTTGTTTTAGATGGAGTCTTGCGCTGTCACCTAGTCTAGAGTGCAGTGGCGCGATCTTGGCTCACTACAACCTCCACCTCCCAGGTTGAAGTGATTCTCCTACCTCAGCCTCACGAGTAGCTGGGATTATAGGCGCCCGCCACCGCGCCCAGCTAATTTTTGTATTTTTGAGTAGAGACGGGGGTTTCACCATGTTGGCCAGGCTGGTCTCGAACTTCTGACCTCGTGATCCACCTGCCTTGGCCTCCCAAAGTGCTGGGATTACAGGCGTGAGCCACCGCCCCCAGCCTCTGAGTTCCTTTGTTTGTATTTGTATTTTTATTTTTTTTTTTTGAGGCAGAGTCTTGCTCTGTTGCCCAGGCTGTAGTGAAATGGTGCGATCTTGACTCACTGCAACCTCCACCTCCTGGGTTCAAGTGATTCTCCTGCCTCAGCCTCCCAAGTAGCTGGGATTACAGGCACTCGCCACCAGGCCAGGCTAATTTTTTGTATTTTTAGTAGAGACGGGGTTTTACCCTGTTGGTCAGGCTGGTCTCGAACTTGTGACCTCAGGTGATCCACCCACCTTCGCCTCCCAAAGTGCTGGGATTACAGGTGTGAGCCACCGCACCTGGCCTGCATTTTTATTATTTTTAAAATTATTTATTTATTTATTTATGTTTGAGACAGGGTCTCGCTCTGTCATCCAGGCTGGAGTGCAGTGGTGCCATCTCGGCCCACTGCAACCTCCAACTCCTGAGTTCAAATGATTCTCCTGCTTCAGCCTCCCAAGTAGCTGGGACTACAAACGTGTGCCACCATGCCCAGCTAATTTTTGTATTTTTAGTATAGATGAGATTTCACTGTGTTGGCCAGGCTGGTTTCAAACTCCTGACCTCAGGTGATCCACCTGCCTCGGCTTCCCAAAGTGCTGGGAGTACAAGCATGAGCTACCACCACTGGCCCTGAGTTCCTTTGGATACAATTCTGGAAATGTAAAGAAAGATCAAAGGATTAAGACTCTTGATGCAGACTCAGACATGATTCCCAGGAGGAAAATCCTGCAGTCAGAAAGGCCTTGCTGGTGGAAGGTGGACAGGAGAGGTGGCGAGAAGTCCAGGGGCTCTAGTCCACAATGAGATGACAAGGCCCTGAGCCAGGAGAGTTGCACAGAAGTAGAAAACCGGTGAAGTGAGTGTTTCTAGCATTTCAAGAGAAGAAGCCAGTGGGCTGAATACCTGAGAGAAGAGGGAGGAGGGGAAGGAAGAGCCATGGATTATACAAGTTTCAAACACTAGCGCTAATGGGTAGTTTGGTAGTTGATACATTAGCCAAGACAAGGAGTAGGAGAGGCTCCTGGTCCCCTTTCTGAGCTTCCCACCGCCTAAGCAGCCAAACATGTGGGTATTCCTGGAACCTAAAGATGAGGATGATGAAAAACATGTATACATCCTGCTTTCTTTTTCTTTTTCTTTTATTATTTTTTTTCCGAGACGCAGTCTTGCTGTGTCTGGGCTGGAGTGAAGTGGTGTGATCTCGGCTCCCTGCAACCCTCGCCTCCCAGGTTCAAGCGATTCTCCTGACTCAGCCTCCTGAGTAACTGGGATTACAGGCACGTGCCACCACATCCCTTTAATTTTTGTATTCTTAGTAGGGATGGGATTTCACCATGTTGGCCAGGCTGGTCTGGAACTCTTGACCTCATGATCCGCCCACCTCGGCCTCCCAAAGTGCTGAGATTACAGGCATGAGCCACTGTGCTCAGCATACATTCTGCTTTCTACCTGATAGCTCTACTTGAATGTTCCAACAGTATCTGAAACTCCTCTTGTGCAAAACAAAACTCTTGGTATCTCCCCAGAGCCTGCTCTTCCCTATCAGTAAATGGCAGTATCATCCACCTGTTTCCCAAGTAATATGGTTTGGCTGTGTCTCCATCCAAATCTCATCTTGAATTGTACTCCTATAATTCCCACACGTTATGGGAGGGACCCAGTGGGAGATAATTTGAGTCATGGGGTGGTTCCCTCATACTGTTCTCATGGTAGTGAATAAGTCTCATGAGATCTGATGGTTTTATCAGGGGTTTCCGCTTTTGCATCTTTCTCATTTTCTCTTGCTGCTGCTGTGTAAGAAGTGCCTTTCACCTCCTGCCATGATTCTGAGACCTCCCCAGCCATGTGGAAATGTAAGTCCGATTAAACCTCTTTTTCTTCCCAGACTCGGGTATGTCTTTATCAGCAGCGTGAAAATGGACTAATACACCAAGTAATTCTCGATCTCCCTTGATTCCCCATTCTCTCACTTCCCACACGGCAACCATCCCCAGTCCTATCTGCCTCCTAAATATATTTCAAATACAGCCAATTCCCTGTGCTGTCCATTATAGTAGCCACTAGCTACGTGTGCCTATTTAAATTGTAATTCATTAGAATGACATGAAATTAAAAATTCAGTTCTTCAGCCACACCACCCTCATTCCAAGTGCTCAAGAGTCACAGGGAACTAGGAGCCAGTGGCTACCATATGAGCACAGGTGGAGAATGTTCCCACCATCCCAGGAAGTCCCATTGACAGTGCTGATCTGTATCCAAATCCAAGCTAGCAACGTCTTTCATTTGGATGACTCTAATAGCCCCTTAATTGTTGTTGTTCTGGTTTCTACTGCTCTCCCTTTCTAATCCGTTCTCCCTACAGAAGCCAGAATGAACTTTTAATCAAAAATCAGATCTTATAACTCTCCTGTTTAAGCCTTCAGTGGCTTTTCATCACACTTAGAACAAAATCAAACTTATTTCCACGACCACTGCCTTCCATGACCTGCCCTTTGACCTGCCCTTTGTGTCCCTCGTGCCTCATCTTTGTTTTTTTTTTTGTTTTTGTTTGAGAAGGATCTCAATCTGTCACCCAGGCTGCAGTGCAGTGCAGTGCAGTGGTGTGATTATGGCTCACTACAGCCTCGTCCTCCCTGGGCTCAGGTGATCCTCCTGCCTCAGACTCCCAAGTAGCTAGGACTATAGACACACGCCACCATGCCCAGCTAATTTTTATATTTCTTGTAGAGAGAGGGTTTTGCCATGTTGCCCAGGCTGGTCTTGAACTGAGCTCAAGCCATCCACCCTCCCCAGCCCGTCCCGGCCTCCCAAAGTGCTGGGACTTTAGGCATTAGCCACTGCCCCCAGCTTCATGCCCCATCTTGAGCCACTCTCTCCCTGTCTCGTTATATGCCAGCCACGCTAGTCTCCTTGCTGTTCCTTCCACTCTCTGAGCTCTTCTCTGCCTCAGGGCCTTTCCACATGCTGTCTACCTGGAAGACTCTTCACCTCTTCACTGGGTTTGGCAAGGCTAAGTTTCTTCTCATCCTATAGGTCTCAGCTCCAATGTTATCTCTTTAGACAGCCTTTCCTGGCCGCCCTTTCTCCAGGCGGTCTCTTCCAGTTATCATCACATTGCCCTACTTATTTCCTTCCTTCATTTTTCAAAAATCTCATTATTTTATTAATAGTAATGAACATTTCTGCACATTTCTTATATGCAAGGCACTGTACTGAGGACTTGGCTTTATATGCCTCACTATATTTATTTATTTATTTTGAGATGGAGTCCCACTCTGTCACCTAGGCTGGAGTGCAGTGGTGTAATCTCAGCTCACTGCAAGCTCCGCCTCCTGGGTTCAAGCGATTCTCCTGCCTCAGCCTCCCTAGTGTCTGGGATTACAGGCATGCACCACCACGCCTGGCTAATTTTTGTATTTTTAGTAGAGATGAGGTTATGCCATGTTGGCCAGGCTGGTCTTGAACTCCTGACCTCAAGTGATCCTCCTGCCTTGGCCCCCCAAAGTGCTGGGATTACAGGTGTGAGCTGCCACAGCTGGCCTGCTTTGTCTATTTTTAATTTAATTAATTTAATTTTGAGACAGGGTTTCACCCTCTCACCCAGGCTGGAGTGCAGTGATACGATCGTAACTCTCCACAGCCTCGAATTCCTGAGCTCAAGAGATCCTCCTTCTCCAGCCTCTGGAGTACCTGGGACTACAGGAGTGCATCTCCACACCCTGGCTAATTAAAAAAAAAAAAAAAGTTTTTTTTTGTTGTTGAGACAGAGTTTCACTTTGTTGCCCAGGCTGGTCTTGAACACCTGGCTCTAAGCAATCCTCCCACCTCAGCCTCCCAAAGTGCTGGGATTACAAGCATGAGCCACCATGCCCTGCCTATCTATTAATTTACTAGTTTATTTTCTGTTCTGGTTTTCACCTATGTCCCTGGCACTCAGCACAGTGCCTGGTATGCAGTAGGCATTAATAATTGTAAAGAAATTAATTAATTGAGCACATACTGTGGGCCAAGCACTGTGCTCAGCACTGTACATATATTGTCTCATTTAACCTGCACAGCAATCCTGTGAAGTAAGTGCTACTACTCTCCTCCTTTTACAGAGGAGAAGCTATGTCACTTGTCTAGTTCTCAGAAAAAAACTAGGATTTTAATCCAACTCATCTGACTCCCAAGCTCCCTGGGAAGGCACTATAGGGGATTTAGAAGTCTGAGTACACACAGCCTGAAACCACCCACAGCTCAGACTAGCAGCAGGGAAACTAAAGTATTCCTTTCTTGAAGGGCTTTCTATTTCAGATCAGGCCACAGATTCTGGTGTGTCACTGCTCAATCAGGAGGCAGATTCAGGACCTGGGTCAGGGCTTAGGCTTGGACAGAGTCAAGAAAGCTAAATGGCTGGGTGCCGTGGCTCATGCCTGTAATCCCAGCACTTTGGGAGGCGGAGGAGGGCAGATTGCTTGAGGCCAGGAGTTTGAGACCAGCCAGACCAACATGGCAAAACCTCGTCTCTACTAAAAATACAAAAATGAAGCTGGGCACAGTGGTACACGCCTGTAATCAGCACTTTGGGAGGCCAAGGCAGGCAGATCACCTAAGGTCAACAGTTCGAGACCAGCCTGGTCAACACAGTGAAACCCCATCTCTACTAAAAATACAAAAATTAGCCTGGAATGGTGGCTGGCGCTTGTAATCCTAGCTACTCGGGAGGCTGAGGCAGGAGAATTGCTTGAGCCTGGGAAGCGGAGGTTGTAGTGAGCCAAGATCACGCCACTGCATTCCAGCCTGGGCACTGAGCGAGACTCTGTTTCAAAAAAAAAAAAAAAAACACCCAAAACAAAAACAAAAATGAGCCAGTGTGATGGTGTACGCCTGTAATCCCAG
Organism: Homo sapiens; assembly: GCF_000001405.40. Classification (NCBI taxonomy): domain Eukaryota; kingdom Metazoa; phylum Chordata; class Mammalia; order Primates; family Hominidae; genus Homo; species Homo sapiens. The sequence goes on from NC_000020.11 coordinate 36,057,655, forward strand.
CTACTTGGAAGGCTGAGGCAGGAGAATCACTTGAACCTGGGAGGCGGAGGCTGCGGTGAGCTGCAATCGCATCACTGCACTCCAGCCTGGGCAATAGAGGGAGATTCTGTCTCAATAATAATAATAATAATAATGGCTGGGCATGGTGGCTCATGCCTGTAATCCCAGCATTTTGGGAGGCTGAGGCGGGTGGATCACCTGAGGTCAGGAGTTTGAGACTTGGGAAACAAAGGCAGTGCAACATCTGTACCTTCCCGGGCCTGGGCATACAGTCCCACCATTATTGCTATTAGCATTTGTCTGCACTGAGGCAGATCTAATTGTCATCAGGGCTCTGGAAAACAGGTGGTGTTGGGGGGGTGTCCCATAAAGTCCACTTAGGATCATCATTATTTTTTTATTTTTTATTTTTTTTGAGATGGAGTCTTGCTCTGTTGCCCAGGCTGGAGTTCAGTGGCTCGATCTCAGCTCACAGCAAGCTCCGCCTCCCGGGTTCATGCCATTCTCCTGCCTCAGCCTCCTGAGTAGCTGGGACTGCAGGTGCCTGCCACCACACCCGGCTAATTTTTTGTATTTTTAGTAGAGACGGGGTTTCACCGTGTTAGCCAGGATGGTCTCAATCTCCTGACCTCATGATCCGCCCGCCTCGGCCTCCCAAAGTGCTGGGATTACAGGCATGAGCCACCGCGCCCAGCCAGGATCATCATTATTATCATTGCTTGAACGTGGGATTTGGTTTTGCCCTACTACAGTTTCTCAAACTTGAATCGTTTCTAAATCAGCCTAACAACTTTTTCCATATCCATGTACCACAATGTGTCAGTCCATTCAGGCGGTTAGAACAAAATACCATCAATTGAGTGGCTTATAAACAACAGTAATTTATTTCTTACAGTTCTGGAGGCTGGGAAGTCTAAGATCAAGGAAATGGCAGATTCTGTGTCTGGCGAAGGCCCAGTTTTTTTTTTTTTTTTTTTTTTTTTTTTTTTTTTTTTTTTTGAGACGGAGTCTTGCTCTGCCACCCAGGCAGGAGTGCAGTGGCACGATCTCAGCTCATTGCAACCTCTGCCTCTTGGGTTCAAGCAATTCTCCTGCCTCAGCCTCCTGAGTAGCTGGGATCACAGGTGCCTGCCACCATGCCCAGCTAATTTTTGTATTTTTAGTAGAGACAGGGTTTATTTCTTTCTTTTTCTTTCTTTCTTTTTTTTTTTTTTTTTGAGATGGAGTTTCGCTCTTCTTGCCCAGACTGGAGTGGAATGGCGCGATCTGGGCTCACTGCAACCTCTGCCTCCCAGGTTCAAGCGATTCTCCTGCCTCAGCTTCCCGAGTAGCTGGGATTACAGGCTCCTGCCACCATGCCTGCTAATTTTTGCATTTTTAGTAGAGACGGTATTCCACCATGTTGGCCAGGCTGGTCCTGAACTCCCAACCTCAGGTGATCCGCCCACCTTGGCCTCCCAAAGTGTTGGAATTACAGGCGTGAGCCACCGTGCCTGGCCCGGCCTCTTTTATAACATTGATCCCATTCATGAAGGCTCTTCTCCCACGATCTAATCACTTCCTAAGGGCCCCACCTCTTAATACCATCACTGTGGGGGTTAGGATTTCAACATAGGAATTTGGGGGTGAGGGGTCACAAACATTCAGACCATAGCACATCAGTACCAGTTTCTACTTAATACCGCTCTATGAATTGACTAATTTCGCCCAACTGTTGCTACATTAACCTTGTCCTCAGCAGTATTTGTGAAATCATCAAGTTGACATGCTAGTTATATGTTTTCCTAATATACATTAAAGTAAATATATAACTCTTTAAAAAATGTTCTTCTGGGTTGCACTTGAAATCATCTCGGTGCAACCAGTGGAACCCAAACCACACTTAGCAAAGCAATTAGTGTCAAAGGGACACAGGCAACAGCCGAAAAAGCTCCCAACCAGGCGCAGTGGCTTGCACCTGTAATCCCAGCACTTTGGGAGGCTGAGGCAGGTGGATCTCCTAAGGTCAACAGTTTGAGACCAGCCTGGCCAACATGGTGAAACCCCATCTCTACTAAAAATACAAAAATTAGCCAGGCATGGTGGAGCACGCCTGTAGTCCCAACTACTCGGGAGGCTGAGGCAGGAAAATCGCTTGAACCCCGGAGGCGGAGGTTGCAGTGAGCTGAGATCGCGCCACTGCACTCCAGCCTAGGTGACAGAGAAGACTCCATCTAAAAAAAAAAAAAAAAAAAGCTCCCAATGGCCAAAGCTGGAACAATTTGAGCAACAAAATAACATAGTATTGGGATAAAGTTCAAAGTATAAACCAAATATCCATGAGTCCATACTGTTATAAATGATTAAATAAATAAATGAGGGAGGGCTGGGCGCGGTGGCTCACGCCTGTAATCCCAGCACTTTGGGAGGCTGAGGCAGGCAGATCACCTGAGGTCGGGAGTTCAAGACCAGCCTGACCAACATGGAGAAACCCCGTCTCTACTAAAAATACAAAATTAGCCAGGCGTGGTGGCGCATGCCTGTAGTCCCAGCTACTTGGGAAGGCTGAGGCAGGAGAATCTCTTAAACCTGGGAGGCGGAGGTTGTGGTGACCCAGTGTTGTGCCATTGTACTCCAGCCTGGGCAACAAAGTGAAACTCTGTCTCAATAAATAAATAAATAAATAAATAAATAAATAAATAAATAAGGGAGAAGAGACAAATGATCCTTAAAGAAGAATTCTAGATAATGTAGGTAGATACAACCCCTTCAGGTTGTGGAGCTTAATTCTCCCATTGAGTGTGGGCTGCACTTAGTAACTTGCTTCCAAAGAGTGGAAAGGGAGGAAAAACAAGCAACTTCCCAGGGGAGAAACTGGACAGACACTCGCTTGGCCAGGTAATCAAGTCATGTCGCTAACATGTATCCTGATGAAGTCATGTCAATAACATGTACCTATGATTTGATGAGAAGAGCAGTTTACCTCTATGACATGTTTCCCCAAACTCATAACCCCAGTCTAACTATGAGAAAAGCATCAGATGAACCCAAATTGAGGGGCACTCTGTAAAATACCTGTCCAGTACTCCTCAAAGCTGTCAAGGTCTTAAAAACCAAGAAATGCCTGAGTAATTGTTACAAGCCAGAAGAAACTAAAGGGACATGATGACTAAATGTAGTGTGGTGTCCTAGAAGGGACTCTGGAGCAGAAAACAGGTGGAATTTAGTTCATAGGAATGTACCAGTGTTGGTTTCTTAGTTGTGACAAATGCCATAGTAATGTAAGGTGGTAATAATAGGGGAAGCAGGGTGAGGGCTATACAGGAACTCTCTGTACTCTTGAGTATGATGGTTAAGTTCATGTGTCAACATGGAGGGTGGTTTTGGATGATATTAGCATTTAAATGGTTGAACTTGGGTGTGGGCGGGCCTCATTTGATCAGTTGAAGGCCTGAATAAAACAGAAAGACTGGCCTCCCTAAGCAAGATGGAATTCTCCGGCAGGCTGCCTTCAAACTGCACCATTGGCTCTCCTGGGTCATCAGCCTGCAGGCCCACACTGTGGGATTCGGGCTTGCCAGCCTTCATAATTAGGTAAGCCAATTCTTTATGATAAATCTCTTTTATGCACACACACACCGTATTGGTTCTCTTTCTCTGGTGAGCCCTAACACAATGGGAAATTTCTGTACTCTAAATCAAAGACTTACATTTATTTTCTGTAAATGTAAAATTATTTTAAAATAATAAGTTTATTTTAAAAAGAGAGAAGGCTGGGTGCGGTGGCTCATGCCTATAATCCCAGTACTTTGGGAGGCCGAGGTGGGTGGATCACCTGAGGTTGGGAGTTTGAGACCAGCCTGGCTAACATGGTGAAACCCCATCTGTACTAAAAATACAAAAATTAGCCAGGCGTGGTGGCGCATGCCTGTAATCCCAGCTACTTGGAAGGCTGAGGCATGAGAATTACTTGAATCCATGAGGCAGAGGTTGCAGTGAGCCGAGATCACGCCACTGCACTCCAGCCTGTGCAACAGAGCGAGACTCTGTCTCAAAATAAATAAATAAATAATAAAAAGAGAAAAAAAGAGGCATGAATTTTGAAGTCATGTAGATCCATTTATTTGTTTCCTGTGGGTGCCAAAACAAATTACTACAAGCCTGGTAGCTTAAAACAACAGAAATTTATTCTCTCATAGTTCTGGAGGCCATAAATTGAACATGAGTTTCACTGAGCTGAAGTCAATGTGTTGGCAAGGCTGTATTCCCTCCAGATGCTCTGGGGAAGAATCCGTCTGCCTCTTCCAACTTCTGGTGGCTGCCAACAATCCTTGGCTTGTGGCCACATCAGTCTCTGCCTCCATGGTCACATTGCTTCCTCTTCTTCTGTGTGTGTTGGTCTAATCTTCCTTTCCCTCTCTCTTATAAGGATATGTGTGATGGAATTTAGGGCCCACTTGGCTAATCCTCAATGATATCCTCATCTCAACATTCTTAATCACATCTGCAAAAATTATTTTCTCAAATAAAGTAATGTTTACAGTAGTTTCCAGAGATTAGGACTTGATATATTTGGGTGGCCATTATTCAGCCTACTACACCCTGGCTGTGTGAAATGTAGGACTTTTGTAGTATGAGTAAGCCGGCTCTATACTTAAAAATAAAAACTATGACATAACCTGGTTTTAAAAAATGTTCATCTGGGTTCCACCTGAAATCATCGTATTATGACCACTAGTGAGGTAGGAGGCAGGACTCGAGTCTGGAGGTGGGGTTCAGACACTGGACCAAATTGAGGACTAGCTAAAGCAGGGATGGGGTAGAAGAAGCTTTCCATAAGACATGCCCACCAGTGTGCCATGCCAGTTTACCATTGCCATGGCAACACTCAGAGGTTACTGCCCTTTCCATGGTAGTGACCCAAGACCAAGAAGTTACCACCTTTTTCCTAGAAATTTCTGCATAATCTGCCCCTGAATTTGCATGTAAATAAAAGTGGGTATAAATATGACTGCAGAACTGCGTTTGAGCTGCTACTCTAGGCACACTGCCTATGGGGTAACCCTGCTCCACAAGAAGCAGTACGTCTGCTGCTGCCGAACACTGCCACTTCAATAAAAGTTACTATCTGACATCACTGACTTACCCTTGAATTCTTTCAAGTCAAGAACCCTCCTGGGCTAAGCCCCAATTGGGATCACCTGCCCTGCCTTGGTGGGACCCAAGCCACACTTTGCCAAACAGTGTAAGAGATTGGTCTTAGAGGTCAGAGAGTTCTACATTCTAACTCTGGCAAGCCTGTGACTTTGGTTAAGTCAACATATTCCTTGAAGACTATCTCTTCATCTGTACAAGAGGACACTAGCCCTGACTCAGAGGAATGCTGTCAGAACTCCTGCAGACTGTGAAACAGATGCACAACAAATGATCAGTCACATTCTCCTCCCCCTCCATTTTATAGTTTGTTACACTTCACAAAATATTTTCTACATACAATAATGTTTGATCCCCATAAAATGTGTGAGATAAAGCCAAACGTTTCCTTCTCAGATGGAGAAACTGAGACTTGATGTCAACTGACTTAGCCAACTTTGCCTAACTAGAAGACTAGAAGCAGTGGGTGTCTGAGAGCATAGTCAGCAGAAGCAAAGAGGCAGATGCCCCCCGGAGATGGGGCAGGTTTGCTGATCTGGCATTTGATTTTTTTTTTTTTTTTTTTGAGAGGGAGCTTCACTCTGTTGCCCAGGCTGGAGTGCAGTGGCGCAATTGCGACTCACTGCAACCTCTGCCTCTCAGGCTCAAGGTGATTCTCCTGCCTTGGCCTCCTGAGTAGCTGGGATTACAGGCACCCACCACTACACCCGGCTAGTTTTTGTATTTTCAGTAGAGACAGGCTTTCACCATGTTGGCCAGACTGCTCTTGAACTCTTGACTTCAAATGATCCACCCACCTCGGCCTCCCAAAGTGCTGGGATTACAGGCATGAGCCACTGTGCCCGGCCTGATTTTTTTTTCCATGATTTTCATTACCTTTCTGTCCCCGGTAGGCATTTGAGTTTATGATCCATGATATGTTCCTAACTCTGGTTCACACTGCTATAACTTGATCATAGACTTTTGGACTTGAAGCTGTAATACTCCTGGGGTTCCCCAGTGACAGCCCACCCAGTTTTCCAGTGGCTTCTTGGCCCTGGCTTCTCTGATCTCACAGGCTTCCCCTTCTTCTAAATATTGCAAGGCAAACCCATAGTTTGTCCTCTGGTTTGACCAGGTTCTTGGTTCTGATAGCCCCTTATTCTGAGCCTTCCAGGCAGAGACTCCTACAGGACTCTGCCACCTCAGGACCCAGCATAGGGCTGGGTGTCCTGAAGGTCTGCTAAGGGGACTCATGCTGAGCCTTCGGAAGGTCACAAGGAGAGAACAGAGGGTGGGCTGAGGGTCCACATGCCAACATGTCAGGAGTTGGACTGCTTGGGTTCCAATCCGGCTCCCGCACCTCACTGCCCCTGACCCTGGGCAAATCACCAAACCCTTTGTGATTGGTTTCCTCATCTGTAAAAAGGGAATCATTATAGAACCCCAAAGCAAAATTATAAGGCTCGGGTGAAATACTGTATATAAACCTTTTATTACAGGGCTGGGCACAAGGTGAGTGCTCGCCTTGACATTGTTGCGCCAGATTTCCCTAAGCACATCACTGCATGGCTGTTCTCTCTTCTGGATACGGCCGCCCTTTCTGCCTAGAGACGTTTGATTCTTCCTGGGGGGCGGTGCAGGGTCAGGTGAGCAGCTGGGGCTCCGGAGGGTCTGGGTCTCTGTCACTTCTTGCTGCGTCGCCTTCTGTGAGTCCTTCCCAGCCCCCTAATCATGCCCGCCTGAGCAAGAGGATGAGAAAATGCCGACCCCGTAGCGGGGACTCTGCTGCTGTGCGGGGCGCGGTTCGCCGAACCCACTGGCCGCTTCTAGAGAGTCGGCCCCAGGGCCAGGACCTCCACTTGGCAGGCGCTGGGGCGCCCAGGGGCAGGGCCAGCGCGGGAAAGGCCGCGAGTCCTTCGACCCCCTGGCAGTCTGGGAGCCGGCCGCGGCTGCCATGGCAACGCCCGGAAGCTGCCGGGAGGGGAGGCAGGCCCAGCCGGGACGAGGCCCTGCCTCCAGCCAACGCTCCGCCCAGAACGAAGCCCCGCCCCGGAACGAAGCCCCGCCTCCAGCAACTCTCTGCCCGGAGAGAGGCCCGACAGCTGCGACCCGACTGGTTCTGTCCGAGCCCGACGGGCCGCGCTGACCCAGCGACTGTGCCTGACTGACCACAGGTGCCGCCACCGCCTGATAATACGAGTGTGTCAGCTTCCGTCTGACTGAACGCAGGTTTCATGGGTGCCTGACAGACCAAGACTGCTGGATCTGTCAGCCTGGCCGCAGCTGGCTGACTGGCTGACTGGCTGGCTGGTTGACTGGCTGGCTGACTGGCTGCCTGGCTGGCTGGCTGGCTGGCTGCTCTTGCCCGGCCGCCATCTGGGCCTGACGGGCTGCGTCTGACCGGGCGGCCTATCTGCCTCTGCCTGACCAGCCTCCATCTGTGCTTGGCGAGCTGTGTGACCGGCCGCGACGGTCTGTGTCTGACTGAGCACAAGGTTCCTAGCGGCCGATCAGCTGCTTGACCCCATCTCTGCTGAGCCGGCCGACACCGACGGATTGACTCTGGCAACGCCTGGCCCGAGTGGCGCTACCGGCTTCCAGAGACTTCCTGACCCCTGCCGAGGTTGCACCGCTCAGCGCTGCCCTGTGAGGCGCTGACTGTGGCCGCAGCTGAGTGCGGCTGCCCCTTCACAGACAGGGCGTGCAGAATGACGGTCGCCTGGCTGTCCCTCCCTAGGCGCCCCTGGCTAGCTCGGCTTGCCTGGCAGCGTCTGTGTCTGAGGGACGTGTTGGTGGCCGCCGCTGGCCGCATCTGTCCCCCTGCAGGTGGGCATCAGGTTGCCCCCGTGAAGTGCAGCTGGGGCCGAGCCTGGCTGAAGGACGGCCACCTTCTCTCCAGCTGTCCAGCGAGGGCTTCTGAGGTGGTGCCCTCCGGGGCTCTGTGGCCTGGACCTCTCCAGCCACACACAGTCAGAGCCTTAGGGGATCCCAAGCAAGGGCACCCACAGGGAAGAGAGCCTAAGACAGAGGCCAAGGGACAGGCAGGCAGCAGGGGTGGGACTTCGGGCCAGGCGAGGAACAGCTGGAAGAAGCTCCGGGGCTGGGAGGAGGCCGCAGGACCTTGAGGTGCCGGAGTTTAGGGATCCGATTCTGTAAGGGAGGCAGCACCTTGAGGAGTTGGGTTGGTGTGTGGGGTCCTCAGGACACGATCCCTGACTTTGAATACCTTTTTTTGCGGGTTTTGGGGAAATCTCTGTCAGTGCCTTGCTGCTCTGCAGAAGGGTCATCCCGCAGACCTCAGATCTCTTCCCGAATTAATTAATTTATTTATTTTTATTTATTTTTTTCTTTTTTTGAGATGGAGTCTTGCTCTGTCGTCCAGCCTGGAGTGCAGTGGCCCGATCTTGGCTCACTACAAACTCCGCCTTCCAGGTTCAAGCGATTCTCATGCCTCAGTTTCCCAGGTAGCTGGGATTACAGGTGTGCGCCACCATGCCTGGCTAATTTCTGTATTTTAGCCGGGGGTTTGTAGAGACAGGGTTTTGCCATATTGCCCAGGCTGGTCTCAAACTCCTGGCCTCAAGTGATCTGCCCACCTTGGCCTCCCAAAGTGCTGGGGTTACAGGTATGAGCCACTGCACCCAGCCTCTTCCTGAATTTAAATCTCTCCCAGCCTGTGTGTGTGTGTGTGTGTGTGTGTGTGTGTGTGTGCCAGCCACACCAACCACATGCAATGGCTTCCCCCCTGGAAGGAGTTGTTCTGTACCAGAATAAGGGGGAAGGAAATACTGGTCAGAGGGATTTATTTTTTTAAAGCAAGCATGGGTATGCTATGAGTTATTGCTATTAATAATAATACAATGAAAGCATCAGACTAGTTTATTTCGAACTAGCTCTAGCATGCTAAGATGTTGCCTCTCCATTAATAACAGGGCCCTGGCTGCCTCGTTGATTTCATTATAGGCCATGGGAGGAATGGGAGGAAATGAACAGCTTCACTCCCAAGGGCTTTCATAACATGGATTTGGATCTCAGCCAGTGTGGGCAGTGGGGCTTCCCGGGGGCAGGGGACTCCTGGGGTGCTGGGAAAAAGAGGCAGCAACAAGTTGCATGGAGCATTTGTACCTCATTTATTTATTCATTTATTCAACAAATATTTATTGAGTACCATGTGCCAGGCACTGTGCCAGACTCTCACTCTGTCCTCATGGAGGATAGCCTTATGGGATCCAGGAAACCTCTCCAGTGCCTCCCAACTCTGGTCCTGTCAAAGCCACATGCTGGGTACCAACTGCTTTCTTTCTGAGCTAGCTGCACAGCTAAAATGGGAGAGCTAGTAGAGTACAGTGGTCCTGAAATTGTGGTCCTTGGACGAGCAGTATCTGGACCACCTGGGAACTTATTAAAATACAAATTCTCAGGTCAGGAGATCGAGACCATCCTGGCTAACACAGTGAAACCCTGTCTGTATTAAAAATACAAAAAAATTAGCCAGGCGTAGTGGCGGGCGCCTGTAGTCCCAGATACTTGGGAGACTCAGACAGGAGAATGGCGTGAACCTGGGAGGCGGAGCTTGCAGTGAACCGAGATTGCGCCACTGCACTCCAGCCTGGATGACAGAGCGAGACTCCATCTCAAAAAAAAAAAAAAAAATTATCGGGCCCTATCTCAGATGGACTGAATCAGAAACTATTTTAGTGTAGGGCACAGTGATCTATGTTTTAACAAGCCTCCAGGTCTTGCTGATGTCCTGAGAACCAGGACAAAGTCGTGCTAAAGTCTGAGAACCACTGGTGGAATAATTAATTGTGTTGGCTCTAGTATCACACTGTCCATATCAGAATCTCAATGCTACTACATAAGAGCTGTGTGACTTTGACCAAGTTATTGAATCTTTCTGTGCCTTAATTTTCTCATTTGCATAATTGGTATAATTATGATTACCCTAAACCATTGTTGTACATATTACATCACGTGAAAAGGTTAGCGCACAATTTCAGCTCTAGGAACATATCCTGTGGACATATTTCTTTTCTTTCTTTCTTTTCTTTTCTTTTTTTTTTTTTGAGACAGTTTCGCTTTTTTCACCCAGGCTGGAGTGCAATGGCACAGGCTTGGCTCACTGCAACCTCTGCCTCCCGGGCTCAAGCAATTCTCCTGCTTCAGCTTCCCAAGTAGCTGGGATTACAGGCACCCTCCACCACGCCCGGCTAATTTTGTATTTTTAGTAGAGATGGGGGTTTCACCATGTTGGCCAGGCTGGTCTCGAACTCCTGACCTCAGGTGATCCACCTGCCTCAGCCTCCCAAAGTGCTGGGATTACAGGCATGAGCCACTGTGCCCGGCCCTGTGGACATATTTCTGCATATGCTGAAAGACAAGTGTAAGGGATATTCATTAATTTGTTGTTTATAAACACACTATTTATTTATTTATTTATTTTTGAGATGGAGTCTCGCTCTGTTGCCCAGGATGGAGTGCAGTGGCACGATCTTGGCTCACTGTAACCTCTGCCTCCCGGGTTCAAGCAATTCTGCCTCAGCCTCCCAAGTAGCTGGGATTACAGGCGTGCACCACGGCACACAGCGAAATTTTGTATTTTTAGCAGAGATGGAGTTTTGCCATGTTGGCCAGGCTGATTTCAAACTCCTGACCTCAGATGATCCACCTGCCTTGGCCTCTCAAAGTGTTGGGATTACAGGCATGAGCCACTGCGCCCAGCCAATGCATTCATTTCTGTAAAAAAAAAAAAAAAAAAAAAAAAAAAAATCTTTATAAAATCTTTTTTTTTTTTTGAGACAGAGTTTCACTCTTGTTCCCCAGGCTGGAGTGCAATGGCGCGAACTCGGCTCACCACAACTTCTGCCCCCTGGGTTCAAGTGATTCTCCTGCCTCAACCTCCCAAGCAGCTGGGATTACAGTCATGCACCACCACGCCCGGCTCATTTTGTATTTTTTTAATAGAGACGGGGTTTCTCCATGTCGGTCAGGCTAGTCCCGAACTCTCAACCTCAGGTAATCCGCCCGCCTTGGCCTCCCAGAGTGCTGGGATTACAGGAGTGAGCCACCGTGCCCAGCCTATAAAATCTTTATACAGATACAGGCTCATGTACATCTGAAAGGATACTCAAGGAACTGGTAACAGTGGGAGAAGAAATGGGTGGCTGGAAACAGGAGAAGGGAAACATTTTTACCATACATACACCCTTTTATGACTTTTAGATTTTGCAGTATGTGCATGCATTTTCTATTCACAAAAATGAAATTTTTTAAAAAAGGGGGCAGTACTTAGCACAATGCCTAGCAGTGGTGGCGGTGGTGGTGATAGCCTTTCTGCAGCTCTGGGCAGATGATTCACTGCAGAAATGCAGCCCAGAGATATCTAGAGGCTGGCCATAGCCTCCAGACTGTCCTCCTAGCCTCTCGGTCTCCCTTCTTCATTCTATATGATCCATGTTTCCCCATCGGAGAATCTTTGCATTTTAGAGATGTAAAGGGGCTTCAGATTTTCTAGTGCAACTGTTTTAACGGTGAAGAAACTAAGCCCCCAAAAGATGCCATAACCAGTCCAAGGTTATCAACAGGGTTCAATCTAGGGCCTCTTTTACACCATCCTAAGTTTTCTAAAATTCTGCTGTCATTCCATCACTGCTCTGCCCGTGAATCCTCAACCTGGCTATTAAGACTAGCTGTGGTCTAGGCCAAGCACAGTGGCTTATGCCTGTAACCCCAACACTCTGAGGCCGAGGTGGGCAGATCACTTGAGGTCAGGAGTTTGAGACCAGCCTGACTAACATAGTAAAACCCTGTCTCTACTCAAAATACAAAAATTAGCTGCGTGTGGTAGTGCACATCTATAATCCCAGCTACTCGGGAGGCTGGGGCACAAAAATTGCTTGAACCTGGGAGGCAGAGGTTGCAGTGAGCTCAGAGTCTCGCTCTGTCTCAAAAAAAAAACCCACAAAAAACTAGCTGTGGTTTAACTCCCAACCAAATTTCCAGCCTTATTTGCCACCCTTTTCTTCTATGTGAATCCTCTACCTTAGCCAGATAGTTCTCTTTATTGACTCCAAATGCTCCTGCTTTCCAAATGCCATACTCTCTGCCTGAAATGCCTTTCTCTTTCCTGTCCATTTATTGTGGAGATTCTACCTAAACATGGAAGCTAAGCTTAAATCATACTTCCTTCAGGAAGTCTTCCCTGATTACTTCAGCTCACAGAGCTGTCTCCCTCTGAACTAGTTAAAAAAGTTCTTGTGGCTGGGCGCAGTGGCTTACACCTGTAATCCCAGCACTTTGGGATGTCAAGGCAGGCGGATCACTTGAGGTCAGAAGTTTGACACCATCCTGGCCAACATGGCAAAATGCCATCTCTACTTTAAAAAATACAAAAATTAGCTGGGTGTGGTGGTGGTGCATGCCTGTAGTCCCAGCTACTCGGGAGGCTGAGGTAGGAGAATTGCTTGAACCTGGGAGGCAGAGGTTGCAGTGAGCTGAGATAGTGCCACTGCACTCCAGCCTGGGTGACAGAGTGAGACTCCATCTCAAAAAAAAAAAAAAGTTATTGTAAAAAACTCCTGCTCCTTAAGAGGGACGTAGGATGTTTGTCTGCTTCTTGGGTAATGGGAAATTAACTTGGATAGAGCTCATTCCTCATTCTCTATTTCTGCAGCTATAAAATTGGGCCAATAACCTTAGCCCTCCTTATTGTCTCAGGAAAGCCCTGGGTGAGGATGCCACTGAGCCCGCCTGGAGCCAGGAGCTGGTCTGCAGAAACTGCTGGGCCTGTTTCTACTCTGATGTTTACTTGGCCTGGAGGCCCAGTGTGATGAAACCCGGCCCTGTTGCCGAGCACCTTGGGAAGCCTCCCTCCAGGGTCCCTCTGTGCTCAGACAGTGGCCCTTTGTAGAGTGGAGGAGCAGACTGAAAGCGGAGCTGCTGGAAACCGTTTCCTCCCCTCTGCCTCGAGCAACCTCCTCCCGCAGCCACAGACCATCCTGTGCCTGGGTGGCCTCTGCTTTAAGTCTGCAGCTGGCGGGGTAAGATAGGGTCTCTAGGCAGCCTGCTAGGCTGGAAGGGTGAGGAGGGGTCCTGGCAGGATGGCCAGCTGAAACACAGCATCCCCTAACTCAATACAGATCACTTATAACAGGGCTTTCCAAAGAGGAGACTGGCCCCTTACAGGCAAGATTGACATTTCACCATCCCCTGCCACCACTCAATAAGCGCCTAAGATTTAGGCTAGAAGTGATGTGGTTTGTCCCTTCTGTCCCTACTTCACTGGCCCCTATACTCACTAGCGGGGGGGATTGGGAATCCTTAGACATAATCCCAAACCTGGTGGAGTAGGAGTTCAGTAAGTGGGGAAGAACTAGGAACAAGAGGAAAGAAGGTTTAAGAGTGTGGTATAGGCTGGGCACGGTGGCTCATGCTTGTAATCCCAGCACTTTGGGAGGCTGAGGCAAGCGGATCACTTGAGGTCAGGGGTTTGAGACCAGCCTGGCCAACATGGTGAAACCCCATCTCTACTAAAAATACAAAAATTAGCCAGGCATGGTGGCGGGCGCCTGTAATCCCAGCTCCTCAGGAGGCTGAGGCAGGAGAATCGCTTGAACCCGGAAGGCAGAGGTTGCAGTGAGCCAAGATGGCGCCATTTCACTCCAGCCTGGGCGACAAGAGTGAGACTCCGTCTCAAAAAAAGTGTTGTATAGGTGAAAGGACACTTAACTGGTCTGGGGGGCAGGAAGCCTGGGATTCCATTTCTGCTGAGCTACTGACTTGCTGGGTGACATTAGCTAGTTGTTTCCCTTTTCTATGCTTCAGTTTCCCAGCTGCGAAACTGTGGAGGTGGAGTAAATAAATGTTAAGGATTTTTGCAGTTCTAATTTTTCCCAATTCTTTGATCAGAAGGAGGAAAGGAAAGCTGGGGGTGGGTTGGAGGTAAATAACTGGCAGGATGCCTTCCATGGATTCACCTGCAGTCTCCAGGCAGCTTCTTCTCTGCCACTAAGATCTCTTCCCCTTCCGTTTCTCCCCCTCTTCTTTCCACCCCACTCTGAGGGCTTCTTGTGATGAGATCTAAAAGCTGTCTTACTTACAATTGCTTATACTGTCTTTTGCCCACAAAGGGAGGAGACTGTGCACAATCATGGAGGGCAGTGGCAAGTCTGGTGGAGAGGGAAGGAGGTCAGGAAATAAACGAGAGAGGAAAATTAAGAGGTAAGGATGTGATAGAGGGAAGTATTGAAAGAAAGCTCAGGGAGAGTGAAAAGGAAGGAAAAGGGGAGAGAGAGGAGGTAAAAGTGAAGGAAAGAGGTTGAGTGCAGTGGTTATTCCTGTAATCCCAGTACTTTGGGAGGCTGAGGCAGGTGGATGACTTGAGGCCAGGAGTTCAAGACCAGCCAGGGCAACATGACAAAACCCCATCTCTACAAAAATACAAAAATTAGCGGGACATGGTGGTGTATGCCTGTAGTCCCAGCTACTAGGGAGGCTGAGGTGGGAGGATCACTTGAGCCCAGGAGGTCGAGGCTGCAGTGAGCCATGATGGCACCATTGCACTCTAGCCTGGGTGACAAAGTGAGATCCTGTCTCAAAAAAAAAAAAAAAAAGAAAGAAAAAGAGTGGAATGAAATGGAGAATAAGGAAGGTACAAATGGGAGAGAAAAACAGGAAAAGAAACCATGGGAGAAAACCAGAGCCTGGGCAAACGAACATGCAAGTGGAGACATAGTGTTTTCTAGGACAACAAAACACTTTAGTTTGGCTAGAGCTAAGAGTGTGGTAGGTAGACAAAATTAGAATCAGATTGTAGAAGGTCTTGGATGCCAGGTTAATGATTTTGAACTTTATATTTTTTATTTTCCTTTGTTCAAATCCCCTGTGATAAGTTGTTTTATTTTGTTTAGAGTGGGTATCAGGCAGATTTCTGGGTGAGGCCCAGAGGAGCATTTTTATTCATCCATCCATTCAACAAGGGACTATGTCTTATCCAACTTGTATCCCTAGAGTATAACACAACATCTGCATATAAGACAGAAAGTAAGTGCTTGTTAAAATTAAGCATTTTGGCCGGGTGTGATGGCACACATGTGTAATCCCAGCACTTTGGGAGGCCGAGGTGGGTGGATCACCTGAGGTCAGGAGTTCAAGACCAGCCTGGCCAACATGGCGAAACCATGTCTCCACTAAAAATACAAAAATTAGCTGGGCATGGTGGCATGCTCTGGTAATCCTAGCTACTAGAGAGGCTGAGGCAGGAGACTTGCTAGAATCCAGGAGGCGGAGATGCAGTGAGCCAACATTGCGCCACTGTACTCCAGCCTGGACAAGAGAGTGAGACTAGGTCTCAAAGAAAAAAAAAAAATTGAGCATTTGGAGAAAGCAGTAGTTGAGACAGTCTCACAGAGAATATAAGAATAATCATATTAAAAGGTAAAAAGTGCTAGGTGCCCAGAGAGAGGCCCAGAAAAGGGAGATCAGAGGAGAATGAGACAGCCTTCCCTGCTACCTTTAGCAGAAAAGTCCCAAAGAATATTATAATGGGGCCATCTTGGCTACTTGAATTAATCCTTGTGGCCTGAAAGATACATTCTGTTGGAGGGTATAGGGTTCTGTCTATCTTCTGAGTGAAGGGCAAAGAGTTCTCCGAAGAAAAGGGAGGGATTATTACTGGAAGAAGGGAAATTAGAACTGGCATGTCTGCCAGGTCTGCTGTAGTGGAACAAGGTGAGGCACATATAGGGAACAGTGAGAAGGATTAGGAGCTCTTCAAGAGTGGTAACAGTTAAAAATAGAGCTACAGGCCAGGTGCAGTGGCTCACGCCTATAATCCCAGCACTTTGGGAGGCTGAGGTGGGAGAATTGCTTGAGCCCAGGAGTTTAAGACCAACCTGGGCAACACAGTGAAAACCCGTCTCTACACAAAATAAAAAATTAGCCAGGCGTGGCTGGGCGTGGTGACTCACTCCTGTAATCCCAGCACTTTGGGAGGCCAAGGTGGGTGGATCACCTGAAGTCGGGAGTTTGAGACCAGCCTGATTAACATGGTGAAACCCTGTCTCTACTGAAAACAAAAAATTAGCCAGACGTGGTGGCATATGCCTGTAATCCCAGCTACTTGGGAGGCTGAGGCAGGAGAATTGCTTGAACCTGGGAGGCAGAGGTTGCAGTGAGCGAGACTGCACCATTGCACTCTAGCCTGGGCAACAAGGGCGAAACTCTGTCTCCAAAATAAATAAATAAATAAAAAGAAAGAGAGAGAGAGAGGTGCACCATGGAGGGCCTCAAATACCAAGTTGTGGAGTTTGAACTTGTCTCTTGAACTGAGAGTGCGCTTGTTGAAGTTGTGCTTTGGGAGTACTAATCAGGCCACCAAGGTATGGAATGGACTGGAGGCGAGAAGACCAGGACTGATGGGAAATTGTTCTGGCATGTCCTCTGGTAAAGCCTAAGCATGAGATCCTTCACCCACATCAATGTGTTTTCCGTTGTAACTTGGTTTGGTTTTTTTGTTGTTGTTCTTCTTCCCATTCTAGGTCAGTGGATTCAAAACGATGAAAGTGGATTCAAAACCTCTGTCAAGGGGTGCTGTCCTTTCCTGGCCAAGTCTCTTTTATTCTCTTAGGGCTGCAACCTCTTCACCTGGGAAATGAATGGTCCTGTGATTTACAAGAGCAGGTAAGCACCTGCAAAGGGCTTTGAAGATTGATGGGCAGAGTTTCCAGCTCAATTTCTGGGGAGTGGCAGTATCAGCAGCACCCCGTCCCTGGCTCTGACATAACGATGGGAGAAGCAGCTCCAAGGCATCCTGCTTTTTTTTTTTTTTTGAGACAGAGTCTCGTTCTGTTGCCCAGGCTGGAGTGCAGTGGCACGATCTCAGCTCACTGCAACCTCCGCCTCCCGGGTTCAAGCAATTCTCCTGCCTCAGCCTCCTGAGTAGCTGGGATTACAGGTGTGTGCCACCATACCTGGCTAATTTTTGTATGTTTAGTAGAGATGGGGTTTCACTATGTTGGTCAGGCTGATCTCGAACTCCTGACCTCGTGATCCTCCCTCCTCAGCCTCCCAAAGTGATGGGATTACAGGTGTGAGCCCCTGCGCCCAGCTGGCATCCTGCTTTTGAGCAGGAGGTGGCCCAGGCCGTAGCCCAGAGTCAACTCTCTCCTCTTCCCAAATATCTCCACAAAGGAAAACTCTGTAGCATAGCCTAAGAGGGAGCATAAGACTTTGAAGTCAGACATCCCAGGCCTTGGTCCTCAGTTGTGCTTCTTCCTAGCTCTGGTATTTTGAATAAGTTATGTAAGTTACCTGAGCCTATTTCCTTGTATATAAAATGGGGGTTGCAATACTAATTTCCTGGGCTCGTGAGAGTAGAGTAAGCTAAAGCTAAAAAAGCACTTGGCACAGTGCCATACAAGCCACAGGCACTCGGCCAGTGTGAATTCCTATTCATTTTTTAAGAAACAGAGTCATGTACTGTTAGAGGTAGAGAGGTGTTAGATATTCCTGGTCCAATCCTCTCATTCTACAGTGGTAAAAGGACTCCCAGGAAGGTTTCCTCTTAACCAATCTAATTCTCTTCTGTCACAATATCTGCTGATTCTGTCCTCAACTAGAAGCAGAGAACTGAGCTCCACCTTCTATGCTTAGCTACATAAATCCGATGGGAGTTCTATACCTGTTCAAAAAAGGGTATTTTGGTTCCTCCATTTTTCCCCCCAAGAACATTTGCCTATCATTTGCTCTTTGCTCTGCTAAAGGTGAAGACAATTAGTGTCCCATACTCAAAGTGATCACGAATATGTGGGAAGATCATGAGCAACACAGTATAGATGAATCCTAAGTAAATCCAGCAATCTTGGAATATCTGAAGGAATTTGCTCCCAATTATTCTTAGATAAGCTAAGAAATGAATACAACTGTTAGTTATCGTGTTTGTGTTTTTGTTTTTACTCTGCTTAATTTTTTAACATTTTTATTTATTTCTATAATTATAGAAATGGGGGGGGGGGGTCTCACTATGCTGCCCAGGCAGGTCTCTAACTCCTGGGATCAAATGATCCTCTTGCCTTGACCTCCCAAAGTGCTGGGATTACAGGTGTGAGCCACTGTGCCCAGCTTCTGCTTAATTTTTATTTCCCAGTTGGCAGGGGCTCCCTAATTCTTTAGCTTTACTTTTTTATGGATAAAATATACATAGCATAAAATTTATCATTTTAACTATTTTTTGACAGATAAACAGTTTCTTTATTCCTCCTCATCCTCCTCCTCTTCTTCATCTTCCTCTTCCACCTTTTCCTGGGCAACTTTAGCAGGACCATTTGCACCATCAAACTTTCCTTTTGCCTTATAGTCAGAAACATCCTTCTCATACTTCTTCAGCTTTGCCGCCTTAGTGAAGTAAGGCTGCTTTTCACTGTCATTTAAGCTATTCCACATTTCACCCAACTTTTTTTTTTCTTTTGCCACGTCTCCAATAGAGATGCCAGGGTTTGTGGATTTGATCTCGGGGCAGAATTCTGAACAGAACAGGAAGAATCCAGACAGTAGCCTTTTGGGGCATTAGGATCCTTCTTGTTGCCTCCTTTAGCTGGTCCATAATCCTTCATTTCCCGATCATAGTGTACTTTATCCGCCTTTGCCATTTCATTGAATTTAGACTTCTCTTTCCCAGACATGGTCTTCTACCTCTCGGAGCACTTCCTGGAATATTCTGCAAAATTGACAAGGACCTCTGGGTTTTTCTTCTTATGTTCTTCTCTGCACATCTGCACAAAGAAGGCATAAGCAGACATCTTTCCCTTTGGTTTCTTGGTGTCACCTTTAGCCATCCTGACTGAATTTCTTCTTCCTTCCCGGCCGCCTAGCAGGAGGGAAGGCGGAGGGGAGTGAAGGGCGTGGGGAGGAGAGGGAGGGCCCTGGGAGGCGAAGCAGCAGGAGGCGGCGACGTGGCCCGAAAGTTCTGCAGGCGCTGCGGTGGCGGCCCCATTTTAACTTTTTTTTTATTTTTTATTTTTTGAGAGGGAGTCTCGCTCTGTTACCCAGGCTGGAGTGCAGTAGCGCGATCTCGGCTCACTGCAAGCTCTGCCTCCTGGGTTCACGCCATTCTTCTGCCTCAGCCTCCCGAGTAGCTGGGACTACAGGCACCCGCCACCACGCCCGGCTAATTTTTTGTATTTTTCGTAGAGACGGGGTTTCACTGTGCTAGCCAAGATGGTCTCAATCTCCTGACCTCGTGATCCGCCTGCCTCGGCCTCCCAAAGTGCTGGGATTACAGGTGTGAGCTACCACACCCGGCAAACTTAAAAAAAATTTTTTTTTTGAGACAGAGCCTCCCTCTGTCGCCAGGCTGGAGTGCAGTGGTGCGATCTCGGCTCACCACAACCTCCGCCTCCCGGTTTCAAGCGATTCTCCTGCCTCAGCCTCCCGAGTAGCTGGGATTACAGGCACGGGCCACCACGCCCAGCTAATTTTTGTATTTTTAGTACAGACGGGGTTTCGCCATGTTGGACAGGCTGGTCTCGAACTCCCGATCTCAGGTAATCTGCCAGCCTTGGCCTCCCAAAGTGCTGGGATTACAGACGTAAGCCACCACACCTCACCCATTTTAACTATTTTTAAGTATACAATTCAGTGACATTAAGTTCATTCACAAAGTAGTGTAATCATCACCACTTCCTATTTCCAGAACTTTTTCATCATCCCAAACAGACACTCTGTACCCATTAAACAACATTCCCCATTTTCCCCTTCCCTCAGCCTCTGGTAACCTCTATTTATTTTAATTTCTGTCTCTACGAATTTACCTATTCTAGATACTTCATATGAGTGGAATCATACAACGTTTGTATTTATTTTTGTTTGTTTGTTTGAGACAGAGTACAGTGTTGGGATCATAGCTCACTGCAGCCTCAACCTCCCAGGCACAAGTGATCCTCCCACCTCAGCCTCCTGGGTAGCTAGGACTACAGGCACACACCACCACACCTGGCTAATATTTAAAAATTTTTTGTAGAGACGGTGAAACAGGAACCCTCGAAGGGTGTGCAATGGGGGTGTGGCTTGCTTCTTCAGTGCCCTGCTGCTCAAACCTCTAGGGGAGCATACAGATGGGCAGGCTGTGGGGCTCCGACCCCACAGCAGTGTCTAGGGGTGAATGTTTACAGCTGAAGCCCCAATGGGCGTGTGTTATAGGGTGCTCTTTTAGGTTGCCATCTATAGGCGGCTTGTGTTAACCAGCTCAATTAAACCCCCTTCCTTACCACAAGGACAGAGGGATTTCTGTATCCTGGGGTTTCTTGCCTTGTTGTACCTGGAAGAACTGGATCACATGTGGGCTTGGAGAATGAGTGCAAGGTTTTATTGAGTAGAACTAGCTCTCAGCAGATGGGGGAGTTGGGGAGCCAGAAGGGAAATGGTTTTCCCCTGGAAATGTTCTCATCATGTTCACCAACATGGTGAAACCCTGTCTCTACTAAAAATATTTTTAAAATTAGCTGGGCATGGTGGTGTGCGCCTGTAATCCCAGCTACTCAGGAGGCTGAGGCAGGAGAATCACTTGAACCGGGGAGGCAGAGGTTGCAGTGAGCAGAAATCGAGCCACTGCACTCCAGCCTGAGTGACAAAGCAAGACTCCGTTTCAAAAAAAAATGTTAGTAAGGATGTGAAGAAAGTGAACCTTCATATATTGCTGGGGGACTGTCAAATAGTATCGCTGCTTTGAAGTTCTTCAAAAAGTAAAACAGAGTTACCACATGACCCAGCAATTCCACTGCTAGGCGTATATCCAAGAGAAATGAAAATGTATGTTCATAGGCGGGGCACAGTGGCTCACGCCTGTAATCCCAGCACTTTGGGAAGCCAAGGTGGGCAGATCACTAGAGGTCAGGAGTTCGAGACCAGCCTGGCCAACAAGATGAAACCCCGTCTGTACTAAAAATACAAAAATTAGCTGGGCGTGGTGTCAGGCACCTGTAAGCCCAGCTACTCGGGAGGCTGAGGCAGGAGAATCATTTGAACCAGGGAGATGGAGGTTGCAGTGAGCAGAGATCACGCCACTGCACTTTAGCCTGGGCGACAGAGTGAGACACTGTCTCAAAACAAACAAACAAAAACACAAAAAACAAAACAAAACAAAAATGGAGGCTGGGCATGGTAGCTCATGCCTGTAATCCTAGCACTTTGAGAGGCCGAAGTGGTCGGATCACCTGAGGTCAGGAGTTTGAGACCAGCCTGACCAACATGGAGAAACCCCATCTCTACTAAAAATATAAAATTAGCTGGGCATGGTGGCACATGCATGTAATCCCAGCTACTCGGGAGGCTGAGGCAGGAGAATCACTTAAACCTGGGAGGCAGAGGTTGCGGTGAGCTGAGATCTCGCCATTGCACTCCAGCCTGGGCAACAAGAGCAAAACTCCGTCTCAAAAAAAAAAAAAAAAAAAAAAAAAAAAGGGAGGTGGGGGGCACTGGCTGTGGTGGCTCACGCCTGTATTCCCAGCATTTTGAGAGACCGAGGTGGGTGGATCACCTGAGGTCAGGAGTTTGAGACCAGCCTGGCCAACATGGTGAAACCCCATCTCTACTAAAAATACAAAAAAATTAGCCAGGAGTGTTGGTGCATGCCTCCCAGCTACTCGGGAGGCTGAGGCAGAAGAATCACTTGAACTCGGGAGGCAGAGCTTGCAGTGAGCTGAGATGTGAGCCGAGATTGCACCACTGCACTCCAGCCTGGGTGACTGAATGAGACTTCGTCTCAAAAAAAAAAGAAAGAAAATGTACGTTCACACAAAAACTTGTACACAATGTTTATCGTGTTATTATTTCTTATAGCCAGCAGGTAGAAACAACCCAGATGTCCATCCACTGACGAATAGCTAAACAAAATGTGGTATATCCATACAGTGGACTATTATTCAGCCATAAAAAGGAATAACACTGATTCACACTACAACATGGATGAACCTTGAAAATCTTACGCTAAATGAGGGAAACCAATCACAAAATAACATATATTGTATGATCCATTTATATGAATAAATCAAGACAGAAAGTAGATTAGTGGTTGCCAAGGGATAGTAGGAAGTTGGGAATGGGGAATAACGGTTAATAGTGTGACTGCCCAGTGTGCTCACCTTGCCCACTGCCAAGACAGAGCCGATTTATCAAGACAGAGAAATTGCAATAGAGAAAGAGTAATTCATGCAGAGCCGGCTGTGCGGGATACCAGAGTTTTATAATTACTCAAATCAGTCTCCCCAAGCATTCGGGGAGCAGAATTTTTAAGGACGACTTGGTGGGTTGGGGGAAGCCAGTGAGCCAGGAGTGCTGAATGGTCAGGGATGAAATCACAGGGAGTCGAAGCTGTCTTCTTGAGCTGAGTCACTTCCTGGATGGGGGTCACGAGATCAGATGAGCCAGTTTATCAATCTGGGTGGTGCCAGCTGATCCATCAAGTGCAGGTCTGCAAAATATCTCAAGCATTGATCTTAGGAGCAGTTTAGAGAGGGTCAGAATCTTGTAGCCTCCAGCTGCATGACTCCTAAACCTTAATTTCTAATCTTATGGCTAATATTAGTCCTACGAAGGCAATCTAGTCTCCAGGCAAGAAAGAGGTCTGCTTTTGGAAAGGGCTGTTATCGTCTTTGTTTTAAACTATAAACTACGTCCAGGCACGGTGGCTCATGCCTGTAATCCCAGCACTTTGGGAGGCTGAGGCAGGTGGATCACTTGAGGTCAGGAGTTTGAGACCAGCCTGGCCAACATGGTGAAATGCTGCCTCTACCAAAAATACAAAAATTAACCGGGTGTGGTGGTGGGCACCTGTAATCCCAGCTATTCAGGAGGCTGAGGCAGAAGAATCGCTTGAACCCAGGAGGTGGAGGTTGCAGTGAGCCGAGGTCATGCCATTGAACCCCAGCCTGGGTGACAGAGTGAGACTCCGTATCAAAACAAAAACAAAAAAAACCTATAAAAACTATAAACTAAGTTTCTCCCAAAGTTAGTTCAGTCTATGCCTAGGAATGAACAAGGACAGCTTGGAGGTTAGAAGCATGTAGAGTCGATTAAGTTAGATCTCTTTCACTGTCTCAGTCATAATTTTGCAAAGGCAGTTTCAATAGGCATGGGATTTCTTTTTGGGGGTGATGAAATGTTCTGGAATTAGAGAGTGGTGATGGTTTCACAACTTTGTGGATATACTAAAAACCAACTAAATTGCACACTTTAAAATGATTAATTTTATATGTTAATTATATCTCAAGAAAAAGTACAGTATATGATAGTAGGCACCCATGTACATACTACCTAATTCCAGAAAAAAACTGTTACAAATACCATTGCAATTTCCTATGTACTGTTCTTCCATCCCATTCCCCTCCCTCTCTACCCAGAAGTGGCCACTACCGTGAAGTTGGTGTTTATCATGGCAATTGTCTTCATTTATTTGGGCTGCTATCACGAAATACTTTAGACTGAGTATCTTATACGCAACAGAAACTTATTTTTCACAGTTCTGGAGGTTGGGAAGGCCAAGATCAATGGGGTGAGGGCCTACTTTCTCACAGACTTCACGTTTTTACGGTGACCTCACATGGTGGAAGGGACCAGCTAGCTCTCTTAGGTCTCTTTTATAAGGGCAGTAATCCCATTCATGAGGGTACCCAATCATCTCCTAAAGGCCTCATCTTCTAACACTGTCACATTTGGGATTACGTTTCAATGTATGACTCTTGGGGACACACAAACATTCAGAGCATAGCAGTAATACATGTCTTTATAACTTTTAACAAATGTATGAGTATCCCTAAACAATATATAGCATTGCTTTGTATGTTTTTAAGCTTAATATACATCACATAAGTTGCATCCTCTGCAATATTCTTTTTTCCTACCAACATTATGTTTTTGAGAATTATCCATATTCTTTTTTTTTTTTTTTTGAGACAGAGTCTGGCTCTGTCGCCCAGGCTAGAGTGCAGGGTGTGATCTCGGCTCACTGCAACCTCTGCCTCCAGGGATCAAGTGATTCTCCTGCCTCAGCCTCCCGAGCAGCTGCGATTACAGGTGCCCACCACCACACCCAGCTAATTTTTGTATTTTTTTGTAGAGACAGAGTTTCACCATGTTGTTCAGGCTGGTCTCCAACTCCCGACCTCAAGTGATCTGCCTGCCTTGGCCTCCCAAAGTCCTGGGATTACAGGTGTGAGCCACTGTGCCCGGTGAATTATCCATATTCCTACCACTCACTGCTGTGTAGTATTTCATTATATGACTACACTATAATTTATTTTGTATATTTACCTATTGGTGGACATTTAGACTGTTTCTAATTTTTCAATATTTCAAACAATGCTTCAGAGAACATCTCCAACAGGTTTCCTTTTGTGCATGTTCATTTCCCTGGGTTTTATATTCAGGAGTAGGATTGCCGAGTCAAAGGCCTGCACATCTTCTACTTCGTTAGCTATTGCCACAAGTCCATTACTAGTCAGGTGGAGCGTTTTCATATGTTTATTGGCCATTTGTATTTCTTCAGTGGCTTAATGTTCACATCCTTTGTCCATTTACCTAATATAAATTTGTTAGTAATTCTTTACATATTTTCGAATTCTCATCCTTTGCCAGCCAAAACATTGCAGAGATTTTCTCCCATTTAGTAGTTTGTCTTTTTCCCTTTATGACATCTTTTGATGCACAGAATTTCTACATTTAATCTGGCTGACCATATCAAGTTTTTTCATTTTTGATTTGTATGATGATTAATTTTATGTGTCAATTTGACTGGGTCATGGCATGCCCAGATATTTGGTTAAACATTATTCTGGGTGTGTCTGTGAGGGTGTTTGTAGATGAGATTAACTTTTGAATCTGTAGACTGAGTAAAGCAGATTGCCCTTCCCAAGTGGGTGGGCCTCATTCAATCCATTGAAGGCCTGAACAGAACAAAAAGGTGGAGTAAGAGAATTCTTTCTCCCTGTCTCACTGTGCTCATGCTGGTACTTTTGTCGTCTCCTGCCTTTGGACTTTTTTTTGAGACAGGTTCTCGCTGTCACACACGTTGGAGTGCAGTGGTGGGATACCGGCTCACTGCAACCTCCGCCTCCTGGGTTAAAGCAATTCTCTTGCCTCAGCCTCCCGAGTTGCTGGGATTATAGACTCCTGCCACCACACCCAGCTAATTTTTTTGTATTTTTAGTAGAGATGGGATTTCACTATGTTGGCCAGGCTGGTCTCGAACTCCTGACCTCAAGTGATCTGCCTGCCTTGGCCTCTCAAAGTGCTAGGATTATAGGCATGAACCACTGCACCCGGCCTGTCTTTGGACTTTTATCTGGACCATTGGCTCTCTTGGTTCTCAGGCCTTTGGACTCAGACTAGAACTAAACCATTGGCTCTCCTGTGTCTCCAGCTTGCTGACTACAAATCTTAGGGCTTAGCTTCTATAACCACATGACCTAATTTTTTATAATACTCTCTCTCTATTCTATTGGTTCTGTCAGAGGCGTTTGAACCAGAGCAACTCCATCTTGAGTAGGTGCTAGGTAAAATAAGGCTAAGACCTGCTGGGCTGCATTCCTAGCTGGTTAGGCATTCTAAGTTACAGGATGAGATAGGAGGGCACAAGATACAGGTCATAAAGACCTTGCTGATAAAACAGGTTGCAGTAAAGAAGCCGGCTAAAACCCAGGAAAACCAAGATAGCGACAAGAGTGACCTCTGGTCGTCCTCACTGCTACACTCCCACCAGCACCATGACAGTTTACAAATGTCATGGCAATGTCAGGAAGTTACCCTATATGGTCTAAAAGGGGAGGCATGAGTAAACCACCCATTGTTTAGCATATAATCAAGAAATAACCATAAAAATGGGCAACAAGCAGCCCTGGGGGTTGCTCTGTCTAAGGAGTAGCTATTATTTTATTCCTCTACTTTCTTAATAAACTTGCTTTCACTGGGCATGGTGGTTTATGCCTGTAATCCCAACACTTTGGGAGGCCGAGGCGGGTGACCTGAGGTCAGGAGTTCAAGACCAGCCTGGCCAACATGGTGAAACCCCGTCTCTACTAAAAATTCAAAAATTAGCCAGGCATGGTGGTGGGTGCCTGTAATCCCAGCTACTTGGGAGGCTGAGGCAGGAGAATTGCTTGAGCCTGGGAGGCAGAGGTTGCAGTGAGCTGAGATCGCGCCACTGCACTCCAGCCTGGGCGACAGAGTCTCCATTCCCCCCATCCCCCCAACTCCAAAAACAAACAAACAAAAACACAACTTGCTTTCACTTTACCCTATGGACTTGCCCTGAATTCTTTCTTGTGCAACATCCAAGAACCCTCTCTTAGGGTCTGGATCCAGACCCCTTTCCAGTAACACTTCTGTTTTTCTGGAGAACTCAGAGTAATACAATTTGTGACTGCGTCTTGTTAAGGAACTATTTCCCTACCCTGAGGTCCTGAAGATGATTTTCTTTAGTTTCTAAAGATCATAAAGTTTTGCTTTTCAAATTCAGGTCTTTAATCTAACCGGGGGTTATTTTAATGTATGCTACAAGGTAGGAAGCCATTTTATTTTTTTTCCAAATGATTAACAAGTTGTTCAGTGTTATTTTAAAACAATCCATCTGTATTAGTTTCCCAGAGCTGTCATAACAAATTACCACAAGCTGGGTGGCTTAAAACAACAGAAATTTATTTTCTCACAGTTCAGAAGGCCAGAAGTCTGAAATTAAGGTGTCAGCAGCACTGGTTCCTTCTGAAGATTCTGAGGGAGAAAACCTCCCATGCCTCTCTCTTAGCCTCTGGCGGTTGCCAGCAATCCTTGGCTTGTGGACACATCACTAATCTTTCTCTCCATCTTCACATCGTTTTATATTCTGTTTCCCTGTGTCTTCTCCTCTTCTTATAACGACACCAGTCATTGGATTTAGGGCCCACCCTAAATCCAGGATGAGTTATTCTTAAAATCTTGAGCTAATTACATCTGGAAAGACCCCATTTCCAAATAAGTTAATATTCTGAGGTTCTGAGGGGACATGAATTTTGCGGGGTACACTATTCAGCCCACTATATAGCATCATCTTTTGCTACTCTTTTGCAAATTCTATTTCTGTTGTTTATCCAGTGTCCATTTATGTGTGGGCAGAGTGGTCATTTTATAATATAAATCTCTGATGAAATGGTTAGACATTTTTCATGAGATAATCTTATTTAATCCTCACAGCAGTGCCGTGAGGTAGATGCTACTAAAATCACCTACTGTTGAGAGGTGTGCCAGTCAGCATTTGCTAAGTATGACGTGATAACAAACAACCCCAAACTCTCAGTGACTTACAAAAAGCCAATTGCTTTCTTCATCACATTACACATCACAGCTGTAGATTCACTGCAGCTTTGCTCTGTGTCTTTTCATTCCAGGGTCCAGGCTGAAGGTGCAGGCCCTATCCAAGACACAACATTTCCAGTGGCAGAGATAAAAAAGTAAGATTTCAGACTCAAACATGCAATGGCACTCCAAGTTTCTGCTTCGAACTGGCATGTATCTCTCTAGCTCACATTTCATTGGCCAAAGGAAGTCATGTGGTTAAGCTTGACAATGGGCTGGGGAAGTGCACTCCTTCCTCTGGAAGGTACACAAGTCACATGGCAACTGGCTAGGATGGATAATTCTCTTACTGGCCAAGGGAAGGGCAAATAATGGAGAAAAATAATACGTCAACCACAGGGGTTGAGTAACTTTCCCAAGATCAAACCACTGGGAAGGGACAGAGGCAGATTCAAACTCAGACAGTCTCCAAAGCCATAGTGAACTCCATGGCTCCCTACTGCCTGTTAGATGGAATCCAAATATATTTAAGCTTTAGGGCATTCCTGCAGCCTGGAGGGCCCTTCTACCTAATTTGTGTGCTGAATTCACTCTTTAAGGCTCCACTCCAATCTCAACTCCTTGGACTCACTCTTATTTGTCATGTGTTCCCTCTGCTCTAAGGCCCTTGTACAGTGTTCCCAAATGTTTGCAGTATTTTGGGATGAAAGGAGTGAGGGGCACAAGCTGCAAGTGGACTGTGCTCCTGAGGATGAGAGCACTTTGCCTACTTTTCCACCCCTCTAAACTAAGCTTAGTATCTTGTGCTTGGGTGACTCTGACAGGTCAGCCCCGCATGACTCACTCTGTAAGCCTTCAGCGCGGGTCACCACAAGGTCCTGGTTTAGGGTGTGTGAGTTGGTGGGTGGGGAGGGGAGGTGGAAATTAACTTTCACCTTTCAGGAACCTTTCCCTTCCCCAGGAGAAGGACAAGTGTAAGTCCTTCCCTTAAGTAGTCTGGGCAAGTCTCTACTCATCACTCCTAGGAGGACTGGGGAGGTCCTGGAAGGTGCAGAGGAGGAAGCTCTGAGAAGTAGAAACAGCACCAAACTGCACCATAGAAGACTTTACTAATTTGTCCAAATGACAGAATTTACCTTCTCTGAGCTTCAGTTTCCCCAGCTATAAAGTGGCAACAACACTGATCTTGCCCTCCTCCCTAAGTTGCTACAAAAAGACATAGTAAAAATCTTTAGGGTGCCGGGCAGGGTGGCTCACGGCTGTAATCTCAGCACTTTGGGAGGCTGAGGCAGGCAGATCACCTGAGGTTAAGAGTTCGAGACCAGCCTGGCCAACATGGTGAAACCCCATCTCTACTAAAAATACAAAAATTAGCCAGGCATGGTGGCAGGCACCTGTAATCCCAGCTACTTGGGAGGCTGAGACATGAGAATCGCTTGAACCCGGGAGATGGAGGTTGCAGTGGGCAAAGATAGTGCTACTGCACTCCAGCCAGGGTGATGGAGCAAGACTCCATTTCAAAAAAAAAAAAAAAAAAAAATCTTTAAGAATGCAGCCTTGAAATCGCACAGACTTGTACTGGAATCCTTCTCATAAGCTATGTGACTGAGAAAGTTATAGATCTTCATAAGCCATTACAGCTACCTCCCAGGGTGAGAAAATTATGTAAATAAATTTCCTAACATATACTAAGTACTCAATAATGTTGGCTATTCCTATATGAGATGATGAAACTTATTATTATATAGGGAAAGTCCCAGACGAGGACCCATTTTTGAACATTGAAAGGAGGGAGTACAGAGGCTAACTTTTCTTAGAATTGGTTGCTTCTTTTAGCCAAGTATAAGGTGTGGCTCAAAGGAATGAGGAAGCAGTTAATGAGGTGACAGGGCACAGAATACTGTTTGTCTTCACAGATCTTGGGGGAGGGATACAGTGGTTAGCTGACCTTCCCAAAAGATCAGAGATCCTGGTGTCTTGTCCACCCACAGATGCAGGCCACTTGACTCTGTCCTGTCCCCTCCTACCAGTCCAGTCACCACGTTCTGGTGAGGCTGCCTTTGAAATAATAATAACAATGGTACTTGTACTAATGATATTATTACTTTGAAGTGTATGAAGGCTTTCTAATACATCATCCCAGTTATCCTTCATTATCTCTCTCCCATTCACAGAATCCAGAGTTAGGAAGGATATTGCAGATCATTCTGCATTTTACAGATGGGATCTCTGAAATTTGAATAAAGGAAGGGATCTACTCAAGGGCTGGGATTTACCTGAGACTACACAATAAGTTAATGGCAGGGGCAGGACTAGAACCTGCAGCTCCTGACTACCAGCCTAGTGCCAGTGCCTCTTTCAAGTCACACTTGCATTGGCTTTCCATTCCCATGGCCTCCCAGTCTATTCTTTTTTTTTGTTTTTTGTTTTGTTTTGTTTTGTTTTGAGACGAGTTTCGCTCTGTCGCCCAGGCTGGAGTGCAGTGGTGTGATCTCGGCTCACTGCAACCTCCGCCTCCCGGGTTCAAGCAATTCTCTGCCTCAGCCTCCCAAGTGGCTGGGATTACAGGCACCCACCACCATGCCTGGCTAATTTTTTTGTATTTTTAGTAGAGACAGGGTTTCACCATGTTTGCCAGGCTGGTCTTGAACTCCTGACCTTGTGATCCACCCTCCTCGGCCTCCCAAAGTGCTGGGATTACAGGCATGAATCACCGTGCCCAGCCCCAGTCTATTCTTTTATCTCCTGGACCACTGCAGTGGTTTCCTACTGGTCCTGCCTGCCTCTGATCCCTCCCCACCCATTTCTTCTACACATACAGTCACATAATTGTCTGGAAGCACAGCTTTGATCTTGTCTTTCCCTTCCTAATAGAACTTGCCCATTTTTTCAACTTGAGAGGTCACCAGGATCCTAGTTCAATTTCCCAATGAAGACTTAATCTTTCCTTGAATACATATATTGACAAGGAGTTCATCACTCCCAAGGTGGTCCATTCCATTCTTGGGTAGCTCCAACTGTTAGGGAGTTCTTTATAGTGAGCTGAAATTGTCTTCCTGGATATCCCCCCACTGGAGGTGATGTGATGGAATTCTCTTTTTTTTTTTTTTTTTTTTGAGACCGAGTCTCACTGTGTTGCCCAGGCTAGAGTGCAGTGGTACAATCTCAGCTCACTGCAACCTCCGCCTCCCAGGTTCAGCAATTCTCATGTCTCAGCCTCCCGAGTAGCTGGGACTTACAGGCATGAGCCACCAAGCCTGGCTAATTTTTTTGTGTTGTTAGTAGAGACAGGGTTTCACCATGCTGGCCAGGTTGGTCTCAAACTCCTGGCCTCAGGTGATCTGCCTGCCTCGGCCTCCCAAAGTGCTGGGATTACAGGTGTGAGCCATCACACTTGGCCCCTTTTTGTTTTTTTTTTTTTTTAGACAGAGTTTCACTCTTGCTGCCTAGGCTGGAGCGCAGTGGTGTGATCTTGGCTCACTGCAACCTCCACCTCCCAGATTCAAGACATTCAGCCTCCCAAATAGTTGGGATTACAGGCATGTGCCACCACGCCCAGCTAATTTTGTATTTTAGTAGAGACGGGGTTTCACCATGTTGGCGAGGCTGGTCTCGAACTCCTGACCTCAGGTGATCCACCTGCTCGACCTTCCAAAGTGTTGGGATTACAGGCGTGAGCCACAGCACCTGGCCAATGGAATTCTTTCGTATCCATTCTGGCAGCAAATCTGTAGTCATTGTTTCATAGGAACCAGGTCCTGGATGGACTAGGTGCTGAGGAGAACAGCATATAAATTTGATATGGATCCTTCCCTCAGAGAGGGTGGCCTAGGAGTTTGCTAATGCAGAATTTTTTGTTTTGTTGATTAGACCTAAACGAAAGGAAACAAAGCAAATCCTCTTTCTGTATGATAGTCCTTCAGAGGTGTGGAGATAGTCACCATGTCTACTCTGTGCTTTCCCTTCTCCAAGCTATTTAAATCATTCATCATACAGCATGGCGTCCAGGTCCTCTACGTTCCGGTCTCCTGTAGACATGCTCCAGTCCCCCTAAGAATATGGGGCTCACAAATGAGCTTGGTGGTCCAGCTGTGATCCATCTAGGGCAGAGCTGGCCCAACTTTTTTTTTTTTTTTTTTGAGACGGGGTCTCACTCTTGTTGTCCATGCTGGAGTGCCGTGGTGTGATTTTGGCTCACTGCAACCTCCGCCTCCTGGATTCAAGGGATTCTCCTGCCTCAGCCGCCCGAGTAGCTGGGATTACAGGAGTGCGCCACCACGCCTGGCTAATTTTGTATTTTTTTTTTTTGAGACAGAGTCTCACCCTGTTGCCCAGGCTGGAATGCAATGGCACGATCTCGGCTCACTGCAACCTCCACCTCCTGGGTTCAACCAGTTCTCCTGCCTCAGCCTCCTGAGTAGCTGGGATTAAAGGCACGTGCCACCACAACTGGCTATTTTTTTTTTTTTTTTTTTTGTATCTTTAGTAGAGACAGGGATTCACCATATTGGCCAGATTGGTCTCGAAGTCCTGACCTCGTGATCCGCCTGCCTCGGCCTCCCAAAGTGCTGGGATTACAGGTGTGAGCCACTGTGCCCGGTCAATTTTGTATTTTTAGTAGAGACAGGGTTTCACCATGTTGGCCATGCTGATCTCAAACTCCTGACCTCAGGTGATCTGCCCGCCTGCCTCGGCCTCCCAAAGTGCTTGGATTACAGGCATGAGACACTGCGCCTGGCCTCAACTCTGGTTTCCGTTGATAGAATATTCATATTCACTTTCTCCTCCTTCCTTTCTTCGCTTTCTCCTTCCTCCTTCTCTTTGTTCCCTCCTCCCTCCCTCCCTCCCTCTCTCTCTTCTTTACTCCTTTTCTCCCTTCCTTTCTTTCTTTTTGGCAGCACGTTGCATTGTTGAGCTTGAGGTCAACTAAAACCTTTAAGTCACTTTCACTGTAATTACTGTTGATTGAGATTCTTTCTACACTGTATTTGGGGCACTTGCTCATTTGGAAGGGCACTGTCCAA
Source organism: Homo sapiens (assembly GCF_000001405.40). NCBI lineage: Eukaryota > Metazoa > Chordata > Mammalia > Primates > Hominidae > Homo > Homo sapiens. The sequence goes on from NC_000020.11 coordinate 36,090,111, forward strand.
TATGGCAGCCATTGTGGCCATTCAAATTTAAAGTACTTAAAATTAAATACAATTATTATTTTGCATTTCCTCAGTTGGACTAGCCACGCTTCAAGTGCTCAATAGCCACAGAGGGCTAGTAGCCACTGTATCAGACAGCAAAGATTCAGGACATTTCCATCATCATGGAAAGTTCTGTGGGACTGCTCTGGTTTGGACCTAAGAGCAGGAGTTTATACTTACAATCTGAGGCACGTCATCTTGAGAGTTCCAGCTCAGCCTCCAAAACTGCTGAGAGCTTTAAGAAACTGATTCTGGTTTCCGGAGTCTTCATTTTCCCTCCCAACCTCATGACAACAGTAGATTTGATCAACGTTTCATACCTTCCTCTGCTTCATCTAAAACCAACTGATAAAAATACCCAGCAGAACAGAGAGGCTTGCAATCGAGCCCTCTATGTGACACCCTGCTCTCCAGTCCCATGCGGCAGTTGTGCAGTCATTTAACAAATTAGGCCTATATCCTAGGTGCTGTGCTGGGTACCAGGTACCTACAAGGAAGTCAGAAGACATCAATTAAAAAAAAAAAAGAGTCCTGCTGAGTTGGGTGCTCTAGTAGTTCAAATGTCTTTGCTTCCCATTCAAGGCTGCCTCTTCTGTCTGTTTTGTGGTTGTTAAAAGTGGAAGCTTGGGGCTGGGCACGGTGGCACACACCTGTAATCCCAGTGCTTTGGGAGGCCGAGGCAGGCGGATCACTTGAGTCCAAGAGTTTGAGACCAGCCTGGCCAACATGGTGAAACCCTGTCTGTACTAAAAATACAAAAATTAGCTGGATGTGGTGGCATACACCTGTAATCCCAGCTACTCAGGAGGCTGAGGCAGGAGAATCACTTGAACCCAGGAGGTGGAGGTTGCAGTGAGCCAAGATCGTACCACTGCACTACAGCCTGGGTGACAGAGTGAAAGTCTCTCTCAAAAAGAAAAAAAAAAAAAACGGAAGCTTGGGAGTCAGCTTCCCAAGTTTGGATCCTAGCTCTGCCACTTTAGAAGCTATGTGATGTCTTTGTGTTTCTGTTTCAGCATGCATAATGTGGGAATAAGAATAACCTCTAATGTTATTGTGAGAATTAAACGAATTAATGCAAATAAAGATCTTAGAACAATAAATATAGTAAGTGTTCCTAACCGGTGAGTTATTATCAGTTCTTATTGTTAATCATAATCTTCCTTCCTGGACAAGCCATGTTCAGTCCTGCTTTGGGGCCTCAGTTCCTTAGTTTTGCCCTCCCTTAGTTTGTGTAAGTCCTTGGAGGCCCAAGCCCTGCCTCTCCTTCCTGCTTTCTTATGTTCTCAGCTGCTCACTTTGCACCTGCTCTTAGTATCCTATACCTGAGGCATGGACCACAGTGAAGAACCAGAATTGTTGGGCTTCATCTTGGCTCTGTGCTGCCTGGAGGGGAGACCTAGGATAGGCTCCTGATCTGCAAAATGGGGATAATCCCAGCTGCCACTTAAGTGAGACAAGTAGGTGAAAGCTACTTAGCAGGCCTTTGCATGTCTTGACTTCCAGTAAAACCCTGGCAAGTGAATGACATTTGCATCTTCCCTGTTTCTTCCTTTAGCATCTAACAAAGGAGGCTCAGGCTCATTATTCCGGGCACTTCTGGAGGGCCTGGCCCTGCCCCAGGAGCCCTAGGGCAGGAATTCCTTTCTTTATCTATAGAAGGCAGACACTTCATCCCTGCCCCATCTTCTTTCAGATGCTATCTTGGGCTCGCTGAACACGGGTTAGTTCCTCCTCTCTCCTAGCCTCAGTGTGTACTCCAAGAAGGACCTAAAGGAGCGCCTATACGGGCCGTGGTGGTTATAACCCTAATTTAGAAAAGCCCATTACTTTGGGGGTGTTTGGGCTTGTGGAGGGTGGGCGTCGGGATCCCAGAGCCAGGGACTCAGCCCTTGGAGAGTCCCCAGAGAGTCCAGAGGTTGCCACCTGCGAGGGGCTGGAACGCACTGGGCTATCCTCCGCGAGCCCTGGCCGCGGGAACAATGGGAGCGCGGCGTGGAAAAGGGTGGGCGTGGGCCAGGTCCTGGCTGGAGGTAGACGAGGTCGGCGAGCTGGGCGCGGGGCCGCGGGGTTACCCCGGGGCACCGGGCACAGAGCCGAGAAGTCTAAGCTAGGGAAAATCGAGGTCGGCGCTGGCGGGAACCCGGGAGGACGTGGGGGCCCCGGGTGGGGTCTGCTCCTCTTCTTCGCCCGGCCTCTGAGCCCGCCGCAGCTCAGGTTGACGCCGGGCCCACGTGGGGAAGCCGGCGGCGGGTCCCCAGCGCCGGGAGGGTTCGCGGGGCTCAGCCCCTTCCTCTGCTCCCCTCCCCGGGACCGGCGCGCGGCCCCAGCTCCGGCGGCTCCGGCGGCTCCGGCGCTCCCCTGGTGTTGGCTGCTCGCCGCCGCTGCTTGCTCGTTCGCCCGCCCGCTGCTGCTTGGGGGGCCGGGATCGCCGCCGCCTCCTCCGGGGGAGCCGGCCGGGGCGGGGCGGAGCGGCGAGAGGGGGTGTGGGGGGCGGGCGAGGAGGGGGCTGAGCGCCGTGGGAGGGAGAGCAGGAGCGAGCGCGCGAGAGAGCGGGGCATTTCTGCGCAGCTCTAGCGCGCCTCGGAGCCCGCCGGGGCAGCCGCCGGACACCAGGACCGCGAGCCAGACAGCTCCCGGAAGCCGCGCCGCCGCCGCCAGGTTAGCCGCACCCGCCGTCCCCCTCCGCGTCCCGGGGACCCCGCCGCGTCGGGTCCCGCGTGTGCGTGTGGGGTGGCCGCCGAGGGCGGCGGGCTCGATTCCCGATCTTTGGGCACTGACAGGCCGGCGGGCCGGCTCCAGGAGCCGCGGGCTTCGGTTCGTGTGTGTGGGGACTGTCGCGGGTTTGTGTGTCGGGGCTCCAGTCTCTGGGTGTGTGTTAGGTGTGAGCGCGCGTGTGCCCGTGGATCCGTGCGAGCGGCTGCTCGGTGTGCGCGCGCGTGCGTGTGTGCGCCGGGTGTGCATCTGTGTGTGCGTGTGTGAGGGTGTGTGCCTTGCGTGTCTTCGCGAGTGGTGCGTGCGTATCTGGGTGAGGGTGCGTGTGTCTGCGTGTGTCTGTCGGTGAATGTATCTGTGAGAGGGTGTGTCCGAATGTGTAGCAGTGTGTACACCTCTGGGTGAGGGCGTGTGCCAGTGGCTTCGCTTGTGGCTGCAGCCTGTGGCGGGTGTGGGTGTGTGTGTGCGCGCGCGTCGCTGTGTGCGCGCCAGTGTAACTCCCGTGTGTGCGCGTGTGAGTGCGGGTGTGCTCCCGCGTAGCCCCCGTGTGCGTGTGCGCGGCTTTGTCTTCGCACTGCCGGGAGGAAGCGGTGGGGGCGGCGGTCCAGGCGCCGCCGCCGCTGGGAGCTGGGCACCTGGCCTGGGCGGTGGGTGGCGGCGGCGGGGGTGTCCCTTCCCCGTCGGGCAGAGACTCCCTGCTGGCAGGTGGGCGGCCACACCCCGGGGGTCGGGGGAACTGGGCTGACAGCAGAGCCCGCGTTCTGACCTGAGCTGGAGAGGAGGGCGTGTCCTGCTTGAAGCCCGTGTGCGTGCGTGCGTGCGTGTGTGTGTGTGTGTATGTGTATGCGTGCGCGCGCGTGTGTGGATGTGGGTGTGGGTGCGGGGTGGTGGTGGTAGCAACAGCAGTTTCCAGGCTGGTGACCAGCCGGTTCAGGGATTCATTTCCTGTTGTGGCCAGGGGACATGTCCCCTCCGGCCTCCCCCCAGCCCCCCACCAGACCTAGCCTGTGCCAGTCTCACCCGTGCAGGGCTCTGGGTGGGTGGGAAGGTAGGTGGGTAGAAGCTCAGGTGCCCTGAAAAGGACTAGGAGGGAGAACCACTCTCTTAAAGGGCCAGCTCCTCACTCCAGGGAATCCCTCCTCAGGAGACCTCTCTACTTTGAAAGAGATGTCTCTGGGTATGTCCATACCCCTTTCTCCAAGTACTGGTGCATACAGGCATTTCTAGATCTGTAGTCTGTGTGCATGTGTCCTCCCTGTGTACTTCTTGTACATTTGGGTGTATAGTGAACAGTGAAAATGTATCTCTTGATGTATATGTGTGTGTGTTTTTATAGGTTCTGGTATATTTGTTTTTATGTATGTGTAGTTGTTTGTATATTAGTCTGTGCATGTGGGTTTGCAGAGAAGTGGCATTTTGCTGCCAAATGGAATAGAAGAGAAACATTCTGTACCGGGCCACGCCATTTTTGAAAAACTGCGTGAAAAGGAAGTTTGGGAATTTAGTCTGTGGCTTTGTGGGTTTCAGATACCGGTACTGAAATGTAGGTAGGTTGGATTTTGACTGTGATACAAGGGTAGAGAGAAGTAGAGTCTTATAGGAGGAAGAAATTGTTCAGAGAGAAGGATATCCAAGTGCAAGAATTCTTCCATTAGTTCCAGTTCTTCCCCGTAACGTCACATCCCCCTTTGCTGCTTGGCTTGCCAAGATACAGGACACAGGATTTGGAGTGCAAAGGGAGGGAGCTGGGAGTGTAAAAGGAAGGAAGGTGGATGGGTGATAGGATTGGGGGCCAGCAGCAGATTTCTGCAATTCTTAAAAATGTTTCCCTGCCAAAAGCAGCAGAGGCTGGGGAAAGCTGAGCTTTCTGTCCCCTCCTTGAATCCCAGAATCCCGGGACATGGGAAAAGCTGGCCTGGAGTTCATGAGCTCTGGAGTCTGGGCCAGAGATCTTTTGCCTTGTTCTGTCACCGAGACTGGAGTGTAGGCAGTGTCACGATCTCAGCTCACTGCAGCCTCCGCCTCCTGGGTTCAAGTGATTCTCCCGCCTCAGCCTCCTCAATAGCTGGGACTATAGGAATGAGCCACCACGCCCAGCTAATTTTTTTTTTTTTCTTTTTTGAGACAGAGTTTCACTCTTGTCGCCTAGGCTGGAGTGCAATGGCATGATCTCGGCTCACTGCAACCTCCTCCTCCTGGGTTCAAGCAATTCTTCTTCCTCAGCCTCCCAAGTAGCTGGGATTACAGGCACCCACCACCACGCCCGACTAATTTTTGTATTTTTAGTAGGGACAGGGTTTTGCCATGTTGGCCAAGCAGGCTTTGAACTCCTGACCTCAGGTGATCCACCCGCCTCGGCCTCCCAAAGTGCTGGGATTACAGGCATGAGCCACCGTGCTCGGCCTAATTTTTGTATTTTTAGTAGAGACAGGGTTTCACCATGTTGGTCAGGCTGGTCTCAAACTCCTGACCTCAAGGGATCTGCCTGCCTCCGCCTCCCAAAGTGCTGGGATTACAGGCATGAGCCGCTGCGCCCAGCCTGGGATCTTCTTTTGACTTTAGCCAACCCCTTCATGTGTTTATCTCTTCACCCAACACTTTTTATTAAGCTTCTTTATGTGAAAGGGTCTAAACTCCCTAAGCCTTGGTTTACCTGGCTAGGCAGCTAGTGGGCTAGATTTTGGGACTTTGATGACCCTTCCCTTGCTCAGATTGCTAGAGTTTGTCTCGTTGTTACCCAGGTTCAGGAATCCACCCTTCTAGTCCCCAGAGATCCTGGCCATGGTCCTCACTACTAATCTCCCCACCAATATACTCTAGTCTAGAGCTGTGGTTTTTTCACCTCACCAACAGCAGCAGGGTTACCTGGGAGTTTGTTAGAAATGCAATTTATTGGCAGGGCGTGGTGGCTCACGCCTGTAATCCCAGCACTTTGGGAGGCGAGGCGAATGGATCACCTGAGGTCAGGAGTTCGAGAGCAGCCTGGCCAATATGGTAAAAATACAAAATTTAGCCGGGCATGGTGGCACGCGCCTGTAATCCCAGCTACTAAGGAGGCTGAGGCAGGAGAATCGCTTGAACCCAGGAGGCGGAGGTTGCAGTGAGCTGAGATTGCATCACTGCGCACCAGCCTGGGTGACAGAGCGAGACTCCATCTCAGGGAAAAAAAAAAAAAAGAAATGCAATTTCTTGGTTCTCACGCCAGACCTAGGAATTGATAACTCTGGAGGTGTGGCCCAGCAATCTATGTTTTAACAAACACAGGTAATTCTTATTTACTCTGGAGCTCAAGAGAGGTGGAGACAGGGAGCCAGGAAACATCTATTAATTGAAACACTTGGAAAGCCTCCCCTGTCCCTCACACAGGTGCCTGAAATAGCACTCAGGCCCCACCTGGTAGGTAGGAATTCTGCTTTCAAGTCCCAGGTCTTATGATCTTGGACAAGTCTCTCCTTCAGTGACTAATGCAATGACTCTTTGACAGTGTGCTGTGGACCAGGTTCTGAGCGAGGGGTTTCCCTGATCTGCTCAGTTTCTCCAATTCTTACTTTGATCTCTAAGGCCCTTCAGGATCCAGTTCCTGCCCACTTCTCTGGACAACAGCCACTTTGGCCTTTTAGTTCATCTAGGCACCATGAGCTCTTTTGCTTCTGGGATTTTGCACATCCTGTTCCCTTTGTCTAGCACACTCTTCCCCTGCTTCTTATCTTGATTAACTCCCACTCTTCATGTTTCAGCTCAATAGTCACTTTCTCAGGGGGGCCTTTGCCAACTCTCTAGGCCAAGTCAATTTTCCCTGTTACACATTCTTAGAGCTCTCTGTGTCTCACAGGGCTTGTGAGAATTTGTAATTGTTGTTTGTCCCTTTACTAGACTGTAAATGCCATGTGGGCAGGAACTTGCTTACTAATCTTCTTAGTGTCCCACACAGTGCCTGACTTATGATTTGTGTTCAATAAGCTTGTCAAACTGAGTTAATTTATAAAATGGCAGATGGCACTAAATGATACCCAAAGTTTCGTTTCAAGCCCTGACAATGTGTAATCCAAGCAGGCTTCAGCCTTTTCTCAAGTTGATTTACCTGTCTTTTTCAATGCTGCATCTCCCATCTCCTGGCTGTAGATTTGAGCACTCACCGTGGGTCCAGGCCCATGCTGGGCTCTGCTCTAGTGGAGGCAGGAGGAGGCTCCTCAGGAGACACAGCCTAGCTTGGGTTCTGTGTCTTCCTGGATTAGGTTTGTACTGGAATGAGAAGAGGAAAAGTATTGAAAGAGGAATCCAAATATCTGCGTCCATGCCTTGTTATGTGACTGAGGGCCAATCACTTTCCCCTTTTGGCACGTGTCCATCTCTGTAAAATGAAGGTATTGGGATGGGTGGCACACTTAGTAGTGGTTACTAGCACTGGCTCTACAGTCATTCGGGGCTTGCCATGTACTAGCTGGGGGGACTAGGGCAAGTGATTCCATTTCCTCATTTCCTTACTTGTAAAACAGGACCAGTACTAGTATCTGTTTCACAGGATTGTTTTGATAATTAAATGAGATAACATCCTTGGAATGCTTAGCATAATGTGAGTGCATAAGAAACATTTGATAAATGTCAACTATTATGACCATTATTGCTACTCCACAATTCAGCTCAACATTCTTGAAGGCCTTTGTATTGGGCCCTAGGCCTACAAAAACAGAAATGAATCCAGCAGTATTCACAGGTTGGGGGTGGGAGCAGACATGTAAAGATGCAATACCACCGCAAGGACAATGTACAAGCTGCCAGGGTGTGGCTGTTTATGGAGGAAAAGGCTTCCTGGAGGACAGAGATGGTGTTTGGGCTGGATTTTACCGTCTGGGTATTTGAAATAGCATGTGCAAAGGCAGAACGGCTTCTTAGGGGAACCCCAAATAGTTCCACATGGTTGGAATAGGAGGTGGTGAGTGGCAGGGATGAGGGTGGAGGAGTGAATGACTGGAGATAAAGCTGAGAGGAAGATTAGGGACAGATCTGGTGCAGGCCAAAGAGCCTGAGCAAGTCCTGCAGACGGCAGGGAGCTGGGGAAGAGGAGTAAGCCAACCAGGAAGGATCAGATTTGCATTTCAAAAACACAGCTCTCCAGGTGGTGACAGAGGATGGTTGGTCTGGGAGGAAGGGAAGGACTGTTGACCTGGAGACCTGGGCACAGAGGCTGCTAAACAAGCTCAATGGGAGGCCCCACTGGGGTGGATAGATACCTAGAACAGGCTGTTCTAGGAAGCTTTTTCCTCTGTAAGCCTGTCTTCAGCCTGGTTTCACGACAGCCTGGCCCTGGAAGGTGCAGGAGAGGTGAGAGTGACTTCTCATGAGGAGCCTCTGGGTCCTCTTTAACCTCTAAAGCTGCCTAATGAGTGGGAATCTGAAAAACAGAGTTTGAGGGTCCTAGGTCTGCTACTCAAAGGATGCACAGTGTATTAACTTCCTAGGGGTGCTGTCATGAAGCACGCAAACCAGGTAGCTTTGAACCACAGACATTTACTCCCCCACTTGTGGAGGCTAGAAGTCTGAAATCCAGGTGTCAGCAAGGTTGGCTCCTTCTGGAGGCTCTGGGGCAATCTGTTTCCTGCCTTTCTCCTAGCTTCTGGTGGTTGCCAGCAATCTTTGGCATTTCTTGGCTTGCAGCTGCATCTGCCTCTGTCGTCACGTGGCTTTCTCTCTGTTTCATTTCCTCTTCTAAGGACACCAGTCATATGGGATTTAGAACCCACCCTAGTCCAGTATGACCTCATTTGAACTTGAGTAATTGCATCTGCAAAGACCCTGTTTCCAAATATGGTCACATTATGAAGTTTTAGGTAGACATAAATTTGGGTTGGGAGGGGACACTGTTCAACCCAATACATGCAGGAAGTTGGGGAGGAGTGCATGCCTTTTAGTTCCACAGGGCTACATCCAAATTTAGGCTTTGCAGTGGAGCCTCTATGAAATGGAGACAGTAGGCCAGGCATGGTTGCTCACGCCTGTAATCCCAGCACTTTGGGAGGCCGAGGTGGGCAGATCATCTGATCAGATTTGTATTTCAAATTTGAGTGATCTGAGGCGGATTATTCCTGAGGTCAGGAGTTTGAGACCAGCCTGGCCAACATGGTGAAACGCTGTCTCTACTAAAAATACAAAAATTAGCCAGGCGTGGTGGCGGGCACCTGTAATCCCAGCTACTCGGGAGGCTGAGACAGGAGAATTGCTTGAACCTGGGAGGCGGACATTGCAGTGAGCTGAGATTGTGCCACTGCACTCTAGCCTGGGTGACAGAGCAAGACTCCGTCTCGAAAAAACAAAACAAAACAAAACAAAGAAATGGGACAGTAGCACCTACAGTAGTGTCATGGTCATGAGACTTGATCAAAATAACAGATATGAGCATGCCTAATGAGGTAGTACACAGTAGGCACTCAATACCTACTTCCTTTCCAGCTCTCCCTTCTCTGCACTTAGGAGCTTGGACAAGTCACCTAATCTTGCTTTACTTTCCTCATCTATCAAATGTGAATAATCATCATCCAGCCCTGCCTACTTCACCAAATTGCGATCCCAGGAGATAATGAGAAAGCTCTTTGTAAATTGCTTAAGGGCTTGTAGCTGTGATTTTTAATTATAATAATAATCATCATAATAACCCTTGGCCATTGTCATATCCGCTGCATTCTCCTCAGAGCCCAGCCCAGCCCAGCCCGCTCCTCTCCTGAGACAGGTCCTCTTTGCCTGTTTGTGCTCAGAGGCATCCCATGAAGTGTCGCCTCTGTCTGAGTTGGGAGGACCTTAGAGATGGTCCTTGCCGTTGCCCTTATTAGCCTGAGGAGGGAAACATGCTCAGGGAGAAAAAGTGACACCCGCAAAGTCACACAGCTGGTCAGTGGTAATTGGAACACCTTATCTGTGGCTCCTGTCTTCAGTCTGAACAGTGCTTTTTCCCTAGTTGCAACTTTAGGCCCAGAAGCAGGAGCTCAGGGCAGATAGAGGCCTGGAGTGGGCTCTGCATATGTTCCAGAGGTGAGGATGCAACAGGAGAGTGTCCTGCTGTCAGGATTAGAACCCCAAGAAAGGGGTCCCTGGGCTCTGAGTGAGCAGGCTGAATGGGCCGGTTGTTCTGTTATCACTCTGGCTATGGCCATCTCTGCCTACTCTGGTGGGAGGGCCACCATGCGGGGCTCTGGAGTCTAGATGTAACCCAAGGCTTCAGTGTCCCTGTTGACAGCCAGGGTGGCATTTCTCAGCAGGTCCTGTCCCTCTAAGCCTTGCCTTGGTGGGTCTAGGGAAAGCTCTGGGAAAGAGAGAGGGCTTATACTGTCCTGGTAGTTTCTGGCAAGTCATCTTCCTTTCCCCCCACACTGGGGAAGCCAGGCCCCTCCTTGGCCCCTTGATTCTTCTTTCCTTTCCTCCCTCCTCTTCTCAGTTTGCTCTCTCCCTTCTGTCTGCTTTCTCCCCTTCCCTCTCCCCACCTTGTCCCCAGATTAGAGGTCTAAAGATAGAGTCTCCAGGCCCACTTCAGGTGGGTGGTTTTGGGTTTGCTTGAGGCCACCTAGAATTAGAAAGTCTAGAGTCTTCCTCATAAGAGGCTCACTCTGGTGACTTATAATCAACTGCTTATGTTTATTGGCTTACTGTGTGCCAGGCCCTGTGCTAAGCGCTTTACATGCCTTATGTCTTTTAATCCTTACAACTACCAAGTGAGGCAGAGATGATGATCCCCGTCGTATTACAGGAGGCTAAATAACTTGCCCAAGGCCTACGCAGTCCTCAGCCAGCAAGTGGCACAGCTGGGATTTCAATCTAGATCTGTCCGAAGCCCACCGGTACTCTTGAGTCTTTCCTATATGGCCTGTGACAGAGCCTGCGGGAGCATTTAGGTGTCCACAGAGGGGCATGCATTTGCTCAAATTCAGAGAACAAATTCTTGACTCTGAAAGAAGGGCTTCCAATCGAGGAATCTTCCCTCCCAGGCCTGCACTCTGGCAGCACCTCCGGGACTGGCCTTTCTACAGCATCAGCCTTGGGGCCCGCCAAGGCTCTGAGCCCATCTGGTTCTAGGCAGCTGCCCACCTGTAGGAGAGACACTGCATCGGTATGGGGGGTGGTGACAGGGCCCATCTGAAGGTACTTGCCTTTTTTCCTAGTTATTGTTTTGTCTCTGGCCACCTCAATTTTTCATTGAATCGAGTCTTCCACTTAAAGAAGCATATCATTTGCAAAGAGCATTACTTTTGTCTCCTCACAAGACTGCTTGGGAGCTTGGATATGCTGCAGGCTCAGTGACGGGTGGAACTCTGGAAGAAGTGGGGAGGGAGGCAGAGACCGGAGCCAGGAGACCCAGGTTCAGAGGTACATATCCACCAGAAGAAAAAAAGGAGCTGGCCTGAGGGCCAGAGGGAGGTGGCCTGGAGAGAGGGAGGAATAGGAAACCTGCTCTCACCCCATGTGCAGCCCGGGAGTCCAGACTCCCTCCCAGTCAGGGCTGCTGGTCTCAGACTGTCACTCAGGAATCTGGGCAGCTGCAGTCAGCTTGTTGAGCCTCCACCCACCCCAACCGAGACCATTATGTTGGTCAGCCTGGCTCAGCCCAGCCACCTGCCTGCCTGAGCAGGTGGCTCAGTCAGAAGGGACCTTGGTGAAGGAGTGGTGGCTTTGAAACTTCTATCCACAGAGCCACTCTTCATAGGCAAGGGAGCAGAAGTTCAATTTGTGAAACACCTAAAAGGGGGAGCAGCTTAGCACCCCACCCCATTCCCCTCCCTCCTAGGGTTCCCTAAGGCTGGGCCTCTCAAACTTTGTTTCCCCCTAAGAGCAACAAAGGTGAGCATGCTAAAAAGCAAAATAAAACAAAACAAAACCTGTGTGCCATGGCTCATGCCTGTAATCCCAGCACTTTGGGAGGCTGAGGCAGGTGGATCACCTGAGGTCAGGGGTTCGAGACCAGCCTGACATGGTGAAACCCTGTCTCTACTAAAAATACAAAAATTAGCTGGGCATGGCTGCATGCACCTGTAATCCCAGCTACTAGGGAAGATGAGGCAGGAGAATCGCTTGAACCTGGGAGGCGGAGGTTGCAGTGAGCTGAGATCACACCATTGCACTCCAGCCTGTGTGACAGAGTGAGACTCTGTCTCAAAAAACAAAACAAAACAAAACAAAACAAAACAAAAAAAACAAAAAAACCCAGCACTCTTTTTCCAGACCTCACCCAAGAGATTCAAACCCAGCTGCTCCATGGGCGGGGTGGGGGGTGGGCGTCAGATCCGAGGTAGGGCCCCGGAAGCAGCCTGCTGTAACAGTCTCCCCATCGAGATGATTGGGACACAGATGGTTCTCAGATTGCCCTTGTAGAAGGCTGGCCTCAGATGTTCATGAACTTCTGAAATATGGCATGCACAATGTTAAGAGTGTGCATTGTCCCTAGGAGAGGATCCACAGGCACCGTCTGTCTTGGAGTCACAACCCATACAACTTTAGAACTGCTGTCTTCAGGGTTGTTTTGCGCAGTTGGAGCCTAACGTCTAGAGAAAGGTCACCAGGGAGCCAATGGCAGAGCTGGGTGGAGAGGGCTGGTCTCTCATGCCTCTCAGCACATTACTGGCTTTGCTGTGAAGGTGGTCAGGGACTGTAGACCTGTCCCTCTGTCTGGGCCTCAGTTTTCCTAGCTGTAAAATGGGGGTTGGACAGGATAATCCCAAGTTTCCATGCAGCTTTGATCTGTGGTTCTGGAAGTCAGGTCTCCTGCTGCCCAGTCCAAGTTCTTTGTCCTTTTCCTTGCTCCTCCCTGGCTTCACCCACCACTGGGGGGACCTCCCACTTTTGCATCTTCCATCTTCAGAGATTCTGGACACAGCCTGCATTCTGGCCCCTTGAGTCCCTTCTGTCTGACCACATGCCCAAATGCTCAAGTCCTTTCTCCCTTTCCGTCCCCACTCACCATAATTGAGCAAGGTGCCTGTGAATCTGGGGAAGCTCAAGGTGACCTCTGTTCAGAGCTGGACATGTGGGTCAGTGCCAAGGGGAGGGCTGCGAAAACTAATTTCCTGAGGCTCCTGGGACACACCCAGTGCTTCCTATGTCTTTGCCCTAGCTCCCTCTGTTCCTCCCTGCCAAGAATGCCACCCCCTCCATTCCCCAATCACTGTTGAAATCCTGTCTGCCTTTTCAAGGCTCAGCTCAGATGCCAGCCTATGTCCTACAAAGCCTTGTAAGCCCTCCCCCTCACTCCAAGATGAAATTTGTCTTTAACTCCTCTGCACTCCCTTAGTACCTTATCTGTTCCCCTCTGGGGGATGAGTTCTTTTTGGTCTTAGCTTTATCCAGGGAGGTGGCTTTCACCGGGTTGTGAGCACTGGGATGCCTTATGTCTTATTCTTTGCTTCCCAGCACCTAGCATGGGGCTGTGCACAGAACAAGTTCTTAATTGAGGCTTACTAAGTTTGCAGAATCTGCCTCCAGCTCTGGGCTGAGCTGGCCTCTTTACAGCCCCTATGGCCCATGTCACTGGCAGGCCATGGTTTCTCACAGGGCCCCTCCCTCTATTTGTGGATTGGAGGGAGGCCAAGTAGGGCAATAAGAACTTAAATTCCGATCTTGATTCTGCCATTTCTGGGCTGTGTGACCTTGAGCAGATCACTTCCTCTCTCCGAGCCTTAATTTTCTCAGTTTAAAACAAAGAGGTAGGGATGACAAGTCTACTGGGGGCTTGGGTGAATTAACTGAAGTGCTTTGTGTAAAATGCTGATAAAAGCATTGTAAAGAACAAATAGCTAATAAATGATTATGAGTTATTATTTTTTGGTTAATAGTTATTACCATTGTTTCTTTTTCTTTCTTTTTTTTTTTTTTTTTGAGACAGAGTCTCACTCTGTCGCCCAGGCTGGAGTGCAGTGGCGTGATCCAGCTCACTACAAGCTCCACCTTCTGGGTTCACGCCATTCTCCTGCCTCAGCCTCCTGAGTAGCTGGGACTACAGGCGCCCGCCACCATGCCTGGCTAATTATTTTTGGATTTTTAGTAGAGACAGGGTTTCACCGTGTTAGCCAGGATGGTCTCGATCTCCTGACCTCATGATCTGCCCGCCTCGGCCTCCCAAAGTGCTGGGATTACAGGCGTGAGCCACCGCCCCGGCATTATTACCATTGTTTCAACAAACATCTACTACGTTCTGAGCATTGTGCTGCGGGGGCCAGGGTGAGAGACAAAAAAATAATAATAACAGGAGTTCCTTGGTCTCCAGGGTCTTAAGGTCAAATGAGGCAGTAAGACTCTAGTACAAGAAGTCAGTGTCTGGCAGAGATGTGGCTGAGTGAGTTGAGGGGGGAGTCATTAGTGTAGAGGTGACAACAGGCTAGAGGTGACATTTGAGCCAGAAGGGCATGAAGTAGGAAGGGCAATGACAGGCTGGGAGGAGACCCATATTCCCTGTGGAGAATGGGGAAGTGGGGTGCATATTTGGAGAGTTTCAGGAAGGAGGCGGGAAAGAGCAGAGCGGAAGCAGAGTTAGAATTTCCCTGCAGAAGGGGCATAGGGTCGGCACCCCGGATGGAGCAGGAACTTCAAGCTTTGTTTTGCCAAGAAGAATTTGGGGGAGTGATGACTCATGATGCCGCCATTGAGAGTAAGAGAGAGACTGCCGGGAAGATGGGGTAGAAAAGTGAGGCTTTATGGCAGAGAGAGTGGGGACCAGGGAGGTGGGGGGACATTGTCCCTCTCTGCCCAGGCTTGTGCTAAGAATGGTGGCAAGTGGGCTTCAGTTCCGGGCTTCTGCAGGGCTGCCTGTTTATCTGGCCAAGATTGGGATTTGAACATTGATGTCTGAAGTTAAAGCATGAAATGACTCCAGAAATGTCAGAATCTCTATATGTCAGAGCCCACCAGCAGAAGTGATCTCTGAATCCACCTCCCTCATGCCACGCTATGCAGGTGGGAAGCAGAGGCCTGGGAGGAGGAGATGGCACCCAAGAACACCGAGTGAACTGGCCTCGCGCGCTCTGGATGGGCTGTGCGCACTCTGGATGGACCTAGGCCTGTGTTAGGGTGAGGAGGGGGCCAGGGAACCCATGAAGGATGTACATGACAAGCAAACGTTAAGCTGGGAGCAGTCTGTTGCTAGGGTGTGTGCGTGATCCCAGGTGAGTGGGATGTGAGTGGGCCGGAGCCGTCATCATTCCAGGCTTTCCTTCCGGAAAAGGAGAAAGGGCCACATAGGTGGGAACCAGGGGAATATTGGGATGTGGGGGAAATCAGGGGGTGGCTTGAGAAGAGGAGGCTGTTGCCAAGCAGCAAGAGACATGACTGTATGAGAACAGAACAGGCACCCTAGCGTCTGTGGGCCTGGCACTGTACAGCCCTGGACTGTAGTGGTATCACCTCCATTGCAGGGGAAGAAACCAGGGCTTCCAAGGTCAGAGCTAGGAAGAATGGAGTCAGGAGTGGCATCCAGGGCTGGAGGACTTCAGAGCCATGTCTCTGGCATGCCCTGGGTGGCAGCCATTCCAGTTCTTGTGAGGTCCTGGGGTCAAAGGGGTCAAGGAGGTACTCAGCCCAGGGCAAGTCATCTTTTGCTTCCTTTCACTTCTTCTCCATCAATCTGCCCATTGAGCGGGCCTGTTTTCTTCTACTTTACCCACCCCCCTTAATTTGTTGATGAAAAATATTTATTGAGCACCTATTATGTGCCAGGCACTGCCCTTGATTTCATGGAACTTATGCCATCGCTTCTTGGCACAGAGGGCTATCCCACATTGCCAGGGAGTGATGGGAAGAAGGAGGGGAGGGGGCCACTGGCCACTTCTCTCTCCCTTTACATGAGCCCCTCCCTCTTCTCAGCCTCTATCCCCTTGCAAATGCCCCTAGCCCCAGATGGTTCTTGTTGGAACTACCTCCTGCTGAAATGAAAACCAGTCAGAGTTAATTGTTAAACCTAATAGCTGGTGAGAGTTTCACTCTCCTGGGCTGGTGGGAGGGGGGCTGCACCCCAGGGGAGGGGTGGAGTCACCCAGGTTTTTCTGGCTGGTACCTGCCACCTTTTCCCTATTCTGGAATCTGCTTCCAGGGCCCTCTCCTCCCCTCCTCCCCAGGGGGCAGGCTGCCACCTGGCCCTTTCCCCTGCCTCCAGCTAAGGTGACCCTGGGAGGTGAGCACTGGCTCTGGCCTTAGTCCAAGGGCCTCTGGGTGAGTGCTCTTAGGGGAGGTGTGGGGGAGGGCAGGGTGCCTAGCCCTGGAGACCCGTCCAGAGGCCAGGCAGCCAGTGGACCTTGCTGGCTTTGCCTCCTGCTGGGTGTGGGTGGGGGAACTAAGGATGGTGCCACAGTGGCCTAAGCCCTGCACACAGGACCACTGCCTGTGCAGCCCATGCCATGCCGTTCCGCTCTCCTTCCCTTTTGTCCTCTTCATTGAGTTTCTTATTCTGGGCCATTCTCTGCCAAAAGACTGGGAGATTTGGGCACCCTGAGAATAGTGGCAAAGGCTTATTACTTCTAGAAGGCTGAGCCTCGGGGTAGGCCCCTGCCAAAGTTTAGGGACAGAGCTCAGGGTTCCAAGTCAGCAGGCCTAGTCAAAGCTGGGTGACTTTGCGCAGGTGACTTACCTCTGTGAGCCACAGCCTCATCCTCTGAACACTACAGGAGTTCCTATTTTGGGGAGGTTTGAGGGGTCAGTGAAGGACACTGGGTACTCAGATCCCATTGTCACCATCACTGTGTGGGCACCAGAGGTAAATATTAATTTTAGGTTCAGTAGGGTTTTGTTGAATGAGTAGATACCATTCTATTCAGAGGTAAGCTCACAGAGGTAAGTCAACTTTACCTTCGAGGCTTAGCTCTGGGCTAGGGCCAAGGAGGTCATCAGCCCAGGCCCTCAAGGACTTGACTGCAGAGCTGCAGCTGCCCTATACAGCAGCCATTAGTCACATGTGGCTAGTGGACATGTAAAATGTGGCTAGTGCCACCAAGGAACTGACCTTTTGAACTCTGTCGCCCAGGCTGGAGT
The DNA here is from genome assembly GCF_000001405.40 of Homo sapiens. Lineage (NCBI taxonomy): Eukaryota > Metazoa > Chordata > Mammalia > Primates > Hominidae > Homo > Homo sapiens. Next base: position 36,106,863 of record NC_000020.11, read on the forward strand.
GCAGTGGCACAATCATTGCAACGTCTGCCTCCCAGGCTCAAGCGATTCTCCTTCCTCAGCCTCTGGAATAGTTGGGATTACAGGCATGCCCCACCATGCTTGGCTAATTTTTTGTATTTTTAGTAGAGATGGGGTTTCGCCATGTTGTCTGGGCTGGTCTCAAACTCCTGAGCTCAGGCAAAGTAATCCCAAAGGATTTCAGGCATGAGCCACCAAGCCCAGCCAAATTTTAAATTTTATTTAATATTTAATTTTATTTGATTTTAACTAATTTAACATTTTAAAAGAATGCTCCCTTCATTTATTGACAAACTATGCGTGTTTGGAAACTTAGATTTGAGAATATACCTTTTTTTTTTTTTTTTTTTTTGAGAAGGACTCTCGCTTTCGCTCTGTTGCCCAGGCTGGAGTGCAATGGCATGATCTCAGCTCACTGCAACCTCCGTCTCCCGGCTTCGAGCAATTCTCCTGCCTCAGCCTCCTGAGTAGCTGGGATTACAGATGCACACCACCATACCCGGCTAATTTTTGTATTTTTAGTAGAGATGGGGTTTCATCATATTGGTCAGGCTAGTCTTGAACTCCTGACCTCATGATCCACCTGCCTTGGCCTCCCAAAGTGCTGGGATTACAGGTGTGAGCCACCGTGCCCGGCTTTTTTTTTTTTTTTTTAAATCATAAAGGCGGCTGGGCATGGTGCCTCATGCCTGTAATCCCAGCCCTTTGGGAGGCCGAGGTGGGCAGATCACTTGACGTCAGGAGTTCGAGACCAGCCTGGCCAGCATGTGAAACCCCCGTCTCTACTAAAAATACAAAAATTAGCCAGGCGTGGTGCACGTGCCTGTAATTCCAGCTACTCAGGAGGCTGAGGCAGGAGAATTGCTGGAACCTGGGAGGTGGAGATTGCAGTGAGCTGAGATCACACCACTGCACTCTAGCCTGGGCGACAGAGTGAGACTCCATCTTAAAAAAAAAAAAATTGTAAAGGCAAGGAGAAGCTAAATATCTTATGAATATTTAGCATCTGAATCAAGATGTGTTGTAAGTATAAAATACACACTGGATTTAGAAGAGGATGTATTAAAAAATGTAAAATATCTCTATAGTCTTTTTAATTTTAGTTTTAATTTTTTTTTTTAGAGGCAGGTTCTCACTCTGTTGCACAGGCTGGAGTGAGTGGCATGATCATAGCTCACTGCAACCCTTGAACTCCTGGACTTAAGAGATCCTCCCACCTCAGCTAGTAGCTGGGACTTTAGGAATGTGTCACCTCACCCAGCTAAATTTTTTTATTTTTTGTAGAGACAAGGTCTTGCTATGTTGGCCAGGCTGGTCTTGAACTCCTGGTTTCAAGAGGTCCTTCCACCTCAGCCTCCCAAAGTGTGGGGATTACAGGCATGAACCACCGTGCTGGGCCTATAGTATTTTTTACATTGATTACATGTTGAGATAGATATATTGGGTTAAATGAATATATTATGAAAATTAATTTCCCTCATTCCTTTGTGCTTTTTAAAATGTAGGTACTAAGGCCAGGCACGATGGCTCACACCTGTAATCCCAGCACTTTGGGAGGCTGAGGCAGGCGGATCGCTTGAGACCAGGAGTTCGAGACCAGCCTGGGCAACATGGGGAAACCTGTCTCTACTGAAAATGCAAAAATTAGCCAAGCATGGAGGTGCGCACCTGTAACCCCAGCTATTTGGGAAGCTGAGGCATGAGAATTGCTTGAACCTGGGAGGCAGAGGCTGCAGTGAGCCAAGATCGTGCCACTGCACTCCAGCCTGGGTGAGAGAACGAGACTCTGACTCAAAAAATAAAATAAAATAAAATGTAGCTACTATACACTTTTAAATTACATATGTGGCTCGCATTGTATTTCTATTTGACAACACTATTGTAGACAGAGTTGAGTTGGGCACATTTGATTAATAACAGAAGACTACATAAAGACTAGTTATTTGGGGAAGGTTGGGAGGTCAATGAAGGACAGATATTCCCCACCTCACCCCAGCCCGGGCCTTGCCCCTTGGTGGAATGTTACCCTGGACAGCCCCATAGCCTTGAGGATGAGTTCAGGGCTTCTTTTTTTTTTTTTTGAGATGGAGTCTCGCTCTGTTGCCCAGACTGGAGTGCAGTGGTGCGATCTTGGCTCACTGCAAGCTCCGCCTCCTGGATTCACACCACTCTCTCACCTCAGCCTCCCGAATAGCTGGGACTACAGGCGCCTGCCACCACGCCCGGCTAATTTTTTTTTTGTATTTTTAGTAGAGACGGGGTTTCACCGTGTTAGCCAGGATGGTCTCAATCTCCTGACGTCATGATCCGCCTGCCTCGGCCTCCCAAAGTGCTGGGATTACAGGTGTGAGCCACTGCACCCGGCCGAGTTCAGGGCTTCTGATGGCAAATGAAAAACCTTGGTCTGGGTCCTCATCCTGGCCACGCCCTTCACTTGCTCTGTGTGTGACCTTGGGCAATTCTCTTTGCTGAACTTGAGCCTTTCATCTGCAAACTGAGACTAATGGTGGTTGAGGGGATGGCCTGAGAAATAATCCAAGTGAGTATTTAGCACAGTGCCTGGCATGCCTAAGCAGTCAAGTATTTGCTGTGTGGTGATTGCTACTACTGTTAGTGCGGGGGCTGTTGCCACGACAGTACTGTTGCATCCAGCAGCTCATATTCAGTTATTCCATGTGCCTCAAGGGGACATTGGCCAGAGGGGAAGAAGTTAAAATAGCTTGAGGGTGGGAGTTGGGATGGGGATTTGGGGCTGCTTTGTATGATACCTCAAGAGATTGCTTGGTTTTCAGGTAGCTCCTTGGATATTCCTTTCTGCAAGTGATCAGGCAAAGATAAATTCCATTTTACAGATGAGGAAGCTGAGGCCTGTGAAGGGAAAGTGACCTGGCTACACAGCCGGAACCTGAATGCAGGACATTCTGCCCCTGTCGTGGTGGTATTGGAGCCAGCTAATGCCACCATTCGAGGTTGCAGGAGCAGCACCTGACCAGAAATCCAGAGCTTGTAAGCAATGGTTATTATTAGTCTTCTATAACTGGAAAGGATCTTGACATTGTTTTTTTTTTTTTTTTTCTTGAGACGGAGTTTCGCTCTTGTTGCCCAGCCTGGAGTGCAATGGCGCAATCTCGGCTCACCGCGACCTCTGCCTCCTGGGTTCAAGCGATTCTCCTGCCTTAGCCTCCCTAGTAGCTGGGATTACAGACATATGCCACCATGCCTGGCTAATTTTATATTTTTAGTAGAGACGGGGTTTCTCCATGTTGGTCAGGCTGGTCTCGAACTCCCCACCTCAGGTGATCCGCCCGCCTCGGCCTCCCAAAGTGCTGGGATTACAGGCATAAGCCACCATGCCCGGCCTTGACATTGTTTAGTACAACGGTCTCATTCTGAAGTCGAAGAAACAGAGATGAGAGAGACAGAGCAAGAGGGAGAAAGAGAGAGAGAACTGCTGATCACATAGCAAGTTGGTGGCCAAGCTGGAGCTGATTCTGTTTGCTTAGATCCAGGCTTCAGCTCAGCCCCAGCAGGATGGATGGCCCTGCTTGTCAGTGCCCTTCTCTCCTGCCCAGTCCCCAGAGAGGGCTTCTGAGAAAGAGGCTTTTGTTTCATCAGCTCCTCCTGGTTTCCTCTCAAGGTAGCTACACACATGTGCACACACACACACACTCACACCCATTGGCCCCAGTTTGCATTTGTTACACACACACACTCTCACATCCCATTGGCCTCAGTTTGCTTTACACACACACACACACACACACACACACACACACACACACCATTGGCCTCAATTTGCATTTGTCCCTATTCCAGGTTTAAAGGACCCTGAAATTTGAAGACTATCCACACATATCTACTTTCTGGATATCCACGGAGAGACCATGGGCTTTTTCATCAAGGAGGCCTGAGTTCAAATCCTTCTTCTATGTCTGATTCTCTCTGTGACCTTGGGCAAGTCACTTGTTCTTTTTTGACCTCAACTTCCTCATTTGAAAAGCAGGAACGGGAATGGTATGTGTACAACCTAGTGGTTTAGCTGGGCTCCAGACCCCAGCCGCAGTGTAGGGGTCTCAGCTCTGCCACTTATTCACTGCCTGGTCTTCAGTGAGTCATTTCATCCTTCTAGGTCTCAGTTTCCCCATCTTTGAATGGTGCTGCTACCTTTTGGACAGTTGTGATAAGGCACCTTGCTGAGCTGTTCACAGGCATCATCTCATTTAGTCCCCCCATTAGCCCTGGGAGCAGACACTTTTACTCCTATTTTCCAAATGAGGAAGTAAAGTGACTTGCCCTGGGCCACATAAGTAGTAAGTGTTAGAACCAGAATTCAAACAGGTCTGAGTTACTCCAGAGCCTAAGCTCATAAACCACTGTGTGTTCTTCCTGTTCACCTGAGTTTCACATTTTACATGAAGTAGGAACACCTCATCCCACCTGGAGACTGACTGTTCTGAGTGTGTGAGTCCAGGGTGCCTGTAGCTTCTCCCTCCAAGTCTCCTGCCCCATTGCATACTAAGCCTGACCTGTGGTTGGAGCTCAAAGAAGATTGAGAAAAGTACTTACATACTTTGAGTGAATTACACCAGAACAGGATGTGAATGCTAAAAAGACCCCGAGGGAGGCCGGGCATGGTGGCTCATGCCTGTAATCCTAGCACTTTGGGAGGCCGAGGTGGGTGGATCACTTGAGGTCAGGAGTTTGAAACCAGCTTGGCCAACATGGTAAAACCTCGTCTCTACTAAAAATACAAAAAATTAGCCGGGCGTTGTGGCGCACGCCTGTAATCCCAGCTACTTGGGAGACTGAGATAGGAGAATCGTTTGAACCTGGGATGCGGAGGTTGCAGTGAGCAGAGATCGCACCATTGCACTCCAGCCTGGGCGACAGAGCGAGACTCTGTCTCAAAAAAAAAAAAAAAAAAGAGAAAAGAAAAGACTCCGAGGGATCACTGATTCCAACCATATTTATTTCACAGATGGGGACACTGAAGCAAGGAAAGGCCAAGTGGACAGCAGGGGGTATAACCATGGCACCTGAGGAGGCATCTGGAGGTTGGGGCCCCTGCTCTCCCTTCTCCCCATACATCTAGTCCACCAGCAAGTTCTGGGGATACCACCTTTTAAATACCTCTTGAGTCTGTCCACCTCTTTCTGTCTCTTCTGCAACCACCCTAGCTTAGGCCCTCATCATATCTCCGCTGGATAATCACAACAACCTCCTAACTGATGTTCCTGCAGCTTCCCCTGCCCCTCTTCCATCCTCTACCCTGTAAGCCAGTGGTTTCTCTTTGCTCTTACAATAAAGAGCGAATCTTCTCCTTGGCCTCCAAGGTCCTTCGCTGCCTGGCCCCTGCTGCCGCTTCAGGTGCATATTTGTTACTTTCTATTTTGCTTTCCGCCTTGTCACAAGGCCTTTTTGTTTAACAGGTTCAGCAACTTCCCTAAGGTGCCTCAGAGAGTCAAATGCCAGCCTCTCAATTTCCAGCACATGCTGGGCTCATGAACTCCTGTTCTGAGGAGCTAACGCTGTTTCCTCCCTCTAGGTGCCTGACTGACAGAAGTTCTTGCCCCCGGGGAGCTGGTGTGGACAGAGGAGGGGTGAGTGTTCTGGAGGCACAGACTTATTCTCCTTCTGCTGAGGTTGGACGAAGAGGTCTTCCAGGCCCTCGGCCTCTCGATTTTTGACATATTTGACTGCTGGGGAAGTGTGAGGCTTTGTCTACGCCACCTGTTTCTGGTGGCGCTGAAAACGGGGGCCATGCTGGGGACCCTCCCTGGTTTTGGCTTGTTTTGGGTTAGGGGCTGAAATGCATATTCATCAAGCTCTGTATTCAAAAACAGGCTTTGCCTCTATTGCTCATCCATGCCACCGTGGCTGGTGAAGGACGGTGCTGGGCCTGGAAGCTGCCCCGTGGCCCTTGCCTGCCTTTGCTTCACCACTCCTAGGTCGTAGACTAGATTCAGGAGAGAGTGCTTTCATCCTGGCCCTGCCCGTTGACTACTACATGACCTTCCTTTCTACTGGCCTCAGGGTCACATCAACATTGGTGGATCAGGGGATGGGGGAAAGTAGGGTCAGACTAAATGACTTGTTTTCAAACTTTCCAGCAGGGAACTCTCCTTTTTCCATTGCACCCCAAAGAATCTCAATGTACAAAACAGCTAAAGGGGTTGCAGTGTGGGTTGGAGTTGGCGTGGGGCTGGCCAATTCCTCAGCCCCCAGACAATGCAACTGACCTTTTCTTGGCTTTATGGAAGACACTTTGGAAACCACTGGCCCGGGGCGTGTCAAAGCTTCTTCCCAACTTGGAGGTGCTGTGATTCTGGCAGGGCGAGGGAGTAGAGAGGGAACTCAGCCAATGGAGTTACATTGATTGGGAAATTTCGAAGTAACATGCAAATGTCACTGTGATGTTATTAGTAAGGCACAATTGCCAGGGCTGTGATGTTGTCATTCTGGAGTCCTCTGGTTTTTAATTTTGGTTCAATGTGAAGTATCTTTGTACCCCTAGGGAAACTTTCCATTTGTGTGTGTGTGTGTGTGTGTGTGTGTGTGTGTGTGTGTGTGTGTGTACACATGTGTGTGCACCTGTAGGGAGCGGGAACTATGGGGAATGAAGTGTGGCTGAGCCAGGCTGGGACAGGTAGAATGAATGGTGGGCAGAGCTGGGAGCATGTTGCTCCTGGGGGTGGTGGGGGTAGGGGGTGGCTTTAGCTCGGTTAAAAGGAGCGATTTGGCTCCTTCCTACAGGGGCCCCATGGAGATCTCTGGGCAGGAAGCATCGGGAACAAGGAATCCTCTGTCCACAGCCACAGCACAGCCGGACAGAGGAGGTGGATTAGGAGTTCCCGGGAGGGAGCCTGCTCAGCCTTTCCCTGACATTTGGGCAAATGTGTGGGGAGATGCGGAGCTCAAGGTATGTGCGCATAGGGAAGGTGGGGCTCCGTTAAGGGGAGGTTGAGATCGGCTCATACATTTATTCCACACGTTCCTCAAGCTTCCTGAAGCCTTTCAAGGAGCCAAGCTCAGAAGCAGACAATTCTGTAGGAGTCAGAGCCAAGAAAGATGAGACTCTAGGTATTAACCACCATCAGTTTACTGAAGGAGACAGGAAATGTGAGAGATAATAGACTTTCACAGGCAGCTGGGTGCAGTCGGAGCTAGTTGGCCGTGTGTCTAGAGCCCCACATTCAAGTTCTTGCTCTACAGTAATGGTCTCATGACTTCCCCTTTCTGAACCCTCATTTCTCCTTCTGTAGAATGCAGATGAACACATCCGCCCTAGCTACTTCTCAGTGCTTTTCTAAGTGTCAATTAGAATAGAGTTTTTCAAATCTCTTTGGGCAACAGAAACCCATATTGTAAGCATTTGTAGCAGAACTTGTCTGGTTCTGGGGCAGTTTACCCAGAATTTTGCCCTCCTCGTGGCTTAGTTTCCTGGGTGCTTTTGGAGATACCTCTGCAAATTCCCAGGGCTCTAGGAAGCAGGGTCTAAAGACCACTGGGTCAGGGTATTCTTGAGAACATGCTTTGAAAACTGCCCACTGCAACCCAGGTGATAGGGGTGGTGCCACATACACAAGAGTAGTTATAATACTGGCTTCTGCTTGGCCCTGCCCATGGACAGCACTGACCTTATCTTAGTTAGGGTCTATACAATTGGGCATGGCTTTTTTCCAGAAACCAGTGACAAAAACTTAACTCAAAGTGGCTTTAAACCAAAAAATGACTTTAGTGGATCCTGGGGCAGTTCATGGGACTGAAGAATGAAGAATCAGGTTGACTCTCTCTCTGCCATCACTGCCTGTCTCTCCCTTTTAAGCTGTCCTGTGTCCCAGCTTAGCAATCCAAACAGAAAAGGGAGACTCTTTTTCTTCTAGAATCTGTATGTCAATCCAAGGGAAGGACTCTGAGTGGTTCAATCACTGTTGCTGGGAGGATAGGAATATTCTGAGTGGCCAGGTGTGGGTCAGGTGCCTACCTATGTAGCTAACGTAGGGGCAGAGCTAGCACCAGACACCGGGGGAGTAGAAGGCTGTTGGCAGACCACGAGAACATGCTAGGATATTAGTGGAGCTCTAGGTTGTAACAGCTCATAGGCCTGCAGGGGGCTGTAACTCCCCTCTTCAGTTATAGTAATGCAAATGCCAACAATAATAACAATAGCTAATGTGCATTGAATTACTCTCCCTGTACCAGGCATGTTCTATTGTTTTATGTGTATTCTTTCATTTAACTGTCATGACAGTCTTTGGGTAGGTCCTATTATTACTATTATTTCCCCATATTATCGATGAGGAAACTGAGGCCCTGTTAAGTTAAGGCCACACTTTGAGTAAGTAAGGGAGCTGGGTTTCAAGCCCAAGGTGTCTGGCTTCAGAGACCATGCTCTGACTATTGCATCTCCAGCCTCTGTTTGGTAGGCCAAGTGGCCATCTTGCCTTTGCTTGTATGCACGGAGCTCACGACTTACAGAGGCAGCCCAGTTCCAGGTTGCACTGCTCTGCCTGTTGGAAAGGGCTTCCCTATGCAGTGCACATGTCTACCTCCATACAAATCCATCCAGCCAGCATATGGCTGTGTGTTAGGTGTTTCAGGAGATGTCAAGACAAATCATCCATAAACCTGCCTGAAAGGTCATCATCACAATAAGTCACATTACTTACATTGTGCCAGGCTCCATGCTGAACTCTTTATGTGCATTATCTCATTTAATTGCAGCAACAGTCCAGGTGCTGTGGCTCACACCTGTAATCCCAGCACTTTGGGAGGCCGAGGCAGGTGGATCAATTGAGGTCGGGAGTTTGAGACTAGTCTGACCAACATGGTGAAACCCCGTCTCTACTAAAAATACAAAAATTAGCCAGGCGTGGTGGAGCATGCCTGTAATCCCAGCCACTCAGGAGGCTGAGACAGGAGAATTGCTTGAACTCGGGAGGTGGAGGTTGCAGTGAGTCGCAATCGTATGACTGCATTCCAGCCTGGGTGACAGAATAAGACTGTCTCAAAAATATAATAATAATAATAGTTGCAACAACAACTCCAGAGAGTAGGTTCTGTTATTGTCCCCATTTTCCAGGGGAAACTGAGGCTCAGAGGGAATAAGTGACTAAGAAACTGCAAAGCTGTTATTTGAGTTCAGGTCTGCCTAGCTCCAGAGCCTGTACTACAACCCAGTGCAGTCAGCTATGTCCCCTAGAGGGGAATACATGTGTGCAGATGTGATTGTGACACAGTCAGCATGCAAATTGCCACTGAGAGGGACAGGAAAAATGCAACTGGAGTTTAGAGGAGAGAGGTCAGGGAAAGGGGGAGAAGGGGACATTTGATCTAAGTTGAGGGGAACTAGGATTTGGACATTCAGTTCAGGGAGGGATCTCCAGGAAGGTTTGGAAGAGAGAAGCAGGGGTAGTGAAGTTTGGGGGAACCAAAGAGCTGAGTTGGGGGTGAGGATGAGGGGTGTTGTGGCCAGCTGTGCTTTCAGGCCCCACAGAAGGTGCCTTCTTCTTCCAGACTGTTCTCTTCTGAGACGTGAAGAGGTTTGATCTTCTCCAGGAGAGCTCAACACAGGTGCCCATTTCCTTCCTTTCCTCCTGATGTGAGGTGGGCAGGCCCTATCTGGAGGGTAGACAAGGCACCTGGGCACCAACAGCTGTCAGTGCTTCATTCCCTTCTTCCTGGTGGTGAATGGCAGGAAAAATGGTCCATTCCCCGGGGATCAGCACTTTCTCCAGACAGCACAGTGCTCCAGGCACCAGAATGGCTGGACTAGCCATTCAGGAGGGTTCTCCATGTCCTCCCTGGACAGCAGGCTGAAGCATATGCCTCTCACCCATGGAGGGGCTCCTTTCTCCTGTGCCCTCCCTTAGCTAATCTCATCCATTTGTCAGAAGTTGGATAATGCCCCCAGAGGCCTGGGCTCTGTCCCTAAAGTGCCTTTGGATTTTTCTCCAAACAACACAGGTGGGAAATTGGGGGAAGAGTATGATGTAGTGCTAGGTGCTCTCTCAGTTTCAAAGGATAGAAGAATAGCAGTTATTTTTCTTGAGCTGGACTCACAGTGAGTCAGGGGTTTTATTACCCCATTTTGCAGATGAGGAACTTGAGGTTCAGAGGAGGAAAATGATGACAAATGCAGTTGTCACATGAAATATGAATGGCTGTGCCATTGTCTGCTGAAGGAGGGACATAAGTGTGGAGACTCAACATGGAAAACTGCCCCTTCCCTCCCCTGCTCTTGCCCACCAATTCCTCCTCCTGTGGCAGTGGCTCTGAAATGCTGACTCTGGCTACCCTAGCTGCTCTCCATCCTCTCTTCTACATGGTAGCAGATCATTCGTCCTGGATTGCTGCCTGCCTGAGAGCTGGAGGGGTGTCTCTGGGGGACTCAGGCCTCAGGAATGTTGCCCACGTAAGGTCCAGACATCCAGTATTTCTTCTGTGACTCTTACAGTCTCTGGAGTCCCTGGATTTCTCCAATCCTTCTTGAAGGAATTCCAGCATTTCTGTAAGGGGAAAAGAGGCAGAGGACAGAAGAATTCTTTCATAATTCTTCTGTCCTTAGGATCCTTCAACCCCATGGCCCTTATCACCTGGCTCACACTAGAACTAGAATCAAAGTCCTTCATATTCTTTTCTACAAAGGGCTTTTCAATTTATCATCTCATCTGATTTTCCTTGTAATCCTGAGAGATAAGGCAGGAAGGGTATAATTATCCCCATTTTGTGGGTGGGTTAACTGAGGCTCAGAGAAGGTAAGTAACTTCTCCAAGGTTACACAGACAGAGCAGGGCTAGAAGATAGAAGCCAGTGTCCAGGAATCCTGACCTTACTTCTCAGTGCCCAGTGCTGACAGCTACTGGGACAGCCTCTGGCTGGCCTCTTAGTCCCTCTCTACATCCAGGACTCCCTCTCTGGTTCAGCCCAGTGTGGGGGAGGAGTCATGTCCCCAGTTCAGACCTTCCAGGCTTCCTAAGGCCTCCAGAGTAAAGCCTCACTCACCACTTCTGTATTTGAGAGTTCCCCAAATCCAGTCCCAATCCACTGCTCTTGCCAATCTCAGCTAACATAACAGGCTAGTCTTTTCCTTCTGACAAAGTAGACAAGATTAGCCATTTGTTAGGGGGGCATCCCTCTGTGGGATGTTGGATGAATGGGTTTCAGCCTGCTTGCTGCTGAGGGAATAGACAGGGAAACTGAGGCAAGGGTCAGCACAATCGCTGCATTCAGGACAGCTTAGAGAGGCAAGGCTAAGAAAAGGCTTGGACTGGACTAATACGATGGGCCTTTCCCCAGGAAAATCTACTGCTTTGTTTCATTAAATAAAACACAGATGGTGCGTGCCTATAATCCCAGCTACTTGGGAGGCTGAGGCAGGAGAATTGCTTGAACTGGGACCTGGGAGGTGGAGGTTGCAGTGAGCCAAGATCGAGCCACTGCACTCCAGCCTGGACTACAAGAACAAGACTCCATCTCAAAAAAAAAAAAAGAAACACAGAGTGTACTGAGTGCCTATCTTTTGCTCTACTTCTATCCCAGAGAATATCTTCCAAGGGGCACCTTAAGCTTTGTCAGAAAAGTAGCACCTGGGCCAAACCAGAACCAGAGACCCAGGTTCCTAAGGAGCATTGGAGTTTACAGCTCAGCACTTGCCAGAACAACTGGGATTCTGGAATTAGTGATGATGATTGCACAACTCCGTATGTAAATATACTCAAGAGGAGTGAATTGTATGCTGTAAAGTGGTACATTTTATGGCGTATGAATTATATCTCAATTTTTTTAAAAAAGAATACCTGGGATTATATTAGAGCATGCCCTGCACATGTAGGTGCTTAATAGATGCTTAATAGATATTTGTTGAATGAATGCATTAATGAATGTAAATTTATTTATTTATTTTACTTAAAAATTTTGTTTTGATATAAGAACATCTTATAAAGCACATTTGTTTGATCCTCACAGCAGCTGTAAGGAGGACTTAGGGCAAGAATAATGATCCCCATTTAACAGATAAAGAAACAGAGGCCTGGAAAGATGAAATGACTTACCTAGGGCAATTGAATTAGAGTTTTAGAGAGTTGAAATAAGTTTTTATGCTATCTTCTCCAGCCCTTGATTCATTAAGCAAACCTTAACCAAGCACTTCTTCTATAACTGAGCTATCCCTGAGATGCTGAGATACTGATATCAATGTGACAAGACCTCTCTCATTCCCCAGTAGTTGAGAGGGAGACTGGGATGAAGAACCAAGCACTGACATGACTAATCACACATGACTATGGTGTGATTAGTACTGAAGGGAGGTGGGCTCAGGGGCTGCAATGCCCAAAGGGGCTCTGGCCAGCCCTGGGGAGAGCAGGGTGACTGCCCTGGAGGCTGACAGCTGACTGGACCAGGAAGGATCAGAAAGATGGCCAAAAGAAAGGGCAAGGTGTGGCTGGGTGTGGTGGCTCACGCCTGTAATCCCAGCACTTTGGGAGGCTGAGGTGGGCAGATCGCTGGAGGTCAGTAGTTTGAGAACAGCCTGGCCAACATGTGAAACCCCATCTCCACTAAAAATACAAAAATTAGCCAGGTATGGTGGTGCACGCCTGTAATCCCAGCTACTCAGGAGGCTGAAGCAGGAGAATCGCTTGAACCTGGTAGGGTTGCAGAGAGTCGAGATTGAGCCACTGCACCCCAGCCTGGGTGACAGAGCAAGACTCCATCTCGAAAGAAAGCAAGAAAGCAGGAAGGAAGGGAAGGGAAGCGGAGGGGAGAGGAGGGGAGGGGAGGGGAGAGGAGGGGAAGGGAGGGGAAGGGAAGGAAAGGGACAAGGTGGGCAGGGTAGGGTATCTTCATGTCAGTCCAGGGTGCCCTTGAATCCTGTGATGAGATTAGGGCTGGCTTTGATTCAGAAGAACAGGAGGAGTCACTGATGAATTTTAAGCAGGCGAGGAACAATGCTAGATTGCCCACTGCCCTCCATCCAGGGCAAGCCCATTTCAGCCCTTTCTTCAATACCACTCTCCCTGCCCGCCCTCCTCCTCTGTACCCTCTGCGCTGGTCACACGGTGAGCCTGATAGAGGTGAACTTGAGCCCAGGGGTCCTCTCTCCCAGACCAAGCTAGTCCTTGCTTCATCACTCCAAGTAGCCCTCCTCAGTCTGAGTCCACCCCTGACATTGCTGTTCTGGCCTTCAGCTGATCACAGCTAGAAACTGTCGGTAACATTAGCACTAAGCGCTAATAACCATTAAAACAGATGACCATTTACCAAGCCCCTACTCTAAGCCAGGCGTGGTTATAAGTGATTCATTTCTGTATCACTTAAAGTCATTTAATCCTCATCCTAAGAAATGGGTTATAGTATAATCCCTAGTTGGCAGATCAGGAAACTGAGGCACGGAAAGGTGTCATAATTTGCCTAAGTATTGGTGAAGCTGGGATTCAAAACCAGAGGCTGTGCTGAGTCTTATCCGCTGGACTGTAGAGCACACAGGAGGAAAAGGGCAGTCAGTCCAGCTGAAGACTGAGTGAGCAAAGAGGGACTGGTCCGGTGAACTTGGCAAACCACAGAAGCACACACAGGCCTTGAAGTCCATACATTCCATGTGACGGGCAATCTGCCTTTTGCCTTTGAATCTAGGATTTCTGAAGCTCTAGGCCAACCGTGTCCCTGTCTGTTTGATGTAGCCTGGCTGGAGCCTGAGCCCTGGACAACCAGATTCATATTTTCTCTCTCATCTGTTTCTCTTTCTCCTACCGACCACCCCAGTGCTTGGGCCTAGAAATGGATTCTGCCTCCAGCTGCTCCTCCACTGGGTCCTGATTTAGTCCGCAAATTTTTATTAAAAACTCCAATTTTATTGGAGTTCCTACCATACTCCAAACACTGTCCTATGTACTGGGATACAGAGGCACACATGGCAGGTAAACACATGCTATGGTCTGGATGTTAGTGTCCCCTTATAATTTATTTGTTGAGATCCTAACCGCCAAGGTAATGGTTTTAGGAGGTGGGGCCTTTGGGAGGTGATGAGGTCATGAGGGCTCCACCTTCACGAATGGGATTAATGTCCCTATAAAAGATCCCAGAGCCTTTGGTAGTTCATGAGCATGATGATTGGGTGTTCACGCATGGGGGTGAGATGTGCCGCCTTCAAACCTTGTTACAATGTACAATGTGAACGCATTACCTGTCTGACATGAAAAAAAAAAAAAAGAGAGCGATCTCAGAGAGCTAGATTTCCTTTCTACCATATGATGACTAGAAGGAGCCATCTCTGGACCAGAAAGCAGCCCTCAGTAGACACGGAATCTGCTGGCACCCTGATCTTTGACTTCTCACAAAAATGTGAGAAACACATTTTTGTTGTTTATGAGCCACCCAGTTGATGGTGTTTGGTTATAGCAGCCCGAAAGCAGAACTTCATATCGTTCTCTGGCATTTCCCAAGGGGTAGTGACAAAGATGTCTCTTGGTTCTTCCATGGGATGCATGATTTTGAATTTGGAAAAATACCTCTGTTGGGGGAGGTAGCATGTGCTGGGAGCCCATGTGCTGGGGGTCAGGCTTGGGCTGTGATCCTTCCTCTTCTGTGGCCATGCTGGGTGACCTTAGGCTGGTTCTTGCCTCTCTCTGGTCCTCTTCCTCCCCATCTACCAAAAGGGGAGATGAGAACAGTCCCTGGCATTTGTGGGGCATTTGCCTGGCCTATGTGTCATGTGCTCACAGGAGCCCAGGCTGATTCCAAGGTCCCTTCCTTTCTAACATTTGGTTCCTGGGTCTCACAGGCCCTGGAAGTGACCACTGGGCTGAGTAGCTCATCAGCTTCCCCACACTGAAGCCCGAGGGGTCTCCTGCTGGCTTCTGAGAGCTGACGGAACAGGTTCCAGCAAGGCAGACCCTGACACAGAAGCCAGACCTGTCCAGCAGGGACCCCATACACTGGTGGGTGTAACCTCTTATTATTTCCTTTGGGCAGGAAGTGGGGAAGGCTGGAGTGGAGGTGGAGTGAGAGCAGACCTTCAAGGCCCCTGAAACTACGCACTTAACCTAGTTCTGCCTTGTGAAGGGTGGTGAAACCAAAGCCCGAGAAGGGCAGCTTTCCCCAAGACTTTGCCAGGTGTCACCAAACTATGCTGGAACCCAGATCTACTGATCCCTGCCTGGTGTCGTGTGCTCAGCTGTTCCTGGGCCTTGCTCACGGAGTAGGGGAGGGCAAAGGATAGAGCGTGTGTGCACCTGGCCAGGTGGAGAGTGGCCACATTTTATCCCGATGCTATGGTTGTGGGGGGAGAAGTGTCTCCATGTCATTTGTCATGTTTCCCTGCCTCCTGTCATGTTTCTCAGATAAGTTCCTGGGTCTCTTGCCCAACTGACGCAAACAGCCTATAGGTTGAGTGTCCAGAGGAGGGGGCGATGCAGAGGGCCGGCCTTTGTGCCAAATGGGGACAGGAGGCCTGGTGAGTCCTGCTGTACACCATTCCTGGTGGTGGAGCCGCTCAGCTGTGAGCGCCCATCCTTTCTCTGGGCAGTGGCCATGTGGCCTAGGCTAGCAGGCCCTGGAAGAGCCTTTCTGTGTCCTTCCTGGTTCTTGGTGTCTACCGCCTCACCCACACCCCTGAAGCTCTGGGCTTTGCTACTCAGCTCTGGCACAGAGACTGGTTTGGCAGGTTTGGCCACACCCATGAGCAGTGCGATGGCTGGGAGCTGGGGTGGAGCAGGCCTGAGGAGGCAGTGCTGCCCTGTCCTTACCCCCATACCCCCAAATCCCAGCCTCACTTCTGCCGCCTTTTCTACCTTTCTCAAGGGAGGCTTCCTGGGAAACTGGAAGGCAGAAGCCACGCAGACTTCTAGTCCTGGTTCCACTGCTTACTCGGTATGTGGCCCTTGGCCAGCCCCTTTCCCTTCTTGGACCTCAGTTTCAGCACCTGTACAATGGGGCTTTGGGCTCAGTGATCCTCAGACAGCCACGTTGTATGATTCTAGTTGGGGTTCTACGATTTTCTCTCCATCCCTGAACAAACGATAGAGCACTGACTGCCACAGGTTCCACCTGGGTAAAATGAGTGCCTCGACCCTTGCTCGCTTCCTGGAGATGTCGATAGGATCAGCCAACATCCTAGCAAGCATCCAGTCTCCATGGGAAAGTTTTCTTTCTATAGTCTGGCCTGCCCTTATCTGGTTCAAGCAGAAGGAGAGAGGATACCTAGAGATGGGGCTTTCTCTAGGCCCCCTCCCATGCTCCACTTACCCTGAGACCATAATTGACTGAGAACCAGGCTTTCTGAACGTCTCCATGATCGGGGGGGAGGGGCAGAGGTAGAGAACAAGAATACAGAGGAAAGGCCCTCGCACTTGCTGCCTCCTGTTCCTCCCGACCTTCAGACCAGCCCAGGGTCTAGTTTGGGGGAAGAGGGGAAGGCAGAAAAATTCCACCACTGCTACAGGCCCCCTCTGTGACACTGGGAAAATTGTGTACTTTCGCTGCACCTCAGTTTCCCGATCTAACGAGGAAGACACATGTCTTCCAGATCACATGTCCTCAGAAAATTTAAGTTCTGGTTTTTTTGTTTGTTTGTTTGTTTTTGAGACAGAATCTCGCTCTGTTGCCTAGGCTAGAGTGCAGTGGCGCAATCTTGGCTCGCTGCAACCTCCGCCTCCTGGGTTCAAGTGATTCTCCTGCCTCAGCTTCCCAAGTAGCTGGTATTACAGGCATCCACCATCATACCTGGCTAATTTTTGTAGAGACAGGGTTTTGCCATGTTGGCCAGGCTGGTCTCAAACACCTGACCTCAGGTGATCCACCCACCTTGGCTTCCCAAAGTGCTTGGATTATAGGAGTGAGCCACTGCGCTTGGGCAGAAAATTTAAGTTCTGACAATGTATAGGTCAGAAGAAGGAATGGGAGTTAGATGAAGAGGACATTCCCAGCCTGAGATGGGGGCTAGAGAGAGAAGAAAAAGGGAATTAACATTCAGTGAGCACCTATGTGCCAGTGCTATGCCAATTACTTTGCATACAATACATACACCATCTATATTCCCAAGTCTCCTTTCCAAGTGGCAGCCAGAGTGAACTTTGTAAAACACAAATTTGGCTGGGTGCAGTGGCCCACACCTGTAATCCCAACACTTTGGGAGTCTGAGGTGGGCGGATCACGAAGTCAGGAGATCGAGACCATCCTGGCTAACATGGTGAAACCCCGTCTCTACTAAAAATACAAAAAAAAAGAAATTAGCCGGGTGTGGTGGTGGGCGCCTGTAGTCCCAGCTACTCGGGAGGCTGAGGCAGGAGAATGGTGTGAACCCGGGATGCAGAGCTTGCAGTGAGCCGAGATCGCGCCACTGCACTCCAGCCTGGGCGACAGAGTGAGACTCCGTCTCAAAAAAACAAAACAAAACAAAACAAAAAACCCAAAAAACACAAATCTGACTATGTCACTCAGTGACTTTCCTCTGCCCTTAGAATAAAATCTAAATTCCTTACCATGGCGTTCAGAGCCCTGAGTGAGCCGGTTCCTGCCTCCCCCTTCCAGCCATCTATCTCTATTGGTCTCCATAGATCATTGGAAATTATTCTATTGGTCATTTCCGTCAGCCACAGGAGTCTTCTCTGTTCATTTAGCAAATTTATTCCAGTCTCAAGACCTTTACACATGCTTAGGTTCCCTCTGCTTAGAATTCTTTTCCTGGCTCTTTGCCGCCTTGGCTCCTTCTTATCCTCTACGTCGCAGTTTAATTTAGTCCTCCCACCCCCTGCACTGCTTTTTTCACCACCTCTTGATTCCTTCATAATGCTTATCACAATTTGTAGCTATTTGTCTTTTTCTTTTAATGTCATGTTCACTCTTGATTCCATGTGGCATGGCGCACAGTAGGTATTCAATAAGTATCTATTGGATGAATGAATGAATGAATTGTAAGGAAATGAGAGAGTGCTGGTTGAGTGCCTGGCATAGGGTATGGCTCTTAGGAGGTGCTCAATAAATGGCAGCTTTTAGTGAGAACTGACATGGCAGAGAAAATAAATACCCACTGATAGATTGCATACATGGTGGGTAGGGGAGGCAGCGGGTAATTAAGATTGGAAAGTGATGCACTCGTGCCAGATCTTGGGGGTCCCTGATGCTCAGCCAAAGAGTTTAGACTTCCTGAAAGAGTAGCTGGAAGTCATTGCTGGGCCATTAATGTAACTATAAAGCCCTACTTCTAAGATGTGGGCTCAGCCACTTTGCGTACTCAAGGGGCTGTGCTGTATGGTGGTGGGGTTGCAGGGTTGGGGACAAACCCAGAGAGAGACAGGCTGGGAACCTTTCTGGTGTCATTCTCTGAGACAGGCTATTCCTACAGGCCCAGAAGGAGGGGACACAGTTAGGAGCATCCTGTGTTTTCTGATTCCACATGGCCATTACATTGTTTCTGGGGAGTGGAGGATAGGGGTGACCTAAGAGTCAGATGCTTGGATTTCTATTTGAGCCCCTCCCCTTATCAACCGTGTGACTTCTGCTAGGTTCATTTGCATTTCTGATTCTGTTTCTTCATCTGTAAACAGGCTGCTGTTCGTACCTGCCTCATGGTTTTCTTGGGGAGGATCAATGAGGTAGAACCTGCAAAGGGCTTAGCAGAGAGCCTAGCACCTACTGAGCGCTCAGTAAAGGTGAGCTATTATCTTCCATTCAACAGTGGGGGATTCAGAAAGGTAGATTGAACCACAAGTGCACAGAGGCATGAAACACTTTGGAGTGGCAGGAGTTTCCTGTGTGTGTTGGGGACGGCAAGGAGGCAAGTGGAGTGGCAGGTGGGTCCAGCTCCTGCAGCCCGTGTATATTGACCAGGAGCTGGCACTTTATCTGGAGAGCGATGAAGACACTGCAGGGTATCAGGTTGGGAATGATGTGATCTGATTTCTGGCAGTGGGAGGATGAATTGGAAGGGTAAGGCTGGAGACCAGGAGACGGATGGTAGTCTGTTGGTGTGGCCTGGTGAGAAGTGATGGGCTTCATCTCAGGCTCATGGAAGTGTAGAAGAGGGAACAGATCACAGAGTGAGTAGAGACAGAGAACGGACAGTGTGGGGCCGATGGGTCTTGGGGAAGGGAGGGGGAAGAAAGGAACTTGTCCTAGATGGCTGCAGACTTTCTCGATGGGGGGCTGACGAGATTATAAAACCGAAAGTATGGACAGTGCATGTGGGTTTTGATGCCTGTAGTTTGACTTTTCTGGGAATTCAGTAGCTCCCTGAGAAACCTCTCTTTTATCTGACTCTCTGTGTAGAAAATCTTTCTAAAATCTCTGAATGATGACTCCTCCATTAGGGATGAGGAAGGCCTCCTGTGGGGACACCGTGCATACCTCCTAAGGAGGGGTGGCAGCTTGGCCTCCTTTGGTGGTAACAAAGCTGGGGATTTTATTTGGAAGCTGTATTTCAGAGTCTATCAGTTTTCTTGTGATTTTCTTCAAAGCATGTACAAAAAGGCAGTTCCAGTTAGTGGAATTTTTTTTTTTTTTTTTTTTGAGACAGAGTTTCACTCTTGTTGCCCAGGCTGGAGTGCAATGGCGTGATCTCGGCTCACTGCAACCTCTGCCTCCCGGGTTCAAGCGATTCTCCTAACTCAGCCTCCCAAATAGCTGGGATTACAGGCATGTGCCACCACGCCCAGCTAATTTTGTATTTTTAGTAGAGACTGGGTTTCTCCATGTTGGTCAGGCTGGTCTCAAACTCCCGACCTCGGATGATCCGCCCGCCTCGGCCTCCCAAAGTGCTGGGATTACAGGCGTGAGCCACCGTGCCTGGCCAGTGGAATGTTTTGTGTATTTATTCCACGGCTCTGGACCAAGACTAGGCAACTTTTCAAGAGTGGTGAAAGGTAAGCTCCTGCGTGCTCCCTCTCTCTGTTATTTTCTTGATTGGTGTGGACTGGAAGCTCACATTCCAGAGAAACTTAGGTCTTAGATTACCCGTCTAATTTTCCTTATGGATGGGAACAAGAGAAGGTGCATGAAAGTTGCTCATGATTGTGAATAATGCCACAGCTGGGCTTGGCCCAGGCACCTCACTGGCAGCTACAGGCTTTCCCATGGCATGCAGCTGGCACTGCCTCTGGAGAGGAGGATAGGGGTGATGAACTGATGAACATCAGCACAGCCCCCGGCCCATCTCAGAGGCACACACCTAGTGGCAGCGGGAGGGCCCCCGCAGACTGGAGAGGACTCAGCTATTATTGTCCTAAGCCTCTGACAGTGAGGCTCATCCATACCCCGCCTCCCATCTGAGATGAGCTCAGAGATATGACTGAAGTTTCAGGGCTAAAACCAAAGGGATTGGGTTGGTACCCCCTTCTTATGAGAAAAGGAGAGGAGAGCCCTGTCTGGGTCTGGCGGAATACAGTCTGCATCCCCACCCCAGCTGATTGCAGTGATGAGGAGATGCCTTTGTCTGAGTTGCCAGGGGAACCAAAGTTTCTGCCTTCTTCTAAGGCCCTGATTGGCTCCTGCTGGAGCTTAAGCTTTGGTGAATGGAAGGGCCTCTCTTCTGCCTACACCTTCCCTGAGGTGAGAGACGAGTAAGGCTGGAGTCCCCATGGATGCACTGTGTTGGTGTCTCTGTCCTACCTCCTTAGCTGGGGGTGCTGGATCCCCTTGCTCATTCGTCTTTCACTAATCCTGGGCAGCATCTGCCCCAGGCCTTTCATCCTTCTAGGTCCAGGAAAGCTAGCCTAAGAATCAGGAAAACTGTATACCAATCCTGACATAGGCAGACTCACTCTTGGCCTTGGGCAGGTCTCTTCTCCCTGGGCCTCGGTTTCCCTACCTGTAAAAATGAAGGCATTGGGCTAAACTCTGGTCCTTCCAGCTCTGACTTCCCTGACCACACAGCCCAGATCCCCTCTCTGACCTTCCATGGCCCTCCTCGTGCCTCTTGTGTGCCTCTGACTGCATTCTCTCTCGTAGGTTCCCTTGTAAGATGCAGGTCAGAATAGGGGGTTGTAACCAGCCTTGAGCATTGTTTTGGTTTTCTGTAGGAAAAATTGTGCTCCCTGAAGCCTGTCCTAGAAGCCCTACATCCTGCAACCCCTCTTGTCCTCATCTGTCTCACCTGGACCGAGCCCCAGGGTCAGAAGCCCGGGGGAACGAATGATGGGTGCTTGTGTCTGTTGCAGGGTGGGGCTAGGCAGTGTGCAGAAAGGAGCATGTGGGGGTGGGCGGGGGCAGCTGGAAGAGCCCTGGAGCTCAGCAGTCCTGGGTTCCAGGCCTAATTTGTCTACCTGCTGGCTATGTGACCTTGGGAGGGTGGCTCAGTTGCAGTCTCCCCATCTATCACACAGGAATAATAATGCCACCTCACAGGGCTTGTTGCCAAGATGACATGTCTGCCATACAGGAGACACCAAGTTCCCTTCCCTGCTCTCTCTTCTAAACAAGGCAGGGAGATGGGGAAAGTTCAGACTGAGGAGGGGCCCTAGGCTGCAAGACCTGAGGTGCCCCAGGCCGGGCCTTAGATGCTGCTCATTCCTGGCAGTGCCAAAAAGCAGGGAGAAAAAAGTATTGGCCTTGGGTGGATGGGGGAGGCTGTGTGTCAGAGCTAATGTTTAAATAACACTTTTAAGATCCTCCAGGGACCTCAAATGAGGATTTTTCAGATGAGCTGAAAATGGAGCAAAGTAATGAGACTGAGCTCACTGGCAGGAAAGGGAGCAGCCTTAATTGGTACTGGCCCTGCCTTGGCCCCGTGACACTCATTACCACAGGCTGCCCAGGAGGATGACCCGTGCATTTGGGCTGTAAGCAATGTCAATTTCTTAGCATGGGGTGATGGGGTTGCATCTGGTAGTGACTCAGCCCTGCTTCTTGTCGACTCACCAGGTTGAGGGTCAGAGAGGACTTCTTAGTTGGCCTTCAGAGCCTGGTTTAGTTTTTAGCTTTGTGACCTAGCCTCTCTCCACCTCTGGGGTCTAGAGGCAGCAGCCAGACCTGGCCACTGTCTGTCACAGGTGTGGTGGGAGGCAGGGATGGGATGTTGAAGTCAGGCATGAGTTGCTGGGGGACCTTCCCTCCTTTGCTGAGGTTTGCCTGGGGTCCTGGATGAGGTGGGTGGAGAGAGGGAGGAAGGGGCATTCTCAGAAGAAAAAAGGCTGGTGGGTGTGTGGGTGGGTGAATTTGTGCCAATGAGATGTGACTCTCTGGGCAAGCTTGTGTAGCTTACATGGAGGAGGCACAGAATCTAAGGGACATGTCTCAAAGAGGCTGAGGGATGGGCCTAAGAAGCCAGCATGGGTGGGGGTGAGGGGTGGGTCCTGGGAGTGGTTTGGTTTGCGAGTCCCTGTGGAAACACAGGTGGTAGAATTGGTGAATGGTATGGACCAAGAGTCCTATTCTGAAGACACCAGAAAATTCTGACCAGGCTCTTGTACGTGAGGCCTCTTCTGTTTTGCTTGGGCTGGACTGCGGGGTGAATGGCCACGGGTGTGGTAAGTTACCGCTTCTCCTGGGGGGAGCCTGGTTTGCATTGTAAATACTGCTCCTGGAGCCACTGGTCATGGTGGGGGCACTTTTTCAGACGCCTTCCTGGGGAATGTGTGAGGGCCGATTGTTAGATCATTCTTGGCACCTGGTTTGCATTATGAATGCAGTTGGGAGGCATAAGGGCAAGCATTGGGTCACTAGCGGGTCCCAGGCCACCCTGACCCCAGGCTCACTGCTCCCGAAGCACTCCCTCTCCTTGGTCTCTGGGACAGCACACCCCACTTTCTGGCTTTCTCACTCTGGCCTGCCCTCATTTGCCTGTTGCTGCTCCTCTCCTTAACTGTTCAGTGTGTGGGTTCCTCAGGGCTGCATTGCAGTTATTGTCGTTTTTAAAATAATACCGTTTTTTAATTTTAAAAATTCAATTTATTCATTTATTTTAAAAATTACAAATGAGAGCTCATTATGTTGGCCAGGCTGGAGTGCAGTGGCAACTCACAGGTGCAATCACAGCCTCAAACTCTTTGACTCAAGGGATCCTCCTACTTCAGCCTCCAGAGTAGCCGGGATTACAGAGTGTGCCACTGCACCCGGCAGGTTTGTTTTTTTTTTTTGTTTTTTTTTTTTGAGACGGAGTCTTGCTCTGTCACTCAGCCTGGAGTGCAGTGGCGTGATCTCAGCTTACTGCAACCTCCGCCCCCCAGGTTCAAGTGATTCTCATGCCTCAGCCTCCCAAGTAGCTGGGATTACAGGCACCCGCCACCATGCCCAATTAATTTTTCTATTTTTAGTAGAGACGGTATTTCTCCATATTGGCCAGGCTGATTTCGAACTCCTGACCTCAAGTGATCTGCTCGCCTTGGCCTTCGAAAATGCTGGGATTACAGGCATGAGCCACCTTGCCCAGCAGTGTTTTTTTTTTTGTTTTTTTTAATTAAAACCATAATAACATAGTACCAAGATTTGGGAAAACAGGAAGCAGAAAAAAATTACTCCTGAATATGATTGGGAGCTTGGAGTGTTTCCTTTCACCAGTTTTCCTTTGCTCTTTCTTGCACAGTCATAATTTCTACCGCATCATCAGTACTGTCCTGCATTTTTCTCTTAATGTTGTATCGGAAGCTGCCTTCCGTGTCGTTACTGAGGATTCTATTAAATACACGATCAACTCATCCCTTTTCCTGCTCATGGATATTCCGGCTGTTTCTAGTTTTTGCTATTATGAATAACAGTGCAATGAACATTGCATAAAATGTTCTTCCTGTATTTCAGATGATGATGTCTCTTGGGGTGAAGACCCAGGAAGAGAATGCTGGGTAAAAGGCTGTGGCTGCCTTAGAGGCTCTCAGTAAACTTGCCAAACTGCTATGCCAACCTTTAACCCCCAGCATCCAGGGTGAATGGCAGGAACTGTTTTTTATTTTTCTCTCTCTCTCTATTTGATTTTTAAAAATTTCTCTCTCTCTCTCTCTCTCTCTCTCTCTTTTTTTCCCCGAGACAGAGTTTTGCTCTTGTTGCCCAGGCTGGAGTACAGTGGCATGATCTCGGCTCACTGTAACCTCTGCCTCTGGGTTCAAGGGATTCTCCTGTCTCAGCCTCCTGAGTAGCTGGGATTACAGGAGCCCGCCACCACACCCGGCTAATTTTTTTTTTTTTTTTTGAGACAGAATTTTGCTCTTGTTGCCCAGGCTGGAGTGCAATGGCTCAATCTTGGCTCACTGCAGCCTCTGCCTCCTGGGTTCAAGTGATTCTCCTGCCTCAGCCTCCCGAGTAGCTGGGGTTACAGGCATGTGCCACCACGCCCAGCTAATTTTGTATTTTTAGTAGAGATGGGGTTTCTCTATGTTGGTCAGGCTGGTCTTGAACTCCTGGCCTCTGGTGATCCGCCCGCCTCGGCCTCCCAAAGTGCTGGGATTTCAGGCATGAGCCACCGCGCCTGGCTAATTTTTGTATTTTTAGTAAAGATGGGGTTTCACCATGTTGGCCAGGCTAGTCTCAAATTCCTGACGTCAGGTGATCCACCCACCTTGGCCTCCCAAAGTGCTGAGATTACAGGTGTGAGCCACCACACCCAGCCTGTTTTTTATTTCTCTTAGGTCTGAAGAGCCTGTTCCTTGTGTGTAGGGACTGCTCCCAACTGTCCTCTGTCCATGCATTCATTCATCCTAAGGCGGGAGGCAGAATAGGGCTGTGGTGTCAGGCTGCCTGGGTTCAAACCAGCCTCCCCTCTTAACCACCTTGTGTCCACTTCCTCAGCTGTAAAGTGAACATCATGACAGGGAGCTACCTCACAGGGTCCCTGTGAGGCTTTCTGTGCATGAAAGCATGGAAGACACTTGAAATACTACGGTAAGCCAGGATGACAATGGTCAGGCCTAGAGAGAGGAAGGGGCTGATCTCTCACCACCTAGTGATGCAGGGGCAGAGCTGAGGCCAGAATCAGGCTTCCTGCCTCCAGTGCTCTCTTTCCCTGATGCCAGGCTACTGCTGTGGATGGTGTGGTTTATGGCGTAGGTGGCCCTCTGTTCAAGAATATGTGGGAGGGGTGGAGGGCCTGGATGGATCTATAAGGTGGGGTCTCTCCCTTTCCTCCCAGAGCCGTCACCTTCTTTCTGGGGTGCTTTCCCCCACAAAGTTATCTCTCTAGGTTAGAGCTTGGGGCCCCAGCTCAGGCCTGTTCCCCAGAGGTATATCCAGGGGACATCTGGCCCCAAGGAATCTCCCTGGCTAGCCCTTGAGGAGGGCGTTTCAGTCTGGAGGGAAAGGTGAGTTCTGAGGACCCCTCCCTAGGTGACTGTGTCAGTTTCCTAATGCTGCCCTAACAAATGACCATATACTTAAAACAACACAAATGGATGACCCTAGACTTCTAGAGGTCAAAATCTGAAAATGGACCTTATGGGGCCGAAGTCAGGGTGTTGGCAGAGCTGCTAGGGGAGGATCCTCACCTGGCCTTTTCCAGCTCTCCAGGCCACCCACATGCCTTGGTTCATGGCCCCTTCTAGTAGCTGGGTCCCTCCCACCTCTGCCTCCGTCATCATATCTCCTCCGATTCCCCCAAATCCCCTTTTGACTTACAAGAACCCCTGTGGTTACATTGAGCCCATTCAGATAATCTAGGACCATTCTCCATCTCAAAACTCTTTACCTAATCACCTGTGCAAGGTCCCTTTTGCCACGTGAGGTAACATATTCACCTGATTCTGGGGATGAAGACATGGACATCTTTGTGGGCGGGGGGGGGGGGCGCATTATTATGCCTGCCACAGCAGCCAGTAGCAAAGATCTCTCTGGATTACTGGACCCCCAGGTCCTGCTGGAATTGTACCACTAGCCTCCAAGATGGAGGGAGGGCTTGGGGGTCCAGGCCTGATATGCTGTGGCCGGGGAGGGGTATGAGAGATTCTGTATGATGGGGGGCCCGGAAGGAAGGCAGTGCACCTGTGATAGTGTGATAAATGTGTTCAGTGAGGCAGACATTGGGAAATGTCACCCCTGGCCTTCAGAGGTAGTCCTGGTAGGTGTGGGACCCACTGTGAGGCACTGCCACAGAAAGCCAAGCAGCACCCGCTCCACACACCACCATCACTGCTGTGTGTGTACACGTGCTTGTGGGTGTGTGCACTCATCTGTGTCTCTGCATGAATACTCTTGGGAGGGCCAAGGAACAACTCTTGAAAAAGGTCCTTTCTGCTCTTGTTCTAAGAAAAATAATTACACAAGTGACTAATTTTATCCCTAATCCCATAATTACTTTATTATGTAGCTGGTGAGAGGGCCCGAGCTGTGCCTTTGGCTCCACTCTGGCTGTTAGCCCAGTTGGCCTGGTCCACCAGCGTTGAGCCCCGCCTTGTTTCTGGCCTGGGACTGCCATGAGGGCAAGATGAGTTCCATTCTGGCTGAGATCCAACTACCCTTTGGTATTTGGGGTCTGAAAAGACCACCATTTCTTCCCACCAAGCCCATGCACAAAGTAAGAGCTTGTGTTTAGGGAATTAAGTCAGTAGATTCAAGAGATCTGGGTTCTAGTTCACCCCTCTCATTAACTTGCTCCCTGACCTTGAGCATGCCATTTCCCTCTGGATCTCAGATCTGTTGTCTGTGATACAGGGCCCTGGCCAGCTTAACACTCCATGATTCCATGAGGAGAAATGGGAAGACTAGAGCTTTGAGACAGAGGTACCTTCTTGCTACCTGCTGAAAACATACCCCAATCATAGCATTAAAGATAATATTAATAGTAGCTGGGCACAGTGGCTCATGCCTATAATCCCAGCACTTTGGGAGGCCGATGCAGGCGTATAGCTTGAGCTCACGAGTTTGAGACCAGCCTGGGCAATATGCAAACCCTGTCTCTACAAAAAATACAAAAATTACCTGGGCGTGGTGGCATGCGCCTCTGTGGTCCCAACTACTCAGGAGGCTGAGGCGGGAGGATCGCTTGAGCCTAGGAGGTTGAGGCTTGCAGTGAGCCGAGATCACGCCACTGCATTCCAGCCTGGGCAACAGAGTGAGACCCTGTCAAAAAAAAAAAAAAAAAAGTAACAATAATATCCATCATTACTTGATAGCAAACCTTGTACCTGATTCTTCATTTATATTTTTCTCATTCTATACTTGGATGACTAGGTGAGGTAGGTTTTACGGAAGAGGAAGCTGAACCAGCAGTTGATAAAGTGACTCACCTGTCATGAAATGGCAGAGGTAGGACTGTAGCCTATGCTCTTAGCCTCTGCCTCCATTGTCTTTTTCTACTGTATAAATAAATGAAGGGCCACTCAGCTAGGAAGTGGCGGGGCTGGGATTTGAACCCAGGTCTGTCTGTCTCCAAAGTTCTTGCCACCTCCCAGAATTAGGCTTCCAGGGGTGATTATACTCTTGAACTTCAAATATGTAAACTTAAGCTTGACACAACAAGAAATAGCGATGGTGAAATAAATTGGAAACTCCAGTAGACCAGAGAGTTGGTAGCCCGAGGTTGTGTTCTAGCTTTGCCACTGGCTCACGCTGTGAACTTAAGCAGATCCCCACTAATCCCTAGGCCTCAGTGTTCCCATGTACACGAGGGGTGGGATTCGATGGTATCCAAAGGCCTTCCTGGTATTGATGGTTTGACATTCTAGGCCATCTGGTCCCAGAAGGTACTGTGGGGCAGGAGACCAGCTCATGGTGGAGACCAAAGGGTGGGTGAGTTGGCAGCCCTAGTTTTTTCTATTACATTTATTCCCACGAGAATAGAGATTGCTTGGACTGTGTCCCACTGAACATTTGCAGAACAACTTACCCAGGCCATGGAGTTGAGAATAAAGAGTGGAGGAGGTAGTTTCCAGGCTGTTCCTGCAAGGTTACTGCCCAGCCTGGGCTATTAGCTCCTCAGGGGTCCAGGTCTGTCATCTACCTTGCTCCAAAGGCTGCATTGGTCTCAGGTAGGCAGAAGCAATGGCTGCACGTCTGTCTGTGGGAGTCTGTGAGGGTGCCTAAGCATAATAAATAAGAACACTATTTTGTGTTTTCTCTGTCTTTTTTTTTTTTTTTTTTTTTTTTTGAACCAGGGTCCCACTCTGTTGCCCAGGCTAGAGTGCAGTGGCTTGATCACGGCCCACTGCATGCAACCTCCACCTCCTGGGTTCAAGTGATTATCCTGCCTCAGCCTCCCGAGTAGCTGGGATTACAGGTGCATGCGACCACATCTGGCTAACTTTTGTATTTTTAGTAGAGACAGGGTTTTGCATGTTGGTCAGGATGGTCTCAAACTCCTGGCCTCAAGTGACCCGACCACCTCGGCCTCCCAAAGTGCTGGGATTACAGGCGTGAGCCACTGCACCCAGCCTACTTTGTATTGTCTATTATCACGGCCTGCAACCCACTTTCCTTGAAATATTACGTTTACTTCTCTTAAAACCATATGAGGTATGTATATGGTCATTCCCATTGTACAGTTGAAGAAACTGAGACTCAAAAGGTTAAGTACTTTCCTTCAGATCACACAATCAGTGAGGGATAGAGGGGGATTTGGGATTCTGCCTCCAGAGCCCACGGTCTTGGCCTTAGGGACTGATACCACATGGGCCGAAGCAATAAGCATGAGGTCAGGAGTCAGCGGGTTTGGAATCCCCCCTCTGCTCACCATCTGTGTTTCCTTGGGCAAGTTACTTTATCTGTCTGGATTTCCGTTTCTCTCTCCATAAAATGGGTATATTAATACCTGCCAGTTGGGATTGATTTAAAGGTCACTGAGATGATGGGAAGTGCAAGTGTCTAGCCTGTGGGCTTTCACCTCTTGCCCCTGCCTCCTTCCTGCTTCCCTCTACATATCTGAGGCTCTGGCCACCCTGGAGGTCTCCCACGCATAGCTCTTAGCTTAGGCCTTTGCACAAGCTGCTCTTCTGCCTGAAAGTTGCTGTCTCTGCCTGTTGTTGTAAAGATAGACTTCCTTCACATCTAGACTTCGATCCTTTACTGTTTCCTTGAGGATTCTGGAAAGGGGAAGGGGTGAGGTAGGTTCTCCCACAGGCCTGTTCAGTGATTATCAGGACAACCCCTCGGTAGGGGCAGAATTGAGGGTAGCAGGTAGGGTCCTGAACACCCTGGAAATATAAATCCCTCCAGAAAATTTCCTCCCTTTATACTTGACAGCTTAGGAAGGGCGTGCATATGAGGTGAGTGTTTCGTCTTTGGATCATTAACCTTCCTATTACTGTGGTCTCACTTTTTCAGTTCCCCCTATTTCTTTGGCATCATCTCATGGCCTTTTACTTTCTTGTTTGGTTTTCTTGCTAGAACTTACAAAAAAATTTTCAAAATTGTGGTAAAATATACAGAACCTAAAATTTACCACCCTGACCACTTGTTTTTTGAGGGAGGGTCTCTCTCTGTTGCCCAGGCTGGAGTGCAGTGGCATGCCCTTGGCTCACTGCAACCTCTGCCTCCCAAGCTCAAGCGATCCTCCCGCCTCAGCCTCCTGAGTAGCTGGGACTACAGGCACATGCAACTGTGCCCGGCTAAGTTTTTTTTTTTTTTTTTTTTTTGGAGAAACAGGGTTTCACCGTGTTGCCCAGGCTGATCTGGAACTCCTGGCCTCAAGTGATCCAACTGCCTCAGCCTCCCACAGTGCTGAGATTATAGGTGTGAGTCACCATGCCTGGTCCATCTTAACCATTTTTAAGTAAGTGTACACTTCAGTAGTGTTGGGTAGGTTCATATTGTGTAACACCATCACTACCACCATCTTCAGAACTTTTAAATCTTTTTTCTTTCTTTTTTTTTTTTTAGAGATGGTGTCTCGCTCTGTTGCCTAGGCCTGAGTACACAGGTGCAATCATAGCTCACTCCATCCTTGAACTCCTGAACTTCAGCAGTCCACCTGCCTCAGCCTCCTGAGTAGCTGGGGCTACAGGTGCATACCGTGGTACCTGACTAATTTTTTTTTTTGTAAAAATGGGGTTCTTCTTTTGTTGCCCAGGCTGGTCTTGAACTCTTGGCTTCAAGTAATCCTCCTGCCCTGGCCTCCCAAAGTAACGGGATTACAGGTGTGAGCCTGAATTTTTTAATTTTTTAAAATTTACTTTTCCACGGCAGAGTATTGTTCTGTTGCCTAGACTGAAGTGCAGTGGCACGATCACTGCAGCCCCAACCTCCCAGGCTCAAATGGTCCTCCCATCTCATCCTCCCAAGTAGCTGGGACTACACATGCATGCCACCATGCCTGGCTAAGTTTTTCTTTTTTTCCTTTTCTTTCCTTTCCTTTTTTTTTTTTTTTTGAGACAGGGTTTCACTCTGTTGCCCAGGCTAGAGTGCAGTGGCTCAATCTCGGTTCACTGCAACCTCTGCCTCCTGGGCTCAAGGGATATTCGCCCCTCAGCCTCCCAAGTAGCTGGGACTACAGGCATATGCACTATCACACCTGGCTAATTTTTTATTTTTTGTAGAGACAGGGTTTCATCATGTTGCCCAGGCTGGTCTCAAACTCCTGACCTCAAGTAATCCGTATGCCTCAGCCTCCCAAAGTGCTGGGACTATAGGCATGAGCCACTGCGCTGGGGCAGCTAATTAAAAAAAATTTTTTTTGGATACAGATTGGGTCTCACTATGTTGCCCAGGCTGGTCTCAAACTCCTGGGTTCAAGTTATCCTCCTGCCTCAGCCTCCCATAGTGCTGAGATTATAGGCATGAGTCACCGCACCCAGCCTGAATACTTTTTTTATGTTTTGAGACTGAGTTCCGCTTTTGTTGCCCAGGCTGGAGTGCAATGGCGCGATCTTGGCTCACGGCAATCTCCGCCTCCTGGGTTCAAGCGATTCTTCTGCCTCAGCCTCCTGAGTAGCTGGGATTACAGGCATGCACCACCGTGCCCGTCTGATTTTGTATTTTTAGTAAAGATGAGTTTTCTCCATCTTGGCCAGGCTGGTCACAAACTCCTGACCTCAGGTGATCTGCCCGCCTCGGCCTCCCAAAGTGCTGGGATTGCAGGCATGAGCCACCATGCCCAGCCAAATTTTTTAATATGAAAAAAGTGAAACTATATCCATTAAACAATAACTCCCATTTCCTCCTCCCCCAACCTGTGGCAGCTGCCATTCTCCTTTCTGTAACTGCAAATTGGACTAGATACCTCAGATAAGTGGAATCATACAGTGTTTGTCTTTTTGTGACTGGCTTTTGTTACTTAGTATAATGTCCTCAAGTTCACCCATGTTGTCATATGTATCAGAATTCCCTTCCTTTCTAAAGCTGAATAATATTCCATTGTATATATGTACAACATTTTGTTTATCCACTCATCTGTCGATGGACACTTGTTGCTTCCACCTCTTGGCTATGTGAATAATGCTGCTATGGCCTTGGCTGTACAGAGATCTCTTTGACACCTTGCTTTCAATTATTTTGGATATAGCCTCAGAAGTGGAATTGCTGGGTTGTATGGTTAGCACTTTTTTTTTTTTTTTTTTTGAGACAAGAGTCTCGCTCTGTCAGCCAGGCTGGAGTGCAGTGGCACGATCTCAGGCTCACTGCAGCCTCTGCCTCCCAGGTTCAAGCAGTTCTCCTGCCTCAGCCTCCCGAGTAGCTGGGATTACAGCTTCTCCACCCCGCCCGCTAATTTTTGCATTTTTAGTAGAGACAGGGTTTCACCATGTTGGCCAGGCTGGTCTCGACTCCCAGCCTCAGGTGATCTGCCCGCCTCAGCCTCCCAAAGTGCTGGGATCACAGGCATGAGCCACCACATCCAGCCAGCACATTTTTTAAAGCCACTATTTATTGCATGCTTAATATGTGCCAGGAACTGGGTTAATGATTTGACATATATTGCCTCACTCAATCCCTGCGTCCACTCTGAGTAGTAGGAAGAATTATCCCCAGTTTGTAGCTGAGAAAATAAAGACTCAGAGAGGTTAAGTTATTTGCTCAAAGTCTCACAGCTAGGAAGCTTTGGAACATGCACTGGAGCTTTGACCTGCCGCCAAAGCCTTGCTTTTAACTATTGTGACATGCTGCCTCCCAGTGGCCTCTCTCTCCACCTGTCTATAGAATTTTCTGCCTCTGTTGTGTCCCATTTTTTTTTTCTCTCTTGCCTTGTGTGTGTTCACTCTCTCTGGAAACTTTGAACAACTTAAGTAAAGGCCCTTTGACTGCCAAGAAGTTTTGTGAGTTGGAAACTTAGAGCGGGAGGCCTGTAATTTGCTTTCTAATCATGGTCCTCTGGATTTATAGCTGCCTGTCTCCCAGTGACTGACAGGCTCTTATTCAGCCTCTTGTGGTGATTGCCTTGTGGATCCACAGAAAGCCGGCCCAAGAGGGCCAGCTTCCTGGGTACAGGGACGCTGTACCCCCAGAGAGGCAGTGTGGGAAGGGAGACGGCCCGGCTAGGCCAACGAGGATTCTCTTGGCTCACTGATTTCCTAGCAACAACAGAGGCAGAAAATTTTACAGAAAGGTGGGAAAAGAAAGGCTATGAAGTAGATTCCAGTACAATTGCCTTTTTCTGATTTTCAAAACTATCAGAGCAAAAATATTCCTAAATTTGTTTCGAGTTTTATAAGTTCAAGCCAGACTTACGGTTTGCATGATAGTCAGTTATCTTTCTGTCATCCTTTAAAAAAAATTTTTTTGTTATGCAAAATTTCAAACATACATAAAAATAAAGAGTATAGTGTAATGCACTTCTGTGAACCCATTGCCTAGGTTTAGCAATGATTAATACATAGAGTCACAGCTTGTCTATCCAATAACACAGAAGTTTAAATTTTTCCTCATTCACAGCACTAGCTCAGCGCTTCAGACCTAGTTGTTGCTCAGTAAATAAATAGATGCTGACTGATTACAAAGCCCTTCCCCTCTCTGGGTCTCAGTTTCCCCATCTGTGCAGTAAAGGGATAGGATTAAGTGCTTTCTTCTTATTATTATTTATTTATTTTTTTTAAGACGGAGTTTCACTCTTGTTGCCCAGGCTGGAGTGCAATGGTACGATCTGGGCTCACCGCAACCTCTGCCTCCTGGGTTCAAGCGATTCTCTTGCCTCAACCTCCTGAGTAGCTGAGATTACAGGCATGTGCCACCATGCCTGGCTAATTTTGTATTTTTAGTAGAGATGGAGTTTCTCCATGTTGGTCAGCTGGTCTCGAACTCCCGACCTCAGGTGATCCGCCCACCTTGGCCTCCCAAAGTGCTGGGATTGCAGGCATGAGCCACCGTGCCCGGCCTAGGTGGTTTTTTTTTGTTGTTGTTGTTTGTTTGTTTGTTTTTGAGACAGAGTCTCGCTCTGTCACCCAGGCTGGAGTGCAGAAGCGCAATCTCTGCTCACTGCAACCTCTGCTTCCCAGATTCAAGTGATTCTTGTGCCTCAGCCTCCTGAGTAGCAGGGACTACAGGTGCGCGCCACCACACCTGGCTACTTTTTGTATGTTTTTTTTTTTTTTTTTTTAGTAGGGATGAGGTTTCGCCATGTTGGCCGTGCTGGTCTTGAACTCCTGGCCTCAAGTGATCCAACCACCTTGGCCTCCCAAAGTGCTGGGATTACAGGCATGAGCCACCGCACCCAACCAGGATTAAGTGCTTTCTAAGAGACATGGTAGTCAAAGTATACACTTGGATGTCAGACACAATTGTTTTTCCATTTATTAGCTAGGTATCTTCAGGCAAGCTGAGTCTCAGTTTTCTCATCTGTAAAGTGGGGATATGACTTCTCAAGGGTGGTTGTAAGCACTGAATAAAGTAGCTGTTTTGTTGCTAATACTTTTATTATTGCTATTTTGAATATTAATATTCTGGTTGGAAGAATCCGTGTATTTCAGAAATGCAAAAATAAAATTGGAATGGACTAGAATTCATGCCCTAGGATTTGGCTTCTTTTTTTGTCCCAGTCAGCAGATAATCAGAAGCCCAAGAAATGAATAGTGCAAGAGGAGGCCCAGAGTGAGGGCCATCCAGGCTGATTTCATCTCCTCTCTTCCCCTGCCCCTGCCGTGTGTGGGTGTCACAGCCCCCACCCCCATGAGAGAGCCCGACTAGCCACCCCCTCCCCTAATGAGACAGGCCCAAGATGGAAGAGCCCACAGGTGGAGAGGGTGGTGCTGCAGGATGTCTCGTTGCTAAGATTTCCGAGGAGGCAGCAAGAGCCTGTTTCCAAAGCTGGGAGGGAATGATGGGCTGATGAGTAGATGTAGGGCATGTGGCCCCAGATGGGGTTTTGTGGGATTCTGGGCAAGGGACAGCAGCTGGGAGAAGGCGCTGGGGGCAGGAGGAGGGTCTTTGTAGAATATGGCCCCTTTCATAGACTGTGGGCTCAGGATTACGTGTTCATTTCTTCCATTTACCTCCTTATCTGTCAATATCAGACCTGCATGTGAATCCTGATTCACTCTATGACCTTTGGCAAGTGTTGTGCTGCTGTACTTGCTGGCCCTCAGTTTTCTCACCAATGGGAGGGCTAAGTGAAACATGTATAATAAAGTGCTCTGTAAAAAGGAAGACAAAGTAGAAATGTGAAGGTTCACTACGACTGTCATCTTTATTATTTTTTTTTTCTTTTACTGTCAGATGAGGGAATGGGACTCTGTTAGGTTTCTATGCATGAATAGGGAGCCCTGGAGGGTACTTCCGCTGTGAGGGCCTGTGTCAGGAGACTGTGGGAATTGGCTAGATGGGCCCCATTAGTGAAACTCCAGGGAACAACTGAAGAGGGCAGCAAAGTTCAAAGCCAGAGAGGCAGCCCAAGGGGGGCTGTGGTTGCTGAAAGGTGGGGGCTCTAGTGAGATTCTAGGAGGGACCTTCAATGGTTCAGGCCAGAAGCTTTGAGAGAGGTGAAGGTAACAGACCTTTCTTATATAAATATGTTTACACATATATACCAGAAAGTAAGCAACAAAACAAGACCCAAATGTACACAAAAGAAATAATTCCACTATCATAAAACAACGTCTGGTAACATGTTTTAAAATATTTCCTGTTTGCTTTTTTCTAGGCATGTACACATACATACATATTTTATAGAAATTGGGGCCAGGCACGGTGGCTCACGCCTATAATCCCAGCACTTTGGGAGGCTGACGTGGACAGATCACTTGAGGTCAGGAGTTCGAGACCAGCCTGGCCAACATGGTGAAACCCTGTCTCTTCTAAAAATACAAAAATTAACCAGGCGTGGTGGCGGGGCACCTGTAATCCCAATTACTCGGGAGGCTGAGGTGGGAGAATTGCTTGAACCCAGGAGGCGGAGGTTGCAGTGAGCCGAGATCATGCCACTGCACTTCAGCCTGGGCAATAGAGCAAAAACTCCATCTCAAAAAAAAAAAAAAAGAAAAGAAAAAAGAACAAAAAACGTATTTTGTAGAAATTGGATCATTTGTTACGTACCATTTTGTCTCTGCTTTTTTACCTGTATTGTGTTAAGAACATGATTATATAGCCACATATAGATCCACAACATTATTTTGTGTGGCTGCGTAGTATTTCAGCATATGTATGTATCACTATTTTTATAACGTAGCCACTATTATTGGACATATATATTAACTCCAATGCTCTACTTTACTCCTGTATACAGTGCTTAGACAAATGTTCTTATAGCCACATCTTTGTGTCATTCATTGTTCCCTAAGGATCCATTCCTAAAAAAGGAATTTCTGCGTTAAACGGTATGCACACTTTTAAGGCTTATCATGTACTTTTTCAACGATGAAAGATGAAACCAGTTGATAGCTGCATTGACACTGTCTGAATCTGCCCAATTTATTGGCGGCTCATTATCTTAATAACCCGGCAGCGGTAGCTTAGTGGGTGGGAGGCTCACTTGCACGGATTGGGCGGAGGGAGGCATCAATAGCCACTCTAAAAGGACTTTGCAAAGAGAGGCCCCTGGGTGGCCTGATGGGGCTGGGTTGGACTGTGTTGAAGGGGCTTACCTGCCCGGGCTGTGCTGTGCTGTGCTGTGTTGGCCCGACTGTATTGGTTATGGGAGGCTGTGCTGGGCAGTTGGGCTGGGTTGGCTGCACTGGCTCAGGCCTGGCAGTCTTGTCCCTGGTGTGATCCTGGGCTCAGCCTGGTGTGATCAGCGTAGTCACCAATCCAAGACATTCATTCTAGAAGCTGGCATGGCCTCCGTGGCCATGCTGACAGACTTGTCCATTCACGTAGTGGAGAGTGATTCATCAGAGCTGGTGGTGGCAGCAGTAACTCTGACAGAGTGGAACTGCTCTCACCATCCTGTCACTTGGCCTCTAAAAATAACTCCTGCCGGTTCCGAGTGACCGCACCGCCAGGTGTCTGGAGGTGCAGTCCTGTGGTTGTGGCTATGTGAGGGAGGGTGTGTTTGTGTGTGTGTGTGTGTGTGTGTGTGTGTGTGTGTGTGTGTGTGTTGGGGATAGAGGTGCCATCTGGGGGCCTCTTGATTGGTTGACCTCTGAGCCAGGGCTTTGGGGTGGGAGTATGAGAGGCAGACCAGGCTCGCTCTTTTCTACCCTCTCATAGCTGGGGACAGAGACAGCTAGTGGGGGTAGCAGTAT
The DNA here is from genome assembly GCF_000001405.40 of Homo sapiens. Classification (NCBI taxonomy): domain Eukaryota; kingdom Metazoa; phylum Chordata; class Mammalia; order Primates; family Hominidae; genus Homo; species Homo sapiens. The sequence continues at coordinate 36,143,330 of NC_000020.11, forward strand.
TTTTCAGGACTGTGTGCTCACTCCCTGCTGAAAAAGGGCAGAGAGAGTGGAATGGAGAGGGTGACTTCAGAGGCAATATGACAAGGGTGAGGCAGGCTCTGGGGAAGCACAGCATTTAGCCAATCAACATCTATGTCCCACAAAAGCCCACATAAAAGCTCATCGTCTTAGTGAAGTCTTTAATGTAGGGTTCCTTTAAATTAGATACAAAATACAAAATACACACATATACAGCTAATTTCTTATCGTGGCTGATTAGAGATCATCTAGCCCAAGTCTTAACCAAGGGGATTATCTATCTATCACTCAGGGGGTGATCTATGCATGGGCTTCATGAGCTCTCTTGATACCTGAAAGATGATAAAGGTAGGTATGTGTGTGTGTGAGTGTGACTTTGTGTGTGTGTATGTGTGTGCAGGTGCATACCCATGTACATTTTTCTAGGAGAAGCTCTGCAGTTTTCATTGCATTTTCAAAGGAAATCAGGACCGATAAAAGGTTTTCTTTTTCTTTTTCTTTTTTTTTCTTTTTTCTTTTTTTTGAGACAGTGTCTCGCTCTGTTGCCCAGGCTGGAGTGCAGTGGCGCGATTTTGGCTCACTGCAACCTCTGCCTCCCGGGTTCAAGTGATTCTCCTGCCTCAGCCTCCCAAGTAGCTGGGACTACAGGCGCACGCCACCATCCCTGGCTAATTTTTGTATTTTTAGTAGAGATGGGGTTTCACCATGTTGGCCAGGCTAGTCTCAAACTCCTGACCTCAGGTGATCTGCCCGCCTCGGCCTCCCAGAGTGTAAGAATTACAGGCGTCAGCCACTGCGCCCAGCCCCCTAAAAGGTTTAGAACTGCGCTAGTCCAACCCCCTCATATTACAGGTAAGGAAATTGAATTCAGAGAGGAAAATGACTGCCCAAGATCTCACAGCAAAGGTCAAATCAAGGTTTCTTGATGCCCAGCCCAGCGCCCTCTGCCACACAGGACGCCACCCTCCCCTGCCTGGTTCCTTGAGCCAGGGTCTAGCTACCTACAGTAGGCAGGATCACAGTACCATTTTCCATACCCTCTTGGCTGGCATGGATCCAACTGAACAGGCTTGAGGCTTTCAATCACAGTGGGCAGCTGAGCCCTCACCTCCAGACCTTCCCACTCCCAGGGGAAAACCCATGGGGCATCTCCTGACTCATTCCTTTAGAGGGCATCTTTGCCCAGGACAGTTAAATCTGTCTGTTGACATTCTTATCCTGGTGGGACACTCTCTGATACAGGAAGTGCCTCTGCCTTGTGGGAAAGGAACTGACCCTCGGGTCCTGGAGGACAGGAAATAGAATGGCTGAGTGGGCCTGGGAATATTATATGATGGAAAGGCAGGAGGTCATAGCTAGTGGCAAGAGACAGATGCTGTCTCATTGTATATGGGAGGAATTAAACTGCCATAGGAGTGAATAATAGGACTGATAAGTAACATTTATTGAATACTTACTATAAGTTAGACACTCTTCTAAGATATTTACATGTATTAGCTCCATTAATCCTTATAATAACTCCATATGGTTATTATAAGGAAACTGAGGCACAAATAGATTAAGCACATCTAGGAAACAACTGAGCCAGGATATGAAGTCAGGTCCTCTGACTCCAGAGTATACATCACTCTGGAGCCAAAGTGTAGGCTCCTAGCCTCTATGCTGGCAGACCTGAAACTCCAGTGTGCGTTAGAATCACAGGAGGGCTGATGAAAGCACTGTTGCTGTTCCAAACCTCCTAGTTTCTGACTCAGTAGGTCTGTGTGGGGCCTGAGGATTTGTGTACTTAAGAGTTCCCAGATAAGGCTGGGTGCGGTGGATCACGAGGTCAGGAGTTCAAGACCAGCCTGGACAAGATGATGAAACCCCCGTCTCTACTAAAAATACAAAAAAATTAGCCGGTTGTGGTGGTGGGTGCCTGTAATCCCAGCTACTTGGGAGGCTGAGGCGGAGAATTGCTTGAACCTGGGAGGTGAAGGTTGCAGTGAGCTGAGATTGCGATCACACCACTGCACTCCAGCCTGGGCGACAGAGGGAGACTCCATCTCAAAAAAAAAAAAAAAAAAAGAGTTCCCAGATATTGCTGGTGTTCCAGGGACCACACTTTAGAATCATCCCTGTTTCCTGATAGGAAGAGATGAACAGAGGGAAAAGAAGTGGTGACTGATCTCACCTGGATTATTGCAATGTCCCACTGTGGTTCCAGGCTTCTCCTTCACTCCGGTCACTGAGTCTTCACCAGGAGCAAATTAATTTTCCTAAAGCCCAGCTCTAATTATGCCTCTGCTCAAAGCTCTCTGGATCCTCTGACACTATCCACCATTGCTGTCCACTAGAAATGTCTGTAGTGATGAAATGTTCTACATCTGCACCGTCCAGTATGGTAACCACTAACCACATGTGGCTATGAGTTTTACATTTTGTTCCATTAAATTTAAATTTAAATAATCACATTTGGCCAGTTGCTAGACAGTGCAGTGCACTTGGTTTGTCATTCAAGGCTCTGCTTGGCACCAGCTCCTTTCTATCTCCTCAGGGATAGCCTCAACCCTCAGTATCCCAGGCTCCAGGTCATATGCAGCGTTTCCTGATTCTACCTTGTAATTCCCAGCACTATGGCTTGTGTTATGCTCTCTCCTCAGTCTACATTGTCCTTCTGCCCTGCCTTTAATGCCCAACCCACATATGACCTCTTCCTCGAAACCTCCTTTGACACCTGCTGCTCTCTAATCTTTTTCTCCTCTGAACTCCCCAACACTCTGTCCTCTTCTTACAACCTTTAGTGCTTTCTGTTTTACATTGCAGTTGGCTGGTGTGGGTACTTTCTCTTACTAAACTGTGAGCTTTTGGAGGATGTGACTGTTTTCTGTAGAGAGCTCTTGCTTCCTACTGTAGGTCCCTCCAGGTACACAGAGGAGTTCGACAAATCCCACAAACCTTTGTACTGGCACACTGGGGATACAGAGATCGGTACCATAACTTCCCTGTCCTCAAGCTGCTCACAGGCTTCTACGAGAGTCTGATTCATGCCCAGAGAACCACTGAAGCCAATGGTTATTTTAGGCAGGGAGATAAAAGCCACAGAGGGCCCAGTTGGCGAGGGGAGTCCGGCAGGAGCTGCCTAAGCAGAAGGCTGTGTTTACATACACAGACGACTTCTCTGCCCAGCCTGGCCTAGTGTGGGGAGATGGGAACATTCAGGCGTCACTGCCTGGCTGCCTTGTGAAGTTGCGGATTAACCAGTGATGCAGCGGCTGGTCTAGCCGTCTGGTCCCTGCAGATGGATGGATGAAGAGAGGACTGAAAAGACAGCAGAGCAGTGCCAGCTTCTGGAAGTGAAGTGCTGGCTGGGTGGAGTGGGCACCTGGGCTGGGAATGTGAGTGCAAGGAAATGTTTGTGATCTGACAGCAGACAGCAGGTGAAATTCTGCTGGGTCTGGCTTGGGGGGTTATGAGGTCTTCATAACAGTCCCTGTTTTAAATGGAAAAACTGTTGAAAAGAAAAAAAAAAAAAGGAGGTCAGGTGCAGTGGGTCATGCCTGTTATCCCAGCACTGTGGGAGGCCAAGGTGAGTAGAACACTTGAGCTCAGGAGTTTGAGACCAGCCTAGGCAACATGGCAAAACCCTATCTCTACAAAAAATATAAAAATTAGCAGTGCATGGTGGTGTACACCTGTAGTCCCAGCTACTTAGGGGGCTGAGGTAGGAGGATTACCTCAGCCCGGGGAAGTTGAGGCTGCAGTGAACCATGATCACACCACTGCACTCCAGCATGGGCGACAGAGTGAGACCCTGTCTCAAAACAATAATAACAGCAACAACAAAACAGAGGAAAAAAAGATAGAAACAGCTTTCTGGCTTTAGACTCTAATCCTAAGAGTATTTTACATCCTGAAAATCTCTAGCATATATTCATCTCTGGGACAAAAACATTAAAAAAAGGAAACTTTATTGATGTTATAACATAAACACAGAAAAGTGCACAGATCATAAGTTTACACATACTTGTGTAACTACCCCCCAGACATGAACAGAATATGTCAGTATCTCCAGAATAAACCTGTGTGAAGCCCAATGTGTGTAGGATTAATGATAGAACAAACACAGGCCTTGGAGTCAGGCATGCCTGGGGTTGAATCCTGGGCCCCTGCACCTACTAGCAGTGTGACCTTGGATGAGTGATTTAACTTCAGTTTCCTCCCCTGTAAAATCAAGGTGGATCTATAATGTCTGCCTTACAGGGAAGTAGGAGATTTAAAATTGAAAATATAGGCAAGTTGCTAGGCACAGTGCCAGCACATAAGTGGGGACTCAGATGCTCTCTGCAATGGCGATGTTAATTGATGGTGATGCTGCAGCACCTTCTGGCACCTGGGACCAGGGACACACACACAGCTTTTCTCCTGTTGCCTCTCACTGCTCCCAGCCTCTGTATGATACTCTCCAGCTCTCTTCTGACTGCAAGGAATTAGAGATGCTGTGATGATGCAAACCTCAGCTGACACTTCAGGCACCCGACGGGAGGCTGGGTGGACATCTGTATCTAGTGGGTACATGGCCAGATTTTTCATGTTCTGGCCTCAGGAATGTGGCTCCCAGACCTCCTAGAGGGGCTGATTTCCCAAGAAGCAGCTGGAAGCATGGGGACCTATTAAGAAACATAGCCGAGGTGGAGATAAGGCAGAACTCAGCCTCAGGAGTGTCCTGGCATCCTGGGTGGACTCCTGACTCCTACTTGCTCCCTGGCCTCTGGCTTTCGGTGTGAAGATGGCCAACACATACTATGCACATATTGTGAACTGGGCACTGATGTGGGCCTTCAGGGGTGTGTGTGGGCGGAGGGAAGGGAGTATGATGAAAAGTGGCCATTATCCTAAAGCTCATAGTGCAATGGAAGTTTAAAACCCTTGGACAGGTCACATGACCCTGAACTTGAGGGTGGCAGGACGGAGACAGAGAGGCCAAGAGGTTATTTCTAGCCAGAGGAGTTGGTGCAAAGAGGAAGGGTTCAGGAACGACTTCCTGGAGAATGCCTAGAAGAATAACTATGGGAAATGGGAAGAGGGTCTCCCAGGCAGAGAAGAGGGCACAGCCACTGTGCCCTGGGGACCTGGAACCAGTCAGTTTGACAAAGCTCATCACATGGAATCTGAGAATGAGGCTGAAGAGCCAGGTGAGACCAGGCTGTGGAAGGTCTTGAGAGTCGGGCTGAGGTATTTGAGTTGCTTCATCAGAGAATGAGGAGCCACTGAAGCTTCTTCCATTGAGGAAGCAGAGCCAGACCAGATCCTCTTACTGTGCTCTGTGGAGACCAGCATTGTTTTTAGCCAAAGATGGCAATCAGTTGTCCAAGCCACTGGAGCGGTCTGTGAGAGCCTCTGGGATGCCCAGACATGTACAGGGGGCTTGGCTGTGGGTATAGAAGAGGAAGAGGGGCATGGACCAGAGCTGAGGTTCCCAGCTTTGAGAAATGACAGTCTTACTGGAGACGTTGGAGAGCCTCATGACAACGGAGCCCCAAATTCAAAAGTAGAGGCAAGGATGAGATGAGGGTCCAGTAGGCAGAGAAGAAGAAACTGGCTGGGGGAGCATGCGGGGCGGAGATGGGGCCAGGCTTTCTGGAAGGGAGGCAACCTTCAGAATGGGCAGGCTTTGGAGACACTGAGGGTACTGAGGGGCACCCTAGTGGGGTCCATCTGAGGTGCAGAAGGGAGCTTGGAGCATGCCAGCACCAAACAGAGCCTTTGTGGGCATTCTTGCATGTCATTCTCATAGCTCTGGAAGACGGTGCTGATATTATCCCCATTGTACAGATGGGGCAACTGAGGCTCAGAGAGGCTAAGGCCTTGCTCAAGGTCATGCAGCTCCTGTGCTAATAAATGTCCCCCATCCCTGCCCCAGCCCCTTTGCCAGAGGTGAACATTGCCCTTAGGCTGTTCAACAACACTACACTAGATACGTATGGAAAAGTGCTTTGTATACTGTGACCTGCTATGCAGTTTGCAGGCATCCTCATCATTCCACACTAGAATAAGGCTTAACGCAGGAGGGTGTGGTTCCCACGGTCTGGGCTGGATGGAAGGTTACAGGGAAGGGTAAGGTCTCTGGGAACTGCAGTGCTTTGAGAGGCTTCTTAGAGAAGATGGAGAAGAGGAAGTAGGGGGCAGCTGGAGGGGGGAGGTCCCTGCAAGGTGGGCACTGCCACCTGTCCACCCTGCCTACTTCCTCCACCCAGACACAGCTGCCCTGTGGTGCCCTCTGCAGAGTGCCAACCTCAGTGAAACAGCCTGCCAGGCAGCACTTCCCAGAATGGTGGGTCATGCTGCTCTGTTAAGTTTGGCTCCGCTAGCTCCCTCCCTCTGGCCCAGCTCCCAGTGGCCTGGGGCTGTCACTGGGCCCGGCTGCCCTCCCGGGCAGGAGCCAGCTGCCCTCCAGCTCTCTTGTCCTGGAACACCCTCCTCCCCATGACCTCACCTTTAACCCAGCTTGGCTTAGTGTCTTCTCCTCCAGGAAGCCTTTTCTGATCCCTATGGGCTGAGTTAGGACCCCAGAGTATCTAAACCTGTACTGACCAAAAGAAATATAATGTGAGCCACACGTGCAAGCCACACGCAATTTTAAATTTTCTAGTAGCCACATTTTTTAAAAAAGTCAAAAGAAACAGATGTAATTATTCAAATGATTTGTTTTATTTAACCCAATACATTCATAAGGTTTTTTTGTTTTTTTTTTTTTTGAGACGGAGTTTCGCTCTTGTCCCCCAGGCTGGAGTGCAATAGCACGATCTCAGCTTACTACAACTTCCGCCTCTTGGGTTCAAGCAATTATTCTCCTGCCTCAGCCTCTGGAGTAGCTGGGATTATAGGCACATGCCACCATGCCCGGCTAATTTTTGTATTTTTAGTAGAGATGGGGTTTTACCATGTTGGCCAGGCTGGTCTCGAACTCCTGACCTCAGGTAATCCGCCCACCTCGGCCTCCCAAAGTGCTGGGATTACAGGTGTGAGCCATGCCCGAGACATATTACATTCTTTTTGGTATGAAATCTTCAAAATCTGATTTTTATATTTACAGCACATTTTTATTTGAACGAGCCACATTTCAAGTGCTCCATAGCAACTAGCCATGGCTAGTAGCTACCATATTGGTTAGCACAGACCTAAAAACAGGGAGTTTATAAGGGTTGAAGCTCAGAGTTTGGCACCAGACATACCTGTCAGTCATATTCCGACCCTGCCATTTATTAGCTGGATGAACTTTGGGGTCGCTAACCCTTCTGAGCCTCAGTTACTTCAGCTGTGAAAGGGATTAATAATTTCAGTGCCAGAGAATTGCTTTGAGGATTAAACAAATGAATGTGTGTCCAGTGCCAGGCACAGAGGAAGTGCTCAGAAAATGGTGGTGCTTCACCTTCTAGTATCCTCTGATGTGCTGGGGTACGTGCCTCCACTAGATTGATTGTGAATTCAAGGGCAGAGGCTGTATTCAATTCCTCCAGCCTTCCCCAGTGTCCAGGGCCTGGCTTGGTGTGAGCATTACTGCTTGCTGAATGAAAGATTAAGTCCTTGGGCTGGGAGTGCTCCCCACCCCACCCTGCTTGCCCAGTAGTCAAGGGCCCTGGTGGCTGGGAGTCAGGAGACCACTGACTACTTGTGGGTGACCTTGGCAAGTCACTGCTTTGCTTAGAACCTTGGTTTCCTCCTTTGAAAGATAAAAGGGAGATAGGAGGGGCCCTGCCTGAAGTGTTTGGTTGAATCTCTGCCCCGCAGTGACCTTGGGGGTCTGTGGCTGACTCTGTGTCCCTTGCTTTCCCAGCCAGTGGAGCGAATCACTTCCGTTCTCCTCCTGGCTTTCCTGTATCCTGGACTTTTGCACCATTAAGTTCCATCCAGTTAAAATTTAAGAGGAAAGAATTTCTCCTGCCTCCTAGACAGAGCAGAGAGGGAATGAAGGGTCCTGTCCCTTCTCTTCTGCCAGCATCTGCTGACCTCCCATCACAGCAGCCCAGTGACAGACATGGGGCAGGGATTCTCCCATTTTATAGGTGAGAAAATTGAGGCTCAGAGATGTCAAATAACCTGCCTAAGTAATACAAAAAGAAATGGTAGCGCTAGGGCTGGAAGCAGAATTTGCAGCTAAGGAACTGAGGAACCCCTTTTTTGGATGGGCTCCTCTTTCCTTCTTTCTCCATGAGACTTGGTCCTAGGTTGAGTCCTATCCCTGTGCCTCAGTTTCCCTGCCTGGGGAATGAAAACAGTCAAGTAACTCAAGTAGTAATTGCAACTGATGCCTATGGGGGCCATACATTCTTAAGTGTCTCTCCTGCTTCCTCCAGCCTGATTTTTCTGGAAAGGGTTATTGTTGGGTAAAGTGGAAAGTATGTAGTCCAGGGAGCCAGTGTAACTGTGTAAGCGTAACCTTGGGCAAGTCACTCCCACTCTGAGCCTCAGCCTGCCTATTTATAAGATGGGGGCCGGGCGCGGTGGCTCACGCCTGTAATCCCAGCACTTTGGGAGGCCGAGGCGGGCGGATCACGAGGTCAGGAGATCGAGACCATCCTGGCTAACATGGTGAAACCCCATCTCTACTAAAAATGCAAAAAAAAATTAGCTGGGCATGGTGGTGGCAGGCGCCTGTAGTCCCAGCTACTCGGGAGGCTGAGGCAGGAGAATGGCGTGAACCCGAGAGGCGGAGCTTGCAGTGAGCCGAGATCGCGCCACTGCACTCCAGCCTGGGCAACAGAGCGAGACTCCGTCTCAAAAAAGAAAAAAAAAAAGATGAGGGATGATATTATCTCACAAGATGCTGTGCAGATGACACACAAAAGTATTTTGCAAACTGGAAAGTGCTAATAGAAATGTTAGTGAATAATAATAATAATCAAAATAATTAAAATAGCAGAAGCCTCATTTTCTGTGTGGTCTCAATGACCTGAAGTGAATTGAGCCCTTTGGGTATAAATGCAGAACGATGTCTGGGAACATCCTGCCTCGGTCTTTGGAGTGTAGCCTGGATTCTCCTGGGAAAGTGAGAGGCTCCATCTGGTTGAGGAGGGTGGGAAAGTGGCCCTGCCCCAGGGGAGGAGTGGGGAGGGCTTCAGCCTGGGGGAAGGAAGGAAAGGGAGATGGCCAGGGAAGGAGAGTTGAACTAAGAGGAACAGAGAGAGCCTTGGCCATGCAGCCCAGAGCCTCCTGCCCACGGGAGCCCACGATTGGGAAGGCTCAGCCAGCAGGGGAGACTGAGCCTATTTGGAATCAAAATACTTGAAGGCAGGCAGTCAAGAATCTCTTAGCAGCTGTGCATCTGAAACAATAAATGCATCTGGTATAACTCCTGAGTTTTATTGGTCCTTTCACTCATTCATTTAAATAAATGTGTGGTGAGCTAAACTCAAACAGAGCACCTTGTGTGGCAAAGTGACTTGCCCAAGGCCACGGCCCCAGGGGCCTGTGTGAGACTCCCTTGGGAGCTCCTGGGAAAAAGTGAATTTGAAAGGCCTGGGGATGAGAAGTCCAAAGGCAAAGGACAGGATTTGTACAGAAGGCTGCCAAGCAGGACACTCGTCCTTCTGTCAGTCGGCCTGGGCAGATTTGTCTGTCTTCCCACCTTCTGTCTGGAGGGTGGGCCTGTTCTCTAGGACTGGGAGAAGCTGGCTTCATTCTGCTCTCTGCTCTTCATCCGCTGCTGAACCTGGTGAGCAGGGGGAGTGAAGGCACCGGAAGCTTTGTCTAAAGACACCTGATGAAGGAGGTTTAAGTTGGAGAAGAGAAGGCTTGCTTTGGGCATGGTACAAAGGGACGCAATTGTATCTTGAGTTCTCTAAAGGGTGCTGAGGAGAGGGCATAGCCTCATTCTTTGGAGGCCCTAGAGTGCCTATGAGGACCCAGGGTAGAAGGTCACCATGATGGAGCAGCACACTGGGAGGGAGGAGTTGGGGGAGGGAGGTGCCTGGCTCTATAGTGTGTGACAAGCAGAGATGGAGAGCCCACTGGTGAGGCTGATACTGAGGGAATCGCATCAGGGAAGGATGGAGGGCTCAGCTCACATCGAGGCTGCTTCCCAGCTTGGGGCCTCTGTGCTTCCCAGGGCAGTGGATTCTGTGGTAAGAACTATGGCCAGCACATGGTAGGTACTTAGGAATGATGTGAAGAATGAATGAATAGTTGTGTATGCCTGGAGGTGAGGGTGGTGACTGGGGGTTCGCGGTCATATGGGTTGCAGTGGACCCATGGACAGAAATCTTTGGAGATCATGCTGCGGTTACCCACCATTCTCTCTATGCCTTCGCCATGAACTAGGGACCCTAGAGATAGGAACGTCCAGCCCTTTCGTCATTTGCAAATGAGGCCCAGAGCATGGAACAACTTGCCCAAGGGTACTTGCTGAGCCAGTGGCAGACCTGGACTGGAACCCAGGCCCTCTCCCTCCCAGAGTCCTCTGTGGCTTGAGGTCCCCACCTTCGGATTGTGTGAGATGGAGGTGCTGCAGTGGTTGGACTGGTTTTTTTAGTGGGTAACAGTGCTCCTGGAGGGGAGGAGCATGGCTTACCTTGGTTTTGAGCCATGATCTCTGCCACAAGCTGCTTGGCCAGCCCCTGCCCTTTCCTGGAGCTCAGGTGCACACTCAGCCTGTGCTCAGACACATACAGCAAGTGCGCCTGTACACAGGCCCCATCCCCAATAGGTCCCTGGGCTCTCACTGTTACACTTACTGTCATTGTCACCAAGGCGCATGTGGACAAATGTACACATAGACACCCTCTGGACACACTCAGAGGCACAGAGGATTCCCAGGAGACAGTTGTAATACCTCCTCCCGGTGGGGGAGGACGCCGAGTCCTAGGCGGGTTCTGCCCTGTCGCTGTGCTGCAGGGGTGGTGAGGGGATCCGGCTCCGGTGGGATGGGAGGCCCACTGAGGCTGAGTCACCCCTTCTGAGTCAGGCATGCATCCCCCTCTTCTCTCCTCCCCCTCCCTTTCTCGCTGATGAGCCCCCAAGAGGGCTTGGCGAGAGCAAGGAGGCCCGGGGCTGGCTAGGACCAGGGTGGGGGCAGCCGGGGCGCTCGAGAGGCCCCCCAGCTGCACAGTCCCGCAGTGGTCTGGGAACTGCCCGTGTGGCACGGACCGGGAGGAGGTGGCCTGGGAGCCTGAGAGAGAGGGCGGGGCGCGGGGGGAGGTGGGTGGTAGAGGAGACAGGCAGAGAGGAGGCGGAGGCAGGGGCAGGGCCGCGGCGCGCTGGGAGGCAGGCGCAAGCGGCGGCCGCCCCTGGGCTGGGCTCCGAGGCCGGGGCGGGGGCGGGGGCTGGCCGCGCGTCGGGCGCCAGGCCCGGGGCTGTGGGCACCGTGCCCAGCCCCTGGCGCACGCCGAGCCGCCGCCGCCGCCGCCGCTGCTGCAGTCGGCATCCATCAGCGGGCGGGGGTGTCGCCGAACAGGCTGCTCCGCAGAGCCCGCCGCGACCCCGCGCCGCCCCGCCCCGCGGCCTGCCTGCCAGAGGAGCCGAGGGGGCCGCCCCTCGCCCAACCTGCCCGACATGGGGAACCCCGGGCCCAGGTAGGCACATGGGGGAATCAGGTGGCTCTCGGGGCCGGGGGCTTGCAACATCTAGGCCCAGCCTCCAGCCCTGGGGAGGAACGGGGGCGAGGCCGAGAACTGAGTTTTCAGGCTGTTGGTCCCCTGGCCAGTGTGGGGGAGGGTCTCGCTGTTCCTCCCTACCTACCGGTCTGCAGCCTCCTCCAAGGCCTGGAGAGAGGATCCGGAGGCTGGGGGTTGGCGGGGGGTTGGTCCTGCTGTAGGATGAGCGGTGGGTGGGCGCTGGGCTCCCACCGGCTGGCCCAGTCTCTTTTCGGAGAGCACTCCTGCTGCCGCCTCCAGAGGCCAAGGGCTCTTTGGATTTCTGCTGCTTCTGACGCTGCAGGAGGAGTTCTTGGCTGGAGCCTGGGATGCTGGCGAGCCCTTGCCCTCATCTCTCCTCACTCTGGTTACGGACCCTTCCCCGCTCTGGGCTTGCCTCCCCTTCCGTCTCCCTTCCAAGTACCTCAGAGCTGCTAGGAGGGATCTTAGCCCTAGGACTTCTGCAGTTCTGGCCTGGCATTGTCCTGGCCAGTGACCGTCCCCTGATCAGAGGGAGAGGGCTTGTGTGTCCCACTTGTGTCTGGCACCTTCACACTTGGGGAGGTCCAAGGGCCCGAGAGGCTGGGGTCTCAGGGATGGGCATGGGGGGCCAATGTCTACAGCCATTGGGGTACTTACTGGGTGCAGAGGCCACTGACTGGCAGACGTATATGGCTCAAAGTGGTCCATGGAGACCTTGAAGTCTGGACAAGGACCAAAAGGGAGTTCTGGGGATGCTGGTCTCTCCCTCAGCTGCCAGCCATCGTCGTTGCTTTTCCCTCGGAGCTCTGAGGATGCATTGGTGGGGGAGAGAGCACCACGTGTTCCCACATTCACTTCTGGATCCGCATAGCACCTCCTCTGCACCCAAAGGTGGGAATGTGAGACGGCCAGATTTAGGACCTCTCCAGGGCTGTGCGGGGTCCAGCGGCTTGGCTTCATTCCCACCCCATCCCCCCACCCTCAGCATTAGGAGCCTTCCAGAATCAGTGGCACTTGAGCCAGGTCAAGATCTGGGGCCTGGATGGTGCCCTCCGCAGCTCTTGGAAGACAGTGCCTCCTGTCCCGGGCAAGGGTGTGGAGAATAGAGGCAGCTGTGTGCCTCTCTGCCCACCCATTCCTCCAGATGGAGCCTGCGGCAGAGGCAGCCTGTGCCAGCCTCCCCTATGAGCCACCGTGGCCCAGGAAGGCTCTGCCAGCTCTGTGCAAGGATGGAGCTGGCTTCTCCTGGCCAGCCTGAGGTCATGCCTGCCTGGCAACCCAGGCATAGTATTTATGGCATGCAGAGCACAGTCCCTGGGATTTCAGGGGCACCTCAAGGCAGTCCTGGAGGAGATCAGTGCAGAGGGCATTGTTCCTATTAAAGCCCTTCCTGGGCTATGTGACAGTCCTCCTGGGCTCAGCCCTGTGAGCTTCTTGAAGAGCTTCTTCCATAGAATCCTGCATGAAAACAATGCTTGGTCAGGTAGTCCTCACTCAGTCGATATTGAAAGGTTGAACGGGGCCTAGAGAGTAAGAGTGACTTGGCCAAGGTCACAAAGCAGCTGAGCGGGGGAGTCAGCATTAATGTACCCAGGTCTTCCACCTCTTGTTCTGGGGCTCTTGCAGCTCAGGTGCTGGCTTCCCTGCTGCGGTGGTTGTGCTATAGACAGGACTCTGCCAAGGGCTAGGCATTGTAGCCTGGAGCCTGAGGCTACCTGATCCCTTAGGAGGGGTGTTATGTTGGCCTCCCAGCCCTTGCCCTCAGTAGGTGAGCAGGAGAGGTCAGGGCTGAGAGAAAGGGCCGTGGGTGGTCCTGGACCCTCTTGGAAGTGCATAGAGCTGAGAGGATGCCAGGTGCCCAGGGATGTTCTGGCCTGAGCCTCCAGGGGGCAACAGAGAGTTTTCTGACTTCAGGCTGTGGTGGGAGGTGCTTGTTAGCACCTGCCGGGACTTCCCTAAGAGCCCCTTTCTGGGCTTCTCTGTCCCATTTGTTAAAAGGGGACACAGGCGTGCGCCATTGCGCACGCCTGTAATCCCAGCACTTTGGGAGGACGAGGCGGGCAGATCACAAGTTCAAGAGATGAAGACCATCCTGGCCAACATGGTGAAACCCCGTCTCTACTAAAAATACAAAAATTAGCTGGGCGTGGTAGTGCACGCCTATAGCCCCAGCAACTCGGGAGGCTGAGGCAGGAGAATCGCCTGACCCCAGGAGGCAGAGGTTGCAGTGAGCCGACATCGTGCCACTGCACTCCAGCCTGGAGACAGAGCGAGACTCCCTCTCAAAGAAAAAAAAAGGGCGGGGAGGATGATCATCTCTGCCTGGAGATAAATACCAATGATTACACAATCAAAGTGATAGTATTTATTGAAACTTACTGTATGCCATGTACTGCAAGAAGTGCTTTGAGTCATTTCACAGTAACCCTGTCAGATAGATGTGATTAATTATCCACTTTTTACAGAGGAGAAACTGAGGCTCAGAGAGGTTATGTCACTGGACTAAAGTTACGCAGCTGGAAAGTGCGAGGCGGTCTGAGTCCAGAGCCCTTCTTTCTACCATGACATTTACTGGGGGCAATATCTGGAAGTACCAGGTTGGTGTCCAGTGGAGCCAGGCAATTCATTGGTAGGCCAGGGCCAGTCCAGGTGGAGAGGTGTGTGAGGGGTGTGTGTGTGTGTGCCTGGTGAGGCAAGGGTGGCTTTGTGGACTGAATATTACTATAGTGCTGAGGGGTAGGGGTAGATAAGTACTGACTAGGAGCTCTCAGAGAAGGATTAGCCTTGGCCTTCTCCTTCCTGGCCAGGGTCCCCCAGAAGTGGGGAAACACCAGACTCCCTGCTCCCATTGGCTTTTAGGGAAGATGGGCTGGCTCTGGACACATCCCGAGGCCACAGTGGGGACTGGGCTAAGGAGGCCCTGTGGGCAGGGAGCTGAGCCTTGGTGGATGGGTGGGGGTGGAGCAGGCTGGCACTGCTTCCTTTGTGGGCTAGAGGCTTGTGGATCAGAATAGTAACAGCTAACATTTATTGAGCATTTATTATGTGCCAGGCCCAGTTTTAAGGGCTTCCATGTACAACTCATACGTTCTTCACAAAGCCCTGTGAGGTGTAGATGAGGTATAGGAGTTATTCTTCCCGTTTTACAGATTGATGGAGCTGTGGCTTAGATAGTTGTTCAAGGTCAAATAGCTAGGCTGTGGGGGAGTCAGGATTCAAACCTAGGCAGTGTGGGTCAGAGCCATGTTCCTGAAGGCCATGCCAGGCAGCCTGTAGTTTCTCAGAGGCCATACTCTGTTTTGTTCAAGTTGAAATAGTCACTCAGTCAGATGCATCCCTCTCCTCAAAGGCCTCCCAGTCTAGCTGGGAGAGATGCAGACATGACACACTAAAAGTAAAGAGTGTGCTATTGCATAGGCTCAGCATGGATTCCTATTTTGGTGCTCAGGGAAGGCTTCAAGAAGACGGGGACCTTTGAGCTGGGCACTGAAGGCCAAGTCGGATTTCGATGGTTGAAGGGGGAAGGGCACCCACTTCCCCAGGTCAGAGGGGAAGGAAATAGGAATGCCTCTGAAGAAGAGTGGGCGGTCTGATGTGCGTGGAACAGATAGTGTGTGTGGCGGAGTGTGAGCTGGGAGGTGACTCAGAAAGTCACCTAGTGTTTGGGTTTTTGATGGAGCTCTGGAATCCACCAGACGTAGGCTATAGTCACAGCAATGCATTGTATTAGCCACGTGGCCTTGGGCACATCACTCAGCTGGCCCAAACCTCAGTTTCCTCATTCGTAAAATGCAGATAAACATGCCTGTCTCACAGGGACCATGTTGTGGTTGTTATATAAAGCACCTAGTGTAATGCTAACACATTGCAGGAACTCAGTAAACATTACTTCTCTCCCGCTTCTGTCTCTCTTAAATGTCAGGCCAAGGTGTTTCGACTTGACGTGAGCCGGGATGCTCTAGGAATCTTTGCAGGATTTTAGTCTGCTGAGGAGCATGACAGAACTGTGTTTTGGGAAGGTCCTTTTGGCAACCGTATGATCCACAGGAGAGGGTGGACGTGATCTTACAGGAGAAACCTTAACTGTGGGGACTTGGAGGGCTGGGGAGGGATCAAGATTGGCACTCATTAAGGTGTCCCTCTGGTAGTGGGTGGTTCGCCAGGTTGGAGAAGGAGGAGCTTGGAGTGGGTAAGGCCACAGGGTCAGGAATTCTGTTTCAGGCCTGGTGAGTTTGAGAAGGGCTGGTCTCCCTTTAGTCATCTGGAAGATTGGGTAGCATCTTTTTTGCACATCTGGCCTGTTTTTCCTTTGAATTATTTCTTTTGAATAAATCCCCATCAGAGCTTCCTCTATAATAGCAGTAAATTGGGACTAAGTGTCCAACAATAGGAAGATGATTGGGAAAGCTTTGGAACATCCACTGGATAAAATAATACGCAGTGGTGAACACCCACAGAAAAACTGCTTGCAGTGGATGGAGCTGTGCAATTGCAAAGCTCTTTTGCATCCTTGATTCATTTTGTGCTTATGACTGCTCTGCGACAGAGGTGGGGCCGGGGCTAGATCCTTTCTGTGTTTGAAGAGAATGACGCTAGACTCCAGTCTCCTTGAAGGCAGAGTTGAGTTCACATTTTATTCATTGTTTCGTCGCAGCATGTTGCTCAGTGGTTTGCAAATACTTGTCCGATGAAAGAATGAGTGAACTAATCAAGAGGGGAAGTGACTTGATCAAGGTCACTCAAGTTGTAAGACATAGTGCCTGCCATATTCTTGCTATTCCCTACTTGCCACATTCTTCTCACTAACCACTCACTATCTTCGAGGGGAATAGGACAGAGAGGTTCCCAGTGAGGACCTGGCACTTGCATAGAACAGGGTTTAAGTCTTCTTTCTGTTTTTACTAGCTGTGAGGCAATTGGCAAGTTAATTAATCTTTCAAAGCCCCAGTTTGCCCAGCTGTAATGTGGATAGTCCAAGTACCTGGTTTTAGGGTTGTCATCAAGATTGAATAAGTTAAGGCATGTAAACATCTTGGCATGGTAACTAGTACATAGTGAAGTATCCATGAACATTAGTGGAGATGATGATGATGTCATGATGTGATGTCATTAATGGTCTGATACAATTAATGTTAAATGGGAAAGAAGACCCATAAGATTATCAGTATTCATATTACAATGGTATAAAATTAGGTATGAACATAGATACAGATTGGAAGAAAACAGGTAGAAAATGGAGTTCCAGCAAGCATATGGGAAGTGAATAAAACAGAAAAACAAATATTTCTTTACTGTTATATTTACTTTTCTTTAGTTTTAATTACAAAAAAAATTTGTGGAAAATCTAATAATTCAGAAGTGTAGGCCAGGCACGGTGGCTCATGCCTATAATCCCAGCACTCTGGGAGGCTGAGGCGGGTAGATCACCTGAGGTCAGGAGTTCAAGACCAGCCTGGCCAACATGGTGAAACCCCATTTCTACTAAAAATACAAAAAGTTAGCCGGGCATGGTGGCTGGCGCCTGTAATCCCAGCTACTCAGGAGGCTGAGGCAAGAGAATCTCTTGCACCCGGAAGGCAGAGGTTGTGGGGCAGTGAGCCGAGATTGCGCCATTGCACTCCAGCCTGGGTGACAGAGCGAGACTCCGTCACAAAAAAAAAAAAGAAAGAAAGAAAGAAAAAAAGTGTATTCTCCCCTTAGATCCCCAAACAAATCCTACTCTCCAGTCGTAGCTAATAACAGCATGTTGTGTATCCTTCCAGGATATTTTCTATACCAACATAAACATACAAACCAGAATGGGATCATACATTGCATTATTGTTTTACAACTTGCATTTTTCATGTAACTACACATTGACATCTTTTTATGTCAGTAGATATAAAATCTATCTCAAAAATTTTTGCAATAGGTATGTTATACTTTCATAATTAAATTTTTAATGGATAAACCCTACTAATTTGGCCAGCCCCCCTGTTGATTGACATTTGAAGTTGTTTCCAATTTTACGGTATTCTAAGTAACGCTAACTGAACTCTAACAGTATTTAGACAATTAGTGAAAATCAAGTGAGAGAAGGAGTCAGAAACCATGAGACCGTGAGAGTTGCCCTCAAAGGTCTGCTGCTTCTCCCTTCTCCTGTTCCCTCCTCTCCTCACTGGAGCCTGGGGGAACTGGTCTTGGAGGAGGCCATCTCTCTGTCACCCTCAAAAGGTGGTGATGTCCCAGGGAAAGACCCTTTCTTTCACCCACCCAGTATGGAGCTCTCCTAGGAAATTTTCAAATTCTCTTAGGATGCTCTAAGCTGCTGCTTGGGCTGTGCAGCTGCCCACACCCAGACTGTCCTTGGACAAGCTTTCTACCTTCTCTGTACCTCAGTTTGTCCATCTGTCTGGTGGTGATCAGAGCCATTGCTGCCACTGAGTGTCTTCTATATGTCAAATACTGTGCTAGAGCAAGCTTCATGTGCATTATCTGTTTTTCTATTTTTTCTTTTTATTTTATTCTTCTTATTTTTTTGTTTGTTTGTTTTTTGGGTTTTTTTGTTTTGTTTTTGAGATGGAGTCTTGCTGTGTTGCCCAGGCTGGAGTGCAGTGGCAGGATCTCAGCTCACTGCAACCTCCGCCTCCCCGGTTCAAGCAATTCTCCTGCCTTGGCCTCCCAAGTAGCTGGGATTACAGGCACGTGCCACCTGCCTGGCTAGTTCTTGTATTTTTAGTAGAGACAGGTTATCACTGTGTTGGCCAGGCTGGTCTCGAACTCCTGACCTCAGGTGATCTGCCTGCCTCAGCCTCCCAAAGTGCTGGGATTACAGGCCCAGTCGTTATTCTTGTTTTTTTAAAGACAGCCTGTCACTCTGTCACCCAGGCTGGAGTGCAGTGGCATAGTCACAGCTCACTGTGACCTCAAACTCCCAGGCTCTAGTGATCCTCCTGCCTCAGCCTCCTGAGTAGCTGGGACTACAGGTGCACCCCACCATGCCCGGCTAATTTGGGGGGGGCACAGGGTAAAGACAGTGTCTCGCTCTGTTGCCCAGACTGCTCTCAAACTCCTGGGCTCAAGCAATCCTCCCTCCTTGGCCTTCCAAAGTGCTGAGATTACAGGCGTGAGCCACCACACCCTGCCTATCTCATTTAATTCTCACTATACACCTTGGAGGTGCAGGGGATAGTCTTCTCAATAGAGGTTAAGTAACCTGCCCAAGGTCACCAAGCCTGTGGCATCAGGATTCCAGCTCTGGCTCATAAGCCCATGTCTGTAACTGCTGTTTCCTGCCCACTCTCAACAGTGGCTAATTGGTGAGGTCCAAGCAAAATGATTATAAAAAGATCCTTTAAGTTGTAAAGTGCCCTGCATGTGGGAGGGATTGATACTGCCGTTATTATTTCTACATCCAGAGCAACAGTAGCTTTGGTTATATGGCTTACAGCAAGTTGGAGGTCGTGGGATGTAGCAGCATTGAGTGGGGAGAGCACTGGACTGTGAGCCAGCAGACTTGAGTCCTAGTCCTGGCTCTCCTTGAAACTGACTAGCCATGTGGCCTTGGCCACTAAGCCGCCTGGGAAATAAGCTCACCTACTCCGTGTGGCCCTTGTGCAGCTCAAATAAGATAAAGCCCAAAAGACAGCCAGCATGTTGCCCAGCTCTCGGAGGATACCCTGCTAACGGGAGGTCTCTCTCTGCCTTCTGCATCGTCATCAGGATGGGCCAGGTGGGACGCATGTCTCCGTTTTAATGCTGTTACTCTGCAGTTCTGTGCTGTCACGTGGTCCCCAGCCCACCACTGCACATCAGCCTGAGGCTCCCTAGTGGCCCGTGAAGCTTTTGGGCAAGAAGCCAAGGCTGATGGGTGGTGGCCTTTTCACATTGTTTGGTCTAAAGTGGTGTCCGTGGGTACTGCAAACCTCTGACGAATTGCCGTCTCCCCACTGCCATGTACAAATCCAAGCACCAGACAGGATGACTGCAGACTCAGCTCCCTTTTTGATCCTTCTTGCCTGGCTGTGAAAGTGGCTTGAGGTCTCAGAGGCAGCTCTCTCAGCCTGTACCCTCCATCCTTTCATTCACGTCCATGTAGACATTATCACTCAGGGAAGTGAGTGTTCCATACTGGGGAAGTCCCCTTGGGAAGGAAGTCACATCATCTCCAGCAAGTGAGAGAAAGAATAAGCCCTAATAGGCACTCTTTCTGTTTTTTTTTTTTTTTCTTGTAATTCTTCTTTTTTCTTTTCTGACTCCGAAAGTAATACATGCTCATAGTAGAAAATTGAAAAATACGGAGAAAAAGGCCCCTATTTCCTTCTCCAAGGGAAGGCTATTGTTAACATTTTAGTCTTTGGACTTAATTGGAGAGTAATATTTCTGGAGCAAATATTTCTAATATTCTGGTATGTGTTTAGTGTTTTACAGGCATGATCTGATTCCATTTTCACAGTAAGCCTGTGAGGTATGTAAGTTTATCATCATGACTTTACAGATGAAGAAACTGAGGCACAAAGAGGTTAAGGGGCTTCCTGACGGTTCCCTTGCCTTCCTTGACTTCTTAGCTTATTCTGCCTCTTCTCAGGCTCCCCTTATCCTAAGTGAGCATCAGGTGGTGGATCAGTCAGATTCTGACAGGAAACAGAATTCCACTCAGATGCTTCACCTGAGGAGATGTTAATAAAGATGTGAGCAGGGTGAGGGGAACCCACATGGGATGGTGAGGCACCCACAAACTAACAGTGACAGAAGGCATTACTAGCTCTCGGCCTGAATGAGCAGGAGGGAGTGGTGTTACCTGAGTTCCGTGACTGGTAGAGGTGGGCAGGGAGCTGTCGCAGAGGGGCTCAGCCACCACCAGGACCACAGAGAGAGAAATTGGGGAAGATACACCCAGGATCTCTCTCCTTCCACCTTCTGAATTCCTGCCAGTGCCTTCTTCTTTATTATTTTTTTTTTAAGACAGAGTCTCTGTCGTCCAGGCTAGAGTGCAGTAGCATGATCTTGGCTCACTGCAACTTCCACCTCCCAGGTCTGCCTCAGCCTCCCTAGTAGCTGGGACTACAGGCGCCTGCCACCACACCCAGTTAATTTTTATATTTTTAGTAGAGACAGGGTTTCACCTTGTTGGCCAGGCTGGTCTCAAACTCCTGACCCCAAGTCATCCACCCACCTTGGCCTCCCAAAATGCTGGGATTGCAGGCGTGAGCCACTGTGCCCGGCCCCTGCCAGTGTCTTCTATTGGCCAAATGGAACCAGAAACCAGGAGGCAAGGGAGCTCAAGGGACAGTCCAATGGGCCAGCCTCCTGCTTCTTCAAGCAGGTCATGGATCTGGGGGTGCACATGGAGACTAACAACCCAAGCGACATGGTTGTAGGGAGATGGGAGAGACATGTCCTCTGACTTCCCAGAAAGAGTTGTCTTAGTAACTGACTATTAAAAACATCATTCAAAACAAGAGACTTTTTTTCTGCCTGGGAGTCTCTTGGTGTTTTGGTGTCTCCTCCCTCCCCTGCCCCCCATCTCCTCTCTCACCTGGTTCAGAATTTCCAAGAACACCTGGGCAACAGTCTTTGGTGTCATCGGTGTGCAGGGTTTAGAAGAGACAACCTTGCTTGCATGATACATGTGGCTGTGTGTGTTCTCATGTTGTTTCACTGCTGTGCCTATGCATACAAAGACATGCTTCTTGTGTACATGTCATAAGCATCTATAACATAGTCTCCTCTGTATCCAGCAGAATATTCACTTTTTATTTATTTATTTATCTAATTTTATTTTTTTGAGATGGAGTCTTGCTCTGTCTCCAGGCTGGAGTTCAGTGGCATGATCTCGGCTCATTTCAACCTCTGCTGCCGAGGTTCAAGCAATTCTCCTGTCTCAGGCTCCCGAGTAGCTGGGACTACAGGAGCCTGCCACCATGCCCGGCTAATTTTTGTATTTTTAGTAGAGATAGGGTTTCACGATATTGGTTAGGCTGGTCTCGAACTCCTGACCTCAGGTGATCCACCCGCCTCACCCTCCCAAAATGCTGGGATTACAGGTGTGAGCCACTGCGCCTGGCTATTTATTTATTTTTGAGACAGAATCTCGTTCTGTCACCCAGGCTGGAGTGCAGTGGTGCGATCTGAGCTCACTACAACCTCTGCCTCCCAGTTTCAAGCAATTCTTCTGCCTCAGCCTCCCAGGTAGCTGGGATTACAGGCACGCACCACCACACTTGGCTAATTTTTGTATTTTTTCTAGGAACAAAGTTTCACCATGTTGGCTGGGTTGGTCTTGAACTCCTGGCCTCAAGTGATTTGCCTGCCTCGGCCTCCCAAAGTGCTGGGATTACAGGCATGAGCCACCGCGCCTGGCCCAGGACATTAACTTTTGTATCTCAAAGTCCTCCCATTCTCTGTAATAGCCTTGATCTCCATGGCCTTCCTCTGATGTGGACAGGGTCTCTCATCCCTGTTTGACACATGAGGAAACATGCTCAGAAAGAGGAAGTGGCTGGGTGTGGTGGCTCACGCCTGTAATCCCAGCACTTTGGGGGGCCAAGGTGGGTGGATCACCTGAGGTCAGGAGTTCAAGACCAGCCTGGCCAACATGGTGAAACCCTGTCTCTACTAAAAATACAAAAATTAGCTGGGCATGGTGGCATGCACCTGTAATCTTAGCTACTCGGGAGGCTGAGGCAGGAGAATTGCTTGAACCAGGGAGGCAGAGGTTGCAGTGAGCCAAGATTGTGCCACTGCACTCCAGCCTGGGCGACAGAGCGAGAATCCATCTCAAAAAAGAAGAAAGAAAGAGGAAGTGACCTGCCCAAAGCTGATCAGATCGGAAGTGGAAGCACTGAAGCAGCAGTGGTCCCAGTTCTGAGTTCAGCTCTTCCCAGTATATTTCCTTTTCAATCTTGGGAAGTCTTTCTTTAGCCAGCCCCAACCCTGGGAGAAATCAGTACAGCATGAGCCCCCTGAGGTTGCTGGAATGCCATACAGTGGGAAGAACTCTGGAGTCAGAGATACCTGGCACAGCCTTATGACTTTGGACAAATCCATTTGCCTCTTTGCACGTGTGCATCCTCATTAGTAAAATGAGGAGAATAATATCAGGACTTTGGATGGAAACATCAGGTGTTGAGATAAAATAAATCATCAGGAGAGGCAGGCTGGCTGGTAGCCACAAAGGCTCCCAAGGTGAATGCAGCCCAGGTCTCCATCCTCAGTTGGGTAGACTAGAAATTGTCTCTTTGTGTTCTATCCATCAGTTATCCATGTGTTCAACCTTTTATCCATCTACCCCTCCATCTGATGCCAAATCTGCTGAATGTGAATTCTGGCACTGCTGTTTACTAGCTGTGTGACCTGGAGCAAGTTCCTTAACTTTTCTGCTTCAGTTTCTTCTTTTGTAAAATAGGGATAATAAGAGTACCTATTACCCATTATAGGTTATTGTGAAGATGAAGTGAGTTCATTGATGTAAAGTACTCAGATCAGCGCCTAGCAAATAGCAGACTACAAATGATAATGTTGTTTTTATTTATCAAGAACTGCGCTGAGCCCTGGGGATAATGGCTAACCAGACAAAATTCTTATCTTTATGGAGTTTATTTTGGAAGGAGGGATAAAAAGAAATAAGTAAATCAATCAATGATAGAAGATCAGTTTGTGATAATTACTGTGAAAACCGACCACCCAGCTGGGCGTGGTGACTCACACCTGTAATCCTAGCACTTTGGGAGGCCAAGGCGAGCAGATTGGCTGAGCCCAAGAATTCGAAACCCAATCTCTACTAAAATACAAAATAATTAGCTGGGCGTGGCTGTGTGCACCTGTAGTCCCACCTACTGGGGAGGCCAAGGCAGGAGAATTGCTTGAACCTGGGAGGTGGAGGTTGCAGTGAGCTGAGATCATGCCACTGCACTCCAGTCTGGGCAACAGAACGAGACTGTCTCCAAAAAAAAAGAAAGAGAAAACCAACCACCCAACCCAGCATGCTTGCTTAATGGATTCGAAGTTTCTGTTTGGGGTGATAAGAATTTTTGGAAATAGATAGTGGTGATTTTTGCACAACATTGTGAATGTAATTAATGCCTCTGAATTGTTACCCTTAACAATGGTTAACAATGGCAAAATGAAACAAAAACAAAACAATCTAGCATGCTGTAACCAAAAAAACAGGGGAAAGGACCTAAATAAATTAGACAGGGTGGTCAAGGGGCACACAGATTCACAATCTGAAGGTGGGAGCTGCCAAGCTGTCCATGCAGAGGGAACATTACAGACTATCATTAAGGACAAAGCCCCAAAGCCTCGCACAGTCGAAGAACAGACGGAAAGCCAATGTGACAGGCTCATGGTGATGGTGGCGGCTTGGGGAGGGAATAGGGGACCAGTAGTGGTGGGAGCTGATGCTGAATAGATGGGCAACAGCCATATACAGAGGTCTGTAGCTTTGATAAAGAGTTTGTGTTTTATTTTAATGGGAGGCCCTTGGGGGTTTTAAAGAGGGCATCTGGCTGGGTGCAGTGGGTCACACCTGTAATCCCAGCACTTTAGGAGGCTGAGGCGGGCGGATTGCCTGAGCTCAGGAGTTCAAGACCACCCTGGGCAACATGGTGAAACCCCCATCTCTACTAAAAATACAAAAATTAGCTGGGCATGGTGGCGGGTGCCTGTAGTCTCAGCTACTTGGGAGGCTGAGGCAGGAGAATTGCTTGAATCCAGGAGGTGGAGGTTACAGTGAGCCGAAATCATGCCACTGCACTCCAGCCTGGGCCATGGAGTGAGACTCCATCTCCAATAATATTAATAATAATAATAATAACAATAATAATAAATAATAAATAAAGAGGGTGTCCATTGAGAGTTTTGGAAAGATTCTTATGGCTGCTTTGTGGATAATAAACTCTAGGAGGGCCCAAGTGGTCACAGGGAGACCATGGAGCAGGCTGGGGCAGCCCCTGGAACAAGCTGATAGTGGCTTAGATTTAGGCAGTTGCAATGGTGATGGAGAAAAGAAGCAAATCCAAGTTACTGGACTCAGAGATGCTGACTCATGCTAACCCTGGTTAGAGGGCCTGATGTATAAACCGGACACCAGTTGATTCATTTTTTAAGGAGTGGTTTCACTGCCAGGCTGAGTGGATATTGCCTCATCTGGGCTAGGACACCCTCTCCCTGCAGGCCACCCAGATAAACAGCCACAGGTGAGAAGGCTGCTGAGTGCCCCTGGAAGGTGAGCTAGAGGAGCCAGAAGGTGGTTAGGGTGTTGAAGAGGGTCAGATGCTGACAGTGTGCTGGGCCAGCCCCAGCCCAGGCAAGCATCCCTGGCCTCACTGGGTCCCTTTCCCCCAGACAGAGTAAGTACAGGCGCTGTCAGCATTTACTTCTCTGGCTGACCTTTCTCTTTTCTAATCCTGTGCATTAGGCCTTTCATATGTTAGTGTCATCAGTCTGGCCCTGCTGGCCTCTGTCTGTTAGAAACATCTCTTTTTCCATTTGTTGTGGGTGGACACTTCTGAAGTCCCGTTCTCAGGCCCCTCCTCACTGCAGCTTCCCATTACTGCTGGTAATTATAGACCCTACGTCTCAGGCTTGTTTTATTGGGTGTATACCATGTTAAGTGCTTTTTTTTTTTTTTAGATGGAGTCTTCCTCTGTTGACAGGCTGGGGTGCAGTGGCGCGATCTCGGCTCACTGCAACCTCCGACTCCCAGTTCAAGCCATTCTCCTGCCTCAGCCTCCTGAGTAGCTGGGATTACAGCCTCCCGAGTAGCTGGGATTACAGGCACGTGCCACCACGCCCAGCTAATTTTTGTGTTTTTAGTAGAGACAGGGTTTCACCATGTTGGCCAGGATGGTCTCCACCTCCTGACCTTGTGATCTGCCCACCTCAGCCTCCTAAAGTGCTGGTATTACAGGCGTGAGCCGCCACACTGGGCCACTAAGGGCTTTCTCTGTGTTATTTTCCTAAATCTCCTTCACCATCCTGAGAGGGAGGGAGGAGTGTCTCTGTTTTATTAAACAGGCAACTCAAGGCCAGGCATGGTGGCTCACGCCTGTAATCCTAGCACTTTGGGAGGCCAAGGCGGGTGGATCACAAAGTCAGGAGTTCGAGACCAACCTGGCCAAGATGGTGAAACCCCGTCTGTACTAAAAATAGAAAAATTAGCTGGCTGCGGTGGCGGTCACCTGTAATCCCAGTTACTCGGGAGGCTGAGGTAGGAGAAATTGCTTGAACCCAGGAGGCAGAGGTTGCAGTGAGCTGAGATCGCTACACTCTAGTCTGGGTGACAGAGCAAGACTCTGTCTCAAAAAAAAAAAAAAAAAAGTGGCAACTCCGGCTCAGAAAAGTGAAGTCACTTGTCCAAGGTCACAGAGTGAGCAAGCATTGGCACTAGGCTTTGGATCTGGGTCTGCCTGACTCCACAGCCTGTGCTGTGAAGCACTGAGCCACAGGGCCGCCTGCTCTACCTCCCTTCAAGAGGTCCATGAATGACTGTGTGAAGTCTCTAGCCCTGGGCCTGGCTGGCAGCAACGCTTAGTGTTGGGATCTCTGTCCTTCTCCTGCACAGTGATGCTTCTGACTCCCAGCAAGGCTCCCAGCTCCGTCACTCCTCCCAAGCTCCAACCAGTTCCTCCTTCCAGGCTGTTTGGTGCTCACCTTTACAGGCTTCTCACTCTGAAGTGCCAGAATGTCAAGGTCTCCTCTCTATCCCCTGCCCAACCCCCTTCTTCCCATCTCTGGGCATTTGCCCACATGGTGACTCAGCTCAAATGCTCTCCCTGCATCTCCTGTCTAAATGGCTCCCTTTTTTCAACACCTAATTCCACCTTCACCTCCCCACCCTAGAAGCTTCCTTTGGGAACTCTAGGCTATAGTCCAGATCACCAGGTCCCCAGACTCTGCTGAGAGGCTGAAACATACATGGCAAATCTAAATCATCTCCTGCATGAGTGTTTAGCCATTTCCTGGGTGAGCATCCTCTTCCCACACTGCAGCCAGCTCCTCGGGAACCAGCACGTGCTTCCCTCCAGGGGCCACTACAGTGCCTGGCCCAGCCTAGCCGCACAGCAGGCTCCATCAGTCTGTGCTCACCTGGGCCTGGGCAGAACCATGCCCACGTGACGGGCTATGTCAGAAGCCACGGCCACCTAGGCTCCCTTTCTGTGGCCTAGTGAGAGAACCATGCTGTTATCCTTGGATTTGTGAAATAAAGATTTCATCATAGATTTTTTTTTTTAAAGATGTTATTTTTGATTTATAAATTTTTAAAAGGTTTAAACAGATTTTATCTCCTTCTCATACTGCCATACCAAGCCATGTGCCTCAGAAAAATTTCTTTTTTGACCTCTAACTTAAACTCATTCAAGGAATCTCCAAGTATAGTAGCAAAACCAAGAACTACAGTTAAACAGAAGAAAAAATAATAATCTGTCTTCCCGCCACCCAGAAATAACTATAGTTAATACTTTGCTGAGTTTTCTGTATCTGTGCATGTGTATTCATTAACACAGAGATAATCTGTACAAACTATTGTGTATCATGCTTTTTTTACTCAAATCTTTTCCATGATTTTTTACGTTTTTTTCCTTAACTCTTTAGAGTGGATAAGCCATCATTTCTCTCACTAGCCCCTGGCCATGGAATGCAGAGGTGGCTCCTGCCACGTCCTTGGTGTCTAGCGTGAACCTGAGTACTTTCTCCTTTGGGGGGTTCTGTTGGGGTTTGCTTGAGGCAGCCAAGTACAGTGGAGAGAAGGCAGACCTAGAGTTAGGATCTGGGGAGTCTGGAGGCTGGGGAGGGAGGAGAGTGGGCGGAGGAACCAGGGAAACCTGGTTTCTGAGGAAATGACTGTCAGTCGTCTTTTTTGCTCACTGGGTCTCACCTGTAAAGGAAGAGGAGTAGATTGAATTATCTCAAAAATGATCTCAAAAGGCATCCAGCTCCTCTCCTCTGTCGTTCTGGGAGCGCCAGGCATTTGCTGCCAGCGGGCTCTGCTGGAGACCCAGGCAGAGGAAGACTGGGATATTTATTTAAGGTTGCTTTCCTGGCTATTTCAAGGAACCTCAGGCCCAGGAAAAGTTCCGAGAGTGTGAGCTGAAATCAGATTGAGGCCATCGGAGAGGGAGGAGTGGAAGTGTCTCCCGGCTGTCTGGGCCCACAAGGGGTCATGTGGATTCTGCATCTCACAGCAGAAAACACACAGATGAGTCTGTGATGCTTTTTTTTTTTTTCTTTTTAAGCAAAATTAAGTAGGCAGTTATTTTAAGGGTTCTTGCCTATAGGCCTTATCTGGCATTATGACCAGTATCCTTAAGTGCAGGCTCAGAAAAGATCCTGAGCCCGGTGCACCGGTATCATTTGGACCCTTCCAAGGCTGTGGGCTCCCCTAGAGCAGCTCTCATTGCTTTGTATCCTGGCCTGGAGTCAGCACTCATTGTCCTGTAAGTGACAGAGAGCCTTTATTTAACTATGGCTTTACGTTATACCCATAAAGCAGAGAGTAGTGGCTTGAGTGGAAAGCATTTCTGGGTGGGGAGGAGGTGATGGGGACCCAGGCCTTCCCTTCCTCCTCATCTTCCTTCTAAATAGCAGCATCAGTAACAACAAACCCTCTCATTTGTACTCCAAGCCTCCACGCAAAAAGCCTTTCCACCGTTATCCACTCTGTGGGGGGCTGAGGATGTTCAGGGCCCCAGAGCTCTCCTGTGCCTGAGTGGGATGCTCAGGGTCCCTGGCTTTCTATCCAGTGCTCTTGGCTTTGGGCTGGGCTGATGTCCACTGAGATGCAGGGAGAAAAACTGAAAAATGAAAAGGAAGTGTGGGGCGGGGGACCTGGAGCACGTGGCTAGCCCAGGGTGGATGCTGTGTCTGTCTGTCTGTCTATCAGAGGCCTCCCACGATGGATGGTGCAGGGGAGAGGGCGTGCCATGCCAGTCTAGCCTGAATCTCTCTCATGTAATATGATAGATTTAGAGGAAGGGCCTGGACTCAGGGGTGAGGGTTCCTGCTCATTTCTCTATTTCCCTGGTTTTAGCTTCAAAGCTTTTTTTTGAGGATCTGTTGATTGGGGGCAGGAATGGGTGCATCTGATGCCCCTCCGCCACCCTACCTTTCTAAAAAGCCAACTTGTACGTTTAAAAAAGTACGTATGTATATTTTATTTATTTATTTTAATTTAATTTTATTTTTTTGAGATGGAGTCTCACTCTTATCACCCAGGCTGGAGTGCAGTGGCTCAGTGAAACCTCTGCCTCCTGGGTTCAAGCGATTCTCCTGCTTCAGCCTCCCCAGTAGCTGGGATTACAGGCATGCATCACCACATCCAGCTAATTTTTGTATTTTTAGTAGAGACGGGGTTTCACCATGTTGGCCAGGCTAGTCTCGAACTCCTGACCTCAGGTGATCTGCCTGCCTCGGCCTCCCAAAATGCTGGGATTATAGGCATGAGCCACTGCTCCCGGCTTATGTATGCATATTTTAAAAGATAAAAGTACTTCCAAAACATATAAAGTGAAAAGTGAAGTTTTCTCTCTTATGTCACCCAGTTCCCAGGGATCTCTTTCATTTTCCTTTACCCACTTCTGCCTTACCAACCTCTCTTAACATTGGTAAGTATCCTTTCAGACCTTTTACTAAATGTGTGCAAACACAAACATATGTTGTTGAGGTTACTGTTTTGTTTTTCTTTTTTCTTTTTCTTTTGGAGAAGGAGTCTCACACTGTTGCCCAGGCTAGAGTGCAGTGGTGCAATCTCAGCTTACTGCAACCTCCGCCTCCCAGGTTCAAGCGATTCTCCTGCCTCAGCCTCCTGAGTAGCTGGGATTACAGAAGTGCGCCACCACACCTGGCTAATTTTTGTATTTTTAGTAGAGACGGGGTTTCACCATGTTGGCCAGGTTGTCTTGAACTGCCGAACTTAGGTGATCCGCCCTCCCTGGCCTCCCAAAGTGCTGAGATTACAAGCATGAGCCACCGCGCCTGGCGTGTTTTGTTTTTCAAATATAAAAATGAGACCATGCCATTCTCTCTCTCTCTTTCTCTCTCTGTAACTTGCCTATTCCAGCAGAATAGCTGGGCAATGGGTCCTTGACTCTCTGAAATCTCCTCATTTACTGCTGAAAGGGGAAAATGACAAGAATAGTTTATCCCAGAAAGCATTTCTCTACGTTGCTCATGTTTTGGATGAGTCTGAGAGAGGTGAAGTGACTGCCACATTTGTGGCCAACTCGGGGACTGAGCCTGTTCTTTTGACTTTTACATCGTCAAGCCTGCGCGTTTTTTTGTTTTGTTTTGTTTCAAGTTTCTTCCTGTCATTCTCTTTTTGGATCTATTCTGTGAAGTTAGCAGGGCAGGAATTATTGAAGCTTGGGGTATGAAGAGGTGTGTCCAGCTTCAGCACTGGAAAGGTCTGGAACCCAGGGTTCTTTTAGTTAAATTCTGTGCATCCAGCTTTGCTGAGGGTCTACCAAGCGCCAGGTGAGGTGGCTGGAGAGACAGCCTGGCTTGGACCCTGCCTGGAGGCGGCCACTGGCAGCCCCGTGTGCTCCTGGTAGAGCAGGGCTCCCTGGAAGGACTCATCATCCCTATGAAAGGCCCAGAGATTTGAGTCCCTGAAGAGCTGCAGACACAGGGTGGGAGGGGTGCCTGTGACTTCAGCCACTAACCCCTCACCTCCCATGACCCTCCCTCCTCCCCACTTCCTCTGTCTCTCCCTTCCTCCTCCCTTTGCCCTGTGACTCTTTGTCCGTTTGCCTCCATCTGTCTCTCTCCGCGTGTGGTTCCTGCCCCTCTCGCTGTCATACCATTGCTGTCCCTCCCTGTCACATGATCTCCTTCATGCCAATGCAGGCGTGCTGGTCACCATGACAACAGAGACAGGCCCCGACTCTGAGGTGAAGAAAGCTCAGGAGGAGGCCCCGCAGCAGCCCGAGGCTGCTGCCGCTGTGACCACCCCTGTGACCCCTGCAGGCCACGGCCACCCAGAGGCCAACTCCAATGAGAAGCATCCATCCCAGCAGGACACGCGGCCTGCTGAACAGGTGTGTGCCCGAGAGCATGGGCGTACCTTTCCTGCCCAGACCGTCCTCCAGGTCCAGTTCTTAGGGCTCCAGTATTTTTTCTGGAGGGAGGAAAGAAGGAAACTAAGATTTATTAGTGACCTGTTACATGCCAAGCACTGTGCTGGGAGCATTGTTGTTATTTTATTTTCTTTTTTGAGACAGATCTCACTCTGTTGCCCAGGCTGGAGTGCAGCCTCAATCTCCCAGGCTCAAGCAATCCTCCCGCCTCAGCCTCCTGAGTAGCAGGGACAACAGGCGTGCACCACCGCACCTGGCTAATTGTTTTAACTTTCTTTTTTTTTTTTAATTGAGTTGGAGTCTCGCCCTGTCACCCAGGCTGGAGTGCAGTGGTGCCACTGCACTCTTCGCTCACTGTGACCTCTGCCGCCCGGGTTCAAGCAATTCTCCTGCCTCAGCCTCCTTAGTAACTGGGATTACAGGCATGCACCACCACGCCTAGCTAATTTATATATTTTTAGTAAAGACAGAGTCTCACCATATTGGCCAGGCTGGTCTCAAACTCCTGAGCTCAGGTGATCCACCTGCCTTGGACTCCCAAAGTGCTGGGATTACAGGTGTGAGCCACCATGCCTGGCCTTTTTTTTTTTTTTTTAACTTTCAGTAGAGATGAGGTCTTGCTATGCTGCCTAGACTGGTCTCAAACTCCTGGGCTCGAGTGATCCTCCCACCTTGGCCTCCCAAAGTGCTGGGATTACAGGTGTGAGCCACCATGCTTGGCCCATTGTGGTCATTTTAAAATTTTATTCTCTCAGACTAAAGAGGGTAGCTACTAACTCCCCCATTTTACACCTGGGGAAACTGAGCACCAGCAGGATAAAATGAGTTATCCAAAGTCACATTGCCATAAAGTAACAGAGGTGAAGACAAATCTAGATCTGATTTTGAAGGCTGAGTTCTTTCCATTTATTTTCCTACCCCTGAACCTGTCTGTTCTAGCTTGGCCAGCCCCATGTAACCCCAGAGCAAAACCCATTGCCCTAAAGCTACAACAGACTCACCTCCTCATCTAATTAACACCTTCCTTAATTCACGACAGGCCTGGAGGGGGCAGGGACTTGGCCAAGATCACTGAGGGCATCAGCAGTGGAGTTAGGACCCGGGGCGGGCGGCGGTGGGGCAGGTCTCTGGCCTTTCTCCTCTCCTTTAACTCAGTCCACAGCTCCCAGACTCCTGCTAGATCCAGTGACAGACAAAAAGAAGGAGACCAGATGGATGCTGTGATGAGTCATGTGCTGCTCTGGGGAGACAGGGCAGCTCTGGCCACTGGCTTTGGTTTCATGGGATGCTCCTGCCTCAGAGGATGCCTATGGCAGCAGTAGCCTGCAGGGAAGATGGGGACCCCTCACACAAGGCCACCCATTATGCATGGAAGCCCTGGCTCTCCTCCTGTACACACCAGCCATGGACCCTAGTTGCCCTGTGGGTCTCAGACGGTAGCGACTTTCATTCTGGGGTCTGTCTTGGCCCCAGATGCCTCTATATTGCTTCTTACTTATATGAAAGGCCATGGCTTAAAACTCACTGAGCAAACTATTCCCTTGCTTGGTCCTGCAGAGCCTAGACATGGAGGAGAAGGACTACAGTGAGGCCGATGGCCTTTCGGAGAGGACCACGCCCAGCAAGGCCCAGAAATCGCCCCAGAAGATTGCCAAGAAATACAAGAGTGCCATCTGCCGGGTCACTCTGCTTGATGCCTCGGAGTATGAGTGTGAGGTGGAGGTAGGGGAGCACTGAGTGCCATATGTCCCGTCCCCGGTCAGCCAGCCTCAGGTCCAGGGCAGGCTCCTGTGTGTACCCAGCTTGGGCCAAACCAGAGGAGTCCTGGACCAGTCACAGTGTCCAGAGAGATGACCTGGCTCGGAGCTCCTTTGTACAGATGGTGGCACCAAAGCCTGGAGAGAGTGGTTATGATTGCAAATAGAATTAGACGAGGTACAGGGCTGGCACCAGGGGAAGATTTTGCAGGGTGACTATACCTTGGCAAGGATGCCACCATGTAAGGGCTGATCTACAAACAGTAGACCTGGGAACTGGGCTCCCCTATTCACCCAGGAGAGACTGACATTTAAATTAGAATCATTTTTATATACTGGGTGGAGAGAGGGCTCCTCCCTTCCTAGTGAATGTCCCTGTCCAGGGCACCATCTCAAGTCTCCAGGACAAACTAGTCACCTGAGGGTTCTATGGCAAGCCCATCACCACGTCACAGGGAGGCGGCCCATTGGGAAGATGTCACCCAGGCCATGTAGAAACCCTGTGGTATGGCCCTGCCCCATGGTGGTGACACAGCAGATGCCTCCTTCTGGGTTTGGCCCTCCTGGCCTCACATTTAGGTCTCCTTTTCCTATATAGGTTCTGACTCCCGCCCTAATTCTGAGCTCTCGCTCGCCCCCTCTGTGAGCCCTTAGAGGTTCTATCCCTGCCGAGGCAGCATTCGTGGCCCTTCTCCGCATGTGTGAAAGGGCTCAGAGGGTGTCCTTGCTACTGAGATATATAGGAGCTGCCCCCTTTTCTCTCCCATGCACTGATTTTAGGGATGTGGCTTACTCCTGAGCCCTGGGAGGCTGAGTCCCTCTTCTCTACAGGGTTTTGATTTGTTTTGTTTTTATGTACATGTATTTTTTCTTTTTTTTCTTTTTTTTTTTTTTTTGTTGAGACAGAGTCTTGCTCTGTTGCCCAGGCTGGTGTGCAGTGGTGCGATCTCAGCTCCCTGCAACCTCAATCTCCCAGGTTCAAGCAGTTCTCCTGCTTCAGCCTCCTGAATAGCTGGGATTACAGGTGCCCGCCACCACACCCGGCTAATTTTTGTATTTTTAGTAGAGACAGGGTTTCACCATGTTGCCCAGGCTGGTCTCAAACTCCTGGCCTCAAGTGATCTGCCTGCCTTGGCCTCCCAAAGTGCTGGGATTACAGGCATGAGCCACTGCACCCGACTGTGTATGTATTTTGTCTATAGAAAGATTTCACCTTCCCTGCTCCTGGGACAAAGGAAAGGGCTGTCTTCTATGTCCTCTCTCCTACCTTGATGGGCCCCAAGATGCCATTTCTGCCTGTCCTAGAAGTGCACAAAGCATTTGACTGAGGCTAGGTCCTCTCTCTCTGATGATCTCCAGGTTCAGGAATTCCTTGTCAGGCTTGGTCCCGAGGGCCCAGCCAGACCTTACAGGGGTCTCACTCCCTCTCTAGAGTCCCTGCCTCTTTGGGTGGTGACTGCCTCCTGTTCCCCTGCCATGTGATCCCCTTATTGGTGCTCATCTTTACCCCTGTGGGTTTGGAGTGCCCAGTCGGGTTCTCGGCTTCGTCATTCTGAATGGTGGTTCAGAGAGGCCCAAGCCTAGCTCTACAGGAGTGGGAGGAACCTACCTGGCCCTAACAATGGTACTTCCAGCAGAAGCTGATGGAGGCCCCATGAGCCTCTGTGAAACCTCACTGGCTGTGGGGAAGGGAGTGGTGGGCTAGCCTGGGCTGCCCTGGATTTCACTCAGGGAAGGGAGGGTCACACTGTGACCCTGAGCCCCAAGCCCTCCCCTTCTCCCCCTGCCCGCTTCTGTCATATTCCAGGGGCGGCTTCTCTTCCTCTCACACCCAAAGCTTAGGACTTGCTTTTCTGCCCCTTCGGTCTAAGTTAGCCTCCTTCTCCTAATCACTAAAAAGGAAGGAGAAAGCCGTCACTTCCTATGCCTTCCACTTCAGCTTCTCCCCAAGCAAGCTCAAAGTCCAGAAACCACCACCAGAACTTGGAAGAAGGCCATCAAGGAGCTGGCCATTGTTGTCACCCCCAGGATCCCTTAGGACTCAGAGGGCAGAGCCAAGTGGGTGGCAGGAGCGCTGCATTCCTGTCCAGACACCGAAAGGCCCTTGGGGTTTTTGAATTGTCCTGGTGGAGCCCAGGGTATCTCCCAGCCTCGCCCCGGGGTGTGCTTCAGCCTCATAGCTGCTCTGCTTCCCTCCTTAGAAACATGGCCGGGGCCAGGTGCTGTTTGACCTGGTCTGTGAACACCTCAACCTCCTAGAGAAGGACTACTTCGGCCTGACCTTCTGTGATGCTGACAGCCAGAAGGTACCTGGGCTAGGGAGCAGGGTGGGACCTGCTCTTCCGTTAGGCTCCTGTAATCCTGGCCACCCCCAACAGCATCCATTAGTGCTCAAATCATTAAGCATCTTCTGTTTGCGTGTCCCCAAGGCTCAACCAGCCCTATCCACCTGCGGTTCCCTGTCTCAGCCATTTCTTGGTGACATACAGGTCACCCCCAGATGAGAATTTAGAGAGCCCTGGTCTGGCTGCTAGAGTTGCTGGGGGAGCTGAGGAGCTCCCTGCTAGAGCTTCTCCCCTACCCTTGGGAGGCTCTGAGTTTCCTTCTTCCTGCCAGTCCCATTGCAGATGCATCACCTGCTCACTGGGACTGCCTCAGGGCAGTGGCAGCTCCGGGCACTGGGTCCAAGCCTGGTGGTGAATCCTGGCCCCATTCCCCTCACCCCCTAGTCCCAAGGAAAAGGAACCAAGAGGCTTAGCCAAGGAAGGGCGTTCCCTACAAGGGGCTGCTGACCAGCCATTTCAGGATATTTCTCTCTCTCAGCCCAGTCAGGTCCTTTCCTGCGTCTTCCCTCTGAAGATCTCTATCTTTTCTTTTAGAACTGGCTGGACCCCTCCAAGGAGATCAAGAAGCAGATCCGGAGTGAGTGGCTTGTTGTGTTTGGGGAGGTGGGTGGGTGAGGGGATTCCAGGCCATGAGAGCCCCCCTTGTACTGCTCTCTCCTCCTTTGGAAAGTGCATTTCAGGCCAGGCGTTGTGGCTCATCCCTGTAATCCCAACACTTTGCGAGGCTAAGGCGGGTGGATCACTTGAGGTCAGGAGTTCAAGACCATCCTGGCCAACATGGGAAAAGCCTGTCCCTACTAAAAAAAAATACAAAAATTAGCTGGGCGTGGTGGCGGGTGCTTGTAATCCCAGCTACTCGGGAGGCTGAGGCACTGGGACTGCCTCAAGCGATTCTCTTGGACCTGGGAGGCAGAGGTTGTGGTGAGCTGAGATCATGCCACTGCACTCCAGCCTGGGCAACAGAGCAAAATTTCATCTCGAAAAAAGAAAAAAAAAAAAAAAGAAAGAAAATGCATTCAGATCCATGAGTCCGTGTACTCCACATGGCAGATCTTGGGAGAAGCCAGAGTGGGAAGGACAAGTCTAAGGCCCAGAGAAGAGAGACGACTGTGCAGAGTCACACAGCAGGTTAGCAGAGGAATCATAAATACATTCAGGACGCCAGCTCTAGAAGGGACCTGCAGAGCCATCTAGGACAAAGGACAAGCAGATGGGCTGGAAACAGCCACCCTTCTGTCCAGGAATGGTGTAGTCTTCAGTAAACAATGACCCTTTCCTCAGAGGCCCAGAGAGAGGCAGTTATTACCTAAGGTCACAGAGCCAAATGTTGGCTGAGCCAGGTCTTGAGGCCTGGTCTTCCAACACCATCCTGTGCTCTTTTCAAGGCCTGGGGTGAAGGCAGATGAGCAGGCCAACAACCTGTCCTTTCTGGCCCAGAGAGAGAAAGCATGTCGGGAAGGGATGGGGCAGCTCCCAAATGGCAGAAGGGGGTGGTAGGTGGCCTCAGCAAGGCAGCCTGAGTAGTTGGAGACCTGGCGCCTCGAGGCAGAGATGCCTCCACCCAGGGCCCCTCCCCCTTGGCTGTGGTTGGTCTCTCCTGAACTCCCTGGTCCCCTGGCTGGAAAGCTGTAGCTGAGCCTGTTACCATGACAGCGGGCAGCTGGGCCCAGGGATGCCAGCTGACTCTGCAGGAGGGGGCTCGAGGAATTCTTCCTGAAGGTTCTGTCAGTTGGAGACAAAGAGGCAGGCACACAGACAGAGTGCACTCCTCGGGGGGCTGACAGATCCTCCGCCTGGGCTTCAGGCTGTCCCCCAGGAGCCCCAGCCTGGCTGGGAGGCCTGTCTCTCATGACTAAAGGGATCGGAAAACATATAGGCAGCCGAGTGTGTGGTGTTTGGTCAGGACCAGGAGCTTGGGAAAGACAGGTGGCTGGACCAAATGGTCAGGTCTCAGCATCCCTCCCAGAGGTGGCCTGCAGCCCCTGCCAGCACAGCCCAGGCCTGGTGGATGTCACTCCTTGTAGCCATCCCAAGTCATCGAGTAAGTCTTGATCGCTAGCAAGTACCTTATCCAGGAGAGCCACAGTCTCTGCCTCTACCCCTGTAACTTCCAGCCATTTATCCTCATCCTACCTTCTGGTGCCCCAGTGGAGCAATTTTTTGCCCTCTGTGACAGCACCTCAGCCTTCTGAAGGTGGTCCCATTGGTCCTTGTGGCCTGAGCTTCAGAGTTGGGTGTATCTCCTCCCAAACCTCAGTGCACCTGGGGCAAGGTAGGGCAAAGTAGGGCACCTGGGACAAGCTTTCCACCCCTCTGGGCCCCTGCTTCTCCTTGGCCAGTGGATTAGTAGTTCCTGCCTCATGAAGTGGGGGTGACAGTTCAATGACATATGTATGGACAGCACCAAGCACATAGTAGGTGCTCAGTAGCTGTTTTCTTCTTGCTTCCCTGAGGCAATCTGGTGTGATGGTTAAGCAGACAGACACTGAGGCCAGACTGCCTGGATTTGAATGTTAACTCCACCTGCTTCTTGTGTTGACTGTGCCTTGGTTTCCTCCTCTGTAAAGCAGGGTAGTGCTAGTACTTATATTTATGTTGTTGTGAGGGTTAAATGAGTATTACATGTAGAATGGTGCCTGCACACAGTAGCACCCAGTATGATTAGCTATTATTTATTTTTATTATTATTATTGATTATTACCATTATTATTCCTGAGGTAGGAATTCCTGAGACCATTGTTATTCATTGAAGCTGCTCTTTCCAAGGAGTCGGTGTGGTCAGGAGCCTGGGCTCTGGGGCCAGATGGCCAGAGTTAGGATCCCCATTCTCTACCACTGACTAGCTGAGTGACCCTGAGAGAGTGACATAACCTCTCAGAATTCATCTATAAAAAAGAAAGTCAACTTCAGGATGATTATGAAGATCAAACCCCTGTACATGTGCATAAAGTTCTTAGCAAGCACAGTGACTGGCATCTAGTAAGAGTTTGAGATGTGACATCTGTATGGTGCAGATGGTGGTTACCGCAGAGACAAGGATGGTAGTGATGATGTGGCCTCCAGTGGTCCATGACCACAGCCCTGCCATGGATGGGCCTCGCTTTCTCACTTTGTCAGGGGCCATTTTGAGCCTGGAACCTGAAATGTTCCAGGGGTGGGTGGTCTGACCATTGTTGTGGATATGTAGACTTTCGCTAATTTTGTCCAGTACCTCATATCTACCTGCCTTCATCCCCTCTCAAGTGACCACCCCTTCTCTGGGCTTGCAGAGCTTGCTTCCAGCTATAACCTCAGCCTTTATTCCCCTGTGTATCTTCTTAGATGTGTGCCATTGGTTTTTCACATCTAAGTGTGGAGGTTAGCATTTATCCCCCTAAAATATCCCTTTGTTACATTTAGCCCATTATATTTACCTTTTAGGTCTTGTTTATAATCCAATCCTGTCTTCTGGTCTTGTTTATAATCCAATCCTGTCTTCTGAGATGGAGTCAACATGATATAGGGCAGAGTTTTCCAACATGTGTTCTGAGAAACATTAATCTTTCAGGATGCTCTGTGAAAAATGGATACAACAGATCAAATCATTTTTGGAAATTCTTGAATGCATGTTCCCCTCAGAGAGTTGCAGTGCACAGTAGCAGGGTGAGGGCTCTGACAAGTCCAAATTTAGGAAACCTGTTTAATGTATTATCTAGACTTTTTTCTTATCATTAACATCCTGCAACCCAGACTAGGTTGTAGACCAAGGAGCCAGGTGGCCTGGGTTTGAACCCCAGCATTGCCACTTCCAAGCAGGGTGACCTTGGGCTAATTTACTGCCTGGGCCTCAGTGTCTTCATCTATAAAATGGGGCTAATCATAGGACTTACTCATGGGGTTGTGGTGAGGTTTACTGAAGTAATGTTTGTAAAGCAATTAACAGTGTGCCTGGCATGCAGCGTCAGTTTTCTTTCTTTCTTTCTTTCTACCTTCCTTCCTACTGCTAGCTCACGAGTCTCTTAACTTGGGCCTCAGTTTGCTAATCTGTCAAATGGGAATAATGTTCCAGCCTTCCTGATTGGATTGTCCTGAGATTATACATAGGAGAAACTTTGAAAAACTGCCCAGAGGATGGTGCATCTGGACCACCCAGTGGGGTGTTAGGGCCTCGCTGATCTCTCTCCCATCTCCTCTCAGGTAGCCCCTGGAATTTTGCCTTCACAGTCAAGTTCTACCCGCCTGATCCTGCCCAGCTGACAGAAGACATCACAAGGTGAGGGCTGTGGAGGGAGAGACAGGTGTGCTGGCTGTGTGGGACTATGGATGAGGGACCCTGGCCCTGGGGACACAGGCAGTATGTGACAGCAGCTGCAAATGCAGTCGCCTACCGAGGTCAGGCAGACAGCATCGTACACAGGAAGCCGACTCATTGTAAGAAACACAGTGATGCAAGCACAGTGGTCAGTGGCAGCTGACCCTTGATGTCAGAGGAGGAGGTATCACAGGGAACTGTGGGGCCTTTTGTAGATTTAAGAGGACAGAAGCCACCTAAAACAGTTGCTGTTCCCCTCCGGGCCATCACTGTCATGTAGGAATTGGGCCTGATTGTTGAAATGAACCTAGAGATTAAAGAATAAAAACCACAGTTCTAAATGTTGGCAACAAATGCAAACTTTAAAAAAACATAGCATGGGCCATCTCTGGGTGGGACATACCAAACCCATGTAAAAGCTGCTGTGCTGGGTGAGCCACCAGTTTGCAGCATTGGGAGTATGGAGAGGGTAGAATGGGATGCCTTTGAACGTAGAACTTTGGTCTGCATGCCACTCTGTGCACACATCAGGCACATGGAAGTCAAGTGGGGCTTAGGACTCCCCACAGAGAAAAGCCTGGGCTGTTGGGGCAAGCGTGGACTGTGTGTGCAGTCTCGTTGTGCCTCAGGGCCAGTAGATAACATGGCCTGAAGATTGGAAATGAGTGCAAAGCATCCTTCAGGATGAGAGCTTCCGTGGGGTTATCCCATTTCTGGAAACCAGAACGGGGGAAGCCCTTCTCTTAAGCCCTTTCCAAAGAGATAGTCTCACTTCATGATATCCTGGGGCTGTGTCATCCAGGTGATGGGCCTTATACTCCCAACATAAAATATGGGCTTGGAGTTCCCCTACAGCAGGGGAAGGGCTCCTAAGCCAGCCCCTCTCTCCCATTGGGTCCCTCCTTCATCTTCATGTTGATTGCGTGTTTGCCAGGCCATCGACCAAAGGTCAAGGTGCTGACTCTGGCCTTGGGAGATAAGACAGATGTTCCTGGAACAGATCAGGCCTGGGCTTTGGCGTCATTAGTCCTAGTTCTGAGCCCTGAGGTCAGGTGCGGGCTAATGTGGCAGCAGCAAGATCTGAAACTCCATTCCCAAGTGGACTGTGTAGGTTAGGCCAGCACAGCCTCAATCCCCCTGGTCTTCCCTACTGATACCTCTCCTGTTTGTGCCAGACACTGGGCACTGTGCTTCCAGGGACACCAGGAAGGAAGTTAGGCCTGCCTAGCACAGATGGCCCCAGGAGATGGGTGCTATAGCAGCTGATTTCGCCAAAAATAGTTAGGCCCGAAATAAACTGGTCAAAATGACAAATTGATTGAAATGAAAGATTGGTCAGAATATTTGGCAGTGATTTCTGAATTTTGAGACTTTTGAACAGAATGCCCATAAGCCTGTACTCGGTGCCTGTGATGTTTGAGCTGCTACTGATTCTGAGTCTATGCCTTGGCCCTGGGCGCACACTGAGGCTGCACATACTTTTTGCCAGGACTTCAGTTCTGACTGTGAAATAATGTCACCAAGTAGTAAGAATTATTTTAAGTAAAAGATACTTAAAAGAAAAAAGCCCAGATATGGTGGCTCACACCTGTAATCCCAGTACTTTGGGAGACAATGGCAGGAAGATTGCTTGAGACCAGGAGTTTGAGACCAGTCTGGGCAACGTGGCGAAACCTTGTCTCCACAAAAAATACAAAAATTAGCTGGGCGTGGTGGCATGTGGCTGTAATCCCAGCTACTCAGGAGGCTGAGACAGGAGAATCGCTTGAACCTGAGAGGCAGAGGTTGCAGTGAGCTGAGATCGTGCCACTGCACTCCAGCCTGGGTGACAGAGTGAGACTCCATCTCAAAAAAAGAAAAAAAGAAAAAGAAATAGGCAGTTGAAAAAAAATGGTGAAACATAACAAAAATGGACAGGGAGGCATCGTTGGCTAAAAATGAAACTTTTTTTTAATACATAGTAACCAAAAAAGCAATAAAAATGGTTTTAAATGGTTCTAAAATTGTAAAATCGTCCAACTGTGCATAAAAGTTATAAAAAATCATGGCCTGGTAGTTGGAAATGTTTCTTTAAACCAATTTGTTTTCAGACAATTTACTTAGAGCTGGAGGCAAAATAAGAAAGTTTTGGGAAAGCATTGGCAAGCAGGTTCATCTGGGACATGGAATACAATGTGGAAGTTAAAATGAATGGGGTAGAGTCACATGTGCTGACATGGGAGGGCTCTAAGGCCTGGGTATGAAAAAGTGAGCTGTTAGAATCAGAGACAGCATTTGATGCCATTTACAGGTAAGAAACACCCATAAATCAAAACCACATACATTTCTGGTCATCAAGAGGAAATTTAGAGTCACCTCTAAAGTGTGAATTTTTCCACAACATGAATACAGTATATTACTTGTATAATTAAAACTATACGACATTTTGTAATGGACAAACCAGCAAAGTAGTCCTATTTAGCTTGAAATTGAGTTAGAAATTGAAAATGCTGTCATAATAGAAAACAAATCCCTCAAATTTAGAAATGCACAAAAATGCTTAAAGTCATGTGAAATGTTGCAAAACCATCTCATGAGACATACCCAGATTGTCAATATATGAAGCGCCAATGTCTACAAACACACTTTTCTGCTGAGCTATGTTCTATTTAGTTCTGATGGACAGCTGTGCTTGGGGGATCTAGGGAGGAGTAGGGCCCTGTGCCCATGCTGGCTCTCCCCTATCTCCAGATACTACCTGTGCCTGCAGCTGCGGGCAGACATCATCACGGGCCGGCTGCCATGCTCCTTTGTCACGCATGCCCTACTGGGCTCCTACGCTGTGCAGGCTGAGCTGGGTGACTATGATGCTGAGGAGCATGTGGGCAACTATGTCAGCGAGCTCCGCTTCGCCCCTAACCAGACCCGGGAGCTGGAGGAGAGGATCATGGAGCTGCATAAGACATATAGGTAAGAGGGTGCCAGCCAGGGCCTTCTGTGGCTCCTTGGCCAGTGGGAGCCTTCCTTGCAGGCCTGAATGTCCTAGGCCGCCACATACTGTGCTGTTTGTACCCCGCCTGGCTCTGCCCCTAGCTTGAGGTATATCTAAGAGCAAATCATCTCTGTAAATAGGAACGATAGTGACTGGCTGTGTGGCCTTGATGACCTTTTGGGACCCAAGTTTCTTAAGCTCCTCTATAGGTGTGATAATTCCCTGTCCTTGGCCTCTGAGAATAAGTTTATCTGCCAACTGGAGAAAATAATCGCTACTGTGTCTCTGAGTAAGTGTCCTCATGTCTAGATCTTGGTGTAGAGTTCAAAAGTTTGGACCCGAAAGCCAGCCTGCTAGGGTTCCTATACTGGCTCTGCCACTTTCTAACTAGAGGATCTCAGGAAGGTCATTTCACTTCCTATGCTTTGGTTTCCTCATCTGTTCAAGGTGGATGCTGTTAAACCCACCCTGTAGGATTGTTGGGAAGCCTAAATAGCACATATTAAAGGCACACTGCATGTTGGCTGTTAGTGTTGCTGTCTGTGGATCGAGGGGTTGAACAGTTGATCATGCAGGGGAAAGTACCTCGTTCCAGCAGTTGGACGATAATTAACTAGTGTGATTGTAGGCTGGTTATTTAACCTATCTAAGCCCCATTTTTCACCTGTATATGCACAAAGTTAGATTATCAGTGTCTCTCAACTATTGGCATTTGGGGCAGGAGAATTCATTGTGCAGAATGTTCAGCATCCCTGGGACCCAGTAAATGCCCATAACACCTTCTCAGTCCTTGTAACAACCCAGATACTCCCCTTTGCCATTGCTTCTGTACAGGTTCCCCTGGAGAGGAGCCCTTGGAACTAAATGATTTGTAGGGTCCTTTTAAGCTGGAAGTATTTGGGGCTGTAAGTCCAGGATTGTTATGGGGACTCAATATAATTAATAATGTGAAGGTGCATTATAAACTGTAAAGTGCGGCACCCAGGGAAAGGAGTATGGTGATATTGTCTCATTACTATTGAGGATGGAGGGAATTAGGAGGCCTTGGTTCTGTGGGCGTTATCTGGAGAGGAGGGCTAGAGTCAGATGTGGAGGGATCGTGTACGTGGGGAAGAGCCTGCTGGGGTGTGATGAATGCTAGGTCAAGGGTGGCAAATGCTGTCTCTGAGAGTCGCACACTAACTCCACTTGGTTAATAGCGACTGCTGTGGTGTTGTGTTGAGTAGGACACTGATTCCCTACAATGCCCAGGTTAGCAATATCCACCTGGGCATAGGAATAGGGAGTAGTGGCCTGCCTGCCATCTATTTGTCATCCCTGTCCTAGATAGCAAGACATCTTAGGATTTGCAAGAGTCATAATAATTCAGAGAAAGATGTTCAGATCAATATGGGCTGGAGAAATACTAAGGGCTGTCCCTAAAGCTCTTTGGACCTAAAGCACACTGACATCTCGTGTCCAAGTATCCCACACAGCAGCCCAGAGGTAGACAGGTCACAGGAAACTGAGGCCTGGAGGATACACAAGACCTGTAATGAAGTGATTAGGAGCATAAACTCTGAAGTCACATTGTCTAGATTCAAATTCTGACTCTTCTTCATAGCAGTGTGACCTTGGACAAGTTACTCAATGTCTCTGTGCCGGTTTTTTCATCTGTAAAATGACAATAATAATAATACCTATCTTACAGAGTTGTTATGAGGATTCAGTGAGTTAATATGTGTAAAGTGCTTAGAACAGTAACCAGCACATAGTACTCAATAAATGTTTGCTGTGACTAAGTATAAAATGTAGTCCAAGTTTCCTGGCAGCCAAAGCAAAGAAGGAACTTGATTAATTACATAACTCTTCTTTTTGGAAAGGAGAATGTGCACCTGTTCCTTAGGAGAGATTAAGTGGCTTCTGATACTAAATTCTGCAAGAAATATCCTGTGTGGGTAATAATTTAGGAGCCCCTGGGTGATGATAATGAACAATGTCCGTAACAATGGTTTTACAGTCATGGAAAAGTAGAATTTATAGCTCACAGTCAACTCAGTGGCAGAATGAGGCAAAAATCCTGACTCCCAGCTCAGCCTTTGTATGATCCCTGGACTAACAAGACTGGACTTGAGCTTTGGCAGAAGTTGGGGGTTGGGTGGGCTGAAGTGGGAGTTGGGGTACACCCTCCTGCTCTGAGGGCAGAGGGAAAAGATTAGGGTGAGGCTCAGCATATTTGACTTTCTAGAATCATGGGTTCTGATGGTGGGCACCTTTGGACAGCAGGACTAAACCTGGGCCTTTCCCTTGGTCACCTGTGATCACTTTCTTTCCCTCAGGGGGATGACCCCGGGAGAAGCAGAAATCCACTTCTTAGAGAATGCCAAGAAGCTTTCCATGTACGGAGTAGACCTGCACCATGCCAAGGTACCACCAGCTTCCTGGGTTCCCCTAGTGTCTGGGTGGTGCCCCCAAAGAACTATCAGGCCTTTCCCTAGGGCGTGGTGTGCCAGACCCTGTGTTACCTCCAACTTGAAACCTTTTCTGTTCTCATTCTCATTTCTCGAAGTTCCATAACCTTTTATTTTCTCATGATCTGTATTATTTTCTCCATGTATTTTATTTATGAACCTGTTTGAGCCACTGCTA
This sequence comes from Homo sapiens, assembly GCF_000001405.40. Taxonomy (NCBI): domain Eukaryota; kingdom Metazoa; phylum Chordata; class Mammalia; order Primates; family Hominidae; genus Homo; species Homo sapiens. Next base: position 36,187,986 of record NC_000020.11, read on the forward strand.
GATTGGGAGCATTGTGAGGGAAAGACGTAGGCCTTAGTTTATTTCTATATCCCTAGCACCTGGCACATAGCCTGGCACCAAGTGTGTGCCACTAAATATTTGCTGGATGAATGAACGATTGAGTGATTGACAGAGCAAATGATCAAACAAGTGAGTGGGTGAAAAAAATACCTAAATGGATGAGTGAATGACTGAATGACTATGGGAGGGATTGGTCAGTGGGACTCCAGCATGGAGGCTCTAACCCTGTTCCTGAGAGCTCGTTACAAGCAGCGCACAGGGCAGTGTTTTCGGGGTGGGTGGTAGGCTGTCCCCAGGCATGGACCCCGGGCCTCCCATTCCATGGTCTCTTCTCATGCAGGACTCTGAGGGCATCGACATCATGTTAGGCGTTTGTGCCAATGGCCTGCTCATCTACCGGGACCGGCTGAGAATCAACCGCTTTGCCTGGCCCAAGATCCTCAAGATCTCCTACAAGAGGAGTAACTTCTATATCAAGATCCGGCCTGGGGAGGTGAGTCTGCCTTGGGAAACACTCCTCCTCACCGGAATCAACTAGAATGGAGTGGACCCTGGCAGCTGGGCCTGGACTGCCAACACACACACACACACACACACACACACACACACACACACACACACACACACACACACACAGAGAGAGAGAGAGAGAGAGAGAGAGAGGAGTCTAAATAAAAGTATAACCACATATGGCCAGGTGCAGTGGCTCATGCCTGTAATTCCAGCACTTTAGAAGGCCGAGGAAGGTGGATCACATGAGGTCAGGAGTGTGAGACCAGCCTGGCCAACATGGTGAAACCCCGTCTCTACTAAAAATACAAAATTAGCTGGCACTGCACTCCAGCCTGGGCAACAGAGCAAGACTCTGTCTCAAAAAAAAAAAAAAGGGAGAAAAAAAAAAGAAGAAATATAACTACATACATTCAGGTCACACAGATAAATGAATACATGTCTGTGTAAAGTTCATGTATTTAGGTGTTGTAAGTATGGAAGTTTGTACACATTTTAAGATACACAGACTCGACTATACATACAACACACACAAATGCAAACATGTATATGTCTACACCTCTTTTCCTTCAATTACCTACATCTCACCCATCAAAAAGCCCATTTGGTTGTACCTGTAGAATAAACATGAACCCATTTGCTTCTCTTCCTCTCCATCACACCCGCCTCCAGCATCCCCCATCTTTTGCCTGTGCCTATGAGGGCCTTCTCCCTCGCCTCTGGTGCTCTCCAGGTCATTTTCCTCATAGCTGCTGGAGAGATCTTAAAAAGTCCCTTAAATCAGATCATGGCAAGCCCACTCCCCCTTCCCATCCACACCCTTGCTTACACCTTTCAGGAACTCTCTTTAGCTCTTGAGCTAAACTTCAAACTCCTTCCATGGCCACCTACCTCTCCCACCTATCCCTTGCCACACTGCCCCATGCCCAAGGTGCTTTAGCCTCTTCGGCCTTGAGATCTTTGAATAAGTCGAGCTCTTTCCTGCCTGAGTGCTTCGCATTTGATGTTTCCTTTACCTGAAAGTATCTCCCCCTCTCGCTTCTCACATAGCTGGTTCCTTCCCATTCTTCAAATGTCAGCTCAAGATCACCTAGATCTAGGTCTAGAGGGGATCCCCTGCTCTTCCTTAGATGACAGGAGCCCCTATGCCTTCCCAGTTCTGCTGCACCACACATCTCCCTTCATTCCCCTTGTAGCCCTGATCAGTGTCTGCAATTATCTTGTTTGCTTATTTGTTATTGGAGGTCCCCTTCCCCTACTAGAATCTTCTGCCTTGGTCTCCATGTATCTCTAGTGTTTAGCACTGGACCCGTCACAGAGTAAGGGCTCAATCACCCTTATTGATTCAGTGAATGAACAGGCCAAAGTCGCAGATGCCTGAGAAGAGTTCAGAAAGAATGACTCACGTCTGTAATCCCAGCATTTTGGGAGGCTGAGGTGGGAGGACTGCTTGAGCCCAGGAGTTGGAGACCAGCCTAGGCAACATAGTGAGACTCATTCTCTACAAAAAATTAGCTGGTGTGGTGTCGTCTGACTGTAGTCCTGGCTACTTGGGAGGCTGAGGCAGGAGGATCTCTTGAGCCCAGGAATTCAAGGTTACAGTGAGCTATGATTGCGCCACTGTACTCCACCCTGGGCAAATGATCGAGACCCTGTGTCTCAAAAAAACATTAAACAAATAAAATAAAAAACACAAAGAATGGGCTAGTGGCGAGAGTGAGCTCAGGCCCTGCCTCTAACCTGCCCTTTTGGTTTTCCAGTATGAGCAATTTGAGAGCACAATTGGCTTTAAGCTCCCAAACCACCGGTCAGCCAAGAGACTGTGGAAGGTCTGCATCGAGCATCATACATTCTTCCGGTGAGCCTGACCTTGGATGGGGTAATGGGGATGGGGCAGAGGCCATGTGTATGGAGGGGAGCAGGGGGAGGAGTTAGTGAGAACTCTAGGAAAGTCCTCCACCCTTTCCCCAAGTCCCTCCCTTCCTGGACCACTTTGAATTGTTGTAGTTGGTGGAGTAGTGGGATGAAAGGCCAGCTGTGGTCTAACCTTGGGCCTGGCAGTGCAGGTCTGATTCCTCCTCCTCCCCTGCATCCCTCTGCTGCAGGCTGGTGTCCCCTGAGCCCCCACCCAAGGGCTTCCTGGTGATGGGCTCCAAGTTCCGGTACAGTGGGAGGACCCAGGCACAGACTCGCCAGGCCAGCGCCCTCATTGACCGGCCTGCACCCTTCTTTGAGCGTTCTTCCAGCAAACGGTACACCATGTCCCGCAGCCTTGATGGAGGTATGGCCCAAATTGGAGGGCTGGGCGGGGAATGGTCTTCAGAGGGAACTGGGGGAGTGGGCATGCTGGGTTCTGCAGAATGAGCAGGAAAATGGTAGATGCATCCCAAGTTCATCTGCACCAGGCTGGCCCCTCAAGACCAGTGCTGTCCCTGGGCAGCTCTTGGTGGCTTAGTCCCAACCTAGAGCTCACTCCCACTTGAGATGTGATACTACCACTCTCTGGATTCCCCACAACTTCCCTGAGTCGTGGTCTTTTGGGGTCCCAGGTTTAGCCATATGGTTTGGGCCACCTACCCAAGAAGCTTAGCAATCCACCAGTCTAACCTGTGGTCTAACCTTGGGCCTGGCAGTGCAGGTCTGATTCACCCTCCTCCCCTGCATCCCTCTGCTGCAGGCTGGTGTCCCTTACACTGGTCATCATCATACTAGGAGAATAGTGTCTTATGACTGCAGTGTGGAGCTGATGATGCCTTATCTGCTGGGAGGCCAGGGCATCGTTCTTGGTCATTCTTTTGGTTCTACTAGGTTCTGGGCTGATTGACAATCTAACCACATGGCACTCTCCACTGTCCCCATTTCTATTGGATTGATGGGTGCCCTTAACATCAATGAAAACTGGCCCTATATAGTCCTGTAGCAAGCAGATAGGGCTTAAAATGTGGTGCACAAACCACGTTTCATCAGAGTCGCCTGTGAGATTGTTAAGCAAGCACGAAAATTCCCAGGTTTTGCCCCAGACCTACTAAATCAGCACCCTTCAGGGCCCAAGTCTCTCCCCAGGATGTACACACTAGAGTTTGTAGGTGATGTTCGGAAGTCACATGGGTCACTGGGGAGATTCAGAATTATGCAGATCTGAGTTCAAATCTCGGCTTGACAGTCACCGTGGGCTGTTCTCTGGACACTGGAAGTGGTTCATAAATATCTGAATGAATGGATGGGTGACCTTAAGCAACTTATTTAACTCCCTGAGCCTATTTCCTCTTCTACAAAATACATAGTACCTACTTTGCTGTGTTCTAGGGAAAACTAAATGAGATCATGCCTAGAAAATATTCTGTGGCACATAGTAGCACCTTAAGAAATTGTACCCATCATTATTGTTTTTAGGTTTGTAGAGAGTGGCTTAAAGGTGGGAAGTGGGGGCTGGGCATGGTGACTCATGCCTGTAATCCCAGCACTTTGGGAGGCCAAGGCGGGCAGATCACCTGAGGTCAGGAGTTCGAGACCAGCCTGACCAATATGATGAAACCCCATCTCTACTAAAAATACAAAAATTAGCCGGGCGTGGTGGCATGCACCTGTAATCTCAGCTACTCGGGAGGCTGAAACAGGAGAATTGCTTGGACCTGGGAGGCAGAGGTTGCAGTGAGCTCACACCATTGCATTCCAGCCTGGGCAACAAAGCGAGACTCCATCTCAAAAAAAATAAAAAAAATAAAAAATAAAAAGGCCAGGCACAGTGGCTCACACCTATAATCCCAACACTTCGGGAAGCCAAGGCAGGTGGATCACGAGGTCCAGAGATCAAGACCATCCTGGCCAACATGGTGAAACCTCGTCTCTACTAAAAATACAAAGATTAGCCAGGCATGGTGGCAGGCGCCTGTAGTCCCAGCTACTCGGGAGCTCAGGCAGGAGAATCACTTGAACCCGGGAGATGAAGGTTGCAGTGAGCCAAGATTGCACCGCCACTGTACTCTAGCCTGGTGACAGAGCAAGACTCCGTCTCAAAAAAAAAAAAAAAAAAAAAAAGGTGGAAAGTGGGGACTTGGGTAGGGAAACCGTGGATACTCCCAGAACACCTTGGGGCAGGCCTCCAGGCAAGTTAGTTCTACTTATATTTTCTGAGTGTTATATGTGTGCCAGGCCTTGTGTTGGGTCCTGGGTATAGTATTTAGAGTGAATAGGTTTGGTCCTTTCCTTTGAGGAGCTCATAGAATAGCAGGTTTGTAAGCATTTGTTGTGGTTCAAGCAATGGGAAAAGCATGTGTAGAATGTAGAGTAGCCATGAGGAGGGAGGAATTAAGTCTAGAAGGGACAGAAATGGCTCTGCAGAAAGGGTGCCAACTGGGCAGGGTTTGGAAGGATACCTAGGAGTTTGCCAGGTGATTAAGAAAGTCTGATACTTTGTCTGGTATATGAAAATGAGACCTGTCTCAGGACTCCTGTGCATGTTTGAAAGATGTGTAGTTCTGCTAGGGTTCATCTGAGGCTGAAGAAGCTCCTTCTTCTCCTTGGGTAGACAGAGGACTGACAACTGGGGTTTATGCAAAGGGAAAGGTCCCTCCCCTGTAGCTTCCATTACTATGTCAGGAGCCAAATGAAGCCCAGATTCTGGCAGGCAGCAGAGGTTAGCCCAGAGCTGGTGAAGCTCATCGGAGAGGAGCAGAAGCATGGACTCTAAGCTAGGAGGCCTTGGTCCCTGTCCCAACTCACCAAAAGGTCACCAGTGGGATATTTCCCCTCTTGATGTCTCCAGTCATCCTCTGTAAAATGGGGATAAGTCAGTCCCATTCCAGCCATCAACATAGGGTATTGTGTAAATCAAACGAAATATATGCATAAATGCGTACTTTGCAAAGTGAGTGTATATGAATAGAAAGGATAATTATCCTCTTTTAAAAATCTAGGCCAACCCCAAGGATAATCTGAGCTCTGGTTATTTTAAACCCGTGTTTTTCAGCCTATTTTCTACCAAGACACAATCCACGGGCATAGTCGGATTATGCCCAATGCGTGATGCGAAGTCTAGTTCCACCCCTTCCTTTCCTATTCAGAAAAGCATTTTGGAATACCAGTGAGTGAGAAAGGTGTTATTGCAGGCATCTCCCTGAATTCTCCCTAATTTATAAAGAAGGTAAATCAGTTGCAAATTTTAGGACTTTAGCTTTCACTAGTAAAGCTAGTCTCACAATATTTGTGTGTTGCTAAATGATGATCAAGTGAGTATTCTACCACAACCACCACAACCAAAACAGCAACATTTATGGGCTGCCATTGATGGAAGCCTCACTCTGTGCCAGCCACTCTTCCATAAATATTTATATACATTAGCTTGTTCATTCCTCACCTCCGCTTTCTAAAGCAGGCACTGCTTCTAGATGAGGAAACCAAGACCCAGCAATATTATGTAACTTACCCAAGGTCACACAGTCAAGAACAGATGGATTTGAGATTTGAACCCAGGCTCTAGTGCTGTAGAAACCAGGAAGGAGTCCTGGGCTGGGAGGCAGCTCTGCCACTCACTGGCCATGTGATCAGAAGTCTACTTCACCCCTCTGGGCAATGGGTGAGGGGTGTGGAAGAGTTGGCTCCACTCCAGGCGTGGTTGGGCAGGGCTGGGCTGGTTCTCTGTCTGTTCTCTGGGAGGGGTCTCACATGGTTGCCTGGCTATCTCCACCCACTTCAGCAGAGTTCTCCCGCCCAGCCTCGGTCAGCGAGAACCATGATGCAGGGCCTGACGGTGACAAGCGGGATGAGGATGGCGAGTCTGGGGGGCAACGGTCAGAGGCTGAGGAGGGAGAGGTCAGGACTCCAACCAAGATCAAGGAGCTAAAGGTAGGAGCCTGGCTTTCTCATACTCTCTGCCCTGGGGATCAGGAGGCTGACCTGAGGTCTAGCCTCGGCCTTGACCTTCACATGCCTCCAGCTGTGGCCAAGCACCCTTACTATGGAGTGCACCATGGCAGGGCCTTGCCTTTGGGTCATCTCTCAATACCTGGCCCTTGCCGGGATGGGGTGGGCATGGGAGTGGGCATGCTGCCTGTCCTGTACTCTCCCCAGCTTTGCCCTGCTTTTCCAGAGGGGCACTCTGTCCCCTAGAGGACTCAGGCCTCCTTTTGCACACTCTTAATTTGCCCCTCTGACTGGGATCTGGATCTGCACCACTCTCTTCCTCCTCAGAGCATGACCAGGTGTCACCAACAGCTCTAGGAGTGTGAGGTTCAAGTGTGTCCCCTTCCTATTTCCCCATGCCCCACTCAGGTGCACACACACAGTCCCAGTATCTGTGTGTACACGCTCATGCAGGATTGCATGACCTCAGCCTCACACTCACTTAATAACAGATGTATGCACCCGTCACCCTTAGATCCATGCACACAGATGTGCAAACAACATGCACACACACAGGTGTGTGCACACACAGGCCAGGGAGAGCTTCCTCTTGGTATAGTTGTTCAGCAGGTTTCTTTCCGTCTACCTTGTGAGCACAGGGCCTTGAACATGCTCCCACTGACAGCGAGAGCAGGGAACTCCATTCTCACATCCCATCTGCCCAGTGTGGCTCTGCCCACTTGGCCTCTAGTTCCCTTCTCTGCCTTCCTGGGACAGCACCCTGCTTCACACCTGTACCTTCTTCTGACTACCTCACTGCCCTGCTGGTGGCCCACCCAGCTGCCCTGGCCTCCACTTGGTCGAGTGTGCGTGCTCTGGGCTCCTTGCTGGACCAAGCCCATCGTGGTATCTCTAATCCATCTGCTCTACTGACCCTGCTGCTTTCTTTCCCTCCTACCACATCCCACTAGCCGGAGCAGGAAACCACGCCGAGACACAAGCAGGAGGTACTGCATGGGACCTGTCCCTCCCTACCCAGCCGTTCCCATCCCTAGCTCATTTGTCACCATCCCACAGTCCATCCCAGGCTCACTTCCCTGGCACCATCTCAGCTTCAACTTCATCTCTGCTCCCCAGCCATCCCCCTCTGCAGCCGTCCTTGCTCCCCACTCCGCCACCCGCTAAGCTTCTCTCTCCAGCTCCCTTCTTAGACTCTCCTGGCCAATCGGCCATCTCTCCCTCCTCCCTCAGCCCTCCCACCCTCTCCCCAGCTCACCCGGTCCTCCATACTTGCAGCTCACCTGCTGACCATCCCACCTGCACCACCAGCTCTTCCAGGCCATTCTGTGCTTTCATTTAGCACATCTCCCCTGACCCACCCCTTCCCTAGATTCATCTCCTGCCCGACAGCACTGTTTGGTCTCGCCTCCATCTCGTCTGTGTCCCCTGTGTCCTCACCCCTAGCTTCTTTTTGTATCTATTGGCAGTCAGATGTGGGAGTGGGGATTGGGGGTGGGGGAGGGAGGTGCCTCAGAGCACACCTGCATCTGCCCCAACTCCAGTCCTACACCTCCCCCAGGCAGGGTCGACTACTGCTCCGCTATGGCAAAAACCTCCTCCTTTTCTCCTCCTTTCCTCGTCTTCTTCCCATTTGTTGCTTCCCCCAAATTATTCCTTCCATGTTAACCACTTCTTCCCTCTCACACAGTCACCAACTCTTCATCTGAACTTTAACTGCAAGAGAAGTGGGTTTATTCTTGGGCTGCCAAGGTAAAGGGCCAGAGACTGGGACATAAGAAGAGCCTTGCCTTGGAGTCCTGAGATCTGGGTTTCAACCCCACTTCTGCCACCAACTCTTTGAAGGTCTTGGGAAATTCCCCTCAGGCCCCAGTCCCCTGTCTGAACAGCAAAGCATTCAGACTAGGTTTCTCCAATGCCCTTAACCTTTAGGGATCCCAGGACCCCAGGATCCCACTGCTCCCTACAGCCTTCAGGGACATAACACACCCACGGAGGCAGTGGGGCAGGTTTGTGATGGAAGACGACAAGCCACATCTCAGGTTGGGACTCACTACCCATTGCAGCCCAAACCCTCTCCCTGTGCAAGCACCATCAGGTTTGACTTCTCAGACAGCCATGGTCCAGAGGGCAGCTCAGCTTGGGAAGGGATGCCCGAGGAACAGACAGATGTCTGGAGGGAAAGCAGGAGCCTCACTGGGATTGGTTTCCTTCCTGAGGTAGCTTAGGAGTCAGCCATAGTGGATCCTTGGGTACCAGAGATGAGCCCAGGGGAAGATTCTAGCTTTGTCCAAGGGTAAGCTTACCTTCCAGTGGTTCTTCCAGAATTACCTGATCTGACTTTAATAAGCTGAGATTGTCCATTTCTTGTCCTGAATTGAGTTAACATGAATTTTTAAGCAGCCTTGCAGATAAGCGTCCTTGGGCTGCCAGCCACCACTTTGCCCCAGAAGTAGCCAGATAAACAGCTTTTGGCAGGTCCCTGCCAGCTCCTGCACAAAGCTCGTCCTCCCTTGACCTAAGGAGATGACTCTGTCATGCTGCACTGGCTGGGAACACTACCCATATAGGTAGAATCCTACAACTCTGGCTATACCTGGCTCAATTCTTGTGCCCAGCTGTGGGACTTACTGCTCTTCTTCCTGGTCTCTAATTCTCCTAATCTTCCTGAACACTCCACAGCATTCTAGTTTCTCTATCTGGCTGTATCTCACCCTGTCTGCTATTGGTGAGTCAGTACCTGAAAGGTATCTGGAAGGTCCAGGGTGGTTGGGGAAGGTAGTGTCCCATCACAGAGGAGACTAGATGCAATTTTTTCCTGCCCCTGGTCCCTAGTGTGGGAGCTTGGCCATTCTTCTGGATGTCCCTGGCTTGAGGAGGATCTGTACTGTGGGCCTCCCCAGGGCCTGAGCAGTTGTGCATGTTGGGCTAGGAGGGGCCCAGACTGGACATCCTGTTAAGTACAGTGGCCCAAGTCTCAGCCAGAAAGTGGACACTGGGATCCAGGAGGGATCTAGGAGGCACCTGAATGAGTCAGAGCAGCCCAGTGAATAGGATTAGTGAGTTATTATAGCTCTCTGGCAGTTGCTGCCTGCTATGCCTTAGTTGTAACAGAGGGAAGTCACCTCTGTGACTAAGACCGGGCTTATAGCACCACAGGGAACTCACCCAGACCTGTGGGCTTTGGGTAGAGGTTGGCTGTTCAGAGGCTGTAGAGCCAGGCAAGGGAGAAGCGAAGGTGGCTTGACTAGACATCTCCTCTTTTTCATCTTCAGTGCTCTGTGCCTTGGGATGTGCACCTGTTGGGGTGGTTCTCCTTGCCCTGGTTTGTCTCTGGGGCTGCCATGAGAGTGACACAGGTCAGAGTGGGAATAACGTTGCTGGTGGAGGGTGGTGATGGTGACTGCTGCCATCATCCCTGCACCCTGCATCCCCGCTTGGAGCTGTTCCCCTAACACCACCACCCTCTCCATCTATCCCTAGTTCTTAGACAAGCCAGAAGATGTCTTGCTGAAGCACCAGGCCAGCATCAATGAGCTCAAAAGGACCCTGAAGGAGCCCAACAGCAAACTCATCCACCGGGATCGAGACTGGGAACGGGAGCGCAGGCTGCCCTCCTCCCCCGCCTCCCCCTCCCCCAAGGGCACCCCTGAGAAAGCCAATGAGGTAGGTGTCGCCCTGAACCCCTCGATAGGGGCCTTGGGTAAAGAGACATTGGGTTGCTGCATCCTGACTTACACTCATCCTCCACACCAATATGCTTCCCCCATTGCTGCTTAGGGGCTGGTGGGGATGGAGAGGGTGGTAGATTAGGCTGAGGGAGATGAATTCACTAAATCTTGGAATCCTGGGTCCTGGAGACCAACTTAAAACATGAAAAACTCAAGACTCATGGTAGCTTGGCGTACTCCCCTTCCATCAGCCCGAGTATAATGGGGAAGGGGTGCTGGTTAGAAATGCAGGTTTCAGGGCCCCAGCCCAGACCTACTGAATCAGATATTTGGACTCAGTGCTGGCATCGGCATCTGGACAAGTGCTGCAGAGGCTTTTCATGCACACTACATTTTGAGAATCCCAATAGCTCTCTCCAGAACCAGACCCTGTTGTGCCTATTGTGAAAACACGGATCGGGGAGTGGTCCCTCCTAGAAGGGGCTTCGGAGTCCACTGGAGGGGAATGGGCCCTTCACAGAAATCAGACCTGCTTCTGAGGCTTCAGAAAAGGATCTCACATGACCTGCCTTTCCGAGTGGAAAGAGTGGGGTGTTTTCTCGATTGAAGAAGAGATAAAGTTAGGATTTGGGGAAGCACTGCATTTAGACTCTCAAGTCAGTATTTTTAGCCCTTGCTAAATCTTGGCGATATTTACCCCAGTTTATACTTAGGTGTTTTCTCCCTGAAGCTATTGCTTACTGGTCTCAAATACGGTTGTGGTGTAGACTTGCACTGCCTGGGTTTGAATTCTGGCTCCGCTGCCTGCCAGCTGGATGACTTTGGGCTTGTTACTTAACCTCTCTGAGGCTCGTTGGGTAGAGATAATAAAAGCACCTACTTCATGGGGATGTTGTAAGGATTAAACGAGATAATGCACGTAGAGGGACTAGCAGAGTACCTTGATGCGCAGTGTGAGTTATTGTTTCACTTGAGAGTTCCAGACTCTTCCACAGAGGAGGTTAACTTCAAATCAGGATAAAGAAAGCATGTTTCAATCCAAAGTGTTAAAGTCAAGCATACTAATTTAACTAGAGGCATTCACAGACGACTTTTCTTTAACAAATAAAATTCCCCTTTCCTAAATAAAATAAAAGTTGAAAGGGCCCTGGGAACCTGCTCAGAACCTTCATTTTACAGATAGGGGCACCGAGACCCAGAAAGAGGAAGGACTTATTCAGTGTCTTAGCTGATGGAAGAGGAACCAGAACCCAATTTTCTTGTGACCCAGGCTATTGTATGTGCTATTAAATCACAGCTGCCTAGGAGCAAGACCAAATCACATAAAGACCAGGTAGAGAGTCAATTGTATGTGTGCTGCCCTCTAATGCTTTGAAAATTGGTGATGCACCCATGATCTAATTAGCAGAGCATTTTATTGGATCAGTGCTACCATGGCCTGAACCTGCCAGATAACAGACGGCTTTGTCTAGTAAGGCATAAGTCCAGAGAGAGCTACTGGGGTGGCTTTCTGGTTTGTGAGTCACAGAATTAGGGATGCTTTGGGGGCCTTTAAGGCTGGTGCTGTGGAAGAAGGGCAGACCTCTGCATCCATGAAGGGCCTCTGTTTGCCTCTGGCACAAGCAAGACCCTGGGCTGGGTGGCGGAGGCTGGTCTAGTGATCCAGTGAACAACATCCTCTTCTGCCCTTCAGCGTGGCCCCTAATCAATCCTGATGTGGGCTGGCCAAGCTTGGCCTGGCTGTGGGCGAGGTGGGATGCAGAGGCTACTGAAAGAGTGAGTCTCCAGAAGAGAAGGGGAGGATGAGCCCTGGGAAGTGAGGTCTAGACCTCTGGAGTGTCTCAGTGTAGCCTGGTGTAGGGTGTGCCCCACCTGCTGGTGATAGCTGGAACTGCTAGAAGATGGGTCTTAGTAAAAGGTGGAATCTGCTCCACCTCCCAGCCCTGCTCAGCCGCAAGAAGTATAGTCCACTGCTGGAAAGAACTATGGTCCAGGAGCTCACCCTGGAGCTATGGACCATTCAGAACTGGCTTACAGGCCCCCTTGGCATTTAGGGGCCTTTGAAGATTTGGGAGATGGGGAGGTGCCATAGACAAGGATTGACTGGCTCCTTGGGTAACTTCCCCTTTTTGAGCCGCATTGCCTAGTCCACCTACAGGAGGACCAAAATGGTCATTCCATAGGGTAGTTGGGAAAGTAGAGTGAAATAATTAATATAAAAGCACTTTCTCAACTGGAAGGTGCTGGGCAGTCATGGGGCTGTTGCTGTTGGTGACTAGAATCCCTGATCCCAAAATCAGTTTTGTGGGGGGCATCCTGAAGATGCCTGTGTCATCCAGAATTCCTAGCAGCCTCCTCGTATATTGTTGGGCCTCATCTGGGCCAAGGGGAAAACAGAGGGAACTCTAACTGTTCCCATTTGCCAAACCCAAGTTTCAGTGTTTAAAGGGGGCTGTAATCCAAACTGCAGGGTTGAACCATAGCCTAAGCCAGAGACATCTGGAGCCAGAGTCTAAATGATATGGCTCCAACATCTCTGAATGAGAGTGGGCAGGCCATGGGGGAAGGGCACTGGGGCTGACTGTGGGCCTCCCTCCCTTAAGTGGCTCAGAAGGGCAGTCCCTCCCGAGCTCACCCCACAGAGTGGCTACTCCCTGACCTAATCCACAAATCCTACAGATATGGGACTTAAAAAGCTGGGCTATTTATGGACTTTGTGTGTGTGTCTCTCTCTCCTACTTTTTCTCTTTCCCTCTCTTCCTGTCTCTGTCTCTCCTTCCCTTCCTCCCTCTTTCCCTTTCCTCTGGCTCTGGGCCTCCCCTGCAGTCCCAGAGGACCCAGGACATCTCTCAGCGGGACTTGGTACCTGAGCCTGGAGCAGCCGCAGGCTTGGAAGTGTTCACTCAGAAAAGCCTCGCAGCATCTCCTGAGGTTACTGTCTTCACCTTCCTGTGCCCCTTCCTCCTGCCCACCCAGAACCACCCTCTGTGGTCTTAAGAAAACCCTTTCTCTGGGGTGAGGGGAATGTACCAGATTCTGCCAAGCAGTTGGAAGCAATGGGTAACCCATGCTGTCTCCATGCTGTGATAAGGAAATGTCCCCATCCCAGAGATCCATAAAGGGCCAGCCCCTCCCTCATCCATTGTTTCTCAGGAGGGACAGGACTGCAACCATTCTGGGAAGACAGAACAGCCTGCATTGCCTTTGGCCTCGAAGGAGAGGCAGGAATGATCTCCCTCTTTCAGGTCCTGGTGAGGCAGGTGACTCTAGAGGCAGGCCCTGACTTCTATGCTTAGGGTCAGGGGTCATGCTAGAGGCAGGCTCTGACTTCCATGCTTAGGGTCAGGGGTCATGCTAGAAGCAGGCTCTGACTTCTATGCTTAGGGTCAGGGGTCATGGCACCCAAATGCCTTCTGCCTTAAGGTCTTTTCTCTGTTCAGAAGCCTGAATGGTCTAGCAGTGGTTAGTTAGGGCACGACATTCCAGGCATCTCCGGCCTGCGTCTTCTCTGAACTCCCCTGGAGCTTGGGCCCATCAAGGAGGCAGGCAAAAGTGGACATCTTTCTCTAAGGAGTATCCTTAGGGTTGTAGAGAGATTGGTCAGGCAAGTGTTTGAAATGAGGAGGCCATTGCTTCTATGCCCAGGGCGGCAGCAAGTGGAGGGCTCTTTGAACTTCCTGTGGCCCTTCATGGATGCTGGGCATAGAATCCAGGCCCAGGCAGGAGGCTGTGCTCCCTCCTCTGATGGGATTTTATGGACTATCAGGGTTGGAAGCTACTGAGCGATCATCTGGGCAGAACTTTCTTCCCCAATATCTGCCGCTCCCCTGTTGATGTATGCTCTCCTCTGAGGGCCTGTACCTTTCTCCATTCTCAGAGAAAACTTCTTTAGCTGCTGCAAACGTGCTGGAACTTTAAGAAAGACATAAATGAGCTACATAAGTGATAAAACATAAGTCATACTTCTACTCTATGAATTTTTCCTCAATCTAAAGAACAAAACTATCCGCACACTCTCTTGAGGGAAATCGGACAAGAGTCAACAGCATACCAAGGACAGGGCTAGAGAGATGCCCTGGACACAGAGATGCTCCTGTGACCAAGGACAGGTGCCCATTTGGGGAGCAGAGCCCACAACCTGCACCCCGCCCCCGCATCATTCTCCTGCAAATGTCCATCCAGCTCTTCCACAGCAGGCACTTTTGCTGTCCTTGGCGGCAGCCCATTAACTATTGGGAAGTTTTCGTGTTGAATTGAAATCTGCCTTTTCAAATTAGCAGCCTGTAGGTCTCATTCTGCCCGCTGGTGCCCGCTACCGCTCTGCATCCTCCTCCAGGCCAGCCCTTCGGAGACTTGAACACCTCCCCTTCCCTAGAACACTTCACTCTCTTCCCACTTTCTCCCAGGAAATGGTTTCTGGAGGGCCCCTTACCCTGGACCCCCTCCTCGTATAAAGGGCAGGCCTGGCTGGGCATGGTGGCTCACGCCTGTAATTCCAGCACTTTGGGAGACTGAGTTGGGTGGATCACCTGAGGTCAGGAGTTCGAGACCAGCCTGGCCAAAATGGTGAAACCCTGTCTCTACTAAAAATACAAATAATAATAATAATAATAATAATAAGCTGGGCGTGGTGGCGCGTGCCTGTAATCCTAGCTACTGGGGAGGCTGAGGCAGGAGAATCGCTTGAACTCGGGAGGCGGCTGTCAGTGAGGCAAGATCACGCCTCTGCACTCCAGCCTGGAAGACAGAGCAAAACTCCGTCTCAAAAAAAAAAAAAAAAAAAAGGCAGGCCCCAAAATGTGACCCAGAGCTCCAGGAGGGGCCTGAACAGCCTGGAGTCAGGAGAACAGCCAGGCTGGAGAGTTTCCTGTCTGTGCCTTGGGTGCAGACAGCTGTGAGCCCAACTGGCTCTGTTTCTCCCCACCCCTGTTGCCAGCTTCCTTTGCTGCAGTGCCCCTACCTGACGGCAGGGGGCGCTCTGAGCAAGGCACCGACGGTCCCCTGGCTCCAGAAAGAATGGCTGCGGGGCTGCGGCTACCTGGGGCTACCCTAAGATTATCCCATCTTGTGATTCGGGTTAGAACGACTTTCACGCCAACCCCTCGGGCCAGGTGTGTGGCTCTACCCGTGCCTTCGCACCGTGGAAGTTTTTTTCTTTTTTGTTCAGTTTTCTTTTCCTCTTCAGGATCCTACATTTTACTTTGTCCCCCGCTGCTCAGCCTGTGATCTTGCGCATGGCCTCTCCCCTCTGGGATACCGTTTCGCCTTCTGAAATAAGGATAACGATATCTGCTTCACAAGTTGCCATTTGGATTAAATTTAATAACTCAGACAAAGGGCTGGCATTGCCTGGCACATAGCAACTAACAATCACTATACGTTTCCCCTTTCTTCCTGCAGAGTCTACTTTTCATTCTCTGCCAGCACCTGCGCCACTCACTCTTGCTTATCTAGCCTAGTTGCTAGTTAGAATTGGGGCAGGAATGTTCCAGAAGGAGGCATATTGACTGGCTTTGGCCATCATTGCCAGGCGGATGTCAGTACAGCTGGAATGGAGGCAGCTGAAGGAACCTGCTTCTCAAGGAAATGAGCAAAAGGACCTAGCTTCCGTAGGCTCTCAAAGCACGTCCCTTTGGGATGGTTCAGGAGCTGTGGTCCTGAAGCCTTAATGACCTGAAGTAAAAGCTCAGAAACCCACCCCAGACTTTACCTAGACCTTCCCCCCTTCCTTTTATCTCGCTTTCCCATGAACAAGATTATTTTAATGGGTTCTGATTCCCTGACAGAGAGATTTTCTCAAAACACAGTGGGGACAGAGGGTTTATGATGCTCTCTTGAGCCTTCAAAATGTTTCAGATCTTATGGGATCTGACAGACTCCTCCTCCCTGTGGGGTGGGATTAACAGACTCCTCACCAAGTCATAACCTGAAAAGGAGCCCAAGGTCATATAAACCTTCCCCCTCCTGCTGCCAGGAGAAGTTCTGGGCATGTCTCCCTGTGGAGGTGGTCATGGTAGGGTGGAGAGGACACACTTCACAGAACTTGGCGTCAGAGACTGAGTTCAAGGCCTGCCTTTCCACTTGCTCCCTGTATGGCCTTGGGCAAGATGCTTCTCCAGGTCTGAGTTTCCATATCTGTATCACGAGGGGCTCTAGTTGGGGCAGTGAGGAGGGAGGTACCTCAGGGCATTAAGGCCGCCCACACCCCCAACTTTACCAGGGCAGCTCTGTATTTCTGTCACATAGCCGACTTGCATTAAAATTTTGTGGGAAGTATCCTGTGGCCACAAGATGAAAAACCCAGTGACCTTCCTGCTTTTCTAACCACCCTAGAAGTCCATCATCCCTCCCAGGCATTGTTTGAAGAACTCTTGGGGGAGGTAGAGGCTGTTGGGAGATGGCCTAACAGTGCTGCGATCTGGTGCTTTTTTTTTTTTTTTTTTTTTTTTTTGAGATGGAGTTTTGCTCTTGTTGCCCAGGCTAGATAGAGTGCATTGGTGCGATCTCGGCTCACCGCAACCTCTGCCCCGCAGGTCCAAGCAATTCTCCTGCCTCAGCCTCCCAAAGTGCTGGGATTACAGGTGTGAGCCACCGCGCCTGGCCTTTCTTTTTTTTAGACGGAGTCTCGCTCTGTCACCAGGCTGGAGTGCAGTGGCACAGTCTCGGCTCACTGCAACCTCCGCCTCCCAGATTAAAGCAATTCTCCTGCCTCAGCCTCCCAAGTAGCTGGGATTACAGGTGCATGCCACCATGTCTGGCTAATTTTTTGTATTTTTAGTAGGGATGGGGTTTCACCATGTTGGCCAGGATGGTCTTGATCTCTTGACCTCATGATCTGCCAGCCTCAGCCTCCCAAAGTGCTGGGATTACAGGCGTGAGCCACCGCGCTTGGCCTCTGGTGCCTTTGATGCACGATGATGCTTAGATCTTTACCTCTCTCCCTTCCTTGATGCATTCTATTGAGTTCTTTTCTGCTCTTTCTATGGGTTTTGTTAGAATTAGAATGGGCCCTGGTATTTGTTTCTTTTAGATTGAACACCACAGTGTTCAAGCTGTTTAAGCCATTGTGGTGCCTGGCACTAACGTGGTCATGTGGTATCTCCATGACTACTATGCTTTCTTCCCAGAAGCCCTTGTAGAAAGGTTCGATTTCAGGCTGTGGCCTGTGGAACTTAATGCATCCCTTCAATTTGCCATTAGGTCACAGTTGGCACCCATATTCCATGGTTGTGAAATAAGTTAGCAAAGATCTCCGGCCTCAAAAATCAGGCTTTCTTTTCCTGACTCTGTCTTCTACTAACAGTGACCTTGGGCAAGTCACTGTCCATCTCTAGACCTGTTTCCTCATTTACACAATATGGAAATGAGACTGGATAACATTGTAAGAGTACTTTTGACTCTAACATTCAAAGACTCCATGTGATGGAAATGACTTTCCCCTCTGACGGTGGCAGTTATGTTATTAAAAGAGGAAGAGGAAGGGTCCTGGCCCATCTGTGGATCTCCATTTCCCCATGGCTGACATGGGAAGGGCATAAGACCCCATCCCATTTTATCAAGTTGGGGGCAGTGGTTGAGGAAAATTGGTCAATAATTTATCAAGTGCCTGATGGGAAGAGGGACCTTGATGAGAATGGCTGGCACGTCATGCCTTCCTCTCCCCAGCCAGTTCTGGGGATGTGCTGTCCCAAAGTCAAACATTTCAGTGGTAGATTGGTCCCCTCTTACAAAGGGAAAAACTCACCCATTCTTCAGGTACCTGATATTTCATGTTAACTCTTCTTGCTCCAATTGAAACACAGGGTTCAGAGCATTGGGTATTTATAGAAAGAGAGTACACTAGGCCAGAAGAGCTCGGTCTCCTAAAAGTGACCACCATGCAGCAGGAAGAAAGGCAGGCAGGCCTTGCTGGTATCCTTGCCAACGGCAGACTCTCCAAGGTAGACGTTCTGGTGGACAAGTTCAAAGTGGAAGTGGCCACAGAAGAAATGGTGGGAAACAGAAGAGCAAACACCCAGCAACAAGGAAAAATGATTGCAAGTCCTGAAGACTTTGAGTCAGTGGGGGAGGAAGGCCCCTGGATCAGGGAAAGCCCAGGAGGGGCTGCCCTGGCTTCCGGCCGCACATTGGCAGAAAAGCTCCTCGAGGGCTCTGAGCTCAGGGCAGACACCAGAGAGGCAACCATCAGGAACCGCTGCATGTCAGATGGTCAGCCGGAGGGCCAGACAGAGCTGAGGAAGGGGCTGGAGGAGCCTCACACTTGTGGGAGACCCACTGCTCCAGGGACCAGGCCAGCAGAGGTGGACGTCCTCTCTCCAGCCTCCGACAAGGGAGGACTCCAGTCGTTTCTATTGGATCCAGCCCACGCAGAAGCCAGAGCTGAGTTGAGCAATGAAACTGATACTTCCTTTGCAGAGAGGAGCTTCTATTTAAATTATGAAGAAAAAGACTCAGAAGACCAAGTCCTCCCTCCACCCCTGGAGGAGAGAAAAGGGCGCCTGGATGCCCCTCCCGGAGGTGAGCCCAGGCCGACGCTGAATTCCTTAGACCTGAGGGTTTCTGCTGCTGCTTCCAGCAGGAGCAAGGACGAAGCCCACATGACTTCCCCAAAGGAAGGGGCAGGGACCCCCAAGAACCATGGAGGACCTGGTGACCTGAAGGGATCTCCCGCAGGACAGACGTTTGCTGAAGGCTGGGAAGATGCCCAGTGGGGAGTGGAAGGAGAGTTTCCCCACCTGACAGCCAGCGCAGCCCGAGAGGAAGGGACCCCCGTGAGTGGAGATTTGCTGGGAAAGGCTGAGGAAAGTCCCACAGAGGAACTGAAGAAGCACCCTCCTCACAGAGGACAGGGCGTGCATCCCGACCCCCAGGCCTGCGCCCTTCCTCGGGCCATCCCTCTGAATGTCAGGAAGCCAGTCAAACCAGACAGAGGCAACTTCCCACCCAAAGAGAGGGGAGTGGTTCCCACCCAGAAAGGAGGGGCTGAGCTGAAGGACCGCGAGGCTTCAGCATTTCTTCACATGGAGGTGATCATTCCCCTGCCAGCCTCCCCTGGTCATTCTGAGGACCTGGCAGCTCTGGAGGAAGCTTCTCCAAGCCCAACCTCCCATGGGTCAGGGGAGCCTTCGGAGCTCAGGGAGCCCTTTCTTAGACATGTCCATCTTTCGAAAGCCAGCCCAGAGCCCAAGGACCAAGTAGGGTTTGTGGTGTCCCCTGCCACAGGAGGTGAGCGCAGGCCTCCTCCCATCACCAGCAGAAAGCCCAGAGTAGTCCCTGAAGAAGCTGAGGGGCGCATACCTCTGGGGTTTGGGTTCCCTTCAGGGAAGCGAAGGGAGATGACCTCTTTCCAGGCTGGGGACCAAGAGGGCTCCCTAGAAGATATTAGCAAGACCTCAGTGGCCAACAAAATTCGGATATTTGAGACCCACGGAGCTGAAACTCGCCGAATGAGTGAGGGTGAAGCAAGGTCCCTTCCAAATGACGTATCTTCAGAGGCACCCGTGGGACAAGCAGAGCAGCAGCGGAGTACGCTCTCAGACCTGGGCTTCGCCCAACTCCAGCCCCCAGGGGACTTTGCCAGCCCCAAAGCCACACATTCCACAGTGATACCTCTGGCTACCAGACACTTCAGGGAGGACACTTCTGCATCCTACCAGGAAGCACACACGGAACTAGAGCCCGTGTCCCCCAATTCAGGCTGTGAAACCACGCTGGCAGAAGCTACTGGAACTGGGGTAACTGGCCGCGTGAGCCCCCGCCCCCACCGCTGCTCCCCGCCCATGGGGGCTGGCCGCATGCTCTGTAGTTTTTAGAAGCATGTTTCAGTGGCCCCTCGTCATTTCTGCAATCAGAGGCTGCTTATCCATCCCTGTGAGTTTTTTCCCTAAACGGGCCTGGGTGTAGCTCAGGCTGAATGATGGGCTTCTCTGCTTGGCCCATGTTAGCTTGGCCACAAAGACCCTCAGCTTTTGGTGTGACCTGGTGCCCAGAGGGTCACACAACCCCCATGGAGAAGGTGGCGCCACCACCAGCAAATGACACACCTGCTTTGCCTTGCCGCTCATACCCGCTGGGTTCCTGCCTACCTTGCTTGGCTTGTCCAGCGATCTTTCTTCATCCTTTCCCATCCCTGGTTCTCCCGCCTTGGGAAAGTTGACAGTCCAGAGGTTTCCATCCTTCACTTCTGGTTCCCTCTCAGTCCCAGTGCCAAGTTTCTTTCTGCCTCCTTAAGACTAACTGTCTTCTCTAATCCAGAACAAATCCGGAGATGCGGTCAGGGAAGAGAAGCGCTCCACCAACTTAGCAGCCAACACCCCTGGGAAGGGGGGGCGCCTGAGATTTGCCAGCCCCTCGGGCCCTCAGGTCTCTGCAGCCCCTCTGTGCCCTGATGACCCAGTCACCTTCACCCGGCCAGGATGCATCGCCGCCTTAGGTTCCCACCTGCTGTGGCAGCACCTCTCGTGCTGCTCAACTCTGGCTTGTCTGGAATGTCTCCCTCACACCTCTCAACCTTCCAGAAACTGGCTAAATGGAGGCTCGCTTAGCAAGTGAATGTCTAAGCCCACTGAATCCCTAGAACCAGAAGCCAAGTTCTTTACAAATCTTTCATGGGTATTAGGTTGGTCTTTAAAAAGAATGTTATGAACCAGCCAAAAATGTGTGTGTGGTGTTTAATCCCTGACAGGCCAGTTGAGAGGTATGTATGTCGGACAAGAGTTGCTGGTTCCCCGAGGCACTGCCTTGGCCCGCTGTTGTCAATTACACTGATGGGACCAGAGCCTCTACTCCCTGACTTGCCTGTGGTCCACTCATGGAGCCCAGGGTGGAGCTGGCGTAGCACTCAGCTCCCAAGAAGCTCGTGCCCAAAAGGCCTGACCCTGAATTGCTCTTCTCTCTAGTCGATGCTGACCCCTCCCCCGGAGACTCAGTGGAATTGACAAACATGTTGGCTTCCTCTTTTGTTCCTCAAAGTTCTTGGCTCCAACCTCTCTGCCTTCCCTTCCTGGGTCTCCCTGAATCCCTGGATCTCCCTCCTTAGTTTCTGTTTCTCAACGCCCACCTGCACGGATGGGCCTGGGGTCCGGGCTTCCATCCCTGCCTTTCGTGCAATGCTGCTTCCAATAAGCTCCCAGATCCAATACCCTTGGATGGAGCCTCCTGTCCAGGAGTCACTGGCAGGACGTTTGCTTTGTACTTGCTTTTGCCATCAGTGTGAGACCCTCAGAAAGGGGCATCTCCACTCTTGAGTCGTTTTTGTTTTTTTTATGCTTGTTATGATTTCAAGGAACCTTTCCTGGGGTGTTTTTCATTTCCTGGCCTGCTCTTCCATTCAGGATGTCGACACAGCCCCGAGATTTCTCCTGACATTCACCATCTTGATTTCTCTTTCTCTCTCTCTCCCCACCCCACATCCCCATTCTTTTGATTTTATCTGGCCATAGAGAGCAGGGCTGAGGGAGGGCTCCGAGGAGAAAGTCAAACCACCACGTCCCCGGGCCCCAGAGAGTGACACAGGCGATGAGGACCAGGACCAGGAGAGGGACACGGTGTTCCTGAAGGACAACCACCTGGCCATTGAGCGCAAGTGCTCCAGCATCACGGTCAGCTCTACGTCTAGCCTGGAGGCTGAGGTGGACTTCACGGTCATTGGTGACTACCATGGCAGCGCCTTCGAAGACTTCTCCCGCAGCCTGCCTGAGCTCGACCGGGACAAAAGCGACTCGGACACTGAGGGCCTGCTGTTCTCCCGGGATCTCAACAAGGGGGCCCCCAGCCAGGATGATGAGTCTGGGGGCATTGAGGACAGCCCGGATCGAGGGGCCTGCTCCACCCCGGATATGCCCCAGTTTGAGGTACAGTGGAGCTTCCTCAAGAGCCAGGCCCGCTGGGCACCGCATGCTCAGAGGGCCCTGGGCCACCCGTGAGAAGACCGAGCACCCAGCCTGCAGCCTGAAGCTCTGTCTCGTGTTGCATGACTGCCCCTCCGCAGAACAGCATGGTTCTGTGCTCGCATGTTTGCCATCTCGGTTTACCCCTAACACGCGCTCCTTGGTATTTTAACCCTGTGACCCCATCGCTTGCTGAAGTCGAGCGATGACAGGTAGTCTGGTCTTTCTTGACCCCATGCCCCCCCACCTGTGTTGCATGGCACCTGCAGAGAGCATGCGTCTGTGGACTCTTGGGGGCTCCTGCAGCCTGGTCTGAAAGCTGAATGGTTTTTCCTGATCCGGGCCCAGGCTTGTCTCTCTGGGGTCTGGGCTTCCCGGGGAAGGGGAAGCAGTTTAAATCCATCTGGCCCTGGGGTCTCAGGGTGGTAATGGAAGCTCCTGGAAGAGAGGAAATGTGGTCATTGAGGAGGGACAGACTGTCTCTGGGCCTCTCTGTGGTCTCCTCTGTAGAGCTGTGAAGGGATTTCTCTAAGGCACGCCTGCCCATATCATTCCTTTGCCCCCTCATCTCTTCTAGACCCAACCTCCCTCCTACACTCTCCTTTCCCCAACATTCCTGGCATTGAAATATGAGCTTAGCCACTCTGGGCTCTCACTTCATGCTATATTCTCTGAGCAGGTTTTTTTTTCTCCCTTTCGGTGCCTTACAAACCTATCATGTTCCAGGACCAAGTTCAAATGTCAGTTTCCTAGCAGGGGTTTGCTTTCCTGACCACCCTGGGCAGAAATATCGCCCCCCTACCCCCTTGCCCTGTAATGCCTATGCTCCAGCACTATCCAAAGCGGTCAGGTCAGTGGCTGACAAGCCTGCTCTCCCACCAGGTGGCAGCTCCTCTAGGCCTGGCATATACTAGGCACTAATAGATGATTAACTGGATGAATGGCTGGGTTACAGGGTTGCAACCATCTATAAGAATCCCCTTCAGCCAGGCACAGTGGCTTGTGCCTGTAATCCCAGCTACTCAGGAGCTGAGGCAAGAAGGCAGGGGGATCACTTGAGCCCAGGAGTTCGAGGCTACAGTGAGCTTTGATCGTGCCACTGCACTCCAGCCCGGGCGACAGAGTGAGACCTTGTCTCTTAAAAACAAAACAAAACAAGAAAAAAAAAATCTCCAGGCACAGTGGTTCACACCTGTAATCCCAGCACTTTGGGAGGCTGAGGCAGGTGGATCACCTGAGGTCAGGAGTTCAAGACCACCCTGACCAACATGGTGAAACCTTGTCTCTACTAAAAATACAAAAATTAGCTGGGCGTGGTGGCACCCACCTGTAATCCCAACTACTCGGGAGGCAGGAGAATCACTTGAACTCAGGAGGCAGAGGTTGCAGTGAGCTGAGATCACGCCATTACACTCCAGCCTGGGCAACGGAACGAGATTCCATCTCAAAAAACAAAACAAAAACAAAAACAAAACTATACTCAGAGGTCATAGTCACAGCTTGCCATACCCAAATGGACCCCACATGCTCTCTACTTCACCCCAGTCCTCAACAAACCCTCTTCACTCATTGACATCTCCTGCCTGGATGCTGTAGGCCTCCAAGCATGTGTGGCTCTTGCTCTAAAGAAGAGTCCAGGCTGGGCACGGTGGCCCACACCTGTAATCCCAGCACTTTGGGAGGCTGAGGCAGGTGGATCACTTGAGGTCAGGGGTTCAAGAACAGCCTGGCCAACATGGTGAAACCCCGTCTCTACTAAAAATACAAAAGTTAGCCGGGTGTGGTGGCATGAGCCTGTAGTGCCAGCTACCTGGGAGGCTGAGGTAGGGGAATCGCTTGAACCTGGAAGGCAGAGGTTACAGTGAGCCGAGATCGCACCATCGCACTCCAGCCTGGGCGACAAAGGGAGAGTCTGTCTCAAGAAAAAAAATAGAAGAGTTCAGCTGAAGCGGCTGAGAGGTGGTGAGCTCACCAGGATTTGGTGACATTATGTACACAAGGAAAACACTTAGCCCAGGGCCTGTCATAGAGTATGTTAATGAAATGGTAGATGTTCTAATAGTAGCCTAAAAAACAGCATATAGCCACCATGAGGGTGTGTGGCACAGGGGCGCAGGGCAGGCCTGCCTGGTCCTGGTGGTGGTCCTGGCTCTCCTCGCGGGCTATCTGTCTATGATATCACACCACAACTCTTTTACCCTGTCCAGAGTACCCTTCCAGAGATGTGGCCAGCTGTGGGGATAGGAGATAGCCTGCAGACACCACACTGCAATTGTCTGTGAGCAAGGGTCATGCTAGGGTTTCAGTTACAGAGCATTCTCCCTCCTTTTCCTACAGCCCGTGAAAACAGAAACCATGACTGTCAGCAGTCTGGCCATTAGAAAGAAGATTGAGCCGGAGGCCGTACTGCAGACCAGAGTCTCCGCTATGGATAACACCCAGGTAACTTGTGCCTTCCAATGTACCCTAAGCATGGGTATTGGGCATTTGGTGGTAGGGTCCCCACTGCTGTGGCCAAACCCCTTGGCCAGCTCTTTTAATCTCAGCTTCCCTGGAACCCATATGTTAATCCTGATGCTCTCCTGTGCCTCAGTGTCCTCTCTGAGCTCTGGGGAGGGGCAACGGGTAAAGCAGGTTCCTGTCCTGGGCAGACCATACTTCTTAAAGCCTCCATTTAGCCATCCATAAAATGGGAATGACCCTGTCTACCCCTTCCTCCTGGGCATATTGGGAGGACTGTACTGACTAGTGGATTGGGACCTTGGTGTTCACATTGCTTGGAGGAGTTGGAGAGGTTTCTTGAGGTATCTCAGGGGCTGCTTGAGGAGAGAAGAGGGAGAGATCCCAATTCAGCTTCAGTCAGAATAGCTCACCTTGGGTCATTTTTTATGCATTAGAGTTCCACATCAGATCAGTAAAATGAACAAAGTGAAAGAAGAAAACCGAAGATCATGTGTCTTGACAAGAAGCAGCATCCTGACCACCTGGAGAAAGCCGTCAGGCATAGGCACAGGCCCACGACTTCCAGTCCATTCCCTGCACTCCTTCCATGCTTTTTAAACTTAGGAAGTTAAGATTGAGGATCTGATAGATGCCCTCCTGGTTTTTCCTGGCCAGAAGAGCTACAATGCTAGGAGCTTTTTTGCTCTGAGACTAACCTTTTCCTGAAGAACTGAAATAAGACCAGGCACAGTGGCTCACATCTGTAATCCCAGCACTTTGTGAGGCCAAGGCAGGCAGATCGCTTGAGCCCAGGGGTACAAGACCAGCCTGGGCAATATAGGGAGACCCCAGCTCTACAAAAAATACAAAAATTAGCTGGGCATGGTAGCACATGCCTGTAGTCCCAGCTGCTCGGGAGGCTGATGTAGGAGGATCACTAAAACCCAGGAGGTCGAAGCTGCAGTGAACTATGAGCTATGATTCCACCACTGCATTCCAGCTTGGGTGACAGGGAAAAAAAGAGAGAGAAAGAGAAAACTGAAATAAGACATAAACCAATACAACATGGGCAATTCTTTTGTTTCCAGATTTCTTTCTCCCACTTTTATAATGATGGTAGGAGTTTATGAGGCCGTCTACTACAGGTCAGGACTCTTGAGTTCTGATGAGCTGTGTGACCTTGGGCAAGCTGCTTCCCCCACTGACCTGTTTTGTTTTAGTAACACGTGTTTCTGTTGTGTTTTCATACAGAAAAGTATAAAGAAACTAAAATTGGCCCTAGATCCCACAGCCCAGTAACCCTTATTGACATAAAAACAAAACAACAAAAAAAGTTTATAGTTATACAATTCAAGCAGAACAAAATGGGATTTTTCTTATAATATCACCCAGAAAAAAATATAAGCCTATTTCAACACAGATACCTACATCTCTATATACTTAACAATGTTTACACAGAAGTGATCATTTTCTTACAACTTACCTTTCTTCTTAGTAATTATTTTGGAGATCACTCCTTGTTGGCATACATAGACCCACCTTACTCTTGATCATCTCAGTTAGGAGGCAAATCTTGATTTATTTCGCTGTCTCCCAATGGCTCGCCCTGTGATTGTTTTTGTTTTGTGCAATTCACTATCAGCGCTCGTGAATTTCCTTGCTCATACTTCTCGGTGAGCTTTTCAAAGGTTATATCCAAAGAGTCAGTTCCTAGAGATTGCTAGGTCAAAGATTACACGCATTGCAATTTGGATAGAATTTGCCAGATAGTCTGAGATTATTTTTTATTTACCAAATACACTGGTTGAAATGTAATGAGGGCCTGTTGCACCTCTGTGATTTGGTCTGTGTGCAGCCCCCTGCCAGTGATGTTCACTCACACAGCCTGTCACTTTGTAACTGGGAGGCCGTGAGCCCAGGTGACAGATGCTGCAGGTATACCCAGCTCTCCCCAGCTCTAACGACTCCTCCTCTGGTCAGCAGGTTGATGGGAGTGCCTCAGTGGGGAGGGAGTTCATAGCAACCACTCCCTCCATCACCACGGAGACCATATCGACCACCATGGTAAGTTGAACCCAGGAGGCTTCCCTCTCTGACCAGCCCCCTGCCCCACCAAACAGCCAGAGAACAAGCTAACATCGCCTGGCTGCTTCAGGAAGTTGTGAGCTGCCCTCGCTGCATCAGGCATGGGACATAAGTCAGCTGTTTATTATCTGGGGCTTTAGTTGCCACAGGACATAGTCAGGCCTCAGTTTTCCAAAGTGAGTAATGTGGGCGATGGAATCCCCACTGATAGTGTCAGTTATCTAGGCCATCTCAGCCACAGCAGAGAGAGAGAGAGGATGGTCTTCTTTGGTTATTGGCACCCACGAATCTCATCTTGCATTGAGATTTCATTGGCTCATCTCACCTCCACTCTGAAGGTGAGGCTGGACCCATCCTGGTGGCTGCACATTGTCTCATGCCTTAGACCACTTCCTTGCCTTGGTCAGTAGATGGCGTGTGGTGACCCTAAGTTGGAACCAGGATTTTTGGGACCTCCCTATTGAGGGACCTCATGGTTCTGCTACTTATTTGCTGTCTGACCCATGAAGGAAGGCCCTTGGCCTGAGGTGTCCTCATCTGCAAAATGGCAATAATCCCCATTCTGCAGTTCTTAAGAGACCCCGGCAACACTAGATCCCTTCATGATTAAACAGAACAGATAGCATTTGGCACACAGGTTGTGGTTCCAGTCAATGTGCTGAGACTCCTGAGTGGATAATCTCCGTGGATGCTCACAGACACTGT
Organism: Homo sapiens; assembly: GCF_000001405.40. Classification (NCBI taxonomy): domain Eukaryota; kingdom Metazoa; phylum Chordata; class Mammalia; order Primates; family Hominidae; genus Homo; species Homo sapiens. The sequence continues at coordinate 36,215,167 of NC_000020.11, forward strand.
GAGGTGGATGCTCTTCCCTCCACAACCTTTATAGATGAGGTAACTGAAGTTCAGAGAGGTAAAGCGACTTACCCAAGGTCACACAATCAATAAGTGGTAGTGCCAGGTTATCCCCAGGCCTTCTGACACCAGGAGCCCCACTTTCAACCCCAGCCACTCTGCTCTGCTTCCTTAATCCTGACCATTGTGAACATCAGCCGCATGGGGCTGGGGCTGCGGTTGCAGCCACTACTCGGGCTAGGGAAGGTAGCAGTGCTGGAGCCAGAGAAGTTGTTTTCAAATACTGTTTCTTGCCAACCTCCTGACATACACATAGGAAGGTAATTCCATCAATCTAGACTAGCCAGCAGGTAGGTTTTGAATACACAGAAATTTTAAAATCAATAAGTCCAAACTAGTTACCAGCTTGCACACCTTTCCCTGGTCACTCAGTTCCTCCTCTCCCCTCAGTCCTTCACCACGTGTCATTGGGATGCTTGTAGGGCTAAATTTAAATCCGTTCATATGGTGAGCAGGCACTTATACCATTCATTTACTCATCCATCCATCCATCTATTCATTCATTTGTTCCAAAAACATTTATTAGTCTGTACTATCTGCCTGGTATGGGGGATACAGTTGAAGAAACTATACTGCCTGCTGGAATTCATTCATTCAAATGACCATCATGAGCACCTTTAATGTGCTGTGACCCTGTATTTAGGTTCTGGGCATACAGCGGAGAACAAGGCCCAGCTGTCCCACTTCCTGGCTGGATGACCTTGGGCAAGTCACCCGAACCTCTCCAAACCTCAGTTTTCACTTCTGTAAAATGGGTGAGGGTAGAGGGCAGTAATAGCATGACCTCAAAGGGCTGATGTGAGGGGGAACGAAAGCAATCTGTGCAAAGCCCTGAGAACAGTGCCTGGCGCATAATAAGTGGCCTGAAGATGTGAGCTGCAGTTACTTCTTTCCTGCCTTCATGGGACAGTGTAATAATGCTATCCTAGGGGCCACCAGGAGGACAGCTATGGGGTGACAGCTCTGCCAGGAGGAGCCAGGAAAGGCTTTCCCTAGGCAGGGACATTTGAGTGAGCTATGCTTGAAGGATAAATTAAAGTATGGTCCTGGGGGAAGGCATTCTAGACAGTGGGAAAAGCAAGTGCAAAGGGCAGAAGGGAAGGAGTGCAGCATTTGGGGAAGGACCAGTGGTCAAGAAAGCCAGATGTCAAGCACACGGAGGAGGAGTCGGGGGGGAAGAGCTGGAAAGGAAGGCTAGGCCAGAGCTTGATAGACCTCAAATGTCATATACCAAGTTCAAACTTCTGTCCTGCAGACAATGGGGAATCACTTAAATTTTTTACATTAGGGACATGATGTCATCAGATATGTGTTTCTGTGTTTTAGAAAGATTATTCTAGCAACCTCTGTGGAGGAGGGACTTGAGCAAAAAATTCTTCCCTCCTTCTCTCTCTCTCCTTCCTTCCACAAATATTGATTGAACACCCATGATGTGTATAGTTCTGTACCAGCCACTGTGAATCCAGCTTGAAGAAGGGAACATCCCGGGGCTCTAGGGCCCACATGCCACTGGGAGAGACAGAGAGAGAAGGCAGGGAACCAGCTTAGATGCTGGTGCCCAGGCTGGGGTGGGGCTGGAGTGCAAGGAGGTGGATGCAGAGAAGGGGTCAGGGTTAAGGGATGCCTGGAGGGGGGAAAGCACAGGATTTGGTCGTTGGTAGGATGTTCAGGGGACAAGAGGAAAGATGAGCTCGTGACACCGTTCACTAGCCAATGGTTCTCAAAATGTGGTTCCAGGAACCTGTTAGCAAGGCAGGTCCTTTGGGCTCCTCCTTAGACCTATTGACTCGGAAACTCTAGGGTGGGGCCCAGCAGTGTGTGTTTTTCCAAGCCCTCCAGCTGATGCCTCTGAAGTTGGAGAACTGCTGATGTAAACAGAGTGATGGGGGAAAGTGCTCTTTAGTGACAAGCGTGTGTTGGAAGTGGAAGAAGCAGTGAATTCCTTTCGAGATCGGATGAGTCTGAGGTGCCTGTGGAACATTTCCAGGGCAAAATGTCTAGGACACAACTGGTTTTAAAGGCCTAGGGTCCAATAAATATCTGGGCTATAGGTGAAGGGATAGGGGACTTTGACCTCCATGAGGCAGCAGAAGCTGTTGAGTAGCCGAGGTGGCCCAGAGAGCGGGTGGCAAGTGAGGAGAGCCTGAATGTGGAGGAAGAGAGGGCTGAGTTTGCCTTGGTCAGGGAGAGGAACCACTCCTCCTGGAGGCAGGTGACGGGACTGGCCAAGGATACAGGAGAGGAAGGGAGGAGCAGAGGGTGCCTCGTTTTGAATGACTGATGTCCCTAGTGGTGGCCTCTGTTTTTAGTGTGAAGGTGGAGGTGAGGCTTTGCCCTGGGAAAGACAGAACAATGAGAGAATAAGAGGCTTTAAGGGAGAACTTCCCAGAATGATGCTAGGATTCATAGGGGTTAGTGGCTGTTAAGGGGAAAGGAAGCATTGAGCCCGGAAGCTGCCCTTGGGAAGCCTGCTGCTGGGCCACATTCTGGAACTGCAGGTGCATCTGGGAACGTGCCTTGTGGTGCAGTACCAAGGAACCAGGCTGCTGGCAGCCTCAGCAGGATGCAGGTGTGGGAGCGGCAGGGGAAAGTCAGCGAGTTTCTTTTCTCACCTGTCCCTTGGTAGGCAGAAGTCCAGATCTAGTGCCATGCCTGGACCAGAATCAGAGGTCAGGCCACTGAGGACCTGCAGAATGGACACAGTTCTGGGCCCCTGGACAGACAAGGCTGAGCCCTGAGATGGTGCAGAAAGTAGGAGGTAGAAGCAGGCAGCTGGGCCCTGGCGCCAGATCGGGGGCAGTAAGTCAGGGGACAATTCCAGGAAGATCTAGCAATTAGAATTTAAGGTAGGGCCAAGAGAGCTGTCTGAAGGGAAAGATTCCCAAGGGCAGAGTGGCGTGCACAGTGTGTTGGACTTGGAGTCAGACAACATGGAGTTAAGTTCCAGCTCTACCACTAACTTGCTGGGAGACTGAACTCTTAAGTTTCTCTTGCCCTCCAGTTTCTCATCTGTAAATCAGGAATATTAAAAATAATGCCCAACTGGTGTTATGAGAATTAAACGAGATGAGGCATGTAACATCCTTAAAATGATGCCTCGCACATAGCAAGCACTCAGAAAGTCATTATTATTATTATATTCTAAATAGCCAGCTTATGCCCCTATATTTATCCTATGTATTTTGGTTTGCAAAACCTTTTCTACTCCATTAGCTTCATAGGTTCTGTGTGGGATTGGGGCAAGGGTCCTTTTTTACAGATGAATCTGTGAGGCCCATAGAGAGGAAGTGGCTCTGCCCCAAGTCACATGGCTTGAAGGTGGCAGGGCAGGACACGAGCCTGAATCTGGCAACTCCTCTGCTAGTGCTTCCGGAGAACAATGCCATGTCTTGATCACTACAGTGTTCCTAACGCCAGACAGTCTGTAAATGTTTGTTGAATGAGCGAGTGTGCAAGTGTGCGAGTGAACAAATGTGTGCCTGAGTGAGCAAGGGATGAATGAGGCGGAACTGAACGATGCCTTCAGTCCTTTGCTTCTATTATTTCTACTCAACCTTGTGGTCGTGATAGCTACATGGCCACATGCTCCGCCCATCCTGGGGGCCCACCCGGCTGAGAGCTGGCCATCTGAGCACTATTGTTTCCCCAGGAGAACAGTCTCAAGTCCGGGAAGGGGGCAGCTGCCATGATCCCAGGCCCACAGACGGTGGCCACGGAAATCCGTTCTCTTTCTCCGGTAAGTGGGCAAGGCCAGCTCAGGCTAGGGGACTCCACACTGAGAATATGGGCATGGACCCATGTATGGCTGGCAGGAAGTGCAGCGTTGAGCCCAGAAGGCACCCTTCTAGGTGCAAAGCCAGGAAACTGGACCCTTTTCAGATGCCCACAGGGCTCCCTGGTGCCTGCTAGAATCTCATGAGTGGCCCTCCCCACCGCCCACACATGTAAGTGGGGCATTGGTGACATGTGAGGGTAAAGCGGCCCCTCACCTTGGTGGTGCTGCTGAGGGTTCTTTTGCATCTGCCCTCCCTACTAACCAGGAAGAGCAATGGACTAGGAGGCCAGAGGCTTGGATTCTGGACCTGCCTCTGTTGGTGCCTGCCCAGTGACCCTGAGTCTGTCACTGTAGGGTCTCTTTCAGCTCTTGCATTCTCCAAGTCTGTGGTTCTCATTGTTTAGCTCCGCAGAGAGCGTGCACCTGGCTATGACAGGATGGGGCATCAGGAGGGCTGTGTTTCCACCTTGGATCCTTTTGGTCATTCTTCCATGATGCCAGGATTCTTAAATTCTAGGGTATTGTTAGGATTCTGGGCCTCAGGAATCTTAGCGTCTAGGAATCTCAGACTCCAGGATTTGAGAATTTGATGGGTCTAGTTTTCTGAAGATTCTAGTATTCTTGAATTCTTAATGGCTGAAAGCATCTTGGCTTCGAAACGTCACCTTCACAGAGCCCTTTACCCCACCCCGCCCTCACCCCTCCAGAGCCCACTGTCCTTACCTGACACCCTGGGTGGGGGGTGGTTATATTCTGCAGATCATCGGGAAAGATGTCCTCACCAGCACCTACGGCGCCACTGCGGAAACCCTCTCAACCTCCACCACCACCCATGTCACCAAAGTGAGTAGCAGCAGGGCGCCCCATGCCCCCAGCCGAGCTGCAGGCGAGAAGGTCATGACTGTTGTTCTGCTTCGGCTTCGCCATCTGTAAAGTGGACAGAGAAAACCTGTAGTGTTTACCAGCTTCTGGAATACTGTGCGCTTTGTCCTGTGCCACATGTTGTTCTAGGCACGGGCCCTTCCCACACGGCGTTGACAGCCAGGCTAGGGGGAACAATACTCTCCTCTTTGAAGTAACTGTGAACCATGGCGTGTGCGCCTTGTAGATGGAAAGTGCTGGAGGAATCTAGACGGGGTGACATATGGGAGGCCCTGCAAGAGTCAGGAAGCATCTCCTGGAAGAAGTAGGGACTGAGTAGAGTCTTGGAAAGCCAGGCAGGACACCTGAGGGAGGAGAAGACAGATGCGGGTGTTCTAAGCAAAGCAGAAGAGGGAAGCAGAAATTGTGTGTTTGCTTATTTGTTTGTTCACTGAGCAGATGTTAGTGAGTGTCAACTTTGTGTTAGCCTCTGTGCCAGGGCTGCTGGATGTAGCAGTAAGTGAGGCCTGTTTATGGGACATGAGAAGCACATGTAGGGGGTGTAACTGGGAAATTAGGTTGCACTGGGGGCAGGGAGGTGGAATATAGAGCAAATAACAAATACCAGGACACATTTGACTCTGGAGGATCTGGGCCTCAGGGAGATTGGAAAGCCATGAAGGTTTTTAGATTGGAGAGTAACCCAGTGAACATAGGTTTAAGGAGAGAATATCAGGTCCACCAGGATGTGTAGATAGGTGGGAGAAAGAAGAGGGAGAAGTATGGAGAGAGACGGATAATAAATAACTCAGGCCTGGTGGGGAGGGCCTGGACCAGGGTGTGAGTTAGAGCTCAGGCAGCAAGAGGTAGGGGCAAAGGAGGGAAGCCTTCCTGGGTGACCCAGCAATAAGGACAAGGGCTAGTTGGGAGGCAGGCGGGCTGATGCGTCCACACCTATGTGGCCAGGAGGAAGGCAGGAGGGCGCCTAGCCAGGGCTGGAGGCCTGGAGCAGCCAGGTTGATGAGCCATCAGAGGAGAACTCTGGTCAGTTGCACTGGGCCTTCATGCACGGACTGTCCTGGCCTCTGCCTGCGCCTCTACAGGATTCAGCACTTTCTCACGTACCCCACAAAGAACCCACTCTCAGCAAAAGCATTACTGAGCAATGTTGACTTCTCTGAAAGCTTTATGGGAGGTTTTACATCCCACGCCCACAGCAGACAGCTCAGGAAACTCTTCTTCCCAAAGTCCCTGCCAACTGGGAGCCCCCTCTTCTTTCTATCCACTCCTGACTCCAGCTGGGATTCCCCACAGACACCACCCTGCTTTAACATGCCAAACAATTAGGTCCTGCCTCAGTTATTACTTCTAAACTTGTCCAAACCCCTTGCCTTCAGAAAACAGCGGAGGTCATAAGTATCATCAATCCAATTTTCTCTTGTAGTATTTTTTGAAGTTGCTTAAGGCAGAACCTTGTCACCATTCACATTTCATTCATGTGTTCATTCAACAAATCTGCATTCAGCACTGCCCTGGTTAGACTGGGTGAGGGAGTGGGGGAGGAGGGGATATAGAGATGAACAAAATACAGACCCTGCCTTCAAGAGCTGGCAGCCTGGTGAGGTGAACAAGGCCACAGACATACATAAGGTCGGCACCAGGCAGAGAGGTCCAGAACTGTGAGAGAGACAGATTCAGTGCTCAGGCAGTACCAAGGCAGGAAGACAGAAGCATTGCCAACCAGGGTCTGAGAGGCAGCATTGGAGCTAGGCTTGGAAGACCTAGATGGGATAGTTTGGTAGTTTTGGGGAGTGGTGGCAACCAGGCAAGATCTGCAGTTCAAAGTCCAAAATCAGAAAAGAAAAAATCTGAGGAAGTCAGGAGAGAAGGTAACTGCTGGTTCTCAGCCCTGCCCTCGAGAGATGATTTGGGTAGGTCCCCTCTTGAGGCTGCTGCCCCAACAGGACCCAAGAGTGACCTCACCTCCCTCTCCCTCTGCAGACTGTGAAAGGAGGGTTTTCTGAGACAAGGATCGAGAAGCGAATCATCATTACTGGGGATGAAGATGTCGATCAAGACCAGGTATGGGGGTAGCAACCGTTCTTCCCAGTGCCACTGCCCAGTCCTCAATCCCTCCTATGTTGGGTTACCCATGGATGGCTATCCTCATGGGCAGAGAAGGTGTCCACTTCTTGCTGACCCTGTTCAGATAAGAAACCCCCAAGAGAGGGGCATTGGATGGGAGCCAGAAGGAGCCAGAAGACCTGAGCTCTAGTCTCTCCCTTTAGTTGTTTGACTTTGCCCCTCTCTGGGCCTCAGTTTTTCCAGCTGTGCACTAGAGGGCTTGCTGTTCTTCACAGTCTCTCTCGTCTTGGATAGTTCATGGTTCCTTCCTTTGCTGTTCTTTACCACCAGGCCCTGGCTTTGGCCATCAAGGAGGCCAAACTGCAGCATCCTGATATGCTGGTAACCAAAGCTGTCGTATACAGAGAAACAGACCCATCCCCAGAGGAGAGGGACAAGAAGCCACAGGTAAGGCTCCTGAGGCCCAGCAACCATGAGAGAGAGGAGGGAGCAGTAGCAAGATCCTCTGAGGGCCATTTCCATCTGAGAAGCCAGTGGCTTGACCCCTAGTGCAGCTTTGACCCTCCCCCCATCAGCCTTCCTGATTTGCTGCTCAAAGGAGAGAGGCACCTCCCCGAGATACAAGTCGGTGGGGAGAAGAAGGAAGACTGGTTCCTTGGTTTCTTTGGGGTTTCAGGCTCCAGATCCAGAAAAATAAATCCAGAAGTGGTTAAAAATTTTTTTAAAGGGAGGGAAATGGAGAGAGGATTGACAGTGGATATTGAGGTGGGACAGATGGAGGTCCTCATTATCTCCTTGGGCATTGTCTATAAACCGGAAGTCAGAAAAAGTCCTACTAGGCCCAGTGCCACGTTCCTGGCCCTGAGTCTCTCTCTCTATCACAAGTCACTGAATGTTGTTAAGGGGCCATGATGACCAGAGCCCTTGATCCCTTTTGTCTTGCTTGATTGCAATTTTTATATTTTTTGAGATGGAGTCTTGCTCTGTCACCCAGGCTGGAGTGCAGTGGTACAATCTTGACTCACTGCAACCTCTGGCTCCTGGGTTTAAGTGATTCTCTTGCCTCAGCCTCCCGAGCAGCTGGGACCACAGGCGCCCGCCACTGCGCCCAGCTAATATTTTGTATTTTTAGTAAAGACGTGGTTTCACCGTGTTAGCCAGGATAGTCTCGATCCCCTGACCTCGGGTGATCTGCCCGCCTTGGCCTCCCAAAGTGCTGGGATTACAGGCGTGAGCCACCGCACCCAGCCTAATTTTTATATTTTCAGTAGAGACGGGGTTTTACCTTGTTGGCCAGGCTGGTATCAAACTCCTGTCCTCAAGTGATCTGCCTGCCTCAGCCTCCCAAAGTGCTGGGATTACAGGCATGAGCCACCATGCCTGGCATGATTGCATTTTGACTTCTGAGACCTGCAGGAGCCAAAATCTTAGGGACTCTAATATTCTCTTGTTTCACTGTGGGCCATCAATGCTTTGGTGAATAAGAGAAATAAGATGATGTTGGGGCAGATAGGGCTTTTAAGCAACCTAAATTAGGGGAGGGGTTCTTCTGGGCCCTCTGGAAATTTACCAGATCTTATCAGATCTTAAAGCAAAATCCCATAGACATTGAGTTGGATAAAATAAGCCAGGCACAGAAAGTATAAACTGTATGATTCCATTCGTAGGGAGTCCAAAAGCAAGCAAAACTAATCGACAAGGTTGAAAATCAGAATATTCCTGATTTTCTATCTGAGAAAAAAATTCTTCTGATTTTTCTGTTACTTCTGGGATGCAGTATTCACAAGGAAGAGGGAAGGGCCAGAAAGGAACCTTCTAGGGTACTGGAAATGTCACTATTTTCAACTGGGTGGGTTACATGGGTATATACATATAAACACATTTATAAAATTATTCTCCCACTTAGAGTTGTGTACTTCACACATTTCATGGGCTCTACCACAATGAAAAAAAATCCATCTCAAAGACCCCACAAATATAATTGCTGGTCTCCTTTTTGCCCTTTTCCTTGAATGAATGAAACCAGTCTTTTCTAGAAAGATACGAGAATGTTTCTCTTCCTTTGATTACCAGACCCCTTAATGTCAGAAGAAAAAGCACTGAAACATTTTCCTGCTGCTCTGAAAGGCTGCTAACCTCTGGTCTGGACTAGGGCTGTTCAGCAGAACTTTCTGCAGTGATGGAAGTGTTCTTTCTGTGCTGTCTGGGATGGTAGTCACTAGCCGCATGTGGCTATTGAGGACTTGAAATTGGCTAGTCTAAAAAGAAATGTGCTTTAAGGGTGAAATACATGCAGGATTTTGAAAATTTAATATAAAAAAAGTAAATAATCTCAATAATTTTTACATTGGTTACATATTTAAATGATAAGGGATACATCAGGTTAGGTAAAATGTACTATTAAAATTAACTTCATCTGGCCAGGCACGGTGGCTTATGCCTGTAATCTCAGCACTTTAGGAGGCCAAAGCAAGTGGATCACCTGAGGTCAGGAGTTTGAGATCAGCCTGACCAACGTGGTGAAACCCTGTCTCTACTAAAATACAAAATTAGGAGTGGGGGTTGGTGGGTGCCTGTAGTCCCAGCTACTAGGGAGGCTGAGGCAGGAGATTTGCCTTAACCTAGGAGGCGGAGGTTGCAGTGAGCTGAGATGGCACTATTGCACTTCAGCCTGGGCAACAGAGCGAGACTCCGTCTCAAAAATAAAATAAAATTAAATTAATTTCACCTGTTTCTTTTTAAACTTTTTAATGGAAACTAAAATTGAGAAATTTAATTGTGAAATTAAAATTTTCTATTTATCTAGAAATTTTTAGAAAAATAGAAATATATAGAAAATTTAGGAAGTGTTATCTAGAAAATCTATTATCTAGGAAAAAAATTTTTTTTTTTGAGACGGAGTCTCACTCTGTCACCCAGGCTGGAGTGCAGTGGCACGATCTTGGCTTACTCCAGCCTCCACCTCCCGGATTCAAGTGATTCTCGTGCCTCAGCCTCCCAAGTAGCTGAGACTACAGGCGTGTGCTACCACACCCAACTAATTTTTGTATTTTTAGTAGAGACGGGGTTTCACCATATTTGCCATGCTGGCCTCAAACTCCTGACCTCAAGTGATCTGCCCGACTCGGCCTCCCAAAGTGCTAGGATTACAGGTGTGAGCCACTGCACCTGGACCTATCTAGGAAAATTTTAAATTGCATATGTAGTTCACATTCTATTTCTATTGGACAGCACTGGTCTAGAAGTGTAGGTTGGCCATGGGCGGAGCCTACCTCCCAGGCTTCCTCAGACCTTCATACAAGTGATTGTCATTCCTATCCCCTCAGTTTTTCAATCATTCTTCCTTTATTCCTCCCAAATCTCAGAGTGGTAGAGTGTAGGCCACTTGCTGAGCTGGGTGTATCACCTGGGGAAGCCTGTTTAAAATACAGGCACTGGAGAACCCTCTCCATAAAGTCTGATTTAGAAAGACTGGACTGGGACCTGGGACCTGTATTGCCTGGGAATCTTCATTTCTGCCTTGGTCCTTAGGGAGTCCGCGTGCAGCCAGGTATAGTAGCATTGATGCAAAGAACTCTGTATTGGGAATCCAGGGACCTGGCTCTAAAGCTGTTCCACTGACTGGTGTGTGACCGTAGGTCCGTTTCTTCCCGCTTGAGGACTCGGTTTCCTCACTTGCAAAATGAAGAGGTGGAGCGAGCCCCCTTCCAATTACAGTCCTCTGGCTATTTGCTTTCCTGGGGTATCTGTTGTGCTTTTCTCATCTCTTCTCCATTCCCTCTCTCACGCCTCCTCATCTTTCCCAGGGCATTCAGAACCAGGCCCCCAGGCTCCCGCCTTCCCATTTCCCTAGCCATTCAGAGCCCTCATCCTGGCCTCCACATCCTGCCCACCCCGCCGCGATGCAGTCTTTCACATCTGCCCACCTCACTGCTCCCTTTGCTGTCTCATTCCCTCCTCCTCGCCTCTCTTTAGTTCTTTCTTTGCTGCCATTGCCCCACGCACCACCATGCCCCATCTCTCTCTCTTCTGGGTTGTTCTGTAAAGGTCACCTTGTTTATGTTGCCCTGGCAAGCCAGAAGTTTCTCTCCCTTGCCTTTTCTGCCCACATGCTTTACCAGTAATTATGGTCAAGTAGAACCCAAGTCTGACTCTTAATACAGTCAGACTCACTAATTCTAGAAGAGGTCTCCTCTGAATTCAAAAACTCCTTTTTAAAGTGCTTGGAAACATTGGCTTAATGGATGGATGCCTCTTGGTACCCCAAGGAAGAGCTCTGTACTCCTGCAGAGTCTCAAGCCCTGCCCTTTATTAGCTGTGTGACCTTTTAGCAAATCATTTAAACTTTTCAGCCTATGATTCCTCGTCAGCCAAATGGCAATGATCATCACAGTAATAACAATCGCTATAATTTATGGAAAGCTTACCCTGTGCCAGGCACCAGGCTGTGCACTCAACACAAGTACTGTTACCTGCTCATTCATTTTACAAATGAGGAAACTGAGGGTCAGAGATGTTAAGTGGCTTGCTCACAGTCATGAAGCTGTGAACATGATGGATTGATTAGAGAGTGAAACCCAATCTGTTAGACTCCAAAACCCAATGGTCTTGACCTTTTCACCACACCCACTTTTCATAACGTCTGTCTCCTAGGGCTACCAAGATCATCCATGCAGCATGGTAGTTAGCACACTGCCTACCACATCGCGAGTGCTTAATAAAAGCTCATTATGACTACTATTACCATTAACTTGAAATAGGCTAACAAAATGCTGCACGCAGGGACTGTGCTGTGCTGTAATAAACCAAGAAGAATAAATCATAACACTGTATTGTTTAGATGTCTTTGGTACTTCTGAAGTGTCTATGGGCTTACGAAGACATCCCACATACCCAGAATAATGATTACACTGACTTATAGGACAGCCACTTCATTAATTGATGCACAAACTTAAAGTGCAGCCTGTTACTGTAAGGAAAAACCAAACCAAACCAAACCAAAACCAATGCCCAGTTAGGATGTAGTAATTTTGCTACTGAGTAATATTCTTTGAGTAGTATTCTTTCTACTCAATTTTGACCAGGGGCCAGGCACAGTGGCTCACACTTGTAATCCCAGCACTTTGGGAGGCTGAAGCAGGAGGATTACTTGAGCCCAGGGGTTCAAGACCAGCCTGGCCATCATAATGAGACCTTCGTTTCTATAAAAAATGTAAAAGATTAACTGGGTGTGGTGGCTGGCACCTGTAGTCCCAGCTACTTGGGAAGTTGAAGCGGGAGGATTGCTTGAGTCCAGGAGGTCCAGGCTGCAATGAGCTATGATCGCGCCACTGCACTCCAGCCTGGCAATAGAGCAAGACCCTGTAAAAAACAAAAAACAAAAAACGAAACGAAGGAAGGAAGGAATAGATGGATACAACTAGGTTTTGGAGCTAGAAACACCTTGGTAGCTGTGTGCCCAGAGGAACCTCTCTGACCTCAGTTTCCTCATCTGCAAAATGTCATTAATGTATACATTGGAGTTGCTGTAATAACTAAACAACACCTGTGATATACTGGATCTGTGTCTTGCCTACAGAAGGGGCTCAGCAAGGTGAACCTGCTTCCTTGTCCCTCTGAGGTTTTTCCATGTTTAGAGGTTGATGAGAGTACTGAGAAAGTCAGATCGTAATTCTCCACCACCAGCCTGGTGCCTGAGGCCCTGTCTCCATGAGGGTGTTTGTCTTACTGGTCTTCATCTTCTGTTCCTTCTGCAAATCCTCCAGAAACATCTGTCCCTGCTTCAGTTAACTCTGTCTTCCTTCTTAAAGTTCTTCCTTCTTGAAGTTCTTGCTATGAGCGTGGAAAGTCACTCATGTCACACAGAACCTTTTCCCTTCTCTCCCTGCAACCTTGCAGGTCAGACGTCTGGTTTCTGCTCCATCTTCTCCCACTGGCCCACCTCCTTCAGAGAGGACCTGTCTCCCAAACACCACCAGCAAGAGGGCAGCACTTGCCTAGCTTCCTAACCTTCCAAAATTTAATGGGAAAAAATTGACCTGTTCCAAAACAGGAACCTTGGGTTTTAGTCTTGGTTTTGCCAACTTACTAAGCCTGAAGCCTCTGGGCCTCGGTTTTCCTATGTGTCAAATGAGCCAAGAAAGATCCATTTTCTGTGATTCCGTTAGCACTCGACTGCATGCAAGTAGCAGAAATGATGTTTCATCCATTAAATGGTTTTGAGTAGTTGCTATGTGCCAGGCACAGTGTTGAACACTGGAAAGACAAGAGTTAAAAGATAGCCCTTACCCTCAAGGAGATCAGAGTAGTGTGTGGTTAAATTAACAACAGCAACAATCATCATAATAAGAACAGCCAGTATTTATTCAGCACTTACTATATGCTGGGCCCTTGCTTCAGTTCCTCCCTATAATGGGAGGCAGAACCTATTTTACGGAGGAAGCAATTGAGGCTTAAAGAAGTTAAGAAACTTGCCAGGCACTGTGGCGTGCACCTGTAATCCCAGCTACTTGGGAGGCTGAGGCAGAAGGATCACTTGCAGCCAGGAATTCAAGGCTGTAATGTGCATTGATTGTGCCTGTGAATAGCTATTGCACTCCAGCCTGAGCAACATAGTAAGACTCGTCTGTTAAAAACTGTTTAAAGTAAAGGAAGTTAAGAAACTCACCCAAGATTACAGAGCTAGCAGGCCCATAGAGTGGGATTTGAACTCAGGGAGTCTGATTTCAGAGCCTGCTCCTTTAAACACTGAGTTTTGGAGCCAAACCTGGAATCCAGACTTCATTTCTTTATTTAAACACTGCTGTCTGTGGTTTAATCTCCAGGACACAGCAAGCCCACGGACAACAGAAAGGAAAACCAAATGAAAAAAGAACATCTGCAATCGTGACTAAACATTTCTTAGAGCTGACAAGATAGGAAGAAAAAGTAAAATGATGATGATCTTAGCTTCTCGGTGTTAAAGGACATTTTAACACATTGTCAGGCCAAAGTAAAAGATTACCACCTCCCTGGAAACAAGCGAGCAAACACACATGGGCTCTGGAATCCAACAGATGTGGGTTCGGTTCTCTGCTGCCACACACAAGCTGCGTGGCCTTGGAGTGCAATAGCTACTCACAGGCATGATGATTACACATTACAGCCTTGAGTTTCTCACCTCAAGAGATCCTTCCACCTCAGCCTCCCAAGTAGCTGGGATTACAGGTGCAAGTCACTCTACCTTGCTGAGTCACAATAAAGGGCATATGGTAAAGGGTAGCAAAAACAACCTCTTGCCATGTATTTTAAAACAAGTGACAGAAGTTACTAATTTTTCTTGTCCTCTTCCTTCCTTTCCCCCCACTCCCCACCCCCCATTCTACCCCATGCCTCTGGCTTCCAGGAATCCTGACCTCTGTGAAGAGATCCTGGCATTTCTGGTCCAACCCAAGCCAGAGAACCATTAAGAAGGGGCCTTCATTCTGGATTCTCCGACGCAACACTGACGTCCCAGCTGCGACGTACTGTCACTGATGAGAGACTGGGAAGGGAAAAGCATATATATATAGATATATAGAGATATAGATATATATACAGGAAACACCGCATCCTTGCACTGCTGCTGGGGCTGGCAGAGCAGTTGGCTGACAGCAACAACCGACATCTGAACACCTACATTTCCTTTGCAGACAAATTGAAGAACTGGTGGGATTTTTTTCAAGAAAAAAAATTATATAATAACTATAATCCCTTGCTCACCCCTTTCCCCCGCCAAATAAGAAACGCAAGCCAGACCACGATGATTGTAGAAGTCCCTCCCGCCCTGGTTCTGCACGTTACAGTTAGCAGACGAGCAATTCCATTTGTTCTTCTCCAGCATCTCTAAGGCCCACTTGAATGCAAAGGAAAACACTTGCACAGCAAAGCAAGAGAAGTCACAGCAGCAAGACACGCACAGTCAACCATTTTCCGAGAAAAAAAGAAAATTCCCCACTTGGAAAGAAAGAGGAGGAACACTGGATTCTTACTTTCTGGATCTTGACACTGGGCTGCAAAACCTACCTTCCTCTCTCCCGCCTCCCCTCACCCTCAACTCTCAATGTCTTGCTGTCATTTTCTGTCTCGGCTCCCTCCTCCCCCTTCCCCCTTCCCCCACCCCACACCCTTCACCCTCTGTGTCCTGGTCCTTCTGAGGGCCACTGCAGATGACTCTCCTTTGAAATGAGAAAAAGAAAAGAAAGCAAGAACAGAAAACGAAGCCACAGGAAGGGAAGTAGACATTGTATGCTTATGGTTTCTCATTATGAAGGTGCAGCTTGTAGGAGGTTTGTACGGATGTGCTTTGAAGTTATGTATATTACATATAACAGGAAAAAATATTAAAATAAACAGTGCTGGTAAGTATGAAGCTGACATTCTAAAATTATAATTATCTGACTGTGATTGATGTATCCTGAGGTTCCTAGATCTCACTGAACTGGCCCAGCTAAGGAGACCTGGACTCTGGGTGTGGGTTGGCTCACAGTAGGGGCTGACGGGTTCAGTGTAGTAATACTGTGTGTGGTGTTTGTAATTGGTTGATTGGTGGGGAGGGGTGGGGGGCCCTAATGGAGAGGTGTGGGTTTGGCAAGAAAGAAGCAACACAGATGTCGTCCCCAAAATGCCAGTTCAAGACACCTTCTCCCTGCCCCCCTGGTAGTAACAGTCAGGGCCTGGTCTGTGCTCAGGTACTGGGTCCCAGTCTGGGACTCTGCTGCTGAAGTTGCCACAGTAGAGGTCCCTGGCTTAGTCCTTATCTCCCTACGGGGCTTGCCTTGGTTTTCAGTCTTCTCTCTCTTTCTCTCTTTTTTTTTTTTTTGCCACATTCTGCCCTTCCCTGACCCCATTGTAATAACCAACTCCATATCCAAAGGGAGGTGGTGCTCTCAGCCATTGTAGAAGATGGTGGCTTTAACCTGACTGTCTAAAAATTCCCAGCTAAGCCTTTTCCTCTACTCTCTTCCTTGTTCTGAATCATTTCTTCTTCTCAGGCCAAAGTAGCCATGGTAAGGAGGCTTCATGGGGCAGACCCTGAAAGATCAAAACTGCATTTGCAAAGCCCTCCCCTGTCCCAGGACAAAGCTGAGACTGACGGGTGATGTTGCTCATAGGCTCCAGCTCTGCATAAGACCTTGGCTTGGAGACCTCCCTCTCAGTCAACAGCTGAACTCTGAGCTTGTGCCCAGAAATTACCCCAAGACCACAGGAACCCTTCAAGAAGCTCCCATCACAAGCTTGGCATTGCTCTCTGCCACACGTGGGCTTCCTCAGGCTTGTCTGCCACAAGCTACTTCTCTGAGCTCAGAAAGTGCCCCTTGATGAGGGAAAATGTCCCACTGCACTGCGAATTTCTCAGTTCCATTTTACCTCCCAGTCCTCCTTCTAAACCAGTTAATAAATTCATTCCACAAGTATTTACTGATTACCTGCTTGTGCCAGGGACTATTCTCAGGCTGAAGAAGGTGGGAGGGGAGGGCGGAACCTGAGGAGCCACCTGAGCCAGCTTTATATTTCAACCATGGCTGGCCCATCTGAGAGCATCTCCCCACTCTCGCCAACCTATCGGGGCATAGCCCAGGGATGCCCCCAGGCGGCCCAGGTTAGATGCGTCCCTTTGGCTTGTCAGTGATGACATACACCTTAGCTGCTTAGCTGGTGCTGGCCTGAGGCAGGGCAGGAAATCAGAATAGCATTTGCTTCTCTGGGCAAATGGGAAGTTCAGCGGGGCAGCAGAATCAGTGGCATTCCCCCTGGTGCAGGCCGGTGGGTCCACTCCAACTCCCCCTGAGTGTAGCAGCACACTTTCCATACACCAGGTTCTTTCTACAATCCTGGTGGAAAAGCCACAGAACCTTCTTCCTGCCCTTCTTGAGAGTTCCCCCTCTTTCTGGGTCAAGAGCTGGAGTGGTGGCTCCATCCTCTCTGGGCCACTTCGGTCTAGGAACTCATCTTTGCAGGAACCAGGAGTCCTGAGCACACTGAACACACCTCAGAGGGAGGATCCTTGTTGTGGATTTTGCACCTGGCTTTGGGGCAGGGGTGAAGTGACCAGGCTTAGCTTGTGGAGTTTATGGGCCACCAGGGTTTGGGGAAATCACCATCCCGCGGATGCTGTGACCTCCCTTCTACGGAGATGCAGGCAGTGCCACGAGGGAGGAGGGGACCTGCAAAGCTAGAATCTAGGGCACTGTTTCCTCCCCATCCTTCTCTTTGTAGAGAATAGAGACGTTTGTCTTGTCTGTCTTCAACCTACTTTTCCTTTTCTCTTTTTTGTTTCTCATCCTCTCTGTGCCACCTCTCCACCCAGGAGGCCATGTAGCATAGTGGAAAAAGTCCCTGAGGGCGGTTAGGAGTTCTGGGTGACCATCCTGGCTCAGCTCCTAACTCACCATGTGACATCAGGCTATCCCCATTCCCCCTCTTGGGCCTCAGTTTCCCGACTTGCAAAATAAGCAGAAAGAACCAGATGCTCTCCAGGGTCTTTTTCTACTTTGCTATCTCATGGGTCTTCATTTTCTCTTATTTTGTTTTCTCTGGATCTTTTCCATCTGAGGGTACAGGAAGTACCAGGACCTGTTTCAGTTTTTGAATCCTGCAAGCACATTCCAAGACTGGCCTGAAACTGCATGAGCAACATCACTCGAAATAATTTTTTTTTTCAAAAGCACCTTAACAACCAATTGCGATGCTGTCCTGTTCCTTTTTACTCACACCCTTCTCTCCTTTCTCGTCCCCATGCTCCCCCACCTCAGTGCTCCGTGCTGTATGCGTGTGCTCTCTGTTCTTGTATACTCAATATAAGTGAAATAAATGTGTTTGATGCTGAACCATACTTCCTTGGCACCTCTCCTCTCTCTCTCTCTCTCTCTCTCTCTCTCTCTCTCTCTCACTGTCTCTCTCTGACTTTGGCCACTGGTACAAGTTGGCACTGTGGGAGGGGCTAAAACTGAAGTGGAGACATCCCAACTTAGAACATGTTTATGCAACAAATATTTGGAACTCAAGGTGGTCCAGGCCTTGGGTGACTCTCCAGGCACAACACAAACAAGACAAAAGTCCCTGCCCTTCATGAACCCACAGGCTAGTGGAGGAAACAGATGCCAACACAGGCAAACAGTCCGTTACAGAGCACTCAGCACTAGGAAGGAAATACACCGGGAGAAGGGAAGGAGGGTCACTGAAGGAGACCACTTTAAATACAGTGGCCAGGTAAGGCCTCCCTGAGGAGGCGATCTGTGAGCTGAATGAAAAGAAGGATCAATCAACAAAGGCGAGGAACTTTGGTGCACATTCTAGGAGAGGGAACAGTAAGCATACAGGCCCCAGGACGTGGAGGGGCTTATTGAGCGGAGAAACAGCATGGTCCCTCCTCCTGAAAGAAGAGTACCTACATTGGAGTCTCTCTTCCTGTAACCCCCCTACATGGGAGCCTAGTGGGAAAAAATACAGCAATCCTCAACTTCGGCCTTTGCCCAGAACCTCTATATATGTTCCCATATCCTCATACCACCTGTCCCATTATTCACTTATTTTTCTTTAAATTGACTCAGGTCAAGTGCAGTGGCTCACGCCTGTAATCCCAGCACTTTGAGAGGCTGAGGCAGGCAGATTACCTGAGGTCAGGAGTTCAAGACCAGCCTGGCCCACATAGTGAAATCCCATCTCTACTAAAAATACAAAAAATTAGCCGGGTGTGGTGGTGCACACCTGTAATCCCAGCTACTCGGGAGGCTGAGGCGGGAGAATCGCTTGAACCCAGGAGGCGGAGGTTGCAGTGAGCCGAGATCGTGCTACTGCACTCCAGCCTGGGTGACAGAGAGAGACTCCGTCTCAAAAAAATAATAAAATAAAATAACTAACTAAATAAATTGACTCACGTTAAAAGCAAATGCATTTAAAAAGGAAACTATATTACTTCCACAAATGAAAAGCTTATGTTATTTGCCAAGAAAGGAGGTCTTCATAAAATAAATGCAAAAATATTAAAATTAACAACCACAATGCACTTAAAACCTAAACTCATCCCTTGGACCACCTGAGGTGCACACACCACACTTTCCTTTTATTCCACCAAGCAACTCACCTCAGCCCACCTTTATTGCTGCAAATCTCACCAGCGAGTCTTTTCCATGTGTATGTATTTTTCCAGAGTTGGTCATCTTGTACATACTTTTGTAAATACTTTAAAATATATATATGTACATATATGTATATATATGTACATATATATCTATATACACGTATATATATCCTGAGCATTTCCGTATACTTTCAAATACTAAATACTTATTTTCTTTGGAAAGGTAATTCATTAAATGATACAAAGACTATGCAGTGAAAAGTGATTCTTCAGCCTTCTCCAGATTTCTGTCTCTTGTCAGAGGCAATTGCTGCGAGGAACATTATGAATCCTTCTCTGAATTTTCCCTATAGGTCTCCTTTAGCAATCTGTTATCCCTAGGGTTCTGGAATAGGACTTGGTTTACAAACAATGGGTCTTCATATGATTCCTCAGGACCCCATACACCCTGATCCATATTTCTGTCTCCCATAAAGGACCATCCTGACTCGGCTTTTGTCGAATAATCAAAGGTAAGTTCACCCAGATTAGTGTTTTTCAACTGCATTGAGAGTGGGGAAATGACCCCTCCTCCTTTACCCCCAACCCCCGCCCCGGGGACATTTAGCAATGGTTGTCACAACTGAGGGGTGCTACTAGCTCTAGTGGGTAGACGCCAGGGTTGCTGCTAAACATCCTACAATGCACAGGACAGCCACATACAACAAATACTTATCTGGCCCCAAATGTCAATAGTGCCAAGGTTGAGAAATTCTGATCTAAATGGACATGTGACCCACAAGGTGGGACTCCTAGGCCACCATTTACAGCTTCTACAACCAGTGTTCAGTGTCCTGGAGTCTCTGAAAAGACGGTGAGCCCAACTGAAACAGGGAGCTTTGAGACCAGACCATAGAGCTCAGCACTTAAGACTGGGAGTGGGGAGGGGTGGAGAGGGAGCTGAGCTTCTTCATGCAGGAGATGAAACTTGACAGGACAGGCTGAGATTGGTAAGCATGACTGTGACTGATGGAGGCTGTCTCTGGTTAATCCTGCAGCAGCTCATTGTGATTAACCATGACTGCAGGGCCCGGTCTAGTCTGCAACCCACTAAGAGATAAATTTTGACCGAGACAGATTGGCGTGTCCAGCTGTCACTGAGGAAATGTGACAGACAAGCTAAGGAGCAGCAGCACAAGAGATAAGAACAGACAGCCCTTGGTTTGCATTCTAGCTCTGCCATTCTCTGGCTGTGTAACATCTCTTTGAACCTCAGTTTTCTCTTCTGCAAATTGGGAATACACATACCTTACAAGGGTTAGTGCAAGGATTATAAATACCCAAGTGGGCCGGGCACGGTGGCTCATGCCTGTAATCCCAGCACTTTGAGAGGCCAAGGTGGGCAGATCACCTGAGGTCAGGAGTTCGAAACCAGCCTGGCCAACAAGATGAAACCCCGTCTCTACTAAAAATACAAAAATTAGCCAGGCACGGTGGTGGGCGCCTGTAATCCCAGCTACTTGGGAGGCTGAGGCAGGAGAATGGCTTGAACCCAGGAGGTGGAGGTTGCAGTGAGCCGAGATAGCGCCATTGCACTCCAGCCTGGGTGACAGAGTGAGATTGCGTCTCAAAAAAAGAAATACCCAAGTGGCCTGCCCTAAAATCACATAAGCCAATTCTTGGCAATAAATCACTTAATATAGATCTCCTACTGGCTCTGTATCTTTGGTGGAACCCTGATTAATAGTGCAGGGTTAGACCCACAAATAGTTATTTATTAATACCAAATTATCATCATTATTAATTAAATGCATAATATATGTACTCAGCTGAGCTTTTGTGCCTGGCTTTGTGCTCGGTTCCAGGGAAACAGTGAGGAACAAGACAGGCAGATTCCTTCCCTAGTGCGTTGATAGCCTGACTGAGATGTTAGGACTTGGCCTGCAGGAAGGACACGGGGTGATAATGGCCAGAGGGACTGAGGTGGCGACCGCTGCTGCTGCAGCAGCGGAGGCTGACGCTGGTTCTCTCTGGGCTGGTGGCTGGGTTTCTGAGGCTCTCCCCGAGGGCTGAGTGTGACTGGAAGCTGAGACACTGTGACCGGGATAGAGACTGGCTGACAAAGACAGTGACCGAGCGCCTGACTGGCTACTTCTGAATAGTAGCCACTGGTACAAGCCTTGGCTGTGCTTTAGTGACCATGACTGCTTGAGCCCAAAGTAAGATGGCTGGTGGCTGTGTTTCTGGACGGGGATATAAAATGCATAGGTTAATGAAAGTTGTTCACAATTCAGAAGCTAAAACGAGAAACTAAGAATAACAAAAGGCAACCTTGCATCCGGCGGAACCTGCAGGCACGGGCCATTCTTCCCGCGACCCAGGGCTCTGCCGGACCGCTTCCCCCGTCGCTCCAGTCAGACGCCAAAGCTGGAGAACTTCCGGTGCGTTTCCGCTGTACCGGAACGTGGGGCGAGGCGGTGAGTGTGGCCTCCTGGCCTCTTTTTCCTTTCCTGATTCCTTGTGTATGTGTGGCTGGGCCGCCCCTCTTCTCGGCTCAGAGTCACGGAGTGCCTTGAACTAGGCCCACCTCGCCGGGGCGGCTGGTTCTCTGTTTGTGGGACGCTGGTGTCTCTGGAGGCCCTTCCTGAGAAGCCGTCGCCAGAGTTACGTCGCGGTTTTCTTAACTTTAGAGCCTGGGGGCCGGAGACCCTGATTGCACTCGACCTGGCTCTGCCCTACTCTCTGCGTGACTTCCAGTAAGGTCTTTCCCCGAACTGAGGCTTTGTTTCTCGTTTACAAAATGGATATCATACTTGTATTAAATAAATGTTTACTAAGCGTTGAATCTGTGCTAGGGATACAGCAGGACTCAAGTCTCGTGGCGATGACAGCCTTCAATCAAACATCCAAAACTGCAGTTGTGATCATTGAGACGGAAAGGTACAAGGCACCCCAGATTATATCACAGGAGACCTGACCTAGCCCCAGGGCAAGGAACCTTTACTGAGGAGGTGAATATTGAGCTGAGATCAGAAAAAAGGATTTGACAAAGTGGGGAGGGAAGAGTTTTCTATATGGAGACAGCCTCCAATTTCAGGTTCTGAAAGAGGCCGTTGTGGCTGGAACAGAGAGCTTGTGGGGGACCATTGTGTGACACAAGCTAAAGGGGTTGCCAGGAGTCAGACCGTGCAGGCTTTGTAGGTAATAGGAAGAATTCTGGTTTTTCAAGAACCATATGGGAAACCACTCAGAAGCTGACATGGGTGGTGTTGTGATTAGATTGGCATTTTGAAAAGGTTACTGCTGTTGAATGGAGAATGGGTTGAGGAGCAAGCACTCTGAGTGAGGGACGATGGTAGCTTGGATTAGGGAGGTGGTGGAGAGAAGTGGATGGATGTGACTTTAGGTGTTCCAGGACTGTGAGGAACTCACAGAGCTGTCAGTGACAGGGGCTGGTAGACTGCAGAGTTCTATGCATATTTAATAAACGTTTTCCTAGCATCTCCTCTGTGCTAGGCCCTGTGCCAGCTGCTGGAGATATAGTGAATAGAATTACAGACTGGTGGAATTAGCATGAAAGAAACGTCATTATCAAGGAGGAGCACACAGATGTCACAAGGGAAAATGGCTAATTGATGAGCTGTTATTGTAAATGGAATATCTGTTCATTCAGCAAATATTAAATACTTTCTGAATTCAGGATTACAAATAGGAAGATGATACGTATTATTATTATTATTATTATTATTATTATTATTATTATTATTATTATTTTGAGACGGAATTCGCTCAGACCCCCAGGCTGGAGTGCAGTGGTGTGATCTCAGCTCACTGCAACCTCTGCCTCCCAGGTTCAAGCAATTCTTCTGCCTCAGCTTCTCAAGTAGCTGGGACTACTGGCGCACACCACCATGCGCGGCTAATTTTTTTTGTATTTTTAGTAGAGATGGGGTTTCACAGTATTGGCCAGGCTGGTCTCAAACTCCTGACCTCATTATCCATCCGCCTCGGCCTCCCAAAGTGCTGTGATTACAGGCGTGAGCCACCACGCCCGGCCTGTTGATACGAATTATTTAGAGCAGAGTCTTTCAAACTTTTATGACTGTGACCTACAGTAACGAATACATTTTATGGCACAACCAAGTATACACACAAACACACAAAGCTCCAGAAAACAGTACTTAGCTTTACTACTCATGATGTATTGTGATATTTCAAAAATTCTGTTATTTTCGTTTAAAAAATAATGCTGGTTGAGACCTTCACATTGATTTCCTAATCCACTAATGGATTGTGACTTGCAGTTTGGTGAAACACAAAGTGCTGATTCAGGGTAAGAGTCATTTGTGGTGGTTTTGAGGTAACAATGATAAAATGTGCTCTTATTTTTGGAAAAGGATTGGTCTTCCTTTCTGCACTGCTTTATTTAAAGTAAAAAGGGTAAACAGGGCCAGGCATGGTGGCTCACACCTGTTATCTCAGCACTTTGGGAGGCCGAGGCGGGCAGATCACTGAGGTCAGGAGTTCCAGACTAGCCTAGGCCACATGGTGAGACCCTCTCTGTACTAAAAATACAAAACTTAGCCAGGTGTGGTGGCACACACCGGTAGTCTCAGCTGCTTGGGAGGCTGAGGCACAAGAATTGCTTGAACCCGGGAGGTGGACGATGTAGTGAGCCGAGATCACGCCACTGCACTCCAGCTGGGGTGACAGAGCGAGACCCTGTCTCAAAAAAAAAAAAAAAAAAAGTAAACAATTAAACAGGCAGCTCGTTTTTCTGTGTGTGAAATTTTGACGTCTTGGCTAGATTGGAATTGCCTAGAGGGCAGTGACTGTCTTAATCTGTGATGTTTTTTGGGGGCCTGGCAAAGATCCTGGCACAATGCAGGCACTCAGTGAGTATTTGTTAAATTAGTCAGGTAGGTATCTTAGGACTAGAAGGTTGCATAATGGTTTGTTTACATTTGTTCATGTTGGTACCATTCTTGCCGATATCCCAGAGGCAATGTCTGGGATATTCAGAAGTAGGTAAAATAAGTGTACTAAGCTCTTTCTCTTCTGGCCAGCTTTCTCTTCCTAGGCTAGCTTTACCACCTGAATTCATTCTGGATGAATGGTCCAGAGCCACCACTGATTGTGGGCTCTTTGGGAAGTTGTTTCACTCCCTGGAGTTTAGGTTTTTTATGAGTGAAAGAAGAGGGGAGATTTGTGGTAGGAAAGCTCTCTAGACCCTGAACAAACTTTAGATGCTGAGCCTCCACTTGCTACCGTCTGTCCATTTCTGGGCCTTCCCTGAGGCTTATGGGAAACTGGATATGTACTTGATTTAATCTTTCCAAATCTTTTGGGATAGTTTTTTGGCAGAATTGTAGTTTTAAATGATGTAGGCATATAGTTTAGAGTGACCTGTCCAGGCATTTTCCACCCTCACCCTCTGTTGTGAGAAAGAGATCTGAGAAGATATTAAGAATGGACGGTGGACAGAACACTGGCCTGCAGGCAGGGTATCCAGATTCTAATTTGGGTCCTGGTATGACCATGAGCATGTCACTTTTCTTTCACTGGTATCTTATAGCTGTGAAGTGAGTGTCCTTGCATGTTAAGCCAAAACACAAAAATCCTTTCCTTTAATCCTCGTTTTTCTCATCTGTAAACTCAATGCAGGGTTGTCATGAGGATTAAGGGAAATAATTATGTCAGGGGTCTAACTCAATATCTGGCACATACAGAATGCTTAGCAAATGAAGCATCTTTCCCCCACGTTCTGATTAACTCTGGTTTCTTTCTTTCTCAGCTGTTCATCAAAGAAAAAGGGTTCTTTTGGTCACCCACCACTGGCCCCATGGCTGCCGTGCAGATGGATCCTGAGCTAGCCAAGCGCCTCTTCTTTGAAGGGGCCACTGTGGTCATCCTGAACATGCCCAAGGGAACAGAGTTTGGGATTGACTATAACTCCTGGGAGGTCGGGCCCAAGTTCCGGGGCGTGAAGATGATCCCTCCAGGCATCCACTTCCTCCACTACAGCTCTGTGGACAAGGCTAATCCGAAGGAAGTAGGCCCTCGTATGGGTTTCTTCCTTAGCCTGCACCAGCGGGGGCTGACAGTGCTGCGCTGGAGCACACTCAGGGAAGAGGTAGACCTGTCCCCAGCCCCAGAGTCTGAGGTGGAGGCCATGAGGGCCAACCTCCAGGAGCTGGACCAGTTCCTGGGGCCTTACCCATATGCCACCCTGAAGAAGTGGATCTCACTCACCAACTTCATCAGCGAAGCCACAGTGGAGAAGCTACAGCCCGAGAATCGACAGATCTGTGCCTTTTCCGATGTGCTACCTGTGCTCTCCATGAAGCACACCAAGGACCGCGTGGGGCAGAATCTACCCCGCTGTGGCATTGAGTGCAAAAGCTACCAAGAGGGCCTGGCCCGGCTACCAGAGATGAAGCCCAGAGCCGGGACAGAGATCCGCTTCTCAGAGCTGCCCACGCAGATGTTCCCAGAGGGTGCCACGCCAGCTGAGATAACCAAGCACAGCATGGACCTGAGCTATGCCCTGGAGACTGTGCTCAACAAGCAGTTCCCCAGCAGCCCCCAGGATGTGCTTGGTGAGAAGGAACAAGGCTCTTTGGGAGTGGGCCAAGGGGAGGATATTAGCAGAGGTGTTTTGGAATAGGGAGTACATCTTGTGTTAGTCCAGCAGCAACTAAACCTGGCTAGGAGGCTGAAGATACAGGTGTGTCTTTACCCTTAGCCCTGGAGATTTCGATTTGAGAGATCTGGAGTGGGGCTTCCGCAGTTTCTATCTGTCTAATAAACAAACATCCTAGGTGAACCTGGTGCAGATAATCTTCTGTTTGGGAACCACTGATAGAGCCCAGTCCTACAGAAGGAAAAGATTTGGCCCACTGAGTGGCTGAACTGAGACGAGAACCCAGGACTCTTGGTTTCTGGGCCAGACCTGTGTTCGTTGTAGCCTCTCACCTGCCTGCTCAGTTTGCTCCTGACCCTCAAGATGTTGGTCTCTCAACTGGCTTAGAACAGGACAGTGATTTTTTTTTTAATCATTACAGTTTTTATTGTTACCTTCCCTTTTATTACAAAAATGATAGATAATAATCATAAAAGAAAAACAAAATTTACTTCAAATCTCACTACTTAGAAATAACCATTTAAACAGTTTGGTATATTTACGTTCCTTTTTTTCTGTGTATTTCTATGTATTTCATTTCAATGTCTTCTCTGTTTATTTCTATGTACTTCCTCTCAGTCTTAAAAATTCAGTATATGTGTCTGTATATATATGAGTTTTTATAAAAACAGGATTGAAGTATATTATTACTTTGTAATCTGCCTTAATATAAATGTTTTTTCATGTCACTAACAGTCACTTTTTTAGTGGCTGTTTCATGTTCCATAGTTATTGGACCAGTTCTCTGTTATGGACCATTGAGATGCTCCCTGTTTTCTCTATTGTATCATCAAGTGGCCGGGTGTGGTGACTCACACCTGTAATCCCAGCACTTTGGGAGGCTGAGGCCGGTGGGGATCACCTGAGGTTAGGAGTTCGAGACCAGCCTGGCCAACATGGTGAAACCCCATCTGTACTAAAAATACAAAATTAGCTGGGTGGTGTGCACCTGTAGTCCCAGCTACTCTGGAGGCTGAGGCAGGAGAATCACTTGAACCCAGGAGGCAGAGGTCGCAGTGAACCAAGACCTCGCCATTGCACTCCAGCCTGGGCAACAAGAGCCGTCTCAAAAATATATATACATATATCATCTAGTGAACATTCTCGTGTGTACTTACACATACATTTAGGGATAGAATTGCTGGGTCAGACTGTGCATGTTGCCAGGAGAAGGTTTTTGCATCCTTGCTGGCTGGTAGGAACCTGTTGCCCATCACCTTTGACAGCATTGGGCATGACAGTTTAACAAAGGCCTCTTCCAATTGGATAGCTGAAAAATGGCACCTTGTTTATATTTCTTTATTTCTTAAATACTAGTGACAGCAAATATGTGTCACATTTTGAACAGCTATTTTTATATATATTTATAAATTTTCCAGGTAATTTGCATATTTTCTTGTTGGAAGTTCAGTGAGAAATTTGAATGTAGGACTTCTTTTTTTTTTTTTTTTTTTTTTGAGACAGGGTTTCGCTGTGTCGCCCAGGGTGGAGTACAGTCAGTCACACAATCATGTCTTACTGCCACCTCAACCTCTCGGGCCCAAGTGATCCTTCTGCCTCGGCTTCCCAAAGTGCTGGGATTACTGTGCCTAGACAGGACTTTTTATATCATTGGCTCAGCTAATGATATAACCTATATTTTAACAGGTACATCTTTTGTTGTTGTTGTTGTTGTTGTTGTTGTTGTTGTTGTTGTTGTTGAGACGGAGTCTTGCTCTGTCGCCCAGGCTGGAGTGCAGTGGTGTGAGTTCGGCTCACTGCAAGCTCCGCCTCCCGGGTTCACGCCATTCTCCTGCCTCAGCCTCCTGAGTAGCTGGGACTACAGGCGCCCGCCACCACGCCCGGCTAATTTTGTTTTGTATTTTTAGTAGAGACAGGGTTTCACCATGTTGGCCAGGATGGTCTCGATCTCCTGACCTCATGATCCACCTGCCTCAGCCTCCCAAAGTGCTGGAATTACAGGCGTGAGCCACCGCACCCAGCCTTTAACAGGTACATCTTAATGCATTAGTATTTTCGTATAATAAGTAACTTTTAAAAGTCTGGCTTAAAAATGAATAGAAATCCTGTCTTTCTACCTCTTAAACATTTCAATTCTTCAAAATATATCTTGCGAAAAGGTCTGTTACAGGAATAACTTTGTTGGTTTTTTTTTTTTTTTTTTTTTGAGACAAGGTCTCACTCTGTGACATGGGCTGGAGTACAGTGGCATGATCACAACTCACTGCAGCCTCAACCTCCTGGGCTCAACTGAGCCTCCCACCTCAGCCTCCCAAGTAGGTGGGACTTCAGGTGTGTGCCACCACGCCCAGCTAATTATTTTTGGTTGAGATAGGGTCTCCCTGTGTTGCCCAAGCTTGTCTCAAACTCCTGAACTCAAGCAATCCTCCTCCACTGACCTCTCAAAGGGCTAGGACTATCCCTGCCACCGCACCTGTCCAGGGATAATTTTGAATCTACATCACACCTCTTTGAAAAATATAATTTAATTTTAGATAAAGTCAGAAATGCACAAATTTAATAAATGTCCTAAACGCAAATAATAGGCTAATATTTAGTTTCACAAACCAAGTAAAGCCAGCTGAAGAAGCAAATCATTAACCTATATTATACAAAGAAAATTTGACTATATTTGAAAATATTGGTCAGAAATCCAAAATTTCTAAACCAGGTAGCTATTCACACAAATCAAACTTAGTTCCGTATGCTTAGGAACAGGGAGCTAGTTTTTCCAGGTCTCTGGAGGTGGCACAGATCAAACGCCATGCATTTAAAGAGGTATTTGGTGTTGAGTACATCTCTTCTTTTTATGGCCCACATGTATGTATACCTCATTAAATTTCCAGCCACCTTTGAAGTAGAGAGAATGCCTGTGATGAGGAGCAGTATTCTGTGGTAACCAGAGACCCAGTTACTTGCCCAGGGACAGTGGTGTCTGGATCATCAGGTCTCTGTTTGAGATGGGCATCTGATAGAAATTGGGAACATAATATTTTTTGAGTGCTACTTTGTGCCAGGTCTTATTCTAAATGCTATACATGTACTATATCCATTCATGTAATCTTTGCTACAACCCTCAAATAAGGAAATTGAGGCCTTAATAGATTGAGTAACTTGCCCAAGGTCACACAGCTGCTAAGTGGCAGAGCTAAGATTTGAAGCTAGGCAGTTTGGCTCCAGAGCCCATGCTCTTAGCCACCAAGCTGCTCATAGAGATTAAATCACAGAGCCCTGTGGTTAAGCAAACAAAAATAATCTGCCTGGCAGGCTGACCCTGGAATAAGTACTCATGAATTTTTCTTTTGTGGGAGGTTCCAGAACTGTTCCCACCCAATGGAGAATCTGTTTTATCTTTCCGTTGCCCACATTGTGAAGCATTAGATGTGTGGCCTTGGGCAAGCCCTTGACCTTATCTATGAAATGAGGCAAATACCATCTTCCTGATCGCCTTGTGGAGTTGGGCTGAGGGTTACATGGTATAGTGCAGTATTTCCTGACCCTGGAGCAGACCATCCACATTAGAATCACCTGGGGAGCTTGTTAGAGCTACAGATACGAAGGCCCCATCATCTCTCCTCCACCAGAACCTCTGAGGGTGAAGCTTGGGTAGCTTTACTTTTAACAGACTCTCAGTGATTCTGATGGGCAGCCAGGTTTGAAATCCACTTGGCATAATATCCATGAACACATTTTGTAAACTTAAAATGCCAGGCAAATACTGGGAATACCTCTTCTCTAGCAGTCTGATTTTATAGAAATCCAAAGCCACAGGTTGGTTTCCCATGGCTTGAATTCATAGCGGTTCAGCAGACATCTATTGAGTACCTGTTAGGTGCAAAATCTCCTGCCAGGCTCTGCAGGAGTGACAAGGATAAAAGCTCATCTGTTGCTGAGGTCCAGTGGAATTCATGGCCTTGTGAATAGTGATGGAGAGTGTCAGCTGGTCCTCCTCTCCCTCAGAATCACTTCTCCTCTCTGCACCTTTCAGGTGAACTCCAGTTTGCTTTTGTGTGCTTCCTGCTGGGGAATGTGTACGAGGCATTTGAGCATTGGAAGCGGCTCCTGAACCTCCTGTGCCGGTCAGAAGCAGCCATGATGAAGCAC
This sequence comes from Homo sapiens, assembly GCF_000001405.40. Taxonomy (NCBI): domain Eukaryota; kingdom Metazoa; phylum Chordata; class Mammalia; order Primates; family Hominidae; genus Homo; species Homo sapiens. The sequence continues at coordinate 36,244,813 of NC_000020.11, forward strand.
CACACCCTCTACATCAACCTCATCTCCATCCTGTACCACCAGCTTGGTGAGATCCCCGCTGACTTCTTCGTAGACATTGTCTCCCAAGACAACTTCCTCACCAGCACCTTACAGGTGAGCAGTCTTTCTGACTGAGCTGATGCACATGTGGGTCAGAATTGAGGCAACAGTATGTGTTTTGTTTCTCGCTATTCTTCCATGACCCCAAAATTTTTAAATTTCAGTTTCCTAGTCTTGGGATATTTCCTGCTTTTCTCTCTCTTACTCAATTGTAAGTGCCTCTATGCCAGAAATTTTCTCTCTGTACCACCCTCTCCCTACACCTCGTCCCCAGAGTGCCTAACACTGGGGTACTTGGATTTGAATTCCTCCCACTGCTTTGGTTTACTCAGCTTAAAACAGCGTTTCTTTCTCCCTGTAGCCATGAATTGCTACAACCCAGTAAAGCAGAATTTTGAAGTTTGTTATTCCCAGTGAAACATCTGCAGCTCCTTAGATCTCATTTAAGCATTAAAATAACTTTGATTTCCTGTTCAAACAAAATGTGCCAGTTTCTGCAGAGATTCTATGACAGAAAAAGTGAAATTTGCTTTTAACTTGGCAATTAAATTTTCATTATGAGTGGTAATTAGGAAAGAAGCTTCAAACAACTTACAATCTTCATCCTATGCTATTTCCTCCCTTTGCAAACAGATTAGTCCTTTATGTACTTGGGACAGCCTCTGTCACTCACATTGTGTAACTTTCTCAAGAATAGAAGAGGCAGAAGCTGCCACTGTCAGTTTCCATACTTTCCCTCCCATGAGCTTCTTTCTTCTCCCTGTGTGTAATACCCCCATGAGGCCTGCTCCATATAAGGCAGCCTTTCACCAACCTTCCAATCCCACTCGGGGTAACAGAAGGGACGAGCATTCGTTAAATATTGGGGCTGGGCGTGGTGGTTCATGACTGTAATCCCAACACTTTGGGAGGTGAAGGCAGGAGGATCACTTGAGCCCAGGAATTAAAGACCAGCTTGGGCAATATAGTGAGACCCCGTCTCTCCAAAAATTAAAAAATTGGCCAGGTATGGTCATGTGCACCTGTAGTCCTAGCCACTTGGGAGGCTGAGACAGGAGGATCACTTAGCCCAGGAGTTTGAGGCTATAGTGAGCAATGATTATGATCGTGCCACTGCACTCCAGCCTGGGCAACAGAGTGAGACCCTGTTCACTCATTGAATCCCTTTGGAGCCTTGTAAGATGGGGGTATTATTCCCATTTTACAAATGGGAACACTTGAGAATGGTTAAATCACTTACTTGAAGTCATACAGCTGGCAGGTGGAGGTCAGGATTTGTACCCAGGCCTGAGTCTTGGTTTCCTGCCTGTGCTTATGCCCTTGTGTAGTGAACACAGTGTGAATCCCCCAGAAAGGATTCTTGATTGACATCAGTGAAGACTTCATCGAGGTCCTGTTTCTCAGAGGTACAGAACGCTTTTCTAAAGCCAACCTACTGTTGGATGAGTCCCTGTGAGCAGGCATCTGACTTAAAGCTGGCAGTTGAAGGACCTGTGTAAACCATGGCAATGAGTCAGTCAAGCGCATGATTTGAGCCTGGTCTGTTCCACTCAGAAGAGCTATAAAACTGTCCTTTTACTGGTTCTTCATATAACAGAGAAATTAAACCCCTTTGTCCTTCCTCTGTGGGGAAAATTTTCCCCAAAGGTACTGGTTATGGGTTGTGAGGCAGTGTGAGGAGGCATTAGCCTGCTAACTTGCCTCTGGCAGTGGCTGCTTCCCTCCTGATGCACGTTGATGCGTCGCACAGACACAGGAGGGCCACGGTGTTGCTGGCTGTCCAGACCATTGTTAGCACAACCAGCAGCTGAGCTCTATAATTGCCAGGCTTTGTTGCCAGCAATGATTTACAAAGCAGAAAGTGCCCAGCTGGATTGCTAGATGCCCAGGTGGGTTGTGCAAAGCTGATGGTTGGAAACATTCAGTCTTTGAACTTTTCACCAAGAAAATTCGATGTCATTATTTGGAAAAATCCAGGGCATGTGCCAAAACAAAACAAAACAAAACAAAAAACACATGTCTTTGAGCATTCTTCATATATAACATTCTACTGAAAGTGTTGAGGAATATATATACATGTGAGTTAGCCAGGGTTCCTGCCCTCAAGGGATTTGTTCATTGATTTAGCAGGTAATTGCTGAGCATCTGCTGTATAGAAGACTCTGTTCTAGAACTGGGAATATAGCTGTGAGCAAGACAGAGTCATTGTCTTGACTCTTGTAATTTGAGAAAGTTAACAGAAAGTTAACTAGCCAAGTAACTCCAGATAGCAGACTCTTGTATTTTGAGAAAGTTAACAGAAAGTTAACTAACCAAATAGCAGTAAGCAGGTAGCAGTAAGTGTTTTAGAAGGCAGTCCTGCCCTAGTACCATTTCCCTAGCCCCGGCCTTTTGGTCTCACCTAGACTGCATCGGAGTTTACCAGCCTCCGTGCTTACCAGTTACCCCATCTCTCTCCCACACTGCCACCTGAGGTGCTGCTCCATAATGCAGCTGTGATCCTGCTTCTCTGTGGCTCCTCATTGCGTGGAAAATTAAAAGCCTAAACATTGGTCGCAAAGGCCATTCTGATCTGGCTTCTTATCCTGTTCTCCAGCTTCTCTTTCCTCTCCGTTTTCCCCCATCAACTCCAGCAACAGTGGTCTCTTTGCAGGTTCCTGGACAGGTTATGCTGTTTCATGCTTTTTAAAAAAAAAAATTGTTGTAAAAAACAGCTGGTCCATGGTGGCTCACGCCTGTGATCTCAGCACTTTGGGAGGCCGAGGCTGGAGGATCACTTGAGGTCAGGAGTTAGAGACCAGCCTGGCCAACATGGTGAAACCCCCATGTCTACTAAAAATACAAAAATTAGCCAGGCATGGTGGTGGGCGCCTCTAGTCCCAGCTACTCAGGAGGCTGAGGCAGGAGAATCTCTTGAACTGGGGAAGCAGAGGTTGCAGTGATTCGAGATTGCACCACTACACTCCAGCCTGGGCAAAAACAGTGAGACTTTGTCTCAAAAAAAAATAATAAAAATAAAATTGTGGTAAAAAAAAACACAATTTAACATATATGCCCTCTTAACAGATTTTCAGTGTTCAGTACAGTATTAACCATAAGCATCATGCCATCCAGCAGATCTCTAGAACTTCTTCATCCTGCATAATTGAAACTTTATACCCATGTTTCATACCTTCTTGCCGGAACCTGATTTTCCCTCTCCCTGGTACATATTTGCTCATTCTACAACATGCCCTCAAGGCATCCCTCTCTGTCAAGCCATCCCTCCTCTCTCTGTCTCAATCTCTGTCTCTCTTTCACTCTCCCCTTTCCCTACTCTTAGCTTACTTTGAACTTGTCGCTATTATATTGCATGAGATGTGCTTGCTGAAACTAATATATTGTCTGCCTGACTCCCGCACTGAGTCATGGGCTCCTTTTACACGAGGCCTATTTTTTGTTCATCTGGTTATCTTCTTCTTCTTCTTTTTTTTTTTTTTTTGAGACATAGTCTTGGTCTGTAACCCAGGCTGGAGTACAATGGCGCGATCTCGGCTCACTGCAACCTCTGCCTCCCGGGTTCAAGTGATTCTCTGGCCTCAGCCTCCCAAGTAGCTGGGATTACAGGTGTGCACCACCACGCCAACCTAATTTTTTTGTATTTTTAGTAGAGATGAGGTTTCGCCATGTTGGCCAGGCTGGTCTCGAACTCCTGACTTCAGGTGATCCACCCAACTCACATCTGGTTATCATCAATATGTTGTCAAGGCCTAACATTTATGTCATTTGGTGTTATTGGGTGTTTTTAGATGGATAGAGTTCATAATTCTTGTGACAATGTAAATATCATAGGTATAAACAGTGGAGTCTGATCAAAGGGCGTTAGGAGCACCAAAGAGGGAGTGGTTAATTCTGACTGGGGTTGAGATTTGAGGCTTTATGCAAGGGTGGAAGGTGGGGGCATTTGACCATGCACTTGAGGGATGACTGAGATTTCAAAAGGCACAATGTGGAGAAGGATATTGTAAAACTTTTTTTTTTTTTTTAATGGAGAGTCACGTTGATGCCATGTTGGCAGTGAGAGTCCAGTTCTCCACACAGAGGCATTCACTCAGGGCATTTGTGACTGAATGAATCAGCCCATAAAAGCCTTCCTCAGCCAGCCGCCTGCCCTCCCAGGTAGTCAAGTAAGTGGAACTGGCTGTCTTACTTAGGAGCTTAAATGGCTACTACCCATGGAGAGGGACTGGTGTTTGTGTGTGTGAGCACTTAAAGACAGCCACATTAGCATGGATAAAATCAGCCGCGTAATGGAATTCTCTTAGCCATTAATTTTTTTTCAACTTTCCCATGTGAGGCCCTTTTGAATAGAAGCCACTGGTTTTTACAAATCCCTTGGATTTCACTTGAATAAAAGGGATTTGTTTTACAAAAATAGATGCAGTTTTTTCTTTTATTTAAAGCAACGTAAGTCACCATAATTCATTTAAAACCAATGAAAGGATAATCTGAATTTAATGATATGTTAGAAAGTGAGTTATGTACAAAATAAGGATTTTTATTGTTGATTACGTAGTACTTAGGCATATAGTCATCTAACCTGTTTTTAAAAATACTTCTAGTTACAATAGGCCGTATATGCTTTCCAACTTCCTTTGTTGCTAGTATTCTAAATGTGTGTTCATCTTTAACTCTTGAGGGAAAACACCAACTCTGACGATGAGGTCTATGGTATTTTTATCACGATGCCCACTATGATAAATTTGCCTGCCTACTCCTACACCTCTTGCCATTAGCTATCTCTTTTGCATGCTTAGTCTCATTGAGCCCTCACAACAGTGCTAGAAGCTAGGTCTCTAATCCCATTATATAGATGAGGAAGCAGGCTCAGGAAGGTCACATAATTTGCTCAAAATCAACAGAGCTAGTGAAAGGCAAGGCTGAGCTTTACATTCTAAAGCCTATGGTGGGCTCCTGTATATGATTAGAGCCCCAGATGAAACATCCCAGATTTTTCAAACTGACCTCAGGTGATCTCATTTATGCTGCTTTTTACCTTCCTGGTCATCATTGTGAAACAATAGTCTTGCTTTTAACACCACTTTCTTCTGCTGCAAGTGGAAACAAAATCTTCTACCTATTGCTAGTTTCATTCTAAGTTGAATAATTATTTGGGAATTGAAAAAATTAGGAAATGTCATCTTTTTGGTCTAGCTAAAAAAATAGGATAAGATAGTGACATAGCTACCTACCTTGATATTTTGAATTTCTCGAGGTGACCTAACTGAACTCAATTTATTTAACTTAGGTTTAAGAAAAGCTTTCACATGTGTGACTAAAGTAATTTAGAATTTCATAATACACAGATTAAATGATTAAAGTGTTCATGCTTTATTTTGTGTTTGAAGAAAAACACCCAGTAGGTGTGCTTTTTGTTTTAGATAAATGCATTTGTTTGCAAAATATTATCCTATTTCAAAAGTATTTTTTAAATATTCAGTATTGATATGCTGAGATTAAGGTGATTTATGTCCCAGTGACGTTAAAAAGTGTTGACTTGATTTTGTTTTAGTGAATAAAATAACTAGACCACTGTTAAGTTTCCTGAAGAAGGCGTAAAATTAATCTGAAAATAAAAGAATCAGAATAAGTTATTGCTTGGAAACTAAGTACTATTTAGACATCTTCATTTCTGAATTGTGAGGAGTTTTTACAAATACCAAGTTTGTGAAACTGTGGTCAAAAATAGACCAGGAAATGCCAGGGGGTAGGGGTGAAGGAAGGGTTTGACTGCTAAGGGGCCGCACAAGGGAGCTGTTTGGTGTGATGGGATGGCTCCATGTCCTGATTGGGGTGACGGTTACACAAATTTATACGCACCTTCAAACTCAGAACTGGATACCAAAAGCAAAGCAAACACTGTGAACATGTATCATATGGTGGTTGCATGGGGGTATATATATATTTGTCCAGATTAACTAAGCATTTAAAATTGATGAATTTACTAATCTGGGCAACATAGTGAGAACCTGACTCTACAAAAAATTAAGAAGAAAAAAAAAATACCAGGCGTGGTGGCTCATGCCTCTAATCCCAGCACTTTGGGAAGACAAGGTGCGTGGATCACTTGAGCCCAGGTGTTCCAGACCAGCCTGGGCAACATGGCGAAACCCTGTCTCTACAAAAAATACAAAATTTAGCTAGGCATGGTGGCATGTACCTATAGTCTCAACTACTGAGGAGGCCTAGATGTGTGGATCACTTGAGCACAGAGGTTAAGGCTGCAGTAAGCTGTGATCACATCACTGTGCTCCAGCCTAGGTGACAGAGTGAGACCCTATCTCAAAAAAAAAAAAAAATTATCTAGGTATTCGTGGCATGTACCTGTAGTCCTAGCTACTTGGGATGCCGAGGCAAGAGAATCCCTTGAGCCCAGGAGTTCAAGGCTGCAGTGAGATATGATCATGCCACTGCACTTCAGCATGGGCAACAGTGAGATCCCGTCTCTAAAAAATAAATAAAATAAAATGAATAAAATTAATTGTGTGTAAGTTATACCACAATAAGGTTGATTTTTTTTTTTAAGTCAACCCAGACTATGCCCTGTGTCCTGGAGGCTGCAGAAGGGACAGTTTCAGAAGCACCTTGGTTCCCTACAAGGCAGTGCTAAAAATAAATATCAGGGATGGATTAAGCCTCTGTCAAGACAAAAGGTCTGGGCAGGCAAAGGATGAAGCCGAGATGCCTCTGCTTTGACAGGACTCTGCTCAGCATTTGTCACTGCGTGTTGCCGCATGCCTAGTGTCTTACCTCTGCAGTGGGAATAGTAAGTTCCTGTCCTGCCTCCCAGGCTGTGGTAAAGATCAAGTTGGTGAGTTCTTTAAAAAGGACGAAGCACTTTTTAAATTAGAAAACGTATTTGTTAGACTGAAGGTGTCTGTTTTACCTGCCTCTAGTGGAATTTATTCCCAGGCAATGTTTGAGAGGTGCTTTGGGAGGATGGGTGATGAGCGTGAGCCCAGTTTGTTCCAGCCTGTCACTCCTGGCCATTGCCAAGTGCAGGGCAGTCCCTGGGTCTCAATAGGTCATTCGGTGAGCACCCTTTGGGCCCTAACTCTATACCTGGCCCTGGGTGATATGCTTTGTGGCACACATTGATAATTGGGACACAATCCCCACTTTTAGAGGGTGCAAATCACTGTGATACAAGCACAGTGTGAGGAATGCCATGAGGGAGGCTCGGGCACAGTGCTGGGGAACAGGGGTCTGAGCAGTTCATGTCACAAGGAGGTTTCTTGAGAGCCATGGCATTCAGGGGCCTGGTAAAGAAGCTGCCTTCTCCTTAGGATGAGCCTTTCTTTCTCCCCAGCATCACCATATCACTATTGAACAGCTATTTGGTGCTAGGCACTGTACAAAAGTGAACCCCAAATTGAGTCTGTGGTTGTCTTCATTCTTCTGTTCATTAAACATCTAATGGGTCCTTTTTGTGTGTCGGGCGCTGTGCCGAGAGTGGAGCACGGTGTGAAAGAGCCGCTGCTGTGAGGTTGCTCCGTGTCTGGTGGACAAGATCAACAGCAAATGGCCTGTTAGCTTACTGAGACTGATCAAGGTAGCCCTGGGGCTGAGGGAACGCAGAGGAGCACCTACTCCATCCTTGGTCTGGAAGAGATCCTCAAGGAGGTGATGTTTGAGCTGAGCCTGAGTCTTTAGGAGAAATTCATAGGTGAAGGAGGAGAAAGCAGGAGATGGAAAGGTGTTAAGAGCAGAGGGAAAAGCGTGTGTGCAGAGAGGCGCAGAGGAAGCAGTGGCACATGTTTGGGCAGCTGCTCAGTGGCTGGAGAGCAGGGACTGTGGAGAGTCATCCAATTCCCATGTAAGGAAGGGAAACAGGAAGAGACTTGTTAATTCAGCCCAGCAGTCTCCCCACAACCTCTGGGGATGGCCTCATGGGTGTGCAGGGCCTCCAGAGCTAAAACTGTTTGAGAGAAGGCTTCTGTGCTGTCCATACCAGGCCCCTCCCCAGAATTCAGCCTTGCTCCAGGCGGGCTCCACTGGCTGCCTACAGACAGGCCAACCCTTGGCTTCCCCATGGCCCTCGCCACCAAGATCACACAGCCCTGCTAATTAGTTATTGATCTGGTATTTTGTTGTGGCTGCGCTTCCCACTCCTGTGTTTAGTCGATTCCCAAGTTAATGAAGCTGGATTCTGTACCGCCCCCCTTCCCCCCCATCACCTCTCTGTGTTCCCACTGCTGCTACTCCAACGGAATGGCTCCAGACAAAGACCACTGAAAACGAGCCGCACTCCTGCTAACAGGAAGACAGCGGAGAAGCAGGTGGGAGGAATATTCCCCCTGGAATCAGCTGCAGAGGACGCCTGTTGCCTTTGTTGGGTCAGGTCTCCTGCGGCCCAGCATTTTCCATGGTGGCCTGAAAGCCAACTGTGGCATGAGGGCGATGTGGATCAAAGAGCTTCTTCCACCGTCACAACCCTGTGTCTCTGGGTGGGCCTGTAGGGTAGCAGATGGTAGTCTGGGAAAAACCACTTCTTCCTTTCTGGGTAATTTTTATTCAGTCATTTAACTCCTCTCAGCTTCCATTTCCTTAAAATAGGCATTCTGTTGTATCTTTCCAGGGTATTGGGAGGATCCAGTTGGATGCTCTGTGAAACTTCTTTGAAAACAGTAAAATAGTATAAGAAGGAATCATGGGTTTGCTATTACTCTTAGGGAGGGACTGGGATCCAGGACAATCTGGAATGGGGTTTCAGATGTGGAAAAAATTACCATTCTGCTCCCCTGCCCATGTTTGTATTAAATGAAACTGTTCATGAGAGCATCAGAATAAGGGGTTGATATCCAGAATATATAAAGAACTCCTACAACTCAACAATGCAAAAACAACCCAATTTACAAATGGGCAAGGAAGTTGAATGGACATTTCACCAAAGAAGATATACAAATGGCCAATGTGCACATGAAAACATACTCAATATCCACTGATCATTAGGGAAATGCAAATCCAAACTGCAGTAAGATACTACCTCCTACCTATTAGAATGGCATGATTTAAACACACAGAGAAAATAACAGGCGTTGGCCAGGATGTGGAGAAATGAGAACCTTTGTGCATTGCTGGTGGGAATATAAAATGGTACGGCCCCTGTGAAAAACTGTGGCAGTTCATCAGAATTTAAACAGGGAGTTCCCGTATGATCCAACAGCTCCACTCCTGGGTTTCTGTGCAAAAGAACTGAAAGCAGAGACCCTAAGAGATATGTGTACACCCATGTTCATAGCAGCATTATTCACGATAGCCAGAAGGTAAAAACAACACAAATAGGCATTGACAGATGACTAGACAAACAAAATGTGGTATCTGCATACAACAGAATATTATTCAGCCTTCAAAAGAAAGGAAATTCTGACACATGCTGCATCATTAATGAACCTTGAAGGATATTATGCTAAGTGAAATAAGCCAGTTGCAAAAGGACAAATGCTGTATGATTCCACTTAGATGAGGTGCCTAGAGTAGTCAGATTCATAGAGACAGAAAGTAGAATGTGGGTTGCCAGGGCCTGGTGGGAGGAGGGAAGGGGGATAGGGTAGTCGAATTCACAGAGTTGGAAAGTAGAATGTGGGTTGCCAGGGCCTGGAGGGAAGAGGGAAGGGGGAGTTGCTGTTTAATGGCTGCAGAGTTTTGGCCGGGGATGATGGGGTCATTCTGAAGATGGATGGTGGTGATGGTTGTACAACAGTGTCAGTGTACTTAATGCTACTCAACTGTACACTTAAAATGGCTAAAATAATATGTATATTTTGCCACAGTTTAAAAAATAAAAATATTTTTAAATGGTTGAAATGGTAGATCTTATGTACAGATGCTCCTCAGCTTCACATGGGGTTATGTCTTAATAAACTGTAAATCAGATATACCGTAAGTAAAAAATGCATTGATTACACCTAACGTCCCTAACATTGTAGCTCAGCCTCACCCACCTCAAACGTGCTCAGAACACTAACACTAGCCTACAGTTGTGCAAAATCATTTAACACAAAGCCTATTTTATAAGGAAGTGTTGAATATCTCATGTAATTTCTTGAATACTGTACTGAAAGAAACAATTCAAAGTGCAGCTTCTTCTGAATGTGTATCACTTTGCATCATCATAAAGTCGAAGTGTCATAAATTGAATGTAAGTCAGGGTCCATCTGTATATTTTACCACAATTAAAAAAAAAATCAAAGACAGCTTTTAAGGGGGATAGAAGCCTCAAACTGGCAGCCTGTGGCCCATTTAGAAGATTAGAGCAGCAATTCAGTCGTGTTGGCTTGGGGCCTGGGACTTTATGGGATCCAGGGGCTTATAAGCACCCCCAAGCCTTTCTTAGGACCTTAGTACCGACTGGTGTAGCTACTACCTGTTCCTCTGGGTTACTGCCCGGGTGTCCAGTAGAACCCCCCAGGGGGTGGAGCCAGGGTAATGGCCCCCAGCCTCTGCCCAGATAGTAATTTTCCATTCTAGTCCTGCCCTAGCATCTCAGCTGGGTTTGGACCTTCTTTCTTGGTTTGGGGGGAGCATAGCAGGTGTCCTGGGCCTATGCCAGCAGCAGCTGATCTACCCGCCCCAGAAGAGCCGAACACCATGAGGAAATTTCCACAGCTTTCTCGCCCCCTGCCCTCCGTCTTCTCAGGAGTGACTTATCCTCTGTTCTCTGTAGGTTTTCTTTTCCTCTGCCTGCAGCATTGCCGTGGATGCCACCCTGAGAAAGAAAGCTGAAAAGTTCCAAGCTCACCTGACCAAGAAGTTCCGGTGGGACTTTGCTGCGGAACCTGAGGACTGTGCCCCGGTGGTGGTGGAGCTCCCTGAGGGCATCGAGATGGGCTAACTCGGGGAGCGCTCTCAGCTGCGAGGGGCCCCTTCCCACAGGGCTGCAGTCCTGGCCTCTCCATTTACTTCTTCCCATCCTGGGACCTGCCAGGGCAGCAATCTCTCCAGGTCCTGCAAAGATGGAGCCAGAATTCCCTTTTTCACTGATAAATATATTTCTTCATTGCCAAAGAGGCTGTACCCATCCTGAAGGCACATTTGTGGGTTCCCCATCAGCCAGGCCTTGGTGCTAACCTGGCTGAATTTCACACAGGCTCTTACACACACACGCTCCTAGGAGACATCTGCCTACACGGCAACCATATTTCCTCTGAATGAGAAGGAATTGAACCAAAAGTCCAAGAAAGAACTGATTGCTTGTTCCATAGGAGCTTAGGAAACAAGAAACCCTGGATTGCCCAGGGGGTCTGAGAAGTTGGTTGGTGACTTTTTTTGCGGTTAAATGAAGGGTGATGGGGAGATCAGCCCGAATTGCCGCCTGCCTCTTGCTAAATAGGAGCAGAGGACTTGGCCTGCAGCTCCTTGGGAGCCCTTGATTGGGAAGAGAGTTTCAAGGGAGGCAGCTGGATTCAATCTAGCAGGTGGTCAGCTTCAGCTTTCTCCATCGAAATCCCATTCTCCTGTCCAGAGGCCCAGTGGGTCATCTCCCAAGGTGGGTGTGGACCCTGGCCTCAGAGGCCTTGCTGGTGCTGTCACCTCCCACCTGTTCCATTCCGAGGCCTCACCCAGAAGTGGGACCCTCCCCTTCCTCACCAGAGCCACCGTGACTGTTTCTGATGACCTGGAGAGTCAACAACAACCAGAAAGGTTTCTGCCCAGAGCAGGCTTCTTAAGGCCTTTACGAAGTTTTGTGCCTTCCAAGTGCTGAAGAAGACCTGGTCAGCCTAAATCTTCCCAGTCCCGCTGTGGAGCTGTCAGTCACCGGAGTAATGAGCTCCTGGTTCCTCGGGAGTCCTTCGTGCTGTGTGGCAGGGTTCCTCTCTAGACAAGTACACAGGCCCTGCCACCCTGACATCAAACTGTTGTACTATGATCACAGTCCCTGTGCCATCCTTTTCCAAGACTGGGGCTCACACCATGTTTTTGAATGAGAATCCCTGCTGGTTGAGACTTTTGCTTCCACTTGTTTCCTTGGAGATGTTTTTCCAAGAGCATAATGTACATTAAAGTCTTCGAGTTGAGACAATCCCCTTGTGTGTGTGTGTCTCTTGCAGTTAATCCGCCTGATCTCCAGAGCAGCCAGGCTACTGTCCATAGACACACACCTCCCTCCAGTGTATGGGAGACTTGCCCAACCTCTGGAGTCTGGAAGAGGCAGGCAGCCAGTGTTCCTCCTGTTCCTCTTGAGGCCCCTGAGACAGGCACACAAGGAAGAAGGGATGAGGCCCCATGTCTCAATAATAACCCAAGAATCACCTGATATGAATTGGCTCCTCTTTTTCTCCCAAAGCCCACTCATCAGAACTAGCTGGGGAGCTTGTGAAAACTGTATCTTTAAAGGAGTGAAGTCCTGATACATGCTACAACACGGATGAACCTTGAGAATGTGCTAAGTCAAAGACACAAGGACCACCTATTATGTGATTCCATTCACGTGGCATGTCCACTAGAAACAAATCCACAAAGAGGGAGAGTCAATTAGCGGTTACCAGAGAATAAGACAGTATGGAATGGCAGTGACTGCTGATGAGTCTGGGATTTCTTTTTGGGGTGATGAAAATATTCTGGAATTAGATGGTGGTGATAGTTGTACAACCTTAAGAATTTACTAAAAACCACTGAAAGTAAGCACTTGAAAATGATTAATTTTGGCCGGGCGCGGTGGCTCATGCCTGTAATCCCAGCACTTTGGGAGGCCGAGGTGGGTGGATCATGAAGTCCGGAGATCAAGACCATCCTGGCTAACATGGTGAAACCCCGTCTCTACTAAAAATACAAAAAAAATTAGCCGGGCATGGTGGCGGGCCCCTGTAGTCCCAGCTACAGGCTGTGGCAGGAGAATGGCGTGAACCTGGGAGGCGGAGCTTGCAGTGAGCCGAGATCGCACCACTGCACTCCAGCCCGGGCGACTGAGCAAGATTCTGTCTCAAAAAAAAGAAAAAAAAAGATTTTTATGGTATGTAAATTACATCTCAATAATTTCTGAAAATGCAGATTCCCAAGTCCCATCCTGCAGAAATTCTGAAGCAGCAAATCCAGATGGGACCTGAGTTCTGAGGCACACTCAGTTTTAAGTAACATTACCTGTAAGTGACAGCATTGCGATTAGTACCTGGAGCTTCCCTGGGACAGAATTTGTCTCCCATCAGGGCAGTACCTGAAAGTTGGATCATGTAACCTTGTTCTCCAAGCATGTCAGTCAGTATTCCTGTGTTTACACAGATACACGCCCCCTACACACACACACACACACACACACACACACACACACAGTTAACAGGTTAAACAAAACTAGCTACTGTTTACCAAGGGCTCTGTTCTGTTACTTCACTGAAATCCTCAGCAATATGTGGTAAGTACTCCAACTATCCCCATTTTGCTGATGGGAAAATGGGCTCAGCTGAAATCACTCTGCCAGGGTCACAGCCAGTGAATACTGAGAACAAGAGTCAGGCCCATGCCTCTGGTGTCCACAGCCCACTCTGCCGCTTCATTCACAGCTCCGATTTCCTTCCTTGCTGGCCCCACGTGTCCAGGGCAGCCTTCCCCTCTGCCCTGCTCCCAGCCTTGGCCCTGCTGCCAGCCAGCCGTGTGATCTTGAGCAAGCTGCTTGTTTTCTCTGAGCCTCAGCTCCTCGCATGAAATAAGAGTTGGCTTGGGGCCGAGCGCGGTGGCTCACGCCTGTAATCCCAGCACTTTGGGAGGTTGAGGCAGGCGGATCACAAGGTCAAGAGATTGAGACAATCCTGACCAACATGGTGAAACCCCGTCTCTACTAAAAATACAAAAATTAGCTGGGTGTGGTGGCGCATGCCTGTAGTCCCAGCTAATCAGGAGGCTGAGGCATGAACCCGGGAGGTGGAGGTTGCAGTGAGCCGAGATTGCGCCACTGCACTCCAGCCTGGCCACAGAGTGAGACTCCATCTCAAAAAAAAAAAAAAAAAAAAAAAAAAAAAAAAACAAAAAGGCTTGGATTTAGGTTTCTGATATAGAATCTGCGGGCTCCCACAGGTATTTAAAAGTTGACCCTTGTGTTATTTTAAATGTTTTGAAAACGGAAACTACATTTATACAGGATAATATGGCTGGGCTGCCAAAAAAAAAATAGGTCTCTTTTGTTTGGGGCTGCAGTGACATCCACTTTAGGTCTTCTCCTGCTCGTCCCAACGGGCAGTCCTCTGTATGTCTTTGATGAATAAGAAATGTGAAAACAGATTAATTATTACTTAATACTTACAGTATTTTTGGAAGGCAGACGCTTTCGGAACAGAACCAGTGGTGTTGCTGATCTCACGCTCCCTTCCAGCTCTAACACATCTACGTGTGAAGCTATTGGCAGGACCTGGCCTGATTTAAAAACCCTCTCAAATGCAGGCCTCATGGGGTCTATCTCTTATTTGCAAGGCTGGCTCATCCTATTAGCAGAATCAGCAGAGGTAGCGACTTTCTAACCCCTTCCGCTGTCCCCATGACAAACCCTCCCTGCTGTGAGCCTCCCTCGTTCCCATCGAATTTCTCACCACTTGAGCAGTGGAAGAGTTCCCCACTGTTGACTGCCTCTTACCATTATCTCCCCACCATCATCCCCTTGTAAATATTCCTTAATATTCCCAGGGCACTGGGACATGCTGGTCTCTCCAACTAATCAGACTTTGGCTTGACTGAGATGCTGTCCCCTGCTGACATGGGGGCTGAAAATGCAGAGTGAATGCCACGGTCAAGGCCAGCACTGAGTCACGTCCGCCAGATTGAAATCAGGACCATACTCCTTTCAGGGGAAGGCTCACCTGAGCTACCCAGTAATCCGGGAGCCCGTGTGGTCCTGCAGCTCTGCAGACGCTGCTTCTCTTTTCAGTCCCCCGCTGACTGTAGATGGCACTTCCCCACCTCAGATTCACTGGATCTGGCCTGGACAGGCTTTGTTTCTGTTAGAGCTTTCTAGACCCTTCCATCTTCAGAGCATCCAAGGTCTCCGGTACTGGCTAGTTATCCCCCAACCCTGGGCTCCTGGACGGGCCTCCCTGCTGAGAGATGGGCTGAGTGGTGGGATGAGAGTGGGAAATAATGTCAGCTGCTCACTACTGGGGGGCAGGGTGCGCAGGCATTCATCTGGCACTCAGCTCCCCCTGTCCCCTGCCCCACCACCACCCCACCCACCCCCAGCCTGCCAGGCCTACTCTCATGTGTCCTGGATCTGTGTCGACTCCCTCGATTTCTCTGGAAAATAGGAATCCTGAGCCTTGTCAGGCTGACAGCTGCTTGGTGGGAGGAGGCAAAAAATAGGGGCGTCTCAGTTGCATTGTCCAGTGTCAGGTGGCCCTGCCCTAAAGAAACTCAACATTTCCCTCTTCCCTGGGTCTTTGTCTTGCTGCTTCTCTCTCCTGATTTCTCCCTCTTCCCTCTGTCCACTTCCAAAAAGTGCACCTGGCTCAGGTCTGGCCTCTCACTTCTAAGGGATGACAGATGGAGTTACATCTTCAGGAGAGCCCGCCTGCAGTGAGGAGCGTTGGAGAAAAATGTAGGACCTTCACCCAAGAACAGAGGTGGGAGGGCTGGCCTAAGGAGGAGGTCTCCACATACTCGAGAGTGTAGAGTGGGGACCCGGGGAGAAGCCACAGGGTGGCTGAGGTCAGCTCCATGCCTGTGGCACTCAGGGACCACAGTAAGCTAACATCCTCGTGGGGGAGCCACACAGTAAGCATGCTAAGTAGACTGCAGAGTGGGCCCATCCTGAGAAATGCTCCTGGGAAACAAAATAGAGCAGGGTAAGGGGAACGGAGAGTCCTGGCAGGGTGAGGGGAGACGCTGCATTTTTTTTTTTTTTTTTTTTTGAGACAGAATCTTGCTCTGTCGCCCAGGCTAGAGTGCAGTGGCGTGATCTTGGCTCACTACAAGCTCCGCCTCCCGGGTTCAAGCCATTCTTCTGCCTCAGCCTCCCGAGTAGCTGGGACTACAGGCACCTGCCACCACGCCGGCTAATTTTTTGTATTTTTAGTAGAGATGGGGTTTCACCATGTTAGGCAGGATGGTCTCGATCTCCTGATCTCGTGATCCGCCCACCTCAGCCTCCCAAAGTGCTGGGATTACAGGCGTGAGCCACCGCGCCCAGCCGAGATGCTGCAATTTAAAGGGGGTGGCATTTGGACAAAGATTTAAAGGTGAGCAAGTGAGCCATGTAGGGGTCTAGAGAGTGTTCCTGCAGAACAAACGGCGAAGGCAAAGGCCCTGGGGCAGGAGCCTGTCTTTTGTATTGGAGGAGCATCAGGGGGTCAGGGTCAGTAGGCAGGAGTGGGGTGACCAAAGACGAGAATACTAGGAGAGGAAACCAGGGACCAGGTTGTCCAGGGCCTATAGGCTGTTGTAAGACCTGTCCATTTTATCAGCGAAATGGGCACACGGTTGAGGGTTTCAAGCAGAAGCGTGTCATGACCTGACTTCCATGTTTTTGCTTTTTTTTTTTCGAGATGGGGTCTCACTATGTGGCCCAGGCTGGGGTGCAGTGGCTATTCACAGGCGCTGTCACTGCGGCCTACAGCCTTAAACTCCCAGAGTCAAGTGACCCACCTCAGCCTCCTCAGTAGCTGGGACTACAGGCATGAGCTACACCCAGCAGCTGACTTCTGTTTGTAACAGGATCCCAAGCTGCTGTGTCGGACACAGACTGCAGGGGGTAAGTAAGGGTGGAAGCAGAAGGACCGCTAAGGAGCTAGTGTGACAATCCAGGTGAGAGGCAGCAGTGACTCAGGCCACAGTCGTGTCGGGTGCAGGCTGTGCTGTACCATGATTCAGAAGATGGATCCAAAGGGATGTCTTTGATGGTCCCTTCTAGCCTGATAGGCCCCACTTCCCCAGGGTCGCAGATCTGGGCAGAATGCCAACTTGTTGGGCCCGCACCCGCACAGGAGTTACCTCTTGACTGTCCCATCATGGGGTGTGTTGAACCTTCCTATTCTCAGATGTCCATGGTACATTTGGGGAGGTGGGGCAATGAGGAAGGATTGGGAGGGCTGTCACGGGTTTTCTGGGTGATGGGGTGGCAGTGGAGGACTTGAAGTGGCTCTGTTGAGAAGCAGTGGGTGAGTCAGGGCCCCCTGATAGACTGTGGTTGCACCATCAGCACCTGTGCGGATGTTCTTACTGCTGATGGGCAGTGAGGATGGTCCCACTTACTGTTCAGGTGTCCATACGACTAAAAGGGAATTGAGGGCCACCGCCGTGGCTCGCACCTGTAATCTCAGCAGTTTGGGAGGTTAAGGCGGGCAGCTCGCTTGAGCTCAGGAGTTCGAGACCAGCCTGGGCAACGTGGCGAAACACCATCTCTACAAAAAATTTTAAAGTTAGCCAGGCATGGTGGCACACACCTGTAGTCCCAGCTACTCAGGAGGCTAAGGCAGGAGGATTGTTTTGAGCCCAGTAGGTTGAGGCTGTGTGAGCTATGATCACGCCACTGTTCTCCAGCCTGGGTGAAAAAGCAAGACCCTGTCTCAAAAGAAAACCCCAAAAAACAGGAGTTGAGGGCATGTGAATTCTCTGTCGGTACTAATGGTTCTTGGTTGGAATCATTCATACACCCACTTCTGCCACGGAACTTCCTGGACGTAGAGGTGATTACTAAGAGCCGGTGTGTGTTGGGGGCTTCCCTCCTGGCTGCCGGGCACTATGTTAGGCCCTTTACTTGCCTTCCTCAGTCTGGAGCACCAGCTCTCCAGGGAAGGCCTCATCCTTCCTCGTTGTCCAGACAAGGAAGAAGGAAGCCAAGGCCCCGCAAGGTGAAGGGACTTCCCGGAAAGCAGAGGCTGCTGAGCCCGCCTGGAGTTGGAGCCCAAGCCTGTGAATCTCACCCCGCCCTTGCCACCATGCAGCGCTCCTCAACAAAGATGGTTACTTAATCCAAGGTCATCACCAGTGGATCCGAGGCTGCAGCCTGGCAACTGGCAGTATCAGTCACTTACAAGGGTGGCAGGCAGGACCCACTGGCCTCTGGGGTCATGACACTTTGCTGATATTTCCACCCAGACCCTTTGTGTCTGCGTCTGGGCCTCTGGAGACACCGGACTGACCTGGCCCAGAGCAAGGTGGTACCTGCGGGTGGGGTTGCTTCTGATCTGGAAGGAGCCTGCCTCTGCCCTCCTTGAGGACAACGAGGGCCAGTGAGGGGCCACTCAGGGTGGAATGCCCGAGCAAAGGCCTCCCTCCTCTCACCCATCCCTGTCCTACCAGAACTGCTGTTGATTTTTGCAAAAGGCATTTTCTTTAGAAAGAGATGCTACACACAGGTATGGTGGCTTACACGTGTAATCCCAGCACTTTGGGAGGCCAAGGTGGAAGGATCACTTGAGCCCAGGAGTTTGAGACTAGCCTGTGCAACGTGGTGAGACCCCTTCTCTAGAAAAAAAATTTTTTTTTAATTAAGAAAAAAAAGATGCTGCAAAAGCGAAGCCCCTGAGGGGCTGACTCAATGACCAACCATCCTCTGGATAGGCCTCGCCTCAGCTGCCCGCCCTGTGAATCAATAAGCGAGACACTGTCACTCCAAATACAGCAGCCTGAAAGCAGGAGTGGGATAGGGCTAGTTAGAGGAGCTCTCTGTGGTCCGCTTGAATGAAGAAGACGACACCATTATTCATTTCCCTTTTGGAAATTGTCTATTCATGTCCTTTGTCCCTTTTTCTCTTAGTGTCCTCATATGTTTTTGAAACTGTATTTATCATATCACAAATACATTAATATGATAAATATTTCCCCCAGTTTGCCATTTGCTTTTTAATGTTTTGATTTTGAAATGTATGCTTTATTTTTTATATTACGTATGTCGAGCTTTTTCCTTTTGATTTTTTCCCCATTGCTTTAATGCTTAAAAGTCCATTCTCATCTTAAGACGAAATGTAATTAATCTATATTTTGTTCCAGTTTTTCTTAGTGTTTTTTTTTTTTATTTTTTATTTTGCCATAGTCAAAATCATGTTTCCTCAGCCCCACCTGCTCCAGGACCACTGCCACCTTTCATGCCTCACATCTGTCCTCGATTTTTCCTCTCCTATTAAGTCCTAGCATGCTGCCTCACACCTCCATCCTCATCCCCTCCTTGGACATCAAGGGCTTCTCACAAACCTTCCTGACCCCTCCCGGCATTTGCAGTCAGAAGAACCACATACGTGGCTGGCTCTGGGTGTCAGAGTCTGGTGGAGCGGAGTGTTTTTCTTATTGCTTCTCAGGGACTAGAATCGTCTGCTCAAGATTCTGCATGTCCATACTTGGAAGGTCATTGATTGGAAGATTCCCCCCTCCTCTCTGTCCTTGCACTAAAGGCCCCTACAATAAGGGTTGCTGTTATTTTAGATTTCATAGTCCATTTCTGTTCACCTCTTTTCTGATGTCAGGCCTCCTTTGCTTTCAGGACAACTTTTTCTGCTCCCTGTCATCTTTGGTGGGACTGCCAATCACAGTACCTCACCCCATCCTTCCACTCACCGGGACAGACACACAACTCTAGCTAGGCCACCTGGCATCTTCCCTGGGATGCTTCTTCAAGAAGGCGCAAAAGGACCCCACTTGCTTTTAGAGCTGTGGCTCTAGAGGACTCTCAGTTAGATCTACTAGGGGTCATCATCCCCGTCACAGAAAGCCCTCGTACCTGAAATGAGGATGAGCCCAACACAGAAGGAAGCTGAGCTGAGAGACAAGAGCAAGAGAAGCCAAGAAAAATATCTGAAGCACCTGGATCCAGCCTTGCCTGCATCCCGCAATCCCCAGGCTTCCTCCTACATAAGCCAATACAGTACCTTTTAATTTGAGCCCCATTATGAAAGGTTTTTGCTAAAGAATCCTGATTCACCCCTGCATTGCAATGCTTTGGACTTCATTGTCTGCCCCCCTGTAAAACTCCTAAGATGTCAAAGCTGAAAGGGGCTTTAGAGACCACAGTCTCATCCTGCAGTTGGTGAAACGAAGGGAAAGAACTTGTCCAAGGTCACGTGGTGCATCGTTTCCTGCTCAAAAAAGAAAAAGCTTGAACTCACTGCCCAGCAGCCCGGACGGCGCTGTGGCCTCTGCGATGGCATTGCAGTGCTTAGTGGCTATTGATCTGTTGTTTTGGATGTGTTACCCAGACAGGATTGCCACCACCACACAAGCGCATGTGCAGCCCAGGGAGAGCTCTAGGGCTGGGCCAGAGCGGGGGTGGGTAGGGCATCGTTGCTGCTGCTTCAGCCCCTGTCGGGAGAGAATGAGAAAATGGTGGTGAACAAGACCTTGCTGGCATTTGCTGACACTCACCATGGGCCACGCGCCATGTTAAATGGGCGCAGTAGCTTTACATTTGTTCTCAGCCTTGCGGCGTCCCTATGAAGTAGGTGCTACGGGAATCCCTGTTCTATCAGCAGGAAAACAGGAACTTCCCAATGGTCACACTGCGATTGAGCCACGCACTTGGACTAACCAGGGTCAGCCTGACTCCAGAGCCTGATTCTTGTACCAAGGAGGGGGCAAAATCAGGCAGGACACATGGATGAGTGGAGGCCCATGCGAGGACTGTGGGAGAGTGTGCCTTGGCTCCCCAGCTCCGGCCCAGGGCAACCAATTCAAGGCAGACTTGTCAGAGCTTCCAGTTTTTCAAGAGAAGCCGGAAATCTGGACTTTTATGTGAAATGTCTCATTTTTAAATGTTGGCAAAGAAATTCAGATTAAAACACACACACACACACACACACACACACACACACACACACACACACAGTGCAAGGGAACCCAAACCACATTTGCAAGCCAGCGGATTGCAACTTTTCGACTTTACTATACTCTTTCTGTGGCTGGAGGAAGCTGTTCTAACCCACAGGACTCTGTCCATCACCTGGCAGGAGAGGGGACCTACCTCGATGTGGTTAGGATGCCACCCTGCCTTGCTCACACTCACTCATTTCTAAGTGTGTGTCAGAGGCCAGCGAATTCCAGAAGCAGGGATTGGGCAGGGCGGGCGGTGGGGCATGCGTGCTTGCCAGGGAGGGCCAGGAGCACAGAAGAAGCCTCCTTATCCAATGTTACAGGTGAGGAAATTGAGACCAAGTGAGGCCGTATAAACAGCTGGGTCCCCGGTGACTCATGGAAAGAGCTGCTGGAACCGGGTGCAAGGTCTTCCTGAGCCATAAGTATGGTCCTCTGAGGACACATTACCCTGCTGTTGGCCTTTTTGGCTGGTAGAGGAGACACTTGGATTCTGGGATGTGGCAGATCCCAGCCTTGCCCATGATAAGGATAATAAGGAAGTCACTGATAGTCTATGAGCCCCAGTTTCTTCATCTGTAAAATGGGCATCTCCTCTGTAAAACAGAGGCATTGGCTCTGCCCCATGCCAATGTAAAACTATGGCACCCAGTCCCAGAGGGGTAGGGGTGACATTCCTCTCCTCCAGGAGCAGGGGACTGAGCCAAAGATACCTGCAGCCCACTCTGCGGTGCCTCTGGGGCTGGGACTGTTCTGGGCACGTGCTGAGTTATGATGACACATCCAGAGCTGAGTCTGTCTCTCCCACCTGCCCAATCCTCTGGGGCAGGAGTGGGGGTCGGGAAGGTGAGGGGCGGCTTCACTTCCAGGTCACCATCCCTCAGCCCTGGGCCTGACACAGAGAAGAATGAGCGGGAGGATGGATGAACAGCATCATAACAGCAGTTCTCGTCCACACCCCCCAACCCGTGTGCCAAGCTCTTAGCTCACGCCATCCTTCAGCCCAGCAGAATCTTGTGCTGGGGGTGGAGCCGCAGCCCTGCCCTCATCCATTCATCACGCGTATGCACCCCTTCTTTTCAGGCAGTGGCTCCCAACTCTCCCCAGGGCTCAGAGTTGCCCCCGAGACCCTGACCCAGGCCCAGCCAGGGCAGCTATCCCCAAACTTCCATGGGACACTTGGTGTCAGCTGCCTCCCCCCATCCTTGGCCTGGTGGGACCTAGGGGCTCTCAGCTACCCAGCCAGGAGATCGGCCCCCAGCAGAATGGCCCTACCTCAGCCTGTCTGTGTCTTTGAGGGTTCTCAGCGCTTCACCTGGCCTCAGAAACTACCTCTCAGCCTGAGGGTCCCTACAAGGCTTTGGACTGATGCCCCCTGCCTCAGCATAAATGGTCAAGGTTGAGCCTTATGGCCCCCAGAAGGCAGGGCTGAGATCCATAGGGTGAAGCCATGGGAGGCAGATGGAAAACCTTAGTGTGAGGCACAACTTACCATCAAAGCTGCCTACAATGGAATGGGCTTTTTTTAAGAGGTGAGTTTTCTGTTCCCAGAGATTTGGAAGTAAAACCTGCAGCCAATGGGGCTAACACACATCCATTAGGACAGCGGCCTCATTAAATGACTGTGAGGTTCCCTTCCAGTTCTTAGACCACGAATCTCCTTTCTAGGGTTTTTCTTCCCAGTCCACCCCCTAAGACAGACACAGGCCTTCGCAGGCCTGATTCAGGGTGGAGGAAGGGGAGTCCCAGGCTGAAGGCGAGTTGTTTGCAACCCACAGCTGGGCTCAGGAGCAGGGATGCTGCAACCCAGCTGCCTTTCTGCAGGGCCTTCACCTGTCCTCCAAGGACCAAGGCCAAGGCTGATATGAGCCCCCCATCTGGCCCAAGAGGTTCCCACAATGGTCCTGGGTGGTGGGTCCTGCCACTGGGTAGGTGTGGGAGCTGGGGGTTGCAGGTTCAACTTGGCAAAATGTCAGGACACCCACGGGGGCAGGCAGCTTTTCAGGGGCCCAAGGCCATGGAGCTCCAAAGGAGGGCAGCAGGGAGCACGCAGATAACTGTCCCCACCCAGCTCCCCTCCCACAGGCTCCACGGATCGCACTCTGTCTCTCTCGCATGCTCCAGGAGAGACACGGCAGCACACACACAGGCAGACACAACCAGCACCCACATCTGAGCGCTCACACACAGATGCGTGTGCGTCGTGCAGAGACGCCCACACGGAGACACAGATACACACCCTCCCGGAGCCACACAGATGACACCCACGTGCACGCGGGCACAAACACAGGCCCTACCTACTTGCAAACCAACTCCACCTCCAGCATGGCCACCCTGGCTGGGGAAGGAAGGCCGGCCGGGTGGGTGCCCTGGATCAGCCTCCTTGCCGTGGGAGTCCTGATCATCTGGAAGCTATGGCCTGCCCCGCCCATTGGAGGTCTGCAGGGCCAGGGGCTGCCCAGAGGCAACAGAGTAGTTCCACAGGGCCCTGGGGTCAGCTGATCTGGCTCTGGTCTCAGCTTTCCCACCTTCTGGCTCTGTGACCTGGGCAAGTCACTGGACCTCGCTGAGCTTCAGCGTCCTCATCTGGAAAACAGGCATAACATAGTGCCAACCCCCTGAGTCCTATGATCTCTGTAGCCCCCAGGCCTGGAATATCCTAGACGTTCAGTAAACAGAGACTGTTTCTGTCACCCCAGGGCGGGGGCTCCATTGGCAAATGGCCACTCACCCATTGCAGCCTGGCATTTGGTGAGTGCACCATATTCGTGAGCTATTATTTTCATGTCTACTTCAAGGGGCTACCTGGGGTCTGAACTTTACTTGTGGGGACCCAGGATGTAAGCCTCCATGTCCAGACTGGCAAAGAGAACCCCATTCCCCTGGCAAAGGTAGGGCTCAGCTAGGTAGTCTTAAACAATAAGCAGCCACTCAGCTAGAACTTAGACTGGAATATTCGCAATTTAATACCATGGCATTCCAGACCACAGCTGCAAAAAACAGAGGCTCTTGCCAGTGTGTTTTAGACTCTCAAAGATCTTGAAGCACAAATCTCGAATGTCAGAGCTGTACAGAGGCCTTGGAGACATCTAGTCCAGCTGTCTTGCTCCTAAAACGGAATCCCAGAAGCATGGAGCCTCAAAGAACTTTGAGTCCATTCCAGACCAGTTGGACAGAAATTGGGAACTGAGGCCCAGAGAGGGTGAGCCACTGAGCATGGTTGCACAGTGAGTTAGTGGAAGTGTTGAGACCAGACCCCTGGTCCCGGCTTCATAGCAAGTTTAGATTCAGCCCCTCTATGGAGGCCTGGAGGAAGGAAGGCAGAAGAAGAAACATTTGGGCCAAAGTGAGGATTTTCTGGAGAACTGTTTTCGAAAAATCAAACCAAAAAGAAAAATGGGAAAAAGGTGCTGGCTTCCCCTTATTTTCTGCCTGTCTTCCTCTGGGCACTCTCTCTCTCTGCAGCTCTCAGCCGGTTCCAGCTCTGCTCACAAGCTGCTTCCAGCCGCCCACGGGCTTCCTAAAATGGTCTCTGCAAGCTAATTCCAGAGGATGAATGGCAGAGAGCAGGCCTGCAGGGAGCTGGTGGGGGGGGGGGGCGGGGGGGGGGCTTCCTTAGCCAGTGCAGGTGCAGACAGACGCCACATTGGTGTTGGACCAGCTGCCCCCAACCCCAACCCCCTCCTTAGGTGCTTCCATGGCCCCCAGCTGCCAGGACCAGGGGGCCCAGCTTTCACCTCTCACTGCCTGACCTCTTGGAATAGGTTATTTTTCCTTCTTAAAGAATTAATTTTTAAAATTATGTAATAATACATATGTATCATCAAATAATCAGGAAAGTATAAAGAAGAAAATTAAGATCACCTGTAATCAGCTCCTCTAAATGAAACAACTATTAACAATTAAGCATATATCCTTTCAGTCTTAGGACTCAGCACATATTACAGACAGAGGGGCTGATTCAGTACATAATGTTCTAAGTCCTGTTCTTTTCTTCCAATCATATATTCACAAGCATCTTTCTAGTCAACATTTGCACTTCCACAGCATGATTTTTAGTGGCTGCATGGCACCTTGCATATGACTACACCACGCTTTGCTCAACCAATCCCCAATGCCCAGCGTTTTAGCTTGTGTCCATTTCTCCCCTGTGAGAAACAGTACATGGTTTATTCTTGTAGTTACCTCTTTGTAATCAACCTAGTTATTTCCTTAGGACACCTTCCTGGAATTGGAATTACTGGCCAAAGGGTTTATACTTTTTTAAAAAGATAAAATGCAAAATTATAATACTATCCTCCCTTCCTATAATGAATGTGTAATAATTAGGTAATAAATAAAAATTAGAAAATATAGATAAAGAAAAATAAGAGAAAAAAATCATAACTTTCCCCAAATCTTACTACCAAGATATGGTTAAGAATTTTGCTGGAAAGCATCTAGACTTTTTTGTATGTGTGTGCACGCATATAATGGGATTATACTATACAGGCTGTTTTGTAAAACTGATCATTTGTTTCTTTCTTTTTTTTTTTTTTTTTTTTTGAGACAGAGTCTCGCTCTGTCGCTCAGGCCAGAGTGCAGTGGCGCAATCTCGGCTCACTGCAACCTCCGCCTCATGGGTTCATGCCATTCTCCTGCCTCAGCCTCCTGAGTAGCTGGGACTACAGGGACCCGCCATCAGGCTCCGCTAATTTTTTGTATTTTTAGTAGAGACGGGGTTTCACCGTGCTAGCCAGGATGGTCTCGATCTCCTGATCTTGTTTTCCACCCACTTCGGCCTCCCAAAGTGCTGGGATTACAGGCGTGAGTCACCGCACCTGGCCAAAACTGATCATTTGTTCATGTCAATACATAAATTTACATTCACAGTGTCACTTTCTTTCTTTTTTTTTTTTTTTTTTAGAGACAGAGTCTCGCTGTGTCACCCAGACTGAAGTGCAGTGACTTAATCATAGCTCGCTGCAGCCTTGAACTCCTGGGCTCATACGATCCACCCACCTCAGCCTCCAGAGTAGCTGGGACTACAGGAAGATATCATCACACCCGGCTAATTAACAACAACAAAAAAAATTGTAGGGATAAAGTCTTTCTATGTTGCCCAGGCTGGTCTTGAACTCCTAGCCTCAAGCAATCCTCCCACTTTGGCCTCTCAAAATGTTGGGATTACAGGCGTGAGTCGCCACACCCGGCCCACGGCATCACTTTTATCTGCCACAGCATATTTCATTCTGTGTTTATACCTTGGTATAACCACTCTCCTGTTTTGGGGAACTAGGTTTCTGGTTTTGCTCCAGTATAAATAGCTCTGTAATGAACATGCTTGGAAAAGCAGCTTTGCTTCTTGTCCATATGCGTTCGTAGGCTCTGTGGTAGTAGAATTGCTGGGTCAAGGGTTTTTGTTGTTGTTTGTTGGTTGGTTTTTGTTTTTTGTTTGTTTTTGCTGTTGATATCACATCGTTTCTGACTGGAAGTCTAAACAGCAAACCAGCACGCAGGCTCCACCGAGTTCCACAGACGTCTACGGGAAGGGCCCAGAATCTGTAGAACCAGGCAGGAGCTTGTGCTGCATTTCCTGCTTTCCAGGCTGATTGCTTAGAGAAAGGCCTTGGCCTTGAATGGGGCCTTTGCCCAGGAAGCCTCCTCTGTGCCCAGGAAGCCGGGATCAAAATTAGCCCCCCCGGAAGCCAGGAGCACACAAGCTGGTTCCTGCTGGCTCTCTCCAGCCTACTTCCTGCATACCCGATACCTCACGTGCCCTCTTCCTGTCTCCAGATCCCACTCACCTGAGACCATGCACAGAGGGAGAATGAATGTGACGTGTTACAAAGTCCTCATTGTTCTGAGGAGGGGAGAGATGCAGCCAGGGCAGGCAGCCTCGAGACTGGGCAGGTGTGAGCCCGGGCGGTGGGTCTCAGAGGTGCATGGAGGGTCAGCCTGGAGAGGACAGAATGCGGGGCCAACCCACAGGACAAGGCCCAGAGCAGGAAGGGCCTGGAGCCTGCAGAAGGCAACAAGGAGAACAAGCCCGCAGAAGGACAGGGAGGGCCTGCCCAGAGCTTCCGAGGGTGCTGACGGCCAGGCCGGCCTGGACACCGTCTTGTCTCTCTCCATCCTTCACTGCGCTGCTCTGCTCTCTGCGATCTCACTCCATTCAGAGTTGGGAAAGGAAAGATCCATCTGAGGAAAAGGTGAGCTGAGAACTAACCAGAAAGAGAGGGAGGGAACGGGCGAGGGAGGGAGAGAGAAAGGAAGAAACAGAGAAGGGAGGAGAGGCCACCACCCAAAAGAGGAAGCCATGCCATCCAGGTCTCCTGATTGACCAGCACAGGTTTAAGTGAAGACCTTCCCTGTGGTCAGCTCAGCAGTGGCTGCAAGCCAGGCTAGGTGGCTCAGGTCTGTAATCCCAGCACTTTGGGAGGCCAAGGCAGGCGGATTGCCTGAGGCCAGGAGTTTGAGACCAGCTTAGGCAACACAGTGAGACCCTGTCTCTACAAAAAAATTTTAAAAAATTAGCTGGGTGTGGTGGTGCGTGCCTGTAGTTCCAGCTACTCGGGAGACTGAAGTGGGAGGATCGCTTGAGCCTGGAGTTAAAGGTTGCAATGAGCCGTGATCGCGCCACTGCACTCCAGCCTGGGTGACAGAGACCAAGTCTCAAAAATTAAAATAACAATAATAGTAAGAGGCTGCAACAGACCTTCAAGCTGGGAGAGCAGGTTTTCAGGCAGCTCAGGACCACAATCCCGGTTCTAAAAAGTGCGTGCAGGCACGTCTGACAACAAGACAGCCATGCAGGTCTGGGCGCCAGCTAAGAGAGGAGGGTCCCACATTAGGTTCAGCCATTTCAGCTTCTTTCCACTCTTGCCTGGCATTGAATTCCCGTATTTATTAATCCCCTCTAGAGCACAAGTGAGCCCATCCTTGTGAGATGAGGGAAAGCATCAGGGCTGTCCTGTGCAAACCCAGTGCAGCACAGTGCCCAGGCCATGTGCTTCGACACTATGGGCAGCTGCCGAGGAGACATCTCTTTGAGCAAAGTCTCTCTGTTCATCACCCTCCCCCTCCCCAGTTCCCTTTTTGTCACTTGATTCAGGTGGGATTCACCTCTCCGTGGCCTCTCCTCTCTTTCCTTCCCCACCTCTGCACTCTGGGCCTGCTGGGAACGGAGGAGAGATGGGTGGGCCATGGTGTGCTTCGTTCACAAACACCCACCCAGCACCCAGATGTGACTGGGGGAGGCTGGGTGGGCAATGACCTGTGAGCCTGTAGGCCACCCCCTTTCACCCAGGGGACAGCTTCTGGGAGCCTGAGGTCGGGGGTCTTGGAGAAAGAATAGAAGCACACCCTTGGCTCCTTCAGGTGGGGGTTGGGTGGAGTGGAGAGCAGGGCTCTTGCCTGAACAGTAATATCATAAAACTGTGAAGAGCTGGCCGGGCATGGTGGCTCACACCTGTAATCCCAGCACTGTGGGAGGCTGAGATGGGCGGATCACTGAGGTCAGGAGTTCGAGACCAGCTTGGCCAACATGGCAAAACTCCGTCTCTATAAAAAATACGAAAATTAGCCAGGCATGGTGGCGCACTCCTGTAATCCCAGCTCCACAGGAGACTGAGGTAGGAGAATCACTTGAACCCGGGAGGCAGAGGTTGCAGTGAGCCGAGATCGTGCCACTGCCCTCCAGCCTGGGAGACAGAACGAGATTCCATCTCAAACAAACAAGCAAACAAAAAAAACAAAAAACACAAAATACTGTGATGAGTTGACATTTAAGTGCGATCAGTATGCGCCTGGAACTGTCGAGCTGGTACCTTACTTATGGTCATAGGAGGTGGGTGCCGTCATCATCCCCATTTTATAGATGGAGGAAACAAGGTGCAGAGGTTGAGTAACTGGCCCAAGATCTCACAACCAGCAGGTGGCAGAGCTGGATTTGGAGCCTGTGATTGTCCCACCCAGCTAAAGTCTAATCAGGCTTTCTGTCCTCCAAGCTCTGAGAAGCCATCCTCGGCTTCCCAGAACCTTTCTTTCCTTGGTCTGAGCTCCCGACCCACCCCCTGTCTGGACTGGAGAGAGGAAGTCTGGAAGCCACCCAGTCTCCATCCAGTAAGAACACGCTCCTGCCCACTGTGGCCCCAGTGCCTACACAAGTGCCTGCAATATAGTAGCTGCTCAATAAAGATTTGCTGAACAAGGGCCAGGCTTGGTGGCATATGCCTGTAATCCCAGCTACACAGGAGGCTGAGGCAGGAGGATCACTTGAGCCCAGAAGTTTGAGACCACACATTGAGACCCCATCTCAAAAATAAAAAAGTTTGCTGAACAAGCTCTGCCCTGTGTAGCTGGTGCTGGGACTCACAGCGGGCCTGCAGCAGTCAAGAGAGAGGTCTGGAGCCAGGCTGCCCTGTCCGGTCCCAGCTGTGTGTTGCTGGGCGAGTCGCCGCATACCTCTGGGCTGCACTTCTCTGCCTGTAGAAAGAGAGATTCCCCAGTGCCTGCCTCCCTTTGTGGGGCCCTGAACAAACGCTCCATGGAGACGTAGCTGCTGTTATTATTGCTGCCATTACCCAGGGACACCATCTGTATTCGACCCTGGGGCTGGCAGAACGTGGTTCTCTCCCCCACTGCCCCTCTCCTGATGCTACTGGAAGCCTGCGGGGGTGTGGGGAGCCTGGCCTGGCCCAGGTCCTCTCCTCACCCGTGTCAGGAAAGAGACCCTGTCTGCACCTGTCCCCAGCCCCAGCCCCAGCCCAGCTGCTATTCTTAGTCCCTCCCCATTTCCCTCATCTCTAGGCATTTTCCCTCCTAAACTTGCTCTGCGTTTCCATAGGAACCAGGGGAGGGTGGAGATGGGGAGAGGGTCCTCCCCCACGGAAGGGAACTTCATTTGGGGCTGTTTGGGAGCGGCTGGCAGTGCCTGGTGGAACTTCCCCCACTGTGCCTCTCCCCTCCTCCCCAGACCCCTCCTTGAACAGCCTGTTCCTCCGACCGTTATTTTTAATGCATTTATCCTGCCGCTTAATTTATCCCGCATTGTGATCAGATTTAGCTGAGAGCGCTCCGCAGCCCGGCCTGCCTGCATATTCATGAGTCGGTTCATTCATGCCGCCCCCAGAATGCCGGGCAATAGTGGGCAGTGCGCTGCCTGGTCCCCGGGTCCCACCTGCTGCAAGGGCAACCGGGGGTCAGAGGTCAAGGGCCCAGGCTGCAGCCAGAGAGCGGTTGTAGGGTACAGCACCTGTGGGTAGGGGGTGGGGGGTGTCCCTAGGTGGAGGCTCTGGAGCCAAACTGTGCTAACATCTTTCTCTGCCATTGCTGATAAAATCACTTCACTTCTCAGTTTACTCATCTGCAAAAGGGGAAAATAATGTCCCCTGCCCTGGGTCACTGGAAGATTAAGAGAATACACATAAATGATCACAGTGGGTATTCAGTGTAGCTCCCTGTTGTCATTGTCGTTCCTGCTGAGCAGTGGTTCATCGTGGCTCTGGTTCCTGGAGAAACGGGGTGGTGGGCTGGGGCATGAGTCTCCTCTGGTGATGAGGCTGTGGGCTATTTCTGTCCAGCCTTTGCTGACTGTGATACGAGCTCCTCCCCTCAAGTGAGGGTCAGGAGGGCAGTTCCCAAAAGGCAGGAGGGACCAGAGGATGCAGTCTGGTCTCTCAGGAAGGGCCCCTGGGATCGTCCAGGGTGTGCAGCCCCCACCAGGGGCCAGCAGGGAGGCTGGGGCTCTGGAAGGAGGCAGGGCTCTAGACTCCAGGTTCTTCTGGCCCTTGGGAACTTCTAGGTTGATCACTCCCTTCAATTATTCATTCTGTTATTTTACTGTTGCCAAGCCCATGCTGGGCTCTGGGGACATCGCCCTGTCCTCAGGGGGACTACATCCCATCAGAGAGGTGAGTCCAGGCTACGGAGTGGTCAGGGCCTTCAGATGAGGCCAGATCAATTGCCTGGGGGTTCAGAAGGGGAGGAAATCATCGCAGCTGGGCATCAGGGAAGGTTTCCTGTAGGAGGCAGCATTTAGGCCGAACCTTGAAAATGTGGCTGTAACAAGATTGGATGGAGTAAGATGGATATTTGGGGTCTAAGGGACAGCAAAGGCAAAGGCTGGTGATGGGAACGCAGGTTGGGAGAGGTCAGCCAGGTGGAGGCTGGGAGATTCCTGAGCCCCAGGTGAGGGGGTCCCAACTTACATCAGCCATCCCCCAAGGTGGGAGCCAGAAGGGCCTTACCTCTGTCCCTCACATGTGTGTGTGCACACAGGGGTCACATTCCAGCTTGCTGGGGAAAAGAGAAGAGCTCCTGCCTGGGTCTCCTGATTAATCTATAATTAAATCAGCACGGACGCCACGGAACCATGTTGTCATTAGAGAGCTGGTGAGGGCAGACCGGGATTTCCCTGGGAACCGGGAGGCCTGCCGGGTGGCTGCAGCCCATGCCATGAACAGATGGCCTTCAGGGGTGAGGAGCAGGAACGAAAGGCCAGAGCCTCAGCCAGGAGTGAGAAAAACAGCAGCTTACTCTTGGCCATTTACAGTGTTTCTGTCACTGTCTTGGTTAATCCTCATGACATGCCATGGGCGGGACCAGGCGGGGTATTATTATTTACTCGCATTTTACAGATGGAGAAACTGAGGTGTAGCGAGCCAAGGGATGAGCCAGCCTGGATCCTTGGGTTTTGGAATCAGAGAATCGTGGGTACGAAATTCTCTTGCCAGCTGTGTGCTCTCAGGCAGATTGCTTACCTTCTCTGTGCCTCAGTTTCTCCATTTGTATATTGGGGACAAGACCCTATCACTTCAAAGCATTGCTTAAGGATTGAATAAGGCAGTTCACATAAAGAACTTAGCACAGTGCTTGGTGCTTGGCAAATACTCATCAAATGCTGCTACTTACACTTCACTGTAACTGCTTCTCTCTTGTCCATCTTTCTTACCAGAATATGGGCTCCATGAGGATAGGGACTGTCTGTCTTGTTAATTTCATAGTGTTCAATAAATTACTAGTATGTGAGACAGCCTTTCGTAAGCTGCAAAATGCTAAAACATTAGATACTATTTTCTCTATGTTCTGCCTTGCTTTCTCTATGTTCTGCCTTGCTCTAAAAAGGATTCAAGGAGACAAGTATTAATATTATTATCTTTGTTATTATCACTGTTATGTACCAACTCTGTTACTCAGAGGTGGTTCTTCCTTAAATTAATATAGAAAAAATCTAGGCCGGGCGTGGTGGCTCATGCTTGTAATCCCAGCACTTTGGGAGGCAGAGGTGGGTGGTTCATTTAAGGCTAGGAGTTGGAGACCAGCCTGGGCAACATGGTGAAGCCCAGTCTCTACTAAAAATACAAAAATTAGCCATGTGTGGTGATGAGAAGGAAAAGGAGAAGGAGAAGAAAGAAAAGAAAAGGAAAAGAAAGAAAGAGAGAAAGAAAAGAAAGAAAGAAAGAAAGAAAGAAAGAAAGAAAGAAAGAAAGAAAAAGAAAGAAAGAAAGAAAAGAAAAAAGTCTAGAAATAGTCAAGGAGCCTCAATTCATAGGTGGCCGCTAAGAGGTGAGGCAGAGACCTGGCTTCTGGAGGGAACATCTAGAGACAGCTGCAGAAACCTCTGGGCCAACCAAGGAGCTACAGCCTGGGAGGCCCTGGAAGAACTCCTTGCTCTTGTAATTTGGGAGGCTCTGGATTTTCAGCAAGACCAGAGGGGCTGGAACCTGCAGCCCACTGGCTGCAGATTAGATCTAAGGAATCTGTCTTTGAAGAGCGAGAGGGCATTTGGGGATCATCATTATCTCCGTGGCACAGTGGTTTCCACCCCCTCCACTGGGAACTGAGGTTTCTTACACAAATAACTGTTAAAGTCCCAGATTCCCAAATGAGTTACTTTAAATACGATCAATTAGAGCAGATTCAAAGTTATCCCTGAGACAGTGTGGCCCCATGCACCTACATTCTTGAGTGGACAGTGAAGGACCAGAGCTGTCTGTTGTTCACAGAGCCTCTCTTGCCTCGAGCCCCTGAGGAACGATGACTGTTGGCTGTCCCTCACCTGTGGACATCACATTGTAGCACAGGCTGCTGTGTCCTGCCCACATTCCCAGAGGTGCCTGCCAGGGCTCCCTGTGACTCTCAGCCCGAGACTCTGCACAGAGCCCACTTCTCTAGAAGTACCAAGACTCGATTCCCCCGGAGCTGCCCTCGAGCAAGGGGCCTGGGGGACGGCCAAGAAGGACTTCCTTGCACCTCAATGAGACAGTCACCCACAGCGGCAGCTCCTGTCTCCACTTCCCTCCCTTTCCTGGCTCGTTCCCCTTGTTCCAAGTAAACTACTTGCACCCAACTCCTCATCCCAGGATCTGCACTTGGGGGAACCCAACCTAAGACACACTCCAAAATTATAGGTGCTTTATTGTCCTGCAGGAATTTTTGAGAGGTGTCCAAACCTGTGGATACTCCTGGGAGGGCATCCATCATATGAGCTCTGAGGGCACCTGGGGCTTGGTCGGGTCAGGGTCGGGGGAGCAGTGGTCAGCAGATGGTTCTGGTCAATAGAGGCTGACGATAAATCGAAAGCCTCCCCTCAATGCTTCGCAGGAGCAGGTGCAGATCCTGAACTGAGGACTCTGTGCTGAAGCAGGGAGGCACCTGATTTGTTTGGTAGTCACCAATTAAGCACCTACTGTATGCTGAGGATAAAACAGGTGAATGAGATAGCAACCATCCTTGTCCCTGGGGAGGTCTGAGTCTACTGGGGAAGAGAGTCATATCAACACATGGATCAAGGTTAGAGATGAGTGAAGAACTTCAGAGGACTCTGGTAAATTCATCCATTCATTTAAGGCATTTATTGAGCACTTATGGCATATAAGGCACCGTGTTAGGCCTTGTGGATGAAAGAGATAGGCTATCATCACACTACTCAGAAAGGAGACAAGGTAACATCTGACATTTATTAAGCTCCTACTACTGTGTGCAAGGCACTGAGTAGGGTGCTTTCCATAGTTTATCTCATTCCCTTTTGTTTGCTTGTTTTTGTTTTGTTTTGTTTTGTTTATTTATTTATTTATTTTGAGATGGAGTCTCGCTCTGTCACCCAGGCTGGAGTGCAGTGGTGCGATCTCAGCTCACTGCAACCTCCACCTCCCAGGTTCAAGCGATTCTCATGCCTCAGTCTCCCAAGTAGCTGGGATTATAGATGTGTACCACCATACCCGGCTAATTTTTGTATTTTTAGTAGAGGCGGGGTTTCACCATGTTGGCCAGGCTGGTCTTGAACTCCTGGCCTCAGGTGATCTGCCCACCTCGGCCTCCCAAAGTGCTGGGATTATAGGTGTGAGCCATTGTGTCCAGCCTTGTTTTGTTTTTTTGAGACAGGGTCTTGCTCTGTTGCCCAGGCTGGAGTGCAGTGGTGCAATCATAGCTCACTGTAGCCTCAATCTCCTGGGCTCAAGCAGTCCTCCCACCTCAGCCTCCCAAGTAGCTGAGACTACAGGCACGCACCACCACATCCAGCTAATTTTTGTATTTTTTGTAGAGATGGGGTTTCACCATGTTGCCCAGGCTGGAATCTCATTTCTTATCACAACAAATCCGTTATGGGGGTAGGTAGCTATTCTTATCCCCACACAGAGAAGAGGCCCTGAAAGTTGATGCAACTCACAAGACCACATGGCTGGGAAGTGGCAGAGCTGGGCTTCAACCTAGATCTGTCGGATTCCCAACCCCCCATACTATTTTTTCCCTCGCATCAGACCACGGTCTGTGGCTTTTGTCTTAAATACCCACTGAGTGAACCAGTTTTTAAAAGAACAAAACCTGGAAGCAAACCAGGCCAGGCTCAGATGGAGCTAGAACAAGCGTTTGCTGGGGTCAAGCTCCCGCTCCGAGGCCCTGCCTCATCTACAGGGGGCCTAAGCCTGGTCTGTGACCCCTGTCTGTAGGGAATCCAGGACACCTGGAAGCTGACCTCATTTCACCCTGAAGAGTCAGGGAAGGGAGGCTCGGGAGAGGCCCTGCTCCCTGTGCCCAGTGGGCCTCCCATGTGGACTGATACATGGTTCAGCAAAGCCCAGACCCTCCCAACCACCTCCCCAAAGGTAGTCAAGGCAGAGCCTGGCTGCTAATGGGAGGATGTTCCTGTTATTATTACAGGAAAAAAAAAAAGTCAGTCTAAATCTTAGTGGCTTAAACTAACAATTTTGCTACGTTTACAGACTCTGTGGGTCAAGAATTTGGACAAGGCACAGTGGGGGTGTGAGCTCCATGATGCCTCGTGTCTCACCTAGGAAGATTCAGTAGCTGGCGGCACCATGACAGCTGGCAGCTGGAATCATCTGAGGATCATCACCCACGTGTCTGGTGATTGATGCTGGCTGTCAGGTAGGACCTCAGCTGGGCTGTCAGCCGAAACAGCTACCTGTGTGCTGTCTCTTCCTGTGGGCTAGTTTGGGCTTCCTCCCAGTATGGCAGCTGAGTTCTAAGGGCAAGCTGGGTTCTAAGGGCTCTCTTCCCAAAAGAGCCAAGTAGAAGTTGAATCGCTTTTATGACCTAACTTTGGAAATCACATAGCCTTGCATCACTTCTGCAAGAGTCACAAGTCCACCCAAATTACAGAGAGGGGGACACAGACCTCACCTCTCAATGGGATAACATATGGAATTGGAGATACTGTTAAGGACATCTTTGGCCACATAATTAACTACCGAAAACAGTAGGGAGGAATTGGCTACCCAGGTGTGAGTTGTTGCCTCAAGGGTGGAGGGGCAGCCAGCATTGAATGAGAGCCAGTCTGAATGGATGACAGGGAGAGCAGTTTGGATTGAGGTTGACTTCTGAGATCCAGGCAACAAGGCCAGAGATACCAAGGCAGAGGTTCAGCTGGACGCAGAGGAACAAGCATTGTTTTATTTATTTACCTACTACCCCTCCATCAGTCTGGCCACCTGGTCTCCCATCTATCTATTCATCAATCCACACATCCATCCATCCATCCATCCATCTACCCATCTACCCACCTATCCATTCATCCTCCATCCACCCACCCACCTATCCATCCATTCATCCACCTATTCATCCATCACCCATCTATCCATTTATCCATCCATCTATCCTTTCATCCATCCATTTATTCTACCCACCCATGTATCTTATTCACTTTCACTATGACTCAGTTTCCTCATCTGTAAAATGGGGATCGTAATATAAACCTCATGGGATTGTTTGAGGAGTCAATGAATTGATAAATGTAAAGTCCCCAGCACATATTAAGAGCTCGATAGGCTTGGCACGGTGGCTCACGCCTGTAATCCCAGCACTTTGGGAGGCCAAGGTGGGCAGATCACAAGGTCAGGAGATCGAGACCATCCTGGCTAACACAGTGAAACCCCGTCTCTACCAAAAATACAAAAAAATTAGCTGGGCATGGTGGCTGGCACCTGTAGTCCCAGCTACTCGGGAGGCTGAGGCAGGAGAATGGAGTGAACCCGGGAGGCGGAGCTTGCAGTGAGCCGAGATCATGCCACTGCACTCCAGTTTGGGCGACAGATCGAGACTCCGTCTCAAAAATAAATAAGTAAATAAATAAAAATAAATAAAAAAGAGCTCGATAAATATTATCAATTTTTATTAACATTAGTATGATTCTTACTGTTATTCAGGCATGTACCCACCTATAAATCTATCTTCCCATCCACTCTCCCATTCATCTGTTTTTTTTCATTTATTCAGTAGTACAGTTAACCATATGCACATTTAATTTACATGAGTTCAATTATATTCTTAGCAATAAAGAAAGACAGAAAACGAATTTTAAAAGCACAGTTGACTTTTCGTGCCATTTTTGTACAATGGGTGTGTGGCCCAGAAGGAGTATGAGGTGAGCCATGTTACTAATTGCGGGGTTGGGGTGAGAGCAAAACCACGTAGCTGCATTTCTGGGGCAGTTTATTGGATTTTACAGGGTAATTTTAACTGTTCATGGTTCATGCTGACTTTCCTACCTTTTAGATGGCATGGGACCCACCTCTCTGTGATGTGCTCTGGCTGGCTCCCAGCAGCACAGATACAGTAGGACCTGGTCCCTGCCCTCAATATACTCACAGTGCATGGCACGTTCAGTGGCACAGACACATAAACAGACCATGATGGTGTAGTATAAAAAATTCAAGCTGGAGAAGCACTGTGGGCAAATGACTGCTGTGAGGAGGGCAAAAAGAGCAGCAGGGAGGCCTTTGTGAGTGTGTGACATTTAAACAAAATCTTAAAGCTTATGAGCATAAATTCTCAAGACACTCAAGAAGGAGAAGGGCGCACCAGGCGGAGGGAACAGCACGTTATGCAGAGAGATGAAAGATCACAGGGTGTGGAGAGAATGGAGAGCAGGGTGGGAGGGCAGGAGTGGAGGGACATAAGTCTGGAGGTGTCATCGGGGCTGATCTGAAAGGGCCTATGGTACCAAGCCAGGGGATCTTGGGCTCTATTCTGCAGGTGGCGGGCAGCCGTGGAGAGGATTAGGCAGAGGAGAGGTAGGGTCAGAGTTGTGTTTTCAATAAATCGCTCCTGCTGCTGTGTGATGGTTGAACAGGAAAAGAAAAGTCTGGAAGTACAGAGACCAGAGAGGGAGGCTGAGCCCCACCCGGCTTCTATTGAGTTCTGGGACGGTGGGGCTACCACAGAGGAGGCCTGAAGACAGTGAACCAAGGGCCCCGTTATTGGGCAAATTTACCACTTTGGGCTTGAGATTCCCAATATATGGCCTCACAAGTGTTTTAAGTTGAAGGAGCAGATGGCTCTCCTCAGGGTCAGCTAGAGGGCTTAGGTTCTGCACCCCATAAAGTCTGCCTGGGGCTGGAAAGGGCTCTTCACTGGATATATAGTGTCGTTTTATTGTTTTTTGTTTTGTTTTGTTTTGTTTTTTTCTTTTTTGAGATGGAGTCTTGTTCTGTCGCCCAGGCTGGAGTGCAGTGGCGACCTCGGCTCACTGCAGCCTCTGCTTCTGAGGTTCAAGCGATTCTCCTGCCTCAGCTTCCTGAGTAGCTGGGTCTACAGGCACGTGCCACCATGCCCAGCTAATTTTTGTATTTTTAGTAGAGACGGGGTTTCACCATGTTGGCCAGGCTGGTTTCGAACTTCTGACCTCAAGTAAAATGCCTGCCTCTGCCTCCCAAAGTGCTGGGATTATAGATGTGAGCCACTGCGTCCGACCTGTTGTTTGTTTTTTAAATTTATCTCCCTTAGGGTTCATTTTGACTCCTGAATCTGAGGGTTCATGTCTTTCATCAGTTCTGGAAAGTTCTTTGAATGCTACCTTTCGCCCATTCTCTCAATTATCTCTTCTTGGAACTCGAAGTAGAGGTTGTCAGACCTTTTTCATCTATCCTTTGTGTCTGTCTTAGTTTTCCCTCCATTTCTTTCTGCTGTATTCTGGACAATTTCTTCAGATTCCAAGTCACATTTTTTTTCTCTTCAGCTGAGGTTAACAACCTGTTGTTTAACACTTCTAAGAGTTAAAAATTCTAATTATTGTATATTTTTTATTTCTGGAAGTTTGGCTTGGTTCTTTTTCAAACCTGCCTGTTCTTTCTGTAGCATCCCTCACTGCATATTCATTGTTTCAAGCTCCTCTATTCTGTCTGTAAACACATGGAATATATTTACTGTATTTTACATTTTGAATCCTACAATACCAATATCTGAAGTCTTTGGGGATCTGACTTTGTTGTTTGCTGTTTCTTCTGTTTTGCTCAGGGTGGCATGTCTCTTGGATGCTTTGAATTTTATTTTTATTTTCAGTTGGACCTATGGGAATTTCACTGAGGACCAGGCTGAAGGTGTTTTCTTCCAGGGAGAGTGCAAAACATTTAAATTGAATTGTTATTGAGGGGAACATACAATAGAGTGCATTAATCTTAAATGTACATTTTAAATGGATATACATCCCCATAACCATCATCCAGATCAAGATATAGAACGTTCTCAGCACTGCAGAAAGTTTCCTCATCTCCCTTTCCAGTATACCTGCACCCCGAGAGGGAACCCCATTCTAACTTCTACCAAATCACTGATGAGTTGTGAAATGATATACAAATGAAACCATATAGTACATTTTCTTTTCTTGTTTTCGAGACAGGGTCTCACTCTGTCACCTAGGCTGGAGTGCAGTGGCACAATCACAGTTCATTGCAGCTTCAAACTCCTGGGCTCAAGCAATCCTCCCACCTCAGCCTCCCAAGTAGCTGGGACTACAGGTATGCACCACCACACTGGCTAATTTTTAAAAATTTTTTGTAGAGATGGGGTTTCCCTATGTTGCCCAGGCTGGTCTCAAACTGCTGGCCTCAAGTGATCCTCTGGCCTCAGCTTCCAAGTGTGCTGGGATTACAGGCATGAGCCACCTTACCTGACTGTAGTATTCTTTAACTTGATGTATATCTGTGAGATGCATTCATGTTATCCCATGTGGTGATACTGTCTTTATTTTCATTTCTGTGTAGTATTCCATTGTATGAATATATCACAGTTGGGTTTTCCATTCTCCTGATGAGGTCTCCAAGTTACATTTGGGTAATTTCTGGTTAGGAACTATGATGAATAAAGTTTCCATGAGCATTCCTGTATATTTCTTTTGGTGAGCATTGCATTTATTTTTATAGGGTAAATACCCCAGAGTGAAATTACTGGGTGATGGAATATATGGATGTTTGGCTTTAGTAGACCCTGCCGAAGTTTTCCAGGGTGGTTGTGCCCATTTACTCTCCCACCAGCCGCATATGAGGATTCTGATTACATCCTTCCCAGCACTTGGCATTGACAGTTTTTAACATTTGCCATTGTGGTGGGAGTGTAGTGGTATTTCACTGTGGTGTTAATTTTTATTTTCCTGATGATTAATGATGTAGAATACCTTTCCATGTCTATTGGCTATTTTGACCTATTTGATGTAGTGCAGTCTGTTGCCTCCTTTTTTCTGAACTCAATTAAGTGGAATTCACTGCAAAGGTAAAGTGGCTTATATTCCAAGTTATGTAACACCTCCAGCACAGTGTAGGGCAGTGATGTGCTGGCAAACTGGTTCTCAGAATTTTTTTTTTTTTTTTTGAGACAAGGTCTTGCTCTGTCTTGCAGGCTGGAGTGCAGTGACACAATCTCAGCTCACTGCAGCCTCAAGCTCCTAGGCTCAAGCAATCCTTCCACCTCAGCCTCCTGAGAGTTGAGACTACAGGGTGCGCTGCCACACCCGGCTAATTTTTGTATTTTTATAGACAGGGGGGGTTCACCATGTTGCCCAGGCTGGTCTCAAACTCCTGGGCTCAAGTGATCTGCCCGCCTCAGCCACCCAAAGTGCTAGGATTATGGACATGAGCCACCGCGCCCAGCCAGATTGGCCAGATTTTTTTTAGTAGCCTGATTTGCAGTATTTTCTGATTTCTATGATATACATACTTCAACCATAGCCAATTTCAAGCTACTGAATGGCTTGCAAAACTCCTGAATATTTAACAAATGGCTCCCATGAGCCAGGATGGATTGGCTCCAGGATACCACTGCGTCTAGGGTAGCACCTCTAATAAAACTAATTGATATTTCTGCAGCAAACTGTGTAAATATTCACACTAATTGGTGTAAAACATCTTCATATCCATTGAGGTCAGATTTTTGCGTGCAAAGAATCAACCATGAATTAACTGTAAAAGAAGGACTTTCAGTTGAGAAAGATCTTTGGATTTTCACATTGCACGTAAAAGATAGTGGGTCTGTTTCTGCATGGATTCCACTGTCTGCAGATTTGCTGATACTGTTGGGATCCTTCGGGAAATCCTGGTGACCTTTGTGAACAGCAGTGAACAATGATTTTGAGCTCAGTGATGTCCAAGGTCCCTTTAGTTCTAGAAGTCTATGGCTAAAAATTTAAGAAATATTTCACTAACTGCCCATTTGGCTTTATTTCTATTTTAGTACTACTGTGGGCTGGAGTCTTTTAAAACATGGTTTCTGGAGCCATGGAGAGATGGTTTCTGGTAAACCCAGCGCTCGCATGGTCCTTCCCACAGAAGGTTCTGGAGTCAGGCTGCCTAGACTTAAATCTTGGCTCCACCACTGGCTTGCTCTTGGATTTGGGGCAAGTCATGTGAAATCCTTCTGTGCCTTTGTTTCCTCACTGATCATGAAAACTGAAGTGTGAAAAAAGGTGGAATTCCTGAGGCCCATCTCTGGGCTGCCCACTGGGGGCTTCCTCAGACACAGGACCCCAGATGGCATTGAGCATCTTGAGTCAGCCAGCGTTGGCCAGTGGAGGGGGGCAGTTTGCAGTGGCCACAGGAGAATCTTACTCCACACGACTTAGTGCCCCGGTGTTTCCCCATCTTCCCTGACGCAGCTTCTTTGTCAGTGGCGCTCAGGCCCAAGGCCCATCCCTTCCTCAAGAAATCCTGCTCCTACTTGAGGAAACTTGGCATCCAGGGCCTCCCCCAACCCTGGCAACAGTTCGGAATCCACCACTGTGAGATATCTCAGACCTGGTTTCTTGAGTCTTTTGCTTCCTGTGGGGCCTGTCCGGAGACCCTGATTTAGATCTCGCCTCTCTCCCCTCCCTCTAGAGGCAGTAGAAGCTGTGACCAAGCTCATGCTTTGTGTCCTGGACCGTCTGGGCCAAGAGAAGGCCACCTGCCGGAGGCAGGGCCAGTGGCCACTCTTGTTGGGTTCTCATCATTAAACTGTTGTTCTGATGCCTATTTGTAAAATTGGGTTGTCTGTCTTGTTCCTGTAGGTTCCTGGGAGCTCTTCCGTCTGGCTATC
The DNA here is from genome assembly GCF_000001405.40 of Homo sapiens. NCBI lineage: Eukaryota > Metazoa > Chordata > Mammalia > Primates > Hominidae > Homo > Homo sapiens. The sequence goes on from NC_000020.11 coordinate 36,286,411, forward strand.
AGCCATCAGTTGGATACCTATATTGAAAACATAATGTCTCCTAGTCTGAGGCTTGTCTTTTACCTCTCCTAAATGAAGAGTTCAATATTAATGAAGTCTAATTTATCATTATTTTCTTTTATCATTAGTGGTTCTTTGTTTGTTTTTGTGAGACAGGGTCTTGCTCTGTTGCTCAGGCTGAGTGCCGTGGCATGATAACGGCTCACTGCAGCCTCAACCTCCCAGGCTCAAGTGATCCTCCCACCTCAGCCTCCCGAGTAGCTGGGACTACAGGTGCACATCACCATGCCCAGTTAATTTTCATATTTTTTTGTAGAGATGGCGTTTCACCATGTTGCCCAGGCTGGTCTCGAACTCCTGAGCTCAAGTGATCCTCCTTCCTCAGTCTCCCAAAGTGCTGAGATTACAAGTGTGAGCCACCATGCTCAGCCACTGTTTCTTATATCTTTTAGGAAATGAAGATATTTATTCATATTTTCTTCTAGAATTTGTATTGTTTTTGTTTCCACATACAGATCTATGAAATTGATCTATCTTGCAATTAATTATATCTTCAATTAATTTTTGTGTATGGTGCATGATAAGAGTCAAAATTCCTTTTTGTCATATGGATATCTAGTTTTGGTGGCATTATTTATTGAAAAGACCACCCTTTCCCCCACTGAATTTCAGGATACATCATGAGCCAGGTGACATGGCATGGGTCCAGTTTTGGACTGTCGTCAGTACTTCGATCTATTTGTCTTTGCACTAATGCCCACTGTCTTGATTACTATAGTTCTATAGCTTATTTTTATTTAACCTTTTTGTCTCGAGAGAATTGTAGATTTGCATACAATTGTAAGAAAGAATACAGAGAGATCCCACATTCCCTTTACCTGGTTTCTCCCAATGGTAACATCTTGCAAAACTCTAGTATAATATCACATCTAGAATGTTGATATTGATGCGGCCCTCTGGTCTAATTCAGATTTCCCCAGTTTTACCTGTATTCATTTGTGCATGAGTGTGTGTGTGTGTTTAGTTCTGTACAATTTTATCACCTGTGTAGGTCTGCGTATCCACACAGAGTGAAGCTTCAGAACACTTTCATCACCACCAGAATCTCGTGTTTCCCTTTTCTCAGCCACACCCGCCACCCTTCCACATTCTCTCTCCACCCTACTCCTAACCCCAATCCCTGACACTCACTAATCTGTTCTCCACTTCTGTGTTTTTATCCAGAAATGTTATATAAATGGAATCGCACAATAGCTTTTCGGGATTGGCTTCTTTCACTCAGTGTAAATTCCCTTGGGATGCACACGGTGGTTCTGTGTGTCAGTAGTTTGTTCCTTTTTATTGATGAGTGGTATTCCATGGTGTGGATGCACCAGTTTGTTTGGCCATTCATCCGTTGAAGGATATCTGAGTTGTTTCCAGTTTGGGGTTACTATGAATAGAGCTGCTATAAACAATCATGTGAACATGATTTTTGTGTGAGCATAAGTTTCTATTTCTCTTGGATAAATGCCCAAGAGTGCAATTTCTGGGGTGTATGGTAATTGTATGTTTAGGGGTTTTTTTCCAATTGGTTTTATTTTGTAGAGCCATCTTAAATTCACAGAAAAAATTGAATGGAAGGTACAGAGAGTTCTCATATACCCCCATCCCTACATACGCAGAGCCTCCCCCACCTCAAAATCCCACCACCAGAGTGGTACATTCGTTATCATCAATGAACCTAAATTGACACATCATTATCACACAGAGACCATGGTTTACATTAGGGTTCACTCTGGTGTACATTCCATGGCTTTTGGCAAATGTAAAACGACATGTGTCCCTCATTACAGTGTTATTCAGATCATTTTCGCTGCCCTGAAAATCCTCTATGTTCCACCCACTCATCCCTCTCTACCCCCAACCTCTGGCAACCACCTGATGCTTTTACTGTCTCCATAATTTTGCCTTCTCCAGAATGTCATATACAGCTGACACTTAAACGATGCAGGAGGCAGGGGTACTGACCCTTTGTGCAGTTGAAAATCTGAGTATAACTTTTGACCCCCAAAACCTAACTACTAATAACCTACTGTTTACTAGAAAGAAGCCTTACTGATAATGAACAGTTGATTAACACCTATGTTGTATGTTATACGTATTATATACTGTATTCTTACAATCAAGTAAGCCAGAGAAAAGAAAACGTTATTAAGAAAAATCATAAGAAAGAGAAAATACATTTACTATTCATTCAGTGGAAGTGGATAATCATAAAGGTCTTTATCCTCATCATCTTCACATTGTGTAGGCAGAGGAAGAGGAGCAAGAGGAGGGGTTGATCTTGCTGTCTCAGGGGTGGTGGTTCATGTGTGAGTTTTTTCAAATTATTGCAAATTTCAAAGTTGTCCAATATATATATATTTAAAATCCACATATAAGTGGACCTGTGTGATTAGAATCTGTGTTGTTCAAGGGTCAACTGTAGTTGAAATCATACAGTAGGTAGCCTTTTCAGATTGGCTTTTTTCTCTTAGTAATATGCATTTAATATTTCTCTATGTCTTTTCATGGCTAGATAGCTCATTTCTTTTTAGTGCTGAATAATATTTCATTGTCTGAATATAGCACAGTTTACTTGTCCACTAACCTACTGAAGGACATCTTGGTTGCTTCTGTGTTTTGGCAATTATTAATAAAACTGAAATAGACTTTCAAGTGCAAGTTTTTATGTGACATAAGTTTTCAATTCATTTGGGTAAATACTAAGGAGCATGATTGCTGGATCAGATGGTAAGAGTATTTTTAATTCTGTAAGAAACCACCAAACCGTCTTCCAAAGTGGCTGTACCATTTGCATTCCCACCAGCAGTGAATGAGAGTTCCTGTTGCTCCATATCCTCACCAGCGTTTGGTGTTGTTAGTGTTTTGGATTTTTGCCATTCTAATAGGTCTGTGGAGTGGTATCTTACTGTTGTTTAAATTTGCAATTATCCAATGACATATGATGTTGAACATTTTTCATATGCTTACTTGCTATCTGTATATCTTCTTTGGAGAGGTGTCTGTTAATGTCTTTTGCCCAGTTTTAAGTTGGGTTGTTTGTTTTCTTATTGTTGAGTTTTAGGAGTTCTTCATGTATTTTAGATAACAGTCCTTTACCAAGTATATCTTTTACAAATACAGTCATGCACCACATAATAATGTTTCTATCAATGACAAACCACATATATGAAGGTGGTCCTATGAGATTATAATGGAGCTTAAAAAGTCCTATTGCCTAGTGACGTAGTAGATGTCTTAATGTTCTAGGCTGACACATTCTTCATGTGTTTGTAGTAATGCCGATGTAAACAAACCTACCGTGCCGCCAGTAGTATAAAAGTCTAACATATACAATTATGTACATTTGACCATGATAATAAACAACTGTTACTGGTTATGTATTTACTATATCATGTTTTTATTGTTATTTTGGAGTGTACTTCTACCATTAAAAAAAGTTTACTTAAAACAGTATGCCATGGTATGCTGGCAGCAGCTCATGCATCTCATGTTTATTTTTGTACAGCTGTACAATGTGTTTGTGTTTTAAGCTAATTGTTATTACACAAGAGGCAAAAGTTTTTTTTGTCATTGTTTTGTTTTGTTTTTAAGACGGAGTCTTGCTCTGTTGCCCAGGCTGGAGTGCAGTGGCACAATCTCGGCTCACTGCAACCTCTGCCTCCCGGATTCAAAGAATTCTCCCTGCCTCAGCCTCCCAAGTAGCTGAGATTACAGGTGCCAGCCACCATGCCCGGCTAATTTTGTATTTTTAGAATAGACGGGGTTTTGCCATGTTGGCCAGGCTGGTCTTGAACTCCTGATCTCAGGTGATCCACCTGCCTCGGCCTCCCAAAGTGCTAGGATTACAGGTGTGAGCCACCGTGCCCAGCCAAAAAGTATTTTTTAAGTTTAAAGTTTATAAAGTAAAAAAGGTACAGTAATCTGAGTTGAGCTCTTGCTGCATTTTGAGAGTTCTTTGAGAGTTCTAAGGTTAATTTATTATTGAAGAAAGAAAAATATTTTTTACAAATTTAGTGTACCCTAAGTATACAGTATTCGTAAATTCTACAATAGTGTACAGTAATGTCCTCAGCCTTCACATTCATTCACACCTCACTCATTGACTTACCCAGAGCAACTCCCAGTCCTGCAAGCTCCACTCATGATAAATGCCCTATACAGGTGTACCATTTTTAAATCTTTTACACCATGTTTTTACTGTAGCTTTTCTGTTTAGATATGTTTAGATACACAAATATGTACCATTGTGTTACAATTACCTAGAGTATACAATACTGTACCATATTGTACAGGCTTGCAGTCTAGGAGCAATAGGCTATACCATCTGGCTTAGGTGTATAGTAGGCCATAGCGCCTGGGTTGGTGCCAGTATGCTGTATGATGTTCTTTGCACAAGGACAAATTCACCTAATGAAGCATTTCTCATAACATATCCCCATCATTAAGCAATGCATGACTGTATTTCCTCCTAGTCTGTGGCTCTTCTTCTCATTCTCTTGATATTGTCTTTTACAGAGCAGAAGTTTTTAATTTTAATGAAACCCAGCTTATAAATTATTTCTTTTATGTCTCATGCCTTTGGTGTTGTTTGTTTGTATCTAAAAAGTCATTACCATTCCCAAGGTCATGTAGGCTTTATCCTATGTTGTCATCTAGGACTTTAATAGTTTTGTGTTTTACATTTACGTCTATGAGCCATTTTGAGTTAATTTTTGTGAAAGGTGTAAAGTCTGTGTTTAGACTCTTTTTTTTTTTTTTTTTGGCATGAGGATCTCCAGTTTTTCCAGCACCATTTGTTGAAAAGACTCGCTTTGTTCCTCTGCATTGCCTTTGCTTCTTTGTCAAGTATCAGTTGACTATACTTATGTGGGTCTATTTCTGGGCTCTCTATTCTGTTCCATTGATCTGTTTGTCTTTTCTTTCACCAATGACCACATTGCCTTGACAATAATAGCTTTATAGTAAGTCTTGAAGCTGGGTAGTATCAGCCCTCCAACTTTATTCATCTTCAATGTTGAATTGGCTATTCTTGGTCTTTTGCCTCGCTGTGTAACTTTTAGAATCAGTTTGTCAATACCCTCAAATAACTTGTTGGGATTTTGATTGGGATTGCATTGACTCTATAGATCAAGTTGGAAAGAACTGACATCTTGACAAGATTGAATCTTCTATCCATGAACATGGAATAACATTCCATTTATTCTGTTCTTTGATTTCTTTAATCAGAAGCTTGTAGTTTTTCTCATATAGATCTTGTACATATTTTTGTTAGATTTATACCTATTTCATTTTGGGGATACTAATGTAAATGGTATTGGGCTTTTAACTTCAAATTCCACTTGTTTATTGCTGGTGAAAGTAATTGATTTTTGTATATTAACTTTGTATCCTGCAACCTTGCTATAATTGCTTATTAATTCCCAGAGTTTATGTTTAATTTTATTTTTTAAAAACCTGTCATACTGTTTTCTAGAGGGGCTGTACCACTTTACATTCCCACTAGCAGCATATGAGTGATTCAGTTTTTCTGCATTCTTGCAAAATCTGGTGTTGTCACTGTTTTTCACTTTAGCAATTCTGATAGGTATATAATGCTATCTCATTGTGCTTTTAATTTGCTTTTCCTGATGGCTAATGATGATGAACATCTTTTCATGGGCTTATTTGTCATCAGTATATCTTGTTTGGTGAAATGTTCACTAATGTCTTTTGCCCATTTTCTTATTGGATTGTTTGTTGTTGTTGTTGTTGTTGTTTAAATTATTGAGTTTTGAGAGTTCTTTATACATCCTAGATACCAGCCCTTTGTTGTAAATATTTTCTCTCCACTATATGTTTTAATATACCCTGAAATCTAGTAATATTAGTCCTATAGCTTCATGCTACTTCTTCAGTATAGTCTCTGCAGTTGAAAGTCCGTTGGATTTCATATAAATTTTAGAATGAGCTTATCAAGTTCCCAAGAGGATGTTAATTGGGATTGGGATCTATAGATCCATGTGAGAAGAACTGACATCTTTCAAATCGTGAAAAAGTGCTGGGATTACAGGAGTGAGCCATCGCACCTGGCCATATTTGTTGATTTTTTTTTTTTTTTTGAAACAGATTCTCGCTGCGAACATGATATATCTCCCCATTTATTAGGTTCTTTTTTTCATTTCTTTCTGCAGTGTTTTGTGATTTTCAGTGTAAAAGTCTTACACATCTTTCATTAGAGATATTTCTGGGTATTTTATGGGTTTTGGTGATATTGTGTTGTCTATTTAAATTTCTTTGTTTCGGCCAGGCACAGTGGCTCATGCCTATAATCCCAGCACTTTGGGAGGCCCAGGCGGGTGGATCACCTGAGTTCAGGAGTTCAAGACCAGTCTGCTCAACATGATGAAACCCCATCTCTACTAAAAATACAAAAAAATTAGCCAGATGTGGTGGTGGGCGCCTGTAATCCCAGCTACTCGGGAGGCTGAGGCAAGAGAATTGCTTGAACCTGGGAGGCGGAGTTTACAGTGAGCCAAGATCGTGCCACTGCACTCCAGCCTGGGCGACAGAGCAGGACTCTGTCTCAAAAAATAAATAAATAAATAATTTTTTTGTTTGTTGCTCATATGTAAAAATACAAATAATTTTTGAATATTTGTTTGTGTATAGAGACTTTGCTAAACTCACTTATTAACTCTAATAGTTTGTAGATTCTTTTGGATTTTCCACATTCACAAAATGTCATCTGTGAATAATGATATTTTTATTCCTTCAGTTCCAGTTTGTACATTTTTTCTCATCTTTTTGCACTGACTAGGATCTCTAATACAATGTTAAATAAAAATAATGACAGTAGACAGTTAATCTAAAGGGAAAAGCATTCTAAATGTTTTTCACCAATAAGTGTGATGTTAGCTATAGGGTTTTATAGGTGCCCATTATAAGGTAAGAGAAGACCTTTTCAGTTTCTAGTATGGAGAATTTTTATTTTGAATGGGTATTGAATTTTACCAAATGTTTTCCACTTTTTTAATTTTTTTCCCACATTTTTTGAAATGATAGTTTTTTAGAATATTTTTGAAGTGGTGAATTATATTGGTTTTTTGGTGCAGTGGCAAGATCTCGGCTAACTACAACCTCCACCTCCCGGGTTCAAGCGATTCTCCATCTCAGCCTCCCAAGTACCTGGGACTACAGACATGCACCACCAAGCCTGGCTAATTTTTGTATTTTTAGTAGAGACGGGGTTTTGCCATATTGGCCAGGCTGGTTTCGAACTCCTGACCTCAAGTGATCCACCTGCCTCAGTCTCCCAAAGTGCTGGGATTATAGGAGTGAGCCATCCTACCTGGCCATATTGGTTGATTTTTTTTTTTTTTTGAAACAGATTCTTGCTCTATCGCCCAGGCTGGAGTGCAGTGGCGAGATTCTGGCCCACTGCAACCTCCACCTCCCAGGTTCAAGTGATTCTCCCACCTCAGTCTCCCCAGTAGCTGGAATTACAGGCGTGTGCCACCATGCCCAACTAATTTTTTTGTATTTTTAGTAAAGATGGGGTTTTGCCATGTTGGCCAGGCTGGTCTCAAACTCCTGACCACAAGTGATCTGCCCCCACTTTGCCTCCCACAGTGCTGGGATTACAGGTGTGAGCCACTACGCCCGGCCATATTGATTGATTTTTTTTTTTTTTTAATGGAGATGGAATCTCACTCTGTCACCTAGGCTGGAGTGCAGTGGAGCGATCTCGGCTCACTGCAATCTCTGCCTCCCGGGTTCAAACAATTCTTCCACCTCAGTCTCCCGAGTAGCTGGGACCACAGGTGCATGCCGCCATGCCCAGCTAACTTTTTGTATTTTACTAGATACGGGGTTTCACTGTGTTGCCCAGGCTGGTCTCGAAATCCTGAGCTCAGGCAATCCACCCTCCTCAGCCTCCCAAAGTACTAGGATTTTTTATTTTAAAAATCCGATTTTTGAATTTAAAAGCAACATTAAATTCATGAAATAAATCACATTTGGTCATGTTGTATTGTGCTTTTTATATATCTCTAGATTTATTATGTTAATATTTGTTTAGTATTTTTGCATCTACATTTATGTAGATATTGGCTTATAATTTTTCTTTTTTGTAATGTAAAGTGAGTCAGGAAATATTCATAAATTGAGTCAGGAAATATTCCCTCCTTTACTATTCTCTAGAAGAATTTATAGGATTAATGTTCTTTATTCTCTAAATATTTGGGAAAATTCACCGGTGAAGCCATCTAGGCTTAGATAATTTTTGTGTGTGAGAAGGCTTTAAATTAGAGATTCAATATTTAAAAATAGGTATAGGGCTGTTCAAAATTTTTATTTCTTCTTGTATCCTTTTGGTAAGTAATGCTTTTCAAAGAATTTGTCCATTACAATTAAATTATCCAAGTTTTGGCATAAAGATGTTTACAATATTTTCTTATTGCCTTTTAAATGTCTATAGTATCTATGGGTGCAGAGCTTTGGGAGGCCGAGGCACTCAGATCACTTGAGGTCAGGAGTTCAAACCAGCCTGGCCAATATGGTGAAACCCCATTTCTACTAAAAATAGGAAGCCGGGCATGGTGGTGCGCTCTTGTAGTCCCAGTTACTCGGGAGGCTGAAGCAGGAGAATTGGTTGAACCCAGGAGGCGGAGGTTGCAGTGAGCCAAGATTGCACCACTGAACTCCAGCCTGTTGGACAGATTGAGACTCTGCCTCAAAAATAAATTAATTAATTAATTAAAATGTCTATAGTATCTGTAGTGATGCCCTTTCTTCATTCTTGATGTTTACAACTTATGTTATCTCTCTCTCTCTCTTCATGATCCTTTTCAACGAACCAACTTTTGGCTTTGTTAGTTTTCAGATCCATTTAAAATGGAATTCTGAGGCTGGGCGCAGTGGCTCACGCCTGCACTCCCAGCACTTTGAGAGGCCAAGATGGGTAGATCACCTGAGGTCAGGAGTTCGAGACCAGTCTGGCCAACATGGTGAAACTCTGTCTCTACTAAAAATACAAAAATTAGCCAGGGGTGGTGGTATGCGTCTGTAATCCCAGCTACTCGGAGGCTGAGGCAGGAGAATCGCTTGAACTGGGCAGGCAGAGGTTGCAGTGAACCAAGATCACGTCACTGCACTCCAGCCTGGGTGACAGAGGGAGACTCTATCTCCAAAATAAATAAATAAATTCTGAGCTTGAATTTTTTGGTATCACATAAATATTTAGAATTCAGGCCTTGAATCCATGTGAGGGCCAGTCAGTATCCACAACTTCTCAGAGGTTACTCCTCTTTAATCCCACCCAGACCCAAAGCTGAGACAGATCATTTTCTTTGCTGTCTGTCTTCATGGGGCAGGATTAAAAAAAAAATCACGCCTTTCCTGAGTCCATAATTTATGTAGGGTGAGCTCTGACTCATTTGGCTGTCTGTCCTGTACAGGTTGCAGGCTTTGTATTACCTGAGTTAGAGATGTCTGCATGACATCCACAACGCCAATGTAGGCTGATCTCTCAGGACTCATATTCCTGCTTTGTTTCTGGCACAAGAGAATTTCTCTACTTTCTTGAAGACTTATTCATTTCTATATAATGTTTAAAATCTATAGCATTTGACAGTGGTGAGAACGTAGTATTTCTCACCTTAGGGTGTTTGTATTGCTGTTCCCTCCAGCTGGAATGCTTTTCACCGAGATATCTGCAGGGCTGCCTCCTTTGCTCTGTTCCTCACACCTTACCTTCTCAGTGAGTCCTACCGGACTTCCCTATTTAATCATCTTCATCAACTCTAGCACCCCCTATTCCCCTTACCTTCTCTGCTTTTCCTTTTTTTGTTTTTGTTTGCTTTTTTTACACAGGGTCTTACTGTGTTGCCCAGGCTGGAATGCAATCATAGCTCACTACAGCCTCCATCTCCTGCTCTCAGATGATCCTTCTGCTTCAGCCTCCTGAATAGCTGGGGCTGCGGGCACACACCAGCACACTTGGCTAATTTTTAATTTTTTTAGTAGAGATGAGATCCGGTTATGTTGCCCAGGCTGGTCTCAAACTCCTAGACTCAAACGATGCTCTCCTCCCAAAATGCTAGGATTACAGACGTGAGCCACCATGCCTGTCTCTTTCCTTTTTGTCATAGAACTTATAGCCATCTGTGTCATTTACTGATTTATCATGTTTTTTGTTTATTGACCAGTTCCTTTTGCTAGATGTAAGCTTCATGAAGGCAGGTTCTTTATGTTTTCTTTACTCCAAATTCCTAAAACAGTGTCTGGCACATAGCAGGCTCTCAGTAAATATTCTCTCAGTAAATATTCTTTTTTTTTTTTTTTTGAGACAGAGTCTTGCTCTGTTGCCCAGGCTGAAGTACAGTGGCATGATCTTCGCTCACTGCAACCTCCACCTCCTGGGTTCAAGCGATTCTCCTGCCTTAGCCTCCCGAGTAGCTGAGACTACAGGCGCCCACCACTATGCCCAGCTAATTTTTTGTATTTTTAGTAGAGACGGGGTTTCACCATGTTGGCCAGGCTGGTCTCGAACTCCTGATCTCAGGCGATCCACCTGCCTCAGCCTCCCAAAGTGCTAGGATTACTGGCGTGAGCCACCACGCTTGGCTCAGTAAATATTCTTTAAAAAAGTGTCCAGAAACTGAGTCCTTTTATTGGACAGAGGGGAAAACAGGAGTGCAGAGAGGGAAAGGGATTTGTCTAAGGTCACCTGGAGAGATGGTGGCAGAACCAGGACCAGAACAATTTCTCCTGGCCTGTTACGATGTGCCCTCTGCCTCCTCGGAGCCTCCCCGCAGGGCTCAGGTATGAGTGGTGCGGAAGCAGCCTGCATCTCATGGCACTGTGGGCCACTTTCTCCTTCGGGAAGCACAGTCTGCCCTGACTTCTGTCACATGCCGCTCCCTGTTTTCCTTCTCCTTACCTGCTTACATTCTTTTAGCCTCTTTTGCTTGACCCATGAAGTGGCTATGTCCTTAGGCTCTGTCTTTCTCAAGGCCCTCTTATTGAATGACCTTGCTCACTCCACACCTTCAGTCATTCCCTCTCCAGGCTCGGTCTCTCCCAAGTGCCCATTTTTCTGGACATCTCTTTTCAAGCCTCTGGATGCCTGGCAGGCTCCTTGTGTGCAAGAGAAAAGCCTTGGTCCTGAAGCAAAATACCTGGCTCCACATTCACTCAGTGAACCCGTGGGTCAATCCTCACCACTCTCTGAGCCTCGAAGTTTCCTTCTGAGAAAAAGGACATCTTTTCATTCAATCCCCACAGGTTTGTTGGGAGGTTCTAGGAAGACTGTGGATTGACAGCTGTTTGCAAACTTAAAACATGGCTCCAAAGGAGGGACAGCACTCTGTGCTCCATAGACAGTGCACACAAGTCCCCAAGTGGGCCATCCTCTTCCGGCCTCCCCCTACCATTTGCCCAGACCTCCTGTCTCCAGGGCAACCCTACCAGTCCCCCATACCAGATACTGGAGCCTCGTTTTGCCTCCTCCTCTCCCCCATCCCCACTTTGGGATCCACCAGCAACAACGTTGGTTCTGCCTACTCGGTATCTCTTTCCACTGTCCCCTCCTCCCCCTCCTACACTCCAGGTCCCATTAGCTCTCCCCCAGACAGTTTCAGTGGCCTCCTTTCTGGTGTCCCTGGCTTCCTTCTGTTTGGAAAAAGCCTCTACTCTCCTAGGCTTCAGATGTGACAGTTGCCTCTAAATCCAAGATTTGGATTAGTGGGGTCAACAAGATGGGCTGCTTGAGTGGGGTCACCAGAGGATGCACGGGTTGATGGTTGACCAGACGTTCACTGGTGAGGCCTGTTTATGAGATGCTTTGAGTGGGATCCACTAGATGCTGAAGCAGGCAGGATTTGGTTGTCCCTCTACTTGGGTGAAGGTGTCAGATACCCAGGTGAGGTCAGGCCCAGAGCTGACTTGAGGGAGCTGAGGCCAGAAAGGGGCTAAGACGCATCTGTCCACATCCCTCCATTTCTCCCTCTCCACCCAAGGGTCCTTGAATTCCCAGCCACAGCCCCCTCCCTCACCCCACTTTGTATGGGTCTCTGGGGCAATTCCAGAAAGTCGTCTTCTGCCCACTTCAGCATAACCTGGGACTTTATCCCGGCTCCACCACTTACTCCCTTGGAAAAATGCATTTACTTACTTGGGCTTCAGTTTCCTCTCTGAAAAACGGGGCTTTTAAATCCTCCTAGCTGAGGTATTGGGAGAATCAGTTGAAAGTCCCTCCGAAGACTTTGGTGCTATGCGCAGGAAATACATGGGCCAGGGGTCACTTTCTCTCTATCCTTCCACCCCTCCCACTTGCCCCACACTCTGAGCATTTGAAGGGAGAAGACCTTGTCTTGTTCCTGAGACACTCCTCCTACCCCATGCCTGGCCCAGGGGTGCCCAGAAATGTTTTCTGAATTGAATCAACGAAGGGAGAGGGTGTTGGGAAACAAGCAGGGCCCTGGCCAGGACATTTAGACCTGGGGTAGGGACAGGACTGTCCCTCACAGTCCCAAACACACCTTTTCATCCTGTCAATGAATTTTGGCTTTCAAGTCCTACAGACCTGGGTTCGAATCCTGGCCCAGCTCCGAGGCCTGGCACAAACGATCTCAAGTCTGCAAGCCTCAGCTCCTCGTCTGCAAAGGCTGTGGAGCGATCTCCAGCTCACAGGGGTGCTGACACACAGTAGGTGCTCAGGAAATGGCACCCAGCCCATATTCCTCCTTCCCTTCCTCCTTTTCGCCTTTCCTTTCTTCCATGTGAGAGATGTCTCCAAGGAAACAGGAGGAATTATTTAAAGAAAAGAGCCGAGGACTCGGGTGGGAGCGGATGGTGGCTCGGGCATCTGGAAGGCAGAGGCAGGCTGCACTGGCCCTTCAAGGAGACAATGGGACCCAGGTGCCTCCTCATCTCAGACAGCACTAGGCAGGGCCTATGGCAAATCTATGTTGAGGGGCAGTGGAAAAATGCTCCTGGCACCAAAGAGCAGGAACAGAGCAATGGACCCTGCTCTGCATTTGCCTTACTTGGTGGCCCTGAAAAAGTCCCAGCCCTCCAGCCTTGTGGCCTGGGGGTGAATGGGAGGTACTACTGCAAGGGAGGTGGGCAGGGAGAAGGTGAATTGGGGCTGGTGAGTTCCGGGCTTAGAAGAGTAAAAGTGAAGGTCTCAGGGTGCTCCTGAGCTGGGCAGAAATTCATTCATTCATTCATTCATTCATTCATTCATTCACTCATTTATTCATTCGTTCAACTCATATCTACTGAACTGAACACCTTCCTCCTCTCTGCCAGGCAATGAGCACACCTCATTTCACGTTTTCCTCAGAATATCCTTGTTATGAGATTTTTGCCCCCACTGTGCAGATGAAGAAACTGAGGCTCTGAGAGGCGAAATGAATCACCCAAGTCCACAAAGTCAAAGATTCAAGCAGGGCACGGTAGCGTGCACCTGTAATCCCAGCTACTGGGGAGGCTGAGGTGGGAGGATCACTTGAGCCCAGGAGTTTGAGGCTGCATTGAGCCATGATCATGCCACTGCACTCCAGCCTGGGCTGCAGAGCCAGACCCCATCTCCAAAAAAAAAAAAATCAACAGTTCTTTCCCAGCCTTGTCCTCATTTTCTATAGATCACTATCACCTTCAATAAAAAGTCCTGATGCCTTGAGAGGACCTCACGGTCATGATGATCCAGCCCCTGCCAACCTTTCTGGCTTCACCTTTGAGCTCTCCAGGCTTCCGTCTCAGTGAGCTGCCAGTAGTGGCTCAGATGTGCCCCAGCCTGGCCTCCAGGTCTCTGAGCATGTCCTTACGCTGCAACGTCCCCTCTGTCTTCCCCTTGCTCTTCAGGCTAAGTCCTGCACAGCTTAGGGGTCACCTCTTCCTGTAACCCTTCTGACCCTCTCCCAAGGCTCAGTCAGTGCCCTCCAGGAGTGGTGGGTTTTCTTGTGTCTCCTCCGTGGGCAGCAAGCCCCTTGAGGCCAGTGACATTCCTCATGCAACTCTGCATCCCTGGTACCCAGGAGGGGCTGGACCTGGGTGGGTATCAGTGGGCACCAAGTGAGTGAATGAATGGATGAGATAAGGTACAGTGTGAAATTGCTACTCCTAGCCTCAATCATTTTGTTCTCTAAACATTTCCCAGGCACCTCCTCCATGCCAGGCCTGATGCCAGCCCCGGGGAAGACGATAACTCAGCCTTGCAATTCACTTTGTGGTTCACAACGTGCTTCCATTATAACAGTCCCAGCCACCCTGCAAAGTAGATGTTTGTGTTGTTTTGGGCTGTGTCCATTTTTTGAATGTGGAAACTGAGACCCAGTGAGGTTGGGTAACTTGCCCAGTCACAGCCAGTGTGTGACAGAGCCAAGATATGAATCCAGGCCTGTTCACTCCAGAGCCCACACTCCCCCACACCGGGAAAACAAATCAAAATAGAGCAAAGGAATACATGACACTTAGAAATTTATTTTGGAACAAATTTGGACAATATAGAAAATTTGGAAAATATAGGAGAGGAGAAAAAAGGAGGTAATTCTGCATAGCTCCCCTCCCCTGGGATACATGTCATTAAGTGTCATTAAAAGTTTGAGAATCTTCTGCTTGTTTTGGCTGAGCCTGGCCAAGTTCATATGATGCAAGCAGCACACGGTATGAACCCAGACTGTCAAATGCTGCCTTTTTAAATTTTTTTGAGGCAGGGTCTCCCTCAGTCACCCAGGCTAGAGTGCAGTGGTACAAACACGGCTCACTGCAGCCTTGACCTCCTAGGCTCAAGTGATTCTCCCACCTCAGCCTCCCAAGTAGCTGGGACTACAGGCATGCTCCACCACACCCAGCTAACTTTTTAATTTTGTAGGGATGGGGTCTCGCCATGTTGCCCAGGCTGGCCCTGGACTCCTGGCCTCAAGCAGTCCTCCTGCCTCAGCCTCCCAAAACACTGGGATTACAGGTATAACTGTGCAGGTCTCAAATACCATGCTTTGATATTAATTTAATGTGGCCTGAACCCCAAGGAGCTACTTCCAGTCTTGTGGGAGAGGAGGAAGTAACAGGTGTGCCTAAGCGGGGGTTCCCCCTAAGTGGACCCTGAAACAGGCACTTGAGTGCAGGTAGTTTATCTGAGAGGTGATCCTAGTCTGCAGGAGGGAGGCAGAGGAGGAGGGAAAGTCAGTCAGATGGGCATTTGCCAGCAGGGCACCACTGTGGGCCACTGGAGCTCCATCTTGCTGGGGACGTTCTGAAGAACAGTGGAAAGCGTGCCTGAGACTGTCTCCCTGAAGGCTCGGAGGCTGCAGCATTTCCTCTGTGACTCTTTTCCCCAAGGGACTGAAGGTTCTGCTGGGGGCCTTACTCTCCTGCATTTCCAAGCCGTCCTGTGCTTGGATGGGACAAGCTCTTGCAACTTCAGAAAATGCCATCAGGCAGAAAAGTGGAGAGACCTGGTGGGTGCTTGCAGCAGACCAGAGTTCAGGAGCTGTCCACCAAGGCTGCAGCAGAATTCAAGATGGGCACCAACAGCATTTGCTTTGAGACGTGGTGTGTCTTTGTCATCATAAAGTGTTTTGGGGGTATAAAACCAGGAATGAGACATAGAATGAGACATAGAAGTCAGGGGTGATTTCCCCAGAATAGGTGACATTCGAGTTGAATTTTGAAAGGTGACTACACAATGGGAGAAGAGGCATTTCAGGTAAAGGCTGAGGTGTGAAACAGCTTGTTGTCTTCAGGAGAAACTGCAGAGCTTGTACCTGAGTCATGGGGTTTGGCCAAGACTGGTTTGGTACAAGCTCAATGTCATCATTAGCTAGATATGGTCATTATCCGGATTTAATCATTATCAAATTACAGACCTGGTTTATATTCCACTTTCACTGCATCTCTGTGGACCTCTCCATCTCTTTTTCTGTCTTTGTCTCTATGAGTTTCTCTCTCTCTTTTTAAAAATACATACTTCAGATACACACAAGTGAGTTAAACTGAGTCCTTGGTTCATGACATGCCTTCAGCATTGGTGCATCAAGTCCTACAGTGTATATAATACAAGATAGTAGAAAGCATAATCTAACATATGCACCTTGAGCCACTGCTCACCCCAAGAACTAGAACAGAATCAGTATCTGACATCTGCCTCTGTGCTGCACCCCATCCCATCCCCCAGCTCTCTGCTGGAGGTCACTAAGATTCTGAATTTTGAGTTTATCCTCCCCTAGTTTCCTTGTTTTTAGTGTTATTACATGCATGCATACCTAATTAATATGTAGTTTGTTTTTACTTGTTTATTAATTTTATGTTAAAAAGTGCCATACTGTATATAGTCTTGTCTTTTCTTTTTAGCTCAATGCTGTTGATGAGCATGTGGCCATGTTGCTGTATGTAATCATGATTTATTTGTTCTGAAGGCTGTATGTGACTATACCATTATTTATTTCTTTTTTTATTCTCCCGTCGATGGACAGTCAGGCTGTCTTCTGGTCTTCTGCTATTGCAAACAGTGCTGTGTGGCTGTTCCTGCGCGTAAATCCTAAAGCTCTGCAAAATGCAGTCTGGGCATCCTCAGCCCGGGCATCACCTGGAAACTTGTTAGAAATGCAGAGTCTGGGGCCCTGCCCTAGCCCCGCCAGAACTGAATCTGCATTTTAACAAGACCCCTGGGGGATTCACTGGCTTATTCACGTTTGAGAAGCACTGGCCGAGTGTACCTCTGCATGGGTTTCTCTTGGGCATACACATCAGGAGTGGAAGTGCTGGGTCGCAGTGGGTGGCCCAGATCACCCTCTCGGCCGCAGCTTCGGAGCTGCCACTGAGCTAGAGCTTCCCCAGCTCT
Source organism: Homo sapiens (assembly GCF_000001405.40). Classification (NCBI taxonomy): domain Eukaryota; kingdom Metazoa; phylum Chordata; class Mammalia; order Primates; family Hominidae; genus Homo; species Homo sapiens. Next base: position 36,303,281 of record NC_000020.11, read on the forward strand.
TGGTATTGTCCCACGTTCTCATTGTTGCCAGTCGACTGGGCGTGCAGTGGCATCTCATCATGGTCTTGACTTACATTTCCCCCATGACTAACGAGGTCAGGCACCTCCTCGTATGTTTACTGGCCATATGTTTCCCCTTCTGTGAAACGCCTGTTCCTGTTTTTTGCTCTTTTTTCTTTTAGGCTCACTCTACTCAATCCTGCCTTTGCATATACTGTTCTTTCCATCAGAAATGCCTTCCCCTTTCGCTACCCTGTGTCAGTTCTTCCAGGAAGCCCTCTCTGATTGCTGCTTAGGTTGTGAGCCTCCTCAGCCTCACAGGCAGGAAAACTCGGTGTCATTGTCCCTTCATTCTTCTCCTGAAGTCTCTTCCTCACTGGAGAGACTGTGAACCTATATGGCTTGGTTTGCATAGAGTTAACAATTTTTTCACTCTAGTTGCCATTATTTTCAGGGATTTTCTGAAGTTTTACATTTCAGAAAATCTTAACTGCTAGCTTCTCTTGAAAAAATAAGATATGGCTCCACTGTCTCCTTCCCTAGATGGCAAAATCAGCTAGTGCTGAGTAGGGGCTGCCCCTGCTGGACCATGTGTCACAGTCCCCACAACTCCAGGCTCACAACTTGCTTAAACAACCTGTCCAAGCCCTGTGGGCATTTGGGTTTGTGACCCTTGCCTAAGCGTGCCCAATGCTTGTTCCTCTAAAACTTGCCCTTCCTTCCCCTCCTCCCCATAACCCCATCCTTGTTCCCACTCAGGGCTTTGCATCTCTCCCCTGTGCCATCACACTAGCCTCCTTGACATTCCTTTCTCTAGTCTTGCCTGTTCCAGTCCACTGCCATGTCACACTCCTGCTCAAGAACCAGCAATGGCACCCCCTTGCCTTCCCAGGCACCACCTGACTTTCTACAAAACAAAAAAGTATTACAATAGGAATATTTTATGTCCACAAAAAAGTCTAGAGAACAACATGACAAACACCCATGTGCTCACCACCCCGGCTTAAGACATAAACCACTTCAAGTATATTTAAAGCCCTTACTACAACATTCCCTTCCCTCTCTCCCTCACGGTCACTACTCTCTTGAATTTGCTGTCTATCACTCCCATGCATGCTTTTACACTTGTATTACATATGTATGTGTCGCTAAACAATATATGGTATTGTGTTGTGTGTTTTCAAACTTTATGTATCTGGCATGAAATTATGTTTTCCATCTGCAACTTGCTTTTTCCATCCAACAATATATATTTTTATTTTAAAAATTGTATTGAAGTATAGCATTCATACAAAGAGCACACAAATTGTAAGTGTACAACCCTGGATTTTCACAAACTGAATCAACAGTGTGTTTTTGAGATTCAGCCTCACAATGCATAAGCTTGCAATCACCTATTTTGAGGATTGTGGATCACAGACAGTTTTCCATTGTCTGAATGTGTTGCTATTTATCCAGTTTCCAAATGATGGACATTTAGGCTGTGTCCAGCTTTTCACTATTACAAACGATGCTGCTATGAGCATCCTTGTGCAAGCCTCCCGGGCCCCCATGTGAGGTGTTCTCGAGGGCAAAGCCTGCTCATCTTCAACCTGATCATATATATACCGCCAGGTCGCTGTCCAGCCCCTGGCTCTCGCTGGCTCCCAGCTCATTCGCCAAGATCTTCCCACTGCTCCAGGGAGCCCACTCTCCTCCTTGCTGACACCCTGCCCAAACATGCCACCTCTTTGCCTGCTGCATGCAGGTGTTAAACTCACCTTTCCATCCAGGCTTTACTGAAGCCCTGCCTCTTCCAGGAAGCCCTCTTGGGCAGCGCTGGGCCTCAGGGTGTCATCTCCTCTGAGTGACCTCCTCTCACCCCAGTTGTTAGAGCCAGAGAAGATAGAGACAAACCCAGACCAGACACTGGGGAAAGGGGAATGTGTTCTGGAGAAAGGAAATATGGGTAGACTAGTAGGGAGTGTGAGAAGCTGGGGTACGAAACAGATTGCTCTGGGCCTTGATGGATGAGTAGGAGTTTGTCAGGTAGAGAGGTGGGAGGGCATGGCAGGCACAGGGAAAGGCAGAGGCTGGGCACTGAAACAGTCATCACTGGGTTGGGGATGTGAGCAGGGTGGGTGGGTGGTGGAGGAGACTGGAACAGGGCTGTGAGGAGCCTTGCAGGCCACCCTTTCACGCCATTCTGACCCTTCTGCATTCAGAGGCATTCTCTGGAGATGGCTGTGTGTGGGAGCCAGAGAAGGCAGGCACATTCATTTGACACCTACTGAATGCCAGGCACCGGTAAAGAGCTCATACCCATGATCTCTTTGGTTTCTCACCCAAGTTGGGGATAGAGACTCGTGGTGTCCCCATTTTACAGGTGGAGGAATGGGGCTCAGAGAGGGACAGTCTTTTGTCTGTAACCACAGAGCCAGGAGAGGCAGGGCTGGTACGCAGTTCAGGTTCATCCCACTCCAGAGACTGCATTTAACCCCCGTTCAGCCAGAGGCTAGAAGACACCTGGGAGAGGGTTCTGCGGAAGCAGGTCACCGGGAGGGGGCACCCATTCCTAGAGGCAGGAGCCCCAAGTTCTCGGGGGTGGGGTGGTTCCTGACTGGCGCGGTGTGACCCGGGCCAGTCTCGTTCTCTCTGGGCCTCAGTTTCCCTCCTCCACGGGGCGGCGATGGTCAACACAGGTTCCTGCCGGCCCGCCCCGTAGCCTGGGGTTCCAGGCTCCCGTGCCACCGCGGCCCGCGCTGTGTGACCTTGTTCCAGTAGCCTGCCCTCTCTGGACTGGCGGCCCCGGATTTCCAAGCGCTCTTCCGGATCGCGACAGAGCGGTCGCCCGCTGCGGAGACCCTCCCCCTTCCCCCGGGTTGCGGGGGCGTGGGTGGGGGTGGGGCGCCAGGAACGGCGCGGGCCCCCCCAAGGCCCCCCCAGCCCCGCGCCCGCGGCCCGATCCGCGCCTGGTTTTGGGCGCAGCCGCACGGCCCCCTCCCCCGCGCTCCTCTCCCCTCTCCCCGCCCCCTCCCCGCCGCTCTCGGGGAGCCGGGGCCGCACGGCTCCTCCTCCCGCAGCCGCATCTGGGGCGCCGCGCCGGCCGGAGGAGAGGCATGGGGCGCCCGCGGGCCGGAGCCGGGGCGGGGGCCGGGGCCTAGGCGCGCGGACCTGCGAGCGGACCCGAGAGGCGGCGGCGGCGCAGCGGAACGGCAGAGCGGGCCGGAGGCGGCCGAGGCGCCCGGCGCAGGTGAGGGCGCGGGGGTGGCGCGCGGCGGCTCCTACCCCCTTCCCGGGCCGGCGCGCTCCGTCCCTCGGCTAGACCCCCCGATCTGGTCTCCTCCCCGACAGACCTCCCTGAACCGGGGGACGGCGCTGGCGCAGAAAAGCCCCCTCCCCTGCCAGTTCTGTCTTCCGATCCCGGGTCCGAGGGGCCGGCTGTGCGGCTGGGAAGCGCCTTCTCCGGTTGGGATCGCCCCATCCATGTCTCCCCGGACCCTCAAATCGGGGGCGGCGGCACCGGGGCCCGGAACCCCTGTCCGGGACCGGATCCCCATTCCGGCTCTTTTTCCCGCGGACTCCCCCGTACCCCATATCAAGCGGCTGCCAAAGCCTGGAAGCCCCCTCCTCAGGCCCGCCCCCTAATCCGCAGGGCGGCCTGGGGGTCAGGCGGACCCCTCCCGTGCCCGGCCAACCTTGGCGCTTGGGAGAGCAGGGCTATGCCGGCCCGGGCATTCCTCCATTCAACCCAGCTGCCTCGGATCCCGTCTCGGTAGACCCGGGAGCCGCCGGCTCCCCCCTTCCCGAGCTCTTTCCCTGACCTGGCATCTGGGGAGGGGGCGGGGGCAGCACCCCCCTCCCGCGCTGCATAGCGCCCCCTCCCTGTTTGCGTCCCTGGGAGGGGCTGGGCTGACCCGGGCACCTGGGCTGGGGGGGCACTCACATGGCTACCGGAGGCCCCCACGTGCGGCGCCCCGCGGAGACAGGGGTTCGCGTTCAGAGCTGGTGGCGGATGGACCAGGTGGCCGCGGGGACCAGCTGGGTCCAGATGTGCTGGGCCTGCTGGAAGGGGACAGGTGCTACCTGGACGTGTAATGGCCCTTGGTCTCTTTTGGCCGAACCTGCCGCTCCGATCCCCCTCCATCCCTTCATCCCTCCATCCCTCCATCCCTCCATCCCTCCGGCCCTTCTCCCCTTCTTCCTCCGCTGCCTGTGTTGCAGAGAGGGGCTGTCAGAGACTGTTGATGTGGGAAAAAATGAAATGGGGGAGGGGTTGTGATTGGCAAAGGCCAGTTGTGCCGGGAGCGGTGGGTAGAGGAGGTGCCCTGAGAATGGGAAGCCCTAAGCTTGGAGGGCAGCGCTGATGGGGAGAGGGTTCCTGGCACCCCCACCTGCCTGGAAGTGGAAATGACATAGCGGGAGGGGGCTGCAGTTCCAGCCCCCGGGGGACTGGCCTGCCCTGCCTCTACCTCCACTGCACCTCCTCTCCAAGCCTAGTCCCCAGTAGGGAGGGGGGAGTCCTGGCTCTCTCTGCCTCTGAGCCCTCACTTGTGGGAGGGGGCTGTTTTCCGCCAGCTGGAAGTGGTGGGAATCAGTTGTACAGGACCATCTCCTAGAATGCCTGTTGGAAGAGCCCTGTTTCTGTCCCTCCTTGGTGGCCACCTCTCTCTTGCCTTCTCTGCCAGAGGGCACTGGGCTGCCTGGTCCCAGGGTGGGGCTGCAGAGCTGGTGCCCTGGCCTGGCCGATGGGTGGCTGGAGTGTTGGAGCCACCACCAGGCCCTAGAGCCGGCTGTCGGGGCCAGTCAGCAGCAGACTCCGAGTGTGTTCCCAGCAGCTCCGGAGACGCTGGCTGTGCACGTGGGGCTGGCTAGAGTGCCTGTCTCCCGCTGTGGCAGGGGTAGGCCAGGGATCCTGTGTCCTCCAGGAGCTGGGACAGCGCAACTCAACTTCTGGGAGTGTGCCCGTGTGTGGTGTCCATGGCGACCCCGTACTCACCTGCCAGAGGCCTGGTGAGGCCTGTGCTGGGCGCTGGGGAGTGCAATGGCTGACAGGGTCCCCACCTCCAGGAGCCTCTTTTTTGTTGGGGGAGGCAGCCTGTGTCAGGCATTGGAGACAGTGTCCATGCTGAAGAGAAACTGTGAGCTGGACGGGACCTGATGGCTGGGTTATGTGGAACCCCGGGTGCCAGCCTTGAGATGGAACTGCAGGTCTGAGGGCTGTGCCCCGGGCGTGAAGCTGCCTGGCAGCTGAGTTGGTGTTTTTGAAGGAAGGCTGTGCAGCACTTGGGAACTAGGAGAGAATGTGTGCTTTGGAGCTTTCGGGAGACGCTGACGTATCGGATGTATCGGGGCACCCACTGACATCTCATTAGGTTCTTGTGTGGTTTGTGAGCCACAGGCTTCGTAAATGCCAGCAGTTTCACATGATGGGGAGGCTCTGAGGAACTGTATCCCGGGCACCGTATGTGACAGAAGCAGGTGGTCCCTACCCTCCTATACTTCCGTGATGGGTATTCATTCATTCAGAAAAGCATTAGAAAATCGCATTTGCTAACATCAGTGCATTTGAACACTTTCATTTAAACATTCTGAAATGTGAATTAATAAAATCTTGAATGCAGGGTTTTTTTTTATAGAAAGTACACAGTAGGTACTCAATAAATGTCATGGCTCCCAGGATGAAACCCAACCTCCCCCTCCCCCAACTAGCTACTTTCTAGCCACCTCTTGCTCCCCACCCCCTCCCTCTTTGGCTCGGGTCCCCCTGGCGGGCCTTCAGTTCCTGGAACAGGCCACGTTCCCTCCAGCTTCAGGGTCTTCACACATGCTGGCTCCTCTGCCTGAACATCCCCAGCCCCCTTCTCCCACGTGCCTGTTTCACTACTGCTCATCACCCAAGCTTAAGCATCGCTTCCAAAAGAAAGCCTTCCTCGATGCCCAGGCCAGGCTGTGTCACTGTCACCACCCGCCCAGCCCCGTGGGCCTCTGCTTCATTACCCCGTGCCCATCCTTCTTGGATGTCTCTGGGTGTGGCTGGTGTGGAGAAGGGCAGGGTCGTGCCTGTCTCTTCACGCCATTCCTCTGGTGCTGAGAAGATGTCTTGGCTCAACGTGTGCACTCATCCATTTCTTTTGACTTTTGACGACCTGGTCCATTCTGAGTGGAGGGCTGGGCTCTGGGGAATGGGGGGAGACTTGGCCAGGCCATTGCCAACATGACTGTCCATGTGCGTTCCTGGCCTCCAGCTGGGTCTGCATACCCAGAGGCATTTAGCCAGGATCTGTGGGAGTTACAGGCCTGTAGCCCCTAAAGTCCCAGCAGGTCTGTGGGACCCCAAAGTCTCTACAAGAGGGAGAGGGGCCATGCTGGGGCAGACCTGGCATCTTTAGAGGTGTGCCCCTGGCCAGGCATTTCCCCCTGTGGCCATTCATTTGCTCACATCATCACCTGTTTACCTGTTCAGCCCTTCCTTCACTCGCCAGGTCACTGGCCTGTTCACTCTTCCATTTCCTAGTCCTCTGTCCGTTCTTTGGGCTACTAGTGCTTCCTGAGGCCCACTCAGTGTCCAGCCCTGTGCCAGGCTTGGGGACACAGAGTCAAACCTGTGAGGACCCCACTCTGTAAACTGTAGCCATCCTGCCAGGTGCTTCCTAGTGATGGAGACTGGTGCTGTCCAACCACTGGAAGTGCTTCATAAAGGACATGCGCTGAGCAGGGTTTTGGAGGATTTGGGGATTTGGGTAGATGGAGAATAGTGGGGAAGGACACTGCTGGCTGCAAGAACTGCATGGACAAGCACAGTGGCCCATGCTTGTAATCCCAGCACTTTGGGAGGCCAAGGTGGGAGGATTCCTTGAGTCCAGGAGTTTGAGACTAGTCTAGGCAACATAGTGAGACCCTGTCTCTACAAAAAAAAAAAAAGAAAGAAAGAAAGAAAGAAAGAAAGAAAGAAAGAAAGAAAGAAAGAAAGAAAGAAAGAAAAGAAAAGAATTGCATGGATAAAGGCAGGAAGGCAGCCACATGCTGGTTGAGCTTGGGGATGCTGAGGGTTATGTGTCCTTCTAAGAGGAGGTGGCCACTCCTGAGTGGGCCACAGGGAGGCTGGTGGTGGAGGGAGTAGGGTGCAGTCATGGTCGGCATCCACTCTTCTAGGAGCCCTGTTGCGAATTTGCTGTGTTTCTTTGGATGAGGCGTGTCCCCTCTCTGGGCTCCCTTGATAAAGTGAAGACTTGGACCTGATGATCTCTGAGGGACCTTCTGCCTTCCACTGTCCGAAGTCTGTGATCCTGGGAGCCCTGCATCTTGGGGCATCTGGTGGGCTGTCCTCCCATTTTCTGGACAAGGAAACTGAGCATTAGTTTAGTTTATTAGTAAGGTCTCCAAGGCTGCACAGCTGGTGAGGTGGAGGTGCCAGGGTTTGGATCCAGAGCAAGCCACTGGGTTTGCTGTAGTGGCTTTGAAGGACAGCTTTTGTGTGTAAGCTCCCAGGGCTGGCATCAGCGTGGGGCTGGCGAGGCTTGGCAGTTTCTTCTAACAGATGACCCTGTTGGTTAAGGGAGTGAGGGTGCTGGAGAGCAAACTCACTGGGCATCTTTGAGAAAAGCTGTCACCGAGGAGTCCTGTGTGTTGCACCAAAGACAAGCCCACTTCCTACTTTATCGGAATATGGGGGGATGCTTTGTGACTCACATGACTAGATTTTCTTTCATTGTGACCTATGGGGGAGAGGGTTGCCTGTTCTGTTCCTATATCCCCTCCACAGCGTCTCCTGGCAACTCCTCCAGGCCAGGACTGAAGCCTTTAGGGGTGTGCAGCACGTGCAGTACTCTACAGTTTGCAGAACCCATTTCATCCCCCCATCTTCTAGCCACAGCCAGGGTTAGGAATGAAAAGGGATATTGTCTGCATTTGACAGATGAGGAAACTGAGGCTCAGAGTGGTTGGGTGGCTGCCCAAGGTCACTCGGAGGGTGGGGGGGGTGGACCCTCAGCCGAGGCGCCCCTCTCACTGGGTCCTTGCAGGGAGGGCAGCGTTTAGGGGCTTCTCACTTGCAGATCACACATTATTTCCTGAGCCGAGGAGTGGGGCCCAGGATCCTTCTGTGCTGGGTTTCGCAACGCCGCCTCCTCCCTACCGAGCTGTCTGACGTGGCCTTTTCAAAAACCCAAAATGAATGGAAGCACATTTTGTTTGGAGAATTTTGCTACACCCCTCACCAGGGCTGGTTGCAAAACCAGGCTTGGGGATCCCTACTGATGTTGACGATGATAATAATAATAATAACTGTATCACTGGCTAGCATTTCTTTTCATTCATTCATTCCTTCAACAAAGCATTTTAGACCATCTCCCAGGCCATGTGCACTGCTCAGCCCTCTGTTAGTGAGCACCGATGTCCGGACTCTCTTTCAGCCTCCCTCACACCCTATTATGATTATCACCCCCATTTTATGGAAGAGGAAACTGGGGCACAGAGAGCCAATGCTGCACAGCCGGTGAAGTGGAGGTGCCAGGGTTTGGACGAAAGGCTCCCTCCCCATGACAGAGGCTGGAAGACAGAGGCCGGGCTTTGGACGTAAGTCAGTTAGAGTTTAGAGGCTGGTCTTAGCCCCATGTTCTGGGGATTCTGAAGTTCCCGTTTGTTCCACAGCAAGCGTTGGGTGGGGAGGGAATCAAGTGGAGCAGACCCAGTTCCTGGCTTTGGGGAACCTGAACAGATGCGCTGGGGGCAGAGCTGGGTCTGGTCTGGAGAGCAGCCTTGGGACCACCCTTGGACTCAGTGGCTGCTCTGCTGTCAGTGGCCACACCTCCCCCAGCCCCGCCAGAGGCCCCATCTGAACTGTGAGGTTCACGGGTACCAAGGGATGGGCATCAGAGGAGAACTGTGGCCTCTCTCCCGGCTCCGCTGTGCTTCCCCAGCATGCAATTCTGGTTAAGCCAGCTCATCTCTCAGGCTTCTCACGGGGCACGTGGAGTGATATGGAGTGACCATGACCGGCAGTCCATTGGTGAGGAAGAACAAGATATTTGGCTCCTGGGACCGTTCATGGAAAAGGTAGAGCCCTCAATATGCACATGCACACGCACACACACACATGCACGCGCGAACACACGCACACACACACACACACACACACACAGTGCAGCCGCCCCCCGGCTGCAGTCACATTTGCGCTCCTCTTAGGTGAGAGAAGGGCTGCGCAGGTCACCCACCTCTGGGAGTCTGCTTCAAAAGTGGCTAATGGAACATTTGGTGCATGAGGGGGTCATCTTTAGAAAGCATAAGATGTGGGCAGGTTCTGTCTTTGATGATGTGGAAATGGGGCAGGCATCCTGGTGTTTAAATGGAGCAAAAGACTTATTGAGGCACTTATGGAGCGCCTGCTGTGTACCTAGCACTGCACTGGGACTCAAGATGGGGGATTAGAACAACGCCCTGAAGAGGTGCTGTGCTGGTGGGGGCAGTGGGACTCTGCACCCCGGGTGCTGGGCTAGGAGTGAGCACTCGGCCTCTGGGTTCAGGTGTTTTTCTTCCTGCAGTGACAGATAAGCCTGCGGGGGCAGACAGAGGTGGGTCCGGGAGGCTTTCTGTTGCAGCTGCCAGGACATGGGTGCTGGGTATCTGGGGGTTTGTAGTAAGAGGAACGAGCAGGTTTGCTACTGCTGTGTGTCCCTAACTGATTGCCTGCACCTCTCTGGGCCTCCATCTACTTGGTGGGAGTAGAGGTGGGAGTTTGGTTTCTGAGTCTTTCCCGGCTTAGCCTTCTGTGACTTCAGGGATGAAACGAGCTGGGCTTCCCTCTGAGCGGTGTCAGGGAGTCCTCACTGCCCTCACCCCTGACCTGCCGCCTGGCTTCTCCACTGCCCTCTATCTTCCAGCTCCTGTCATGGGGAGGGAGCCTTTCCTTCCCCCACTGCAGGCTGACTGCGTGCAGTGACGCAGCACCCGAGGACTCTGGAGTGCAGCTTGTAAACGGGAATCTGGGTTTGCTAGAGACAGGGGGAAAGGTTCTTCCCACCACCCCCAGCTGCCTGCCTGCCTTTCTCCCTCCGTGGCTGCCACTAAGCCCTGGCACCTCCTCAGCTCTGCCAGATCCACTCAGGGAGTGGGAGGCTCAGGACTGGAGGTTCAGCTGAACAGGGCCCAAGTTGGAGTCTCAGCATGCCAAGGCCTTGCTGTGTGACCCTGGCATGCTTGCCTGCCTTTTCTGAACAGTGTGTACTGTGAGGGCTGGGCTGTGAGATTCTGGGGCTGACCAGGCAGCTTTGCAGTGACAGCTCTGGGGTGGGGGGGGGTCACCTGCAATTGGAGAGGAGCTCCTGGCTGGACTTGGCCTGCTGCTGGGGGGGCAGGGCCGTGGTCCAGAGACTGCTGGGTTGGAGATAGAGTCAGGGCTCTCTGCCGCCTGTGTTTTCCATGGGCACACCCTGCAGCTGAGGGAGCAAGGTGCTGTGGTCATCCGTTTTAACATCTGGGGAAACTGAGGCTGCACAGCTGGTGGGTAGTAGAGCTAGGATTTGAACCCAGGTGTGTGTGATTCATGCACCCAGGTGAGAAGGTAGACCCCAGGCAAGAGGCCAGCTGGGCAACTGTGCACCTCCCTGTGCCCTCTCTGGGTCTCAGTTACCCCATCGGAACAGCAAGAGTCAGGAGGTGATGTTGGGGTTGCCTTACCCTTCTCTGAGCCCCACCTGGTACTGCTGGAATTTTCTGAGCTTCCCCACCTGACCTACAGCTCCTATCCTCAAAGTGAGTGTGGCGGCAGGTGAAGGGGTGTCGGCATCTGACACTTCCTCAGGGACCTGCCACCTCGGGGTGTGAGGGATTCCTGGAGGACTGGGAGTGCACAAGGCCTTCCAGGGACAGCGTGCTGGGAGCAGAAGCGCGTGCAGAGGCGGGTGGCTCTGGGCGGCCTGGGGGTGTCGACTAGACCTGGGGCCAGGCCCACCTCTGCCCATCTATGCATCCAACCCTCATAGATCTGGTTCACAGGGGACTCTGGGAGAGTGCAGGCGGGGACAAGGAGGGAGGGCTGGCCTCGGGGTCCTTCCCACTCCCTGTGTGTGTGCGTGTGTGTGTGTGTGTGTGTGTGGTGTGGTGTGTGTGTGG